>NC_000001.11:153184587-154434587 GCF_000001405.40 Homo sapiens | reverse complement strand
CAGGAGAACTTCTGGGACTCCTGGGAATACTGGCACGGCTCCTGGAAGTCTTCGGCCGGACTGTTCTGACTGTTAGACACAAAACAAGGGCAGGGCTTGCCTGTCAGTTTCGCACAGACTCAAGACGGGACAGAAGGGGGAAGTGGAATCCCGGGGTTTGAATCCCAGCTCCAGACTTATAAGCCCTGTGCCTCTAAGTCTCCTTTTCTCATTTGAAAATAGGAATATTAATACTACTTACCTAGTAGGGGTTAAGTTTTTGTTTTGTTTTGTTTTTGTGATAGAGTCTCACTGTGTCACCCAGGCTGGAGTGCAGTGGCGCAGTCTCGGCTCACTGCAACCTCCGCCTCCCTCCCAGGTTCAAGAGATTCTCCTGCCTCAGCCTCCTGAGCGTGCCCAGCAAATTTTTGTATTTTTAATAGAGATGGGGTTTCACCATGTTGCCCAGGCTGGTCTCGAACTGCTGACCTCAGGTGATCTGCCCGCCTCAGCCTCCCAAAGTGCTGGGATTACAGGCATGAACAATCACACGTGGCTGGTTCTGTTAAGACTGAGAAATAAGGCCGGGCGCGGTGGCTCACGCCTGTAATTCTAGCACTTTGGGAGGGCAACGCAGGCAGATCATGAGGTCAGGAGTTCGAGACCAGCCTAGCCAATATGGTGAAACCCTGTCTCTACTAAAAATACAAAAAATAAAATAAAAAATTAGCCTGGCGTGGTGGCGCATGCCTGTAGTCCCAGTTACTCAGGAGGCTGAAGCAGAAGAATCACTTGAACCCAGGAGGCAGATGTTGCAGTGACA
Source organism: Homo sapiens (assembly GCF_000001405.40). NCBI lineage: Eukaryota > Metazoa > Chordata > Mammalia > Primates > Hominidae > Homo > Homo sapiens. The sequence goes on along the minus strand of NC_000001.11, from coordinate 154,433,785 downwards.
GAGACTGCACTCCAGCCTGGGCGACAGAGACTCCATCTCAAAAAAAAAAAATTGAGCAATAAATGTAAAATCTAGAGATGAGGAAACTAGCTGGATTTACAAATATATATAAACATGTAGCCTAGCGCCTGGCACGAGGGGTGAGGGGAGCTAGGCTGGAGGGCTCAGCTAGTCACTCAGGCAATGGTCGGCTGGCCAGCTCTGGTCTCCCGCTGGGCCTGTGCTCTTGGCACTGTAGGGGATATAGAAATGAATCAAGAGAGGCCCCACCCTGCCTTCAAGGCACTAACAAAAAAGATCTGTCCTCAGATGACTAGACACCCAGCAGAAATGCCACTCCAGAGACACAAAAAGTGCTAGAGGGGTTCTGGCAGGTGAGTCCAGAAAAGAATTCTGGGTAACTGAAGACATTCGAGGTGAGTCAGCCACCATCCCACCTGGCCTGGAAACCTGAGGCTTCACCCTCTTATGACACATGTGGGCATGTGAGGCCACGTCAACCACTCACCCTCCAGCTGGGGTGACGAGTCTGCCACCTCTGACTTGGGTTCGAACCCTGGGCTCCTGCTGAATCCAGCACATGGGACAAACCCAACCTTTCCAGGCTGAGTTAAAGCCCCTTTCCTCCTTCCCCCAACACCACCCAGGCTTCCACCCAGCCACGAAGGCAGGGTCACCGACTGCTTTACGTGTGTGCCCAGGTGGGGTCAGAGGGCCGGGGCTCAGTCTTGTTGGCCCGCTTCCTCCCACTGCCCCAGCACTGCGCCTGGTCCAAGGCAGAGGCTGAGCTCACCCCTGCCTGTGGAAGAAGGAGGGAGCAGTGCTGCAGTTGGGCAAGGGTGTGAAAGCAGACACACAAGAGAAAAAGCAGAGCTCCCAGTAATCCCTTTCCAGGGGCCTGTCTCTTCCAGGCCCTGCAGTGGCCTGAGGTCTGGGTGGGGCCTCAGTGGGGGCTGGGGCCCCTGAGGCTCTCGAAGCCACTTCCCCTGCTCTTTCCTCACTTCAAAGGCGCCCAGTGGTCATGCTGACTCTTCAAAGCAGATGGAAGCAAAGGCACGAGGCTGCTCGGGAGGACAAGCACTGTACTCTCTCCCACTCCCGCTGTCAACATGGAAAGTATTCCAGTCAAGCCGGGCGCGGTGGCTCACGCCTGTAATCCCAGCACTTTGGGAGGCCGAGACAGGCGGATCACCCTAGGTCAGAAGTTCGAGACCAGCCCCGCTAACATGGTGAAACCTCATCTCTACTAAAAATACAAAGATTAGCCAGGCGTGGTGGTGTGCGCCTGTAATCCCAGCTACTCAGGAGGCTGAGGCAGGAGAATCGCTTGAGCCCGGGAGGCGGAGATTGCAGTGAGCCGAGATCCCACCACTGCACTCCAGCCTGGGCGACAGAGCGAAACTCCATCTCAAAAAAAAAAAAAAAAAAGTATTTCAGTTGAAGTGTCAGAAATGACAGAGCTTTCCACAGGCTGGCCTGGGAAGCTGCCAGCCACAGTCTCTATCCTGGCTAATCCTATCTATGGTACAAGCCTTTGAGGTACAAACAAGGTGTATCCTTTGCTGGGCTGTGAAGCTATCCAGGCTTGGGGCATGAGCTGACAGTGCTAATGGCAGCTGCATCATTCACAGATGGTAATCCGCACTTTTCATCATAGAGGACAGAACAAAAACATGACTGCCAGGCAGCCCAGTAACTCTATGGAAACAGACCCAAGTGGGAGCTGAACCACCCTATTGAAGTCACTGCTCTGGCTTTCTGATACAGTAGTCCTGCCTTATCTGAGGTTTTGCTTTCCAAGATTTCGGCTACCTGTGGTCAACTGCGGTCCAAAAATATTAAATGGGAAATTCCATAAATAATCACTTCAGAAATTTTAAAGTGCCCACTGTTCTGAGAAGTGTGACGAGATTTCACACCGTCCCGCCCAGGACATGAATCATCACTTTGTTCAGCATTCCTGCGCTGTGCATGCTACCCATCACTCGTCCTGACATCCACCGCCATCATCATGGCTCGGTGACCCAGAGTCACCCAAAACAGCTGATCCTCCTTCTAACACATGGTCAGAAAGCCCTAGTAGCCTAACACTGAGTCACAATGCCTACATCATTCACCTCACTTCATCCCATCATGCAGGCATTTCACAACCTCATATCATCACAAGAAGGGTGAGTACAGTAATAAGACATTTTGAGAAACAGAGAGACCACATTCACATAACTGTTATTACAGTATATTGTTATCACTGTTCTATGCTATTTTTAGTTATTGCTAACCTCTTACTGCACCTAATTTATAAATTAAACTATCATAAGTACATATCTATAGAAAAACATACTATATATAGGGTTCAGCACCATTTGCGATTTCAGGCATCCACTAGGGGTCTTGGAATGCGACCTCCTTGCCCTATATTCTGATGACTGACAGCTCAAACTCAATTGTAAACCTCTGGACTAAGGGAGACTGTGGCTCTGGGATGGAGACCAGCAAAACTGCAGAGGCAGATTTGTTTTCAGCATCTTCCACCTCCTCTACATCCATGCCTGAACCCATCCCAGGTCTTCCCACGTTAAGCCGTCTTCCGGTGATGATGCAGAGCCCCCAGGCAGGCGTGACTTCTCCCCCCACGGCCCCAAGCTCCCTCTCCCCCGCCCATCACCGCTTTCTCTCTCGTGTCTTTATCATGGAAATAGCCTGATACGCCCACAAGGGCCCAGACACTGATAATGGTCTGGCTGTGCTACACCCCCTCCCAGGGATATTTGCATGTTTTTCAGAGCAACGCCCATAATCTTCGGACTTTGAATGAAATCAGACAGACTGGGATTGAATTCCCAGCAGAGCCACTTACTAGCTAAGTGAACCAAACCTGTTAATCAGTCTCTGGGCCTCAGTCTCTCCATCTGTTAAGTGAGAAAAATAAAGCCCACTTCCCATAGCTGTTGTGATAACCAAGGTCAAGTGAATAGGACAAGGTTCCAAGCACAAGCACAGTGCCTAGCTCAGGGGGGGCAGTCAAATGTAAATCTCAGTTCCCTCTCATCTCCTCTTCCTCAGCCTGAAGGAATTAATTCCTAATGATAATGTTTTGAAATCACCTGAACCAGCCCCTCTCTGGGGGGCCTCGGGAAGGAGGGAGCCAACATGCACATAGCTCAGCCCAAGATACTTACAACTTCCTCACCAAGAGCACAGCCTTTGTCGTCAGGGATGGGGTGCTCCGAGGACCCCACTCACAAACAACATTGCTGAGGGGGCTCTTCCGGAAGCAGGAGAGCTGGGGCTCCTCGGGGGGAACTGAAAGGAAAGCATTGCAGGTGTCAGCAGGCGGGCGGGGATCCTGGGGCGCACTGACCTCGCAGACAGGGCAGCCTCCCTTGAGGGGAGCACGTGGCTGGGCCCCTCGGCCCCAGCCCTGGAGCTAGTCAGGACCCTGGCCACACTCAGCCACACATGAATGGAATCGCAGCTGGGAAATTAAAGGACACCAAAGTCCTCCTTTCAGTCTGAGACACGGATCCGGGACAGGGGAAGGGAAGAACCTCAGGACCAACTTGTCTGAAGGGGAGAGAGGATGATCGAAAAAAAGGGCTTTGGAGTCACACAGACCTGGCTGTGCGGCCTTGGGCAAGTCCTAGCTGCTCTTCAGTTTCCTCATGTATAAAATAAACTGATGATAATGTAATGATGATGGAAATGATGATAAGCCTGCTTTCCCTGACAAGGCTGCTGAAGGATTACAAGAGATACAAGGAAGAAAGTGCCTTGGCATAGGGCTCGACACACAGGGCACTGGTTCCAGGAAGTCTTTATCTAGGTATGAGGGAGCTAAGAACTTGCTAATTCTAAAAAAATAAGAATAGCTAATTTGAGAGCTTAGGATGGGCTATGCAGACTTTTTAGCAGCATATGTGTGTGATATACACACACACACATACGCAAATTCACATACACCCCCTTTGCAACAACTCTAAGGTAAGGTAATAAAATTAACCTTATTTTGCCAAAGATGAAACTGAAGGGTGGAGAAGTTAAGCTGTATGTGAGGGAGCAGGATTCAAACCCAGGCTGCCTGACTCCGGGCCCCAGGCTATTCACCAGTTCACCAAAAGTCCTAACTCCCAAAGCCAATGTTCCCCACCAGTCAGACGCTCCCACTCCCACCCAGCAGCAGTCTTTGCCAGCATCTGGATGGCAGACATTGGTGGGCCTTCCCCAAAATTCTTGCGCCAAGGAAATGGTGGGAGTTTGAAGGCTCAGACAGGGACTGTCTGGAATGCACAAAGCCTCATTTCTTACGGGAACTATCTCCGGGACCTCTGAGGCACAACTCACCATCCACCAGCAAGTGCACAGTCCCAGCTGGGCGGCCGGCCCGGTAGCATGAATAGTTTCCAGAGTCGTGGAGCTGCACCGACCTCAGCAGCAGCCTCCTTCCCATGCCAGCCCATCTGCTGGGGTGGGAGCCTGCAGCCGGCTTCCTGAGCACCCAGTGAACAGTGGCATTGTCTTCCGGCTCTACCCCCGGGCAGGTCAGAGTCACGCTGTCTCCTGGCAGACTGGTCAGCACGCCTCTCGCCACCTCTGGAGGAGGGAGAAGACACTTGGTGAGCCCACAGCCACTGAAGAAGGGGGCTTCGTTCTGGTCTGAGGAAGCCACGAGAGGCCTCAGTGATAATGATGAAGTGGCCCAGGCTACCGTCACCTCTGCCTGGATTAGGGCAGCATTCTCCTGGTGACCTCCCCAACCTGGTCTTCACCATCCAGCTGCCTGGGAGAGCCTTCTGAAGCCATGATCCAGCCACCCCACTCCCTGGATTAGAAAACCCTTCAAGGGCCTGCCACCATCCACAAGATGAAGTCCAAGCTCCTCAGCGTGGCCTGCAGGGCCCTTCTGTCCTTGGAGGCCTCATCTCTCCCCACTCCTTAGAAGGTGTGGAGCCCTCCCCTCAACTCCCCTCGCTCTCCTCCTCACACTCGTTCTTCCTACATCATCCCCACGACAACTCCTCCTATTCCAGGTCTCGGCCTAAACATCGTTTCCGGTCCCCCAGCTCCACTAGGCCCTCATTCTGCAATACGTCACCCACACGCTGCCATGTAATTACGAATTCCGTGTCTCTCTTCCCCTCAAGACTCCAAGCACCACAGAAGTAGGCACCCTGCTTTGTTCTCCATTATATTCCAAGTGCCCGGGACGTTGCCTGGCCCATGGCAGGAGTCTGCTGAGTACTGGATGAATGTGTGAACGAATGGATGCCATTAGGAATGAATGCCAGGCACCCAAGTGCACACGTACACAGGAGGTTTCCAAATCGCAGGGTATTCATGGCAGAATGCCCGTTATATAGTTGGTAACTGAGGCACAGAGGAATCAAGAGACTGGCCCAGATGCCCAGCTGGGGTAGGAACCAGGGCTTCTGGTTCCCTGTTCCATGCTCCCTCCAGTACCCTACATCTACTACAGCAATGCTGTGTTTACTCTAGGGACCAAACTGGAAGGTTAAAAAAAAAATGCATTCTCTACCCCTTGAAAAAAATTGGGTGTATTCTACTACTCAAGAAAAATAAGATTAAAGATTAAAGGAACAAGTACACTTTTTTTGAGTAGCAGTTATAGAGTCATAGAATCTAAGATAAAAATTAGCCCAACCACCTTGGACTCATTTATTAACCAATCAAATTAGTCCAACCAGCTAAGGAAACAGAGGCCAGGGAACACAGCCAGTTTTCATGTAAGCACACTTGGTCCTTTGAACCAAATGCATAACCATTTATTAGCAAGCAGTAGCAATAAATCTGGCCAAAGATTTCAGAGAGGACCAGCAGCTGCTGAGTGCCTGACCTCACCTCCTCGCCCATGCTCCTGGGACTCAGAAGCAGCACAAGGCTCTCTGCCTGGCCTGCAAATCCCTTCTTGTTTATGAGGCGTTTTTATCTCATACTTGGCAGGCTGTCCTTCCTTTCACCCCATCCAAGGTGGCTGTCAGAGGAGGGAGTAAGGATCAGTGACTCCCAGGCAGATAACACCCCTAAAGCTGGTGAGGTTGGAGTCCACACTGGCTACTGGCCACAGTCCAGGGACAGAGACATAGACATCAAAGGGGCGGAGACAGCTCTGCCTGGCATTGAGCCCTGTCTAGCTATACAGATACCCTTCACACTTCCCTCTCACTTTAACACCTAGAGCCAGAGTCCTCCTCCCTGGCACCCTCTACCTCAAGGCTGGCAGAAAAGGGACAGATATAAGGCCATCATGGCAGCCGGTCATCTAAGGTTTTCTCTGGTCACCAACAGACCTTGGGTAAGAAAGCTGGTTGAATTGTCACCGTGCAGCCAGGCGAGTTTGGGCAGGTTCCTGAGACACCTATGGCCTTACTTTCTCCCACGGTGGGCAAGTCCTGTGTTTGATAAACATTTGAGGAGGCTGCAGCAGCCAGGCACTGGCAAGGAAGACACAGTCAGGCATCCCAGAGACCTGCCCTTGAGAAACGGGAGACACATTCACTGCTGCAAGGCCAGGACACAGCACACAGTACTGTCCTGGTCCTCAGCAAAATCTGAGTCCCAGCTGGGCCTCACACCTGTAATCCCAGCACTTTGGGAGGCCGAGGCGAGACGGATCACAAGTCAAGAGATCGAGACCATCCTGGCCAACATGGTGAAACCCTGTCTCTACTAAAAATACAAAAAATTTGCTGGGCGTGGTGGCAGGCTCCTGTAATCCCAGCTACTTGGGAGGCTGAGGCAGGAGAATTGCTTGAACCAGGGAGGCGGAGCTTGCAGTGAGCCGAGATCACGCCACTGCACTCCAGCCTGGGCAAAAAGAGCGAAGCTCCGTCTCAAAAAAAAAAAAAAAATTCTGAGTCCCTAGAAGGTGAAGTCCACTGAGGGCAATAAGGGGTGGACTGCTACTGCCCAGAGGGCTTGAAAGGGTTATAAAAAGCCACAACTACAGTATAGCTTTCACACAGAATCTTCAACAATATATTTTTAGCATTGCGAACATTGTTTTTAATGTATTACATAATACTGAATACATGCAAATTCATATATATAATGTATGTAAAAGCTACATACATAAAAGTTAATTTATGAAGCATAAAATACCCAGGAAAGCCCACCAACCTAACTTTCACTACCCATACATCCCTACATTTTTCTTAACTTTGCTTCATTTTTGAGCTTCATATAAATGGTTTGAATATAGTCTTCTGCTGTGATATGCTTTTCTCTTTTCTTTCTTTTTTTTTTTTTTTGAGACAGAATCTCGCTCTATCACCCAGGCTGGAGTGCAATGGCGCGATCTCGGCTCACTGCATCCTCAACCTCCTGGGTTCAAGCAATTCTCCTGTCTCAGCCTCCCGAGTAGTTGGGACTACAGGCACACACCACCATGCCCGGCTAATTTTTTCCTTTTTTTGTATTTTTAGTAGAGATGGGGTTTCACCATATTAGTCAGGCTGGTCTTGAACTCCTGACCTCAGGTGATCCACCCGCCTCGGCCTCCCAAAGTGCTGGGATTACAGGCGTGAGCCACCACGCCCAGCTGGTGCTTTTCTCGAACTTCCTTTGTGTGTATATATGTGTGTGTGTGTGTGTGTGTGTGTGTGTGTGTCTGATACAGGGTCTCAGTCTGGTGCTTTTCTCGAACTTCCTTTGTGTGTATATGTGTGTGTGTGTGTGTGTGTGTGTGTGTGTGTCTGATACAGGGTCTCAGTCTGCTGCCCAGGCTGGAGTGCAGTGGCACAATCATAGCTTTTTGCAACCTCAAACTCCTGGGCTCAAGCGATCCTCCCACCTTAGCCTCCTGAGTAACTGGGAGGTGCACACCACCATGCCCGGCTAATTTTTTAATTTTTACTAGAGACAAGTTCTCAATATATTGCCCAGGCTGGTCTTCAACTCCCGGCCTCAAGCCATCCTCCTGCCTTAGCCTCCCAAAGTGCTGAGATTACAGGCATGAGGCTCTGTGCCCGGCTGCTTTTTTTTTTTTTCTTTTTCTTGGGACAGGGTCTCACTCTGTCACTCAGGCTGAAGTACAGTGGCACAATCATGGTTCACTGCAACTTCTAATTCCTGGGCTCAACTGATCCTCCCACCGCAGCTTCCCAAGTAGCTGAGACTACAGGTACATGCTACCATGACTGGCTGTATATTTTTTTTTTTGAGAGATGAGGTTTCACTATATTGCCCAGGCTGGTCTCAAACTCTTGGCCTCAAGCAATCCTCCTACCTGGGCCTCCAAAATGTTGGGATTAGAGGGATGACAACCTGGCCCGGCCTCATTTATATGTTTCTCTGATTCACTGACACGTAGTTCGTTCAGTCTCACTGCTATGTAATATTTCGTTGTGTGACCCTATCATTCTCTCACTGAGGGAGGTTTGCGGTCATTCCCATTGTTTTGCCATATCAAAGAGGGTGGCTATCAACTTTCTCATGACTCAGTGCACTTGCCCAAGAACTTCCCTAAGAATGAAACTGCTGGTGTTGGCGTGTGTGACCTGTGTCCTTTTCCTTCACTAAGGGAGGAGACCACCCCTCATATTGTCTTATGCCCAATTTCTGCCTCCAAAGAAAGAAGTAGTAAAAACTAAAAGGCAGAAATGAAATCCACAAGCAGACAGCCCGGCGCCACACCCTGGGCCTGATAGTTAAAGATCAACCCCTGACCTAATCGGTTATGTTATCTATAGATTATAGACATTGCATAGAAAAGCACTGTGAAAATCCCTGTCCTGTTCTATTCCATTCTAATTACCGGTGCATGCAGCCCCCAGTCACGTACCCCCTGCTTGCTCAATCAATCACAACCCTCTCATGCGGACCCCTTTGGAGTTGTGAGCCCTTAAAAGGGACAGGAATTGCTCACTCGGGGAGCTCGGTTGTTGGAGGCATGAGTCTTGCTGAAGCTCCCAGCCGAATGAAGCCCTTCCTTCTTTAACTCGGTGTCTGAGGGGTTTTGTCTGTGGCTTGTCCTGCTACATCACAACTGAACACACGGTCCAGTGCGTTGAACTCCAATGAGCACCTGATGGAGGCAGCAGTTTACCACATCCAGCCCACATCTTGAAGTCCATCAGTGCCTGAATGCGGTTACGTATGGAAGATGCAACGACACTTCTAATCAGTGCATCAATATTTCCACTTTTCCATTTTCCACTGGATAAAGCAGCTGTCAAGATAAAACCTAACACGGATTTCAAGTTCCTGCACAAATGACAAACTTGCAGGAGCAAAGATGGAAACAGTGCCCAAAGAGAACTGCTCCCAGTGCAATGCTTGCAATATCCCTTCCTCAGCTGATTCGCTGATTAGCAGAAATCAGAATTCACATGGCATGCAACAGACACAAGTGCAGGATGCATGAAGGTCTAAGGTAGGGGTCAAGGACCACTGCAGCTCATCCAATCACTGGCACTTTTCACATGGCACAGTCCTCAACTATATAAAGGTCCCTTCCCCGACCATGGTGACAACACTGGAAGCTCCTGGTCGTCACTCATCAGAGAACTTAGTAGGTGCTTCATGCATGTTTGTTGAATATAGGGCATGTTAGGGGTGCCCACAGGGACAGGGTCTCGGCACCAAAAACTCCCAGGCGCACGGTTTGCAGGTGAAGGGGTCTAAGTGGTGCCCTCTCGTGTTGTGTGATGGGCAGGCCCCAGGCTGGGGGGCAGAGGAGCCCGCTGAGGCAAGAAATAGACTCCTGGAGCCAGAGGAAGCTCTCTTTTCTGCTTCTGCCTTTGCCAAATCCAGTAAATGTCTTTCTGGTCATTTCCCCTACCCCAGTTCAGCGGGAAGCTCTTGCCATGTTTAGCGGCCAGCCTGAACAATAGCAGGGGCTGTTCTGCTCCTGCACTCACTAACAATGGCCAAAGTATCTGAGCAGCTCAGAGAAATACCAAATAAAAATACTTTTTTTTCCCTCTTCCACAAAAGCAGAGCTGCAGGGAGCAACATAATGGCCACTTCCTCTGCCAAGGAACTTGAGTAATGGCTTTCTGAATCTTTAAAACTGAGTCACTATTTTTTAAAACAGGGAATGATTAATTATAAACCACCCATTGGCAAGTATTGCCTGTCACAGCCCTGCTTCAAAATATATTTCCTCTAGAACCTGCGAACAACACTGTGTTAACTACGCTTTTAAAAGCACTGTATGCAGAATGATCAAAGAAATACTCATAAAGACTATAAGAAAACATACTTGCTAAAGTCAGAGTGGGCAGCACCGCCCCTTCCCTCCCACCCACTCAGCCCTCTGCCTCCTGACCCAAATCTCTGACTCAGTACCCCTGACAGCTGGGTGGCAGTGGGGAAGCCTCATGGGTGACTCTCAGAACAAGTAACATTCATAGAAGTGTCCTCTCCCTACCTCTGCCCTCCTCTCCAAATGATGGTGTTAGAGGTGATTTCTTTCTCTTCCCTGTGTCTTTCTGTAGTTTTTGAATTTTCTATAAGTTGCCTATATTGCTCTTATAATGAATACATATATATATATATATATATATATTTAATTAAACAAGCTACATAGCCTGGGTCTGTGTGAGTTAGGATTTCTAGGAAGGAGGGAGAGGGCACGGCAGAGCGCAGTGGGCACTGAGGGATGTCGGGGGATGAGGGTGGATTTTTCAATACAAGCAGCTTCCGAGCACCTTCAGGCCAAACAGTGCCACTTTGCCCTTGCACTGCTGAGTTCTCTCACTGTCACTGTCACTGAATTCTGCACCCATAGCCCAGCCCTCCCCTGTAGGCCTGATTCCCTGGTGGACACAAGACACCATCCCTGGGCTCAGCCTTGATTCCTCCCATCTGTCTGTTTTTCTGTTCCCTGGGAATCTGCTGGGGCCCTCCCTAAGTAGGCCCTACCAAAGAGAAGGGCCAAAAGGAAGAGACACGATGAGGAACCAGGTGAGGAGGGGGCTCCTGAGAGCAGTCCTTCCTGGTCCTGGGAGATATGCCCAGTCATTCTCATGCTCCCACCCCGGCCTGACACAGGCCTTGCATAGTAGGCCCTAGGAGACGGGGCACGCGGGGGCGAAGGCGTGGCTGGTGCACACACTGAAATTTAGCAAAGAGCACACAATCAACGGAGCATTTGTCCGTGAGCAATTGCTCAGCATTCAGAGCCAGGATTGCAAGCCTATGCCTGTCCCTTCTTCAAGAATTCAATAATTTTTGTGCACCCATGATGTGCAAGTTCAGAAGTTCCTAATCCAGGAAAAAAAAAACTCCATATTGAAGCTACTGAGCATCTACAATGCACTGGCACTCCTTCCTATCATTTCCATATCGTAATCTTCTTTAAACCCCACAAAGCCCTAGAACTTAAAACTATCTGTAATACAGGCCAACCTGATATAAATGTCTCCAACATACTGAGGGAACTAAGAAGAGGGATCAATTATTCTAAAGGGGGAAGAGAGATTTTATTGGGGCCTTGATAAATGAGTGGGGGTTTGATAAGTGGAGCCACAGGGAGTTACATTCCATAAAGAGAGAACAGTATATGCAAGGCATTAAGAACTGAGTCACCAGGCGCCGTGGCTCACGCCTGTAATCCCAGCACTGTGGGAGGCCGAGGCGGGCAGATCACCTGAGGTCGGGAGTTTGAGAGCAGCCTGACCAACATGGAGAAACCCCATACTAAAAATACAAAATTAGCCGGGCGTGGTGGCACACACCTGTAATCCCAGCTACTCAGGAGGCTGAGGCAGGAGAATCACTTGAACCCAGGAGGCAGAGATTGCAGTGAACTGAGATTGCACCATTGCACTCCAGCCTGGGCCACAAAAGTGAAACTCTATCTCCAAAATAATAATAATAATAATTAAAAAAAAAAGAATTGAGAGTCACCAGGCATCGTGGCTTACGCCTGTCATCCCAGCACATTGGGAGGCTGAGATGGGAGGATCGTTTGTGCCCAGGTGGCTGAGACCAGCCTGGGCAACACGGCAAAACTCCATCTCTACCAAAAAACTCTAAAATTAGCTGGGCATGGTGACACATGTCTGCGGTCCCAGCTATCTGGGAGGCTGTGGCAGAAGGATCACTTGAGCCCAGGAGGTCAAGTCTGAAGTGAGCTGTGATTGTGCCACTGCACTCCAGCCTGGGACCCAGAGCAAGACTGTGTCTCAAAAAAACAAAAAACAGTGAGAGTTCTGGGGAGGGCTGGTGTCTGGAGTATCTGAAATGCAGTAAGGAGGGAAGGAAGACCTACAGGGGAACATGGAGGGTGTGAGCACCCTCAAAGAGATCAGGCCTGACTCCACAGGCAGGGGGACTTTTGGTTCCTCTGTGGCCCCTTCTGAAATGCTATGCCTTTGCAACCCAAGAGCCTGGGTTAGGTTGGAGGCCATCCTGTGCTGCCAGCTGGCCTGGGCAGTGGGGACCCATGTCCCTGCTCAGAAACCCAGGCGGTGGGATGGGGTTGGCAGGCATGAGCCAAGCCTGTCAAAAGTATGTGCAGGCTCAATGGCTTCCCCACCTCTCCCCACTGCCCCACCAACCTCCAGGACAGGAGCATTCCATTGCTTCTTGTTTCTGTTCTCTTCCAATCTCCCTGAGAAAAAACCGACTGTCCCCTGCCCCTCCTTGGCTCCTGTGCATCATGAAGCAGCGCAGAGGCAGGAGGGAGGAAGAGCACCCAAGGACTGCGCCAAGGCCAGGGTCACATACAGGGAGGGAGCAGCTTCAGCCCAGGCTAAGAAAGAATGGGATTCTGCAGAGAGGACAAGGAAGCACCTCACCTGGGACTAAGATCACAAAAGGAGGCAGTATTGCCTCCCGAAAACAAACCCCCAAGCTCCTCCTCAACAGTCAGTGTTGGTGTCTGGTCTGGTCTGGTCAGTTTAATCACTGACTATTAATTGTGTGGGGTTGGGCTGACACAAACGTACAGTCTGCCTTGATTTGTTCTTTAATATAAAGTACATCTCAGTAGGGTGCAGTGGCTCACGCCTGTAATCTCAGCACTTTGGGAGGCTGAGACGGGTGGATCACTTGAGGTCAGGAGTTCGAGACCAGCCTGGCCAACATGGTGAAACCCTGTCTCTATTAAAAATACAAAAATTAGCCAGGCTTGGTGGTGTGTGCCTGTAATCCCAGCTACTCAGGAGGCTGAGGCATGAGAATCGCTTGAATCCGGGAGGCAGAGGCTGCAGTGAGTCGAAGGCTGCAGTGAGCTGAGATTGCACCACTGCACTCCAGCCTGGGCGAGACTCCTTCTTGAAAATAAATAAATAAATAAATAAATAAATAAAATAAAATAAAGTACATCTCCACAAGCAGGAGGCCCCTTGGTGTAGAGGAAACAGCTCTGTGCTGTCAGGTGACCTGAGTTCTATTCCTGGTCTTGTGATGACTCACAGGCAGCCATGGGCACGTCACCGCCCCTGGCAGAGCCCACTGGCCTTCTCTGTGAAATGAGGATTCAGACTGTGACCTGTAGATCCCCCACAGGCCCCCACTCCTGCGGTCTAGCATCCCATGGCGCCCAATCATTAGCTCTCAGAGGGCAGGAAGCAAACAATACTCAGCTTGAAAACACATAATGAATCTATGGATTTATTATTTAATAGTTGATGGCTTTGGGAGAAGGATGATGACCAGATCATCCCAGTGCCCTCAGAAAAATGCTTCTTTCTCCCTGGAGAGCTCTAGGGGAGGGAAAATTCCCACAACCTCCCTTGCCTCCCATTCCTCAAGGGAAAGAGAGTTTAGGTCCTAGTAACTCCCAACAAGCAAGCCCATATCTCCCTGCCCCGGTGGCCTAGGATTCCCCCTCCCAGGGACACTGGGACCCCCACCATGGCCCAGACACCCTTTGGTCTGGGGACCCTGCAGCACAGCTCTGGGAAAGTGGGGTTCCTCCCCAGTTGGGACCTAAGTTTGGGTGCCAGGAATCCAAACAGCTTTGTTGTTTTTCTACTTTTTCCCCCTCTTCAAGTAAACTTGCAAATGTCAATAACCAGAGAAAAACACGCACACGGAGACACATATTTCTCAACTCTCTTGCAGCTTGCCGCAGCTCTTGCCAGCAAAAACAAGTTCAGCTTCCTGGCCCCGTTTATGTAAGCGGTGAACCAGCTGCCTGGCCTGCCACCGAGGACACAGGCTTGGCTCGTGCCTGCTAATCCCATCTCACCACCCCAGTTTCTGAGCAGAGACGCAGGTCCCCGCTGCCCAGGCCAGCTGGCAGCACAGGAGGCCCCCAGCCTAACCCAGCTTCTTGGGTTGCAAAGGCATAGGATTTCAGAAGGGGCTACAGAGGAAACAAAGGTCCCCTGTCAGCAATAATGGTCTTGATCTAAAAGTAGGTGGGTGCTGAGAAGCCTCCAGGAGAAGCCTGTGGACACCTTGTGTCCACATGGAAACAAGTATAGAATTTGGTCCCACGAGGGCTAGGACAAGTCCCAGTGCTCTTGGTCACCTGTTCTTGCATTCTCCATCTTTGGACTGAGACTGGCTCCTGGCTTTGATGTGATAATAACCATAACAATCATTAGCAACTGGGACACTTACCCTGCGCCCTGGGCTTTCCCTAAGAGCACACTACTCACAAAAAGTCTGCCAGGGAGGAAGTCTTGTCCCCATTTCATTGTTGAGGCAACAAGAGATCAGAGAAGTTAGGGAACTTGCCCAAATTCACACAGCTCATGCATGAGGGAATCCACGCTGGACCCAGATGAGCCTGGCCAAAGCCTCTCTCTACTTGGCCCAGGTACCTCTCCATGCTCCACCCCCAGCTCCCTTCTCTGGGCTCCCCACCACCCTCTCTCTCCCCCTCTCCCAATTTCCTCTCCTCTTCCCTGCTCTTCTCACATCTTTCCACCCTTCAGAGGCCCAGGGAAGGGAATGCTGAGGCTTGAGGGGTGTGCACAAGGGGGGGTCAGCGCCATCACTGCAGCTGCCAACCTAATGGGGCACTGGGGACTCTCAGGAGCCAGGAGTCGTGCCCTTGGCCTTTCTCTCCCTTCCCCCACAGCCGCAGCGTGTATAGGATGAGTTAGAGCCTAAAACTGCCTCCCCTTGGACTCCAAATCTCGCGTCCTCCCCAAGTCACCCCACCATCTGGGCCCATTCATTTCTCCTTAACATTTCAGAGGGCACCCTCGGCCACTGTCCAGGAAGAGGCAAGGCCGCAGGCTACGGCAAGTCAAGGCTCCCAGGCTCTAATGGGAGGCCCAGCAACCTTCTCTGACTCAGCTCCCAGCCCCACCTGTCCGCAACCCCCTCTTCTCAGATGACTAGCTTTGGCTGGCAGGCCCCTGCTCCCTCCTCCCCCACATATGTATTTGTACTTCTTGTACCTGCTTGTATTTGTCTGAGTCAGTATTTACCTTGGCCTTGCCTTCCTCCCATCCACACGATGGACTGTACACTGCTGGAGAGAGGGTCTGGGAGGGAGGCTCCTTTGGACCCATAAACAGGTAATGCTCAATGCTGACTCAGAGACCCACGTGCGCGTGTGACCAACTCAGGAGATAAAACATCTAATCCTCCTCTGGCAGCATCAGAGATAACCACCTGGCTCCAGTCCAAGAAGGTACAACCTGGGTCAACTCTCAGAGATTATAAACTAATTAGAGGAAAAGATATCTAAGGCCATGTGCGGCAGCTCACGCCTGTAATCTCAGCACTTTGGGAGGCTGAGGCTGGCGGATCACCTGAGATCAGGAGTTCAAGACCAGCCTAGCCAAAATGGTGAAACCCCATCCATACCAAAAAATACAAAAATTAGGCCGGGTGAAGTGGCTCACGCCTGTAATCCCAGCACTTTGGGAGACAGAGAAGGTCGGATCACAAGGTCAGGAGTTTGAGATCAGCTTGGCCAACATGGTGAAATCCTGTCTCTACTAAAAATACAAAAATTAGCCGGGTATGGTGGCGGGTGCCTGTAATCCCAGCTACTTGGGAGGCTGAGGCAGGAGAATCGCTTGAAACCGGAAGGTTGCAGTGAGCTGAGATCATGCCACTGCACTCCAGCCTGGGCAACAAGAGTGAAACTCCATCTCAAAAAAAAAAAAAAAAAAAAATTAGCTGGGCATAGTGGTGCATGCCTGTAATCCCAGCTACTCGGGAGGCTGAGGTAGGAGAATCACTTGAACCCCGGAGATGGAGTTTGCAGTGAGCCGAGATCGCACCACTGCACTCCACCCTGGGCAACCCTGTCTCAAAAAAAGAAAGGATATCTAAGGAGGGCAAACAATCCACTCCCTGGCCCAAACCTAACCCCAGGAGCAGATAGAGAAATAAAGAGATTAAAAGCAGGACGCAGCAGGGCCTTAGAAGAAAGCCATTGGTACCTGCAGATGGATACACCCAGTATTTTGGTCCTGAAAGGGACAGTGAGGAGAAGCTACAGCCAGTGTGTAGGGTGCTGAGATAAGGAGCGCTGTTTTAAGGCTATACAGGACTCTTAAGGACGACTCAGGCCAACCTGCTCATTTTGGTGGATGAGGAGAACCAGGGCCCAGAAGTCACACAGCAGTGCATGGTGTCAGGACCGGAGCTGGGCTCTGGGACTCTCGGTCCAGGCTTAACACGCAGCCCTCTGCCTTCCCAGAAGCATGGCCTAGGGGTCTTGTCTTCTATCTCTGAGCACAGTCTCAGAGTATAACAAAGAGGCTGGCCCTCAGTCAGATTTTTTTTATGTGCTTCTGGAAGGTGGCAGGAGGGCAGGGAGAGGGAGGGACCTGATGTACGCACCCCCATTCCATATCTACAGACCCCCCAGCTTCCCCTCCCTGACCCCCTTAGCTATGAGGCAGCAAAGCTGAAGATTTAAGAAGTCACGTGGAGGTGTGGATGGAGCAGCTGGGAGGGATAAGGGGAGGTTTGAGGGGTGTGCATAGGGGGATTTCAGGGCTCCCCTGAGGATGCTTCTGTTCAGTTCTTATTCTGAATGGTGGTTCCATGCATGTGTTCAGTTTGTAAAAACCCACCCAGTGTGAGGCCTATGCTGACCACACTCTTTCGTAGGTGTGTCACTCTGCCATAACACTTTTTCATACAGGCCCCAAAGTCCCCACTCTTGCATTCCAATCACTGCTGAGCCATCCCCACCCCCTCCGCTCCCCCATGTGCCATGAGCTTGGGTAGACACATGCACGCACACACTGGTCCAGCTCACTCCACATCACCATCAAGGAAGCAGTTCCAGTGGAAGTGTCCTGGGCACATCTCCCCTCAGTGAGACCTGAATGTCGGGCTCTCCTGCCCCAGCTCCTCCTCCCTCATCATAAGCCCCATCAGGCCTACCAAGAGATAGGAAGACTCGGCATTAAAAATACATCAGTGTTCCCTAATTAATCTCTAAAGTTTACTTGGCCAGGTGCAGTGGCTCATGCCTGTAATGCCAACACTTTGGGAGGCTGAGGCGGGAGGATCTCTTGAGACCAGGAGCTCAAGACCAGCCTAGGCAACATAGCAAAACTCCATCTCTACAAAAAAAAAAAAAAAAATTTTTTTTTAAATTAGCCAGTCATGGTGTCATGCACCTGTGGTCCTGGCTACTCAGAAAGCCAAGGCAAGAGGATTGCGTGAGTCCAGGAGTTCAAGGTTGCAGTGAGCTATGATCAAGACACTGCACTCCAGCCTTGGCAACAGAGTGAGACCCTTCCTCTAAAAAAATAGGAAGGAAAAAATAAAACTACATAATTAAAACAGTGCGATACTGGCACATGAATAGGGAGACCAAATTATGGAAGAGACTAGAAAGTTCAGAACTAATAAAAATAAAAAATAGTTTAGTCTGCACTACTGATCTGTATACTTTAAAATGGTTATTTTATTTTATTTTTTTTTGAGATGGAGTCTTACTCTTGTCGCCCAGGCTGGAGTGCAGTGGCACAATCGTGGCTCACTGCAACCTCTGCCTCCCCTCTTGCCTCAGCCTCCGGAGTAGCTGGGATTACAGGTGCCTGTCACCACAGCTGGCTACTTTTTGTATTTTTAGTAGAGATGGGGTTTCACCATGTTGGTCATGCTGGTTTCAAACTCCTGACCTCAAATGATCCACCTGCCTCGGCCTCCCAAAGTGCTGGGATTACAGGTGTGAGCCACTGCACCCGGCTGATACATTTTATATTATGTGTTTTTACCACATTAAAAAAATAACTTAGTCTAAGTGCTTGCTACACATACAGGCAGTTTCTAAGTGTGCTACATAGATTAACTAACTTGATCTTCTCAATAGTCTATTTGACAGAAGAAGAGACTGAGGTTATATAGCTAATTAGGGGTGACCTGCATTCAAGTCCAGACAATTGGGCCTCAGAATTTGTGCTTTTAACTACTCGCTATGCCAAGAGGCGTATAAACCCAAGTATACAGGAATTTGGTAGATTTAAAATGTAACTTTGAAAATTGGTGGGGGAAAGATGAATTCAATAAACTGTAAAGAGATGTCAGGTGACAACTGGAAAGAAAAAGCTGGAGTCAGACTTCATACCTCATCCATAATATTAATAAATTCAAAATGGATCAAATATTTAAACTTTTAAAACTTTTAACAATACCAGAAAAGGAGAATCTTTTAAAATATTGGAATGGGGGTGGAGGTGAACAGTGCAGCCGGCGCCTTGAGCTCCGGGCCCCTGGCGACCTAGGGCCCTGTCCTGCAGGCTGAGGACGGCAAGTACAAGCAACTCAAGGGCGAGTGGAACCGTAAAAGCCCCAATCTTAGCAAGTGCAGGGAAGAGCTGGGCTGCCTCAAGCTAGTTCTTCTGGAGCTCAACTTCTTGCCAACCACAGGGACCAAGCTGACCAAACAGCAGCTCATTCTGGCCCGTGACATACTGAAGATCGGGGCCAGTGGAGCATCCTATGCGAGGACATCCCCTCCTTCCAGCGCCACATGACCCAGCTCAAATGCTGCTACTTTGATTACAAGGAACAGCTTCCCCAGTCAGCCTACATGCACCAGCTCTTGGGCCTCAATCTCCTCTTCCTGCTGTCCCAGAAGCGGGTGGCTGAGTTCCACATGGAGCTGGAGTGGCTGCCTGCCAAGGACATCCAGACCAATGTCTACACCAAAAACCCTGTGTCCCTGGAGCAATACCTAATGGAGGGCAGCTACAACAAAGTGTTCCTGGCCAAGGGTAACATCCTCGCCAAGAGCTACACCGTCTTCATCGACATCCTGCTTGACACTATCAGGGATGAGATGGCCGGGTGCATCAAGAAAGCCTATGAGAAAATCCCTTTTACCGAGGCCACCAGATCCTCTTCTTCAACACACCCAAAAAGATGACCGACTACACCAAGAAGTGAGGGTGGGTCCCGGGCCCCAACAACTAATATAGTTTTGCCGGCCAGCAGCAGGAGCCAGAAGACACTACCATTCCCTCCACAGAACTGGCCAAACAGGTCACCGAGTATGCCCGGCAGCTGGAGATGATCTTCTGAGCCCACCAGGCACAGGGTGGGGCAGGGCACACATTATTTAAAACAGTTACAGTGCAAGGTTTCCTCCAATAAAGGTGGATTGACATTCTCTCAAAAAATAAATAAAAATAAAATATTGGAATGGGAAGGATGTTATTAAGTATGACACAAAACCTAGAAGCTATAAAAGAGACTGGTAAATTCAACTAGTTGGAAAAAAAAATTTGCAGCCAGGCGCAGTGGCTCACACCTGTAATCCCAGCACTTTGGGAGGCCAAGGAGGGAGGATCGCTTGAACCCAGAGTTTGAGACCAGTCTGAGCAACATGGCAAAATCCCGTCTCTACAAAAAATACAAAGGCTAGTCAAGTGTGGTGGTGTGCACCTGTAAAAGCCCCAATCTTTTGAGTCTGAGCCTCATACTCAGAAGTCTGAGACAGGAGGATCGCTTGAGTCCCAGGAAATTGAGGCTGCAGTGAGCCATGAGCATGTCACTGCACTCCAGCCTGGGTGACACCGTGAGACCCTGAGAAAGAAAGAGAGAGAGAGAGAGAGATGGAAAAAAAGAAATTTCTTGGCAAAAACCACCCCCACCACCAAAAAAAAAAAAAAAAAAGTCATGTATGACATGTTAATATGTCAAGAGCTCCTGTAAACAATAAGATTAATGACCCAATCAAAATAAAATTAGCATTGAATATGAACAGGCAGGTCATAGTAGATTATGCAAATGTCAGTTATACATTAAAAAACCCATACAATCTTATTCAGATAAGATAAATGCAAATTAATTCCACACAGACGCCATTGTCTGTGTAGATACCAGGTTAATAGTACACTTTTGGCAAGGGCATAGGGACACAAGCATTCTCACAATGCTGCTGGAAGTATAAATTGGTGCAACTTCTATTCTGTCTCACGATGACAAATCTCATGGCCTTTGCCCATCAATTCCCCTTCGGGGAATATATCCTGCAGGTGTACTTGCACTCACACAACAAGAGGCATATGCAAAGTTATTCCCCACAGCAGGGGCCGTAAGAGCAAGAAGGGAACAACTAAACATCCATCAAAAGGTAACCGGGTGGCCGGACACAGTGGCCCATGCCTGTAATCCCAGCACTTTGGGAGGCCAAGGTGGGTGGATCACGAGGTCAGGAGTTTGAGACCAGCCTGGCCAACATGGTGAAACCCCATCTCTACTAAAAATACAAAAATTAGCCTGGCTTGGTGGTGCATGCCTGTAATCCCAGCTACTCGGGAGGCTGAGGCAGGAGAATTGCTTGAACCCGGGAGGCAGAGGTTGCAGTGAGCCAACATCGTGCCACTGCACTCAAGTCTGAGCGACAGAGCAAGACTCTGTCTCAAAAAAAAAAAGGGGGGGAACCAGATAAATAAACTCAGTACATCCATATAATGAAATACAAAAAAAAAAAAAAAGAGGAAGTTCTTTGTTTAAATTTCCTAGTCCACAGGAGCAGGGGTCTACAGGTCAAGCCCAGGATTCAGATATACCCAAGTTCCAACCCTATCTCAGTCACTCACTAGCTGTGTGACTTTGGGCTTGTTTCTCAACCTCTCTAGGCCTCACTTTTCTCATCCATAAAATAGAAATAATAACCATAGGTACTTCAAATGTTGTCAGGATTACATTAGATAATTAATGCAAAAACCTCAGCACTATTTTCAGAACATACCTAATCTTTCAAAAAAAATGTTAAGCGATTTTAATTATTATCCCCACTGCATTAGTGCCTCTCTCTCCTTTTCTGGGAGAAAGTCCTCACATTATAGCATCCCCCTCCTCCCATCAAAATAGGCTTTTAAAGGCCGGGCGCGGTAGCTCACGTCTGTAATCCCAGCACTTTGGGAGGCCAAGGTGGGTGGATCACCTGAGGTCAGGAGTTCGAGACCAGCCTGGCCAACATGGTGAAACCCCGTCTCTACTAAAAATACAAAAAAATTAGCCGGGTGTGGTGGCAGGCACCAGTAATCCCAGCTGAGGCCAGGAGGCTGAGGCAGGAGAATTGCTTGAACCTGGGAGGCAGAGGTTGCAGTGAGCTGAGATTGTGCCACTGCACTCCAGCCTGGGCAACACAGTGAGACTCTGTCTCAAAACAAAAACAAAAAAAAAAGGCTCACCGGGCACGGTGGCTCACACCTGTAATCCCAGCACTTTGAGAGGACGAGGTGGGCAGATCACAAGGTCAGGAGATCAAGACTCTCCTGGCTGACACAGTGAAACCCCGTCTCTACTAAAAATACAAAAAATTAGCCAGGCGTCGTGGCGGATGCCTGTAGTCCCAGCTACTCGGGAGGCTGAGGCAGGAGAACTGCGTGAACCTGGGAGGCGGATGTTGCAGTGAGCTGAGATCGCGCCACTGCACTCCAGCCTGGGCGACAGAGCAAGACTCCATCTCAAAAAAAAAAAAAAAAAAGGCTCTTAGGATCAATAACATTTATCAAGCATGCATTTTTGTCTGTTACAGTATTTTATACTTTTGTTGTTGTTGTTGTTGAGACAGGGTCTTGCTTTGTCACCCAGGTTGGAGTGCAGTGTTGCTGTCACGGTTCACTGCAGCCTCGAACTCCTGGGCTCAAGTGATCCTCCTGCCTTGGCCTCCTAAAGCACTGGGATGACAGACATGATACACCACATCCGGCCTCAAAAAGTATTTTATACTTTAAAGCTTGTAGTGACTTGCCCAAAGGTCCCCTAGCTGGTGAAGCAGTTAATGGGGAGACAGGCCTGGACTGCCTGCCCTCAAAGCTGTTTTCTCTCTGCTACCTCAGCGGCCTCTCTCAGAGACAGAGGAAATTCATTTATAGTGATGTGGATTGCAAAACATTCCACTGACCAAAGGCATATGAATAGATGTGGGGGACCTCAGCCACTCTCAGGGCTTGAAATAATATCTGCCAGCACACGACTCCCACATTTACATCTCAAGCTCAGTCCTCATTCCCAAATTCCTGACTCCCATATCCAACTCCTTATCAGCATCTTCTCTTGATTGTCTCGTTGCGGCCAGGCGCGGTGGCTCATGCCTGCAATCCTATAGCACTTTGGGAGGCCGAGGCAGGCAGATCACTTGAGGTCAGGAGTTCGAGACCAGACTGGCAACCTGGTGAAACCCCATCTCTACTAAAAATACAAAAATTAGCCAGGTGTGGTGGTGTGCACCCGTAATGCCAGCTACTCTGGAGGCAGAGGCAGGAGAATCGCTTGAACCCGGGAGGCAGAGGTTGCAGTGAGCCAAGATTGCACCACTGCACTCCAGCCTGGGAGACAGAGACTCTGTCTCAAAACAAAAACGAAAACAAAAGACATTTGTTTCCATATGTGCAAAACTGGCCTCTCATCTTGTCCTACAGCCCACCATCTATGCAATGGGGCCAGCACTTCTCTCACCTGAGGCTGTTTTGAAGATTACATGAGATCACAGATGCCAAGGGCCTAGCACAGCTACTTGCACACAGTTGACACACCATAAATGGTAACAGTTATTGTAACCATCATATAGAGAGGGAAGACCAAAGGATGCTTTTCGGGAAAGCGGTTGGGAAGTGGAGTGGGAACTGATTCAGAGAACAGGTGCTGGGGAGAATAGGCTGGATGCAGGGCCTCAGGGACATACTCCTAAGAGTAGAAAGCACCCGACAGAGCTGGCAAGGGATGAGCAGGAGTGGGGGAGGCTGCTGAGGTCCAGCTAACGTCAAGCCTGAACCCAGTGGCAGAAAAGCCTCTGCCTTTGCCAGGGACTTTTGACCTCTTCAGATCCCAGGCAAGAGGAGAGGGTAAAGAACACAGATTAACTACACAAAAAAACCTCCCAGCTGGACACAAAGGCTCACGCCTGTAATCCCAGCACTTTGGGAGGCCAAGGCGGGTGAACTGCTTGAGCCTAGGTGTTCCAGAGCAGCCTGCAACATGGCGAAATCCTGTCTCTACAAGAAATACAAAAAATTAGCCAGATGTGGTGGTGCACGCCTGTAGTCCCAGCTATTCCGGAAGCTGAGGTGGGAGGATCACCTGAGACCAGGAAGTCGAGGCTGCAGTGAGCAGTGATTGTGCCACTGCACTCCAACCTGGGCTACGGGAGTAAGATCCTGTATTTAAAAAAAAAAAAAAGGCCTTTTCTTTGTCACCTTCCCCTTGCCACTCCAGCCCTCAAGGATCCCACCTGCAGACTTGCAGTTATGACCTGGCATTTAGCACTTCCCTCTGCTAGACTTCAAGGAGCTAAAGGGCTGAGGACTTGTTACCCCAGAGATACTTCTCCAGGGCAGGGAGCATCCATGTGTCCCCACAGAGCCCTCTGCTCCAGAACATAACACACCCTCAGGTAGTACACATTGTTAAAGAGGAGGCAAGAATTTTCCTGCCCAAGATGGACATATAGGGAATCTCTAGAGATTTGTATATTTTCTTCAGGTCTTCACTCAAATATTATGTTCTCAGCAAGGCATTCCCTGGCCTCCCATCCAAGGCACCATGCCACCCCACCCTGCCACAAACACACATGGGGTCTGTCTCCCTCTCGGCTTTAGTTTTTCTCCTTAGCACTAGTCGCTAGCATACCACATACTTAATTTACATCCTGTTAATAGTCTCCCACACTAGAATGAAACTCAACTAAGCCTGGGGTTTTTGTCTCTTTTATTCATGGTGTATCTCCAGCTCTTAGAATAGTGCCTGGAACAGAGTAGGAGGTGTTCACTCCAAAAATATATTTTTGGAGTGAATGAATGATCACCTACACTTATTTAAGCACTTGCTGTGTGTTAGGGACTTCTGTAAACACTCTATTTAATACCTTACTTAGCTCATCTCATCTTCATAACCACCCTTCGAGGTAATACAATTATTTCTATTTTCTAGAACACTGGCTGTCAAAGAAGTTAAATCACTTGCCCAAGGTGTTATCATTTTTACTTGGCAGTGCAGGGCAGAGATGTGCCTGGCTTGAAGACCTTAGCCATCACCTATGCAAAATGAGCTGTGTTCAGGTGGAGGAGAGCAGAAGGCAGAGGGGGATAAAGGAAAAGAGAACAGAAAACCTCTGGAAGAAACTGGTTAACACTCTAGCCCAGCACCGTCCAGTAGGGCTTTCCACGATGATGGAAGAGATCTGTATCTGCACTGTTCAGTACAGTAGCCACTAGCAATGTGAGTGTTGAGCACTTAAAATGTGACTAGTGCAACTAAGAAACTAAGTTTTTATTTGATTTCATTTAAATTAATTTTTTGGAGACAGGGTCTCCTGTCGCCCAGACTGGAATTCGGTAGTGCAAACATGGCTCCATGCAGACTGGACTCAAGTGATTCTCCCACCTCAGCCTTCTCAGTAGCAGGGACTACAGGCTCATGTCACTGTGCCCAGCTAATTTTTTAAATCTTTTTGTAGAGACGGCATCTCACCCTGTTGCCCAGGCTGGTCTCCAACTCCTGAGCTCAAGAGATCCTCCTGCCTCAGCCTCCCAAAGTACTGGGATTACAGGCGTGAGTCACTGCGCTGGCATAATTTAAATTTAAATAGGTACACGTGGCTAGTGGCTACCGTATTACAGAGC
The DNA here is from genome assembly GCF_000001405.40 of Homo sapiens. Classification (NCBI taxonomy): domain Eukaryota; kingdom Metazoa; phylum Chordata; class Mammalia; order Primates; family Hominidae; genus Homo; species Homo sapiens. The sequence continues at coordinate 154,408,811 of NC_000001.11, read as the reverse complement.
ACAGCTTCAATCCAGACTAGATTCATTGACTGGAAACTCTTTTGCTTGCTGGGTCTGTGGCTTCCAGGCCTGGTGGGACCAGGATTCAGGAGACGGGGGAAGGGAGTGTATATTTTCAGCAGTCAGCACCTAGGTTACTTTGTGTAATCTACAAATACCCAGTGAGGGGAGTATTTGTTTACCCTGGCTGCTGAGGGCTGGAGATGAGGGTCAGGGTCAGGATCAGTGTGCCTGCTGCCTTGGGATCTTGGTCCTCAGTCAGAGGAACTTCCTCTCTCTAACCACCCCCTACCCCAAGCCAGACAATCTGTTCACGGGTAGTTGGTACCCAGTGGCCCGGTCAGAGTCTGGGGTTTCTCAGCCCTTCTCAGGATTTACCCATGACCATTTTCAGGCTCCTTTTAGGGTGGAGTCTGCATAGCTGATCCTACACAGGCCTCACAGGCTCTACACCGACTCAAGAAATGTTTGCTGCAATGAATAAACAAGCAGCAAGCCAAAGCAAGGAGAGATTTCTGGCAACAGAGAGCCCGAAGCGGGAGGGCCTTCATTCAGTTCCTCAATGACACCATTTAGGCAGCCGTCCTCAAACCTGACAGTGCCTAAGAATCACAAGGGGCAGTTTGTTTAAAAGGACATGCCCCAGGCCTCACTCCTAGGTGTTCTTATTTAATAAATCTGGGTTAGGGTTCAAAAATCATCATGTTTACCAAAGCCCTCCCACCCAGCACACACACCAGATCTGATGCTAGGCTCAGAACTAAGCTTTTGAGAAATACTGATTTAGGGTGAGGCTAGGCACGTGTGTGGGTAATGGGGGCAGGAAGAGGTGCCCTAGAAGGAAATTCAGAAGCTGAGATAGCTCTTTGAGATACTTAAAGGTATACATACTTCTTTTGTGTATTTTCTTGCATTGCAGTAGGAAGAGGGAACTTGAGTCACCCAAGTCCAGCCTTCCAGCACCAGAGTGTTGGAACCGGCAGAAGCCTAAGTCCCAGCTAGTCCAGGCCCTTAGACAACGAGTACACCTGAGAAGTCCTGGCAGCTCCAGGGTGTGTGGGCGGCAGCTGATCCCGAGGAAAACAAACCTCTGGGCTCTAAGAGCCCCGCAGGCTGTACCTGCGGATTTCCCCTCTCAGCCAACTCCAGCCTCTGCTCCCCCTCTGCTCCTCACTTCTCTAAAGCGAAACATCTCACAGTCATTTGCTCCATGCTTCCTGTACGATTTCTTTATTTTTACTCTCCAGTTTGTGGGCTGAGTCTGTGTGGGTGTGGGAGAGGGGCTGGGTATTTCTACTTCTCTGCATTTTCCTTCTGAGCTGGGAGGACTTTCACTTCCTCCCCAGTCTCTCAGTTCTGCCTTTCATGGGCTGTTCAGGCCATGAGACCACCTCTCCTAATCCTTCCTGAGCACCAGGGAAATGGAAAACTGACTGTAACTGGCTGCCCTGGAAGGGCCTAGCATCCACTCAGGAGCAACAGGTGGTGGCAACTACAGCAGTAACAGTAACCTCCCTGGGGCAGGAGCCTTGGGCTGGCGTGACAGCAGCAGAGGCAGCCAAGGGAGCCCTGCTTGCTCCTGAGGCCATCCGAGCCCTGGAACCTGTCTTGCATCCCTCTAACACCACCATGGGCAAGCCTGGGCCTCCACTTCCCTCCCTCAGCCTTTTCTGTCCCAGCACTCAGCCAGACAAGAGTGACTCTCAGCTTGCCCCAATGCCCCCAGCTCTGCCTGCTGATCTAGTTCTATATTTGAGAGTCTTAGACATCTACCACACTGGAGCACAGAGCCACGGGAGGGGTTGGCCTCCATCACCGGGGCCTGACAACCTGCCATCCCGCCATCCCAACCTCCCTGAACCTCAGTCTCCTCTTTCAAACAAAGTTATATGTAGATACAGTGGAGGATTAGAAAACATTGAATGGGTGCCCCAATCAACAGTGTCTGTTACTGGCAGGAGTTATAAATGTGTATTGAAAATGGAATCCCTTCTTTTTTTCTTCCAATCATAAGGACCACAACCATCCAAAAAGCAAAGAGAGCCTCAGACACTCCAGCTCAGCCTCTAGTTGCAGAAAGTCACCTCCTCAAAGGGAGAGATCAGTGTTCACCTAGGACTGGAATTCAGTGTGATCTAGTGGTTGAAAGTCTTAGCCTTCAGCCTCCCCAGCCTGTCAGCTGTTCCAGAAGCCTGTCAGCTGCCCCTTAGTTTTCTGCTGTGTCCTCAAAGAAGCACTGGGACCCTAAAATAAACCTCTGGAGAGCCAGTTGCCCAACTCTTCCAGAAGAGAGACTAGACACGCAGCTGGGCATGCGGCCAGAGCCCAAGAAAAGCCTGGTTTGCCAGGGGCAGATTACAGTCAACGGGAGCAGTAAGTGCCTCTGCCCTCTCCCTCACGGGTCCTTCTCTTTTCTAGAGGGGAGTCCAGCACGTGCCAGCCCCAGGAGGTCTCACTCCCTTGCCAGCCTCCCGACTCAATTCCCAGGACTGGGGCACTTGGCTTCCCAGAGTTGGTGGCTGCCAAAGTGACTCCGTGCAGCGGGAAGATCCGTGACTCAGCGCCCGTGATGTCAGTCCCTTCATAGTCAGGGCACTGTCATCCACACATGCACCCGCGGGGGTGGGGGGAGGACCAGGCGAGGTGGACCCCCAATGCAGAGGGAGAAGAGGGGCGCTGGTACAAAGGACTCCCCAGGCGGGTACATCACCCCGCTGGGGCGCGCCCTCTCGGGCAGTCTCCCCTTAGAGTAACCTGGGACGCGGTTGTGTAAAGGCTCCTGGGGGCACTGGGAAGGAAGCTCGAGAGTCAGGTTTGCAAGGACACAGTCCTGTACACAGACCGCAGGGTTCCCGCACAGCTTCACCGGGCATTCCGGGGAGCGCTCCGGACCAAGGGAGCAAGCGCAGCAGGGGGCGCAAGAGCCACTACCCGCGACCACACAGCTAGGTACCCGCGGGGCCTCAAGGCAGCCACAGAAAAGGGGATCCGTCGCACCTCCTTTCCTCCCTCCAGCCTCCCACAGACTGCGGTGACCAAGGCGGTTTCCCCCAGCCGCTAGCTGCCCCAGCCCTCCAGGTGCGCCCGAAGCCCTTACCCTGCGCAGGGCAGCGCCTTGGGGCCAGCGCCGCTCCCGGCGCGGCCAGCAGGGCAGCCAGCAGCGCGCAGCCGACGGCCAGCATGCTTCCTCCTCGGCTACCACTCCATGGTCCCGCAGAGGCGGACAGGCTAATGGGAACCGGGCGGCAGGGGTGGCAGGGGCGGGGCGGGGCGGTGGGCGGGCAGGCGGGCTCAGGCCCCGGGGGCAGCCCCCATCCGCAGGAGCCCGGCTCTCTACACACACTGCGAGTCCCTCGGCCCCGCGCCGCGCTCGGCTCCTCTCCCTCTGGCCCGGCTCAGTGTCAGTGCGACTTCCCACTCGCACATGACTCAGAGCGGCGGACGGTCCTGGCAACGCAGGAAAACATTTGAGGAACTCGCGCTGGAGCGTCTCTGGGCCGTCCCAGGGTGCGGTTACGAAAGCCGGAGCGGATGGCGCAACAGCCCCGCGCACCGGCCGACCGAGGGGGTGGCTTCCTGCCACAGCGCCGCACCTGAGCGGGGAGAACAGGGGACCGCCAGCCCCACCAGAGCCCTTCCTCCCGGTTCTGTTGATGAGAAAAGGGCGTATCAGCCACCAGTGGGCAGTGGCCTAGTTTTGATTTTTGGTTTCGTGAACGGGATTACGCTGTGAAAGGCACACCTGGAGAGCCCTCGAGGAGGCGATGTTCCTCTTACCCTTAGGGTAAAACAGTGCTTGGTAGCCCGGTTGCCCACTGGAATCAGCCAGGAGCCCTAAAACCCACCAATGTCTGGGTCGGGTCTCCAGAGATTCTGATTTCATCGGTCTGGGGTGAGGCTTGGGCATCGGAAGACTCACCACCGTAAAGGCACAGTCTTTCTGCCCAGCTGCTCCTCGCAGGCTGCAGCAGAGGCAAGGAAACGGTTTGGACTTTGCAGTCAGATAGACCTGGGTCCCCATTTAGACCTACCATCTACTGTGTCTGTGACTTCGGTTCAGAATCTGAGTCTCCATTTCCTCATCTGTCAGAGATAAGAAAGCCTATGCTGCCCAGGGTTATTAGGAAGGTTCTGTGGATGGCACCTAAACACCTGACACACGGTCTGGGCCACACGTGCTCAGTAGACATCAGAACGTTCATGGCTGCCCTCCTGACTTGACAGACAGACACTAACACCAGGGGCAGTGGCTCACGCCTGTAACCCCAACACTTTGGGAGAGCCGGGTGGGTGGATTGCTTCAGTCCAGGAATTCTAGACCAGCCTGTGTAACAAAGTGAGACCCCCATTTCTATAAAAAAATTTAAAAATTAGCTGGGTGTGGTGGTACACACCTATAGTCCCAGCTACTAGGGAAGCTGAGGTGGGAAAATTGCTTGAGTCCGGGAGATCCAGGGTACAGTGAGCCGTGATTGGGGGCTGCTACTCCAGCCTGGATGACAGTGAGACCCTGTCTGGAAAGAAAAAAAAAAAAAGAAAAGAAAGAAAGAAAAGGAAGGGAGGAGGGAGGGAGGGAGGGAAGGAGGGATAGAGGGGAAGGAAGGAAAGGAAGGAGAGAAAAAAAGAAAGAAACAAGCACCTGGCTTTTGAGCAACCACAAGGACCTTGAAGGGGACCATCTGTCCGTCCCTTGGAGGGGAACTCTCTCAAGGACCCCCACAGAGCCTAAAGCTGATAGGATGGCCTCATAGCTGAATCTGGAGGGAAAGAAAAATGCTGAAATAAAGTTTAGGCTGAGAAGCTTCTAGACCAGCAACTGCTCATTAGAATGTGTTTTTCTACCTTTGGTTTCAGGCCAATCCTAACCCAGATCAAAGATCCTGGGACAGCTGGAACAGGCATGGCCTAATGGAACTCCCAAGTGGACAGGGCCAGGCATGGACGGACAGAGCTTCTGAAACAGTCCTCAGACCCCGTGCATCTGGATCTTTCTGTAGGAACCACCCATCAGCAGTGCCAGACAGAACCAAGCACATGCACTGATCCACCGCACGATGGGAGCTGGTGTGGGTGAGCTTGTTTGCTTTAGCCATGCCCACAGACAGGAACAGAAGAGCACAGTGGAGGCCACCAGCCCTCTCGCCTGCTATTTCAAAAGGGGTTGCAGCAGGGCTGGAAAGCGGTTCCCACTGTGGTTGCCCCCTTCCTCTCTGTGGCACACACAGACCTGAAAATAACCAGAGAGGGACTGTGAGCTGCCAGCCTAAAACAGGAAGGCTGCAGAAAGTCCTAGGCTCAGATAGGAGAGTTTAAAAGAATGTTGAAACCAAGAACGGGCATCACAGATCCCACCTGTCTCTGCACCAAAGCAGACCTCCCCCTCTCTAATCTACTGGTGGGGAGCCTGTGTGCTCTGTAGTCATGCAGATCCCAGCTTTACCACTTGCTGGCTGTGTGACTTAAGCAAGCTATTTAACTTCTCTGAACCCCTATTTCCTGATTTGTAAGATAAGCGCAGCAATATACAAAGTTTTAGTGTTGTGGTTCACATGAAAAAATTTAATCCTGGCCAGGCCGGACGTGGTGCCTCACACCTGTAATTCCAGCACTTTGGGAGGCCAAGGTGGGCAGATCATGAGGTCAGGAGTTCGAGACCAGCCTGACCAACATGGTAAAACCACATCTCTACTAAAAATACAAAAATTAGCCGGGCATGGTGGTGCGTACCGGTAGTCCCAGCTACTCAGGAGGCTGAGGCAGGAGAATCACTTGAACCCAGGAGGCGGAGGTTGCAGTGAACCGAGATGGCACCACTGCACTCCAGCCTGGGCAAGAAGAACGAAACTCCCTCTCAAAAAAAAGAAAAGAAAAAGAAAAAAGAAAGAGAAGAAAGCATACCTGCACAATTCAGCCTGACCTGCCCTCACCCAGACAACAGAAGGAACAATGAAGACTTTAGTTGTCTGAGCCAGAACACTTCTCAGATAACTGTGCTGCTTACAAATTGCTTTACATACACAATCTCCTCTGAAATTCTCAACCCTGAATGCTGGGAGACATTGCCCCCAATTTTCAGATGAGTAGACTGAGGCTAACAGAGGTAAAGTGGCTTGTTCAAAACTGCACTACTAGTAACTGGCAGCTCCAGGGTGAGGTCTGGCTCCTGGCCCAGGACTCTCACTGAGCAAGGGCTCGGTCGGCCCACCCAGGACCAAAGACACTGCAGACCATGGCAGCAGGCACTTGGTGTTCTGTAGTCTGTGAGGGGAGAGCAGAGAGCAGAACCTGGTGTGTGGGACACCCTCTCCTTCACCGGTGTTCCTGCAGGGACCCTCCGTCTCCTGTAAAGGGGGAAGCCCTAGGCTGACTCCCAGCAAGCAAGTCCTCTCTCACCTTTCACCTGAAGCGATGAAGCATCTTAAAGTTTGCCTAAAGCAGAAGTCTACAGGAGACCCACAGAATAAATATGTAAGGTTATTTTGAAACCAAAAGGGACTTGGTCATCATTGCTTCTCCTCCCTCACTTTTTAGATAAGGAGCTAGGCCTCAAGAAGAGAAGTTGCTTGGTAAAGATGGCACAGGCAGTGGTGACAGAGCTGGTCAAGATCCCAGATACCCTGACTCAAAGTGGTCTTTTTAAATTCCCACCCTGCCCCCAACCTCCAGGTCTGGGCTGATGTGTTGGGGCCATTCTCAACTGTGAGAGTTTAAAACTATGCACTTTATTCTCTATTCACCATGTGAATCCATCTTTAGGGACAACGATTATTCTGAGAAGTGCAGTGGGGTAGGGCTGAACTGACCTGCAGACCCCTCCCTGGCCTCTGGCCCTGGAGCCAGCCCCTGGTTAATCAATAATTACAGGAAGGTGCTTCTTATTCTCTGAAACCTTCCCCTCCTGCTTTCTCATCAGCCTGGGAGGAGGTTACGTGGGCAGACAGAGGTCTAATAACAGAACTCAGTGTCTGGCCAGTGGCATCCCTCAGAGTCAGGCCCCAGCCAGGGCCCACTGAGGGCCTCAGCCTGCCTGTGGAGACCCTCGCTTTCACAGTGGAGGAATGCAGCATCCCTGGCTCCGGCAGCATGACAGTCTGGCTCCCCATTGCCTCACCAGGTGAGTTTACACCCAGAAAAGGGATTTGTTTAGCACCATTCTCAGAAAGGGTTCATAAAAGTTTATCCCCTTCTTGTAATATTTAGAGAATGTTATGATTTTTAACTGCTAAAAAGCATCACAGTTATAGCTGGGCATAGTGGCACATGCCTGTAGTCTCAGCTGCTTGGGAGATTGAGGCAGGAGAACTGCATGAGCCCAGGAGGTCAAGGCTGCAGTGACCTATGATTACACCTTTGGCACTCCAGCCTGGGCCACCGAGCAAGACCCCGTCTTTAAAAATAAAAATAAAAATAGGGCCAGGCACAATGCCTCACACCTGTAATCCCAACACTTTGGGAGGCCAAGGCGGGCAGATCATCTGAGGTCAGGAGTTTGAGATCAGCCTGGCCATCATGGTGAAACCCCATCTTTACTAAAAATACAAAAATTAGCCTGGCCTGGTGGCGCATTCCTGTAATCCCAGCTACTTGGGAGGCTGAGGCACAAGAATCTCTTGAACCCAGGAGGCGGAGGTTACAGTGAGCCAAGATTGTGCCACTGCACTCCAGCCTGGGCAACAGAGCAAGACTCTGTCTCAATAAATAAATAAATAAATAAATAAATAAATAAATAAATAGCATCACAATTAAAATTAAATGTAGAATTGTCATATAATCCGGCAGTTCCACTTCTGGATATATTCACAAAAAAATTGAAAGCAGGGACTCAAACAGATATTTGTACACCCGTATTTTTAGCAGCATTATTTACAATAGCCAAAAAGTAGAAACAATTCAAAAGTCCATCAAGAGATGAATGGATAAAAAAATGTGGTATGTACATATAATGAAATATTACTCAGTCTTAAAAAGGAAGGAAATTCTGACATATGCTACAACATGATAAACCTTGAAGACATTATGCTAAGTGAAATAAACCAGACACAAAAGGACAAATATTATATGATTTCATTTATATGAGGTACCTAGAGTAGTCAAATTAATAGAGATAGGAAGCAGAGTGGTAGCTGCCAGGGGTTAGTAGGAGGAGAGCGGGAAGTTATTGTTTAATGGGTACAGAACTTCCGTTTTTGCAAGATGAAAAGAGTTCTGGAGATGGATAGTGGTTATAGTTTCACAATAATGTGCATGTGCTTAATGCCACTGAACCATTTAAAAAATGGTTAAAATGCCCAAATGAGGGGGATTGCTTGAGGCCAGGCGTTCAAGGCTAGCCTGGTCAACATAGCAAGACCCTATCTCTACAAAAAATTTAAAAATTAGCCGGACATGGTGACCCACATCTGTAGTCCCAGCTACTTGGAAAGATAGCTTGAGGCAAGGAGTTTGAGGATGCAGCAAGCTATGACGGCGCCACTGTACTCCAGCCTGGGGGACAGAAAAAGACCTTCCTTATCTTAAATAAATAAATAAAAAGCTAAAATGGGAAATTTCATGTTTTGTATATTTTACCACATTTTTAATAAAGCATCGCAATTATAAAATTAAACAAGCTAGATGCTTGGAAATCCAGAAAACAGATTGCATTATTGAGTTGGTGGGGAAGGGAAGATAACTCATATTTTTAAAGGATATATAACGAGATTCCTTAAAGATAGTGCACTTTTTTTGGTGCACTATACAATATAATTCTATGAACACAAACTCTGGAGCCAAAGTGTCTGGGTTCAAATCTTAGCTCTGCCACTTATCAGCTGTTTGTCTCTGAACAAGTCACTCAACTTCTCTGTGTCTCAATGTCGTCATCTAAAAAATAGGGGGGAAGTACCCTCATAGAATTCTAATGGGAATTAAATTAGTTAACATATGTAAAACATTTATAACAATGACAATACATGATAAACTCTATATGAGGGTTTGTTAAATAAATGTAAATAAGTAAACTTTCCCAAAACGTATTCTTTCTAGACACAGAAGTTCATCCAAATGTTTTTTAAAATATAATTCATTATATCACCCATAAAATGAAGATGTTGAAGTAGAATTTGGTCATTAGCTGCTCTGTGAGGCCCCTTCTCAGAAGCTGCATGGATTTAAAATGGAAGGCCATTGGTAGCAGGTCTTCTGATGACATCGTTTAGGTCAATGTTTTGAAATTATATATATATATATATATATTTTTTTTTTTTTTTTTTTTTTTTTTTTTTTGAGACAGAGTTTCACTCTTGTTGCCCAGGCTGGAGTGCAATGGCACGATCTCGGCCCACTGCAACCGCCGCCTCCTGAGTTCAAGCGATTCTCCTGCCTCAGCCTCCCAAGTAGCTGGGATTACAGGAATGTGCCACCATGCCTGGCTAATTTTTGTATTTTTAGTAGAGATGGGGTTTCACCACGTTGGTCAGGCTGGTCTCCAACTCCTGACCTCAGGTAATCCAGCCGCGTGGGCCTCCCAAAGTGCTGGGATTACAGGTGTGAGCCACTGTGCCTGGCCGAAATAATATTTTTTTGAGATGACGTCTTGCTCTGTTGCCGCCCAGGCTGGTGCAGTGGCGCCATCTTGGCTCACTGCAACCTCTGCCTTCTGGATTCAAGCGATTCTCCTGCCTTAGCCTCCCGAGTAGCTGGGACTACAGGTGCACACCACCACACCAGGCTAAGTGATAATTTTAATAAGGAAAAAAAATAGATTCCCAGCCTGGGCCCCTGTCTGTGTGGAGTTTGCATGCTTCCCCCATATCTGTGTGGGTTTTCTTCTGGTACTCTGGGATGTGCCCGTTATGTTAATTAGCATGTCTAAACTGTCCCAGTCTGAGAGAGACATAGAGAGAGAGAGCGAGAGAGAGAGAGAGTGTGTGTGTGTGTGTGTGTGTGTACCCTGTGATGGGATAGTGTGTACCCTGTGATGGGATAGCGTCCTGTCTGGGGCTGTTTCTTGCCTTGCACCAAGTTGCTGTGATAGGTTCCAGGCTCCGCCACCCACAACAGAGACACTAAACTGAAATAAATGGGTACATAATTTTCTTCATTGCTTTTATTAATCTTTCTTAAATGTATATATAGCTCACATTTATTTCAATGTTTGATATTAGCAGTGTTTGGGGTCTTTATTTAGAAGTTTGGTTACATCTTTGTGACCAGAAATGTCGTAGAAACTTAACTCTAGTTCATATCAATTGGCCTATGGTAAAATTGGTTTCATTATACGTTGTTTTGCTTAAAGTCACAGTTTTCGAGAACCTGTTAACAAGGTTAAGTGAGGACTTACTGTACTAGCTGACTTAACAGTTTCAGTCGGGTTTGCTTCTGCTGTTAACAGTAATCTCTTGTCAGAGCTAGGGCCCTGCAGTTACTACCTCTGCCTGCCATTGTACCTTTCCTGGAAGATAGTCTAAACTTGGACTTCACACATATGCGTGAGCTATTTGCTCTTACACTTCCCAGCAGAGGCTGCATTATGCTGTGGATTTGTGCAGAATGAGGGTTGAGTAATAATTACCCTTCACTTGCCAATCATGTGTTCCATTTGCATTCATTATTAGCATGCTCTTTAGCAATCATTTGTCTATGCCGAGCTATTTATGTAGACACAGACATGTAAGCAGATTCCTGAGCCAAACTGCCTGAGTTCAAATCTAGCTCTGCCATTGACCAGCTGGGACCTTGGATGCTGTAATTTTATCTAAACTTCACTGTCCTTTTCTATAAAATGGGAATATTAAGAGTGTCTACTGCACAGGGTTATTGTGAGGATTAACTGAGAAAACTACCTACAGTACTTAATACAATCCTGGCACCCAGTAAATGCTCAGCCTGATAATGACAATAATCTGTACATATGGTAACCTCATCCATTCCAGGGAGAAGAGGAAGAAGGTGGATATTAGTTAGAATCGATTTTTTTCTGTTAAGTGAAATTTCCCTCCAAGGAAAAAACCTTATTTATATTAACCATTACATAAATCTTTTTTTCTAAACATGCTGTACAATTTTCTGGCCCATAAAATGGATTAGGCTGACCATAATTTTAATAAATTTGAAGCAATACAGCATAAAGATTAAAAGTTTTTTCAGCACCATAGGAAAGGTAAAAAACAAAATAAAAATAAGGCTGGGCGCGGTGGCTCACGCCTGTAATCCCAAAACTTTGAGAGGCCAAGGCAAGCGGATCACCTGAGGGCAGGAGTTTGAGAGCAGCCTGGCCAACAGGGAAAAACCTCATTGCTACTAAAATTACAAAAATTAGGTCGGGCGCGGTGTCTCACACCTGTAATCCTAGCACTTTGGGAGGCTGAGGTGAGCAGGTCACTTGAGGTCAGGAGTTCAAGACCAGCCTGGCCAACATGGTGAATACAAAATACAAAAATTGGCCGGATGTGGTGGTGCACACCTGTAATCTCAGCTACTTGGGAAGCTGAGGCAGGAGAATCACTTGAACTTGGGAGGTGGGGGTTGCAGTGAGCTGAGATCCCCCACCGCCACTACACTCCAATCTGGGCCACAGAGTGAGACTCCATCTCCAAAAAAATATATACAAATACAAAAATTAGTGGGGCGTGGTGGTGCATGTCTGTAATCCCAGCTACTCTGGAGGCTGAGGCATGAGAATCTCTTGAACCCAGGAGGCCAAGGTTGCAGTGAGCCAAGATCATGCCACCGCACTCCAGCCTGGGTGACAGAGCAAGATTCCATCTCAAATAAATAAAGTATTTGAACTTGCTATAATCAAAAAGTCATATAATAACAAGTGTTCGTGGGCAAGCTAATTTAATTTTTGTATGTTTAGTAGAGATGGGGTTTCACCATGTTGGCCAGGCTGGCCTCAAACTCCTGACCTCAGGTGATTCACACTCCTCGGCCTCCCAAAGTGCTGTGATTACAGACGTGAGCCACTGCATCCAGCCTGATAATTATTCATTAATGACAGCCATGTGCCAGACTTTTTTTGCCCCTCTCCCCACTACAACAAATTCAAAGATAAATAAGGCACAGATTTTGCCCTTCTCATCTAATGCTAATATCTCCAAGGATTACTCCTACCCCTCTTCTCTAGAACCTTAAGCCGTGAGTTATCCCTCTCTTCTCCTGTGTTAAACCTCTCCCTCTCCAGTGAATCCTACCAATCAGCATTTAACATGCTATAGTCTCTCCCATCTTAAGAAGCAACTTTCCCTGTGCTACCACTACCTGCCTGACATCTGCAGTTGGAGATCTCATACACATCTCAAACTCAACATATCCAAACCCGAGCCTCATCTTCCTGTCACTACTTGCTCTCCCCTTATATTCTCTATCTAAGGGACTTGTCCCACCATTTGCTCATGTCAGAAACCTAAGAATCATCCTTAACTCCTTCTTCCTCTCCTCTGTCATCCAGTTCTTACAATGTTGCTTCAACCTCGAGAAGAGATTTCAAATCCATCTGCCTCTCTCCACATTCACTGCTACCATACATGTCCAAGTTAACTACCATCTCTCTCAGACTTCTAAAGTATGAACCACTGATTTCTCCCATTAAGTATTTCCACTTCAATCTATTCTCCCCATTTCAGCCAGGATGCTTTAAAAACATGTAAATTAGATCATGTTATTTTTCTGCTTAAAATCCTTCTACACATTCCCATGGGCACTGTGTCTGTCTAGCCATTGCTTTATCTTCAGTGCATAAAACAATACTAGGCACAGAGTAGGCACTCAATAAATAATTGTTTTATGAATAAAAAGTTATATTCATGACTTTATTCAAGGTCTTATTTAATAAATGTGGAAGTAAGAATGAAGGCCGTATTTTTAAAAACCCACAGCTAACATATTTCATGGTGAAGGAATAAAAGCTTTTCTCTCTAAGATCTGAAACAAGACAAGTATGCCCACTTTTGCCACTTCTGTTCAACATAATATAACAATTTGTAGCCAGAGCAATAAGGCAAGAAAAAGAAATTAAAGGCATCCAAATTGGAAAGAAAGAAGTAAAAAAAAAAAATTTTTTTTTTTTTTGAGACAGAGTCTCGCTCTGTCACCCAGGCTGGAGTACAGTGTTGCGATCTCAGCTCACTGCAAGCTCTGCCTCCCGGGTTCACGCCATTCTCCTGCCTCAGCCTCCCGAGTAGCTGGGACTACAGGCGCCTGCCACCACACCTGGCTAATTTTCTGTATTGTTAGTAGAGATGGGGTTTCACCGTGGTCTCGATCTCCTGACCTCGTGATCTGCCTGCCTTGGCCTCCCAAAGTGCTGGGATTACAGGCGTGAGCCACCGCACTGGGCCAGAAAGAAGTAAAATTATCTCTGCTCACAGATGACATGATCTGATATGTAGAAAACTCTAGGCCGGGTGCGGTGGCTCACGTCTGTAATCCCAGCACTTTGCGGGGGCTGAGGCAGGAGGATCACGAGGTCAGGAGATCGAGACCATCTTGGCCAACATGGTGAAACCCCATCTCTACTAAAAATACAAAAATTAACCAGGTGTGATGGCAGGCGCCTGCAGTCCCAGCTACTCGGGAGGCTGAGGCACAAGAATCGCTTGAACCCAGGAGGCGGAGGTTGCAGAGAGCCGAGATTGCACCTTTGCACTCCAGCCTGGCAAAAGAGCGAGACTCCGTCCAAAAAAGAAAAAGAAATTGCTAAAGATTACACACACACACACACACACACACACAAATACAAATAAACAGCTAATAAATGAATTCGGTAAAGTTGCAGGACACAAAATCAACACATATGACTTCCTGATGGTAATTTTTTTAAATTAAATTTTAAAAATTAAAAGAAAACAAGATTAACTCATAAAAGTTAGTTGCATTTCCATACACTAGCAATGAACAATCAGAAAAAGAAATTAAACTTTTTTTTCATTTACAATAGCATCAAAAAAAGTAAAATACTTGAGAATATATTTTACCAAGGAGGTAAAAGACTTGTACATAGAATACTGCAAAACATTGCTGAAATAAATAAGAAGACCCAAATAAATAGAAAGACATCTCATGTTCATGGATTGGAAGACTTAATATGGTTAAGACAACAATACTACCCCAAATAACCTACAGACTCAATGTAATTCCTATCAAAATCCCAACAGCAATTAGCAAGGCATGGTGATGCACACCTGTAGTCCACCACCTCAGGAGACTAAGGTGGATCACTTGAGCCCAGGAGTTCAAAGCTACAGTGAACTCTGATTGTGCCACTGCATTCCAGTCGGAGCAACAGAGAGAGACTATGGAAAAGAAAAAAAAAAATCTCAACAGCAATTTTTGCAGAAATAGAAAAAATCCTAAAATCTCAAAAAATCCTAAATAGCCAAAACAATCCTGGGAAAAAGGAGCAAAGTTGGAGAGCTTAACATTTTCTAATTTTAAAACTCACTATAAAATTAGCCGGGCGTAGTGGCGGGCGCCTGTAGTCCCAGCTACTTGGGAAGCTGAGGCAGGAGAATGGCGTGAACCCGGGAGGCGGAGCTTGCAGTGAGCCGAGATCCCGCCACTGCACTCCAGCCTGGGCGACAGAGCGAGACTCCGTCTCAAAAAAAAAAAAAAAAAAACTCACTATAAAGCTACAGTACTCAAAACAATATGGGAGGCTGGGCAAGGTGGCTCATGCTTGTAATCCCACCATTTTGGGAGGCCAAGGTGGGCAGATCACTTGAGGCTGGGAGTTCGAGACCAGCCTGGCCAACATGGTGAAAACTTGTCTACTCAAAATACAAAAATTACCCAGGCATGGTGGTGGGCACCTGTAATCCCAGTTACTTAGGATGCTGAGGCAGGAGAATTGCTTGAACCCAGGAAGCGGAGGTTGCAGTGAACCGAGATCACACCACTGCACTCCAGCCTGGGCGACAGAGCAAGACTCTGTCTCAAAAAAACAAAACAAAACAAAAGACAACCTACAGATTGGGAGAAAGTATTTGCAAATCATATATCTGGTAAGGGGATTAATATCCAGAATATATAGAGAACTCCCACAACTCAACAACAAAAAGAAACAACCCAATTTGGCCGGGTGCGGTGGCTCATGCCTGTAATCCTAGCACTCTGGGAGGCCAAGGCAGGTGGATCACCTGAGGTCAGGAGTTAGAGAGCAGCCTGGCCAACATGGTGAAACCCTGTCTCTACTAAAAATACAAAAATTAGCCAGAAATTGCTTGAACCTCGGAGGCGGAGGTTGCAGTGAGCAAAGAACGTGCCACTGCACTTCAGCCTGGGCAATAGAGTGAGACTCCGCCTCAAAAAAAAAAGAAAGAAAGAAAGAAACAACCCAATTAAAAAATGGGCAAAACCAGTCTGGCCAACATGGCAAAACCCCATCTCTACTAAAAATACAAAAATTAGCTAGGTATGGTGACGCACACCTATAGTCCCAGCTACTTGGGAGGCTGAGGTAAGAGGATCACTTGAACCCTAAAGGCGAAGGTTGCAGTGAGCCAAGATGGCACTACTGCACTCCAGCCTGGGTGACAGAGCAAGACCCTGCCTTAAAAAAAAAAGGGGGTGGAGGCAAAAGACTAAAATAGACATTTCCCCAAAGAAGTTATACAAATGACCAACAAGCACATAAAAATATGTTCAATCAACATCATTAGCCATCAAGGAAATGCAAATCAAAACTATAATGAGACCATAGCCATTAGGATGATGGCTGCTATTCAAAGAAACAGGAAAATAACAACTCTTGGTGAGGACGTGGAGAAACTGGAATCCTTGTGCATTGCTGGTGGGAGTGTAAAGTGGTGCAGCATCTGGGGAAATGTTTGGTGGTTCCTTAAAAATTAAAAGTAGAATTACCATATGGCCCAGCACAATAGTGTGCACCTATAGTCCTAGCTACTCAGGAGGCTACATGAGCCTTGCTTGAGCCAAGGAGTTCCAGTCCAGCCTGGGCAACATAACAAGATCCTGTCTCTAAAAAATAAAAAAAGCCCAGTGTGGTGGCTCGCACCTGTAATCCCAGCACCTTGGGAGGCCAAGGCTGAGGTCAGGAGTTCAAGACCAGCCTGACCAATGTGGAGAAACCTCATCTCTACTAAAAACACAAAAATTAGCTGGGCATGGTGGCGCATGCCTGTAATCCCAGCTACTGGGGAGGCTGAGGCAGGAGAATCGCTTGAACCCAGGAGGCAGACGTTGTGGTGAACTGAGATCACGCCATTGCACTCCAGCCTGGGCAACAAAAGCGAAACTCCGTCTCAACATAAATAAATAAATAAATAATAAAAATAAAAATAAAAAAAATTTAAAGAACCCAGACAAGTCTAATTTTCTCTCTTTCTTTCTTTCTTTTTTTTTTTTTTTTGAGATGGGGTCTTGCTCTGTTGCCCAGGCTGGAGTGCAGTGGTGCGATCTCAGCTCACTGCAACCTCTGCCTCCCAGGTTCAAGCAATTCTCCTGCCTCAGCTTCCCGAATAGCTAGGATTACAGGCGCGTGCCACCACGCCCAGCTAATTTTTTTGTATTTTTTTTGTATTTTTTTTATTTTTATTTATTTATTTTTTTGAGACAGAGTCTTGCTCTGTCGCCCAGGCTGGAGTGCAGTGACACGATCTCGGCTCACTGCAGACTCCGCCTCCTGGGTTCATGCGATTCTCCTGCCTCAGACTCCCGAGCAGCTGGGACCACAGGCCCCTGCCACCACGCCTGGCTAATTTTTGTAATTTTTGTAGAGACAGGGTTTCACCATGTTGGCCAGCTGGTCTTGAACTCCTGGCCTCAGGTGATCTGCCCTCCTTGGCCTCCCAAAGTGCTGGGATTATAGGCGTGAGCCACCACACCCAGCCAGAAAGTGTTAAAGCCCATGATGACTGCACCATCACGGCTGCTGGAGCCTCCACTGCTGCTATGATTCTCATTGGAATCACTGCACATATCACCTTGCAGGGAAGGAGTGCATTCCTGCTGTTGTTACAGGAGCCCAAAGTCACACCACTGTTGCTGCCTCCTCCAGCCCCAGAGTCCACAATCACTGTGCTGCTGTGGCCGCAATCACTGTGCTGGTGAAGCAAGGAATCTAGGAGCCTACATCCACCTGCTGCTGCCACTGTCAGAGGAACTGCCAAAAGAAGAGAACAAGAAGACCTCTTCCTTTAGCTTCCCTTCTAATCTTTCACCAGGGGCACCCATTGCAGAACCTAGCCAGAAGTCAGCTGGAAAGAGAGTCAGAGGAAAGTAGCTTGCAGTTTCCCAGTTCCTTACAATACAACCAAAGCAAGGAAGTGCAGTGTGATGGTTAATTTTACGTGTTGCTGGCATGTTGATTCATGCCTGTAATCCTAGCATTCTGGGAGGCAGAGGCAAGATGATTGCTTGAAGCTAGGAGTTTGAGAAAAGGCTGGGCAATGTGGCAAGACCCCATTTCTACAAAAAATTTTAAATTGCTGGGTGTGATGTCTCACAACTGCAATCCCAGCACTTTGGGAGACCCACGTGGGAAGGTTGTTTAAGCCCAAGAGTTCATGACAAGCCTGGGCAAGATAGCGAGACCTGTCTCTACTAAACAATTAGCCAGGCGTGGTGGTACGTGCCTGTAATCGCAGCTACTCTGGAGGCTGAGGCACAAGAATCTCTCGAACCCAGAAGGTAGAGTGTTGTCACTGCATTCCAGCCTGGGCAACGGAACAAGACTCTGTCTAAAAAAAAAAAAAAAAAAAAAAAATTAGCCAGGCGTGGTGGCACACCTACTCAAAAGGCTGAGGTGGGAGAATCGCTTGAGCCCAGGAGTTCAAGGCTATGATCAATTCATTGCACCCCAGCCTGGGTGACAGAGTGAGATCTTGTCTCAAAAAAAAAAAAAAAGTGTGAATTTCAGTGGGCCATGGCATACCTCAAACATTATTATGAGAGTTTCTGTAAGGATGTTTTAAGGGTAGCTTTTTTTTTTTTTTTTTTTTTTGAGACAGGGTCTCGCTTCGTCACCCAGGCTGGAGTACAGTGGCACCATCTTGGCTCACTGCAACTGCCGCCTCCTGGGTTCAAGCCATTCTCCTGTCTCAGCCTCCCAAGTAGCTGGGATTACAAGCGTTCGCCACCATGCCTGGCTAATTTTTGTATTATTAGTAGAGACGGGGTTTCACCATGTTGGCCAGGCTGGTCTCAAACTCCTGACCTCAAGTAATCCACCCACCTCTGCCTCCCAAAGTGCTGGGATTACAGGCATAAATCACCGCACCCAGCCTGTAAGGGTGTTTTTGGATGAGGTTAACATTTAGGCCAGGTGTGGTGGTTTACACCTGTAATCCCAGCAGTTTGGGAGGCTGAGATAGGTGGATCCCTTGAGCCCAGGAGTTCAAGATCTCGAGACCAGCCTGGGCAAAATGGCAAAACCACATCTCTACAAAAAAATACAGCAATTAGCCAGGCACGGTGGTATGCGCCTGTGGTTTCAGCTACCCAGGAGGCTGAGGTGGGAGGATCACCTGAGCCTGGGAGGTGGAGGTTGCAGTGAGCTGAGATCATGCCACTGCACTCCAGCCTGGGTGACAGAGTCCCTATCTCAAAAAAAAAAAAAAAATAAGAAAAAAAAGCTGGGCGCAGTGGTTCATGCCTGTAATCCCAGCACGTTGGGAGGCCAAGGCAGGCGGATCACCTGAAGTCAGGAGTTCCACACCAGCCTGGCCAACATGGTGAAAGATTTCTTTCTTTTTTTTTTTTTTTTTTGAGATGGAGTCTCGCTCTGTTGCCCAGGCTGGAGTGCAATGGCAAGATCCTGGCTCACTGTAACCTCCGCCTCCCGGGTTCAAGCAATTCTCCTGCCTCTGCCTCCTGAGTAGCTGGGATTACAGGTGTGTACCACCGCACCCAGCTAATTTTTGTATTTTTAGTAGAGATGGGGTTTCACCATGTTGGTCAGGCTGGTCTCGAACTCCTGACCTCATGATCTGCCTGCCTTGGCCCCCCAAAGTCCTGGGATTACAGCTGTGAGCCACCACGCCTGGCCAGTGAAACCACATTTCTACTAAAAATACAAAATTAGCTGGGAGTGGTGGTGGGTGCCTGTAATCCCAGCTACTTGGGAGGCTGAGGCAGGAGAATCACTTGAACCCAGGAAGTGGAGGTTACAGTGAGCTGAGATCGTGCCATTGCACTCTAACCTGGGCAACAGAGTGAGACCCTGTCCCAAATAAATAAATTAATAAATAATTTAAATTTTTTTTAAATAATTAAACTGAGTAAAGCACATTGTCCTCCCTAATGTGGATAGTTCTCATCCAATCAGTTGAAGGCCTGAATAGAGCATAAAGTCTGACTCTTCCCCGAGTAAGAATTCTTCCTGCCTGACTGCCTTTGAAACAGAGAACATTGGCTTTTTCCTACCTTTGAACTGAACATCAGCTCTTCCTGAGTGTCAAGACTTTCACCCTTCAGGCTGGAACTCCACCATCAGCTCTCCTAGGTTTCCAGCTTGCAGACTCACCCTACAGATCTTTGGATTTACCAGTAAAAAAAGCCTCCGTAATTGCACAAACCAATTCCTTTATATATATATAAAATATTACCTATTAATATAATATGTTTTATATAGTATATAGAGAGAAGATATATATTCTATATATACAGAAGATATGTATCTATAACATATAGATATGTATTTATATATAAGATGTATATTCTATATATACAGAAGATATATATTCTGTATATTCATACGTATATATAGAAGATAAATATATATTCTATTTCTCTGGAGAACCTTTACTAATACAGGTGGGCAGGAATGGAGGTGAGAAAAAAATGGCCATCATTAAAGTTTGAAAGTTCTCATTTAGTTTGAGGGCAGCAGACTCATAGTAGAGTTGACCTTCAGCTGGGCCTTAAAGGTATCATTTCTTTTTTTTGTTTGTTTAGATGGAGTCTCACTCTGTCGCCCAGGCTGGAGTCCAGTGGCGTGATCTCGGCTCACGGCAACCTCCATCCTCCCAGGTTCAAGCAATTCTCTGCCTCAGCCTCCCAAGTAGCTGGGATTACAGGCGCCACCACGCCCAGCTAAGTTTTTGTATTTTAAGTAGAGACGGGGTTTCACCATCTTGGCCAGGCTGGTCTTGAACTCCTGACCTTGTGATCCACCCGCCTCAGCCTCCCAAAGTGCTGGGATTACAGGCATGAGCCACCACACCCGGCCAAAGATATCATTTCTATAAGTAGAGATGGATGGATTGGAGAGGTGAGGGAGAAGATAGAGAAAACTCCAAGCAGAAGCAACAGTATGAGCAAAGACACAGGAAAATTCTGGCTGCATTCAAAAAATAAAGCATTACATTAGTACAGCACTTTATAGTTTACTGTTTCCACACACCCTATTGAGGCATCATATAGGAAGCAATAAAAATTGGGACTCAGACGGGTTTGGCCAAGATTGTGCCACTGCACTCCAGCCTGGGCGACAGAGCGAGGCTCTGTCTCAAAAAAAAAAGAAAAAAGAAAATTGGGACCTAATAGAGAATAAACTTCTCAAAGGACCCATGTACCTAGACCTCAGTTGCTATTTCCCACCCCTAAGCCCATGGTCTCTAGAGTTAAGTACAATCTACTCAGCCAGGTGCGGGGGCTCACGCCTGTAATCCCAGCACTTTGGGAAGCCGAGGCGGGCAGATCACCTGAGGTCTGGAGTTCAAGACCAGCCTGACCAACATGGTGAAACCCCGTCTCTACTAAAAATACAAAATTAGCCCGGCGTGGTGGCACATACCTGTAATCCCAGCTACTCAGGAGGCTGAGGCAGGAGTATCGCTTGAACCTGGGAGGCGGAGGTTACGGTGAGCCAAGATTGCACCATTGCACTCCATCCTGGGCAACAAGAGCAAAACTCCGTCTCAAAAAAAGAAAAAAGTACAATCTACTCAAACACTTACCAGTCTGGCCCCATGATGCCTTTTCTTCCTCTTTCTTCTGAGTCCTCTCTCAAATATACTGTGTTTCAGCCAAAGAAGATTTGAAAATTCCAGATGTACCCCAGGAACCAAAAAACCCTCTGGGTTTAGGTGACAACTGATGTAGCCAACTTGAAATACCCAAATCCTGGCCAGGCACAGTGGCTCACGCCTATAATCCCAGCACTCTAGGAGGCTGAGGCGGTGAATCATTTGAAGTCAGGAGTTCAAGACCAGCCTGGCCAACATGGTGAAACTCCCTCGCTACTAAAAATACAAAAATTAGCTGGGTGGGGTGGTGCATGCCTCTAGCTGCAGCTACTCGGGAGGCTGAGGCAGGAAAATCTCTTGAACCCGGGAGGTGGAGGTTGTAGTGAGCCAAGATCATGCCACTGCACTCCAGCCTGGGCGACAGAGCGAGACTATTGTCTCAAAAAAAACCAAAAAAACAAACAAAAAAAAAAAACAAAAAAGGCCAAATCCTAAATGACCAGCAGAGAAAACTGAGAAGCAACCCATCTATTCATAAAATCCTCAAAACGCTCATGAACTGGCAGCTCCAAGTACCTCTGGAACTGAGTTTGTGTGTCTCTGAGTGTGTGAGTGTGCAAACAAGGAGGACTGGTTGAAAGCTGTTTGAGAAGCACCCTTCATTACTGAGTAACTACCCCTCCCTCCCTCCCACAGAAATCTGCAAGCTTGTTCTCTGTACAGGATAAAACAGAGAGTCTCTGAACTGGGTGATACCAGGCACATTTGACAGCATGGCTATGGCTTGTAAACTCGGGAACTAAGGGACTGCGTATGCCAAATGCCCCAGGCTAAGACCCACAGCCCTCTGCCTCCTTTCGGGGGCCAGAACACTGGCAGGCTGGCCTGTTCCCTCCTAGAAGGAGATTCTTCTCTGGGTAACCTGACTGGCCCCAGACGAAAGACCTAAAGATCCAGACATGTGGGGACTCCCCCAGCAAACAGTCCCGTCCAGATGCCCACCATGTGAGCTTCCAATCAGCGCCTTCGTTCCCATGTCAGAGCTTTCTCTTTGCTACTCCCCACCCACGCTGCCTGGCCCTCTGCACTGGGGGTATTCCAGGAAGAGACCACATGAGCAATACCCCACACCCTCTGACTAGCAGTTGGTCTAGACAACGCAGAACCCGGAAGACCAGAGGGAGGAGGAGCGTGAGATCAAGATATCTGTTCCTCTGGTTCTTCTCTTAGAGGGTTCCTCTCTTAGGCTGCCTGTGTCTCTCAACCAAAGGTTATAGCTCTCCTATACTCTGTCTTTGTAAATGGCCATTTTGTAAAGAAATCCTCCTAAAATAATCCTAACTTGAGTAAACCATATGTTTACTGTAAGGACTTAACTGATATTTGCCTGTCTTATAAATAATCAGTCAAAGATCACCAGACAGCTGAAAAAAACCTCAGACATGGAAGATAAAAACAAATGAGCAAAAAGCAGACTGAAAAGCAATTTGCAGAAATAGTTTCTACACAGGAAGAAGAAAACTTCAAAAGAAAAATATCAAATAATACTTCAGAGAGGCCAGGCACAGTTGCTCACACCTGTAATTCCAGCACTTTGGGAGGCTGAGGTAGGTGGATCACCTAAGGTCAGGAGTTTGAGACCAGCCTGGTCAACATAGTGAAGCCTCGTCTCTACTAAAAATACAAAAATTACCCAGGCATGGTGGCGCGTGCCTGTAATCCCACCTACTCAGGAGGCTGAGGCAGGAGAATCGCTTGAACCTGGGAGGTGGAGTTTGCCGTGAGCCGAGATCGTGCCATTGCACTCTAGCCTGGACAACAAGAGCGAAACTCCGTCTCAAAAAAAAAAAAAAAAACAGGAGAACAGGAGGACACATGAGTTTGGAGCTTCATACAAACGTGTGGTCAATAACAGAACAGGCCTGTATTTACCTGTGTACAAAAACGCCTGTGTGTCTGCAGCTACAGACAACCTACTATGAAACCACTAATCATTTCCTCATTGCTTTCGGATTCAGGCTTCTCCTCCAGACATGCTTAGCTGTGGTTTAGGAGCTGCTACGCTTATGGGGTCTTTCCAGTGTCTTCCTAGCGCCTTCCTTTCCTCTCCCAACCCCTACGCCCTCTGCCCTCAGGGTTCCCAGGTTAAACAATCAAGATACACACTTCCGCCTCTAGGCACCACGCCCCATCCTCTTCCTGGAGCTCCACCCACAACAAGGTACTGAAGAGGAGGAAGTAGAGAGGAAGAACACTAGATTATTGAATAAATAACCTGAGAATTGAATAAATTGGAAGTTAGCCCTATTGTTAATCTTTGAACCATGGGAAATGGTAGCATGGGAAGAATGACCCCTAAAGCCACTGAGTTGGGGTGGGGCTGGCTCTCCTCCACTTAAAACCCCTCAGGGCTCTGGCTTATTCCCAGAATAAGGCTGAAATCCCTTCACCGAGAAAAGGGTTCTCCAGAAGTCACCCTGCTTTTCTCTCCTGCCTCATCTCTTGCCACTTTCTCCTTGTTATCTGGGCTCCAGCCACAATAAACAATGTTCTTGCAGACAAGAGCATTGACTTCATGTGGGCAAGTGTGGCTCTTGTCCCGGGCCTCATGGTTAGAGGGCCCTGAATTATTCACACATGTGCACACACACATTTAACACACACTGCTCCTCTGTCATTAGGGATCGGGTGCTTTTTGCTGACTTAGAGAAACCCCATGCCTGAAACCTACTCATCTGCTCTCAGGAGAGGTAGTAATTGTCACTGCTCATTGATAAACACTCCCTGTCTTCATTGGAGCAGGCCCAGGGGTTGTTGGGTTTAACTCCATCCCAAATTCCAGAGATGAGCCAGGTTGATGTAAGCTAGTCAGGGGATCTCCCTCCACCTGTCTCTTCCCTGTACCTACAAGCATGCACAAACAGGGCACAGCACTTCCCTGGTCAAAGGGCTTGGTTCGATTGAGGATAGAGCAGTGGATGGCACAGGAGACACCCCCCTCCCTTGCTCTGAATCAGGCAGAGTGTAGATGTGAGGCCTGGGAATGATAACAGCCATTTAGTTCCCCCAAGATAAGCCAGACTTGGAACATTGCCACTTGACACCCCCATTACCCAAAGACAACTGGAGATAGCTGAGCTAAAGCTCAAGCATCGTCATTTGGAGGTTGGTTGGTTCGTTTGTTTGTTTGTTTGTTTTGAGACAGGGTCTCTGTCACCTGGGCTGGAATGCAGTGGCATGATCTCGGCTCGCTGCAACCTCTGCCTCTCGGTTTCAAGCGATTCTCCTGCCTCAGCCTCCCCAGTAGCTGGGATTACAGGCGTGCACCACCATGCCCAGCTAATTTTTGTATTTTTAGTAGAGATGGAGTTTCACCATGTTGCCCAGGCTGGTCTTGAACTCCTGACCTCAAGTGATCTGCCTACCTCGGCCTCCAAAAGTGCTGGAATTACAGGCATGAGCCACAGTGCCACTGCACTCCAGTCTGGGCGATAGAGGGAGACTTTGTCTTAAAAAAGGGCCAGGTGCAGTGGCTCACTTCTGTAATCCCAGCACTTTGGGAGGCCGAGGCGGGCAGATCATCTGAGGTCAGGAGTTCGAGACCAACCTGGCCAACATTGTGAAACCCCATCTCTACTAAAAATACAAAAATTATCCAGGTGTAGTAGCTCACGCCTGTATTCCTAGCAACTCGGGAGGCTGAGTCATGAGAATCGCTTGAACCTGGGAGGCAGAGAATGCAGTGAGCCGAGATCACGCCATTGTACTCCAGCCTGGATGACAGAGCAAGACTCTGTCTCCAAAAAAAAAAAAAAAAAGAAAGAAAAAGGAAAAGAAAACCATTGCCCTCAGGTCACATCTGGCCTACTACCTATTTTTGTACAGCATGTGATGGTAAATTTCATGAACATAAAAGACACACGGGCACACGTTACAAAATAGTACATACTACATGATTCCATTTATATAAGGTGCAAAAATGATCTATAGTGTTGGGGATCAGGATACAGGCTACCTTTGGGGAGATGGGGAATAGTGTCTGAGACAGGACACAAAGGGATGTTTGTTTGTTTGTTTGTTTGTTTTTGAGATGGAGTCTTGCTCTGTAACCCAGGCTGGAGTGCAGTGGTGCCATCTTGACTCACTGCAATCTCCATCTCCCAAATTCAAGCGATTCTACTGCCTCAGACTCCCGAGTAGCTGGGATTACAAGCGTGCACCACCACGCCTGACTAATTTTTGTATTTTAGTAGAGACGGGGTTTCACCATGTTTATCAGGCTGGTCTTGAACTCCTGACCTCAGGTGATCCACCTGCCTTGCCCTCCCAAAGAGCTGGGATTACAGGCATGAGCCACGGCACCCAGCCAAATAGTATTTTTATATACCTTTTTATTAAAATATATTATACGTAGCTGTGAAGTGCATTAATGTGAAGTGCATAGTTCAATAAAGCTTTGCATAGGAATACATCCAGGAAAGCACCACCCAGATTAAGATATAGAACTTTTTTTTTTTTTTTTTTCAGACGGAGTTTCACTCTTGTTGCCCAGGCTCGAGTGCAATGGCACAATCTTGGCTCACCGCAACTTCCACCTCCTGGGTTCAGGCGATTCTCTTGCCTCAGCCTCCGGAATAGCTGGGATTACAGGCATGTGCCACCACGAACAGCTAATTTTTGTATTTTTAGTAGAGACAGGGTTTCTCCATGTTGGTCAGGCTGGTCTTTAACTCCTGACCTCAGGTGATCCGCCCACCTTGGCTTCCCAAAGTGCTGGGATTACAGGTGTGAGCCACTGAGCCTGGCAAGATATAGAACATTTCCGTATCTAATAAAGACATCACAGATTGTTCCTCCCTACCCCCACCCTTCCACCCCCTCAAAGGTTAACCATGGATTTGTTTTGCCTCTCTTGATTCTAGCATAAATGAAGTCACACACAGTTACCTTTTGTGTCTGGCTTATTTTGTTCAGCAGAATGAATGTGAGATTAATTCATGCTGTTGGGTTATCTATTGCTCATTCTTTCTATTGCCATATATTACCTCATTATATGAATATAAAATGTGTTTATTCTCCAGGTGATACTCTTGAGCTATTTTGACATTTTGGCTGCTGTGAGTAATGTTGCTGTAAACAATCTTGAACTTGTCTTTTGATGGACATATGCACGTCCTTCTCTCACCTAAGAAGTGAATTTTCTGGTCATAGGGTGGGCATACTTTTAGATTTAGTAGTTAGCTAATACAGTGGTAGATGCTGCCAAACTGTTTTCCAAAGTGTATGAACCCACCAGGCATGGTCAGTGATCACGTCTGTAATCCTAGCACTTTGGGAGTACAAGGGGGGAGGATGGCTTGAGCCCAGGAGTTCGAGACCAGCCTGGACAACATAATGAGACCCTGTCTCTTAAAAAAACAAAAACACTGCTAAATTTGACCGGCTTTAAAAATATATTTAAAACAAGTTTTTAAAAAGTGCATGAACCAATTTACAATCCCACCAGCAAAATATAAAAGTCATAGTTGCTTCACATTCTTGTCAACACTTGGTATTGCCATTCTATTTTAGTTCTTCTAGTTATGTAGTAGTGTCTACTTGTGGTTTTAATGACATTTCCCTGTGGTTAAATACATTTCATATTTATTGTCCCTTTGGATATCATCTTTTTTTGAAATGCCCATTAAAATATTATGCCCATTTTTTAGATGGATTACTTGTCTTTTATTTATTTATTTGTAGTTATTTATATATTCCAATGTAAATTGTTTGGGTATGTGTAATTCAAATATCTTCTGCCAGTGAAGCTGCATCTTCACTCAGTGATGACTTTTTTTTTTTCTTTTTGAAACAGAGTTTAGCTCTTGTTGCCCAGGCTGGAGTGCAGTGGCGCGATCTCAGCTCACTGCAACCTCTGCCTCCCAGGTTCAGGCGATTCTTCTGCCTCAGCCTCCTGAATAGCTGGGATTACAGGCATGCACCACCATGGCCTGCTAATTTTGTATTTTTAGTAGTGACGAGGTTTCTCCACGTTGGTCAGACTGATCTCGAACTCCTGACCTCAGGTGATCCGCCCGCCTTGGCCTCCCAAAGTGCTGGGATTACAGGCGTGGGCCACCGTGCTCGGCCATTGATGACTTTTAAGAAACAGCAGTGGCCAGGCACGGTGGCTCACACCTATAATCCCAGCACTTTGGGAGGCCAAGGTGGGTGGATCACGAGTTCAGGAGATCAAGACCATTCTGGCTAACACGGTGAAACCCCATCTCTACTAAAAATACAAAAAAATCTAGCCAGGCATGGTGGTGGGTGCCTGTATTCCCAGCTACTCAGGAGGCTGAGGCAGGAGAATGGCGTGAACCTGGGAGGCGGAGCTTTTAGTGAGCTGAGATCGTGCCACTGCACTCCAGCCTGGGCGACAGAGCAAGACTCGTCTCAAAAAAAAAAAAGAAAAGAAAAACAAGAAACAGCAGTTCTGGGGCTGGCATGGTGGCTCACGCCTGTAATCCCAGCACTTTGGGAGGCCGAGGCGGGCGGATCATGAGGTCAGGAGATCAAGTCCAGCCTGGCTAACGTGGTGAAACCCCGTCTCTACTAAAAATACAAAAATTTAGCTAGGTGTGGTGGCACGCAGCAGTGGTCCCAGTGACTTGGGAGGCTGAGGCAGGAGAATCACTTGAACCCAGGAGGCAGAGGTTGCAGTGAGCCGAGATTGCGCCACTGCACTTCAGCCTGGGTGACAGAGTGAGATTGCATCTCAAAAAGAAAGAGAGAGAGAGAGAGAGAGAGAGGGAGGGAGGGAGGGAGGGAGAGAGAGAGAGAGAGAGAGAGAAAGAAAGAAAGAAAGAAAGAAAGAGAAAGAAAGAAAGAAAGAAAGAAAGAAAGAAAGAAAGAAAGAAAGAAACATACATCACTTCTTGGCTGACTGGGTGCACTGCCTATGAGTTAGCCCTACTCTACAAGGAGCAGTAAAAAATAGATATATAAAAATACATTTTAAAAAAAGGAAACAGAAGTTCTTCATTTTAATAAAATTTCTTTCTGTTGATATTTTAATTTTATGGTTAATACTTTTGTGTCTTCTTTAAATCTTTCTCTACTTCAAGGTCATAAAAATAGACTTGTTTTCTTCTAGGAGATATATTGTTTTACCTTGACCATTTTGGCCTATGATTTGTTTTGAATCAATTTTTCTTGGTACATGATGTGAGGTAGGGGTCAATATTTATTTTTTCCATATATATCCAACAACTCCAGCACTATTTATTCAAAAGAACATCTAATTGTTTATAGTATATAGAAACAGAAATAATTGGCTAGTCTCAGTGGTTCACATCTATAATCCTAGCTCTTTGGGAGGCCAAGGTGGGTAGATTACTTGAGTCCAGGAGTTTGAGATCAGCCTGGGCAACACGGGGAAACCCCATCTCTACAAAAAATAAAAAAATTAGCCAGGACTGGTGGCACCTGCCTATAGTCCCAGTTGCTTGGGAGGCTGAGGTGGGGAGGATAGCTTGAGCTCAGGAGGCTGAGGTTACAGTGAGCCAAGATTGTGCCAGTGCACTTTAGCCTGGGTGATAGAGCAAAACTCTGTGTCAAAAGAAAAAAAAAGGGAATACAATTAATTGGCATGGGTGAACAAGGTCAGGTCCAGGGACTCTGGCACCTTGCTGCTTAAGAAATGTCTTCCCTTAGTGAGGAGTGCCTCTGCCTGGCCGCCAACTATCTGGGAAGTGATGAGGGCCTCTGCCCGGCCGCCCCACTGTCTGGGATGTGAGGAGTGCCTCTGCCTGGCTGCCGCCCCATCTGGGAAGTGAGGAGCACCTCTGCCCAGCTCCCCACAGTCCGGGAAGTAAGGAACGCCTCTGCCCAGCCGCCAACTGTCTGGGAAGTGAGGATCGCCTTTGCCTGGCTCCTGCCCCATCTGGGAAGTGAGGAGCGCCTCTGCTTGGCCGCCAACTGTCTGGGAAGTGAGGATCGCCTTTGCCTGGCTCCTGCCCCATCTGGGAAGTGAGGAGCGCCTCTGCTTGGCCGCCAACTGTCTGGGAAGTGAGGAGTGCCTCTGCCTGGCCGCCAACCATCTGGGAAGTGAGGAGTGCCTTTGCCTGGCTGCCCTCCCATCCGGGGAAGTGAGGAGTGCCTTTGCCTGGCCGCCAACCGTCTGAGAAGTGAGGAGCGCCTCTGCCCAGCCGCCAACCATCTGGGAAGTAAGGAGCATCTCTGCCCAGCTGCCAACTGTCTGGGAAGTAAGGAGGGCCTCTGCCTGGCTGCCAACCGTCCAGGAAGTGAGGAGCGCCTCTGCTCGGCTGCCAACCGTCTGGGAAGTGAGGAGCGCCTTTGCCTGGCTGCTGCCCCATCTGGGAAGTGAGGAGCGCCTCCGCTTGGCCGCCAACCGTCCGGGAAGTGAGGAGCGCCTCTGCCAGGCTTCTGCCCCATCTGGCAAGTGAAGAGCACCACTGCCCGGCCGCCCCACCGTCTGGGAAGTGAGGAGCGCCTCTGCCCGGCCTCTGTGCAACCTTCCAAGTGTGAAGTGACAGCCTTGTGTGTGATCTTTTCTGTCTTCCCCAAGTTTGCATTTTTGACATTAAAGTTTACTTTTTAATTAAAAAAAGAAATTTAAAAAAAAAGAGATGTCTTCTCTTTCAGAATGTGCCTTGCACACGTGCTCTTCTGAATGCCTGGCTATTTGGTGAAGTTGCCTGGCCTGCTGATTCCTAGTCTATGAAAGTGGTGAAACTGCTTTTTCTGCGCGGCCTACAGAGGGGTCCATACCGTGTTGTTCTGGATTCCCGTTGTAACTTAAAGGGAAATTTTCACAATGTCCAGAGCCCTTGATGTCCTGCAAATGAAGGAGGAGGATGTCCTTAAGTTCCTTGCAGCAGGAACCCACTTAGGTGGCACTAATCTTGACTTCCAGATGGAACAGTACATCTATAAAAGGAAAAGTGATGGCATCTACATCATAAATCTGAAGAGGACCTGGGAGAAGCTTCTGCTGGCAGCTCGTGCCATTGTTGCCATTGAAAACCCTGCTGATGTCAGTGTTATATCCTCCAGGAATACTGGCCAGAGGGCCATGCTGAAGTTTGCTGCTGCCACTGGAGCCACTCCAATTGCTGGCCACTTCACTCCTGGAACCTTCACTAACCGGATCCAGGCAGCCTTCCGGGAGCCACAGCTTCCTGTGGTTACTGACCCCAGGGCTGACCACCAGCCTCTCACGGAGGTATCTTATGTTAACTTACCTACCATTGCGCTGTGTAACACAGATTCTCCTCTGCGCTATGTGGACATTGCCATCCCATGCAACAATAAGGGAGCTCACTCAGTGGGTTGGATGTGGTGGATGCTGGCTCAGGAAGTTCTGCGCATGCGTGGCACCATTTCCCGTGAACACCCATGGGAGGTCATGCCTGATCTCTGCTTCTACAGAGATCCTGAAGAGATTGAAAAAGAAGAGCAGGCTGCTGCTGAAGAGGCAGTGACCAAGGAGGAATTTCAGGGTGAATGGACTGCTCCAGCTCCTGAGTTCACTGCTACTCAGCCTGAGGTTGCAGACTGGTCTGAAGGTCTGCAGGTGCCCTCTGTGTCTATTCAGTAGTTCCCTACTGAAGACTGGAGCGCTCAGCCTGCCACGGAAGACTGGTCTGCAGCTCCCACTGCTCAGGCCACTGAATGGGTAGGAGCAACCACTGAATGGTCTTAAGCTGTTCTTGCATGGGCTCTTAAGCAACATGGAAAAATGGTTGATGGAAAATAAATAAACATCAGTTTCTAAAAAAAAAAAAGAAAAAAAGAAAGTGGTGAAACTGTTTAGTGAACAGCCTTTGGCCAAGAAGAAGACTTATGACTGGTATCCAGATTACAATACTTATTTTGTACTCATGGGGACATTCTTATGCCTTGGCCTCTACAGAGATGAGCATCAAGATTTTAAGGATGAGCCAGGCACGGTGGCTCATGCCTGTAATCCTAGCACTTTTGAAGGCCGAGGTGGGTGGATCACCTGAAGTCAGGAGTTCAAGACCAGCCTGGCCAACATGGTGAATCCCCGTCTCTACTCAAAATATAAAAATTAGCCGGGCGTGGTGGCAGGAATCTGTAATCCCAGCTACTTGGGAGTCTAAGGCAGGAGAATTGCTTGAACCCGGGAGGCGGAGGTGGCAGTGAGTCAAGATAGCGCCACAGCACTCCAGCCTGGGTGATAAGAGCAAAACTCCGTCTCAAAAAAAAAAGAAAGAGAGAGAGACCAATCTGGCCAACAAAAAGACCACATCTCTCAAAAAAAAAAAAAAAATTAAGGATAAACAAATGTGTTTAACACTTTTCCTGTCTGCCCCAGGAATATTTGCCAGCAGTGCTTGTGGTTGCAGTGTTTACCTCGAGATAACTTTGCCAGGAGATATCTCGTTTTTATTATTATTTCACATCGCTCTAGTATATCACATCTTTGGAAACAAAAGGCATCATTCTATTCATAGCATTCTGTTTCTAGTAGTGGTATTTCCATTTACAAAATATAGTAATTCTCGATCACTGAAAATGTCAAATGCTAGAAAATGTAGCATTCCTACACGTGATGTTAACATCATTCTGGAACAGTTGCTGGCTGAAGATTCATTTGATGAATCGGATTTTTCCTAAATAGATGATTCTGATGATTCAGGCAATTCTGATGTTAGCTCTGTTCAGAAATAACTCCAAGAACAGTTTCGATATTTTATTTTCATATTGAAAATCAGACAGATTTGCTTCAGCCTCAAAGAGCCTGTTTATGTAAAATTAAATGAGTGCTGGCAGTGAACTGCACTTTTTTTTTAAATGGGAAATTAAAGAAGCTCTGTGTAACTTGATTGCCTCTGTAAAGAAAAAAGAAAATAAATAAATAAAAGAAGCTCCATGGAAGGGGGAAACCAAGTAAAGGAAAAGAGAAAAGAGCAGTGGGCTGGGCGTGGTGGCTCACACCTGTAATCCCAGCACTTTGGGAGGCCGAGGCAGGCGAATCTCGAGGTCAGGAGATCGAGACCATCCTGGCTAAGACGGTGAAACCCCGTCTCTACTAAAAATAAAAAAAAAATTAGCCGGGCATGGTGGCGGGCACCTGTAGTCCCAGCTACTCAGGAGGCTGAGGCAGGAGAATGGCGTGAACCCAGGAGGCGGAGCTTGCAGTGAGCCGAGATTGCGCCACTGCACTCCAGCCTGGGCGACAGAGCTAGACTCCCTCTCAAAAAAAATAAAATAAAATAAAGAGCAGCAAAAACGAAATAGTGTCGGCCCATCAAGAGGGAAAATTTCCTCCTCAGTGACAGAAAAAAGTGTATTTATTAGCCAGGCGTAGTGGCTCATGCCTGTAATCCCAGCACTTTGGGAGGCCGAGGCAGACGGATCACCTGAGATCAGGAGTTTGAAACCAGCTTGGCCAACATGGTGAAAACCCTGTCTCTACTAAAAATACAAAAATTAGCCAGGCATGGTGGCACACTCCTATAATTCCAATTACTCGTGAGCCTGAGGCACAAGAATTACTTGAACCCAGGAGACAAGTTGCAGTGAGCTGAGATGGCACCATTGCACTCCAGCCTGGGGGACACAGTGAGACTCTGTCTCAAAAAAAAATAATAATCACAATCATAAAATAAAAAAGGAAGTGTATTTATTGTCTGTCCAGATACTGGAGGAATGTAATATTCCTAAATGAAGGTTATTTAGGGAACACCGTGTTGAAGTCTAATCCAGTTAAATTGTAGCTGGTTTCTTGACCACATTCTAACCATGCAAAATTATTTTGCTTTGGCTTTCTAATCCGAGGTTTACCTAATTTTCTAATGAAATGAGTACACTAAAAAAAAAAAAAAAAAGAAATATAGGCCGGGCACGGTGGCTCACGCCTGTAATCCCAGCACTTTGGGAGGCCGAGGCAGGCGGATCACGAGGTCAGAAGATCGAGACCATCCTGGCTAACACAGTGAAACCCTGTCTCTACTAAAAATACAAAAAATTAGCCAGGCGTGCTGGCACTTGCCTGTAGTCCCAGCTACTCAGGAGGCTAGGGAAGCAGAATGGCTTGAACCCGGGAGGGGGAGATTGCAGTGAGCCAAGATCACGCCACTGAACTCCAGCCTGGGTGACAGAGCGAGACTCCATCTCAAATAAATAAATAAATATAATGAATTTTTATTCACTCTTGTATCCATAATCTTACAAATGCATTTATTAATGTTAATAGTTTATCTATAGACTCTGTAGTTTTGTTTTGTTTTGTTTTTGAGATGGAGTCTTGCTCTGTTGCCCAGGCTGGAGGGCAGTGGAGCAATCTTGGCTCACTGCAAACTCCATCTCCAGGGTTCAAGCCATTCTCCTGCCCCAGCCTTTCAAGTAGCTGGAATTACAGGTGCCCACCACCACAACCAGCTAATTTTTGTATTTTTAGTAGAGACGGGGTTTCACCATGCTGGCCAGGCTGGTCTCGAACTCCTGCCCTCAAGTGATCCACCCCCACTTGGCCTCCCAAAGTGCTGGGATTACAGGCATGAGCCACAGCACCAGGTGGGAGCTTTTTTTTTTTTTTTTAAAGGTGGCATAGCATTTTATGAAACACTTTTCCTGTATCTATTGAGACAGTGAGAGAGCCATGTGTTTTTCTCATTTATTCTGTTATCATGATGAATCATCAATGTCAGAATCAAAACTCATAATTTTTTTTTTTTTTCTGAGATGGAGTCTTGCTCTGTCACCCAGAGCTGGAGTGCAATGGCACAATCTTGGCTCACTGCAACCTCCACCTCCTCGGTTCAAGCAATTCTCCTGCCTCAACCTCCCAAGTAGCTGGGATTACAGGCACTCACCACCACACCTGGCTAATTTTTGTATTTTTAGTAGAGACGGGGTTTCACCATGTTGGCCAGGCTGCTCTCGATTGAACTCCTGACCTCGTGATCCACCCGCCTTGGCCTCCCAAAGTACTGGGATTACAGCTGTGAGCCACCATACCCAGCCAAAAATCATAAATTTTTAACTCTTACACAAATCTTGCTTTCCTAGAATAAATTCAAGTTTATTGTAATGAGTAAGCTCTTTATATGCAGTTGGAATCTAATATTATTAGAATTAGATTAATATTATAATATAGTATATGGTTAGAATCTAATGTGTAGTTACTACTACTTTGTTCAGAATTTTTATATTTATGTTCATAAGAGAGATTAGCCTGTAATTCTTTTCTGTTGCTGTTATGAAGGTTCTGCTGATCTCCCAAAATGAATTGGAAGAATTTGAGTAAGATTAATGTGACTCCTTTCTTAGATGTTTGGAGATTCTCTGGTGAAGTCATTAGTGCTTGGAGTTTTCTTTACTGAAAGGTTTTAAATTTTAGATCCAATTTCTTTAACAGATATAGGACTCTTCAGATTCGTATGTTCTACTTCTTTTTTGCGGGGCTGGGGATGGAGTTTCGCTCTTGTCACCCAGGCTGGAGTGTAGTG
Source organism: Homo sapiens (assembly GCF_000001405.40). NCBI lineage: Eukaryota > Metazoa > Chordata > Mammalia > Primates > Hominidae > Homo > Homo sapiens. The sequence goes on along the minus strand of NC_000001.11, from coordinate 154,374,424 downwards.
GTGCGATCTCGGCTCACTGCAACCTCTCTCCCTTCTGGGTTCAAGTGATTCTCCTGCATCAGCCTCCCGAGTAGCTGGGATTACAGGCAACTGCCACTAACCCCGGCTAATTTTTGTATTTTTAGTAGAGATGGGTTTCACTTTGTTGGCCTGGCTGGTCTCAAACTCCTGACCTCAGATGATCCACCCACCTCAGCCTCCCACAGTGCTGGGATTACAGGCATGAGCCACCGCACCCAGCCCATATTTCCTACTTCTTGTTTCCGGTGGTGGTGGTGGTGGTGGTGGTTGAGACAGAGTCTCACTCTGTCCCCCAAGCTGGAGTGCAGTGGCACAATCATAGCTCACTATAGCCTTGAACTCCTGGGCTCAAGTAGTTAGGACTATAGGTACATATCACCACACTGGCCTAATTTTTTTGTTGCTTTTATAGATGAGGGTCTTGCTATGTTGCCCAGGCTGGTCTCAATCTCCTGTCCTGAAATGATCCTCCTGCCTCAACCCCGAAAAGTGTTAGATTAGAGGTATGAGCCACCATGCCCAGCCCCTTTTCATTCCTGATATTGGCACTTTGTGCCTTTGAAAAATGTTTATGAGGCCGGGCGTGGTGGCTCATTCCTGTAATCCCAGCACTTTGGGAGGCTGAGGCAAGCGGATCACAAGGTCAGGAGATCGAGACCATCCTGGCTAACACGGTGAAACCCCATCTCTACTAAAAATACAAAAAAATTAGCCAGGCGTGCTGGCGGGCGCCTGTAGTCCCAGCTGCTGGGGAGGCAGGAGAATGGCGTGAACCCGGGAGGTGGAGCTTGCAGTGAGCCGATATCGCGCCACTGCACTCCAGCCTGAGCTACAGAGTGAGATTCCGTCTCAAAAAATATATATATATTTATGGCTGGGCGCAGTGGCTCACACCTGTAATCCCAGCACTTTGGGAGGCCAAGGTGGGCGGACCACGAGGTCAGGAGATCGAGACCTTCCTGGCTAATACGGTAAAACCCCGTCTCTACTAAAAATACAAAAAATTAGCCGGGCGTGGTGGCGGGCGCCTGTAGTCCCAGCTACTTGGGAGGCTGAGGCACGAGAATGGCTTGAACCCGAGAGGCGGAGCTTGCAGTGAGCTGAGATTGTACCACTGCACTCCAGCCTGGGCGACAGAGTGAGACTCCGTCTCAAAAAAAAAAAAAGTTTATTAATCTTAGTTCTTTCAAACAAACCAACTTTTTGCTTTGTTAATTTATACTGGGCTATGTTTGGTTTTTGTTTCACTAGTTTCTGTTCTTAGATTTATTATTTCCTTCTTCCTTTTTTTTTTTTTTTAAACAGAGTCTCTATCTCCCAGGCTAGAGTGCAGTGGCAGCATCTCGGCTCACTGAAACCTCTGCCTCCCGGGTTCAAGTGATTCTCCGGCCTCAGCCTCCTGGGTAGCTGGGACTACAGGCATGCACCACCACCCCCGGCTAATTTTTGTTTTTGTATTTTTAGTAGAGACGGGGTTTTGCCGTGTTAGCCAGGCATGGTTTTAACATATTTTGCCATGTTAGCCAGGCTGGTCTCGAACTTCTGACCTCAGGGGATCCATCTCCCAAAGTGCTGGGATTACAGGAGTGAGCCACCGCACCCGGGCCTATGTGTTTTTTATTTTATTTTATTTATTTATTTAGTTTTTGAGACAGGGTCTCGCTCTGTGGCCCAGGCTGGAGTGCAGTGCCATGATCTTAGCTCACTGCAACCTCCACCTCTCAGGTTCAAGCCATTCTCCTGCCTCAGCCTCCCTAGTAGCTTGGATTTCAGGCATGTGCCACCAAGCCTGGCTAATTTTTATATTTTTAGTAGAGACGGGATTTTGCTATGTTGGCCAGGCTGGTCTTGAACTCCTGGCCTCAAGTAATCCACCCACTGCCTCAGCCTCCCAAAGTGCTGGGAATACAAGAGTGAAACTCCGTCTCAAACAGAACAAAACAAAAATAATAATTAAGGCTGGCCAGGCATGGTGGCTCATGCCTGTATCCCAGCATGCTGGGAGACTGAGGTGGCGTGAGCCACCACACCTGCCCCGTATGTGTTATTTTATTTTATGTATTTTTTTTTTTTTTTTTGAGATGGAGTCTCGCACTGTCACCAGGCTGGAGTGCAGTGGAGAGATCTTGGTTCGCTGCAACCTCCGCCTCCCAGGTTCAAGCGATTCTCCTGCCTCAGCCTCCCAAGTAGCTGGATTTACAGGCACCCGCCACCATGCCTGGCTAATTTTTTTTTTGTATTTTTAGTAGAGACAAGATTTCACTATGTTGGCCAAGCTGGTCTTGAACTCCTGACCTTGTGATCAGCCCACTAAAGACTAAAGCTCAGGGCCAACCAGGCCCAAAATGAAGCAGTTGAGGAGAAGACCAAGGTCATAAGAGAATATCAAGGTCACAAGGTCACAAGAGAGTATTAAGGTCACAAGAGAGTATTAAGACAAGCAGTATTAATAGAAATGTACCAGGATGAGCCACAGACAAGAACCCCTCAGAGACCGAGTTGTAGAAGGAAAGGGCTTTATTCAGCTGGGAGCATCGACGGACTCACGTCTCCAAAAACCGAGCTCCCCAAGTGAGCAATTCCTGTCCCTTTTAAGGGATTACAGCTCTAAGGGGGTCCACGTGAGAGGGTCGTGATTTATTGAGCAAGCAGTGGGTACATGACTGGGGGCTTCATGCACCAGTAAGCAGAACTGAACGAACAGGACAGGGATTTTCACGATGCTTTTCCATACAATGTCTGAACTCTATAGATAACACAAGCAGTTAGGTCAGGGGTTGATTTTTAACTACCAGGCCCAGGGCGCGGTGCTTGGCTATCTGCCTGTGGATTCCATTTCTGCCTTTTAGTTTTCACTTTTTCTTTCTGTGGAGGCAGAAATTGGGCATAAGACAATATAAGGGGTGGTCTCCTCCCTTAGAAATAAAGGAGAAAAATGTCCTTGCCCCCCAGTAAAATCTACAGGTAGAAATTCAGGGTCTCTCTGTTCTCTTCAAATATCTGCTTCTTCTTTCCTGGGCCCACTTTGCCTTTGGGTACCATGGTGTAATGCAAACACCCAGCTAGGAAAATAAGAGAGAGCTACGGAAACTACAGTCAGTAGGTACCATGCTGGCAACGCATTCACTTCCCATGCAAACTAAAGTCTTTTTTTTTTTTTTTTTTGAGACAGAGTCTCGCTCTGTCACCAGGCTGGAGTGCAGTGGCGCGATCTTGGCTCTCTACAACCTCCACCTCCCAGGTTCAATCGATTCTCCTGCCTCAGCCTCCCAAGTAACTGGGATTACAGGCGCGTGCCAACATGCCTGACTAATTTTTTGTTTTTGTTTTTGTTTTTGTTTTTGTTTTTTAATTAGAGATGGGGTTTCACCATATTGTCCAGGCTGGTCTCGAGCTCCTCCTCGTGATCTGCCCACCTTGACCTCCCAAAGTGCTGGGATTACAGGCATGAGCCACTGCACCCAGCCCAATTATACGTTCTTTTACTATTTTTATTGATTATCCTAGAGCAGCAATTTTATTATTATTATTATTACTATTTTTTGAGACAAGGTCTTGCTCTGTCACCCAGGCTGCAGTGCGGTGGTGCAATCTTGGCTCACCACAGCCTCAACCTCCCCGGTTCAAGCGATCCTCCCACCCTAGCCTCCCAAGTAGCTGGGACTACAGGTGCATGCCACTACACCCAACTAATTTTTGTATTTTTTTGTAGAGATGCAGTTTTCCCATGATACCCAGACTGGTCTTAAACTCCTGACCTCAGGTGATCCGTCTGCCTCAGCCTCCCAACATGCTGGGGTACAGGCATGAGCCACTACGCCAGCCAGGCTTAATTATTATTTTTGTTTTGTTTTGTTTGAGACGTAGTTTCACTCTTTTCTCCCAGGCTGGAGTACAATGGTGCTATCTCAGCTCACTGCAACCTCCACCTCCTGGGTTCAAGCCATTCTCTTGACTCAGCTTCCCAAGTAGCTGGGATTACAGGCATGCGCCACCACACCCAGCTAATTTTTGTATTTTTAGTAGAGATGGGGTTTTGCCATGTTGGTCAGGCTGGTCTCAAACTCCTGACCTCAGGTGATCCACCCGCCTCGGCCTCCCAAAGTGCTGAGATTACAGGCGTGAGCCACTGCTCCCTGTGCCTTAATTATTTTTTAAATTGACAAATAAAAATTATATATATTTAGGGTGTAGGCTGAGAATGAAATAATTAAAAACTTTTCTGGCCGGGCGCGGTGGCTCATGCCTATAATCCCAGCACTTTGGGAGGCCGAGGCAGGAAGATCACGAGGTCAGGGGATCGAGACCATCCTGGCTAACACGATGAAACCTCGTCTCTACTAAAAATACAAAAAATTAACCGGGCGTGTTGGCGGGCACCTGTAGTCCCAGCTACTCAGGAGGCTGAGGCAGGAGAATGGCGTGAATCCGGGAGGCGGAGCTTGCAATGAACCGAGATCACACCACTGTGCTCCAGCCTGGGCGACAGAGTGAGACTCCGTCTCAAAAAAAAAAAAAAATTAAAAAGACAACATAATTATACTAAAAACAAAGATTGTTGAGAACACAATTGGATATCTACATGTAAAAGAATGAAGTTGGGGCTGGGCACGGTGGCTCACGCCTGTAATCCCAGCACTTTGGGAGGCCAAGGCAGGCGATCACTTGAGGTCAGGAGTTCAAGACCAGCCTGTCCAAAACAGTGAATTTTTATATTTCTACAAAAAATACAAAAATTAGCAGGGCGTGGAGTAATCCACGCCTGTAATCCCAGCTACTCGGGAGGCTGAGGCAGGATGATTACTTGAGCCTAGGAGTTTGAGACCATAGTGAGCTAAAATTAAAAAATATATATATATATTTTTTGAGACAGTATCTTTCTGTCACTCAAGCTGGAGTTCAGGGGCAAAGTCATAGTTCACTGTAATCTTGACCTCCCAGGTTCAAGCGATCCTCCCACCTCAGCCTTCTGAGTAACTGGGACCACAAGCAGGCACCACAACGCCTGGCTAATTATTTATTTATTTATTTATTTATTTAGAGACAGAATCTCACTGTGTTGCCCAGATCTCCGCTCACTGCAACTTCTACCTCCTGCGTTCAAATGATTCTCCTGCTTCAACCTCTCAAGTAGCTGGGACTACAGGCGTTTGCCACCACGCCCGGCTAATTTTTGTATTTTTAGTAGAGACAGGATTTCACCATGTTAGCCAGGCTGGTCTCAAACCCTGACTTCAAGTGATCCACCAGCCTTGGCCTCCCAAAGTGCTGGGATTACAAGTGTGAGCTACCATACCCAGCCCATAATAATTATATTATTTTATTTATTTTGAGACGGAGTCTCGCTCTATTGCCCAGGCTGGAGTGCAGTGGCATGATCTCAGCTCACTGCAACCTCTGTCTCCCGAGTTCAAGTGATTCTCATTCCTCAGCCTCCCTATTAGCTGGGATTATAGGCACCCGCCATCATGCCCGGCTAATTTTTGTTTTTGTTTTTGTTTTGAGACGGAGTTTCACTCTTGTTGCCCAAGCTGGAGTGCAGTGGGCGATCTCGGCTCTCTGCAACCTCTGTCTCCTGGGTTCAAGTGATTCTCCTGCCTCAGCCTCCCGAGTAGCCTGGATTACATACATGCACCACCACAGCTGACTTATTTTTTTGTATTTTTTAGTAGAGATGGGGTTTCTCCATGTTGGTCAGACTGGTCCCAAACTCCCGACCTCAGGTGATCCGCCCGCCTCAGTCTCCCAAAGTGTTGGGATTACAGGTGTGAGCCACCGCGCCTGGCCCAATTTTTGTATTTTTAATAGAGATGTGATTTCGCCACATTGGTCAGGCTGGTCTCTAATTCCTGGCCTCAGGTGATCCACCCACCTCGGCCTCCAAAAGTGCTAGGATTATGGGTGTGAACCACCACGCCCGGCAATAATTATTTTAAAAAGGAAAGTAAGCCGGGGAATGGAAAATGAATATGAAATGGTACAGCTGCTGTGGAAAACAATTTGGCAGTTTCTCAATAAGTTAAACATAGGATTGCCATATGACCAGCAATTTTACTCCTAGTATATAACCAAAATAATTGATAACAGGTGTTCAAGTCAAAACTTGCACACAAAAAAAATTTTTTTTTTGAGACAGAATTTTGCACTTGTTGCCCAGGCTAGAGTACAATGGCGTGATCTCAGCTCGCTGCAATCTCCGCCCCCTGGGTTCAAGAGATTCTCCTGCCTCAGCCTCCCAAGTAGCTGGGATTACAGGCACCCACCACCACGCCCAGCTAAGTTTTGTACTTTTAGTAGAAATGGGGTTTCACCATGTTGGCCAGGCTGGTCTCGAACTCCAGACCTCAGGTGATCCACCTGCCTTGGCCTCCCAAAGTGCTGGGATTATAGGCGTGAGCCACCGCACCCGGCCACACAAAAATGTTTATAGCAGCCCTATTCACACTAGCCAAAGGTGGAAACAAAACCAAGAGCAGTGGTGCGCCTGTAGTCCCAGCTACTCAGGAGTTTGAGGAGGGAGGATCGCTTGAGCCCAGTAGTTTCAGGCTGTGTGGTATGGTATGATCATGCCTGTGAATAGCCACTGCACTCAGCCTGGGCAACATAGCAAGACTCTGTCTCTAAACAAAATGGTTTTTTGGCCAGGCACGGTGGCTTACACCTGTAATCCCAGCAGGCCTTTGGGAGGCCAAGGTGGGCGGATCACGAGGTCAGGAGTTTGAGACCAGCCTGGCCAGCATGGTGAAACCCCGTATTTACTAAAATTACAAAAAATTAGCAGGGCATGGTGGTACGCGCCTGTAATCCCAGCTATTCGAGAGGCTGAGTCAGGAGAATCACTTGAACCCAGGAAGCGGAGGTTGCAGTGAGCTGAGATTGAGCCACTGTATCCCAGCCTGGGCAATAGAGCGATACTTTGTCTCAAAAAAAAAAAAAGAAAAGAAAAGAAAGAAAAAAGGGGTTTTTTTGGCATAGGATCTGTCTGTCGCCCAGGCTGGAGTGCAGTGGTGTGAACACACAGCAGCCTGGAACTCCTGGGTTCAAGTGATCCTCTTGCTTAATAGCGTCCTGAGTAGCTGGGACTACAAGCATGCATCACCATGCACAGCTAATTTTTCAATTTCTTTCTGTTTTTTTTTTTTGAGATGGAGTTTTACGGTTGTTTCCCAGGCTGGAGTGCAATGGCGCAATCTCGGCTCACTGCAACCCTGCCTCCGCCTACTCAGGAGTCTGAGGCAGGAGAATTGTATTTTTGGTAGAGACGGAGACAGGGTTTCACCATATTGGCCAGGCTGGTCTCGAACTCCTGACCTCACGATTCGCCCGCCTCAGCCTCCCAAAGTGCTGGGATTACAGGCATGAGCCACCGCGCCTGGCCTCAACCATTACCATTATCTAAGTCCCAGGGCTCTTTCATTACCCCAAGTAGAAACTTCATACCTACTAAGTAGCCATTCCCATGTCCCTCTCCCACCCCAGATCTGGGCAACCGCTAATCTGCTTTCTGTTTCTCTGGGTTATGCCTGTTATGGAAATTTCATACAAATGGAAATATAATTCTCCTGCCTCAGCCTGCTGAGTAGCTGGGATTACAGGTGCCCGCCACCACACCCAGCTAATTTTTGTATTTTTAGTAGAGACAGGGTTTCGCCATGTTGGCTAGGCTGGTCTCCCGACCTCAGGTGATCCACCTGCCTCGGCCTCCCAAATTGCTGGGATTAGAGGCATGAGCCACCATGCCCTGTCTTTTAAAAATTTTTGTGGAGACAAGGTGTTGCCATGTTGTCCAGGGTGGTCTCAAACTCTGGGGCTCAAGAGATCCTCCTGTCTTAGTCTCCCAAATTCCAGGAATACAAACTTGAGGCACCATCCTCAGCCTAAAAAAAATTTTTTTTAAGGTAGAAACAACGTAAGATGTCCATCAGAGGAATGGATAATCAAAATGGGGCATATTCATACAATGGAATATTATTTGGCCATAGAAAGGATTAAGTAATAGTACATGGATGAACTTTGAAAACATTATGCTAAGTGAAAGAAGCCAGAGACACAAAAGGTCACATATTATATTTCCATTTGTATGAAATTTCCATAATAGAAATAACCCATAGAAACAGAAAGCAGATGAGTGGTTGCCGAGATCTGGGGCGGCAGAGGGACGTGGGAGTGGCTATTTTCTAGGTATGAAGTTCCTACTTGGGGTAATGAGAGACCTGGGACTTAGATAATGGTAACGGTTGAGGCCAGATGCAGTGGCTCACGCCTGTAATCCCAGCACTTTGGGAGGCTGGAGCGGGTGAATCACAAGTTCAGGAGTTTGAGACCAGCCTGGCCAACATGGTGAAACCCAGTATCTACTCAAAATACAAAAATTAGCCGGGCATGGTGGTGGGCGCCTGTAGTACCAGCTACTTGGGAGATTGAGGCAGAGTAATTGCTTGAACCCAGGAGGCGGAGGTTGCAGTGAGCCGAGATCACACCATGGCACTCCAGCCTGGGTGACAGAGCAAGACTTCATATCAAAAAAAAAAAAAAAAAAAAAAAAAAAAGGTAACGGTTGAACAAAGCCACTGGGTTGTACACTTTGAAATGGTTACAATGGTAAATTTTATGTTCTCTATTTTACCACAATTTTAAAAATATTGAGGACTCCAACGAGCCTTTGTTTATGTGAGTTATGTCTAAGAATATTTACCATATTAGAAATTAAAAGTGTCCAGGCACAGGCCAGGACTGGTGGCTCACATCTGTAATCCCAGCACTTTGGGAGGTCAAGGTGATCAGGAGTTCGAGACCAGCCTGGCCAACATGGTGAAACCTTGTCTCTACGAGAAATGCAAAAATTAGCCCGATGTGGTAACGTGCGCCTGTAGAACCAGCTACTCAGGAGGCTAAAGTGGGAGAATCACTTGAGCCTGGGAAGTGGAGGTTGCAGTGAGCCAAGATCTCACCACTGCACTCCAGCCTGGGTGACAGAGACTCTGTCTCAAAAAAAAAAAAAAAAATTGTGTGGGCACAGTGGCACACGCCTATAATCCCAGCACTTTGGATGGCCGAGGAGGGCAGATCACTTGAGGCCGGGGGTTCAAGACTAGCCTGGCCAACATGGTGAAACCCTATCTCCACTAAAAGTACAAAAATTGGCTGGGTGTGGTGGTACACACCTGTAGTCACAACTACTTGGGGGGCTGAGTCAAGAGAATCACTTGAATCTGGGAAACGGAGGTTGCAATGAGCTGAGATTGCACCACTGCACTCCAACCTGGGCGACAGAGTGAGATTCTGTCTCAAAAATCAAAACAAAACAAAAAGATATTAAAATTGAGAATTTAAAATATTAATTCATTAATATTTTTATGAAATCTGAAATAATAACAATTAAACCACTACAAATGTATATTTTTAAATTTTGTCGTTTTTGGTGTTTTTTTCTTTTTTTGAGACAGAGTCTCACTCTGTCACCCAGGCTGGAGTGCCGTGGTGTGATCTCGGCTCACTGCAACCTCTGACTCCTGGGTTCAAACAATTCTCCTGCCTCAGCTGCCTCAGCCTCCCGAGTAGCTGGAATTACAGGTGCATGCCACCATGCCTGGCTAGTTTTTTAGTAGAGACAGGGTTTTGCCATGTTGGCCAGGCTGCTCTTGAACTCCCAGCCTCAGATGATCTGCCTCCCTCGGCCTCTCAAAATGCTGGGATTACAGGCATGAGCCACTGTGCCCCGCCAAATTTTTGTTTAAAATAAAGAGAAATAAGAGAGACATTGTTTTACAGTTTTTGCTTTTACTTTAATGTCTGACTTATAAAAGACAATATGAATCTAATTTTGGCTTCTATATTCAATCTGTTCCTATATGATGTTTTAGTTGAATTATACGAAGAAAGTTTGGCCCTACATAGATATGTAGTTGGAAAATGGAGAATTTTAATAGCCTTTTCAGATAATTGTGGATTTTTTTTTATGTAAAACTCAACAAGTGGTAGTTTATTTCATTTTATTTATTTTTAACAAAGGTCTCACTCTATCTTCCAGGCTGGAGTGCAGTTGTATGATCATGGTTCGCTGTAGCCTCCATCTCCTGGACTCACGTGTTCTGCCTGCCTTAGCCTCCAAGTAGCAAAGACTCCAGGTATACACCACCACACCCAACTAATTTTTTTTTTTTCGAGACAGGGTCTCTTTTGCCCAGGCTGAAGTGCAATGGCTGATCTTGGCTCACTGCAAACTCTGCCTCCTAGGCTCAAGCAATCCTCCTGCCTCAGCACCCCCCAAGTATTAATAACTGGGAATACTGGTGTGCACCACTACACCCAGCTAATTTTTGTATGAGACCGGCTTTTGTCGTGTTGCCCAGGCTGGCCTCAAACTCCTAGGCTCAAGAGATCTGCCTGCCTTGGCCTTTCATAGTACTAGGATTACAGGCATAAGCCACCTCCCCTGGCCTAATTGTTTTATTTTTTTTAGCAACAGTGCTCTCACTTTGTTGCCCACTCTGGTCTCGAACTCTTGGCCTCAAGCAATCCACCCACCTCGGACTCCCAAAGTGCTAGGATTACAGGCATGAGCTCCTGCACCTGGCCAACAAGTGGTATTTCCTTAAGGACTAGTTGCAATATGGAATCTGAAACCAAATTTCGAATTCATAAAGTTTTCTTTTTTTTTTTTTTTTTTTGAGACGGAGTCTCCTCTGTCACCCAGGCTGGAGTCCAGTGGCGTGATCTTGGCTCACTGCAACCTCCGCCTCCTGGGTTCAAGTGATTCTCCTGCTTCAGCCTCCTGAGTAGCTGGGATTACAGGTGCACGTCACCACACCCAGCTAATCTTTAAATTTTTCTTAGTAGAGACGGTTTCACCATATTGGCCAGGCTGGTCTCAAACTCCTGACCTCATGATCCACCCACCTTGGCCTCCCAAACTGCTGGGATTACAGGTGTGAGCCACCACACCCAGCTAAGTTTTCATATTTTTTTGTTCATTAAAATCCATTGTTCTATCTTGCACGTTGTTTTTTTTTTTTTTACTATACAAAATTTTGTAACATCATGCATTGGTTATTTGGAAAATACTGGGTCACTAAGTTATAAAGATTATTGAGATAATTCATCATACAATGTCAAAAAAATCACATTTGTTAATACCACCATTCTCATCAAAAGTCTTTTACATACTGGTAGCCAAGTAATAATGGTGAATACAGTTCAAGTAAATGTGCTCAACAGTCTGAGTCTCGTGGAATTAATTTTCATTCTAGTGGTTTTGCGTCAGTAGCCTGACGTCATGAGGTCACCTACTGCGGAACTGAAATGATCCTAGGAATTCTGAGTCTCCGGTCCTTTGTTTCATTCTTTCCTCTACGTTCCTAAGGTTATCTTTCTAGGATGTTTCTTCCAGAAGACCCTAATGGGGTCTGTAGCATACAGCAAGGGCCCTGAGGCTTGTGTGAGAGGACAGTGAAAACTATCAGTTGATGACATGCAGAATGATTTAGATTTGTAAACCCAAAGTATCTGAGACAGGCCTCAACCAATTTAGGACGTTTATTTTGCTGGCCGGGTGCGGTGGCTCACGCCTGTAATCCCAGCACTTTGGGAGGCCAAGGCGGGTGGATCATGAGGTCAGGAGATCGAGACCACCTTGGCTAACATGGTGAAACCCCGTCTCTACTAAAAATACAAAAGATAAGCTGGGTGTGGTGGTGGGCGCCTGTAGTCCCAGCTACTTGGGAGGCTGAGGCAGGAGAATGGCGTGAACCCAGGAGGTGGAGGTTGCAGTGAGCTGAGATTGCGCCACTGCACTCCAGCCTGGGCGACAGAGCAAGACTCTGTCTCAAAAAAAAAAAAAAAAAAAAGAAAGTTTATTTTGCCAAGGTTAAGGACACACCCATGACACAGCCTCCAGAGGTCCTGAGGACAAGGTGGTCCCAAGGTGGTCGGGGTATAGCCTTTTACACATTTTAGGGAGCCACGAGACATCAATCAATATGTGCAAGATGTACATTGGTTCTGTCTGGTGAAGAGGGACAAATCGAAGTGGGGGAGCGCTTCCAGGTCATAGGTAGATAAGACAAAAAAGGTTGTATTCTTTTCAGTCCTTGATCAGCCTTTCACTGAATACACAATTTATTCTGGCTTAGTGAATCTGCATTTTTACATTAACAATAGGGCAGAGGAAGCAATAAGATAAGCATTTGTCTCAAGTCAGCAGAGGGATGACTTTCTGTCCTGTACCTGTGAAAATAAGCTAACGGTTTACATTGCCAGGGTGAAATTCAACAGAACTATTTTAGGATAAAGATTTTGAGGCCCGCAAGGAATTTCCTTGTGGACAAATTGTGAGGGAGGTATGTAGCTCTTTTATCTTTGTAGCTATCTCATTTAGCAATAAAATGGGAGGCAGTTCTGCCTGATGCAATTCCCAGCTTGACTTTTCCCTTGGCTTAGTGATTTTGGGGTCCTGAGATTTATCTTCCTTTCACAGATTGATGGGTCACAGTGTCTGAAAACATCAGAAGGTCTTTTTATTTTTCATTTTTTGAGACAGGGTCTTGCTCTGTCACCAGGCTGAAGTGCAGCGGCGCAATCACTGCAACCTTGACCTCCTGGGTTCAAGCGATCCTCCCAACTCAGCCCCCACCCCCGGCCCTGCACCCTCCAGTAGCTGGGACTGGAGGCTAATCTTTGTATTTTTTCCAGAGACGGGGTCTCACCACGTTGTCCAGGCTGGTCTTGAACTCCTGGGTTCAAGTGATCCTCCCGCCTCAGGCTCCCAAAATGCTGGGATTACAGGGATGAGCCACCATGACTGGCCAGAATGTCTTTTTATAAAAACATTTATTAGTAGTTATCATTCCATTTAGGTGAGTACAGTTGTTTATACTCTCCTTCTGAAATATTTAGTGGAAGTAAAGTAGCTTATCTGACCAGTAAAGCCAGCAAAGGAAATTTAGAAAGCTCAGATTAATTAAACTTTGCAAAAATAAAGTCTTGGATAAACTAATATTATGCAAACAATACTTTCCACATGGTAATAAAATTAGAAGAAGGTAAAAAGCAAAGCTGTCTTTTTTCTTCTTCTTCTTCTCTTTTTTTTCTTTTTTTCTGTCTTTTTTTGAGATGGAGTTGTTTTGCTCATGTCGCCCAGGCTGGAGTGCAGTGGCGCGACCTCAGCTCACTGCAACCTCTGCCTCCCAGGTTCAAGCAATTCTCCTGCCTCAACCTCTCAAGTAGCTGGGACCACAGATGCGCACCACCATGCCCAGCTCAAGACCTGTCCTCTAGGATGAACTAAAGCTATCCAATCAGTCTGTATTAGTCAACTCCAGCTGCTGTAACAAAATACTGGCCAGGCACAGTGGCTCATACCTGTAATCCCAACACTTTGGGAGGCCAAAGCAGGCAGATCACTTGAGTTCAGGAATTTGAGACAAGACTGGACAACATGGCAAGACCCTGTCTCTACAAAAATTATCTAGGCATGGTGGTGCATGCCTGTAGTTCCAGCTACTCAGGAGGCGGATGCAGGAGGATGGTTTGAGCCCCAGAAGCAGAGATTGCAGTCAGCTGAGACTATGCCACTATACTCCAGCCTGGGTGATAGAGTGATACTGTCTCAAAATCAAAACAAAATAAACAAACAAAAACAAATACAGTCACATAGGGGTTATGATTTCAACATATGAATTGGGGGGGATACAATTTATTTCATAGCACAGCCTTATTTATCTAAAGATTTATTTTGACACACCTAGCTTACTTGAACTTTGATGCTTGTAGCATTCTTCTGTACCTATACATCAAATATTAAAAACCAAATCAAAATTTTGGTATCAAAAAGTTTTCAGCCCAGCATGTAGTACAAACCTGTAATCCCACCTACTTAGGAGGATGAGGTGGGAGGATTGCTTGAGGCCAGGAGTTGGAGAACAGACTGGGCAACATAGCAAGACCCCATCCTGAAAAAAAAACAACTTTTTAAATTAGAAGAATAAGAATTAAGCTCTTCTGTCATATAATAGGTTTCCTCATTTATGAATACATACCCTGCCTTTGATTCCCTTGCCTGTCATTGGCCACTGGCCCAGTGGAGACTTAGCACCATGATATGAGATGATACTTCAGACTTCTTGATAAATCATGCTAGAATTCCACGCAGTTCAAGGGTCTACATCCCACTACATCCCTCCCTTATGCTATTACCAGAAAGGGGTCCCAATCCGGACCCCAGCAGAGGGTTCTTAGATCTCGAGAAAGAAAGATTTTGAGGCAAATCAATAGAGTAAAGTGAAAGCAAGTTTATTAAGAAAGTAAAGGAATAGGCCAGGCACCATGGCTCATGCCTGTTATCCCAGCACTTTGGGAGGCTGAGGCAGGCTGATCATTCGAGCTCAGGAGCTTGAGACCAGCCTGGGCAACATGGCGAAACCCTGACTCTAGTAAAAATACAAAAATTACCCAGGTATAATGGTTCATTCCTGTAATCCCATTTACTTGGGAGGCTGACGCACGAGAATCGCTTGAACCCAGAGGTTGCAGTAAAGGGTTGCAGTGAGATGACACCACTGCACTCCAGCCTGGGTGACAGAGTGAGACTCTGTTTCAAAAAAAAAAAAAGAAAGTAAAAGAATAAAAGAATGGCTATTCCATAGGTAGAGCAGTGGCATGGGCTGCTCAACTGATAATATGGTTTGGCTGTGTCCCCACCCAAATCTCATCTTGTAGTTCCCATAATCTCCACTTGTTATGGGAGGGACCTGGTGGGAGGTAATTGATCATGGAGGCCGTTTCCCCTATTCTATTCTCATGATAGTAAGTACTCACAAGATCTGATGGTTTTATAAGGGGCTTCCCCCTTCACTGGGCTCTCATTCTTGCCCTGGCTGCCACCATGTGAAGAAGGACATGTTTGCTTTCCCATCTGCAATGATTGCAAGTTTCCTGAGGCCTCCCCAGCCATGCTGAACTGTGGGTCAATTAAACCTCTTTCCTTTATAAATTACCCAGTCCTGGGTATGTCTTTATTAGCAACATGAGAACAGACTAATCAAGTAACAATTGATTATACTTATAGTTACTTCTTGGTTATGTGCTAAACAGGGGGTGGATTATTCATGAGTTTTCCAGGAAAGGGTGGGCAATTCCTGGAACTGAGGGGAGTGTTCCTCCCCTTTTTTTACCATATAGGGTAACTTCCAGACACTGCCATGGCATTTGTAAACTGTCATGGCGCAGGTGGGAATGTCTTTTAGCATGCTAATAATTAGCACATAATGAGCAGTGAGGACAACCGGAGATCACTTGTGTCACCATCTTGGTTTTGGTGGCTTTTGGCTGGCTTCTTTACTGCATCCTATTTTATCAGCAAGGTCTTTGTGACCTGTATCTTGTGCTGACCTCCTAGCTCATCCTATAACTAAGAATGTCTGATCTCCTGGAAATGCAGCCCAGTAGGTCTCAGCCTTATGTTACCCAGACCCTATTCAAGATGGAGTTGCTCTGGTTCAAATGCCTCTGACAATACCACCCAAACTCAGACAAGAAAGGCTACTGATGCAGGCTGATCTAGGGAGCTCCCCTCACCACCACCACCATGAGCCCTCTTCTGGCCATACCCCTCCCATAAAATGATGAGTCAAAGGGGCCGACTGGACTTGCCCAGCTGGAGCCCACACTGCCTCCTTCTAGACCAGCACACTCAAATTGTGGCCCTTGAACTGCTGCCATTCAACAGATGGCTTGTTACTGGACCACAATGAGCCAAGTATAGAAATGAAAAGCAGCAGAGGCGAGGCGCTGTGGCTTACGCCTGTAATCCCAGCACTTTGGGAGGCCGAGGCTGGCGGATCGCCTGAGGTCGGGAGTTTGAGACCAGACTGACCAGTAGAAACCCTGTCTCTATTAAAAATGCAAAATTAGCCAGGCATGGTGGCACATGCCTGTAATCGCAGCTACTCGGGAGGCTGAGGCTGGAGAATTTCTTGAACCCGGGAGGCGGAGGTTGCGGTGAGCTGAGATAATGCCATTGCACTCCAGCCTGGGCAACAAGAGCAAAACTCCATCTCAAAAAAAAAAAAAAGAAAGAAAGAAATGAAAAGCAGCAGGGCACCGGGCGCAGTGGCTCACTCCTGTAATGCCAGAACTTTGGGAGGCTGAGGCATGCAGATCACCTGAGGTTGGGAGTTCAAGACCAGCCTGACCAACATGGAGAAATCTCGTCTCTACTAAAAATACAAAAAACTTAGCCGGCCACGGTGGCCCATGCTTGTAATCCCAGCTATTCAGGAGGCTGAGGCAGGAGAATCATTTGAACCCGGGAGGCAGAGGTTGCAGTGAGCAGAGATCGCACCATTGCTCTCCAGCCTGGGTAACAAGAGTGAAACTCCATCTCAAAAAAAAAGAAAGAAAAGAAAAGCAGCAGGGTGCAGTGGCTCACACCTGTAATCCCAGCACTCTGGGAGGCTGAGGCAGGTGGATCACATGAGATCAGGAGTTCGAGACCAGCCTGGCCAACATGGCAAAACCCCGTCTCTATTAAAAATACAAAAATTAGGCCAGGTGCAGTGGCTCACACCTGTAATCACAGCACTTTGGGAGGCCGAGGCGGGCGGATCACAAAATCAGGAGATCGAGACCATCCTGACTAACACAGTGAAACCCCATCTCTACTAAAAATACAAAAAATTACCCGGGTGTGGTGGTGGGCACCTGTAGTCCCAGCTACTCGGGAGGCTGAGGTAGGAGAATCACTTGAACCCAGGAGGTGGAGGTTGCAGTGAGCCGAGATCGTGCCACTGCACTCCAGCCTGGGTGCAAGAGGGAGACTCCGTCTCAAAAAAAAAAAAAAAAAAGAAAAGAAAAAAAGAAATGAAATGAAATGAAACACCAAGCATTTAGAAACTTTTATCACAATTTTACTTTGCTGCAACATCCAAGCTCCTGATCATTTTCCATTTTCCAGGAATTTGTTTTCATTGTATTTTATAAAAGTATCAGCCAGCCTATCACAGATTGGAAATTTTATTTATTTATTTACTTTTCAAGAAGGGAAAGAAAGGCTGGGCACGGTGGCTCACACCTGTAATCCCAGCACTTTGGGAGGCTGAGGTGGGCAGCTCACTTGAGGTCAGGAGTTCGAAACCAGCCTGGCAAACATGGCAAAAACCCATCTCTACTAAAAATACAAAAATTAGCCTGGTGTAGTGGCACACATCTGTAATCCCAGCTACCTAGGAGGCTAAGGCAGGAGAATTGCTTGAATCCAGGAGGCAGAGGTTGCAGTGAGCCAAGATAGTGCCACTACACTCCAGCCTGGGTGACAGAGACTCCAACTCAAAAAAAAAAAGGAAAGAAATTTAACAGATTGGAAACTTTAAAAGCTGGTTATTCACCTGAAGCACTATTCTAGACTCTGGCATTTTTCTATCCAAATGGTGTTGAGTTCATTTCCAAGGACTCTGCAGCCTTCTGCTTCAGGTATTCTCTGGCAAACAGACCCATCTGCCAGTGTGCACACCTGGCTCCAGTAAGTGGCCAGGAACAGCTGTTTGCAGGGGTGCAGGTGGAACTTGGACTTGTGTGCTGGGGTGTGCTGCAGAAGCAAGGACCCTCACAGTGTAGAATGGGACAGGGAGGGAAGTGGGAAGAGGAGGGGCAGGCTGGGGGCTGGGAGGCCAAAGGGGCAGGTTCTAAATTTAAACTGACATTCCAAGTTGTTAGGAAGATATATCTGTCAAGGTAGGAAGACACAGCCTACTTTGATCTCATAACTCCTCTGTACTCAGACACGTGGTACGTGGGCCTCCATTTGCTACTTGCCCTGAGTCCCATGAACATTCAGGGCAGGGCTGCCTGAAGCATCCCTAGGTGAACAGCTGAGGAGCCTATTAAACTGCATGCACTTTGTAAAAGCACATAAGCATTTCATCACATGGCTTCACTGGATTTTCAGAGGTGAACCTGAGCCAAAAGTATGAAGAACCGCAGTCCCAGACATTGCAGAAAACATGACAGGGCAAGCTGGCCGGTTCTACTATGCTGGATCCAAAGCCGGGGTCCAAGGTTGTCTCACCCACTTCTTTGTGTGAGGGTAGACCTAGAGAACAGCCAGCATCTGGGGGTACTAAGGATGTCTCCTATAGTCTTCTGGTATCCTTTGTACCTCCACAGAATAGACTTTCTGCGTTTCTAGAAATCTTCCCTTCCCCTGCAGAGGAGAATCAACCCCCAGGCCCAAACTGCTGCATGTTTGCTTCTAGCCCCAGCGGTTCTCCAGGTGTTGTAGAAGCAGCCACTCAGCTATGCAGCTGCCTGCCTTCCGCCCCAGGGGTGTCCCTCCCTGCGTGGGGAGCCCAGGCACAGCAGCAGGCGCCCAGAAGGTTCTGGCAGAAGAGCTGCACCCAAGGTAGTAGGGGACCAGGAAGAGATGAACCCCCAGCTTGTAGCTGTGCACTGCGGGGCTGCGAGTGAAATGAAGAGTGGCCCATGAGGAAGGAGTGGAGAGTGGGACATGGTCCTTTCCTTCCACCTGTCACCCCCTCCTCACCTCCTGCCTGCCCTTGAGTAAACCTGGGCATCCTCTCCTCCTTGCCCCAGTCCTGGAACCCACACATGTCCCTGCTGGGCCCCGGGGGGCCGAAAACACGGCTTAGGCCTCCCTGTCCTATTCCCAGTGGCAGGATGGAAGATTTCTGCAGAATTTCCAGCCCAGGCCAAACTCAGGCTGTGCTAGGCTGGAGGAACTCCCTCTTTCTGTGTCCAAAAACACTCCTTTCTTAAGAGGAGACACTCCATCACGTTTTGGAGAGAGAGAGAGAGGGAAAGTGTGTGTGTGTTTTGTTTTGTTATTTTATTTTTTTAGAAGGAGACTTACTCTGTCGCCCAGGCTGGAGTATAGTGGCGCGATCTCTGCTCACTGCAACCTCTGCCTCCTGGGTTCAAGCCATTCTCCTGCCTCAGCCTCCTGAGTAGCCGAGATTACAGGGGCACGCCAGGACACCCAGCTAATTTTTGTATTTTTAGTAGAGACAGGGTTTCACCATGTTGGCCAGACTGGTCTCGAACTCCTGGCCTCAGGCGATCTGCCCACCTTGACCTCCCAAAGTGCTGGGGTTACAGGCATGAGCCACCATGCCGGGCCACTGTGTGTGTGTGTGTGTGTGTGTGTGTGTGTGTGTGTGTGTGTGTGTGTGTGTTTTGGTTTTTTTAGATGGAGTTTCGCTCTTGTTGCCCAGGCTAGAGTGCAACGGCCTGATCTTAGCTCAATGCAACCTCCGCCTCCCAGGTTCAAGTAATTCTCCTGCCTCAGCCTCCTGAGTAGCTGGGATTACAGGCGTCTGCCCCCATGCCCAGCTAATTTGTTGTATTTTTCGTATAGACAGGGTGAAGCCATTTTAGTCAGGCTGGTCTCGAACTCCTGACCTCAGATGATCCACCCGCCTTGGCCTCCCAAAGTGCTGGGATTACAGGCGTGAGCCACTGCGCCCAGCCCAGTGTGTGTTTTAATAGACTAGTATTGGGAAAGACTTCCCTCTCTCAGCCCGGCAAGATAAGTCTACACCCTCCCCAGGCGGGTGTCCAGCAGGGCAGCTCCCAGCAACTCACTGAGAACTGGAAAGTTTCCAGGAAGGGTTGGGAGGGTCAGACAGGTCATGTTTCTCACTGGGGTCAGGACACAGTCCTTCAAGATAGGACACTGGAGCAGAGATAAGCAGGAGAACTCAGCTCCTTCCTTCAGCCGCAGAGCCCAGTGTTTAGTACATCTCCATCAATGGCTTGCTTCCTCTGAAGTAGAGACTGCAGTGGGTAGTCCTGGTGCTTTATCAGTGAGTCCCTCCCTCATGCTCTGCAGGGTGGCTACAGTGGGAGGCTGCAGCTGCCTACCTAATCTGAGCACTCTGGTCTCTCCAGTTTCTCTTTTGGGGCCAAGGAAAGTGACATTGAACCTTTGTGGCAGAATTTCTTTGTGTTTTGAGTCCCAACCTAGATGGCCCCGCTTTGGGGACAGAAATATGGCTGTCGTGACCCTGCCTGGGTCACAATCACTGGGAAACAGTGGCTCAGGACATTGCAGCTTAATCATTTCATGCTCCACATCAAAGAAGATGAAATATATGATTTACAGTGTGGTGGCCCCAGAGCAGAGGTTGTAGGGTTTTCTCCAGGACATGTGTGTCTGGCTTTGGTGACTGGTGAGATCGCGTGCTGCTCACTGAAATAGAGGATGCGGGAGGAGCAACAGGTGTTGGGAAAAACAATGTTCAGTGTGGGGTATGTTGAATAACAGGTGGTGGTGGGTCGTCCTAGTGGAGAGGTCCAATGGATAATTGAATACAAGGGTCTGGAGCGTGGAGTGGAAGGAAGAAGTCCAATCTAGAGGTGAACAATGGTGACTCTCCATTTAATTGTTAAATCTTACTTGTTTAAACAAATCTTATTTAAACCATGGGTTTGCATGGGGACCTTCAAGGACCCTGCACAGAAGAGAAAAGCTTAGAGCCAAGTATGGAGTCCTGGGGCATGGTGGGAAGAAGAACAGAGGAAGGAGCTCCAAGGAAGGAGACAGAAGGATCAACCAGAGAGGCAGCAGTTAAACCAAGAGAAAGTGGAACAAAGTCAGCAGAGGGCAGAGTTTCAAGGAGAAGGCAGCCAACACAGTCAAATGACTAAGAGATTGCAAGTCAGATCAGACCTGGAAATGCCTTCTGGACTTGGCCAACATGAAGGTCAAAGGTGATTTTAGTGAAAGCATTTCAGGGACTGGTGAAGGAGATGCCAGATTACAGGCAGTGGAAGAGATAACAGAGAGGCTAATGGGAGGGACACAGACCACAACAGAGTTGATAGGGGTTAGGGGTCAGGTGAGGGGGAAGAAAACTGAGCAGGCTAATTTGGGGAAGGAAAGAATCAACGGAGAGGGAAATGAAGGCAGGGTCAAGAGAAGGTCCTGGTGAAGGACAATGGAAGGTGCAGTGGTGGGAGGAGGGGAGGGGCGGGGCCACAGGGAGCGGGACAGGAGAGTCCAGCCTCCCCAGGCAGGGGAAAGGAAAGGGGAAGGCCGGCGTGCCTGTGCGCAGTGAGATTTGTAGTTGAGAGGAAAGCCGCAGAAGTTATTTGCTCCGTGAAGTAGGAGGCAGCACCATCTGCTGAGGGCAGGGTGGGAGGCGGTGGCAGGAGTTGAGGGAGGGGCAGGAGAATGAGGTTCCCAGCGTCTCCTCGCCGTGCAGAGGCGCCTGCGGAGGGAGCCCGGGCAGCTGCCGCTCCTCTTGCTCCGTGGTTGTGTGCTGCCCTTCAGCATTCCACAGCTCACCCTGGGAGACGCTGGGCTGACCCAAGGCTGGAATGTTCCGGGGCAAAGCGACGAGTACCAGACCACGGGCTCCGGGCTGGATTGGGAAGCAAGTAAGGGTTCACATATGGAAGCAAGCGACCAGGAGGAAAGGGAGGGGCCGTAGTTTTCGCTGGGAGCACAGATGGAAGCGGGAAGAACTGAAGAATATGGATGGCCAAATGCTGAATGAATTGTGAGAGTTCAGAGGTGGAGCTCCTCCCGACGGCAGTGGGCGCCCATGGGTGTGTGCTGCTTTAGTGGAGTGGAGAGGAACGCCCTTGGAGATAAGCAGGCTCAGTGGAACAAAGCTGCGGTATCGGACAGACTTCACCTCCACGCACTCAGAAAAGGCACTAGGACGATGGGGACCTAGGGGCTGGAAGCCACTCCCACAGGAGCCCAGGTGCTCAGTCAGCGCAGGGAAGGAAGACCAGGGATGCCTGCGGCAGAGGGGAGAAAACGGGGAGCCCGAGTGCCCGGAGCCTCCGTGGAGGCGTGTGTCTATATCGCGACGGAGAAAACGCGTCCCCAAGAGGCAATGAAAGTTAAAATGACATTGGCCCTGCCCCTCAGACACACATAATAGGATCCTGGGTGCAGGAGAGCCAGGGTCAGCGAGAGGAGCCAAGGAAGACATTCCCAGTGGCTGAACAGACCCCCAACGGGAGGCCAGCGCAGTGCTGAAGACCTGTCTTGTGGGAGGGGTGGACTTGGGGCCTCACCAGCCTCAAGGGATTAAGGCTTCTTTCTGTGTTTCGGGGGTGGGGGCACTGAAGCCAGATGCCACTTGCTGCCCAAAGCTCAGGGTTCCAGACAGACCCCAAAGAAAGGCTTGTGTGGACTGGACAGCCTCTCCCTGGGTGGAGGTGGGTGTCAGGTGGTGTTCCTGGCGGTCTGTGGCGGGATTCCCGCCAGGGGCCGTTTCTCCTGAAGAGGGAAACAGATCTTATCTTCACATCTTCCCCCCATACACCCTCCGCTCCCCCACCCTTTTTTTTTTTTTTTTTAATACAGGCGGGGTCTCCCCATGTTGCCCAGGCTGGTCTTGAACTCCTGGGCTGGGCTCAAGTGATCCTCCTGCCTCAGCCTCGCAAAATGCTGGGATTACAGGCATTGAGCCACCACACCCAGTCTACGTTTTTGAGAAGGATTGTTCCATAACTGAAGACTGGCTGGGTCAGGGGGAAATTAGCCTGCGGGTGGGGCTGGATCATGCTGATATTGGCCATCGGCGGAGGAAGCTATACTTCTTTCTCCTCAGGCCAGCACTAACCCTGGCCCTGACTCCTAGGACCCCATCCTCATCCGCCCTCCCTTCCCTGGAGGAAAGCTCCCTTTAATATAAGACTTTAGCTTCCTTGATACTCACTTGAGAAGCCAGGAAGATGTGAGGCATGCGGAAAAGCGCAGAGTTAAAAAACAAAACCTTACAATATTTACCAGGTACTTTCCCTACACACACATCCATCTGGCGTGTGTTAGGGATGACAGGTTGGCCTGCGTTTGGAGAAAGGTAAACAGCTCAAGGTCCTAGGCACCCAGCCAAAGTCCATACGATATGCCGCTCAGTACCACCCACTGCCCCGTCTTCATCTTCAGCTGAAACTCAGATCCCGGGAGGTCTGCAAATGGATGAGGTGCTATCCCACACCAGTCAGATTCCAATTTGTCCAAGATATCCCAGATCTACCCACTCAATTACATTTAAGAGACAGTTTCTGTCTTTACTTTCACCACCAGTCTTGGTTAAACATCAGAAAAGAGACAAATTACACACTTCTCAGAAATTGAAATTTTATAAAAAGGCATTTTTCTCTTATATCCATAAAATGATATAATTTTTGCAAGTATAGAAATGTGTCATAAATTATAATGTTCCTTAATTACAGCTCAATGCAACTTGGTACTTTCTTCCCTCCCTAAAAAACGAGAGAGAACCAAAAAATAATATATATATATATAACTGTATATATATATTTATATAATATAGACAAACAAAATATGAAAAAAAATCATTTCCTCTTTGGTATAAAAATCAGACTCTCACCTTGAGAGACACACAGACAGACATGATACTGGGTTTGTAAACTGTGTGGCCAAAAGGGATTTCCCTGCCAAGACTTCCCCTCTCCCATTCCCTGCCCACCCGCCCCCACCTCACTGCAGCCCATCCAGTTCCTTTGGGGCTCCCATATGGAACATTTAAAATCCCCCTACCCACTCCCAGCTCCAAACCATTCCTGAAGAATCCCCCGACCCACTATCAAAGAAGAGGAAAGGATTCTTCTCAAGGCTGATTAGGTAGCGACTAACTTGGGAAATGCCTTATTTAGGGAATAGCTTCATAGGTGTGGATGAAGTAAAGGACAGGCTGTGGCCAAACTCTGACAGTGTCCCATCCAGACCAAGCCAGGCACTGGCCTGGGCCTGGTTTTGCCCTTATCCTCCTCTACTACCCGGCACAAGGATTCCACCACCTCTTGCCAGAGGCTGGGCCTGAGGGGCGGGGCTCCTTGCTTACTGAAGAAGGGAGCAGAGAGGCCAATTCCCGTTCCAGCCTCATCTCAGGTGCACAGCTTCCCCCTGCAGCCCCACCACAGGGCCCTGGGGTGTAGATGCAAGAAAGCACCAGATGGGGAGGCAAAGGGAGGTCAAAAGGGAGTCTGCCAATAAACTTGGGTTTAAATTTAAAATTAAAGAAAACTACGCCTCCCTGAGCTGGGTGTGGTGGCTCACGCCTGTAATCTCAGCACTTTGGGAGGTTGAGGTGGGCAGGTCAGGAGGTCAGGAATTCAAGACTAGCCTGGCCAACATGGTGAAACATCTCTACTAAAAATACAAAAATTAACCAAGCGTGGTGGTGTGTGCCTGTAATCCCAGCTACTCAGGAGGCTGAGGCAGGAGAATCGCTTGAACCCAGGAGGTGGAGGTTGCAGTGAGCTGAGATTGTGCCATTGCACTCTTGCCTAGGTGACAAGAGTGAGACTCCATCTCAAAAAAAAAAAGAAAAAAAGAAAAAGAAAAAAGAAAAGAAAACTACCCCTCCCCACTGACCAAATTTCAGACCCAGCTTTAGCTCACTAAGGATTTGGGGGCCACTTTCCTAGGCTCCAGCCCAAGGCCAGCAGGACTAAGGAATCCAGGAATTGATATGTGTGTGTGTTGGGGGCAGAGGGCAGCACTTTACTCTCAAGGTGAGGAAGCAGACAGGACCAAACCCTCCTTTACACTCTCCCACTACCCTCTGCTCATGGGTACCTCCCTCCCTGGTCAGCTCCTCTGCCCCACAGAGCACTGGTCACTGCAGGCAGAGCCGACATGGATCCTCCCAAACCACCCCACAGCCGGCCAGGCTGCGGCATCCCAGTGTGTGCCAGCCTCCTTTTCCCAGGAGAGTTAAGACACCAACCACAACATAAAAGTCACATAAAAGCCTCCTCCACTTGCCAAATAAAAAAAGACAAAACCAAACTGGACACAACACAAATCAAGGAGAGACATACACGATGTGAGGGGCCGAGGCCCCTGCAGGTCTCTGGCTTCCCGGCATGGTACATTCTTATGTAATTCAGGAACAGAGGCACTAGGGCCCCTCTGGGGAGTAGGAGTAAAAAAATAAGGAGATTATAGTCTCCCTGTGGGTCCCAGGCAGGGCAGGGGCAGACACAATCTCTCACAGTTTTTTCTTGTTTTTGGTTCCACTTCTGGTCCCCGAGTGGGGCTGGCTCCCCGTGCCTCAGCCTCTGCTCTGCCCTTGGGCCTGCTCCCTCTAGCTCCCCAGCTGGTGGAAGGGCCTACAGCTGGGAACAGATGTCCCAGCCATGTGTGGTGGGACCAGCAGGACAGAGTCTACCGGGGGGACGGGAAGCAAGGAATGAGGACCAGCAGTTCCGAGACGCTGTTCCCTCAGTGACTGGCCAGCCCTGGGTGCTCTGGTCACTGGCACAGGGCATCCATCCTCGGCCTTCAGCCCTTGAGGGGCTTGTCGGCACCGCCACTGGGGCTACTGGCACTGTCACTCTTCTTCCTGCGCAGGCTCTCAATCCAGCTGGAGCTGGAGCGGGTGGTGAAGCTGGAGAGCGCGAGAGAGCTCAGCCGCATGTTCTTGCCAGACATGATGAGCTCCCCGAAGCCCTCCTGATGGGAGAAGGCATAGCCGGAGCGCCGGGAGCCAGTGCGGCCAACCCGCCGCATGCAGCGGTGCTGGGCCTTCTGCTTCTTCCTCACGAGCTGTGTGTAGCGGACCTGCAGAGGGGCACAGGGAAGAGCCCTCTGTCAGCGTGGAGGTGTCAGATATCGCCAAGGAGAAGGGACCCACAGCACCCGGGACCAGGCTGACACAGAGGCCTCCGACCCACAGCACCTGGGACCAGGCTGACGCAGAGGCCTCTGTGGCCAGCTGCACAGGGTGTCTGTCCCCAGGAAGAACAGATAAGCACCAACACACTGAACAGCCACATGGCCCCACAGAGCCCCCCAGTGTTCACATGAGGCCTTTCCAGCCACCCCATCTCTGCCTCCCACAGCAGGTAGCCTGGCTTCTCACCGTGTCGGAGAGATCCGGCTTCAGGTTGAGCCTGAGGAATCGGAAGGCAACCACGGGCATGATGCAGACGACTGTGGTGAGCACAATGGTCAGCCACACCGTGGGCTGGGCCAAGGTGTTCTGGGCATTCCCTGGGGATGAAGAGGAGTCAGTGGCCTTGGGAGTCACGAGGCAGACATTCCCCGTTCCCATTTCTGGCAGCTCCACTTCCCTACTCTCAAAGCCTAAGTCACCTCTGGCTTCCCGCTTCTCCAGGCTCACCCTCCAAATGTAAATCTCCAAATTTAGCTCCAAACTCCCCCAAAGCTCCAGACCTGCTGCTTCAACTGCCAGACTTGACATACCAGGCATCTTGAATTTCCCGTGGCCCAAACTCAACTATTGTTTCCTTTCCCCAAATCTGATCCTGGTCTTTCTCAACTCAGGAAATGCCACAACCCATTCAGTTGCTCCAACTAAAAACCCTGCAATGGATCTTGATTCATTTCTGTAAAAATTTTTTTTTAATTTTTTTTTTGTTGTTTTTTATCTTGATTCATTTCTCTCTCTTCTTTGGACCCCACATTCAATCTATTGGTTCCATTTTTTTTTTTTTTTTTTGAGACAGAGTTTTGCTCTTGCCCAGGCTGGAGTGCAATGGCGCGATCTCGGCTCACCACAACCTCCACCTCCCAGGTTCAAGCGATTCTCCTGCCTCAGCCTTCCCAAGTAGCTGGGATTACAGGCATGTGCCACCAAGTCCGGCTAATTTTGTATTTTTAGTAGAGATGGGGTTTCTCCATGTGGGTCAGGCTGGTCTTGAACTCCCAACCTCAGGTAATCCGCCTACCTCGGCCTCCCAAAGTACTGGGATTATAGGCTTGAGCCACCGCGCCCGGCCTGTTGTTTCCATTTTCAAAACATCTCTGGAATCTCACGGCCTTTTACTCTATTCCGAGCCCTCATTAGGCTCACCTGGTGACTGCTCTCACCTCCTAGTCTCCCATTTCCACCCTTGCCCCCTACACTTTATTATCCACGAAACTGTAAGAGCGGCCCTTTAAAAACATAAGTAAGCTTCTGGTATTTCTCTGCTCAAAGCCCTCCAATGGCTTCCTCTCACATTTAGATTAAAATTCAAAAACTCAAAGTTCTTCCTCTGACCCATAAGGGCTTAAATAATCCTGACTCATTCCACACCCCCACCCTCCAACTCATTTCCTCCACTCCTCCCCAGCTCCACGTGCAGAAGACCTCCTCCCAGGCCAGGGCTGAAGGCCTTTATATTGCTGTTTCCTCTTCCTGGATTGACAGTTCCCAGAGAGCCACATGGCAGGCTCCCTTTCCCTTTATTCAGATTTCTCTGTGCTAGCTGGGCACGGTGGCTCACACCTGTAATCCCAGCACTTTGGGAGGCCGAGGTGAGTGGATCACCTGAGGTCAGGAGTTCAAGACCAGCCTGGCCAACATGGTGAAACCCTATCTCTACTAAAAATACAAAAATTAGCCAGGCTTGGTGGCGTGTGCCTGTAATCCCAGCTACTCAGGAGGCTGAGGCATGAGAATCGCTTGAACCCGGGAGGCAGAGGCTGCAGTGAGTCGAAGGCTGCAGTGAGCCGAGATCGCACCACTGCACTCCAGCCTGGGCAAGACTCCTTCTCGAAAATAAATAAATAAATAAATAAAATAAACAGAATACTTGGCACATAAGAAATGTTGAATGTGCAGATTAGCTGATGGTCCTGTTAGTCCCAGAACAGCTGTGATTCCTCACCGATTCAAGGAGGCCACGGGGACTTACCCACAAACCGGAACTGGTTGGGAAACATGTCGAAGAGCCCATTGCTGTGCATGGCAAAGAGGATGGCAAAGTAAACAGCAAGGCTTCCCCAGATGAAGAAGTGGTTGATGGCCGTCCAGTAGCCTGTGTCGAGCCCAATCTGCAGAAAGTAGGCATAGTCAGGCAGGCGCACGCCCTAAAAGCCCCTTCCCCCAGAAACAGAACTGTGGTGCCCAGGGCAGCCCCAGGGACAGAAGGCTCACTCCTTCCAGAGAAGAGGGGAGTTCCTGGATGGCCTCATACCTGCACGCTAACCACAATGACCAAGGATGTGGCCACAGTGACTGCAAAGGACTGGTAGTCAGCCAGCTGAGTGCCATCATCCCGGGTGGCATCAGCAAACACCCCATAGGGAATGAAGAACATGAGCACGGAGGTGTAGATGCCCTGGGCGATGCAGATGAAGAACTCCCGCTTGTTGAAGAGAAGGTTCAGCTGGCCCGGCTCATACAGCTTAGGGTACTCCATGCTCCGCTGCTCGGGGACATCCTGTGTGGGAGGACCATGTAGCATAGGGGGCCTCAGAGGTTGCCGTTTTGACCCTGGATGACCAAGGGCAGACTCTGACTCTGTCCCTGCCTCCTCCTTTCCAAAGTCTTTGGCAGCTAGAACCAACCTCAAGCCAGCTACCCCCAGACTAACTTAGTTCAGCAACCCAAGAGAGTTCTAGATCAGCTGCAGCCAGGAGGGAGAACCAGCCACACCTTCCCCGGCTGAAAGAACTGCCTTCCCAGTGGCCACAGGAAATGGGCACAAGTGTCACACACCACGTCTATGTGACTCCTTCAAGCAGTGACCTTCCCCGCATCCCATCTGATCATCAAACTCCCCCATACCTGATCAAAGACCCCCATAGCCAGGACTGGCAGGGAGGTGTACACGATGTTATACAGGGTGATGAAATACTGGTCATAGACGGTCTGGAAGAGAACAGGGAGCAAGGGAGCATGCAACCTTTCTTTGCTACACATCAGGCACAGGAAGACAGCTGATGTCACATACAGAGAACCCTAAGAAATTTTCTGAGGCTCCTTCTCTCCTCCTTTAATAAGCATTTTTTAAGAGTATGTACCAGAAAATAGCTAGGCCCTGGGGGACTGAGTGATAAACAAGACAGAACCTCTGCCCTCAGGTTTACAGATTTGCACAACAGTGGACTGGGAACATTTATTACCTGGGCTGAGAAGCCACAGAAGAAGCCAAACCAGAAGTGGACCATGGTGAAAGCAAAGTTTTTGTAGAAGAAATAGCAAAGAAACTTGCACATTCGCAGGTAGGACCAGCGCCCATGCACCAGCAGGAGGCGCTGCAGGAACTTGAACTGGGAGAAGGAGTAATCGGAGGCCAAGACAGCCTGGATCCCTTCCTGCCCACTGATCCCCACACCAATGTGAGCCGCTGCAGAGACAAGAGATGACAAGAGGGTGAAGATGGCCACCGGCCACACACTTTAGAGCCTACCAAGTTACAACCCCCTTCCCGTCATTCTTCTGCAGTCCAGAGACCTCAGTGGGCCCCTCCCCAGCCTCAAGCCCAGCCTACACACCTGCACAGCCCACACTCACTTTTGATCATGCTGACATCATTGGCTCCGTCTCCAATGGCAAGCGTCACAGCCTTCTTGTACTTCTTGACCAGTTCTACCACCTGTGCCTTCTGCAAGGGGGTCACCCGGCAGCAGATGACAGCTTTGCAGGCACACGCTGTCTCCAGAAACTCCAGCTCCATGTCTGCCTCCAGTGCGTGGGCCTGGAGCACAGAGAAACCTGAGAGAGCCAGTCTTTCCAGGAGACACCTGGGAGTCTCAGCTCCTCCCAGTCCCCTTTGAGACCAGTCTTCTCTGAAATCAGGGGAAATTAGAACAAGATATAAAAGCCCTGGACAGAAGTGCTCACTGGAAAGATACTGCCCAAGCTAAGGATAGCGATGCCTACCAGGCTGTGACCATTTATGACCAGGGCGTACTCCCCAGCAACGGCCTCCAGGACAGAAGTTAGCTTGGAAGAAGAAAGCTTGTCCTGATAGGTGAAGCCGTTGCCTACGGAGCGGGATGAGTCCATCATCTTCTCCCGGGCTTTCCTGTCGAGGTGGAAATGATACGGTTGTGGTCTTCCAGAACGGCAGTGGGGAGCAGGGATTCAAGTCTAAATGGTCCAGAAACCCCCACCTGAGCCCTGGGCACAACGCACAGCACCGCCTCCCCTGGGCTTCTTGTTTACCTGAGCTCCTCCCGCACCTCCAGGACAGTATGGCCAGTGACTATGAAAACCTCAGTCATGTCATCCGTCAGCATCTTGCAGGAATAGCCGATGTTCACAGCCGTCTCTACCAAGAGAGAACGCAGGAGCTACGGACAGGCACCCAACAAGGTCAGCACACTTGCCTGCCTGATGTCCTCGGCTCCATGCAAGGGTCCAACAGGGCTACTGTCAGTTGCAACTGGCTCTGCCCTGCTGGGCTCTCACCTTGCTTGTCTCCGGTTAGCACCCAAATCTTGATGTTGGCCAGTGTCAGGAGGGCAATGGTCTCTGGAACCCCTTGCTGAAGTTTGTCCTCAATGGCCGTTGCACCCAGCAGCTGAAAATACCACAAGGATTCCTGGCACAAGAATTGCAGGCATGAGCCCTCCGTGCCCATCCTTGGCCCGTCCCGCAGCCCGTACCATCATGTTGTTCTCAACCTCCTCATAGATGCTAGCCAGCCTGTCCTCCCGGCTGTCCTGGGCCAGGCTGGCCTGGAGGCGTCGCTCAGCCCACTCCTCGTAGTACTCTTCATCCAGATCCTTGTAGGCCAGCACCAGGGTCCTCAGCCCTTCCCCTGCGTACTCCTGGAGGCAGAGTGGAAAGGCACACCTGGGTAAGTCTGGAGAGCTAATGGACAGCGTGAGGGCGACAATGAATAATCCTGCACTGTAGACTGGGTGTGTGCCACATTCCACAGTTAGGGACTGTCACCACATACATAAAAAGAGGTAACTATGGGAGCTGGCTGATGTGTTAAGTTGTCTGACTGTAGTAATCACTTCACTATATATACACATCAAAACATCACGTTGTAGACCTTAAATTTACACAATAAAACAAACTTAAGTCGCCTCCCCCACACTAAGAGTAGAACCCCCCAGGCTGGCCCCTCCTCTCCTCACACCCACATTAAGGTGGTCCATGGTGGTGTTGAGCAGCTCTTGAGTGGAGTGGTGCAGTCTGTCCAGTAGGATAGTGTCAGCCCCTTTGCAGTAGAGTCGGATCTTCCCCTCTGGATTCCGCACTATGAATGGGGCAGGTGAAGAAAGTGCCAGAAAAATTCAGACAGGCAAAGACCCCCAACATAAACACATCAAGAGTCACCCGGCACACTTCACCCATTCCAGGCCTGAATGCTGTCCCCAAACGCCCCAGCACCCCAGGCCTGGCCTCACCTATGACCGACATCCGCTTGCGGATGTTGTTGAAGTCCAGGATGGCCAGCAGCTGGTAGGTGATGGCTGTGCCCATCTCATGGACGGTGATTGTTTTGGGGGTGCGAGAGCGGAAAACAAAACCAAAGTTCCTGGCTGCGGTGACCAGGGCCCCCTCATCTGGGGACTGAGCTTTGTAGTACAGCTCTCCTGGGTGGGGAGGAAGAATACACGTGATATAAGTGGCTTCCCTCAGCCACGTGCCCCGCCCAGGAAGCCCCAGCCCAGCCGCATTGCAGAGCAGAGCAGAGCCCAAGGGCAGAGTCAGGTCAGGAGAGTGCGAGCCGGCTCCTCGGCCCACCTTCGTTCTTTTCTTCTGACATGACAGTATGACACAGGGAAAGGAGGCGGAAGAACTCATGCGTGTGGGGGTCCCCGATCTTGACAGCCTCCAGCAGGCTGGGGTCCCAAAATAAGAACTTCTTGTCAGCCAGAGGATTGAAGGAGAAGTCAACAGGTTCAGGCCTCTGAAACACATAAGAAGGCTCTTAGGAAAGGCTAGAGTGCCAGGCTGCATCCCGGGGAAGGGTTCATCCCTGCCCTCCCAACTCTCAGTAGGCTCCTGTCCACGGTGGACCTCAAAATTTCCACTTCCGTCATCACCAGTTCTGCCTTAAAACACCCATTTCTCCAAGCAGCTTCCATTTCCTATCCAGACAACACATCACTCCTGACTACACTGTTACTGGCCAGGCACCCTGTTTCACTGGCACATAGAATTAGGGAGACTGAATCTTACCTCTCCCAATTCAGCTTTGTGTCCCAGGACGTCAAACACATCACCTACATACAGCCAGGGCAGAAAAAGAAGCAATGTCAGAGCCAGAGAGCTCCAGAGCATGGAAAAACATCTCCAATGCAGAATCCCCGTAGGCACTGAGCCCCTCAACCCTAATCGCTGAGCAGCTGTCACAGTGTGAGTCACTCAGTCACATTGCTGACTCGCGGGATAGGAGGCATCAGGCACCCTAGATTCCAGAACCCCAAGGCCTGGCCATGAAAGAGCCCCGGCACCCACTGCTCACCATCCCTGTCTCTACCCTAGGCGGCACCCCCCTCAGGGCAGCTCCAATTCCACACCTCCCAGGCCTCCTTGCACCCATTAGACCTGAGCAGCAGACAAGGCTCAGACACTGACCGAAAGGCATCAGTCAGTACAGAAAGCAGTCACAAGAGGGGTCCACACTCTGCATAAAAGTCAGCCCCACATGCTGCCCCAGGCCATCCCAGCAGCACAGCCACGGGCCACACTGGGAAGTCCAACCACAGCCACATTCCACAGACTCACAAGGACCCTGAGCAGCAACAGGGGAGAGTCTAGCAGGGTTCCGCCTGGCCAGGATGCCCAGAGGCCAGTGTCTCACTTCAAACAGCCAAGGAGCTCCCCTAATTCCTGGAGCTGAGACCAGGGTCAGGGCATCAGGAGAGGACAAGGGGAGGACTCTCAGAATCTAATTTTTTTTTTTTTTTTGATAGACTTTCACTCTTGTCGCCCAGGCTGGAGTACAATGGCGCAAACTCGGCTCACTGTAACCTCCACCTCCTGGATTCAAGCAATTCTCCTGCCTCAGCCCCCCGAGTAGCTGGGAAAACAGGCACCTGCCACCACGCCCAGCTATTTTTTGTATTTTTAGTAGAGACGGAGTTTCACCATGTTGGCCAAGCTGGTCTCGAACACTTGACCTCAGGTGATCCACTGCGCCCAGCCAGGATCTGCTTCTTGACATGGGACACAGAATGGACCTCTTCTTTGTGTGTGGATTTTTCTCGAGAGACAGGGCCTCATTCTGTCGCCCAGGCTGGAGTGCAGTGGAAGATCATGGCTCACTGCAGCCTTGACCTCCCAGGCTCAAGTGATCCTCCCATCTCAGCCTCCTGAGTCACTGGCCAGCTGAGACCACAGGTGCATGCCACCATACCTGGCTAATTTTTAAATTTTTTGTAGGGATGTGGTCTCACTATGTTGCCCAGGCTGGTCTCGCATTCCTGGGCTCGAGCAATCCTCCCACCTCAGCCTCCCAAAGTGCTATGACTATAGGCATGAGCCACCGTGCCTGGCCAGGATGGACCCTTTCTTCTAGGCCCCTCAGACCCAACTAGGAAGGAAGAAAAAACCAATGTTAAGGAAACTGTGGGGCCCCAGTTCCACTGTCCTTCCAGGCGAGGTGCAAGCCCCCAGTCCCCAGTGGTGCCACCATACCATAGCTGTGGCCATTGATGGAGCACTTGTTGAAAACCATGATGTTCTGGGTGAGGGTGCCCGTCTTGTCGGAGAAGATGTACTCCACCTGGCCCAGCTCCTCGTTTAGGGTGGTGGTGCGGGCTTCTGCAGGCGTCCGCTTCTTCATGCAGAACATCTTCTTATCCCAGTTGATGAAGTAGCTGTGGCCCAGACGGATGACCTCCACACTGCACAGGGGACAAGAGGTGAGGCTTGGGTCGGGAAGAAGAGGAGGTGCCCCACCCACATGGGCCTTCGCTGCAGGCCCTCCGCCTGGGGAGAGACAAGAACGGAGAAGACACCTGGGCACAGAAACCTGGGTGGGAAAGGGCAAGGAGAGCCTGAAGGTGGAGCCGGCTGCACACAGCCAGCAGAGGAACGCCCCGACCCGACCCTCCTGATGCTCTCCAGACAAGAAGGTGCAAAGGGCCTGGGTGGGCAGGACAGACAGCAAAGGAGGAAAAGGGGCTGTAGACAAGGCACTCGGCCAGTTCTTACCTCAGGACTAATAATACAGAAACCATGCAGAGAAAAACAAGAGAAAGTGCCAGAGGGAGGGGAGAGAAAAGAGAGAGAGAAATAATGAGGGTGCTGTGCATGCCACAGCAACACAGACGCCACCTCAAAGAGGGGTGGCACCGGGGAGGGGAAATGGAGAAGGCTTGAAGCCCACTCGTCACTGTCCCACCACAGGCTGGGTGCGCTCCTTCCACCCTGGGCTTGGGGCACTACATTCCTGATTCTGAACACCGGGCAGGGCTGAGGTGCTGACTCCAGAGGGAGAGGGCCCTGGGCATCTGCAGAACACCACCACTTCACAATGGCACAGCGCATTGTGGTGGTTGTTGTTTGCTTGTTTGTTTTTTGAGCTAGGGTCTCTGTCACCCAAGCTGGAGTGCAGTAGTGTAATCATAGCTCACTGTAGCCTCAAACTCCTGGGCTCAAGCAATCCTCCCACCTCAGCCTCCCTAGTAGCTGGGACTACAGGTGCACACCACCACACCTGGCTAATTTTCATTTTTTGTAGAGATGGGATCTCGCTGTGTTGCCCACACTGGTCTTGAATTCCTGAACTCAAGAGATCCTCCCGCCTCCACCGCCCAAAGTGCTGGGATTACAGGCGACAGCCACCATGCCTGGCCCCTATAGTGCCTTTAACATCTCCAGGTCTGTTCGTATCCTCTTCTTTGCTAATCATATGCACTGTTAGCATTTCCAGAAAGGGCCATGTTTAGGTCCAGTGCAGCCGAGCAATGGGGCCCTATCGAGAGCCCTGCTTCCCACCTGACTAAGGCACCTATCAGGATCCCATTACCAGGCAAATGGGAATGTCTTCACATTCCAAAGGGCCTTTTCCTCACACAGCTCTTCAACCCCCTCTTAGCCTCCCGAAACATACACACTGTGACCTGATGAGACTCAGAAAGAAAACTGCTTTAGCTGCTCCCAAGGGCTTCAAGTGAACTGAGATACAAAACACAGATAGCAAAGCCCATAGGTGGGAAAACAAAATTAGGTTGTAAGCACAAAGGCATTTAAATAGTAATGCAGAAGGGAGTGGCAACAGTCACAATGAGCAGGCTACCACCCAGTAACTGTACAGTCACTTAAGTTTAAAATGTATCTTCTAAGCCAATATCTTATATCAAGACATCCTATTAAAAGGTGAGACAAGTACTCCTGTTCCTGTTTCACGTGGGAAAACTAAGATCAAGTGAGGCCCTGAGTGACCGTGGATTTTCCTGAGGTCACATGGCCAGTGAGGAGGCAGGACTAAACCCAGAACCTCCCAACTCTCCTCTTCACACCCTGGAAAAGCCTAAACTATATTCTCTCAGCACAGAAATGCTGTATCTTCTATTTATTATCACCAGCAGTAAGATTGGGGGCTGGGAGAGAGTTGAGGGCTATTTGGGGAATCTGTATGAACAAAAGATGGGAGACAGGACAAGTTTTCAGCACCTCCATAAAACATTTCCTTAAAAATGTCACAGGTTCCCTTATCTCAAGTGCAAGGCACTAAGCAAGAAAGTTCCTTTCCCCTGGCCATTCCTCCTGCCTCGTCTTCCTCCGATCCTCCCCTTCATTCTCACTGGCCTGTCCCTGCTAACATTCTCTTTACCTCAAACATCCTACATGTTGCCTTGATCCTATTCATGCTGTACACTACTGCCAGTCAATACTTCCTAAAGCATTCTTTAGTTTTTTTTTAGAATGCATTTTTTTCTTTTTGTGGGGGAGGGGTTCCAGTGAAAACTGGAAAACCTGCTAGACAAATTCTAAAAGAGCTGTAACACTTAGAATGCATTTTTAGAATACAGAATACATTCTTTTGACTTTCTTCAAAAACTTTTTTGTTTGTTTGTTTGTTTCGTTGTTTTTTGAGACACAGTTTCGCTCGTTGCCCAGGCTAGAGTGCAGTGGCGTGATCTTGGCTCACTGCTACCTCCACCTTCCGGTTTCAAGCGATTCTCCTACCTTAGCCTCCCAAGTAGCTGGGATTACAGGCAACCACCACCACACCTGGCTAATTTTTGTATTTTTAGTAGAGACGGGGTTTCAACATGTTGGCCAGGCTGGTCTCGAATTCCTGACCTCGTTATCCGCCCACCTTGGCTTCCCAAAGTGCTGGGATTACAGGTGTGAGCCACCGTGCCCAGTCTTTTCAATAACTTTTAATGGTTAGTAAATACAAAGTCCACAGGCAAATATTCAAAAGCCTCCACAATCAGGAGCAAGCTATGTTTCCAGCTCTTGCTCTTGGCCCAAGACCCTGGCCAACTATTTCCATAGGCCATTCCCAGGCTCCCATCTCCACACCTTTGCTTCCAGCCCTCTCAGCCTCCTCTCCATTGTGGCTCCACCTTCATCCAGCCCAGTCACCACTCAAAGCCCAGAGCAAATGCCATCTCTCCCTCTCTGCCTACCTGCTTAGGGAGCGACACTCTCCCAGTCCCCGGGCACCCTGTGCCTCCCACATGGTATCTCAGTCTGACACTGTCCAGATCTCCCCTCCTCGACCTATCCATCTGCTGCTGCTAAAGGCAGAGGCCACCTTATACATCTCTGTATCCCCAAGCTTCACATAGAAGACTCTAGGTCGAATTCTACAGCACTGGTTCCTATTTTGTTTTATAATGTGTTTAGATTTTCCTTCCTTTACTAGACGTAAGCTCCTAGAAGGAAGGAGATCCATTCCTAATTCATCTTTTATTTGTGATGGCACCTAGCACACTTCTTTGTACACAGTAGGCATGTAATAAATAGGTGCTGAATAAATCAATATTTTTTTTTCTCTAATACAGTCCCAAGTACCAGGAAACTGTGGTAAAAAGTTTGCTCTGCCCACAAAGATAAACAGATAACATCAAATGTTTACAGTACAGGAAGAAGAGGACTTCTCGTTACTTCTCAAGGACTTCATCTTCATAGAAAAGAAAAGTTCTATGGGACCGCCTGACTCCCTGGAGAGACCCCAGGTCAGAGAAGGCACATACCTGACATAGAGTGAAATGGGCACAACGGTGTTGAGGATGATGATGTAGGACCAGAAGGAGAGGAAGCCAGAGAAGAAGGCACTGTCCACTGCCTCATCCCACGGCAGGTAGACCTGGAAACGCATCCCCACCTCGTGCTCCCAGATGGCATTGCCAATGGCCAGGATCACCCCCATGCAAACCAGGAATCCAAAAATCTGGGGAGGAATGAGAAGCACAGGCGAGGCTGACATGTAGGAAGCCCTCAAAACCAAGTGCATCTGTGATGTATTCATCCCTTGAGCCCTCAAAAGCTCAGATGCTCTAGTGCAAGCTTGTCCAACCCATGGTCTCTGGGCCACATGTGGCCCAACACAGATTCATAAACTTTCTTAAAACACTATGAGATTTTGGTAACAGCTGAATGTTAAATGAAAAATAATTATAAAAAAAAAAAAAACTATTATGGGCTGGGCGCAGTGGCTCAAGCCTGTAATCCCAGCATTTTGGGAGGTTGAGGCGGATGGATCACCTGAGGTCAGGAGTTTGAGACCAGCCTGGCCAACACGGTGAAACCCCGTCTCTACTAAAAACATTAAAAAAATTAGCCAGTCCTGGTGGCACTTGCCTGTAGTCTCAGCTACTCAGGAGTCCAAGGCATGAGAATTGCTTGAACCCGGGAGGCAGACATTGCAGTGAGCCAAGATCATGCCACTGCATCCCAGCCTGGGCAACAGAGCAAGAACCTGTCTCAAAAAAAAAAAAAAAAAAGGCCAGGTGCAGTGACTCACACCTATAATCCCAGCACTTTGGGAGGCCAAGGCGGGCAGATCATGAGGTCAGGAGTTCGAGACCAGTCTGGCCAACATGGTGAAACCCCATCTCTCATCTCTACTAAAAATACAAAAAAATTAGCCGGGTGTGGTGGCGGGCACCTGTAATCCCAGCTACTAGGGAGGCTGAGGCAGGAGAATCACGTGAACCCGAGAGGCAGAGGTTGCAGTGAGCCGAGATAATGCCATTGCACTACACTCCAGCCTAGTGACAGAGTGAGACTCCGTCTCAAAAAAAAAAAAAAAAAATTTATGAGATTTTTTTTTGCAATTTTTTTTTTCTAAGCTTATCAGCTATTGTTAATGTTAGTGTATTTTATGTGTGGCCCAAGACAATTCTTCTTCCAATGTGGCCCAGGGATGCCAAAATATTGGACACCACTGCTCTAGTGGAAAAAGCTCAGAACTGGTGACAGGTTCTAGTCTGTCACCAATTATCATGTGGCCTTCTGTCTGACCATTATTTCATCTATATGATGAAGAAACTGAAATAGTTGATTAGCTCTCAATCTGGCACCTTGAAACCTTCCAGAGTCCTCAAAGTTGGTAAGAGTGGGGATGAGCTACTTTTAACATACCAGAAAACTTACTGTAAATAATCTATTCACCTGGGCTAGGTACAAGCCAACAAAAATGCCAAGCCACGGTAATGTTCACTATCTCACATAGATGGCCTTTTTTTTTTTTTTTTGAGATGGAGCCTTGCTCTGTCGCCCAGGCTGGAGTGCAGTGGCGCGACCTCGGCTCACTGCTGCAAGCTCCACCTCCCGGGTTCACGCCATTTTCCTGCCTCAACCTCCCAAGTAGCTGGGACTACAGGTGCCCGCCACCACGCCCAGCTATTTTTTTGTATTTTTAGTAGAGATGGGGTTTCACCATGTTGGTCAGGATGGTCTTGATCTCTTGACCTCGTGATCCACCCACCTCGGTCTCCCAAAGTGCTGGGATTACAGGCGTGAGCCACTGCACCTGGCTAAGATTGCCTTTTTTTTTTTTAAACTTGGGAAACAAACTTATCTTCATAAACGTAGATTTCTTTTTTGAAACAGGGTCTTGCTTTGTTGCCCAGGCTGGAGTGCAGTGGCATGATCCTAGCTCAACGCAGCCTCAATCTCCCAGGCCAAGCAATCCCCCCGCCTCAGCCTCCAGAGTAACTGGGACCACAGGTGCATGCCACCAAACCTGGCTAATTTTTCAGTTTTTTGTAAAGACAGGGTCTCACTATGGTGTCCAGGCTGTTTTCGAACTCCTAGGCTCAAATGATCCTCCCACCTTGGTCTCCCAAAGTGCTGGGATTACAGGTGTGAGCCACCACTCCTGGTCTAGATTTCCTGATTAGTCAAAAATCTTATAAATTTTGGAGTCTCTGGAGAGACTGGTAAAAAACCAGGCCACTGTCCAATTTCCTACATCTATTTCCAAAGCTGCCTCCGCTGTTTAGGCTTTGAAACAAAATAGGAGATTGGTGCCCAATGGCCACCAGGGGGCGACTGGAGCCCTTATGTGATAGACAACCTCGCCCACCAGGCTGGGTTTCCGCACACTCTTTAAAGCCAGGGCGGAAACAAGCTCACCAGAGGCTAGCCCCAGCCTTCACAAGCTGGCATGTGGCGGGCAGGCAGCAGACAGTCGGGGCACAGGAAGGGGAGGAGAGCCCAACAAGGAGTTCAGATTTCTAGCTAAACAAGAGAAGGATTCAGGAACTGCCAAAAACTTAAACAGAAACTTTTCCTTTGGGATCCTTCGTTCTTAGAAGTTGGGGGGAAAAGACCCTGCCAACCTCTTCCAAATGGAAATTTTTCTTTTAATTCCCTCTCCATCCCCATGAAGGCCTCCTTGTCCCTGGCAAAAGCAAACAGAAGGTCACATGCTTCACAAAGTCATCATCATAACTGGAATCAGAGAAGGGATGATTTGTTTTAGCTTTAAGTTGTTGATTCATGCACGTTCCTGAAGTTTTTTTAAATAACATCTTCCAACTAAAAGGAGCCTAAAATAAACACTGCCTTTGTGTAGCTGACCTGCTAGCAGCTTTAAAGCCAAACCTGAAGTCTACTGACCAAAGAAGAAAGAGGAAAGGAAAAGGAGCACCCAAGGAGAAGAGAGGGCAGGGGCAGGGAGCCAGATGTGGGGCGCCTCACCCAGAGCACCAGGGTATTCATTAGGCGATCGATACTCGTTCTTTTGAACTTTGTTCTGCCGCTGTTTTGCATCAGCTTAGTGTCGGGACCTGGAAAAGAATGGGAAGGGCTGGGAAAGCCAAATAACACATCTGCCTCTGGGCTTCTGCCCTGATCCCCAGACTGCAGGACACCAGGGTGGAATAGAGATACTGGCTAGATAAGAAGCCTGTATACACAGCTGGAGGTTTTTTACCTTAGGTATTCTCCCACCTCATCCCATACTCCTGAGTGAGGGCTGGCTGAGTCACTCTTACCCTTCTTTCTTTGGATGCTAGGAGGCTCACCTGCAAAGATGACCAGCCCGAAGCACCACTCGGTGTTTCGCAGCACACAGCCCCGCAGCAGCATGTTCTGGTTGCTCAGAGGGAACTTATTTTCCTTCCAGTAGAGGGTTCCGCTGAATTTGTCCAGTTTGTTGTTGGGAGGTTCACAGATCACTTCACCTGAACAGGAGACAAGAATTCCACTGCTTAAGGTCCAGTCTACAGCCTAACCACAAGACAATAAAACAAAGAGAAAATGAGCTGAGCGAAGAGGATGCAAGGGCAAGGGCCCATCCATATGCTGCTGGGAGGAGTGTGAGCTGATGCAACTCTTCAGGAAAATAATGAAGCAGGCCGGGCGCGGCAGCTCATGCCTGTAATCCCAGCACTTTGGGAGGCTAAGGCGGGTGGATCAGCTGAGGTCAGGAGTTTGAGACCAGCCTGGCCAACATGGTGAAACCCTGTCTCTACTAAAAATACAAAAATTAGCCGGGTGTGGTGGTGGGAGCCTGTAATTCTAGCTAATCGGGAGGCTGAGGCACGAGGATCGCTTGAACCTGGGAGGTAGAGGATGCAGTGAGCCGAGATCGCACCACTACACTCCAACCTGGGCAGGAGTATTTAAAAAAAAAAAAAAAAAAAAGCTGCAGCATGACCTAATATTTGTTTGTACAAACATGTATGAAAAGTGTGGATGAGCACACACTGACTGTCAATTAATGTGGCTACTTCAGCAGGGTAGAAGAGGAAGGAAGAGCTATTTTCTTCTTCTTTTTTTTTTTTGAGACAGTGTCTCACTGTGTTGCCCACGCTGGAGTGCAGTGGCCCGATCTCGGCTCACTGCAACCTCCACCTCCCAGGTTCAAGCAACTCTCATGCCTCAGCCTCTCAAGTAGCTGGGACTACAGATGCACACCACGACGCCCGGCTAATTTTTGTATTTTTTTTTTCTTTTTGAGACAGAGTTTCGCTCTTGTCACCCAGGCTGGAGTGCAGTGGCACGATCTTAGCTCACTGCAACCTCCGCCTCCCTGCAACCTCCGCCTCCCAGGTTCAAGGGATTCACCTGCCTCAGCTTCCTGAATAGCTGGGATTACAGGCATGCAGCACCACGCCCAGCTAATAATTTTTGTATTTTTAATAGAGACAGGGTTTCACCATGTTGACCAGACTGGTCTCGAACTCCTGGCCTCAGGCAATCCGCCCACCTCGGCCTCCCAAAGTGCTGGGATTACAGGCGTGAGCCATGGTACCGACCTCTATTCACTTTTTCTTATACACTCTGTATGGTTTGTCTTATAAGGAACACATATTATTATTCTGAGCTAATAAGCTAAAAGAATAAGCTGAATTTCTCTCAACATGCATAGCAAGTGGGGAGCTATCAGCCACAAAGTCCCCTTGAAATAATTATAAACTCAAAACCAAGAGG
The DNA here is from genome assembly GCF_000001405.40 of Homo sapiens. Lineage (NCBI taxonomy): Eukaryota > Metazoa > Chordata > Mammalia > Primates > Hominidae > Homo > Homo sapiens. The sequence goes on along the minus strand of NC_000001.11, from coordinate 154,332,854 downwards.
GAGCCACATGACATTACAAACACTCCCCTCCCCAAAACAGTCCAGGGAGTTGCATAATAACAACAAAAAGCCCAAAGGAAAATGTATAATTTAACGCCCCCAAACAAAACCCAACCCCACTCCTCTACCTTCAGGCTGCTCCTCCAAAATTACTCACCGTCAAACTTGGCAAGCTTACTGATGTCTCCCAATTCTGAGGTGACTGGAATCGCCTGACGTACTTTCATGTTGGTCTCGCTGGAAGGACAGTATCTCTGAGTCCCCGCTCCCTCCTCATCCTCTAAATGTTTTTTTTCACAGATGGGGTCTCGCTCTGCTGCTCAGGCTGGAGTGCAGTCGCACAATCATAGCTCACTAAAGCCTCGAACTCCTGGGCTCAAACAATCCTCCCGCCTCAGCCTCCCAAGTGGCTGGGATTATAGGCATTAAAACCACCATACCCAGCTAAGTTTTAAACTTTTTAAATTTTTTGTTTGTTTGTTTTATAGAGATGAAGTCTCACCATCTTGCCCAGGCTGGTCTCAAACTCCTGGCCTCAAGCAATCCTCCCACACTGGCCTCCCAAAGTGCTGGGATTTACAGGAGTGAGTCACCATGCCCACCTCTCCCCATCCTCTAAATTCTACCTGGTGACACCTAAGCATGGTGCATAACTGCTCAGCCCAGCAAATACTGGTTGAATAACACTTCACACATCCCATCCAAAGCCTTTCTTACCCCTAATTTTTCCAAATTCAGACAGAGCCCAGGCCTGAGAACCTCATTCAAAGACAATCTTTTTACCTCCAAAGAGACAGAAGGAGAGGGCTGACACTGAGCATGCCACTTACCCATCAAGTTCTGCTGTCTCTATGTAACACAGCCCATGGGGCTCACTGCTGGAAAGGAGGAGGAGATCCGCCTAGAGAGAAAAACTAATGAGAAGTCCAAATATGCAAACCTCCACCCCCAGTGGGCTGTAATGGTGGCTCCTTCCACTAAGCATTCTTGGTTTGCTTAGTTCCAGGTGCATAAATGGCTAGTTCCAGGCATATCAGCATGACACAGAAGCCCCTGGTGTGAGAAAGATTCCTGCCACGGGTGTTTAAGAGGCAACAGTAAATCAGGAAAGATTCATCCTTTTCTCACAAAGAAGAGGAAGAACCTACAGGCCTAGAGGGGTACCCTGTCCCTTACCGCCACAAACTGGTTATTTTCTAGCTTGATAATATCACCAACACAGACATTCATCCACTGCTCCTGCTGGAGGCTGAGGCAACGAGAAGACAGTGAAGAGGCTGTCAGGAGCTAAAGAGGTTCCTAAGGGACCCCCTTCGTCCCCAGAGCTCTTGTCTCCAACAGGCACTCACATTCCATTGATCAGCACCTGAGACTGGCGGTTATTCACCTGGTTATCGCTCTTGTGGCGGAACTGAAAAGAAGAAAACTGAAAGGTAAGACACCTTCCCCCGCCTCGAAGGAATTCGTTGATCAGTAGAACTCAGAGCATGCTGGTTAACGCCTCATACACACCCCATCACAAACCAGTTCACTCCCTGATTCCCTCTCCCCACGCTCAGCAAAAAGACATCATGGATCTAGCTGGACCGGGTAAGGGATGTCAAGGTCACCAAGAAATTGTGCTGGATGAAGGTGGCCATGAGATGGGGGTGGGGCTGGGAGTAGGGGTGGGTGACTGGGACAAAATAGAAGAATGAAAACCACTCACATAGTCATCAGTGGCATCTTTAACAGCTGTGATGGTGAGGACAAGAACCAAAGGCACAATGGTGGTGAACCAGGACAGGGAAGAGATCTGGGGGATCAACTGAAAAAAAGAAAGAGAAGTATGCCTCTGAGGCCCCATCTGATGCCTTCATTCCCTTTCCTCTTCCTTGGCTTTATTCAGTTTGGGGAGCTGCAAAAAATCTACTATGGGTCACCTACCTGCAGAATGAGGAGGAACAGGAAGTAAGTGTTGGCAACTTCCTGGAACTGCTCAAAGAGGTTGACAGGCAGGAAGGTGAGAATATTGTACTTGGAGGTCTTGATGCAGTTACTCTATGGCAGTAGGAGAGAAGATAATGAGCAGTCTCCAGTCCCAACCCAGAACCAGACTGAGGCTGCCTCCCCCATCTTTATACTTCCCCAGACCTCTACCCCAAAAGCTAGCAAACACAGGTGTGGGAGGGGGAAAGAGGAGGAGAGAAGGGAGTCTCAAGGGGGTCAATGTATTCTGCTTCACTGACAGGTGAAGGCATGAAAAATTCAGCACGATAGCAGATGGAGAGTGGCTGAGGAGGTTGCTTCCCCTCCCCCAAGCACTCTTCCCAGGCAGCCCTCAGTCCCAACGGTAGGTTGTCCTTGCCCCATTCCCCTCTCCAAACAGAGAGAGGGAACAGGTGGTCTAGAGTCGCTTACCGCATACTGGAATTTCTCATTGTATTCTCGGTCATTAGCCCGCGCCCTCCTTTCTTCTTCTGCAACAAAATGATGCTGCAGTCAGGAGGAGCAAACTGAGGTCTGGACCAACACTTTGCTGGGGGGTTCCCTGTTTTTTTCCACAGAATATCATTTTAAGGAGTTAGCTCCACAACTGAGGGGGTCATCAAATTCTTCCCTCCAGTCCACCTCTCACCAGCAGCCTGACCACACGGCTCTCCAGGTTACATTCACAGGACAGGACATGTTCTCTTTTCCTCACCACCAAACTTCAAGGTCTTCCACTGGAAGCACCCAGTTTGTCTCCCCCACCCCCACTCCAGAGGAATCTGAGCCACTGACAGTCCTGGGATTCCCCAGCCCCTTTTGCTGCTATTACTAATGCATACATTGTCATAATCAAGGAGTAGCGCTGAAAACGCAAAGCTTCCTTCCCCCTGGGGACCACTGCAGATCTAGTCGCGGTACTGCTCTCTCCCTTATTTAGAGAGTGGGGTAGGTGGCAAGAAGGAGGCTCCCTGTGCCCTGGAGCTGCTCTGCGGGAGCATCCCAGCCCCATGTGCAGTCCCCCCTACAGGAGCCTCTGGTTGTCACATGTCACCAGCAACTGCTTCTGACTGGCCCGAAATGACATCACCTTATTTCAAAGCTCATCTTCAAGTAGAAAAAGGTGTGGGGGGTGCGTTTCAGGGATATGGGTCATGCAGACTGAGATAGAGATAGAGGAGGGAGGAATGAAATGTAATTGAAACAGTTGCTCTCTAACTGGACCTTCCTTGTACCATCTGCACACATTTAGCTTTAAAGGGCTCATCTGTCACTCAGTTAGTGACACCTATCTAGCTAAACCTATCTGAAACCTCTGCAGGTCTGGGACTGCAGGCATCAAATTCATGTCCCAGAACAAGGAGCTGTCCTATAATAGATTCCCCAGCCCGTCTCCCCGGGGGTCACCATGACCTCATGCTGCAAAAAGGGGTAACTTGGTTAGGCAGCAAACCTAATGCCTTAAGCCTGTCCGGGAGCCAAAGACAGCATTCCAGAACCCTTTCTACACACCCCAGGACCCCTGCAGAGCACACTGCAGTAACAAAACCCAGGCCACAGTGCCCCCTGCCTACCAAGCCACTTCACTCCCATAAACTTCCCTAGAGGGGCTCTCTTGGGCCAAGTCCCCTGCGCAATCACCAAAGACCATGCAAACGAAGAAGGTAGGGACTGGATCCTTCGGAGCCAGGATCTCTGGGTCTGGAAAGAGGATCAAGGCAGGTAGGGGGAGGCTGGGGACAAGTGAATGTAGGGATTGGAGGGGGGAAATAATGGGTGCGGGAGAGCTGCCAGGCGCTGCCTCCCGTTACCTGTCCCCCAAGAGGGCTTCTTTCGGCTCCAAGAGGGAGGCGCCTGGGCCCGGGCCCACTTCTCGGGCATCTCCTTGGGGACCGTCATGATCCCGGTTTGAGTGGGGGAGGGCAGACCGTCTATATGTCCTTGGCCTTAGTGGCATCGACGGGGCGGCTCCCCGGGGAGGTGCAGGAGCCGCAGCCGCTCAGAGGGGAGCCCCAGCCGTCGGGCGCGCGCCCCACCCGCAGCCCAGGCCATCCTCCCGGCCGCCGGCGCTCGGGGACACCGCGAGCTCAGCTGCGCCGCCGCCGCCGCCCCCCATGCCCCCCGGCGGATGCCAGCGTGCGCTGAGTGGCCCCGGACACGCCGAGCACGCCCAGGGTTCCGCCCCCGCCCGCTCCCCGACTGCAGGAGCCGCAGCCTGCCAGCGCGCCGCGTAGGCGAAAGCTCGCGCGCGAGCCCCGCCTCCCCTCCCACCCCCGGGCCGGGCCAATGCGGGTGAGCGGACTGCCGGCGTTGTCGGGGGCAACCGCTTTCACACACACACACCCCCGCCCGCGGAAAAACCAGGAGAACCGGTAGATGGAAAAACGAGGGGAGCAGGGAAGGGGTGAGAGGACCAAGCAGAGATGAGAACACAGCTCCCTAGGCCAGAAAGCAGGAGCTGCAGGTGCCCGAAGATAAGACTGCAGGTGTTTCGGGGCGTGGGGCTGGTGCTCTGCGCTGTCCTGGCAGATAACCCAGCTTTGGGATCAAGCGGAAGAATTCGGTTTCCTAGGCTGCCCCCAAGCTGGGTAGGGGCTGCTGTAAGCTACCCTCCCTCAGACCCATACCAGTTGTCCCTTTTCCTTTTGCTCCCTGAGCCATAACAACACCCACTCTTGATGGTTCCCGGGATCTCCCCTCCTTGCCTGTCTTACCTGGGGGGCGCTTTTTTGCACACACTGCCATCTCACCCAGCAAGATCCCAGCAATCCCATGGGAGACCCTGCAAGAAGTGACAGACGAATGAGGTCAGGAAGCTGAGGATAACCCTTCCCTCCCCTCATGAGACCTCTTTTGAAGACCCTCTTCTCCAGCTCTGACCCTGCCCCTCCCCCAGCCTCCTTCTCCCAGTCTCTCCTCTTACTGCCATGATGGGTTCCTGGGAAAGAGGGGACTTCCCCACCACCTCCCATCATGCCCCTGCCTTGGGTGACATGGGGGGCTGAGACTTTACAGAAGCCCATGCCTGTAGGGAAAGGAGAAGAGGCCAGATATTGAAAAAAGGGGAACAGCTCTCAAGGTATCCATCCCAGGGACAATGGAGGCTCTCATGTGTTCTGGCGGCAATGAGTAGTGCTTGTGCTTACTAGAAAGCAGTTTCCCCAAAGGGTGGGGTGGAGGGAACATGAGCCAGGAAACACCTGGCAGGGCATCAGGAAACAGGGTGGGCAGGCTCCACCCTTCTCGAAAGGCTTATAAGTTCCCTGCCATCCCCACCCCCCATTACTAGGGCTTCCATTATCACCTCCTCCAGGGGAGCTCACATTAGAGGCATGGCCCTCACTTTCTGCACAGACAGTCCCTAAACAGCTTCCCCTCAGCCTGGGTCAGCCACCCTTCTGGGCTGGCAGAGGGGTCTTCCCAACCCTGGTGGGGAGTTTGCCCCTCCCTCCCTCCCACCCCAAGCCTAGTCCAGTCAGTATGGCACAGGGTGCAGGCTTAGGGAGCACCAGTGAGACAAGCCTCTGCCTGCTTCCGCCTTCCCATGTCCTTTCTCCTAAAAGGTTCAAGGCCTGGCCTTACAAGGCAGAGCCTCATCCTTACTCCCCAGCCTGGCCCAAAGGAAACTGCCAGTCAGTCACCTCCTCTTTCCTTGTCTGGGTGGAAGGCCTTTCACCTCCTCATCCTCTTTGGTTCCCTCTGCCTTTAGCCTACCAGGCACACCCCACCAACCTGTCAGCCCCAAGAGATACTAATTGCCTGTCTGGCTAAGCTCTATAATTACAGATTCTGGCCACAACCCAGTCACCCACACCAGTTCTCCCTTCGCTAGCTCAGATCCCGCCCTTACACCAAGTCAGGCAATCCTGAAAGCCAGAAGTCCTTTTCATCCCTGACCTTCTCCAACTATGGCAGTCCAGGGTGCCTGGCTCAGGAAGAAAAACCTCATCCATATTTTAGAGATGCCAAGCCCTCCTCCAGGGCCCCCAGCCAGGGTCTCCACCCAGTCTGAGTATGAGTCACGGGAGGGTGGGGAGCACAGGGAGAGGTTAAAGGATGCAAGAGTGGGCATCACAAGTTCTACAGGCAGCCCCGCCCTTGGGGAGGAAGGGATCAAGAAACACTATCAGCCTAAACATCTGAGTTTGAGTCCCATGAAAGAGTTAATGTAGGAGCTGCACACGCCATCAGGAGTCAGGAGTCTGGATATGGACCAGGAAAGTTGTTCTACCTCTGAGACCCTGGGGAGACTGGAAGCAGGCTTGGCCCCAGACCTCATCCCCTCTGGGGGGGCCATCATTCCAAGGGGAAGAGAGGAGAGACCTGGGAACTGGGATCCCCTCTCACTTTTCCTTCTTAGTCTCACACAGCCTGGGTTTTCTGAGCAGGTCAGGCCCATCAGCCACGTTGCCCTGCCCCGTCACCCAGCCCCAGCCCCCTCTCGGCCACATTTGGGATAAAAATAGCCAGCCCCGGCAAGCAGGCAATGCTCCATGGAGGAAAACAGCTCCTCCTATAGGTCCGGTCCCTGCTCCCTTACAAGCAAGAGCCCCAAAGGCTGGCCACTTCTTTCAGAGGAGGATGGCAGGTCAGGGAAACAGGAGGAAATGGAACTCGAGACCTCCAGCTCACTGGCCACCAACACGAGCTCGGGCCACCTTCCCTCACCAAGGACAGAACTCAGGGCTCCCGGCACAGCTATCATCTCCCAGAGCTACTGCCCCTTCCTGACACCCTCAGTTTTCCTCAGGCATAGACCTCCACCTTACTGAGACAAAGCCTACCAGCCCAAACTCCCTTCTCCAGGCACCAAACCCTCGGGTCCCGGTTACTCCTCTCGCCCAACAACTCTCTGGGCGGGTCTCCCCTGGCCAAGGCTGCACGAGCTTCTCCTTGGCACTCGCGCCGCTCTCCTGCTCTCCACGCGCCCCTTCGGCACCCCATCCTCCCATCCTGTACGCAGACCCCCGCTCTGCCCCGTCCCCGGGAACCCGACAGCCCCTCGTCTCCAGTCGGCCGCCATCCCCGCCCCGTCTGGCCGCAGCTCCCAAATCTTGGCCCCCGGTGCTCCCCAGTCTACACCCGCTCCCCGGCCCCTCCAGCCCCGCGGCTGCGGCCGCATCTCCCTCTGCCCTCCTGGCCCCGCGCTCCCGGGCGCCCCCGCTTCGCCTCGCCTCGCCTCACCTCAGCGCTCAGCGCTCGGCGCCCGCCCCGGCGGCCCCGTACTGCCCATGCCGGGGGCTGGGGCGGGGGGCGCTCGGCTCGGCTCCCCACGGGCTCCCGCCCCCCCAGCTGCGGCCCCGCTCCCCCGGGGCCTCGGCCCGCTACTTTGTGTCAGTTTCGGCCACGGCGGGGCGGAAGTGACGGAGCCGGCGGCGGGGGCCGGGGGGCGGGAGGGGGTTTTGGGGAGGGGAGAAGGAGCGGGGAGGAGGGAGCAGCCATCTTTGTGCGGGGCAGTGGGAGGGTCTTAGCCCTTCCGAGCCTCGGCGTGGCTGGGCTGGGATGCCCCCACACGTACGTCCATCCGCATCTTAAAAGAAAAAACAATTCGGGAGGCTAGATCGCTCTGAGGGGGTATTTTTAATTCGGAAGAAGGGAATAGAGGAACACTGCCTTCTCTGCAAAACGAGCATCCTCTGCAGGGAGCGGCAGGAGAGCTGTAGAAGTGGTGAATAACCAGAATTTTCCCTGGCGCCAGGTTGCCCTCAGCCCGACTCTCGCTCCTCGGAGCCGCCCGCCCTCCGTTCCTTCACCCTCCCTCCTCGCCCTGGCTCATTTCACTGTATCTCAACTCTCCTTGAATGAACGACACAGCACCGAGATGTCTAGGAACGGTGCCTCAGTTTCACAGCCTTGCTCTCTGTCTCTGTGCCCCGCCGCCCTCCTTCCCTCCGCCCCCACCACGCCCCCTGGGTGGAGGCGGCTTCCCCACCCCTAACTACCCTCTTGGGGAGGCATCCCCGAGAGGGTGAAGGTGGGAGGCGCCGAGGCGATGAGAGCTAGGAGTCGGCAGTCGGGACAGGCTATGGAGGGCAGTCCCCAGGGTTGTGCCCTACACTGGATGGTGGCCCCCTCCACCCTGCAGATGCCCGCAGCCGTCCCCATCCAGCATCCAGGTGCGCACCCTCTAGCGGTTACCTCGAGCAACTACATTCCGAGAGGCCCTGAGGGTCAGAAAACCGCTTTGCGGGAGGAGGGGATGAGAAGCCTGAGTCCTGGTACCTTATCCTCCTCCACTTCTCCCTGTCCAGGATCCTTCTTAGTTTAGGAGGAAGGGATGCCAAACAGATAAACAGAGAAGCCTCCCAGGTTCTGGCACATTAACAAAGAGGAAGAATGACTGTTGTTCCCAGGCGGGGTCAGTGGCTGGCTCCAGGGTCCATGAGTGAAGTGAGGGTTGTCCTAATCATAGCTTACACTCCAGCATCTGAGCTGAGGCAGGAGTTTCCAACTCTGAGGCTTTGTGTTGAGCAGACACCAGATCCTGAGCTGGCTCTGGGCCCTCAGGGTGGTGCAGAGCCACCAACAGCTGGTAAGTGGCTGTGCCAACGGTGGCCCCCACCAGAGGGGCCACCACAGGCACCCACCACCAGCCATTACCAGCACTGCAAAAGAAGGACAGTGGGAAGGTATCAGGAGTGACTCCCTTAGCCTTCCCCTCTCCAAGGACGGGGGGCAGTAACAAGAGAGTGCCCTAAAGTTGTTCCCAGGGTGGTAGACACCAGGAAGAGGATTGCCTTGTCACCAAAGCATAGTATTTAGAAGAGGGAACCCCAGGAGAGCTTGGTCCAGCCTCTTGCCTTAGGGAATTATCTGAATATATTAATTTTGCTGATGAAGTCACTAATGTGCATGGAAGTAATGTGGCATGCCTAAGAACACAACCTCTAAATCTTACTGTTTCAGTGAAAAGTTGGGAGGGAAGCAAGGGAGAAAGGGGGAGAATATGACTTGGAGAAAGAACACTGTCCTAAGAAGCCAAGAGAGCTATTTTAAAGGCAGAGTGCTGTGGACCCAGGGACAGAGCCCTTAGCAGAGGAAGGTGAGTGGAGGCCAGCACCAGGAGAGTCTGTCTCCCACCTGAAGACTTCAGGACCCCAGCCAGCCACGTAGGTGAAGAGACGTGGGCCCAGGTCCCGGGCAGGGTTGAGTGGAATCCCGCAGTTGGCACCCATGGATAACCCGAGGGCCAGGATCAGCATCCCCACCACCACAGGCTCCAGACCCGCAGGGACTCCCTTGTTCCGTCTGTCCAGGATGGCCAAGAGCCCCACAATCAGCATCCCAGTGCCCAGAACCTTGGAGTCAACAGAGGCAGAGGGTTCCCTGTCAGCTGCCAGGTGCTCCATCTGCCCTCTCTCATCCAAATATTCCATGTCATCTGGCTTTGTGCAACACAGGCAGTTGGGGATGGTGGGGAGTGCCAAGATAGACCCAACCCACACTCCACCCAGAGACTGAACAATAGGCTGGGGTGCCGAGGAACAGGACCAAAGTAGTGTCCCCAGGTCTCCCCCTCACACTTACCTGATCCAGGAAGCCATTGTTCAGGGACAGATAGGGGGCAGGATAGGTGGCAAAAATGGAGGCTGTCTCCTTGGGGCCAGTCACTGTCAGGTTCCCACCTGTATAGTTCTGTAGGGCATCTGTGGAGGAAGGGAACACCCAGGATTTCCCTCTTTGCTCATTCATCCAAAACCATTCTGAGGCACCCCTGCCCACCCACAGGTGCTCTCAAGGCACAGCTCCCTCTGTTCCCTCTGTCACCATGGTAGAGAACATAGGTGGCTCCCGAAGCACAGAAAGCAGACAGCAACTGCACCAAGATGTAAATGGGGAGCTTGACCCAGGGGAGGCGTCCAACGATGCACATGGCCAGGGAGAAGGCTGGATTCAGGTGGGCCCCTTCAAGTATCAAGGAAAGAAAAAGAGCATCTATTAAGTGTCACTGCCAGGCATTGTCACCAGACAACACTACTGCTCCTTCCTATAGCTCTTAAGGCAGATAGTGTAATTCTCATCACACAGCTTAGGAAATTGAGGCTCCAGATGTTACAGATGTTAAGTGACTTAGCAAAGTCACACTGTGGGCCAGGCACAGTGGCTCACGCCTGTAATCCCAGCACTTTGGGAGGCCGAGGCAGTGGATCACTTGAGGTCAGGAATTCCAGACCAGCCTGGCCAACATGGTGAAACCCCGTTTCCACTAAAAACACAAATATTAGCCAGGCGTGGTAGCAGGTGCCTGTAAAATCAGCTATTCGGGATGCTGAGGCAGGAGAATCGCGTGAACCCAGGGGCAGAGGTTGCAGTGAACAGACATCACACCACTGCTCTCCAGCCTGGGCAACAGAGTGAAACTCCATCTCAAAAAAAAAGAAAAAAAAAAAAAAAAAAGAAGAAGACACTGTGAATCCAAAGTTGGAACCTAGGTCTGTCTGCTTTTTCCACAGCAACACACTATGTCTCAAGGCTCCACCCAAGCACACCGATGCAGTGTGTATCTGGGGTACAAACAGGAGAGGTCCTGAGTGGAGATGAGCCCCCAGAGGACTTCAGGTGGGGGATACAAGAGGATAGCAGCTGCCCTTCGTGCCCTGCCATTGATTTCTGTCTAGGTGAGCCAAGCATTAGTGTGAGGAAGCAGGATGGAGAGATACAGAAAGAGGAGGGGCTGGTGGGGCCAAAGGCTTATTTCAGTCTGGGACACTGTTCAAGGGGATAATGTCCACGAGTCACAGAAGGATTTGCGTTTCCACCATCACCAGACAGACAAACTGGCATGCACATCCCACGTGCTCTGATGACCAGACCCCACCCTCCTCACCTGAGACGTTACCACCCACGTAGATGGCTATCGTAACGGCCAGAGAGCCAGCCAGAAACATGGTGAAGAAGTTGCCTTTGGTTTCTCCACTGGTGACAGCCTGGGCCACAGCTCCTTGGGTGAGGAGCTGCTGAGAAGAGGAGAGATGAGGAACAGGGAGCCCAGGAGACCAACAGGGAGAAAGGTTGGGAAGGCCAGGGGAGCAGCCAAGGAGATGAATGAGCACAGAAGACAAGCAAGGGAAGGAGAAAAGCAGAAGGAGGGAAGGGAAAAGAAATGGGGAAAGTGGAGGAAGAAGAAAGGGAAAGAATGTGGGAAAAAAGAAAAGAATTTACCCAACTCATAGGCATTTGAGGGTACAAACCCATGGCAGGGCTCAGCTTTAAAAAGTCTTATCTAAGATTCTTTCTATGGAAGAGTTCCATCAAAGCCAATTTTAAAAGCCTATGTGAAAAATAATTATTCTTGCTGCACTTTATACAATCATCAGGCCAAGTATAATAAAGCACATTGGTCTTACCATGAAAATGGTCTTTCATAAAAATGGGAAACTGAAGAGAGAAAAATTATGTTTCAAGAACTATGATACACTTGTTATTAAAGAAAGAATAAAAATGACAAGAATAAAAATGATGAAGTAGGAGAGGAAAGGAGATTAGGAGAGACGAGAGGATAAAAACGAAAAGTGATAGGGAGTTGAGAGGAAGGGGGACACCAAGAGAAAGAGATAAGGACAACAGAAGGAGCCAGGAACTTTTGCCCAACCCCCTTCTTTCCTTCCCGCAGTGATCCTACCTACCATGAGTACAAACACACCCAGAAACTCTGCCAGGCACTGCCGGGCCAGGAGGCTGCGTATCCGGAGGTGGCCCATGATTTCAGCCGGGGCCTGAGTGAAGACCATGGTGGAAACACCCTATTGCTATTCACTGCTCCCTCTGTCTGCATAGGCACACTGTCACTGCACAGCTACTGCCTGCCTCCAGCAAAGATAAGGAACAGACTTTAAAACCATTAGCTCAGTTCCTGAACAGCAGCTACGTGTCTGTGCACGTGTGTAGGCTAGGAAACAGAGAGATAACAAGAGAATGTCTGGGAGCAGGCTATGAACACAGAGCCTGGAGTTTACCCAACCTCTGTCTCTTTTACCCTTCATTCCCAGTCATCACAGGACTAGCCTCCCCCATCCTGACAAATAGAAGGAAGTACCCCGCTTCATAGACATTAGATCTCTTGGTCCTGAAGTCAGCTCTGCAAAGTAGTACTATTGCTTCCATTCTACAGATGAGGCTAGTGGGCCTTAGAACTCCCCAAGATCAAACTTTTTTTTTTTTTTTTTCTGAGAGAGAGTCTTGCTCTGTCCCCCAGGCTGGAGTGCAGTGGCACCATCTCAGCTTACTGCAACCTCCACCTCCCAGGTTCAAGCAATTCTCCTGCCTCAGCCTCCCAAGTAGATGGGACTACAGGTCCATCACACCTGGCTAATTTTGATATTTTTTAGTAAAGACTTGGTTTCTCGGGAGGCCGAGGCAGGCAGATCACGAGGTCAGGAGATCAAGACTATCCTGGCCAACATGGTGAAACTCCATCTCTACTAAAATACAAAAAAATTAGCGTGGTGGTGCACGCCTGTAGTCCCAGCTACTCGGGAGGCTGAGGCAGGGGAATCACTTGAACCAGGGAGGCGGAGGTTGCAGTGAGCCGAGATTGTGCCACTGCACTCCAGCCTGGCAACAGAGCGAGACTTTGTCTCAAAAAAAAAAAAAAAAAAAAAGACGGGGTTTCACCATGTTGGCCAGGCTGGTCTCAAACTCCTGACCTCTAGTGATTCACCTTCCTTGGCCTCCCAAAGTGCTGGGATTACAAGCGTGAGCCACCGTGCCCGGCCCAAGATCACACAATTATTTCATGGCTGAGTGAATTCAAATCCAGATTTTCTGACTCTCCAGCTGGTAACCCACAAAGCCTCTCATTTAGAACCTGAAGCCTTACCCCAAACCATTTGGATGCTTGAAGAACTCAATAGGCATCTGGAAAGACTGGGCTAAAGACCACAGACTGTGGGAATGAAACTCACATATTGAGTGCTTGTACTTCCCTTATGCCGAGTGTCACATAGGTTAGAGAATACTCCATCTTTGTGTCCCCTGACATGGCTTGACATGAGGCCTTCACACTCATGCTGAGCTCCACCTGGCCTTCTCTGGGTGCATGCCACTCTTGCTCTGCATGAAGTAACCGCATCCTACTTCTTCATATCTCAAGGCTCCAATTAAATGCATTCAAAGAATCTACGTCTAGACACTGGAGAAACAGTGGTGAACAAAACATAGTCTCTGCCCTCCTAGAGCTTATGTTCTAGTAGGTGGAAACAGACAATATGCAACTTTTTAAAATACCATATACAGTTTATGAAGTTCTTGAGGGCTACCATTATGATTTATGTAACCCTGTGGGCTCTACCACTGTCCTGGGCACATCTGTGTGACTAGTAAAGAAATAATATTTCTTTACTAGGTTTAATGGATACTATAGTGCTCCACCCAGATTCCCCCTTGGGAGCCAATATGCCCATTCGCTACATGTAGGAAATACCAGCTGCTGATACCACATAGCTACCTCCCTCATTGGGCAATGCCCTTCAAGTCAGAAAGATGCCTCACCGAAGGTTACATGCCCTCCTATGGGGCCCATGTCAAACACTGATTGATGGAGGGATATAAAAGTCTAGCCTCTTTGCCTCACTTTGCGACAACTCTAAAGGGCTGTTCCAGCTCCAGTTCCCCCATAGGATCCATTTAGGCATCTGTTATATCATCCATGTGTGTCAGTTTCTCCTGGTGCCTAATCTTGTTACAGGAAAGGGGTCTGAATCCAGATCCCAAGAGAGGGTTCTTGGATCTCACACTAGAAATAATTCAGGCTGAGTGCGGCGGCTCATGCCTGTAATCCTAGCACTTTGGGAGGCCAAGGCGGGATCACAAAGTCAGGAGATTGAGACCATCCTGGCTAACATGGTGAAACCCCGTCTCCATTAAAAATACAAAAAAATTAGCCGGGCATGGTGGTGGGCGCCTGTAGTCCCAGCTACTTGGGAGGCTGAGGCAGGAGAATGGCATGAACCCGGGAGGTGGAGGTTGCAGTGAGCCGAGATCGCACCACTGCACTCCAGCCTGGGTGACAGAACGAGACTCCGCCTCAAAAAAAAGAAAAAAAGAATTCAGGGCGAGTCCATAGAGTAAAGTGAAAGCAAGTTTATTAGGAAAGTAAAGGAATAAAACAATGGCTACTCCATAGACAGAGCAGCCCCGAGGGCTGCTGGTTGCCCATGTTTATGGTTGTTTCTTGATGATATGCTAAACAAGAGGTGGATTATTCATGCCTCCCCTTTTTAGACCATATAGGGTAACTTCCTGTCATTGTCATGGCATTTATAAACTGTCATGGCATGAGCCACCATGCCCGGCCATGACCTGTATCTTATGGCAACCTCCTATCTCATTCTGTAACTTAGAATGCTTTAACCATCTGGGAATGCAGCCCAGTAAGTCTCATTCTCATTTTACTCAGCTCTTGTTCAAAATAGACTTGCTCTGGTTCACGTGCCTCTGACATTTCCCCCCTTCCTTTTATAAGAGAAGCACTAATCCTAAGGGTTGCAGAGGGACGAAGGTCCATCTTCTGTAAGTTCTTCAGGATGAATAGGGGCGATGATATTTTTGCCTAACTCTTAGAATCTCTCATATTCGTGGTAGAGAGGAGCTCAGTTGGAAAGTGTTGGTATGGGCCAGGCGGGATGGCTCATGCCTGTAATCCCAACACTTTGGGAGGCTGAGGCAGGCGGATCACCTGAGGTCAGGAGTTCAGACCAGCCTGGCCAACATGGTGCAACACTGTCTCTACTAAAAAATACAAAAAAAATAGCCAGATGTGGTGGCGGGTGCCTGTAACCCTAGCTACTCAGGAGGCTGAGGCAGGAGAATCTCTTGAACCTGGGAGGCGGAGGTTGCAGTGAGCCAAGACTGTGCCATTGCACTCCAGCCTGAAAGAATGAAACTCCATCTGAAAGAAAAGAAAAGAAGGGAAGGGAAGGGAAGGGAAGAAAAAGCATTGGTATCTTGAGGGCCATTCATAACTCATGAGTTCTGACAAAAGGTGATACTCTGGAAGATTCATAAGTGTTCAGTTTAAGGAAACATTCAGTAAGCTTGTCCTCCATTCCTATACAAAGATTACAACAGCTATACATTCCACAACCATAAAGCAAAATAAGTAAAATTATCCCAAGTAAACTAAACTAGAAGGCTTTCCATGAACTGAGGAACTGTTGGAACCACGCTGATATGAGGTTGCTAGATGATTCCAGTACATGCCCAGAATTAGAATATTGATGCAGATTTTTACATTACCCATCCCTCTTGTTTCTTCTGAGCAGCAGTCAGAGGCCACTGGTTGGTTCACAGGACTAAGCAGGGTTAGCCTAAATTGCAGAAACAAACTTAAAGACAACTGATGAGACTGGAATTTAATAACAAGTGTATCATAGTTCTTGAAACATAATTTTTCTCTCTCCAGTTTCCCATTTTTATGAAAGACCATTTTTATGGTAAGACCAATGTGCTTTATTATACTTGGCCTGATGATTGTATAAAGTGCAGCAAGAATAATTATTTTTCACGTAGGCTTTTAAAATTGGCTTTGATGGAACTCTGTTCCATAGAAAGAATCTTGGATAAGACTTTTTAAAGCTGAGCCCTGCCATGGGTTTGTGCCCTCAAATACCTTTGAGTTGGGTAAATTCTTCCTCTCCTTTTGAGGTCCCCAGATAACTTGGGGCTCCTGGACCTTTTAGAAGGTGACATTCTTTACTTACCACAGGTCAGAAACCCTGTACAGGGACTGTGTAGGCAAGGTTATGAGCCCAGGTCGCTAAGTGGCTTTTATAGGCTTTACAAGTCAAGTTTGATTCCTTAATGGAAAGCACACCATTCCAGTCAAACCCTTCATAAAATAAACAATTTCTCCAATTGTGTCCTGTTGCAAAAGAAAACAGATTCTTATTACCCTTATGCAAATAACTGCATTGCCATAAATTAAGAATACACACAAATAATTTCCAAATTCTGGAGAAATCAAGTAGAGAGATGCATATACTCCAAATTTTGTTCACAGGAGTATACTTTACTCGATTATTAAAAGCTGTAAATATCTGAAAAGAAAAGTTGCCTTGACTCTAAAAAATAAAACAAAGGATCAGCAATGTTTTAAGCAAAGGCAAAAAGATTGCTTTAGTCTTCTTTAGTTTATGCAGTTAACTTTTGTTTGATATCTATGAACATTTCAGCTCCCCATGAGAGTTCTGAAAGTTGTTTCCTCTATTCTAATGTCACAATCTCCAAAGTTATCAGAAACCTGCATTTAAGTGCACCTGTTAAAGTCCTATGGCTGATTATAAACTACCTTCTAAAGAAGATCAAAACAAGACAACAATTGTCTGTGGATGATAAAAAGTCTTAGGGCCAGGTGCAGTGGTTCACATCTGTAATCCCAGCACTTTGGGAGGCGGAGGCAGGTGGAACATTTGAGGTCAGGAGTTTGAGACCAGCCTGGCCAACATGGTGAAACCCCGTCACCACCAAAAATCCAAAAATTAGCCGCATAGGGCAGGTGCCCATAATCCCAGCTACTCAGGAGGCTGAAGCAGAGGAAGTGCTTGAACCCAGGAGGCAGAGGTTGCAGTGAGCTGAGATCGTGCCACTGCACTCCAGCCTGGGTGACAGAGCAAGAATCTGTCTCAAAAAAAAAAAAAAAAAAGTCTTAGGACAGCCACTAGTAAAGCCACAATTAACTAGGAAATTTTGGTTACTTCTGTTGCATACAAAATTTTATGTAACAATTATTAATAACATACGCTAAGTCATATTAGAATTATAGGAATTTCTCATAATTTTGGAACATGTACCAATAACACATTTAATCTAATGCTCCAAAGTAGATAAACTGAACAATTTTTTTTGTTGTTGTTGTTTTTTGTTTTTTGGGTTTTTTTGTTTTTTTAAGACAGAGTCTCCCTCTGTTGCCCAGGCTGGAGTGCAATGGCATGATCTCGGCTCACTGCAACCTCTGCCTCCTGGGTTCAAGTGATTCTACTGCCTCAGCCTCCTGAGTAGCTGGAATTACAGGTGCGCACCACCATGCCTGGCTAATTTTTTGGTATTTTTAGTAGAGATGGGGTTTCACCATGTTGGCCAGGTTAGTCTTGAACTCCTGACCTTGTGATCTGCCTGCCTCAGCCTCCCAAAGTGCTGGAATTACAGGCGTGAGCTACTGCACCCAGCCTAAAATTGAACAATTTTTAATAGTCAAAGAAGCAGCTTATGACCTTAAAGAATTTAGCAAACTTAATATCTGACCTGTATAATTTAGACCAAATGTTTACATTTTTTTTTGTTTGTTTGTTTGTTTCTTTTTAGTCAGAGTCTCGCTCCATCACCCAGGCTGGAGTGCAGTCGCTCAATCTCGGCTCACTGCAGCCTCTGCCTCCCGGGTTCAAGCAATTCTCCTCCCTCAGCCTCCCAAGTAGCTGGGACTACAGGCTTGCACCACTACACCTAATTTTTGTATTTTTAGTAGAGATGGGGTTTCACCATGTTGGCCAGGCTGGTCTCGAAATCCTGAGCTCAAATGATCTGCCCGCCTTGGCCTCCCAAAGTGCTGAGATTACAAGCATGAGCCACCGCACCCGGACAAAATGTTTACATTTTTGAAGATTTTTTATTTTACCAATAATCTTTAAAACTGTATTTATTTCCCAAAGATTACTTAAGTCACATGAACTAAATAAAGGGTATTCCACTTTTTACTTTTCTGATAAAATGTTTGATTTAAGCAATTCTTATTGTTAAACCAATTAATTAAAGCTTTTCCATATATAAACATTACACACATAATACATATAAATACACAGACAGACAGAAGATAAGGATCATCCCCTAAACTGGGAATTGGACTTTAAACCAGGGCTGCCATTATGAAAAGAGAAAGCATGGCCACATGGTTACAAGGTCAAGCTGCTAAGGACATACAAGACAAGAAGGAGGCCGGGCATGGTGGCTCATGCCTGTAATCCCAGCACTTTGGGAGGCTGAGGTGGGCGGATCACCTGAGGTCGGGAGTTCGAGACCAGTCTGACCAACATGGAGAAACCTCATCTCTGCTAAAAATACAAAATTAGCCGGGCATGGTGGCACATGCCTGTAGTCCCAGCCACTCAGGAGGCTAAGGCAGGAGAATCGATTGAACTGGGAGGCGGAGGTGGCAGTGAGCTGAGATTGCGCCATTGCACTCTAGCCTGGGCAACAAAAGCGAAACTGTGTCTCAAAAAAAAAAAACAACAAAAACAACAACAACAACAACAAAAACAAATAGGATGAAATGTGAAAGCATTTGGAGCTCATGCAAGAAAGAATTCAGGGCGAGTCCATACAGTAAAGTGAAAGCAAGTTTATTAGGAAAGTAAAGGAATAAAAGAATGGCTATTCCACAGACAGAGCAGCCCCGAGGGCCACTGGTTGCCTATTTTTATGGTTGTATCTTGATTACATGTTAAACAAGGGGTGGATTATTCATGCCTCCCCCTTTTAGACCATATAGCATAACTTCCTGTTGTTGCCATGGCATTTGTAAACTGTCATGGCACTGGTGGGAGTGTAGCAGTGAGGAAGACCAGGGGTCAGTGTGGTCATCTTGGTCTTGGTGAGTTTTCGCTGGCTCTTTACTGCAACCTTTTTTATCAGCAAGGTCTTTATGACCTGTATCTTGTGACAACCTCCTACTTAATCCTATGACTTTCTTTTTTTCTTGAGATGGAGTCTCGCTCTCTCACCCAGGTGGGAATGCAGTGGTGCAATCTTGGCTCACCGCAACCTCCGTCTCCTGGGTCCAAGCAATTCTCCTGTCTGAGACTACCGAGTAGCTGGGACTATAGGCACATGTCACCATGCCCAGCTAGTTTTTGTATTTTTAGTAGAGACGGGGTTTCGCCATGTTGGCCAGGCTGGTCTCTAACTCCTGACCTCAGGTGATCCATCTGCCTCAGCCTCCCAAAGTGCTGGGGTTACAGGGGTGAGCCACCACACCCAGCTGTTCTTCCTATAGCTCTTAAGGCAGATACTGTTATTCCCATCACACAGCTTAGGAAATTGAGGCTCCAGGATGTTAGGCAACTTATCAAAGTCACACTGTGAATCCAAGGTTAGGATCTAGGTCTGGGCCAGGCACGGTGGCTCACGCCTGTAACCCCAGCACTTTGGGAGGCCGAGGCAGGTGGATCACCTGAGGTCAGGAGTTTGAGACCAGCCTGGCCAACATGGTGAAACCCCATCTCCACTAAAAATACAAAAAATCAGCCGGGTGTGGTGACACGCATCTGTAATTCCAGCTACTTAGGAGGCTGAGGCAGGAGAATCGGCTTGAACCTGGGAGGTAGAGGTTGCAGTGAGCCGAGATAGTGCCACTGCACTCCAGCCTGGGAAACAGAGCAAGACTCCATCTCAAAAAAACAAACGAACAAGCAAACACCCTAAGTCTGTCTGCTTTTTCCACAGCAACACACTATGTCTCAAGGCTCCAGCCAGGCACACTGATGTCTGGGGGAAAAGCAGGAGAGGTCCTGAGTGGAGATGAGCCCCCAGAGGACTTCAGGTGGGGGATACAAGAGGATAGCACCTGCCCTTCGTGCCCTGCCATTGATTTCTGTCTAGGTGAGCCAAGTATTAGTGTGAGGAAGCGGGATGGAGAGATACAGAAAGGGGACGGGCTGGTGTGGCCAAAGGCTTATCTCAGTCCGGGGCACTGGTCAAGCTCAAGGAGATAATGTCCATGAGTCACAGAAGGATTTGCGTTTCCACCATCGCCAGACCGACACGCTCACATGCACGTCCCACCTGCTCTGATGACCAGACCCCACCCTCCTCACCTGAGACGTTACCACCCACGTAGATGGCTATCGTAACGGCCAGAGAGCCAGCCAGAAACATGGTGAAGAAGTTGCCTTTGGTTTCTCCACTGGTGACAGCCTGGGCCACAGCTCCTTGGGTGAGGAGCTGCTGAGAAGAGGAGAGATGAGGAACAGGGAGCCCAGGAGTCCAACAGGGAGAAAGGTTGGGAAGGCCAGGGGAGCAGCCAAGGAGATGAATGAGCACGGAAGACAAGCAAGGGAAGGAGAAAAGCAGAAGGAGGGAAGGGAAAAGAAATGGGGAAAGTGGAGGAAGAAGAAAGGGAAAGAATGTGGGAAAAAAGGAAGAAAAGTGACAAGAATAAAAATGATGAAGTAGGAGAGGAAAGGAGATTAGGAGAGACGAGAGGATGCAAATGAAAACTGATAGGGAGTTGAGAGGAAGGGGGACGCCAAGAGAAAGAGATGAGGACACCAGAAGGAGCCAGGAACTTTTGCCCAACCCCCTTCTTTCCTTCCCCCAGTGACCCTACCTACCATGAGTACAAACACACCCAGAAACTCTGCCAGGCACTGCCGGGCCAGGAGGCTGCATATCCGGAGGTGGCCCATGATTTCAGCCGGGGCCTGAGTGAAGACCATGGTGGAAACACCCTGTTGCTGTTCACTGCTCCCTCTGTCTGCATAGGCACACTGCCACTGTGCAGCTACTGCCTGTCCCCAGCAAAGATAAGGAAGAGACTGTTGCGGGAAGTTAGGGACCCCAAACGGAGGGACCGGCTGAAGCCATGGCAGAAGAACGTGGATTGTGAAGATTTTATGGACATTTATTAGTTCCCCAAATTAATACTTTTATAATTTGTTATGCCTGTCTTTACTGTAATATTTAAATATAAATTGTGAAGATTTTGCACTTTGGTTCACACCTATAATCCCAGCACTTTGGGAGGCCGAGGTGGGCGGATCACTTGAGGTCAGGAGTTCGAGCCCAGCCTGACTAACATGCTGAAACCCTGTATCTACTAAAAATACAAAAATTAGCTGGGCATGGTGGTAGGCACCTGTAATCCCAGCTACTCAGCAGGCTGAGGCAGGAGAATCTCTTGAACCTAGGAGGCCGAGGTTGCAGTGAGCTGAGATAGCGCCATTGCACTCCAGCCTAGGTGACAGAACGAGACTCCATCTCAAAACAAACAAACAAACAAACAAACAAAAACCATTAGCTCAATTCCTGAACAGCATCTACTGTCTGTGCACATGTGTAGGCTAGGAAACAGAGAGATAACAGGAGAATGTCTGGGAGCAGGCTATGAGCACAGAATCTGAAGTTTGCCCAATCTCTGTCTCTTCTATCCTTCATTCCCATTCATCACAGGACTAGCCTCCCCTATCCTGACAAATGGAAGGAAGTACCCTGCTTCATATACGTTAGATCTCTTGGTCCTGAAGTCAGCTCTGCAAAATAGTACTATTGCTTCCATTCTACAGATGAGGCTAGTGGGCCTTAGAACTCCCCAAGATCATACAATTTTTTGTTTCTGGTTTTTGTTTTTTTTTTCAGACAGTCTTGCTCTGTCGCCCAGGCAAGAGTGCAGTGGCACCATCTTAGCTCACTACAACCTCCACCTCCCAGGTTCAAGCGATTCTCCTGCCTCAGCCTCCCAAGTAGCTGGGACTACTGGTGTGCACCAGCATGCCCAGCTAATTTTTATATTTTTTAGTAAAAATGGGGTTTCACCATGTTGGCCCGTCTGGTCTCAAACTCCTGACCTCTAGTGATCCACCTTCCTTGGCCTCCCAAAGTACTGGGATTACAAGCGTGAGCCACCATGTCTGGCCCAAGATCACACAACTATTTCATGGCTGAGTGAATTCAAATCCAGATCTTCTGACTCTCCAACTGGTAACCCACAAAGCCTCTCATTTAGAACCTGAAGCCTTTCCCCAAACCATTTGGATGCTTGAAGAACTCAATAGGCATCTGGAGAGACTGGGCTAAAGACCATAGACTGTGGGAATGAAACTCACACATTGAGTGCTTGTACTTTCCTTATGCCAAGTGTCACACAGGTTAGAGAATACTCCATCTTTGGCCGGGCACGGTGGCTCAGGCTGTAATCCCAACACTTTGGGAGGCCGAGGCGGGCCGATCACGTGGTCAGGAGATTGAGACCATCCTGGCTAACATGGTGAAACCCCATCTCTACTAAAAATACAAAAATTAGCAGGGCATGGTGGCGGGTGCCTGTAGTCCCAGCTACTCGGGAGGCTGAGGCAGGAGAATCGCTTGAACCCGGGAGGCGGAGGTTGCGGTGAGCTGAGATCGCACCTCTGCACTCCAGCCTGGGCGACGGAATGAGACTCTGTCTAACAAAAAAAAAAAAAAGAATACTCCATCTTTGTGTCCCCTGACATGGCTTGACATGAGGCCTTCACACTCATGCTGAGCTCCACCTGGCCTTCTCTGGGTGCATGCCACTCTTGCTCTGCATGAAGTAACTGCATCCTACTTCTTCATATCTCAAGCCTCCAATTAAATGCATTCAAAGTATCTACTTGTAGACACTGGAGAAACAGTGGTGAACAAAACATAGTCTCTGCCCTCCTAGAGCTTACGTTCTAGTAGGTGGAAACAGACAATATGCAGTTTTTTTTTTCTCTTGAGATGGAATTTCACTCTTGTTGCCCAGGCTGGAGTGCAGTGATGCGATCTCGGCTCACCGCAACCTCTGCCACCCGGGTTCAAGTGATTCTCCTGCCTCAGCCTCCCGAGTAACTGGGATTACAGGCATGTGCCACCAAGCTCGGCTAATTTTGTATTTGTTAGAGACGGGGTTTCTCCATGTTGGTCAGGCTGGTCTAGAACTCCCAACCTCAGGTGATCCGCCAGCCTCGGCCTCCCAAAGTGCTGGGATTACAGATGTGAGCCACTGCGCCCAGCCAATATGCAGTTTTAAAAAATACCATATACGGGCCAGGTGAGGTGGCTCAAGCCTATAAATCTAGCACTTTGGGAGGCTGAGGCAGGTGGATCATTTTTAGTCAGCCTGGCTACTCTGGAGGCTGAGGCAGGAGAATCACTCAAATCCAGGAGGCAGAGGTTGCAGTGAGCAGAGATCGTGCCACTACACTCCAGCCTAGGTGACAAGAGCAAGACTCCCTCAAAAAAAAACAAAAACAAACAAACAAAAAAACTAATCACCACATCAAGGCAGACTATAAAAGCCAACAGGCCTTTTTGACAGCATTTAAGGAAAACCTAATCCCTTGTATCCATTGGGCATTGAGTGAAGGAGCAGCTCAAGTGTTAATTATATAAGTAGTAGATCTTTAGAGAAGGTTGAATTCTCAGCCCCTGTAGATCTCCTATGCCAAGGTTAGGGTCAAAAAGAAAAACTGTAGGATCTTGAGACGGGATAGAGACATCTAAGTAGATACAACAGAATCTTGAGTCCCCAGATTCCTCTGAAACCTCTGTCCAAGCCTGCAGAGTTAGCTCACTATATATATATATATATATATGTGTGTGTGTGTGTGTGTGTGTGTGTGTGTGTGTGTGTGTATGTGTGTGTGTGTTTTGAGACAGCGTCTGTGTTAGTCCATTTTCATGCTGCTAGTAAAAACATACCGAGACTGGGTAATTTATTACAGGAAAAAGGTTTAATGGACTCACAGTTCCACATGGCTGGGGATGCCTCACAATCATGGCAGAAGGCAAGGAGGAGCAAGTCACATCTTACATGGATGGCAGCAGGCAAAGAGAGCTTGCCCAGGGAAACTCCTTCTTATAAAACCATCAGATCTCTGGCCAGGTGCAGTGGCTCATGCCTGTAATCGCAGCATTTTGGGAGGTGTAGGCGGGCAGATCACCTGAGGTCAGGAGTTCAAGACCAGCCTGACGAACATGGCGAAAACGTGTCTCTACTAAAAATACAAAAAATTAGCCAGGCATGGTGGCAGGCACCTGTAGTTCCAGCTACTTGGGAGGCTGAGGCAGGAGGATCTCTTGAACCCGGGAGGCAGAGGCTGCAGCAAGCCTAGATGGCACCATTGCACTCCAGCCTGGGCAACAAGACCAAAACTCTGTCTCAAACAACAACAATAACAACAAAACTATCAGATCTCGTGAGACTTACTCACTATCACAAGAACAGCATGGGAAAGACCTACCCCCCATGATTTAATTACCTCCCACCAGGTCACTCCCACAACACGAGGGAATTCAAGATGAGATTTGGGTGGCGACACAGTCAAACCATATCAGGGTCTCACTCTGTTGCCCAGGCCGGAGTGCAGTAGTGCAATCTTAGCTCACTGCAACCTCCATCTCCTGGGCTCAAACAATTCTCGTGTCTCAACCTCCAGAGTAGCTGGGACTACAGGCATGTGCCACCATGCCCAGTTGGCTCACTCTTCACTTGCAAAATGATCATACAAAGGCTTCAAAGGAAGCAGGTGCTTTACAAGATGATACTCATCCTCTCCAGGATCTATCGCCACCTCCTCTCCTGGCAACAAGACAAATAACAAGGATTGAATTCTAGCAAAGACCCAAAAAGAATGTTCTGGCCTACTAAGAGAAGGGAGAAAATATATGGTAAAGGAACTTCAGGATCTTGTTAATATGTACCTGCAGAATTTGGGAGAGACACATGGAACTGGATACTGAGAATGTTGGATCAAGGGAGGTGGAACACAAAGTTAGACATGGAAGGTATAGATATGGAAGAATTTATTGATATGGGAACACTCGCCTGTGACATAGGATTTAACACCCTGGTGTAACCACCCAATGGGTTCACCTTGCCCACTGCCTAGACAGAGATGATTTATCAAGGCAGGGGAATTCCAAAAGAGAAAGAGTAATTCACACAGAGCTGGCTGTGCAGGAGACCAGAGTTTTATTATTACTGAAATCCGTCTCCCCAAACATGAGGGGATCAGAGTTTTTAAGGGCGTCTTAGTGAGTGGGGGAAGTCAGTGAGCCAGGAGTGCTGATAGGTCAGGTCAGAGATGAAATCATAAGGAGTCGAAGCTGTCTTCTTGTGCTGAGTCAGTTCCTGGGTGGGGGCCACAAGATCAGATGAGCCAGTTAATCGATCTGGGTGGTGCTAGTTGATCCATCAAGTGCAGAGTCTGCAAAATATCTCAAGCACTGATCTTAGGAGCAGTTTAGAGAGGGTCAGAATCTTGTAGGCTCCAGCTGCATGACTCCTGAATCATAATTGCTAATCTTTTTTTTTTTTTTCTGTCTTGCTCTGTCACCCAGGCTGGAGTGTAGTGGGGCAATCTCAGCTCAATGCAACCTCCACCTACTGGGTTCAAGTGATTCTCCTGCCTTACCTCCTGTAAAAATTGATTAGATCATGGCAGATGGCAGCAGTGTACCCCAAACTTAACCAAACAACAACCCCAATTGCAGTTGCTGTGTCCCACATGGTAACTTTGTAAAACAGTTTATTATAGCCCCCGGGTGTTGGTGTACGCCATTAATTTGGTTTGTGAATGTTATTTTCCATCCCAAATAGATCAGAAGGAGAATCAGAAGCAGGATCATTTGCATCCACATGGGAAGGACAACAATGTTTGTTTATGGGCTTGTCCCAAGATTATGTTTTTTTGTTTTGTTTTGTTTTGGAGATAGTCTCACTCTGTCACCCAGCCTGGAGGGCAGTGGCACAATCTCAGCTCACTGCAACCTCCGCTTCCTGGGTTCAAGCAATTCTCCTGCCTCAGCCTCTTGAGTAGGGGGATAACAGGTGCACGCCACCACGTCCAGCTAATTTTTGTAATTTTAGTAGAGATGGGGTTTAGTCATGTTGGCCAGGCTGGTCTCGAACTCCTAACCTCAAGTGATCTGCCCACCTTGGCCTCCCAAAGTGTTGGGATTAGAGGCATGAGCCACCATGTCTGGCCAGTTCTGCCTTCTTAACATTTTTTGTTTTTTGTTTTTGAGATGGAGTTTCGCTCTTGTTGCCCAGGCTGGAGTGCGATGGTGCAATCTTGGCTCACTGCAACCTCCGCCTCCCAGGTTCAAGCAATTCTCCTGCCTCAGCCTCCCAAGTAGCTGGGATTACAGGTGTACACCACCATGCCCAGCTAATTTTGTATTTTTAGTAGAGACAAGGTTTCACCATGTTAGTCAGGCTGGTCTCGAACTCCTGACCTCAAATGATCTGCCTGCCTCGGCCTCCCAAAGTGCTGGGATTACAGGCGTGAGCCACCATGCCTGACTCCAGGATTATGTTAACTCTCTGGCCCTTTGTCATAATATACTCTGAAGGCATCTTGACTACATGAACATTCTGAAGAACATCATATTAGCTCCAAAGCAAGCTTCAAAGCAAGTGGCCCAGTCTACTGTATATGTATAACATCATGCTAATCATACGGGAAGAGCAAGAAGTATCCTTGGAAAGATACATGTATTCAGAGAGTGGGAAATAAAACCCTGCAAAGTTTCAGGAAATTTCTACATTGGTTAAGTTTTTAGAGGTCCAGTGGTCTGAGACATGCTGGGATATCTATCCAAAGTCAAGGTCAGATATTGCATCTCATGCCTCCCACCACTAAGAAAAAAAGAAGTGCGATGCCAATCTTCTTAGGACTCTGGAGCAATATTTCACAGTTAGGAATACAACCCTGACCAATTTACTAGCTGACACTGAAAGACATCAACTTTGAGTGGGGCCAAAAGCAGAAAAGGCCTCTGCAGCCTTGTGACCTAGCAGAACGTAAGAGACTGGAATGTCTGTGGTTGGAGAAGATGTTGGTTTTGGTTTGGCAAGCTCTCAGAGGAGAATCATAATGTAGGCCCCTGAAGCTCTGGAGCAAATCCATGCCATCTGCAGCAGGAAAATACCCACCACTTGAAAAGCAGCTCTTGAAATGCTCCTGGGCTCCGGTAGAGACACAGAACCTGACTATAGGACATCAAGTAACCAAGTGGCCAGAACTAACCATCAAAAGCTGGGCTCTGTCAGATCCTCCATGTCATTAGGAAGAGTGGGCCCAGCAAGAACATATTGTGGCGACAGAGTGAGACCCTGTCTCAAAAAACAAAACAAAACAACAACAACAACAAAAACATTGTAAGATAGAGGTGGCATCTTTGATATCAGGCATAAGCAGGATCAGAGGGCAAAGCAAGCTTCAAAGCAAGTGGCCCAGACTCCCAGGTCACTCAGCAGTGTTGCACTGACATCTCTCTTCAGCTCTCACCTATGGCCCTGTCAGGGATCCCTGTGACTTGCTGACAGGGAAGGCAAAAGCCCAAGCTTTGCTCACAGATGGATTGGCATGGTAAACGGGGAAAAGCCAAAAAAGAGAATCCTGCTGCATTGCAGCCTCACTCAGAAGCAGCTCTGGAAGATAGTGGTGAGGGGAAATCCTTCCAGGGACAAAGATTTGGACAGTATATCTGGTCATCCCCTTTGTGTGGAAAGAGAAGTAGCCCTACATGAGAATATTCACATGGGCAGAATATTCACACAGTCACATAGTCAGTGGCAAATGCCCCGGTTGGTTCGTCAAGGGCTTGAGAAGAAAGAGTGAAAGAACAAGGACAAAAAGGTCTGAGAGCCAGGGCATGGTGGCACACGCCTGTGGTCCAGCTTGGGAGGCTGAGGTAAGAGGATTGCTTGAGCCCAGGAATTCAAGGCTTCAGTGAGCTATGATTGCAGCCCTGCACTCCAGTCTGGGCAACAGAGTGAGACTCTGTAACGATAGGAGTGGTCTTGAAGTGTACGATCTTTGTACAACATGTTATGCCCACCAGAGAGCATCCATTACAAAGGAAGCATTGAACAGATAAGTAGACAGAATGACTCAGCCATTGTCATCAGCCACCCCAGCTCTGAACAATGGGTACAATGAATGGAGTAACTGGTCGTAGAGATGGAGGTGATGCATGGGCCCACCAGCATGAGCTCTGTGATGACTAATTTTAGGTGTCAACTTGACTGGATTGAGGGACGCCTCCATGGCTGGTGAAGCATTGTTTCTGGATATGTCTATGAGGGTGTTTCCAGGGGAGATTGACATATGAGTCAGTAGACTGAGCTTTAAAATCCCCTCTTCTTCTCTCTCTCTCTCTCCCTCCAGTATATCCTATTGGTTCTGTCTCTCTGGAGAACCCTGACTAATACAAACTCCTACTCACCAAGGCTGAAATAGCTATGGCTGCTGCCAGTGTTCAATCTGTCATTAATAAACGCCAGGGCTAAGCCCCCATATGGTTCTATCCCACGAGAAGAACAAGCAGCCGTTCAGGGACAAGTTGATGACATTATACCCCACCACCTTTGACTGAAATTGACACGTATTCTGAATATAGGTTTGCCTTTCCTGCCCATAGGGTCTGCCCGTAACTAGTACCACTCTCCAAGGACTTACAGAGTGTTTGATCCATCAACATGAAGTCTGGCCGGGCACGATGGCTCACACCTGTAATCCCAGCACTTTGGGAGGCTGAGGCGGTTGGATCACTTGAGGCTAAGAGTTTGAGATCAGCCTGGCCAATGTGGTGAAACCCCGTCCCTACTAAAAATACAAAAATTAGCAGGGCATGGTGGTGCGCACTTATAATCCCAGCTACTTGGGAGACTGAGGCAGGAGATTTGCTTGAACTTGAGAGGCAGAGGTTGCAGTGAGCCAAGATCATGCCAATGCACTCCATCCAGGGCCACACAGTGAGACTCCAACAACAATAACCAAAAAAAAAAAAAAAAAAAAAACATGGAAAACAATGAAATCTGAATTACATTACTCTAAAAGATCAACATTACAGCAGTGGGGATATGGCAGTGGGCATGTGACAAAAGGATCTACTGATCTTTCTTTTTTTTGAGATGGAGTCTCTGTTGCCCAGGCTGGAGTGCAATGGCACAATCTCAGCTGACCTGCTACCTCCACTTCCCAGGTTCAAACAATTCTCCTGCCTCAGCCTCTCAAGTAGCTGGGATTACAGGCACCCGCCACCACGCCTGGCTAATTTTTGTATTTTTAGTAGAGACAGGGTTTCACTATGTTGGCCAGGCTAGTCTTGAACTCTTGACCTCAGGTGATCTGCCTGCCCCCAAAATGCTGGGATTACAGGCATGAGCCACTGTGCCAAGTTCTTTTTTTTTTTTTTTTGAGACGGAGTCTCACTCTGTCACCCAGGCTGGAGTGCAATGGCGCGATCTCGGCTCACTGCACACTCCGCCTCCTAGGTTCAAGCGATTCTCCTGCCTCACCCTTCTGAGTAGGTGAGATAACAGGCGCATGCCACCAAGCTTGGCTAATTTTTGTATTTTTAATAGAGACAGTGTTTTGCCATGTTGGCCAGGCTGGTCTCGAACTCCTGACCTCAAGTGATCCACCTGCCTCGGCCTCCCAAAATGTTGGGATTACAGGTGTGAGCCACTGTGCCTGGCCTTTTTTTTTTTTAGATGGAGTTTTGCTCTTGTTGCCCAGGCTGGAGTGCAGTGGCGCGAACTTGGCACACTGCAATCTCCACCTCCTGGGTTCAAGTGATTCTCCTGCCTCAGCCTCCTGAGTAGGTGGGATTACAGGTGCGCGCCACCGTGCACAGCTAATTTTTTGTATTTTTGGTAGAGATGGGGTTTCATCATGCTGGCCAGGCTGGTCTCGAACTCCTGACCTCAAGTGGTCCACCCACCTCGGCCTCCCAAAGTGCAAGGATTACAGGCATGAGCCACTGCGCCCAGCCTTGTTTTTTAAATTAAAGACAGTCTTGCTCTGTCAGCCAGGCTAGACTGCAGTGGCGTGATCATAGCTCACTGCAAGCTCAACCTCTTGGGCTCAAGCAATCCTCCTGTCTCAGTCTCCTAAAGTGCTGGGATTACAGGCGTGAGCCTCCATGCCTGGCCAGGAAGAATACTTTGGCATTCAGGTCATCCACTGGGATGCCTCTTGGTGCTACTGTGATCAATTCTAACAGTAAATAGAAAAGAATTCTAACAGTAAATAGAAAAGTATAGCAGCCACATGGTAACCAAAGGCACTCTCAGGATTTAGGGTCTGGGTCACTCTGCTACCCAGCTCTCTAGACCAGCAGAAGTGCTAGCCAAAGGTGAGGAGAATCTGGCATTAGTGGTACAGGAGGGGATAATGAGAAGTTCTTAGAACCTCAAAACTAATTGCAGCAGTAAAAAGGCTATAAACTTTTCCACTTAATCCTTCTCTCAAAGTTCCCCCAGGAAATGAAACCAATCAGAACGCTATAGATGCTTTTCCCCAACAGGGCAAACTAACTATAAGAAGAATGAATTGGGTCGGGCGCGATGGCTCACGCCTGTAATCCCAGCACTTTGGGAGGCCGAGGCAGGTGGATTACCTGAGGTCAGGAGTTCAAGACCAGCCTGGCCAACATGGTGAAACAACATCTCTACTAAAAATACAAAAAAAAAAAATTAGCTGGGCATTGTGGCTTATGCCTGTAATCCCAGCTACTCAGGAGGCTGAGGCAGGAGAATCACTTGAACCCGGGAGGCAGAAGTTGCGGTGAGCTGAGATTGCACCATTGCACTCCAGCCTGGGCAACAAGAGCGAAACTCCGTCTCAAAAAAAAAAAAAGAAAATTTAGCTGGGCGTGGTGGTGCACGCCTGTAATCCCAGCTACTCCGGAAGCTGAGGCAGGAGAATCGCTTGAACCTGGAAGGCAAAAGTTTCAGTGAGCAGAGATTGTGCCACTGCACTCCAGCCTGGACGGCAGAGTGAAACGCTGTCTCAAAAAGCAAAAAACAACAACAACAAAAAGAAGAATGAATCATGCGGTGGCTCGCGCCTGTAATCCCAGCACTTTGGGAAGCTGAGGCGGGTGGATCACGAGGTCAGGAGTTCAAGACCAGCCTGGCCAAGATGGTGAAACCCCATCTCTACTAAAAATACAAAAAAATTTAGCCGGGTGTGGTGGCAGGCGCCTGTAATCCCAGCTACTTGGGAGGCTGAGGTAGAGAATTGCTTGAACCCAGGAAGCAAAGTTGCAGTGAGCCAAGATCGCCCCACTGCACTCCAGCCTGGGCGACAGAGCGAGACTCTGTCTCAAAAAAAAAAAAAAAAGGATCTGAGTAGTGCAAGTGGTAAACTGTAGAAAACACCGGTGTTTCACCCAGATTCCCTTTCTAGGATCATAAGCCTACTCCCCAGCTGCTAGGAATATCAGCCACTGATGGCCCACCGCTGCCTCCCTCACTGGACATTACCATCAGCCACAGGAAATTGTTTTGACCTTTCTTTCCTGCAGCCAATGATTGGCTAATGCAGTGACACAAAATCATGGTCCCTTTGCCTTCATTTGGGACAGCTCTGAAAAATTATCTTCATTCCAGGGCTGTCTGTAAAATCCAAGGATCAGTTAAGGTTCTGCTGCAACCACATTGTGTGTCAGCTACTCCCTCTGCTCAATTCTGCCTTCTTAACTTAAAAAAAAATTTTTTTTTCTGCTGGGTGTGGTGTCTCATGCCTGTAATCCCAGCACTTTGGGAGGGTGAAGTGGGTGGATCATTTGAGGTCAGGAGTTCGAGACCAGCCTGACCAACATAGTGAAACTCTGTCTCTAATAAAAATACAAAATTAGCCAGGTGTGTTGGCGCATACACCTGTAATCCCAACTACTCAGGAGGCTGAGGCAGGAGAATCACTTGAACTCAGGAGGCAGAGGTTGCACTGAGCCGAGATCGCACCACTGCACTCCAGCCTGGGTGACAGAGCATGACTGTCCCCCGCCACCAAAATTGGTTTTTAAAATATTTTCTTCCCTCAGAGATCCCTGTTCTGAATGTTTTTATTTATTTATTTATTTATTTATTTATTTATTTATTTATTTGGTAGATATGGGGGTCTCACTATGTTGCCCAAGCTGGTCTTGAACTCCTGATCTCAAGTGATCATCCCACCTCAGCCTCTCAAAGTATTGGGATTACAGGCAGGAGCTGCCACACCCAGTCTGACTTTTGATATTCTTTAACCTGAAAGACTCAAGGAGGGTGGCTAATGGTACAAAGTGTGTGGGTTGGAAAAACTAAATGTCTTAGATTGGTTCTCCCTGGAAACAGGCCCTGATATGGAGAGTTCCATGTAGAAGGTTTATGTGGCAGTGATCTTCAGAGATACACTTGTGAAGAAGTAAAGTGGCTGGGCGCGGTGGTTCATGCCTTCCATCCCGGGCGTGAGAATCACTTGAGCCCAGGAATTCGAGACCAGCCTGGTCAACATAGTGAGACATACCCCCATTCAGGCCTGGCTCTTTTATTCTTCTTTTTCTGGTAAAGGAATAAAAGAATGGCTACTCCATAAGCAGAGCAGCCCCGGCTCTTTAACAAAAAACAACAAACACATTTAGGGCTGAGTGCGGTGGCTCAAGCCTGTAATCTCCACACTTTGGGAGGCTGAAGTGGGAGGATCACTTGAGGCCAGGAGTTCAAGACCAGCCCCCTGGACAGCATACTAAGACCCCCATCACTACAAAAAAAAAGAAAAAAAAATCAAAAGGAAAGAAAAGAATATCAAAAGTCACCATATACGGCTGGGTGCCGTGGCTCACGCCTATAATCCTAGCATTTTGGGAAGCCAAGGTGGGTGGATTGCTTGAACTCAGAAGTTTGAGACCAGCCTGGGCAACATGATGAAACCACGTCTCTACAAAAAATACAAAAAATTAGCCAGGCATGGTGGAGCATGCCTGTAGTTCCAGCTACCTGGGGAGCTGAGGTGGGAGGATCACTTGAGCCCAGGAGGTCGAGGATGCAGTGAGCCAAGATCTCGGCCACTGCACTCCAGCCTGAGTAACAAAGTGAGAGCCTGTCTCAAAAAAAAAAAAAAGTCACCATATCCTGCATCGAGATCTCTCCCCTGTCACTTTGAAAAAGAAGAAAAAATTGGTTTTATTTTCATAGTTTCTAAAGTAATATGTGCTTATTATTCTTATACCACATACTCATGTTTCCAGGTAGAAGAACTTCTATTAGACCTTTTTTTTTTTTTTTTTTTTGAGACAGAGTTTTGCTCTGTGTCATCCAAACTGGAGTGCAATGGCGTGATCTCAGTTCACTACAACCTCTGCTTCCCAGGTTCAAGCAGTTCTTCTGCCTCAGCCTCCCAAGTAGCTGGGATTACAGGCACCCACCACCATTCCCAGCTAATTTTTTTTGTATTTTTAGTAGAGATGGGGTTTCACCATGTTGGCCAGGCTGGTCTCAAACTCCTGACCTCAGGTGATCCACCCGCCTTGGCCTCCCAAAGTGCTGAGATTACAGGCATGAGCCACTGTGCCTGGCCTAGACCAGTTTTTAAAACCAGGAATACTACTATCTCATAGGGAGAATTTTGAAAATTTGTAAGGCCAGGTGTGTGAGTACACGCCTGTAAATCCAGCACTTTGGGAAGCTGAGGTGGGCAAATTGCTTGAGCCCAGGAGTTTGAGACCAGCCTGGGCAACATGGCAAAAGCCCTTTTCTACAAAAAATACAAAAATTAGCCAGGCATGGTGGTGCATGCCTGTGGTCCCAGCTACTCAGAAGGCTGAGATGGGAGAATTGCTTGAACCCAGAAGGTTGAGGCTGCAGTGAGCCGAGATCACGCTGCTACAATCCAGCCTGGGCAACAGAGACCCTGTCTCAAAAAAAAAAATTGTAGTCAGAATTTTTGTCAATGTTGTTTCACAATGGGTGGGAAAGGGGCAGTAATTCTTACATTTAGTAGTCAGAGTCCAGATATTCTAAACATTCTGCAAGACACGCAACAAAGACTTGTTCTATGTATGTCCTACATGACTTTAGAATGTCCTACCATAGTGCATATAGGTGAAAAACTTGTTTATAATTATATGATCTCAGAATGTGACTCTTTTTTGTATATAAATACAAAGTAATTTTAGCAGATTTTTTTTTTCTTTTTTTTTTTGAGATGGAGTCTCACTCTGTCACCCAGGTTGGAGTGCAGTGGTGCGATCTCAGCTCACTGCAACCTCTGCCTCGCGGGTTCAAGCGATTATCCTGCCTCAGCCTCCTGAGTAGCTGGAATTACAGGTGCCTGCCACCATGGCTGGCTAATTTTTGTATTTTTAGTAGAGACAGCGTTTCACCATGTTGGCCAGCCTGGTCTTGAACTCCTGACCTCAGGTGATCTGCTTGCTTCTGCCTCCCAAAGTGCTGGGATTATAGGCATGAGCCACCTTGCCTGGCCCTAATTTTAAAATTTTTTTGTGGAGATGGGGGTCTCCTTATGTTGTCCAAGCTAGTCTTGAACTTCTGAGCTCAAGTGATCCGCCCACCTCAGCCTCCCAAAGTTCTGGGATTACAGGCGTAAGCCACCACACCTGGCCTCTCTTTATCCTCTTATTTTGCTTTTTGTTTGTTTGTTTGTTTGTTTTGAGACAGAGTCTTGCTCTGTTGCCCAGGCTGGAGTGCAGTGGTGCGATCTTGGCTCACTGCAACCTCTGCCTCCCGGGTTCAAGTGATTCTCCTGCCCCAGGCTCCCAAGTAGCTGGGATTACAAGTGTGCGCCACCATGCCTGGCTAATTTTTGTATTTTTAGTAGAGACAGGCTTTCACCATGTTGGCCAGGCTGGTCTTGAACACCTGACCTCAGGTGATCCACCCGCCTCCACCTCCCAAAGTGCTGGGATTACAGGCTTGAGCCACTGTGCCTGGCCTGTTCTTTAAGTGTTGACATGATTTAGCAATAAAGCATCTGGACCTGGGCATTTTCTTGTGGGACGATTTTAAATCCAAATTCTTTTCCTTTTCCTTGGTATAGGTCTATTTGGATTTTCTTTTTTTCTTTCTTTAGTTAGCTTTGTTAATTTGTCTCTTTCTAGGGTTTTCTCCATATCATTTAAATTCCCTACAATTCCTTCCTTCCTTCCTTCTTTCTTTCTTTCTTTTTTTTTTTTTTTTTTTTTGACGGAGTCTCACTCTGCCGCCCAGGCTGGAGTGCAGTGGCATGATGTTGGCTCACTGCAGCCTCCACCTCCTGGATTCAGGCAATTCTCCTGCCTCAGCCTACTGAGTAGCTGGGACTACAAGCATTCGCCACTACGTCTGGCTAATTTTTTTGTGTTTTTAATACAGACAGGGTTTCACTATGTTGACCAGGCTGGTCTCAAACCCCTGACCTCATTTGATCTGCCCGCCTCGGCCTCCCAAACTGCTGGGATTACAGGCATGAGCCACCACACTTGGACAAGATGTCCCTTCTTTCATTCTTGATTTTGGTAATGTGTATGTTCTTTCCTCTTTTCTTGGGCAATCTAGCTAAAGATATGTCTGTTTTGTTGATCTTTCCAAATAACTAGTAGTATTACTCTATATATATAGTACATTTGCTTTTATTTTTTCTTTTATTTACATGTAAAAATATGGAGTGCTTCACAAATTTGCATGCCATTCTTATACGGGAGACTGGCTAATCTTCTCTGAATTGTTCAAATTTTAGTATATGTGGTAGCCAATTGTCTTTAAACAAGTTGACCGTGATGTGTCTAGGTATTTGAGGTTTATTGAGATTCTTAGATGTGTAATGTTTTTCATCAAATTTGAAAAGTTTTTGGCTATTATTTTTTTTGTTTGTTTTTTGAGATGGAGTCTCACTCTGTCTCCAGGCTGGAGTTCAGTGACAAGATCTCAGTTCACTGCAATCTCTGCCTCCCAGGTTCAAGCGATTCTCCTGCCTCTAAAGTTTTTGTTTTCTATTTCATTGATTTTTCAGTCTGGCGTTTATTATGTTCTTTCTTCTATTTACTTTATGTTTGATTTACTCTTATTTTTCCAGCTTCTTGAAGTGAAAGATTGGATTATTGATTTTATTTTATTTTGTTTTTTATTTTTTTGAGGTAGAGTCTTGCTCTGTCACTCAGGCTGGAGTGCAGTGGTACAATGTCGGCCAGCTACAACCTCTGCCTCCCAGGTTCAAGCGATTCTCTGTCTCAGCCTCCCAAGTAGCTGGGATTACAGGCATGTGCCACCACACCCAGCTAGTTTTTGTATTTTTAGTAGAGATGGGGTTTCGGGTTTCGTCATGTTGGCCTGGCTGGTCTCAAACCCCTGACCTCAGGTGATCCACCTGCCTCGGCCTCCCAAAATGCTGGGATTACAGGCGTGAGCCACCATGCCCAGCCTAGATTATTGATTGTAGACCTTTCTTTCTTTCTACTAAAGGCATTTAAGCTACAAATCTTCTTCTAAGCATTGCTTTAGCTTTATCCCTTAAATCTTTCTTTTCTTTTTTTTTTTTTTTTTTTTTTTGAGACAGAGTCTCAGTCTGTCACCCAGGCTGGAGGCTAGAGTGCAGTGGTGCCAATTTGGCTCACTGCAACCTCTGCCTCCCGGGTTCAAGTGATTCTCATACCTCAGGCTCCCGAGTAGCTGGGACTACAGGTATGCACCATCATGCCCAGCTAATTTTTTGTATTTTGTTATTTATTTATTTATTTATTTAGAGACGGAGTCTCGCTCTGTTGCCCAGGCTGGAGTGCAGTGGCAAGATCTCAGCTCACTGCAAGCTCTGCCTCCCAGGTTCATGCCATTCTCCTGCCTCAGCCTCCTAAGTAGCTGGGACTACAGGTGCCTGCCACCACACCTGGCTAATTTTTTGTATTTTTAGTAGAGACAGGTTTTCACCATGTTAGCCAGGATGGTCTCGATCTCCTGACCTCATGATCTGCCTGCCTCTGCCTCCCAAAGTGCTGGGATTACAGGCGTGAGCCACCGTGCCCAGCCTTGTTATTTATTTTGACATGGAGTCTTGCTCTGTTGCCCAGGCTGGAGTGCAGTGGTGTGATCTTGGCTCACTGCAACCTCCGCCTCCCAGCTTCAAGTGATTCTCCTGCCTCAGCCTCCCGAGTAGCTGGCATTACAGGTGCCCGCCACCACACCCAGCTAATTTTTTTGTAGTTTTAGTAGAGACGGGGTTTTGCCATGTTGGCCAGGCTGGTCTCAAACTCCTGACTTCAAGTGATCCACTTGCCTCGGCCTCCCAAAGTGCTGGGATTACTGGTGTTAGCCACCACGCCCAGCTAATTTTTTTTTGTATTTTTATTACAGTCAGGGTTTTGCCATGTTGGCCAGGCTGGAACTAGTTAATTTTTAAAAATTTTTATGTAGTGATGGTGCCTTGCCATGTTGTTCAGGCTAGTCTCAAACTCCTGAGCTCAAGTAGTCCACCTGCCTTGGCTTCCCAAAGTGCCGAGATTACAGGCATGAGCCACCACACATGGCCGTAATTTTCTTTCAGCTCTTAAAATATCTCATTCCATTGCCTCCTGGTCTCCATTGTTTCTGAAGAGAAGTCTGCCGTTAATTGTGTACTTCTTCCCCCATATTTGATGAGTCTTTTTTTCTTGCTGTCTGAAAGATCTTTTTTGTCTTTTTATTGTAATCACTTATTTTTAAATTCATTCTTCCATGCTCAGATTTTTTGTATTCATCTGTGTATTTAACACAGTAGTATTACTCTCTATATATAGTACATTTGCTTTTATTTTTTCTTTTATTTACATGTAAAAATATGGAATGCTTCACAAATTTGCATGCCATTCTTGTACAGGAGACTGGCTAATCTTCTCTGAATTGTTCGAATTTTTGTACATGTGGTAGCCAATTGTCTTTAAACAAGTTGACCGTGATGTGTCTATGTATTTGAGGTTTATTGAGATTCTCAGATGTGTAATGTTTTTCATCAAATTTGAAAAGTTTTTGGCTATTATTATTATTTGTTGTTTTTTGAGATGGAGTCTCACTCTGTCGCTAGGCTGGAGTTCAGTGGCAAGATCTCGGTTCACTGCAATCTCTGCCTCCCAGGTTCAAGTGATTCTCCTGCCTCAGCCTCCTGAGTAGCTGGGACTACAGGCACACACCCCTACACCTGGCTAATTTTTGCATTTTTAGTAGAGATGGGGTTTCACCATGTTGGCCAGGATGGTCTCAATCTCTTGACCTTGTGATCTGCCCGCCTCGGCCTCCCAAAGTACTGGGATTACAGGTGTGAGCTACACACCTGGCCTTTGTATTATTTTTTCAACTACTTTTTTCTGACCCTTTGTCTCCTCTCCTTTGGACATGTATTACATGTATATCGGCATGCTTGATGTACCACTGGCCTCTGAGTCTTTTTGTTTTCGGTGTTTTTTTGTTT
Source organism: Homo sapiens (assembly GCF_000001405.40). NCBI lineage: Eukaryota > Metazoa > Chordata > Mammalia > Primates > Hominidae > Homo > Homo sapiens. The sequence goes on along the minus strand of NC_000001.11, from coordinate 154,294,968 downwards.
TTGTTTTTTGGTTTTTTTGTTTCTTTTTTTGAGACAGTCTTGCTTTGTCACCCAGGCTGGAGTGCAGTGACATGAACATGGTCACTGCAGCCTTGACCACCCAGGCTCAAGCGATTCTTCTGCCTCAGCCTCCCAAGTAGTTGGGACTATAGGGGCACACCACCATATCCAGCTTACTTTTGTATGTTTTGTTGAGATAGGGTTTCATCATGTTGCCCAGGCTGGTCTTAAACTCCTGGGCTCAAGCAATCCATCTGCCTCAGCCTCTCAAAGTGCTGGGATTACAGGTGTGAGCCACTGTACCCAGCTGTTCACTTTCCTGCAATCATTTTTGTCTCTGTCATTCAGACTAGATTATTATTATTGATCTATCTTCAAGTTTATTAAATTTTTCCTCTGCTATCTTAAATCTGCTATTGGGTTCATTTAGTAAAATTTTCATTTCAGTTATTTTACTTTATAATTCTAGAATTTCTGTTTGATTCTTTTTTTATAGCTTCTATTTCTCTGTTGAGATTCCATATTTATTGAGTCATTGTTAAACATTTTTATTTAATTCCTTGAACATATTTATAATATGTGCTTTAAAGTCTTTGTCTGCCAAATTCAACTTCTGGGCCTACTCAGAGTCAGTTTTTATTTTTATTTATTTTTTTTTTTTTTGAGACAGAGTCTCACTCTATCACCCAGGCTGGAGTGCAGTGGTGCCATCTCGGCTCACTGCAAGCCCCGCTTCCCAGGTTCACACCATTCTCCTGCCTCAGCCTCCCAAGTAGCTGGGACTACAGGCGCCCGCCACAATGCCCGGCTAATTTTTTTGTTAGCCAGGATGGTCTTGATCTCCTGAGCTCGTGATCTGCCAGCCTCGGCCTCCCAAAGTGCTGGGATTACAGGTGTGAGCTACTGTGCCTGGACTCAGTTTTTATTTTGTTTTTTATTGTTTTTTTTTTTGGAGACAGAGTGTTGCTCTGTCACCCAGGCTGGAGTGCAGTGGAATGATCTCAGCTCACTGCAACCTCCGCCTCCCAGGTTCAAGCAATTCTCCTGCCTCAGCCTCCCCAGTAGCTAGGATTATAGGCGCCCACCACCATGCCTGACTAATTTTTGTATTTTTAGTAGTGACAGGGTTTCATCATGTTGGCCAGGCTGGTCTCAAACACCTGACCTCAGGTGATCCACCCGCCTCGGCCTCTCAAAGTGCTGGGATTACAGGCGTGAGCCACTGCACCCGGCTAGTTTTCATTGACTTTTAAAATCAGGATATGAGTTACTGTTTTTTAGGTTTCTTCGCATGTGTCATAATTTTTTTCTTGAAAACTGATCATTTTATCCTCTTCCTCCTCTAAAAAACTGGTCATTTTAGATAATAGACTGTAATAACTCTGGATTCTGTTGTATTTTTCCGAAAGGTGGTGATGCTGGTGATGCTGATGGGGTGTGTGTGTGTGTGTGTGTGTGTGTGTGTGTAATTTGGAGTTAAACCGTAGAGTCTGGATTCTATTGTATTTTTCTGAATGGTGGTGATGCTGGTGATGCTGATGTGTGTGTGTGTGTCATTTGTCTGGAGTTAAACTGTAGAGTCTATCATTCCACAGTGTGCAGCTGCTAATGTGTCTGCTCAGTTTTTATTCTCGTTTTTTTTGTTTGTTTGTTTGTTTTGTTTTGTTTTGTTTTGTTTTGTTTTGTTTTGTTTGAGATGGAGTTTTGCTTTTGTTGTCCAGGCTGGAGTGCAATGGCATGATCTTGGCTCACTGCAACCTCTGCCTCCAGGGGTCAAGTGATTCTCCTGCCTCAGCCTCCTGAGTAGTGAGTAGCTGGGATTACAGGCATGCACTACTATGCCTGGCTAATTCTGTATTTTTAGTAGAGACAGGGTTTCTCCATGTTGGTCAGGCTGGTCTTCAACTCCTGACCTCAGGTGATCTTCCCACCTCGGCCTCCGAAAGTGCTGGGATTACAGGCATGAGCCACCATGCCCGGCCATTTATTCTTGTTTTTAAAATTTTCCCACAGGGGTCAGGCATGGTGGCTCACCTTTAATCCCAGCACTTTTGGGAGGCCAAAGCGGCTTGAGCTCAGGAGTTTGAGACCAGCCTGGGCAACATACCAAGACCCCATCTCTACTAAAAATACAAAAACTTAGCAGGTAGTGGTGGCATGTACCTGTGGTCCCAGCTACTCATGAGCTGAAGTAGGAAGATTGCTTGCGACTGGGAGGCAGAGGTTGCAGTGAACCGAGATCATGCCACTATACTTCAGCCAGGGTGACAGAGTGAGACCCCTATCTCAAATAATAATAATAATAAATTTTTCCAGCCAGGTGCAGTGGCTCATGTCTGTAATCCCAGCACTTTGGGAGGCTAAGGTGGATGGATCACCTGAGGTCAGGAGTTTGAGGCCATCCTGGCAAACATGGCGATACCCCATCTCTACTAAAAATACAAAATTTAGCCGGGCATGGTGGCACCCAGCTATACTCTCAGCTACTCGGGAAGCTGAGGTAGGAGAATTGCTTGATCCTGGGAAGTGGAGGTTTCAGTGAGCCAAGATCGAGCCATTGCACTCCAGCCTGGGCGACAGAGTTAGACTCCGTCTCAAAAAAAAAAAAATGTTCCCTCAAGGATTAGAACAGGAATTAAAAGAAATTAAAGACTGTAGGCCGGTCGCAGTGGCTCATGCCTGTAATCTCAGCACTTTGGGAGGCTGAGGTGGGTGGATCACAAGGTCAGGAGTTTGAGACCAGCCTGGCTAACACGGTGAAACTCCATCTCTACTAAAAATACAAAAAAATTAGCCAGGCATGGTGGCGGGCACCTGTAGTCCCAGCTACTCGGGAGGCTGAGGCAGGAGAATGGCGTGAACCTGGGAAGCGGGGCTTGCAGTGAGCCAAGATGGCGCCACTGCCCTCCAGCTTGGGCAACAGAGTGAGACTCTGTCTCAAAAAAAAAAAAAAAATTAAAGACTGTGTAAGCAAAAACTCAGTTGTATGTAAGAAAACCCAATTCCCCCTTGAGGAACAGAAAGGGCTGGAGTCCTTTAAAATTAACTGCCTGTTTTTCTCTCTGTGGCTAGTGAGCCTTATCTCTCCATTTACCAGGCATTGTGAAGACTCTGTTTCTCTAGCTGTGCAGCTGCAAGGTCACTAGACAGATAATCTCAAGTCGTAAAACATGTTGTTCCTTGAACAGTAAGAAATAATGTAATGCATGCCTTAACTGAATAACTGTCTTTGTCTCTCGCTTCTATAATACGCTTCCCCCCGCACAGATCTCCCCCCACCCCACGAAATGCTTAAAAGGTAGCTTGACTCTTTGTTCCAGGCTCAGTCCTTTGGATGTTAATCCAACTGGGTCAGTGAACCTAAATAATTAAATAACTCCTCCTCAATCCCTCGGTCTCTCTGATTCCTTAATTATCCCGCAGCAGTATCACCCCTATGCTTACATAGCACAGTGTTCAGCCAATGATTAGAATAAGCATTGTGTTCCAACACCTCAAGCCCATATAGCATCCACTTCTGCCAATATATCTGTTTGAAGGATGAGAAGTGTATTAAAATGTGCAGCAGTGTTCAAGTCTTCCTTGTCTTTTATTTTTCAGGGAGCTCTCTGAGCTATCCTCCATGCATATGATAGTTTCCCAGTGAGCCAGGGATGTGGGAGAGCTTATCTCAGCCCTTTTGTAGTTTCCTATTTTCCAGCTAAATTTCTGGCTTTTCCACCACTGAACACAACTAGGAGTGCTACTTTGAGTTAGTACAGCTAGAGGGTTTTTTGCCTGTTTATTTCCTACCAACTTCATATCATTCAGCTGAGAACATTGTAGGCTTTTGTCCGCCTCCACCTAACTAACTCCTACAATTTCAGTCTACCCACTGTGACAGCAAACATTGCTGATTTTCACAGCCAGTTCCATACTGGTAAAACTACAGTTCCCAGCCACCAAGGAAGTTGGATGGGAGCAGCCTCAGGCAAGAAGGCTGCAAACTCACATTGCTTTTGCTTGAAGCTGTAGCAGTTTTTCAAGAATAAAAGCTCCTCAATTTGTTTTCTGCCTTGCTCAGTTTCCAGAGACTTGAAATCATTGTTTGGGGCAATTTTATTTAATTTCATAGTTTTTTTGGTGAAGATTCACAGATCCCTTTACACTGCTATAGCCAGAAGTTCCTTGGTGTAGTTTTTATTTATTTATTTATTTTAATGTATCTTATTTTTATTTTTATTTTTTTTGAGACAGTCTCGCTGTGTTGTCCAGGCTGGAGTGCAATGGTGTGATCTCGGCTCACCGCAACCTCTTCCTTCAAGGTTCAAGCGATTCTCCTGCCTCAGCCTCCCAAGTAGCTAGGATTACAGGTGCCTGCCACCATGCCCAGGTAATTTTGTATTTTTAGTAGAGATAGGGTTTCACCATGTTGGCCAGGCTGGTCTCAAACTCCGGACCTCAGGTGATCTGCTGCCTCGGCCTCCCAAAGTGCTGGGATTACAGGCATGAACCCCGCGCACGTTCCTTGGTGTAGTTTTAAATTGACATGAGTGTTACTGTGCAAACAATATGGTTTTGTTTTTTCACTCATTACTATTTTTAAGATCTCTCCATGTTGTCTTTTGAATATTTTGTATATCTGCTGAGTAGCATTCTATACTATGCAACTCCCATATTTAACCTTTCTTTTTCTTTCTTTCTTTCTTTTTTTTTGAGATGGAGTCTCGCTCTGTTGCCCAGGCTGGAGTGCAATGGCGTGATCTCAGCTCACTGCAACCTCCATCTCCCAGGTTCTAGCGATTCTCTTGCCTCAGCCTCCCAAGTAGCTGGGACTACAGGCGCCTGCCACCATGCCCAGCTAATTTTTGTATTTTTAGTAGGGACAGGGTTTCACCGTGTTGACCAGGCTGGTCTCGAACTCCGGACCTCAGGTGATCTGCTCTCCTTAGCCTCCCAAAGTGCTGGGATTACAGGCGTGAGCCACTGCACCAGGCTTATATTTAACCTTTCTACTTTGCTAATGAAAGTCACCCAAAACTGAGTTCTAACATTGAGCTTCCACAAATAATGCTGTGATAAATATTCTTGCATGTGACCCCTTATGAATCTAGACACAAGTTTCTCTGTAACGTATATGAAGGAGTTGAGGACTAAACTCTAATTTTTTTTATCTTGCCCAAATTCCTATCTAAGGGATCTGGGGAGTCATGACCTACAAATCATAAATTCTCATCAGATAGGTTTTATTTAACCCTATATATCATGATTTACTTTCCAACCTGACTCTGGTATAACATTACGAGACAAAGAAGAAAATCAAAATATTTTACCCCAAAACATGTTTCTTTGTCATATTTTAAAATGCCCCTGCAAAGCTGTTCTTTGTGGGGAAAATCTACATCCATAAAGAATCTCTATTAACATAGCCAGGGCTGGGGGCGGTGTCTCATGCTTGTAATCCCAGCACTTTGGGAGGCTGAGGCAGGAAAATCACTTGAACCCAAGAGTTGGAGGCTGCAGTGAGTGGAGATCGCGCCATTGCACTCCAGCTTGGGAGACAGAGCGAGGCTCCATCTCAAAAAAAAAATATATATATATATATATATTTATACATAAATACATATATATAAAAATACATATACATATACATATATATAAATATATATATGTGTATATATATATACATCTTTTTCTTCCAGATCCTCCCAATCCTAAAGAGACTAACTGAGATCTGAATAGGAAACATTTGTCACCTATTGTCTCCAAGGCAGCCATTATGAGACTTCAAAAGAGCTTTGGTCTCCACAATCTTTATCTTAACCTGAACATTCCCTTTCTATCTATCCCAGCTCTTTAGACAACCTTAACCAATTGTCAACCAGAAAACATTTAAATTCACCTATAGCCTCGAAGCCCCCACTTTGAGTTGTTCCACCTTTCTAGACCAAACCAATGTATGTCTTAAATGTATTTAATTGATGTGTCATTCTTCTCTAAAGTGTATAAAACCAAGCTGCACTCCAACCACTTTGTGCACAGGTTCTCAGGACTTCCTGAGGGTTGTGTCACAGGCCATGGTCAGTCATCTTTGAGTCAGAATAAATCTCTTCAAATATTTTACAGAGTTCCACTCTTTTGGTCGACAGAGTAGAATTGCTGGGTCATAGAGCATGTGCATATTTAATTTCACAAAGCTCTGCCAGATTCTTTACTACAAAAATGGAAACGGCTGCATGTCTCACACTCCAGGAGTACAGCAGGGATTTGTTTCCTCTCATCTTGGATCTTGCTAATATTTGGTATTACCGGACTAATTTTTGCCTACCTGATGGGTGTAAAGTGGTATCTCATTATTATTTTAATGTGCATTTTTCTGATTGCGTTCAAGGTAGAGGATTAATTTATACTGTTGGTATTCAGATTTCCCCTTCTGTGATTGCTTACCATGTTTATTTTTTTCCTTCCCAGGAATGGCATCTGGGTTCAGCAAACTCAGAATGAAAGTCAGAAGCTACTCATCAGTGAGTGCTTAATCATGTTTTTTACCTATTTTCTTTTTTTCTTTTTCTTTTTTTTTTATTGATCATTCTTGGGTGTTTCTCGCAGAGGGGGATTTGGCAGGGTCACAGGACAATAGTGGAGGGAAGGTCAGCAGATAAACAAGTGAACAAAGGTCTCTGGTTTTCCTAGGCAGAGGACCCTGCGGCCTTCCGCAGTGTTTGTGTCCCTGGGTACTTGAGATTGGGGAGTGGTGATGACTCTTAAAGAGCATGCTGCCTTCAAGCATCTGTTTAACAAAGCACATCTTGCACCGCCCTTAATCCATTCAACCCTGAGTGGATACAGCACCTGTTTCAGAGAGCACAGGGTTGGGGGTAAGGTCACAGATCTACAGGATCCCAAGGCAGAAGAATTTTTCTTAGTACAGAACAAAATGAAAAGTCTCCCATGTCTACCTCTTTCTACACAGACACGGCAACCATCCGATTTCTCAATCTTTTCCCCACCTTTCCCCCCTTTCTATTCCACAAAACCGCCATTATCATCATGGCCCGTTCTCAATGAGCTGTTGGGTACACCTCCCAGACGGGGTGGTGGCCGGGCAGAGGGGCTCCTTACTTCCCAGTAGGGGCGGCGGGGCAGAGGCGCCCCTCACCTCCCGGACGGGGCGGCTGGCCGGGCGGGGGGCTGACCCCCCACCTCCCGCCCGGACGGGGCGGCTGCCGGGCAGAGACGCTCCTCACTTCCCAGACGGGGTGGCTGCTGGGCGGAGGGGCTCCTCACTTCTCAGACCGGGCGGCTGCCGGGCGGAGGGGCTCCTCACTTCTCAGACGGGGCGGTTGCCAGGCAGAGGGTCTCCTCACTTCTCAGACGGGGCGGCCGGGCAGAGACGCTCCTCACATCCCGGACGGGGCGGCAGGGCAGAGGTGCTCCCCACATCTCAGACGATGGGTGGCCGGGCAGAGACGCTCCTCACTTCCCAGATGGGATGGCGGCCGGGAAGAGGCGCTCCTCACTTCCTAGATGGGATGGCGGCCGGGCAGAGACCCTCCTCACTTTCCAGACTAGGCAGCCAGGCAGAGGGGCTCCTCACATCCCAGACGATGGGCGGCCGGGCAGAGACGCTCCTCACTTCCCAGACGGGGTGGCGGCCGGGCAGAGGCTGCAATCTCGGCACTTTGGGAGGCCAAGGCAGGCTGCTGGGAGGTGGAGGTTGTAGCGAGCCGAGATCACTCCACTGCACTCCAGCCTGGGCACCATTGAGCACTGAGTGAAGGAGACTCCGTCTGCAATCCCGGCACCTCGGGAGGCCGAGGCTGGTGGATCACTCGCGGTTAGGAGCTGGAGACCAGCCTAGCCAACACAGCGAAACCCCATCTCCACCAAAAAAATACGAAAACCAGTCAGGCATGGCGGCGTGCGCCTGCAATCACAGGCATTCGGCAGGCTGAGGCAGGAGAATCAGGAAGGGAGGTTGCAGTGAGCCGAGATGGCAGCAGTACCGTCCAGCTTTGGCTCGACATCAGAGGGAGACCGTGGAAAGAGAGGGAGAGGGAGACCGTGGGGAGAGGGAGAGGGAGAGGGAGCCCTATTTTCTTGCTTTTAGTTTAGTGCCTTATTGATTTGAGGAGTGGGTTGTGTGGTCTAGATATTAACCCATTGCTTGCTTTAAATTTTGCAAACTCCGCCCTAGGTCTATTCACTATTACCTTTGATTATAGTTTCCATTATTGAGCAGGATTATTTAATTATATATATATATACAGGGTTTCGTCACCCAGGCTGGAGTGCAATGGTACGTTCTTGGCTCACTGCAACCTCCACCTCCCTGGCTCAAGTGACCCTCCCGCCTCAGCCTCCGAAGTAGCTGGGACCACAGGCACGTGCCACCATGCCCAGCTAATTTTTTGTATTTTTGGTAGAGATGGGGTTTCACCATGTTGCCCAGGCTGGTCTCAAACTCCTGAGCTTAAGCAGTCTGCCCACTTCAGCCTCCCAAAATGCTGGGATTACAGGCGTGAGCCACCACATTCAGCCCTTAATTTTTTTTTTTTTTTTTTTGAATCAGAGTTCCGCTCTTGTTTTCCAGGCTAGAGTGCAAAGGTGCAATCTCGGTTCACCACAACCTCCACCTCCCAGGTTCAAGCGATTCTCTTGCCTCAGCCTCCCGAGTAGCTGGGATTACAGGCATGCGCCACCATGCCTGGCTAATTTTTGTATTTTTAGTAGAGACGGGGTTTCACCATGTTGGTCAGGCTGGTCTCGAACTCCTGACCTCAGGTCATCTACCCGCCTAGGCCTCCCAAAGGGCTGGGATTACAGGTGTGAGCCACCATGCCTGGCCCCTTAATTTTGATATAAAAAATTAACCCATTGTCTGACTTATGGTTTGTATTTTGGGGTCTTATTTAAGAAGCCCTCCTTTGCCTCAAAGTCAGAAAGAACACAGGTTCTTCTATTACCACTATAGATTTGAGGCAGGAAAATAGGGTCTGGAGGCAGGGAACATAAGGCCAATTCACACTTCAGCTATGACAGGAAATAACCTCTCCATAGGGCCTAGGCCAAGTAAATGACTTTGTAACTTTACTTCATCCTCTCCATTTACATAGGGTGTACACCACATAACCAATGGAAACCTCTAGAGTGGTATTTAGACTCCCAAATATTTTGTAACAGGGCCTTTGAGCCCCTATGCTCGGGCCTGCTCCCACACTGTGGAGTGTACTTTCATTTTCAATAAACCCCTTCATTCCTTCCTTGCTTTGTTTGTGCATTTAGTCCAATTCTTCTTTCAAGACGCCAAGAACCTGGACACTCTCCACCATTAACAGTTTCACCTATAAGCTTTGTATTTCCAATCCATCTGAACTGGCATGCATGTAATTTTCTTTTCTTCCAGTTTTTCCAAAATCATCTCTTAAAACAATCCATCCAGGCTGGGCATGGTGGCTCACGCCTGTAATCCCAGCACTTTGGGAGGCCAAGATGGGTGGATCACAAGGGAAGGAGTTTGAGACCAGCCTGGCCAACACGGTGAAACTTCATCTCTACTGAAAATACAAAATATATATATATATATATTAGCCGGGCATGGTGGCGCACACCTGCAATCCCAGCTTCTCAAGAGGCTGAGGCAGGAGAATTGCTTGAATTCGGGAGGCAGAGGTTGCAGTGAGCCAAGATTGCACCACTGCACTCCGGCCTGGGCGACAGAGCAAGATTCTGTCTCGAAAAGAAAAAAAACAATCCATTCTTCCTCCACTGGTCTGTTGTATCAACCCTGTCAAATGTCAAGACTGCTATAAATGTATTTTCTTTACATTAACTCACTTTTTTTGCATTACATTTATAAATTTAAATTTTTAATTTATTGCTAATATATGGATTTTTTTTTTTTTGAGATGGAGTCTCGCTCTCTCACCCAGGCTGTAGTACAATGGCACAATCTCTGCTCACTGCAACCTCCGCCTCCCGGGTTCAACAGTTCCCCAGCCTCAGCCTCCCAAGTAGCTGGGACTACAGGCTTGCGCCACTGTGCCTGGCTAATTTTTTGTATTTTTAGTAGAGACAGGGTTTCGCCATGTTGGCCAAGCTGGTCTCAAACTCCTAACCTCAGGTGATCCACCTGCCTTGGCCTCCCAAAGTGCTGGGATTACAGGTGTAAGCCACTGTGCCCGGCTACATGGATATATCAAGAGTGAAATAATTAAACATTTTTCTTTTCTGTTTTTTTATTTCTTTCTTTTTTTCTTTTTTTTTGGAGGGGGGGATAGGATCTTGCTCTGTCATCCAGGCTGCAGTACAGTGGTCTAGTAATAGCTCACTGCAGCCTCAGTCTCCTGGGATCAAGTGATCCTCTTGCTTCAGCCTCCCCAGTAGCTGGAACTACAGGCATATGCCACCACGCCCAGCTAATATTTTTTGTTTAGACAGGGCTCTAAAAGGGCTGGGATTATAATCATGAGCCACTGTACCAGGACAAAGTCAAATAATTCTACAACACATGAAAAATAGCAGCTTCCTGACTTCAGTGTCAATATGGTCCATCCTTTTCCAATCCCCAGAGGCAACTATTACCAACTTTTTTTTTTTTTTTTTGAGACAGAGTCTCCTTCGGTGGCCTGGGCTGAAGTGCAGTGGTGTGATCTCGGCTCACTGCAACCTCCATTTCCTGGGTTCAATTGATTCTCGTGCCTCAGCCTCCTGAATAACTGGGACTCCAGGTGTGCACCACCACACCCAGCTAATTTTTGTATTTTTAGTAGAGATGGGGTTTCTTCATGTTGGCCAGACTGGTCTTGAACTCCTGGCCTCAGGTGATCCATCTGCCTTGGCCTCCCAAAGTGCTGGGATTACAGGCGTGAGCCACCAGCCCTGGCCAACCATTACCAACTTTTAAAATATTTTCTTTAATATTTACCATTATATACCTAAATATGCTTACAGTGATACTTACTTTTTGTTTTAGAAACTAACTATTGGCCGGGCGCAGTGGCTCACGCCTGTAATCCCAGCACTTTGGGAGGCCGAGGCGGGCGGATCACGAGGTCAGGAGATCGAGACCATCCTGGCTAACATGGTGAAACCCTGTCTCTACTAAAAATACAAAAAATTAGCCAGGCGTGGTGGCGGGTGCCTGTAGTCCCAGCTACCCGGGAGGCTGAGGCAGGAGAATGGCATGAACCTGGGAGGCAGAGCTTGCAGTGAGCCAAGATTGTGCCACTGCACTCCAGCCTGGGGGACAGAGCATGAGACTGCATCTCAAAAAAAAAAAGAAAAAAAGAAACTAATTATTGTGTTTACAGTATGGAAGATAAGGATTTAGTTACATATTGCACTGCCCACAACAAATATATGCATTGGTTCCTCCATCTTCCCAATGTAGACAAGTACTTTTTATTTTTATTTTATTTATTTATTTATTTATTTATTTATTTATTTATTTTTATTTTTATTTTTTTTTTGAGACGGAGTCTCGCTCTGTCACCCAGGCTGGAGTGCAGTGTTGCAATCTCGGCTCACTGCAACCTCCGACTCCCGGGTTCAAGTGATTCTCCTGCCTCAACCTCCCGAGTAGCTGGGATTACAGGCACGTGCCACCACGCCTGGCTAATTTTTGTATTTTTTTGTAGAGATGGGGTTTCACCTTGTTGGCCAGGCTGGTTTCAAACTCCTGACCTCAGGTGATCCTCCTGCCTTGGCCTCCCAAAGTGTTGGAATTACAGGCATGAGCCACTGTGCCCAGCCAACTACATTGTTATTAACTGTAGTCACCATGATGTACAATAGATCTCTTGAACTTATTCCTCCTGTCCAACTGAAATTTGGTATCCATTGACCAATGTCTCCCCAGCATTCACCACCCCCTAGTCTCTGGTAGCCACCATTCTACTCTCTACCTGCATGAGGTTTTTTTAAGATTCCATATATAAGTGGGATCATGTGGTATTTGTCTTTCTGTGCCTGGCTTACTTCACTTAACATAATGTGCTCTAGGTTCATCGATGTTGTAAATGACAGGATCTCATTCTTTGTTTTCTATTTTTTCTGTAAAGAATGTCTTTATTTTAGAGATGACGTCTCGCTATGTTGCCCAGGCTGACCTTGAACTCCCTGGCTCAAGCAATCTTCCTGCCTCAGCCTCCTGAGTAGCTGAGACAACATGAGCATGCTACCGAGCCAGGCTTCATTCCTTTGTAAGGCTGAATAGTACTGCATTGTGTATATATGCCACATTTTCTTTATCCATTAACCCACTGCAGGAGACTTGGGTTGATTCCTACTCTCAGCTATTGTGAACAGTACTGCAGTGAACATGGCAGTGCAGGTATCTCTTCAACATACTGATTTCAGTTGCCTTGAATATATACCTAGTAGCTGGATTGCTGGATCTCCATTGTCTTATACTTTGTGTTGCTGATAAAGTTTGAGAATATTATGATTCTTGATCCTTTAGGTTATTTTGTTATCCACTGACACAGCCCTCAGGAGATCCTGAGAACATGTGCCCCATTTTTCTTTCTCTCTCCCTCTAGAATCTTTTAAACTCTGTTGTCTCCAGTGTTCTAAAATTTCATATGGCATGCCTTAGAGTGGGTTTATTTTCACCCTTGGTGTCTGGCATGTGGCAAGTCCTTTCAGGTTAGAAAGTAATATCCTTCAGGCCGGGCACAGTGGCTCTTTCCTGTAATTCCAGCACTTTGAGAGGTCGAGGTGGGAGGATAACTTCAGCCCAGGAGTTGGAGACCAGCCAGGGCAACATGGCAAGACCACCGTCTCTACCAAAAACAAAACAAAACAAAACAAAACAAAAAACAAAAAACAAAAATTAGTCGGGTGTGGTGGTGCACACCTATAGTCCCAGCCACTCAGGCTGAGGCAGGAGGATTGCTTGAGCCCAGGAATTCGAGGCTGCAATGAGCTATGATTGTGCCACTGCACTCCAATCTGGGTGACAGAGTGAGATTCTGTCTCAAAAAAAATTAAGTAATATTCTTCAATTCTGGAATATTTTCATGACTTATTTCATTGATAATTTATGCCGTTCTAGTTTTATGTTTTTCTTTCTTTTCTTTTCTTTTTTCTTTTTTTTTTTTTTTGAGATGGAGTCTCACTCTCTCTCCCAGGCTGGAGTGCAGTGGCGTGATCTCGGTTCACTGCAAACTCCACCTCCTGGGTTCACGCCATTCTCCTGCTTCAGCCTCCCAAGTAGCTGGGACTACAGGCACTCGCCCCCACGCCCAGCTAATTTTTTGTATATTTAGTAGAGATGGGGTTTCGCCGTGTTATACAGGATGGTCTCGATCTCCTGATCTCATGATCCGCCCGCCGCGGCCTCCCAAAGTGCTGGGATTATAGGCGTGAGTCACTGCGTCCAGCCTTTTTTCTCTTATTTTTTGATCAGTTATTTTGTTTACTTTGTGGAGAGTTCAACTTTGGAGAGTTGAACTCTATCACATTTGTGGGTTTTATTTCTGTTTTTAGAGACAGAGTCTCACTCTGTCACCCAGGCTGGAGTGCAGTGGCACAATCATAGCTCATTGCAGTTTTGAACTCCTGGACTCAAGCGATCCTCCTACCTCAGCCTTCCCAGTAGCAGGGACTACAGTGTGCACCACCCTGCCTGGCTAATCTTTAATTTTTTGTAGAGACGGGTCTCACTATGTTGCCCAGACTGTCTCCAACTCCTGGGCTAAAGCCATTCTCTCCCTTCAGCCTTCCAAACTGTTGGGATTACAGGCATGAGCCACTGCACCCGGCCAAGTACATACATCTTTATAGTGCTTAGAAATATGAATCAATAGGCTAGGTGCAGTGGCTCATGCCTGTAATCCCAGCACTTTGGGAGGCCAAGGTGGGTGGATTACTTGAGGTCAGGAGTTCAAGACCAGCCTGGCCAACATGGTGAAAGCCTGTCTCCATTAAAAACTCAGAAATGTAGGCTGGGCGCAGTAGCACATGCCTGTTATTCCAACATTTTGGGAGGCCGAGGCGGGCATCTGAGGTCAGGAATTCAAGAGCCTGGCCAACATGGTGAAACCCCGTCTCTACTAAAAATACAAAAATTAGCCAGGCGTGGTGGTATGCACCTGTAATCCCAGCTACTTGAGAAGCTGAGGCAGGAGAATGACTTGAACTCGGGAGGCGAAGGTTGCAGTGAGCCAAGATCGTGCCATTACACTCCAGCTTGGGCAACAGAGTGAGACTGTCTCAAAAAAAAAAAAAAACAAATTGCCGGGTGTGGTGGCTTGAGCCTGTAGTCCCAGCTACTCGGGAGGCTCAGGCAGGAGAATCGCCTGAGCCTCCACTTACAGGTGGAGGTTGCAGTGAGATGAGATTGTACCACTGCCCTCCAGCCTGGGAAACAGAGCAAGACTCCATCTAAAAAAAAAATTGTGTACATTTAAAGTTTTTAATCTCTCTGCATAGTCTCTGTTTCTTTCAAGTTGTTTCGTTTGTCTCTACCACTCATGTTAAATGCTTTCTTCACATATCTGGTGATTTTTAGCTCCATTTATATTTGTGATGGTACTCTAAAAAGCTGATTAGAAAAAACAATTGTATTTTTATACAATAGAAGGGTTAAAAAATAATAAAAAGGTAGGAAGACTGGTTTTACTAAATAAAACTATAGTATTTTAAGGTATGATATGGGCACAAATATAGACAAATAGACTAATAGAATAGAAAGACCCAGCACAGTTGTGTGTGTGCATGTGTGTGTGTTGTTGTTGCTATTGTTTTGGGGCTGTTTTAGTTATTTATTTATTTTTACCTGGGATTACAGGTGCCCACCACCATGCCCGGCTAATTTTGTATTTTTAGTAGAGATGGGGTTTCACTGTGCTAGCCAGGCTGGTTTTGAACTCCTGACCTCAGGTAATCCACCTGCCTCAGCCTCCCAAAGTGCTGAGATTACAGGCGTGACCCACCGTACCCGGCCTATTTATTTATTTACTTATTTATTTATTTATTTATTTTTGAGGCAGAGTCTCACCTCTCGCCCAGGCTGGAGTGCAGTGGCATGATCTCTGCTTACTGCAACCTCTGCCTCCTGGGTTCAAGCGATTCTCCTGCCTCAGCCTCCTGAGTAGCTGGGATTACAGGTATGCGCCACCACACCTGGCTAATTTTTGTATTTTTAGTAGAGACGAGGTTTCGCCATGTTGGTCAGGCTGGTCTTGAACTCCTGACCTCGTGATCCCCCCGCCTTGGCCTCCGAAAGTGCTGGGATTACAGGCATGAGCCACCGCACCCAGCCTATTTATTTTTTGAGATAGGGTCTTGCTCTGACACCCTGGAGTGCAGTGGCGTGATCATGGCTCACTGCAGCCTCAAACTCCTGGGCTCAAGTGATTCTCCTGCCCTAGCCTCCCCAGTGGCTGGGATTACAGGCACATGCCACCATGCCCCACTAATTTTTTAATTTTTATTTTGTACAGATGGTGGGGGGGTCTCACTTTGTTGCCCAGGCTGGTCTTAAACTCCTGTGCTCAAGCAGTCCTCCCACCTATCCCTCCCAAAGTGCTGGAATTACCAGCGGGAGACACAGTGCCCAACCTTGTTTTTTAAAAAGAAATATTTATATATTTGTGCATATTTTTTCCAAATTGGACCCAAATTAATACCATATACAAACAAAAATTCCAGGTAGGTCTAAAAACCTAAACGTAAAACACAAACTTATAAAGATAAATTAGGCTACAATAAATCAACTTCTGTTCACCAAAAGATACAATAGAGAATTAAAAGACAGAGCTTCATTACTATCATCTCCTGTCCTTTGTTCTTGTGATATACCTCTTTAGAGAAATCCCTTTGTCATAATTTAGTGGGATTTCCAGAGGAAACAGAAGTAAATAAATATGTCAGATTTACCACTCTCTTTTTTTTTTTTTGAGATGGAATTTCACTTTTGTCGCCCAGGCTGAAGTGCAGTGGCACAATCTCTGCTCACTGCAACCTCCACCTCCTGGGTTCAAGAGGGTCTCCTGCCTTAGCCTCCCTAGTAGCTGGGATTACAGGCGCCCACCCCCACACCCAGCTAATTTTTTGTATTTTTAGTAGAGACGGGATTTCACTATATTGGCCAGGCTGGCCTCGAACTCCTCACCTCAGGCTATCCACCCGCCTCAGCCTCCCAAAGTGCTGGGATTACAGGCGTGAGCCACCATGCCCGGCCACCACTCTTTTTTTTTTTAAATATTTATTTTTTATTTTATATTTTGAGACGGAGTCTTGCTCTGTTACCCAGGCTGGAGTGTATGGTGCAATCTCGGCTCACTGCAACCTCTGCCTCCCGGGTTCAAGTGATTCTCATGCCTCAGCCTTCCGAGTAGCTGAGATTACAGGCCCGTACTACCTTGCCTGGCTAATTTTTGTATTTTTAGCAGAGACAGCAAGTTATCCGCCCATCTTGGCCTCCCAAAGTACTGGGATTACAGGCGCGAGCCACCACTCTCGGCCTTTTTTTTTGAGACAGTCTCACTTTGTTGCCCAGGCTGGAGTGCAGCAGCATGGTCATGGCTCACTGCATCCTTGACCTCATGGGCTCGACAACGTCCCACCTCAGACCCCTGAGTAGCTGGGACTACAGGCATGCACCACCATGCCCAGCTAATTTTTAAATTTTTTTGTAGAGACAGGGTTTCCCTATGTTGCCCAGGCTGGTCTCAATTGATCCTCTCCGCTCAGCTTCCCAAAGTGCTGAGATTACAGGTGTGAGCCACTGTGACTGGCCCCAGATTTGCCCCTCTTAACCACAGTACTAAAAGCTTTTGTTGTTGTGATTGGGTCTCACTCTGTCGCCCAGGCTGGAATGCAGTGGTGTGATCATAGATCACCGCAGCCTCGAACTCCAGCCTCCAGGGATCCTCCTGTTTTAGCCTCCTGAATAGCTGAGACTACAGATGTGGGCCACCATGCTCAGCTAATTTATTTATTTATGTTTTTTGAGATGGAGTCTCGCTCTGTCAACCAGGCTGGAGTGCAGCAGCACAATCTCAGCTCACTGCAACTTCCACCCCCTGGGTTCAAATGATCCTCCCGCCTCAGCCTCCTAAGTAGCTGGGATTACAAGTGTGCACTACCACACCCAGCTGATTTTTGTATTTTTAGTAGAGTTGGGGTTTCACCATGTTGGCCAGGCTGGTCTCGAACTCCTGACGTCAAGTGATCTGCCCACCTTGGCCTCCCAAAGTGTTGGGATTACAAGTGTGAACCACAGTGCCCAGCCTGCTTGAACTCCTGACCTCAAGTGATCCACCCGCCTCAGCCTCCCAAAGTGCTGGGATTATAGGTGTGAGCAACGATGCCCAGCCTGCTCAGCCAATTTTTAAAAAATATTTTGCGGGGCGTGGTGGCTTACGCCTGTAATCCCAGCACTTTGGGAGGCTGAGGCAGGCGGATCACAAGGTCAAGAGATCGAGACCAGCTTGGCCAACATGGTGAAACCCTGTCTCTACTAAAAATACAAAAATTAGCTGGGCGTGGTAGCACGTGCCTGTAGTCCCAGCTACTCGGGAGGCTGAGGCAGGAGAATCACTTGAACGCGGGAGGCAGAGGTTGCAGTGAGCCGAGATTGCGCCACTGCACTCCAGCCTGGGTGACAAAGCGAGAGTCCATCTCAAAAAAAAAAAAAAAAAAAAAAATATATATATATATATATATATATTTTAGAAATAGGATCTTGCTATGTTGCCTCCGCCTCCTGGGCTCAAGTAATCCTCCTATCTCAGCCTCCCAAGTAGCTAGGATGATAGGTACAGTCTAACACACCTGGTTAAAAACTTTTATAATGAGAAAAGGAAGCCTGGGCAACATGGCAAAACTCCGTCTCTACAAAAAATACAAAATAATAATAATAATAAAAGGAAAAAAAACGAGAAAAAAAATTAGCTAGGCATGGTGGTGTACGCCTGTAGTCCCAGCTACTCAGGAGGCTGAGGTGGGAGGACTGAGCCCAGGTCGAGGCTACAGTGGGCCAACATCGCCCCCTACACTCCAGCCTGTGTGACAGAATGAGACCCTGCCTCAAAAAGAAAAAAGGACCTAGTAACGTTTGTGCCAGGTGTATTTTCTCTAACATACATAACAATTTTTTGAGATGGAATTTCGTTCTTGTTGCTCAAGCTGGAGTGCAATGGCATGATCATGGCTCACTGCAACCTCCACCTCCTGAGTTCCAGCAATTCTCCTACCTCAGCCTCCCAAGTAGCTGGGATTACAAACATGTGCCACCACATCTGGCTAATTTTTGTATTTTTAGTAGAGACAGGGTTTCACCGTATTGGTCAGGCTAATCTCGAACTCCTGACTTCATGTGATCCATCTGCCTCGGCCTCCCAAAGTGCTGGGATTACAGGCGTGAGCCACCACACCCAGCCACATAACAACTTTTTAAGGCCAGTAAAGTAAGGGAAATTTACCCATGTGCTTCCCCAGTTACTTCATGAACTCTCCAGTCAGTGATCCCACACTCAGGGAAGCAGTTAACCCCTACTTCCACACCCACACCCTTTTTTTGGGAATCTGATGTATCCCTCTCTAGAAATTTTCCTGAAATTATTTCTAGTCATCTCCTCAGTAAGAAAAATCATTTTTCTTTTTCTTTTCTTTTCTTTTTTTTTTTTTTTTTTTTTTTTGAGATGGAGTTTCACTCTTGTCGCCCACGCTGGAGTGCAATGGCGTGATCTCGGCTCATTGCAACCTCCTCCTACCAGGTTCAAGCGATTCTCCTGCCCTAGCCTGGGATTACAGGCACCCGCCACCATGCCCAGCTAATTTTTGTATTTTTAGTAGAGACAGAGTTTCACCACATTGGCCAGGCTGGTCTTGAACTCCTGACCTCAGGTTATCTGCCTGTCTCAGCCTCCCAAAGTGCTGGGATTACAGGCATGAGCCAACGAGCCCGGCCTCTTTTTTTTTTTTTCTTGCTTGAGAAAGAAAAATCATTTTCTACTTGTGCCTGACCCTTACTTATGAAATCAGGTTTTAGATGCAGAATAAAAAATTAAGGAATAAGGAGAAGGCAGAGGACCAAGATAATTTCGGAAGTGTTGGATGGTTCTAGAAACTGAAATAGCCTTGACAAAACCAAGACAAAAAATTAGCATAAATAAAGGTTTTATTGGTCAGTTTGGGTGAGTGACAAACTGACATGGCCCCAGTTCACTATTCCACATATCCAAGCCCCTGAGGTGGCAAGAGAAGCTAAGCTTATTAATGGTGGGCAATGGGTGAGAGGTGGAAAGGACTTGAAGGCCTCTGAGGGTTAACAAGGCTACCGGGACCGGAACCAACGTCCCAGGAATAAGTCCAGGATGGAAAAGGCATCATCCAGGGCTGGAGGTCTTGGTGATTCTGGATCTAAGGAAGAAAGTCATACACGTAAATAGGCTAAATGAAAGAGACTAGGCAGAAGCAAAGGACAAGGGTAGAAGAGTAAGATTTCCCTTCCCCAAGGAATCTTGAGATGAACCCCTTTGTCTTTTAACTTACCACCCCTAGGACTGCTATCTGCTTCGTGTCGGGTTACTGTAGTCTCTGTCCGGCCCTCACTGTCCACCACAGTCCGGCGCTCCTCCACTATCTACAAAGAGAAGTCCCCACCATATTCCGAATGTTACTAAAGGTTATGCTCAGCAGTTTCTTTACACAGATCCCTGTTTCAGGGCATTCGTTCCCTGGCCATACTTTCCTTTACCTCTTTCTTTCAACTCACCCCATCTGGTTTAGTGATCTTGGTCACAGAGATGCTCTTGAAATAGGATTTGGGCTGGGGCTGTAGAACCGGGCCAAGACCCTCCTGGGAAACCTGGGAATCAAGATCTGGAAGAGCAGAGAGATGAAGAAGCAGGAGAGAAAGAGTCCAAAGGAAAAAAGGAGACAAGTGTACAGGAAGAAACTTCAGGGAGGGAGAACACACAGAACTTCAGAAGAATAACAAAAGGCTGGTAAACTTCCCCTTCCTCCAGACTTACCATTGTCCTCTCTGGTTCTAGGATGGGGGTCCATAGGCCATACATCATCAAACTGCAGAAGAAACCATAGTAAGTGAAAAGACTCCTTCCAATCTGAAATTTGAAAGGTCATAGACCTCAAACTACTCCCGAGCTCCAAAACCCCCTTCCACAGAAGAGATAATTCCATTCAGAATAGCCTTATTTACACACTCCTTCCTGGCTGTTTTATGTATCCTTCTACCAGAAAGACTTCCTGAACTGATATATTCCTATCCTCTGTGCACAATCCTGCCTTATCCAAGAATTATCTAGACCAGTGGTGTTTTTTTGTTTTTGTTTTTTAAAAGAAACAGAACACCCATCTCCCCCCAAAGAAAATCCCACAAGCTTAATATAGAAAACAGAAAACACTAAATGGAGGGCTTAGGATTCCAACCCAAGGCTATCAGATTCAAACAAGAATTGCAATCTTTGGCCAGGCATGATGGCTCACACTTGTAATTCCAGCACTTTGGGAGGCCGAGGTGGGTGGATCACCTGAGGTCAGGAGCTCAAAAGCAGCCTGGCCAACACGGTGAAACGCCATCTCTACTAAAAACACAAAAATTAGCTGGGCGTTTGGCAGGCGACTGTAATCCCAGCTACTCAGGAGGCTGAGGCAGGAGAATCACTTGAACCTGGGAATTGGAGGTTGCAGTGAGCTGAGATTGTGCCACGGCACTACAGCCTGGGCAACAGAGCAAGGCTGGGTCTCAAACAATTTTTGAGATGGAGTCTCCACCTCCTGGGTTCAACCAATTCTCCTGCCTCAGCCTCCTGAGTAGCTGGCATTACAGGCACCTGCCACCATGCCCGGCTAATTTTTTGTATTTTTAGTAGACACGGGGTTTCACCATGTTGACCAGGCTGGTCTCCAACTCCTGACCTCTGGTGATCTGCCCACCTCGGCCTCCCAAAGTGCTGGGATTACAGGCGTGAGCCACCGCACCTAGCCAGTCTTTGCACTTTATTAGTGGTCTCTCACAAGCTCTCACTTCAGGACCAGATGGGATACTCACCCTATGAAATGGCCTCTGGGAGCCCCAGTCTGGTGCTGGTTGGGGGGATTCACTTCTTGCATCACTCTCCAAGACCCCCCCAAAGATCCTGGGCTGGTGACTATCTGGATACTTAAGCATTGAGTCCCGAAGTGTCTGTCCCTCCCGTAGTCTCTCACCAGGTGTCTCTGACTCAGGACCTGGAAGTTCTGCAGAAAGGTGGCAGGTGTTTGCTGGGATGGGAAAGGACTTGGGCTCTATTAATCTCTCTGAAATCATCAGTCTTCTCACACTTCCCATCCCCCAGCTACTCCCTGCAGGCTCTTTATTTCACCCACCAACCCACCAGAAACCACAGGTTGCCCCTTAGGGAAAGCCACACACCAGGAGGATGGGAAGGCAAGGTCCAGGCCCCCATATCGCTGAAGATGCTATTGAAATCTCGTACTAGGTCATCAAAGCCGAAGTTATCGTGGAAACGTATCCCTCCTCCTGGGCTGAAGCTGAAGCCGAAGCCAAATTCCTCAGGGGGGTGCTGAGGACTATGGAACCTTGGGTTCCCACGGCCCCATGAGCCCCCTTCTTCTTCTTCTTCCTCATCATCATCTTCATCTCGAGTCATCCCTCCAAAAAAGGGATCTCTGTGGCTGAGAGTGGAGGCAGATTGGCCACCAATATTTCAGCACTATTTAAGCCATTAAATCAACTCATGGGTGGCAAAGTGGGACAAGAGCAAGGGGTCTGGGAAGCTAGGGAGAGGGTCGGAGGACTGGCTGCCACATCAAAACATTAATACAATGGCTGACAGTTCTTTTTTTTTTTTTTTTTTTTTAATCAAAGTCAGACCTCAGCTCGCAGCTCCCTTCATACACCTTCCCCCAGTTTTTCTTCAGTGTGCCCCAGTCCCTCCTCTCTCTCCCAAGGTCCTGCTCACTTGCTCACTGTCTTATTCCCCAGACCCTCACGGTCTTCCCCGCCCGGGTCCCTGTTGCATCACCCCAGGTTGGAGAAAGGCTTAGTTTGCTGTTTCTCCTCTTAATGACCGCCTTGGTTACTGTGGCGGGGTGAGTGTTCAATGTTGCGACTTCTGTCCTCTCTGCAGGAGTTGAAGGAGTGGGACAGAGGATGTTTTTCCAAAAATAAGACGTAGGGGTCAAGCTCCCCTCAGACGACCCCCACCCTTGTCCGAGCCGGACCTACTCTCACCTCCGAGGTCCAGGAAAGCCGAAAAAGCCCCGGAAGAGATCAAAGAGGCTCATTCCCGTACTGGGACGCGAACCTTTGAACCCCTCCAGTGGTCCATTCGCAGACGGGGGAAACCTGCGCAGCCCTGTGAGAAATTGAGCGAGGCGTCAGCCCACGCTACCGGAAAGCAAGCCCGCGATCCTGACACTGTCGTAAACGACGGTAAGCCGGACGTGAAATGGAGGCGGGACCGAAGGTCTTCCTCAAATTTGAAAGGCTTTATCTTTACCCCACCTTTCAGAGACCAGTTTCCGTGACGGGAGTGGGCGTGACGCACTTTCAGTTTCCTATGACCGCCTTCCTCCTAAATCTGTTCTTCTTTCTGCAGACCAACTCAGTACGAAAAGCGATTTCGAGGGTTTGACTCTGGATGGCACCCGGATAAAGCCGCCAGAGGGCAGCCCAGCCGCACAAATGGACCGGCTTGAGGGCGTCCCTCAACCACCCCACCCGCGGGGCTGGCCAGCCTCACAGCAGAAGCCACCTCGCTCCTTACTCGGGCGTTCTTTTTGACTGACCTGGGCGATGTCTGCTGTTAGAGGGATGAACAAAATGCTTTTCCAAGCTCCTTCTAGTATTGAATTTCCCAGAGAAGAGATCAAGACATAAGAGACGCATGGACTTAACTTCCTCCACCTCTCTAGCTACTAGGGAGTTTGTTATAACTATATAGAATTCTTTTTTCTAAGCAGGCTCTGCAACCAGCAAGACAAAGGATTTTTAAGAAAGCAAGGGAAGGGAAGCTAGTTGAGTCCTGAGAAGGAACAAATTGGGGGTTATAAAGAAATATCCCTTTGGTATCTTTTTTTTTTTTTTTTTTTTTTTTTTTTTGAGACAGAGTTTTCTCTCATGTTTCCCAGGCTGGAGTGCAGTGGCACCATGTCGGCTCACTGCAACCTTCGCCTCCCAGGTTCTCTCCTGTCTCAGCCTCCCGAGTAGCTGGGATTACAGTCATGCGCCTCCACGCCCGGCTACTTTTGTATTTTTTGTAGAAACGGGGTTTCACCATGTTGACCAGGCTGGTCTCGAACTCCTGACCTAAGGTGATCCGCCCAACCCAGCCTCCCAAAGCGCCTGTCCTCATTCCTTTTTAAAAGTGTTTTGTTCAAAACCTCTCCGAGACCTGTCTCTCCCTGTACCCCATCCCCAAGCCAGACCTTGCTCTAGATTCTTTTTCAAAGAATTGGGTATAGCTATGTCACAGAGAAGCATCCAAGAAGCCACTACTACAGTAGTCCATTCCTAGGGGGAATGGGCCCCAAGGTTTTGTTTTTTTATTTCGTTTTTGGGGTACAGGTGGTGTTTGGTTACATGGATGAGTTCTTTAGTGATTTCTGCGACTTTAGCGCACCCATCACCCGAGCAGTGTACACTGTACCCAATATGTAGTCTTTCATCCCTCACCCCACTCCAAGATTTAGTTCTGCCAGACGATACATGTTGCCTTCACTTCTTTTTAGTTTATTTGCCTGGACCCATCTAAGTCATACTTAAAACTCTATAAAGCATTTTTTTTCTTTGAAATGGTCTCAGCTCCTTCTTGATCCTCTCCATTTTCCACCCAATCTCCTCTATCCCTCTCCCTTTACTGCCTGAAATCGGCTGTAGATGTAGCAGTTTCTGGAGGAAATGAAGATTTGTGGTGGTTCTTTCCAGTCACCAGGTTGTGAAAGTCTTAGGGGTGAGGGGAAGGAAATCCCCTCAAGGACAAGATACTACTACCACATTAAGGTCAGGAGTTCTTAAAGGGCGAAGATTTCATTTTATTCCACTGCCTTCAGGGGCCTGCTAGAGGAGGCCCAGTTGGTACAGTAATACTTATTCACCAAGCTGGTCATCGACGAAATTGAGGATGTCCTAGACGGAGCAAGAATAGGCAGAGGCTGAAGGTAGAGGTTTTCTTTTTATATATACAAGACACATTAATCCATTAAATTTGAGGACACAGTACAAAAAAAAAAAAAAAACAAAAAAAAAACCACTTCAACTAATTCATCTGACAATGCTGTTCATATTCATGACGCCATTTTTTTGTTTGTTGTTGTTGTTGTTTTCCTAATAATAAAGAAGGAGACTTAGGGCTGTTGGGCTGATATATGTTTGGGGGTCCCACCTCCCCGCCTCATCCGTACACCACCAGGGTGAACAGGAGGAAGCAAAGGAAGTGCAGGGCCCATAGCAAAGTTTCATAATCTTGAATGCAAGAGGGGAGAAGGAATGGAAGGGGGAAAAAAAAGGAGAAAATACAAATCCTATAATACATACAACAGGGTGGGGATGGTATAGGAATGGGACAGACATGAAGCTGAGGCATGGGGTGGGCCGCTGGGGGTGGGGGGCAGCGGAAACCCCCCACATTCCTTTCTCTTTGATGCTGTTTCCATAGTTTCCAGGCTGAGAAGCCCTCTCAGAAGATGGGACCGGGAGAAGAGGGTCAGGGCCTCAGTTGGCCCCCCAGCTGTAGCTGTTGTAGGCAGACTTGTTGGTCTGGGGCTTCTGCGGGATGGAGCTGGTCTGGCTACGTTGCCCGCTGCCCGTCTGCAGGGGAATGGGAGGATCATGAGGAGGAAAAAGGTGTCTAGTTAGTGGTACAAATTTGTAACATCTTCAGGTGGAGATGTGCAAACTGTCTTGCTCTCCCATTCCCCTCACTACTATTAGAACCATAGAAAATTTGGTCTGCATAGCTGCTAAAGCCCCTTTCTTACAAGCAGGAAGGCATTTTTGACTTTTAAATAGGGAAAAGATGAAGAGGGCAAGATACCTTTAGAGACAAGGTAGTGAGTGAGTTCTACTCATTTTCAATTCTACATTCTCACACTACCCCCTCTCTCCCCTGCTCTTGGAGATGGGTGATCACAAGGCAATTTCATTTCCATTGATCCCCATTAATGCCTCAATTTGGAAAGCTGTCTTTGAGGAAGGAAGCCCTTATTCTAGCTCCAGCCACCTATAATGGAGCTCTCAAGAGGCCACTTGCATCGCCCCACAGATCCCCACCCCTACCACACATCACATCTGTGAGCCCATTTCAGGCAGGTATGAGAGGCAGTCTGAGGCCTCAGGCTCCAGATGCTGCCCCAAGAATCTTTTCCATTCTGGTAACCGAATGTTTTCCACAGCTGGGGAAGGGTACAAAGATAAAGAGGGTGTTGGGGAGGGGAGGAGGAGAGAGGAAGGGGAGGCCAGAGAGCTCAGCAAGGTGTTTGTGTTTGTGTATCCCGATTTGTGACCGCGCAGTCTTTTCAAGTTCCCTGAGGCTGTGAAGGTGAAATGGGGACTGAAAAGGAGTGGGTTCAAGCATATGATCATTCAATTTCATTACCTGCTCCTCCTGCTGGCGCTGGCAACAGAGAATCATCTGCAAATATGGTAGCTGAGGCAGAACCAGGATATATGGAAAATAAAGGGACAAACTTTGACAATAGAACTCCACCATTAGAAGGGAAAGCTAAAATGTCAGGGAAGAGGGAAGGCTGGGAGAGGAAAGAGGGAAGGTGTGACCCAGGTCTGATGGGATGAGGACAACTGTGGCACAGGAGGAGAAGGGCACCAAAGGAATTGGGCAAAAAAGGTTTCAACCCGGCCCTTCTCTGAGATTTCCTTTGCCGGCCGCTCGTGTTATGTGCGCTTGTGTCTGTATGTGCTGTGTGCCCATGACTGGCGCTGGGGAGGGATTGGGTGAAGGTGGTGGTGAGGAAGGGTAAGAAAAGGAAAGGGAAGGCAGTTTTAAGGGATAGGAAGGAAGAGGAAGGGAAAGGAGAGAAGGGGAAGGGCTATTACCTGGCCATCCTGCTGCAGGTGATGGTGAAGGATCTGAGAATGCGGCTGCTGATGGGGGGTCAGAATGTGCATAAAGGGGGCAGGTGGGTAGGCAGCAGCTGTGGCCGGATTGATGGGGCCCCCACTTCCTAGGGCTGAAGGCAAGTTGAAGGAAGCAGCAGGAGTACCGGAATGAAAACCTTGTTTCTCAAAGGACTGCTATCCAGGAGGCCAGGAGGAGACAGAGTAAAAGGGATCAGCAAACTAGTCTTGGGATTTTTCCTGAGCTCAAGCTCCCTGACCCTCAGAAAGCAGCATGGTGTCACAGAAGGCACAGTACACTTGAAGTCACATATTCAGGTCTCAGTCTCAGCTCTGCTCTTATTTAAGAACTGTGTGAACCTGGGCATACTACTCAATCTCTTAGCCTCAGTTTCCTCAGATATAAAACAGGGATGCTACAAACCTGTTGTAAAGACCAAATAGGCTGGGCATGGTGGCTCACATCTGTAATCCCAGCACTTTGGGAGGCCAAGATGGGTGGATCACACAAGGTCAGGAGTTTAAGACCAGTCTGGCCAATATGGTGAAACCCCGTCTCTACTAAAAATACAAAAATTAGCCGGGCATGGTGGCGGGCGCCTGTAATCCAGCTACTTGGGAGTCTGAGGCAGGAGAATCACTTGAACCTGGGAGGTGGAGGTTGCAGTGAGTCAAGACTGTGCCACTGCACTCCAGCCTGGGAGACAGAGGGAGACTCCATCTCAAGAAAAAAAAGAAAAAAAAAGGCTGGGCGCAGTGGCCCATGCCTGTAATCCCAGCATTTTGGGAGGCCAATGCAGGCGGATCACCTGAGGTCAGGAGTTTGAGACCAGCCTGACAAACATGAAGAAACCCCGTCTCTACTAAAAACACAAAATTACCCGGGCATGGTGGCACATGCCTGTAATCCCAGCTACTTGGGAGGCTGAGGCAGGAGAATCGCTTGAACCCGAGAGGCGGAGGTTATGGTGAGCCCAGATCGCACCATTACACTCCAGCCTGGGCAACAAGAATGAAACTCCGTCTCAAAAAAAAAAAAAAAAAAAAAAAAAAGACCAAATAAGAGGATGGAATGTGGAAGCACTTTGTAAAACTGAATGTCATATGTGAACATCATGAAATCCGAACTTAGAACTCCAGGCTGGGCATGATGGCTCACATCTGTAATCCCAGCACTTTTGGGAGGCTAAGGCGGGTGGATTGCTTGAGCCCAGGAGTTCGAGACGAGCCTGGGCAACATGGCAAAACCCTGTATCTACCAAAAAACAAAAATACAAAATACAAAACAAACAAAAAACAAAAATACAAAAATTAGGCAGGCCTGGTGGTGTACACCTATAGCCCCAGCTACTCAGAAGGCTGAGATTCCACCACTGCACTCCAGCCTGGGTGACTTCTTGAGACTGTCTCCAAAAAAAAAAAAAAAGGCAAACCAATAGTGTCCCTACCCCTTCCAATATTCCTTACAAAAATAGTAACTCCGCTGGGTGCAGTGGCTCACGCCTGTAATCTAGCACTTTGGGAGGCCAAGGTGGGCAGATCATGATGTCAGGAGTTCGAGACCAGCCTAGCCAAGATGGTGAAACCCCGTCTCTACTAAAAAATACAAAAATTAGCAGGCGCGGTGGTGGGCACCTGTAATCCCAGCTACTCAGGAGGCTGAGGCAGGAGAACCGCTTAAACCCAGGAGGCAGAGTTTGCAGTGAGCCGAGATCACACCACTGCACTCTAGCCTGGGTGACAAGGCAAGACTCCATCTCAAAAAAAAAAAAAAAAAAAAAACTCGTTGGATATTTCAAAAGAAATAAACACATACTGAGATATTTGAAGTGCTGAAGGTCTTGTGCATGAAGTGCCCCCCCAGACCCCCAGTGCTTTATAGCAAACTTTAAGTATTTATGGTGATGGGGGATAAAAGCAACATAACAAACCTGTGGATCACTCAAATGCTTCATTAGTTACTAGGTCGTCTCCTTTCCCACTCCCACTGTTATAGATTTACTCAAAGAATGGAATGAACTAGTTTCCTGTCACTCTCATACTTATTCTCTTGAAAAGTTATGAAAAAGGTTGGGAGTAGGTAGGAAAAGGGGCCAGGAGAGTTGCACAGTAAATTACATGACACGATAAACAATTTGCCACGCTTTACCTTCCTATTACGTTTCTCGTTTTTTTTCTCAGAGGGCTAAATTTTAACTTCTTAGAGGAAGTGAAGTCTAGAGAAGACCTTTCATTTAGAAAAAGTAGGATGGGTTTCCTGCCACCTCTCCTAGGGTTCTTCTTGTCCACTGTTATTTCTACCATTGCAACTCCACCTCCTCTATGTCTATCTCTTTTCCACTTTTATCCAGAGCCAGGCACCTACCTGGGTTTTGGAGTACACAGAACCCGAGATATCTGGCACGCCCGTGTTACTGGAGGTGACTGAAACACCTGGGGGAGGAGGAAACAGACAGGAGGATTAGCTCAGCTAGCTACCTGGCCCTTATTCCTGAGATGAGGTGATATCTGTAGCCTTTCTAGCTATACCAATGCAAGGGAATTTTGGTCGGTTTTCCAGCTTCAAGTTAGTCCTGAGAGGTAAGAGTTCATGAAACAAAAGCTCCCTAAGGGTTCTTTGGCCCTTCCCAGGTACGTGTTGAGTATACGTGAGAGAGAGTGAGGTAAGTTGTTTTTTGGTGGGCAAGGGGATATGACCAAACCTCACTAGCATACACTGTTTTCAAAACACTTCTGTGCCAAAGTCTAGCAGGAATATAATAAACTTTTAATTTTAATGTCCATTTCAAATCAATCCACCCAAATGCCACTCAGTTTTATTCCTGGAGACTGGGGCAGTCTGGCCCTCTCTCTTCCTGAAGTGACATTTCTGGGCTCAAAATCCATGCCTCCACTGCATAAGTACTAGAGGAGCAGTCCACTTTAATCCCCAAGGGCACTCTCATTCTCAGAGCCTCAGCTCAATTAGTCCAGCTTCTTTAGTCTTGGAGCATCTAGGCTAAATCTTCAAACTTAAGATGTAAAGGTCTAGTATCAAGATCAATTTCCATGTACACAATTTAAGCCTAAGTGTAGCGGGGTGGGGAGGGATAGGTAGACAGGAGTAGGCCATCTCCTATAGCCTAGGTGGAACACAAAAACCACGTCATTTTCAGTATACAACTTCAGCTTCTCCGTAAGATAAAAGCTCTCATACCCCAACTCTCATATTTCCTGTTGAAAAAAACTCCCTACTAACCACTACAACTTTAAAGAAACCAGAGTAGTACAACATGTCATTCTAATTTGTACTCCTCAAACAAATAAATACTCATACTATATTCCATCACCTGGGGTATAAGGCATCGGGTCAAGAAGATAGGAAAAGCCATGAAATAAATAACCTAACATCTTTTATACTTTCCATTTTGAAACAAAGATGTGAAGAAAAGTAAGTAATTTAACTAGGAATATAAAGCATGATTTTAAAAAGATATATTAGTTTTTATAAAAATAAAACAAAGCTTCAGAAAAACTTTGCCTGTCTATGCCCTTGGATCCTTCCCATCAGAGGTACACATTTCCTTCTCCTCTGCTATCAGGAACACTGATGGAAAAGAGTTTTAGAAGCAGTGTACTAGAGTGGCCAAATCACAAATAAGGAATCCTCCATTCACCCACAATTCAAACTCTAGAACCTAAATCCTCCCAATGCCTCAGACAAAGGCAGCCTTCCAAAGTTAAGCCCACCTTGAACAGTCACTTTTGAAGTGGTATCTTAATCTGGAAAACCTTCCCAACATCCTAAGTCCAGATAGTTCCTGGGAGGGGCAAACACTAACTAGGAAAAATAACGGAACTACAGAAAACCAAGCAAGAGAAAATACTTCCTCATCTCCGAAGCATCAACTGTCTAAAGACACTGAAGTAAAAGAAGGGAACGATACAGGAGTATCTTAAAGGGCTAATGGGGTATTTTTTCCATTCCCTTTTCAAACCCGAGGTGCCCATCTGGCAAATCACTGAGTAACAGGCATAACTTTTAAGAATAGGAAGTTCAGTTATGGAAAAGGCTTAAGCTAGTAAGTTCATGTGGAAGGGTGGAGAGTAAAGGTGGAATAAACAGGATATAAGTAGAACATTTTTAAGTCAAACCAAAAGAGAGAATTTATCTTTACTGCAAAGGCAAAAAAAAAATAAAAAAATAAAAAATAGCATAGTTGGTCACCTTCTGCAGTGAGGCTAGGCTGCCTATATTGGATGGAAGAAATGACTAACTGGATTCTCAAGCCGAGTGGTAGGGAGGAATTCAGCTCCAGTGTGCCCCTACCTGATCTCATTCTTTCCAGAGTTTAGGCTAAAAACAGCTTCTAGTCCAGAGGCCTTATCTTTGATATGAGGTTGAAGGGACTGAGAATGCAGGAACCATAATACTCTGTAGTAGCCATAATAATCTCAATTACAGTATTAGAGACCTAGAAAATAATGGGTACTGATTTCACTACCCCTCACCAGTTATTAGGAAGATCTTCAGACTACAGAGTTCTCTTGCTTTCCTTCCAACATCAACACCCCCTACTTATCCCCAAACAGTGACAATACCAGAATCACGTGGGCAGCAGGGCAGAGACACATGAATCTATCTCTCCCACCATGGCAGCCCCTGGGAAAGGTGGTCACACTCCACAGAGCAAAATTACTCCAAAGGGCTGGGAACAAATACAAGGAAAGCTGAATACTTTGGTTTCTAATTCACCCAGGGTGGTGATCTCACTGTCCACGTTAACTTTATAAACAAAGGGCTAATGTTGTATGCTAGCTGGACTGGGAGGGAATTAGAATTTCCATAGTCAAGGAGATATCTGACCAAACCGCTCCTGCACATCCTTAGCTTATACCCACAAATGCAAAACTGGTAATCCACGATCTCTGAAAAGCCATCAAGGGACTAAGAACAATGTTCCAGGATAGCACAGTCGCCACAGAGCCTGAGTCATCAACTAGCTTATCACTAATGACTTTATCAGATCTTAGCCACTTGGCCTTTAGGAACCAGATAGATGTGGGAATTAAGCCTTGAAAGATACTTCTCTAACAGCTCTGAAAACTCTCTCTTTTGCCTTTCACCATGACATGACACTCCAAACTTTTTTGTCCTTTCCCCCACTGCTTATGTAAGAGGCAAAGGAAAGATCTAAATGGAAAAATGAAGCAACATAAGCATGGAGAATCAGGTATTTCTACAAATAGTTTCCTTTACCAACTAATCAACAGGTGGGAAACTGAGGCTGTTTCCCCTCCCCCCACCTTCATAAAACCACCATACTGAAAAATTAATAGTTCTTTGGCTATGCTGGGGTTTGATTAAAAAGGCCACCCTCCACCCTTCATCCACAGCACAGCATTGGTTCCTAGTGTCCACAAAGACATGCACGGAAAGAACGCCAGAGTTAGCTAAAGAAATACCACAGTTTATTGAAGACTACAAATATTTTTGTTACAAGTTGAAACTACATGCCTTCCAGAAATCAAAAGCAACAGCAGGTGTGTGCATTGATGCTTCGAAGGTGCTGCACCGCTTGAACTTGAAATGGGTAAGACAGGGTCAGACACATGGGGGAGAGGGAAATGGGGGAGGGGCAAGTTCAAAAGCCCAGAAGGTATCCACCAACTCATTTCCCCAAGCCACGCAGGCCATGGCCTCAGCTCAGCAGGCTCTCCTCAGTGGTCTGGTTTCTGAAACAAGACTTCAGTGCAAATTTATACACACACACAAAACACAGCCCCCAGCCTTGGGCCAAATTAGCTCTCAGCCGTCCAGAAATGCTTGTAAGGGGGTGGATATTTTCTTCCTAAAAGGAATCAAATACATAAAAATAAATGAATGGAATGACAAAAGCCCTTTGTGGGGTTGGGAACTGGGGGTTCTCAAGGGCTGATATAATACGTTTCTGAATTCTGAAGGGAGGCAAGAAGGTGGGATTTCTAGAATCAGGTATGCCAATTCTCTTATATTATCCATCACCTACCTCTTAAAATTCGTGAACCTGGTCCAACTAAGACTTCAACCTAATGTCCTCAGAAAGGGGCCACCACTCCAAGTCAAAAGGCTTATAATCCTCCCCACCAAGATTTAGGGTGAACCTTGCTCAATGACAGGGGTGGCCACAAGGAGTCTATGTATTAAATCTCAATGGGGCTTCTCAGGATTTGTTTAATTTAACTCATGACCCACTCTAACTCATGCAGCACAGTTCAAAGCTCCACTTGGCTATCAGTTCCTAGCCCTTACTGCCTTCTGTGCTCTTCCCAATTATTGAAAACTGTGGGCAACTGACCCACCCAGAGCCCACATAAGGGTGAAAAACACATGCTGCTCTATCCAAATCACCATGAAACTGTAACTGAGCTGACAGCTTTGAAGGACAACCCCCATCCCCAACCCTAAGCAATCAGAGAAACCTACTCCTCCCCTATTCATCTACAAGTCGCTGAAAAGGTACAATTATATTATTCAAAGATTCCTTCTCACTCCCTGTCCTCCAAAAGTAGAGCACAGATGTCAGGTATGGAAGCAAGGGAGAGGCTGAGTATCTTTTAGGTAAGTACCCATCCAGAGGATTCCTACAATTCCCTCCCTGCCATCACATATGCAAAAAGACTTGCAAAGAGACCAGCCATACAAATGAAGGAACCTAAAGGCCCAACTCTCCCAGTCCAATTCCCACTCTATTAAGTATGGTCACGCCTACTCCTTTTTCTCCACAGTTTAGGTCTTCTAGCTAGGGAATAAAAAAGGACACATAAGAAAAGTAGTGCTACAAAGTGATTTAAGCCAAACCTATCGTAGGCTGCTAGCTATGAACCCATTTAATCCTTCTACTCAGTGAATACACCCCCCTTTTGTACTATCAGTGCCATACATACTATTAACACTTGCCTCCACTGACATTTCAGCAAAATCTTGGGGCTCCTTGCCCTACTTCCACCCACACTTTTGGCCAACCAACATATTCTAAAAACCAACACATACTCTTGGGCATTCCCGTCACAAATAGTGGACACATGTCCTAGTATCAAGCTCCTCTGTTGGTGCTGCTCCCACAGATACCCAAGTCAGCCAAGCATTAACAATCATACCTGGGGCAGCGGCACACCCTCACCAATCCCATTTTCTCAAGCACCAAGTCTTCCTCCCTGAAATTTATCCAATAACACCCCACAGATAACACCGAGCCAGAGACAAGGTCAGCTTACCAGTGTTGTATCCATGAGACCCATATCCACTCGGCTGTTGGAAAGGGGTGGCCGATGCATTCACACTGACATTCACACCATGCTGCTTGGAAGAGGTAGGAGCCACCTAAAGAGCAAAAAGGCCAGATTTGCAGTGACTTGGCAGCAGAATACCATCTGTCCCACTTGTCCTGCTCCAGGTACTGGCCATTCAGATGGCTACCTATCCTGATGCAAGTTGACTACAGTTTGCTTAGTGAAATTAGCTCCTTACTAACTGTTCTAGAATCTACTAATGAAGTCAAGAAATGGTAGTTTGGAGGAAGAAAAAGGGACAATGGCAGCAGGGAATGAATGAATCTGAGTGAAGCAAAGCTGTATGGTATCATATTCTCCCTTTGGCAAATTCTAAGACTAGGCAATCCCTATCCTAATTCCACCAATTCCAGCCCCATTCCCCCACCACCCTGCATCAGGCCAAAAACAGGCCAGAGGTGGAAACTGTTCCTCCTCATCCATTATTAAAGTCATTGACCCTTAAAAGCAGCTAGGATAGTGTCCAGGGCTAGGATCCTTCACCACAAGGAGTGACCAAAGCCAGGTACTCACAGGGAACACAGCAGGCCCATACTGGAAGGTGCTGGGGAGGCCCGGGACCCCTGTATAGTATGGCAGGCTGGTGTAACTGTAGCCAGGAGGCAGCGCCGGGTTCAGGAATGTCTGCTGCGTGGTATGGTGAGTCTGCGTCTGGTTCTGTTGGGGTTGGGCCAAGGTTGTGGCCGGGGCTGGGGAGGAGGCATCCCCACGGCCGAACTTTGTGAGGTCACCTGTGACAGGAGAAGCTAAATGTACCTGCCTCTTTCACCCCAATACCAATACAGAATTACCTCTTCTGATTTCACATGATTCCAGGAGATCCTGTTCAAAGACTATTAAAGTTCAATTCCTTGAATTACATTTCTTAGTGGCTCCAATTATTGTTGCTCAGCATACACTTAGCACAGTTGCTGCAAGTCAAGGACTAATGTTGAATAACTGTGCAATGCTATGGCAGGAGGCTCTTGGAATAAGGCACCTGCACAATTTCTCTGCCCACTTGTGTTCTCTTTCATCTTCCCTCTTCTTCCCTCCCCTCTTCTCCTCCATGGGGAATACCCCATGCTGGACTTGAAGGACAACGATGGATCAGGGAAAACGGTAAGTCAATGAGGACAATGATAGGTCAGGTAAAAGAAGGAGTGGCAAGGCAGTGAGATTGCCACTGTGAGTAGTAGCATAAAGGGGCAGAGATGAGCAGAGAAGACCACCTCAACCACTGTATTTCCTGGAAAAAGCTAGCAAATGGCTTGAAACTAAGTCAAGATATCACTTTTTTTGGAGATGGGGTCTTGCTATGTTGCCCAGGCTGGTCTTGAACTCCTGGGCTCAAGCAATTCTCCCACCTTGGCCTCCCAAGTAGCTGAGACTACAAGTGTGTGCTACCATGCCTGGCTAAGATATCATCTAGAAATCACAGGGAGACAACACAAAGTGGGATGAATAGGAAAAGCCATGACATGCCCAACTTTAGCAGGATTTTGAATCTACCAATCCTGATTTATCACATCCCTTCTTGCTACCAATCAGGTGTCTGCCATCAATCCCAACACTATCTCCCTTTTTATTTATTTAGTCCCATCCCAATCCTACCAGAATAAGGGTTGCTGGCCAGGCTACCATCCCTCCCAGTCAGCGGAGTAGTGGGTGTGGGAAATGGGATGCTGTAGTAATCCTAGAAAAGAGGGGAAAAAAGAGCAGAGATTCAATGTCACTCATTCCCCAGCATGAGTACTATTTCCACGGAGGAAAAAACAGAAGAATGTGAGAGTTGTGCAATTTATCCAGTCACTAATTAAGCTGGCTAGAGTTAGCACAAACTCCACATTACTCTTGCATACACTGTCCCCCCTGCCTGGCCATGAGCACAGTCAGACAAGGTCTACGGGTATGCCCACTTGAGAATACATCAAAGTCCACGAGGACCAATATTTTCAACCCTCTAGGTGTCATCCCTATCAGTTTATACCAAGCTTATTCTACTGAGAAAACAGATCATTCGATAATTTAAAGTGTCTGGGACAAACAGAAAGCACCCTGAGTGCTCCAGAGTACTTTACTGGGCTATAGAATAGGTTAAAATGTATTTACTAAGATGCCACAACTCTGATTTAAAAAAAGAAAAAAAAAAGGCTGGGTGCGGCGGCTCATGCCTATAAGCTCAGCAC
Organism: Homo sapiens; assembly: GCF_000001405.40. Taxonomy (NCBI): domain Eukaryota; kingdom Metazoa; phylum Chordata; class Mammalia; order Primates; family Hominidae; genus Homo; species Homo sapiens. The sequence continues at coordinate 154,259,454 of NC_000001.11, read as the reverse complement.
TTAGGGAGGCAGAGGCGGGTGGATCATAAGGTCAGGAGTTCAAGACCAGCTTGGCCAAGATGGTGAAACCCCGCCTCTACTAAAAATACAAAAAAAATTAGCTGGGGGTGGTGGTGGGCACCTTTAATCCCAGCTACTCGGAAGGCTGAGGCAGACAATTGCTTTAACCCAGGCGGCGGAGGTTGCAATGAGCCAAGATCACACCACTGCACTCCAGCTTGAGCGACAGAGAAAGACTCTGTCTCAAAAAAAAAAGTTATCTTCTGTTGGAAACCCTCCCCCAAATCCCTATATTCTAATATGCCTTAAATCAGAGTGTATGGAGGGCTGGGATGGGAAAGAGCTATGTCTGTGACGGAGATAATTCTCCCAACACTAATTTTAAGACTACTTTCTTTTCCAAAGCTCTATCCCACATACTCACCAATGGAAATCTTGTCTGAAGCATCTGCAAGTCATCATAACCATATACTTGTGGCTGAAAGATACAGACATATAGCAATAACAGGAACTGGTCATGATGTTAGCAAAACAAGGAGCCAAGAGACAAGCTAATTCAACAGAACATTCATCCTCATTCTGGGTTAGAACAGGACACGGATTATTTCCTTCAATTTTATTTAAGGAAAAAGCAGTAAAGTACACAGAGATTAAATGATTCATGAAAGGTCTTGAAGCTTTCCTTGAGCTAAATACTACTGATTCTAGTAGGCTGGCTTCTTGATACCAATAGAGTAGACACAAAACATACACGAACAACCAGTTTTACTCTCTATTCTACAAGTCTCTGTCTCTTATACTCTTCAAAATCTGGCTTAAAAATAATCTCCTCTGGAAAGAATACTTCACTTTTCTCCAATGTCAGGGTTTTAAGGTAGTGACCACAAATTAAAAATGTGTAACTGTGTTATTTGGATGTGTCATCGGTATGAAATTTATCTAGACTTTGTCTATGAGGGCAGGAACAGGTATCTTCTAAAACGTTTCCATATATCCTTCATCTTAATAGGTACCAAATACTTGAAGGTCACAGAAGATACACTAGGGCAAAAAGCTACTAATGTCAGCCACTTATTCTCAAAGTCCCAGATTGAGTCAGGAAACTTTCCTCTAACCAGGCCAGACCAGCAAACACACTCAGAGTTAGGGATTTAATCAAATCAGAGAAAATAATTCTTGGGGCCAGGAGTAGTGGCTCAGGCCTATATATAACCCCAGTTATTTGAGAGGCTGAGGCAGGAGGACTGTCTGAACCTGGGATTTTGAGACCAGCCTAGGCAACATAGGAAGACCCTGTCTCTAAAAAAATTTTTAAAACTTAGCCAGGCATGGGGATGCACACCTGTAGTCCTAGCTACTTGGGGAGTCTGAGGTGAGAGGATTGCTTGAGCCCAGGAGTTCAAGGCTGCAGTGAGCTAGCTATGATCGTTCCACTGTACTCCAACCTGGGTAAAAGAGCAAGATCTGCCTCAAAAAATAAAATAATAGTCATAATTATCTAAGAAACCAAAAAGGATTCCAGATGAACATTCTGGCCTTTGGCTTCTGAGGCCCAGAAGCTGTGTTTCAAACAGGGCAGATATTCTCATCACACATATACATACACATTGTACGCACACACACACATGCATACATGTGTGCACCATAAACCAAAGCAGATACACAATAGATGGGTTGGCCTCAGTTTAGTATTTTTTCCAAAACTGCAAAGATTAAAAACCAGTTTGATTACATGTGGCAATCCCTCATTTATTTTATATTTTAATTACAGTTGACCCTTAACACAGGTTTGAACTGCACGCTGTTTATATATGAATTTTTTCCAACCAGACACACAGATCAAAAATACGGCCACATTTACAGAATGCAAAACTCATATACATGGATTCCACAGAGCCAACTGCAGGGCTTGAGTATGTGCAAGTTTTGGTATTCACAGGGGTCCATCTGAAGCCAGAGCTATAAAAAGAGTAGCCACAACATCCTCACCTTTTGAAGAAGATCCTTTAGTCCCACTTACCGGGTAGGCATGTAACAGCCCTGGAGCCATAATATACGGATTAGGCAACAACGGCGGGACCCCAGGAGGGAGGTTGGGAGGAGCTTTTCCTAAAAGAGAAATTACATTTTTATCCCATCACACAATTACTTACCTCCTCCATCCCAGAGGAATGCCATCTGCTTATGCAAGGCTACCTGAAGTCGTAGCAACTGAGCTTCGAGTCGAGGCTGTGACAGTGGAGTTGCTGCCTAGGCTGAGGCCCAGGCTACTGCCACTATTGAGACTGGAGGAGACACTGACCACTGGGGGAGGTGCAGAGACTGTGCTGGATGTGGTGGAAAAAGTGCTGGAGGAAGAATGGAGATTCGCCTCACTCTCCACACTTGTGTGCTTCAAAAGGGGGAGCAGTGGAAGAGAGAAGAAGAAAAGAGATCAGCATCATAGGTCAGGAAAAATAAGACAATCCCTCCTGCTGAATATATTATGATGTCAACTTCCTAATTAAAGAGGCCAAGTAGGCAAGGTACCAAAGTACACCCTGCTAAAGTAGTTAGAAATAATCTCCAGCTACATATTCCTCAAGACTCATCTGGCAAGAATGGTAACAGACTCACTGCACATCATCATCCTGTTCAGAAAGACAGTAAAGCAAATGGAGACAGATTCCCCAGAGACTAACACTGGCTGATAAAGGAACAGAGAGAGTTGAGATGTAAAAAATATATCACAGCTTTCTCTCCCCAACTTTTCTTTACTAGTTGAGACCAGTTTGTGGACTAGGAAAAAGCAAAAATTCTGATTTTACATTTTTTTTGAGACAGGGTCCCATCCTGTTGCCCAGGCTGGGGTGCAGTGGTGCAATCTTGGCTCACTGCAACCCTGGCCTCCTGGGCTCAAACAGTCCTTCCACTTCAGCCTCCCGAGTAGCTAGGACTCTACGAATGTACCACCATGCTTGGCCAATCTTCAAAAAATTTTTATGGAGATGAGGTCTCACTATATTGCTCAGGTTGGTCTCAAACTCCTGGGCTCAAGCAATCCTCCTGCCTTGGCCTCCCAAAGTGTTGGGATTACAGAGGTGAGCCACTGCACCTGTCCACAATTCTGACTTTAAATCTGAAACTGTGTATTTGAATAGAGACTCCTAAAGGAGCCTTAGCCCTCATACCTCCCCAGGCTTCCGGCAAATCTGATACTTTTGTCCAAAATGGGTCCTTCCCTTTACAGGCTCAGCTTAATTCTATTAATAGTTGTTACAAATCAAAACAATAAAATTGACTCTTGGACCAAAAGCTCTCACCTGGCATCTACTTTCACAAAAATGTCCAGCCTTGCACTGATTCTTTTCAGAACTTGGGCATACCCAAGACCAAGGAAAGAGAACAGCTCTACCAGTTGGAAAGGTATGTTCTTCCAGAATTTATTAAAGCATACAAAGCCCAACTATATATTCAGTAGGGGAAAAAAATCAGAAAGTCACTTTCAGGGCTTTTAGGAATGACCCAGAGCTCAATGTTTAGGGATTCTTCTGCCTCTCTTGGCTTCCTAACATCCCTTTACTCCTTTTCCTGCAACCTCAAATCAATTATTTTGCCACCTCATGAAGAAATTTTCAATAATTCTCTCTTGGGACAATCTTACAGTTGGACAGTTCTAAGTGTAAGAAAACCACACATCCCTCTCAGCATCACACTTACCAAAAGAGTGGATGTCGAAGTGCGCCCAGAAGATGTTGATGATGAAAGGGTATTCTGCTGCGTAGATAACGTGCTGTCAGAAAAAAAGAGGCTGCCATCAGCCATAGTGCTATAGTTACGTGACCTGGAGCTTCAGTCAAGAACATAACAAGGAAATAAGACATAATATGGGACACCAAGGAGGTCTGAGATCATATGTTAAGCACAATGGCCAGCCAGGGGTAGAGAGCAGTTAAAGCAAAAGTGGATGTTGAAAGGGGAAAATTAAAACAAGCCTCCTCTGTCTTCACTTCCCACAGTTCTTAGGTCACCCACTTACGACAAAAGCAGGGCTAATGTGGTCTCTGCCAGGTCAAGGGAGTAATAAGGACCAGAGAGCTCTGTTATTGCTATTCACCAACCCCAACCTCCATCCTCACCCCAAATCACCTGCTGTGTTGTGTGGTGGTAGTATTTGGAATCTCCTCACTGTGGCTCAAGCCACCCAAGGAGGATGAATGCTGATTGGTTGTCGTCAGTAAGGAAGCTGCAGATACCGTTTCATTGAGAGGGGGGATGCTAGAAGTGGAAGGTGAATCAGATTTCACTGCAGAGCCTGTAGCACCTAGAAATTTAGAAGAAAGGAATTCCTCTCATCAGAAAAAAGGGAATGTCTATAGAGAGGTGACCACAGTCCAAGGCAGTTCCAAAGACAAAAGGATGAGTTATTTAACAATGGACTATATTAGGTAGAATCTTTTTTCTTTAATGCTGAGAATTACACAGCATGGGTCTCAATTGTCCAGTGAAGGGAACTAATGGATTATCACCATTTTAAGATAGAAAACCAGAAACTTAGGAGGGGAAAAGCCTGAAGAACACTCACCTTCAACAGATTGTGTGGTCTGTAACTGCGTGGCCTGCACAGAACTGAAGCCATTCTGGTAAAAAAAAAAAAAACAGAAGAGCAAGAAACAGACAAACTCATGTGAATGAGGAAAGTTAGCACTGATGCAGCTTTATTTTGGTCAACAAATCTTTAGGAGAAACTCTGTAAATTAACCAAAAGGATTAATATTAATACAATGTAGACTATCCAAAAAACCAAAATAGGAACAAAAATTAAACAACAAAACTGAGATATACCAACACTGTGTGACCAAAAGCAAAAGAAGGAAACCCTACAAATTGTTGAAGACACCCCAAACCTAAAACAGATAGAGGAAAGGCCCAAAGTCCACATCCAGTGATTTTTGGGGAAGGGTAAGTACAACAGTTCAGCCACACCACCTATTCCGCTGGCTGCATCTGACACTCACTCCACATCACCTCTGGCACATGCTGTCTCCCTCACCATGCCAGGACTTAGCAAGGTGAGGTCTACTGACACGCACCCAGAAATCTGGCAATCACATCTTCCCAGAAGACAGGACAGGCACTTGAGACTGATTCTACTAGAGGCAATGAATTTTTAGTACAAAGAGAATGGTTTCCTGGCTCTTCAGTCTCCGGGTTTGCTGATAAGAACTTTTAATTCACTAGCCACAGATGTGTGCCTTTTTCAAATTCTCAATCACTACTTCCAAAGTTTCTTAGCACCACTTGCTGAAAAGTAAAACACTAATATTTAAGGAATTTTTGCCCACTATTCTCCTAACCAATTCCCAAGGGTTCATGAAGCCACTACCTTTGCCTGAGTCAGGTCCTTTTGGGGTGATGAAGAGATGGAGCTGGGGTACCGCCGAGTCTGTGTGGATCTCTGTTCATAAAGAGGGCCCTGAGCATTATTTTGGGAGGTATAGGTTGTCGACTGAATTGGGCCGCTCTGATAACCAGACTCCTGACTCTGGTTAGATGAAATTGTAGAGGATGATTCACTGTGAGTAACGAAGAGAAAAATCTCAGAGAAACAAAATAGAGCATATCTACTCATACTAAGGAAATCGTGGAGATCTACTAGTGGAATAACTTGATTTGAATCAAGAAGAAATTTTTCAGCAACAAATAGAAGAATCTACCAAAATTTCCTCCTGATAACACTAGGAATCCCTACCTTCTATAGCGCCAGAGATCTGAATTAAGAATTAATCTTAAAAAAACATCTAGGCCGGGCGCAGTGGCTCACGCCTGTAATCCCAGCACTTTGGAAGGTCGAGGCGGGCGGATCACGAGGTCAGGAGATCAAGACCATCCTGGCTAACATGGTCTCTACTAAAAATACAAAAAAATTAGCCGGGCATGGTGGCGGGCACCTGTAGTCCCAGCTACTTGGGAGTAGGCAGGAGACTGGCATGAACCCGGGAGGCGCAGCTTGCAGTGAGCCGAGATCAAGCCACTGCACTCCAGCCTGGGTGACAGAGCGAGACTCCATCTCAAAAAAAAAAAAAAAAAAATCTTAAAAACATCTTCAAGTCTTCAAGGAAGAGAAAAGTCCCTTGGCTCCCCCCTACATTTTGCTGTTATAAGAAAAAGTGGACCCGGAAGCCGTGGCTCATGCCTGTAATCCCAGCACTTTGGGAAGCCAAGGTGGGCAGATTACAAGGTCAGGAGATCGAGACCAGCCTGGCCAACATGGCGAAACCTTGTCTCTACTAAAAATACAAAAAATAGCCAGGCATGGTGGTGGGCGCCTGTAATCCCAGCTACTCAGGAGGCTGAGGCAGGAGAATCACTTGAACCTGGGAGGCAGAGGTTGCAGTGAGCTGAGATCGTGCCATTGCACTCCAGCCTGTGTGACAAGAGCAAGACTCTGTCTCAAAATAAAAAAGTGGCTAAATGTCGGTATACAGGATACATTACTCTTGGCCCCTTCTATACATTATAACATGGACCCTAAGCACAGGAAAAGCCATCTTTTGTTCACACTCATTTTAGAGAATTCTGAATTCTAGGCTCCCTCAAGAACCATATAAGATTTGGGCCGGGTGTGGTGGCTCACGCCTGTAATCCCAGCACTTTTGGAGGCCAAGGTGGGCAGATCATCTCCATTCAGGAGTTCAAGACTGGCCTGAACAACATGGTGAAACCCCATGTCTACTAAAAATACAAAATTAGCTGGGCATGGTGGTGCATGCCTGTAATTCCAGCTACTAGGGAGGCTGAGGCAGGAGAATTGCTTAAACCTGGGAGGCAGAGGTTGCAGTGAGCGGAGATTGCACCATTGCACTTCAGCCTGGGCAACAAGAGCAAAACTCTGAGCCAGGCGTGGTGCCTCATGACTGTAATCCCAGTCCTTTGGGAGGCCGAGGAGGGCAGATCACCCGAGGTCAGGAGTTCAAGACCAGCCTGGCCAACATGGTGAAACCCTGTCTCTACTAAAAATACAAAAATTAGCCGGATGTGGTGGCACATTCCAGTAATCTCAGCTACTCAGGAAGCTGAGGCAGGAGAATTGCTAGAACCTGGGAGGCAGAGGTTACAGTGAGCCGAGATCACACCACTGCACTCCAGCCTGGCAACAGAGCAAAACTCCATCTAAAAAAAAAAAAAAAAAAAAAATCTGGGCTGGGCACGGTTGCTCACCCCTGTAATCCCAGCACTTTGGGAGGCCGAGGTGGGTAGATCGCTTGAGGTCATGAGTTCTAGACCAGCCTGGCCAACATGGTAAAACACCATCTCTACTAAAAAATACAAAAATTTGCTGGTTATGGTGGTGGGCACCTGTAATCCCAGCTACTCGGGAGGCTGAGGCAGGAGAATCGCTTGAACCCGGGTGGCAGAGGTTGCAGTAAGCCGAGATCGCACCACTGCATTCCAGCCTAAGCAACAGAGTGAAACTCTGTGTTTAAAAAAAAATTTTTTTTGTAGAGACAGGGACTCATTATGTTGCCCAGGCTGGTCTTGAACTCCTGGCCTCAAGCAATCCTCCTGCCTTGGCCACCCAAAGTGCTGGGATTATAAGTGTCAGCCATCACACCCAGCCCCTAAGGGGCATATTTCTACCTGTTTAGTTACAGATAACCCTAATAACAATATTTTAAAGCACTAAAAATGCTATGACTGACTACTTTCCCCCTCAGCCATGCAGAGGGGCTTGGCCTCTCCAGAGTTCTAGAAATCTCCCACAGATTAAAAAAGTAGTAAAGGTTAATAAGAGAGGTCTTATGGTTAATGTTTCCTCTACCTGGCCGTGCTGGTATACAGGCTACTTGGAGCCTGGCTTGAAGAGGCGCTCGTGGTGGGGGTGGACTCATAATCAGAAAGGACAGGCTCTGACCCAAACTGCAATGCCCCAAACTGCAGGTTTAGCCCTGAGATATCTGCTGAGCCAGGCATCTCCACAGCCAGAGCAGGAATCTATAAAGTTGAAGGAGAAGAGAAAGTAATGGCTTTAATACAACCTTACTAAAGACTAAAAAAAACCCTTCCCTTTAAATTTCCAAACTTACCCTTTTAATCTCAATTCTCAAGCCCCACACCCCTTGCCATAAAATGGTATCTACCTAAAAGTTTAAGTACCTTAGAAGTCAAGGAGGCTTTTTTCTTCTGCTGTTTCAGTTTCTGCTGAGCCGGCTGAGGGCTAGAGGACTGGTTGTCTGAAGATCCAGGCGACATCTGTGGAGCCGATGTGGATTTGCTTGGCAGAGGAGAAGACGGAGGTGGAGGTGCAGCTGTGGAGGTAGCCACTGCAGGTGACTTCTCCTGAAGGAACACCTCCATCATGGTTGAAGATGGGGTAAAAGCCTGGCGCTTTGTAAAGGGGCTGTGCACTGCTGAATCACTTGGGTTCTTCAAATCTGCAAGAGGAAACCCAGTATATGAAGCCAGAGATGCTAATGAATCTCAAGGAAATGCTATTGTCCTGCACTAGCACCATGAATGAGGACTGTAAAAATCAGAAACTCATATAAGCAGGCCCTCTTTTGGGGCTTAATCTCATTTCTATAGGTGACAATCACTGGATTACATCTTTTTTTTTTTTTTTTTTTTGAGATGGGAGTCTTGCTCTGTCACCCAGGCTGGAATGCAATGGTGCAATCTCAGCCCACTTCAACATCCGACTCCTGGGTTAAAGCAATTCTCTTGCCTCAGAGTAGCTGGGACTACAGGCGCGCGCCACCATGCCTGGCTAATTTTTGTGTTTTTAGTAGACACGGGGTTTTGTCATGTTGGCCAGGCTGGTCTCGAACTCCTGACCTCAAGTGATCCGTCCGCCTCGGCTTCTCGAAGTGCTAGGATTACAGGCATGAGCTGCCGCACCTGGCCTACAACCATCCTTAAATAAAGCCTAACTAAATCAACATTACCCTGTCTGTGTAAGACAGGAATGCACAAATTGTCCAAGTTTAAAGTACCGCAAGTTCTCATTTAACATCCATAGGTGCTTGGAAACTGGCTTTAAGCAAAAACAAGGCATGGCATATCTTGGCATAACGTTGTTTCCTTCAACATGATTTCATTATAATGTTGATGAGGAAAAAAAAATGGCCAGGTGCAATGGCTCACGCCTGCAATCCCATCACTTTGGGAGGCCAAGACCAGCAGATCGCCTGAGCCCAAGAGACACACCTGGGCAACACGGTGAAAACCCATCTCTACAAAAAATTAAAAATTAGCCAGGCATGGTGGTACAAGCCTGTGGTCCCAGCTACTCAGGAGGCTCAGGTGGGAGGACTGCTTGAGCCCAGGAAGATGAGTGAGCCAAGATAGTGCCACTGTACTCCGGTCTGGATGACAGAACTAGACCTTGTCTTATGTTTCGCATAAAGTCGCAAGAACCTATCAATGACATTAAGTGAAGACTTACTGTATAAGGTCTTAAGATGGCTAAGCCTAAGAACCTGGAGGCAATATGTTATTTTCAAACACTGAAGATAAATCTAAGGAGAATAATAATAATAATTAAAACCCCAATCAACAGAAGACTGCAACTATGTATATGGTTAAAAATTTTTCTTTTTTTTTTTTTTTTTGCGGAAAGCTAGCTTCACACTAGCTCACCCTCACTAGGGGCTGGGACCACAGGTGCACACCACCGCACTCAGCTAATTGAAAACAATTTTTTTAGAAATGGAGTCTTGATATGTTGCTCAGGCTGTTCTTGAACTCCTAAGGCTCAGGCTGTCCTCCCACTTCAACCTCCCAAAGTGCTAGGATTACAGGTGTAAGCTACCATGCCCAGCCTCTAAATGTGATGAGAAATACATAGCCTCAAATTTTATTATTCCCCAACTTCTTGAATTCAGCTTATTTGATTAGGGGAAATACATGTGGGAAGGTAACCAACTAGCTGCCCCTTTTCTTCACTTCAGGACACATTCTCCACCCCCTCCCCCTGCTAGCCTCTTGACAGTAATGCTCCAATGCTTTAAAGATTCAAGTCACTTTCCATCTTCTCACCATACTGCACCAGTGATGGGGATTGTGTCGTCGAGCCCATGTCCCAAGAGGAGGTGGTGGTGCTTCCAGACTGAGAATGCTGAGCTGCCAACTGAGCCAGGGCTTGGGCAGTCTTGAATTGCTCCAAGAACTGGGAGCCTGTAGTACTGCCGCCTTTAGCTTCACCGACATCACCAAATCCTTTCCCTAACATGCTCACCTGTAGATCAACAAAGAGATGAGAGAAACCTACAGCCAGTAACCTTGTTCAGCTACTCATAAAGACACTTATCCAGACCGAGAGCCAGTATAGATCAGGCAAGTAAAGAATACTGTCACACTGAGTATACAGCATAGTCCACTAGAGTATAGGACCTAGAGTCAGACTGTCTTAGATTGAAATCCTGGCTATGTAAGCTTGGAAAAACTATTTTTTAATCTCTCTTTCCTCATCTGGAAATAGGAATAAAAGTAAAGCTGTAGGAGGATTAAATAAATTAAAGCACTTAATACATGTATGGCACATAGTAATCACTAAAAAAACAGAGCCATTAAAACTTCATATCATCATTACTTCCTTCTCCCTGCTTCTCAGGGATAAAATTTGGCTGACTGGAGAATTTTTGTTTTTGTTTTTGTTTTTGAGACAGAGTCTCGCTCTGTCACCCAGGCTGGAGTGCAGTGGTGCTATCTCGGCTCACTGCAAGCTCCGCCTCCCAGGTTCACACCATTCTCCTGCCTCAGCCTCCCGAGTAGCTGGGACTACAGGCACCCGCCACCACACCCGGCTAATTTTTTGTATTTTTAGTAGAGACAGCGTTTCACTGTGTTAGCCAGGATGGTCTCGATCTCCTGACCTCGTGATCCACCCGCCTCGGCCTCCCAAAGTGCTGGGATTAGAGGCGTGAGCCATCACACCCAGCCGAGAATTTTTAAATCAACCAATACAATTAACATAAATGTAATATAAGATTTTACTTTTGCCATTAAGGTCCTTGCCCTTCTCATTAAAAAAACTCAAAAGAAACAACAATTAACTGGAGCCTCATCTCGATGCTGCTAATAACTAGCACAGAGGCAAAAAGGAAAAGTTAAAGGGCATCCCAACTTCTGCACTAGACAATCAAGTAGCAAGTCAGTATGATTTGATTGTTTTCTCCATGTACATACAAGTTCTATAGGGTAATCACTGGGCCGAATGCGGTGGCTCACGCCTGTAATCCCAGCACTTTGGGAGGCTGAGGCGGGCAGCTCACCTTAGGTCAGGAGTCCTAAACCAGCCTGACCAACATGGTGAAACCCTGTCTCTGCTAAAAATACAAAATTAGCCAAGCGTGGTGGCGGGCGCCTGTAACCCCAGCTACTCAGGAGGCTGAGGCAGGAGAATTGCTTGAACCCAGGAGGTGGAGGTTGCGGTGAGCCAAGATCGCGCCATTGCACTCCAGCCTAGGCAACAAGAGTGAAACTCTGTCTCAAAAAAAAATAAAAAATAAATAAAAAATAAAAACAATTAAAATTACCTAGTGTTCACTGTATTATACATAAAAATATAAAGAAACTCCCATGTTATTTAGCTCTATTAAATTTTAAGTGAAATTAATCCTCTAACATTTATTCTCAATAGAAAGGAAATTACATTATCTAACATATTGATTAGTACAGGCAACAAAAAAACAGAATAGTATTTATACTTAGTTTTCACATTTTTATTTAAAAAAAATTTTTTTTTAGAGAAAGGGTTTCATTCTGTCACCCAGGCTGGAGTACAGTGGTGAGCTCAAAGCTCACTATAGTCTTGAACTCCTAGTCTCAAGCAATCCTCCCACTTCAGCCTCCAGAGTAGCTGAGACTACAGGAACGTGTCACTGTCCCCAGCTGAAAACATCTTTTTGATATCAAAAGTCTGATTTCGTTGTAAATTTTCACAATTCCAGACATTAAGAGGGCAATTAAGAGACATAGATCACATAATCACATTTTCCAGTCATTTATCTTTAAGGGTTGGTAGTTACTTCTTGATCTTCATTACACCTTCTTACAACCTTTGTCCTATTTTCTTTCTTCTTTTTCTATTTAATCCCAACACTTCTCTCCATTTCCCTTCTCCTCCCACCTCTTCTCACCTGTTACCTTTCCTATGTGGCAGGACATCGACCACCAAATTACTAACTTAACACACACAAAAAACATTTTAAGACAACAATTAAAAACTGACCGAGTTCTGAATTAGTAGCTAGCTTGGCAGTTTTCTAGTTAAACTAATTACTCTAACTGGAAAAATAAAATTATATGCACACACATGGTCTGCTTACAACTTTAGTATCCCTCCATCAAAAAATAGGAGAGAAAAAGAGAAAAAAAGAAAAAGCAGTACTTCTCAGGACTCAATGACTATGAGAAAACTGGTACTTGTAGCATCTTTGTTTAGTTTAAATGATTCCTTTGATGTCGTTAATGACCTTGGATGTTTTAAATGCTCTGAGTCAACAAGTAATATGTCATAAGTTCTAAGTTATTTATAATATCACTACTGAAACCACACTTGTATAGCCACCTTTGGGAAGATGGGAAGGACTAGCACTTTTATCCCTATTTACATAGAAATGGAGACACAGCTAGTAAGTGGCAGAAATGGGAAGACCATAGGTTTCTGGAGGCCTTGTCTACAAATACCTGGTTTAAGTAAATATACAAGACAATTCTGATCCATCAAGAAATGGGGAACTGCTACAATCTCCCATCATAGTTTAATGAGGGCTGCAAAAGGATTAAAATGTATTGACAAGTTTATGTCATTGATTTTCTCTCAAGAGTAATGGCAAATGGTGTTCATTCAGCACAATGAGTAGTCAATAAATAATGTTAACTTATTCTTATAAGAATATTCAGTCTGTCCAGAACTAAGTCCTCTCTTAGAGCTACCCCCTATTACCCAACTCAAACATTTCTACAACCAAGTCTGCTTAAGAAGACAAAGAGGATGCTTCACCTGCCAAAAACCTGACTGTCTTTGGAAGGAACTGTGTATGTGTGCTAGGATTAGCAGGAAGGTTTGATTAGGATAAACCACGTTTCCTACTCACCATACTGTGATGAGAAAATGTGTTCCCTGAAGCAGGCTGTGATATGGCAGTCTGCTTCGAATTACTGAACACCAGAGGCTGGGCCAGAGAAGGAGCCTGAGACGGATCCAGATTAGATGAATCATTCTCCATTGTAGATGGTGTCTTCCCCAGCAGAACAGCAAGGTCAATTCTAATGGGGAAGGGAAGGGATCTTCATGAAGAATGACTGAACACGCTAACATTCCCCAACACTCAAATCAGATTAGATCAAAATGAAGCCACTTGCTGGGGCTTCTTCTAAAAGGGTTCAAACACAAAAGCCTTGAAATGCTTAAATGTCCCAAAATAACTGATGCATAAGAGTCACTACAGTATATAGCTGAATTCCACTGATGTTGCCAATAATAATGGTTAATTTTTTAAGTGAAGTTATTAATTTAATGAAATATCAAATGCTAGTTTTTGTTTGTTTGTTTGTTTCGAGAAAGTCTCGCTCTGTCACCCAGGCTGGAGTGCAGTGGTGCAATCTTGGCTCACTGCTAGCTCTGCCTCCTGGGTTCACGCCATTCTCCTGCCTCAGCCTGTAGCTGGGACTACAGGTGCCTGCCACCACGCCCGGCTAATTTTTTTTTTTTGTATTTTTAATAGAGAAGGGGTTTCACGTGTTAGCCAGGATGGTCTCAATCTCCTGACCTCATGATCCGCCCGCCTTGGCCTCCCAAAGTGCTGGGATTACAGGCGTTAGCCACCGCACCGCACCCGGCCTCAAATGCTAGTTTTAACATGGCAGCTCAATAACTCAGCCAAAACTTACAAGTACTTATCCATGATTTTAATACTGAATACCTGTCATTACCAATTCCTAAAACAGAAAATCATATACCAGAACACTGGAATCTTCAAATGGCTTTAGAACAGGGGCAGTCTGAGAGATATTTTTTCCCACAATTTTCGTAAAATTTCAAAAGTTACCTGTGGTATAATATATACTTGAGCTTTGCCTTGTTCCTGGCATGGAGCTCCTAAAACATTTAGAATTTCCTAAGTGATAGTGTCCTTTGTTACTCATAACACACTTCTTTCAACCATACCTGAATGCTAATGAGGTAGCCCAGGGTGGGGCCCCAGATAGTTTCAGGATGAGGGTTGGTCACTAGAAAGACCAGATAAGGCTGGATGCAGTGGCTCACACCTGTAACTCGGCACTTTGGGAGGCCAAAGCAGGCGGATACTTGAAGTCAGGAGTTTGAGACCAGCCTGGCCAACATGGTAAAACCCTACTAAAAATACAAAACTTAGCCTGGCGTGGTGGCGGGTGCCTACTATACCAGCTACTCGGGAGGCTGAGGCAGGAGAATCGCTTGAACCTGGGAGGCGGAGGTTGCAGTGAGCCAAGATTGTGCCACTGCCCTCCAGCCTGGGCAACAGAGTGAGACTCTGTCTCAAAAAAAGAGACCAGGTAAGAGTGTTGGAACTTTCAGAAGCCCCTCCCAATCCCACCAAATTCCAGGGGTGTAGGCGAGGTGGCTATTAAGTCCAATCACCAATGGCCAATGATTTAATCAATCATGCCTAGGTAATAAAACTCATAACAATAAGATTTGGAGAGCTTCAGGATACCTGCAGAGGACAAGGAGGTTGTGTGTGCCCCACCCACATACCCATTCATACCTTGCCCTACTCATTTCTTCCGTTTAGCTGTTGCTGAGTTGTACCTTTATAATAAACCAGTAATGGGCCAGGTGTGGTGGCTCACACCTGTAATCCCAGCACTTTGGGAGGCTGAGGTGGGTGGATCACCTGAGGTCAGGCTGGCCAACATGGTGAAACGCTGCCTCTACTAAAAATAAAAAATTAGCTGGGTATAGTGGTGCATGCCTGTAATCCCAGATACTAGGGAGGCTGAGGCAGAAGAATGGCTTGAACCCAGGAGAAGGTTGCAGTGAGCCAAGATCACGCCACTGCACTCCAGCCTGGGTGACAGAACAAGACTCCGTCTCGTCTCAAAAACAAAAACAAAAAAACAGTAACGGCAAGTAAAACTCCTGAGTTCAGTCATTCTAGTGAGTTATCAAACTTGAAAGGCGGTCATGGGAACCTCCAAATTTGTAGCTGGCTGGCAGAACCTCTGAAGTTGGGGCACTCTTGTAGAACTGAGCTTTCAACTTGTGGGGTCTGCATTAACTCTGGGTAGTTAACGTCAGAACTGAATTTTTGAGCTATCAGGCTCAGGTCTAGAAAAAATCCAAGAGGTTTCCAGCGAATTAAAAATATTCCCTGAAGAGTGTATCTCCTACCACTGATCCCTAGAGATTTAAATTCTAAAACGTTTATTAGCTGGATCCTGCTGATCCAAAGGAAAAAAACAACTGTTATACTCAGTGGGCTCAGAGAACAGGAGAATAAACTGCTGAACAGTTCTAAAAGATTCAGAAATAAATGAAAACATTTCCACTTTTGGCTCTTCTTTCCCTGACTTACTTCAAAACAAGTTATATACTCAATGCTGGTGATATGAAAGGCTGATCTTTGTAATTAAAGTGCTATTTGCAGGGAGAATCAACTTTAAAATTGTAACATATCAACTTCCATTCAGCAGATTAACTAGTACTAACTCTTAGAAGTCTCTCCATCAACTGGCGCGGTGGTTCATGCCTGTAATCCCAGCACTTCGGGAGGCAGAGGTGGGCGGATTACCCGAGGTCAGGAGTTCGAGACCAGCCTGGCCAACATGGTGAAACACCGTCTCTACTAAAAATACAAAAATTAGCCAGGCGTGGTGGCACACGCCTGTAATCCCAGCTACTCGGGAGACTGAGGCAGGAGAATTGCTTGAGCCCAGGAGGCAGAGGTTGCAGTGAGCCGAAATCGTGCCACTGCACTCCAGCCTGGCCGATACAGTGAGACTCTGTCTCAAAAACAAAAAAAAAAAGAAGTCTCTCCATCAACTTAAGAGGAATGTAATGATGTAATGTAATTTGGTTATTATTATTGACACCATGGGAGTTTACAAAGGCCAGTGCCACTTCTCTTTACAGTAATCTCAGCAGATGTGTTTAAGAAATGGTACTAAATTTTACTGCACACTTGCCTCTGACCAGCAGTGATTGTCACATTCTCCGCAGGCAGAGGCACTGAAGACACATTAGAGGCAGTGAAGATCTTGGTCTCAGAAAGCTGGAAAACAGAGGGATTAGTCACTCTTGGTGTCAGGGATGCTACAGTCAGAAACTTGGCATAGGTAAGGGGAATTCAACATCAAGAAAAAGTGAAAGCCCTATAAAGAGAAAACTATCTACCCTGAGGAATCCTGAATGGATTGACTTTCAAGCCCTTCAATATATGCTCAATAGTTTTAGCCAAAGAAAGAGTAGAAGCAAGGAACCCAATAAAATATAGTGGAGTCACATGATCATATGCATACTGAACTTACAGGCATGCTAGACATAAAAAAAAAAAAATAAAAGAAAGAAAATCCCTCTATATTTTCCCATTACAGTTCCCAACTCCCACCTCTTCCCAAACCACATTTGTCTTCTACTACTCCCTTCACAGCCCCACCCCTCCCAAAGAAAGATCATAACCAAGATGAAGAAATAAATAAAAGAAGTTCATTTTTAGCTTTTGAGCAGTAAGGGCCCAAGTGCTGCTGAATTAAGGTTTTTATGGGAGATCGTTTTAACTAGATGTTATTTTTGCCTTAATATTTGACTTTGTGACATCTAGTCCTTCCACTATTAAGGCATCAAACTTAGGTAAGCAAATGCAGGGATTAACTTTTCCTACTATTCAAAAGTTGATTTGGGTTTCAGTTTTATTTCTTGATTAAAATCGCTAAAGCACAGAAAATCCACTCTCCCCTCAATGCCCAACACCATTTATCATTCTCTGAAAGTTGCTTAAGCGGACAAGCCAAATCTCAGAAAGGAACATAATTTGCCCATTTTCACAAAGCAGTCTAGTTCATTGATTATACAATAGAAAATAATCACCCTGTGATGCTGATGCCTCTGAAATTTAAAAAACCCAGAATTGGCAACCAAAACAGTCTTCACATGTCATTTCCTCTTATCACAAAAGCTGTCTTGCCTAACTACATGAAAGTATAGAAAAGTACATAGATTAAAAATGTTAAAACAAGAGTTTATCCATGATCACTGAAAACCATAATTCACAGCAGAAGCTTGACTGTGACCAGGAATCAGCAAAATTCTTACTCAGGTAGTACTCAAATGAATTCACAGAGCTTGTTTACGTGCCACCCATCTATGAGGTTTCCAAGTTAAGTCAAGCTGGCAGATAGCCAATTCTACAGATATTCATCTCAATCACAATTATACAGTTGGGCTTCAAATAAATACAAGGGTTCCAGAGTCAACCAGATTACAAGTTTGAGGATTTGGTACCACAACACTCGCTTTGGATCCACTGCCAATCCATTACAGGACCTTATAGCAAATACTTAAATGCACCAAGTAGTCATGTACCACCAGCAGCTGTTACTCAATGCACTACCTGCCTAACTCCACTTCTGGTGCCCTACCCAACCACCAATCTCTTCCTGGGATAAATCCGACAATCAGATATTGGACTTACACAAGTGCACTTGCCCTTTCCATAGTGTGGTTCCACAGAGTCCTGTTCATGCCCAGTCTCCTTCATATAACATATGTGAAATGTTCTGGCTCAGAACACTATTTTGGATGTAAAAGTTTTGGGTCAGAATCTTAAGGGTGAATTTTGAGGGGTAGAAACATACCCATTTTCTATCCCTAAACAACACTTAGGGATAGAAGGCATTAGTGAGGAATGACCTGGGAATACCTACATCTTCATTCCAATCTTCAGTCCCCCACTCCTCTGTTGCAGTCCTCCATGCACCTGAGAATAAAGAAAAATAGTGAAGTAACTTCACTATTAAATGCCAGTACAAAGCATGTATAGAAAACATCAATGTATTAATTTTTTTGGCAGCCAAAAGTATGACTAAAATTTAGTAATCAGAAGGCCAGGTGTGGTGGCTCACACCTATAATCCTAATACTTTGAGAGGCCGAGGTGGGTGGATCACTTGAGGTCGGGAGTTCGAGACCAGCCTGACCAACATGGAGAAACCCTGTCTCTACTAAAAATACAAAATTAGCTGGGCGTGGTGGCACATGCCTGTAATCCCAGCTACGCGGGAGGCTGAGGCAGAAGAATGGCTTGAACCTGGGAGGTGGAGGTTGCAGTGAGCTGAGATCGCGGCATTGCACTCCAGCCTGGGCAACAAGAGTGAAACTGTCTCAAAACAAACAAAAACAAAAAACAAAACAAAAAAAAAGAAATTCTTGGGCTTCAAAGGTAAGGAAACACTCTTTAGAAAAGGATATCTCAGAGTACCAGGGTTTTAATAAGATTATGATTTCATAGCTACTTTCAGTTTTTGTTACAAAGCAGGAATGGGGGTGGGGGGGGGGACAGACAGACAACCACCCAATGCTCAAAGCAGTATCTTTAAGGTCCTCAGGTTGATTTAGTGGTCAATTCAGTGAAATGGCAGCAGCCAATTTAAACCATAACATGCAAACTACACCTATTTATCTAGTATAAGACAAAAAATACTGTAGGCAGTCTGAAGAAGGATAGTAGCACTGATAGAGAAACACAAATGGTTACCACATAATGGTTAGTGAAAGAGCAGTGAAGAAGGGTGGGTTTGAAACCCGAACTGAGGGCATTGAAAACTATCTGCTATGAGAATTAGATTAAAAATGCATACTCAGCAGAAGTCAAGTTTATAGATCTTATTGGTTTAACTGTATAAGAAAAGCCCCTATAGAGCTGTCCTCTTCAAAAGACAATGAACAAGACTGAAAAATCAGGTATGAATGATAGTTACTGTCCTAACCTTACTCATATAGAACTTGAAACCTGACCTGCTATGGTCATGGCACAGACAACGGGAGTATACACTGTCCTTGTGTTTGTTGGTAATACGGAAGCTGGGATACAGTTTCTACTGGAGAAATCCAAAAGCAATCAAACCACCTTCCACATTCCTTTTTTGTGCTTCATGTATACATATATTTTCAGAAAAAAAAAAATGTCCTTTCTTAAAAAATAAGGGTGAGAATTTCTAACAAGAACCAGGATTCTTCCCTTCAGCCAAAGGCACAGTAAAAACAAGAACCTGTCTGAAGAAGGGACAAGAGCACCCTTATTTTCTTGCTAGAATAATATATATTAAATAACTCTTCAATCCTTCCCTCCTACTGGAAAAAAGCTTATAAGAATGAAATGAAAAGTCTGACATTCAGATGCTGTGCCACTGAAGAGAAGTATTCTAACACCACATTAGAAGTATTCTAATACAAAGCCCATCTAAAATTCTTCTAAACATTTAATAATGCAAAAATCTTCTTTCTTAGAGGAAAATATATTCATTGTAAAGACTTTCCCAGGAAAATATTAAAATTGCACCAGGGAAATCCTAAACCACTTAATAATGACAATATTCTCAAAACCAAAGTCCAATCTCAGTACAGACAAGTTACAAACCACATTCTTTTCTCCTTCATTGATACCACACTTTCTTCTCATTGACATCCATCTTATCCTGGCTCGATGGAATCCAAGTTGCATTAGCACTTATACACAATCCTAGAGTTAGACATGATCTAACAGGTTATTTAATCTAGGCTCTTGATGCAAGAATTTTTTTCTGCACACTGATGACTTCAACTGGGATGGAAAGGAGGAACGTAGACACCTAACTGGTATGTTCCTATTCAGGATATACGGTCATGGCTGAGGAAGAGAGAGAGCTGAGGAAGCATTAAGGAACAGAATAGATGGAAATGCTCTAAACAACAGACTAGGGTTTCCATTCCATTAGCAGAAAGCAATCAGTGTAACTGTCAAATATTCATTAAATGAACAGAAAGGTAAGTGGACACAGAAAAATGAGAGAAAAAGGCAGAAAGAGAAAAAGCAGAAAGACATAAAAATGACATATCCACAGATATTTCAGCTCATAAAAATCTACAAAAATATCTGGGGCAGTTAGGCACCTGGATGTATCATACCAGGAGCAGTCTGGGGGATAATTTTGGGGGATAATTTGACCCCTCAACCCCAATGAAATCAAGTCCTGAAACAAAAAAAAAAGAAAAGAAAAGAAAAAACAACCAGTGAAATTTTGCTTGTAAATGAGAAAGTCTGCCCCAATACATAATCCCCATTGTACCTGTGGATATTTTAAAGGTAGGTTTGGATTTTTTTTTTAATTTAAAGGGGAAACTCAAGTTTGCTATCAGGAAAACACAAAAAGAAACCATGCATGAAGGTATGTTCATATCATGAAATTAACAACGACCAGGCGTGGTGGCTCACACCTGTAATCCCAGCACTTTGGGAGGCCAAGGCAGGTGGATCACTTGAGGTCAGGAGTTTGAGACCAGCCTGGCCAACATAGTGAAACCCCATCTCTACTAAAAATACAAAAATTAGCCAGGCGTGGTGGCGTGCACCTGTAGTCCCAGCTACTCAGGAGGCTGAGACATGAGAATAGCTTGAACTCAGGAGGCAGAGGCTGTAGTGAGCCAAGATCGCACCACTGCACTCCAGCCTGAGTGACAGAGCAAGACTCTGTCTCAAAAAAGAAAAAAAGAAAAGAAAAAAAAAATTAATGACAATGGGAATTCATGAAGCTATAACCAACACTTTTGCACTAACAAGACGATAGTGGCGTCACATTCAGCTACAAATCAGATTTCCAATTCCAGCCTTGCACATCTGCTCCCTTTTCTACTCAGTAGAAATTAACACACACACTACCTTTCGCTGTTTTTCCAACCAGATCCTTACTGAAGACAGCGAAGGCTAAGGACTGGGACCCCATGCCTGAATTTCTATTCACAACTAAAAACAAACTTTTCAACTTCTGCCATCTTACCTGCCAAAGATAAAAAGCCAAATACCCAGGAATAAGCTACAGCTCAAAAACAGTAACTTATTTGTTATTGAGACTGCTACCACTGCCTCTACAAAGCCATCAAGAGATGAATGAAGAACAGTTCTAATGCCTCCGAAGTATAGTAAGTTAAACTATAACAGGACATTTCGTAACTAAATGATGCAGAAATTCAAAGATACCTATCTTGTAACTCAACTTCAGCCTCCACCCATGAAATGTGTTAAAAATGAATTTATAAGATAGCAACTTGGCGAACAAAAAGCAGACGACATTCAGAGCCTCAGGAATAATATATTGTAGGAAAAAGGTGGAAAACTATTTGTGCCAAAGGCTCTCCTAAAGGCCCAGAGATCACGTATCTGTGAAAGGTGACAAGGCAAATTTAAACAGGTAAGGAGTCAAACATTTCAGGCCCTACTCATCCCCCTTTGTAAGAGGAAAAAAAGCCTTAGGCTCTCATGTGTTAGCTCAGCCAGAATGAGGCAGCTGTTCAAGAAAGCACTCCAGAGTTTTCTTACTAAAATGAACTGCTCTTATTGAAAGTGGCACACGTATCCACCCCCAAACACATCTTAGGTGTATACCACAGCTTAACATATCCTTAAACATTTATATCCAGCCCAGACGCAGGCACCAAAGTCAGTTAACAAAAAAGTAATCTTATTCAAACCCTGAATACTCCATCACACCAAGAAGGCTGTTCAACAGGGCACCAGAAAGGCTAGAGAGATTTCGAAATCTTCTTGTTCAGATACTGACATGTCCCAAAAATAAAGGGAAAAAAAGGATATTCTTATCTCAGTAACAGAAAACAAATAAATGGATAGTGTGGACTTTGATTCTAGGCCTTGTTCATCTTTACAAGCAGTGGCTTGATTAATTCTGGCTATCTTTTCAAAAGGCAACACTACCCTAACATAAACACTAGAAAATACACTTGGACCTAATAGCAGTGACATAGCATAGTTGAAAGGGCATGGACTTTCAGGGTCAAACAATGCTGAGTTCAAATACTAGCAAATTTATAACCTCTCTTTCGGCCTTAGTTTTGTCATCTGGAAAGTGATGATAAATAATGATTATTTCATACAATATCAAGCAGCATTAAGCGAAATAACATGTGTAATGTGCCCATATGCACGTTACATAAACAGTACACACAGTAATACAACTGCCAGCCCTTTCTCACCCTATCTCCATAACCAAACACTATTCTTCCACGTTTTAATGTAAGTATAATCAGAAAAAACTATTTCCTTAGATTCCCAGAGACAAGAAATGAATGATAAATGGTCACTCACTCGTCCCATCATCTGGTTCAAAGTGGCCAGTGTTGTTCCACGTATTGCCGCTGCTATTGCCATAGTTATCATCAGTATTGGCTGGCTCTGCATAATCAGCTGGGTTAAAGGTTCTGGAAAAAATAAAACTTAAGAGTCTCTGACCTCTAAGCAGCTTTGGCAAATATTAACTCAAAGAATCAAAATCTTGACTGCATCCTTCCTAGTACAAATCTGTCATGGCCCCATTCTATAATCCTGTGTGTCATCTACTTTTTCTCACTTATCACTCTACCCAAAATTTCATGGTATAATCTCAACATATATCTAAGATATTCTGAGAAAAGAACAGGTATATTGATTCAAATAAAGATATATAAAATATAGGTAATGATCCAGGTGGTAAAGGTTTATCCCTAAGAAATGAGCCCTAAGTCCCCATATCTTTCTGACCAGTCTAGAAATCATTCTGATCATTTTGGTTAAGGCTGCCTACAGTAATTTTTAAGGGAAAAAAAATTAAGACACTAGATCAATGAAACTTACCCCATTCCTTGAGCAGAAAACCTTCCTCCTCGCCTACCAGAGCCACCTAAAGAAAGAATGAGAAAAAGAGAAGAGAGATGTATTTTAGAAGTTGATATAAAACTTCCTTGCCAGGCAGGCACAGTGGCTCCCGGTGGTAATCCCAGCACTTTGAAAGGCTGAGGGCGGGCGGATTGGTTGCATCCAGAAGTTCGAGACCAGCCTAGGCAATAGAGCAAAACCCTATCTCTATAAAAAGTACAAAAATTTGCTGAGTGTGGTGGCACACACCTATAGTCCCAGCTCCTTGAGGGGCTGAGGCAGGAGGATCACTTGAATCCAGGAGGCAGAGGCTACAGTGAGCTAAGACCGCACTACTGCACTCCAGCCTGGGTGACAGTGAAACCTTGCCTCAAAAATACAAAAAACTACCCTGCCAGCTGAGGCAGCTCTGGAATAAAAAGTGGTTGATACTATCAGATGTTCTTTCTCTCTGTCCCATGTTACACATCAGTAATAGAGTAGGACAATCATTACTGTTGAGAGATTTTTCTTTTGCTCTCAGACTACCATGTCCTCAAGCAAATACAATACTAGCAATAAAGACTAGAGGAAATGACATCTACCTTCTTTCTCACTCTCCCCTTCTGCAATCTCTAGTATATGCATGACACCTCAGGAATTAACTAACTAGACTTCATGTTAATTTGTTTTTAAACAAAGTAGACCCTGGAGCCAAGTGCTGTCTCTCACACCTATAACCTCAGCACTTGGAGAGGCCAAGCAGGAAGATCTCTTGAAGCCAGGAGTTTGAGACCACCCTGGGCAACATATTGAGACTCCATCTCTACAAAAGCATTTAAAAATTAGCGAGGCGGGCGCATCACTTTAGGTCAGGAGTTCGAGGCCAGCCTGGCCAATGTAGTGAAAGCCCATCTCTACTAAAAATACAAAAATTAGCTGGGCGTAGTGACGCACGCTTGTAATCCCAGCTACTTGGGAGACTGAGGCAGAAGAATCGCTTGAACCCGGGAGGCAGAGGTTGCAGTGAGCCAAGATCGCGCCACTGCACTCCAGCCTGGGTGACAGTGCGAGACTCCATCTCAAAAAAAATTAGCCAGGCATACTGGCGGCCACCTGTAGTCTTAGCTACTAGGGAGGCTGAGGCAGGAGGATCACTTGAGCCCAGGAGTCTGAGGCTGCAGTGAGCTATGACTGTGCCACTGCACTCCGGCCTGGGTGAGAGTGAGACTACCTCCAATAAAAAAAAAAAATAAAGCAGACCATTAATGAATAAAGAGTAACCTGCCCCCAATATCCATCCCCCAACAAACTGATCACCTCTGCCTCGGCCACGGCCCCTTCTGCCTCTTTCTGTTCCTCTTCCAGAAGGCCCTCCACTCTTGGTGCCATCCAATCCATTTTCCTGACCTCGAACTGAAATAAAAATAAAAATTAAAACAACAACAACAACAAAAAAACCAAACCACAGATGGCCAGAGCACAGTCAACAGGATATATACAAATATATAAATGGTATGTAATATGGTATTGGGAATTAAAAAAACAACGAAGAGAAAATGAGCTGGAAGGATGGGAACATGTTTCTCAGGGAATGGTAATGTGCCTTAATGGAGAGCTGCAAGTCAAATTTAACTTTATAAATGACTACAGGGTAATCTCATGCCAGACTGGTGGCAGTTGGTAGAAAAGGCCACATGCAAGAGATGTCAAGGTCTCAGAACAGACGACGGCAAGAAAAGCAAAAGGATAATATAATGGTTCCTAGGTCCTGACTAGCAGGGCCCTGGCACATCCCTAGAGTCTAGACATTACTGACCCACAGCTGGTTTTGATAAAGCCCCATGCATACACTCTCGTCCACGGCTGGCACCTCTCCCCCGTCTTGGTGGCCCACCACGTCGCCGACTATAGTCTCTGTCCCGGTCTCGATTTTCTTTGCCTTCCTCATTGGATTCCGTCTGGCCACCATCCTTCTGGCCTGAGACTCCCTTCTTCTTCCCGACCATCTCCCAGGAATGCTATAGAAGGGTAGAGCATTCATATCTAATCAATATGGAGTGCTATCAGGACACTAGAGATGAAAGCTGGGATGACTGATTGACTTAACCATTCTCCACTCAGCATCCATGTCTAAAACACTTCCATTAGTTTGCTTTTACTTCTGTTTAAATATTTTATACATATCACTACAAAAAGTAAAGTCCTTTATTTTTTATTTATTTATATTTATTTATTTATTTATTTTTGAGACAGAGTCTCGCTCTGTTGCCCAGGCTGGAGTGCAGTGGTGTGATCTTGGCTCACTGCAACCTCCACCTCCCAGGTTCAAGCGATTCTCGTGCCTCAGTCTCTCAAGTAGCTGGGATTACAGGCACGCGACACCATGCCCGGCTAATTTTTGTATTTTTAGTAAAGACAGGGTTTCACCACGTTGGCCAGGCTGGTCTCTCAAACTCCTGACCACAGGTGGTCCACCCACCTCGGCCTCTTAAAGTGCTGGGATTACAGATGTGAGCCACTGCACCCAAAGTGCTGGGATTACAGACGTGAGCCACCAAGCCCAGCCATAAAGTCTTTTTTGTAGGGAAGGTACTTATAGGAAACATTGCAGGGATCACTTCCAAGAGGATTACAAAGACCTCTATCTAATTCAGTCACTTAGCATATTAGTCAAAGGACCAAGTTATTGGTCCCTATCTTTCAAGTGTTATTTCCTGGGCTAAAAAAAAAAAAGAAAAAACTAATTTCCTTCGGAGTCAGTGACCCACAACTTTTTATAGCATCATTCATACCAAATAAAGCAAAAAAGAAAATGTTTCTAAAAGTTACCTATGAATTCAGAATGAATGAGCAGCATTCTACTCTTGGGCACGTTCTCTAATCTCACCCATAAATTTAGGAGGAAAACAACTAGAGCTACCTACCTACAGACACACACACACACACACACACACACAGCAATTTCATTTAAAAGATCAGGCTGGGTGGCCAGGTGCGGTGGCTCACACCTGTAATCCCAGCACTTTGGGAGGCCAAGGCGGGCAGATCACAAGGGCAGGAGTTTGAGACCAGCCTGGCCAACACGGTGAAACCCCGTCTCTACTAAAAATACAAAAATCAGCCAGGTGTGGTGGTGCGCACCTGTAATCCCAGCTACTCAGGAGGCTGAAGCAGGAGAACTGCTTGAACCTGGGAGGTGGAGGTTGCAATGACGCAAGATCGCACCACACCACTGCACTCTAGCCTGGGCCACAGAGCAAGGTTCCATCTCAAAGAAAAAAAAAGAAAAAAAAGGGCCAGGCGCGGTGACTCACGCCTGTAATTCCAGCACTTTGGGAGGCCGAGGAGAGTGGATTGCCTGAGGTCAAGAGTTTGAGAACAGCCTGGCCAACATAGTGAAACCCTGTCTCTACCAAAAATACAAAAAATTAGCTGGGCGTGGTGGCAGGCACCTGTAATCCCCGCTACTCGGGAGACTGGGGCAGGAGAATCGCTTGAACCCAGGAGTCGGAGGTTGCAGTAAGCTGAGATCCTGCCATTGCACTCCAGCCTGGGCGACAGAGGAGTCTCCATCTCAAAAAAAAAAAAAAGAAAAAAAGGTAAGGCTGGGTGTGGTGGCTCACACCTATAACCTCAGCACTTTGGGAGGTCGAGAGATCAAGGCAGGAGGATCATTTCAGGCCAGGAATCTGAGACCAGCCCAGGCAACCAAATGAGACTCTGGTCTCTACTAAAAATTTAAAAATTAGCCAAGTATGGTGGTACACTCCTGTCACCCAAACCACTTGAAGGCTGAGGCAGAATGATCACTTGAGCCCAGGAGATTGAGGCTGCGGTGAGTCGTGGTTATGTGACTGTACTCAGTCTAGGTGACAGAGTAAGACCCTGTCTCAAAAAGTATATAAAAATAAAAATAAAAGAAGACCAAACGACAGTCGCAGCCCTGACCCCAAGAGATACTGATTATACAAAGCCTTCCATCCAGGTTTTACTTGCAGTGTTCTCCCTATATTTCCTAAATTGGTATCAGCCAATTTAACTTTCCCCAGTGAAAAATACATATCTATGATACATTCCTAACTGCAAGAGGGAAAGTCTGTGGTAAGGAAAATAAGCTTAACACCCTTGCAAAACACTCTTCCTCAGGAAAATGAGCATTGTAAACTTAAAAGTTTTTAAAAAAATGCATACCTTGATTTACACATATTTTTGTAAAAAACCTGTACAAATGGAACTTCCAGGACAAACACCAACACTATCAGATTTCTTTCCTTTTTTTTTTTTTGGAAACTTAGTCTCACTTTGTCACCATGCTGGAGTGCAGTGGTGCGATCTCGGCTCACTGCAACCTCCGCCTCCCAGGTTGAAGTGATTCTCCTGCCTCAGCCTCCCAAGCAACTGGGACTACAGGGCACCACCAGGCCCAGCTAATTTTTGCATTTTTAGTAGAGATGGGGTTTCACCATGTTGGCCAGGATGGTCTTGATCACTTGACCTCGTGATCCGCCCGCCATGGCCTCCCAAAGTGCTGGGATTACAGGTGTGAGCCACTGTGCACAGCCTCAGATCTTTATTATCTTACCATCAAACTCAATCATGGCCCTAGTGCTCAGTAACAGCTACCTAATGTCTAATCACTTTCAGAATATGGGCTGAGTATTAGATAATACAAAATTATTAACCTTATCAGGATTGATAATAGTATTATGGTAATGTAAGAGTATCCTCCTTTAAGGGAAGCATGTTGAAGAACTTAAGGGTATCAAGTATTATGTCTACAACTTCCAGATAATTCCAAGTGTCCACTGATGAGTAAACAAAATGCCACATATATGTACAACGGAATATTAGCCTTAAAAAGGAATGAAATTCTGACCCATGCCACAATATGGACGAACCTTGAAACATTACACTAAGTGAAGTAAGTTAGACATACAAGGTCAAATATTACATGATTTCACTTACATGAGATCTCTAAAACAGGCAAATTCATAGAAATAGAAAACAGGGCCGGGGATGGTGGCTCACACCTATAATCCCAGCACTTTCCGAGGCCAAGGAGGGTGGATCACTTGAGGCCAGGAGTTAGAGACCATCCTAGGCAACATGGCAAAACCCTGTCTCTACTAAACATACCAAAATCAGCCAGGTGTGGTGGCACACACCTGTGGCCCTAGCTGCTTGGGAGGCTGAGGTGGGAAAAACGCTTGAGCCCAGGAGGCAGAGGCTGCAGTGAGCCGAGATCTCACCATTGCACTCCAGCCTGGGCAACAGAGCAAGACTCCATCTCAAAAAAAAGAAAAAAGAAAAAAAAAAAAAAGCCAAGTGTGGTGGCGCACACCTGTTGTCCCAGCTACTAAAGAGGCTGAGGTGGGAGGATTGCTTGAACCCAGGTGTCCATGGCTGCAGTGATCATGCTACTGCACTCCAGCCTGGGTGACAGGGCAAGACCCCATCTCTTAATTCATTTGTTTTAAAAAGATTACCTACCCAAGACTTGGTAGTTTGTTGCTGCCTACTCTTCCAACCCAAGCCTATTATACATTACAGTTAGTGGGTCATTTTATGCTCACAGTAAGTTAGAACAACCCTGTAGCTAAATATACACCAGGAACACTCTGGAAGCTAGACTCAAAACAGCTTTTAGAATTTATGCTGCTATCTCAAAACCTGGCAAGTTTCAGGAAACTGTAACCTTTCTCCCTCCTCTGTATGCACATCTGTTGCTGGCACAAGATGGGTCAGGAGAAAGAATTACTATTATCTTCCCAAAGGCGACTTCAGTTTTCTGAAATGATCTCACCCACCCAAATACATCCAATATCCCTGGGAGCTGACTTTGCTTCCCATTGGTTTCACTAGTAGCTAGTTTATTCGTAACATAAACCTATATTCTCCAGCTTATTTTCCTTTTTGATACTGTATAACATCAGCCTTATAGCACTAGACAGAAGATGCTGGAAGGTAAGATAAAATGTGATTTGCGAAAAAACATTCAGACTTTTAAAAAAACATAAATAGCCCCACCTGATTCCCCCCATAAAATCTGGAGACAATTATTCTAGAGTAAACCCAAAACAAATCAAAAGCATATCTTGATTGGCCAGATAGTAAATATTCAAATAAGGTCAACAGTGTAAAATTTAATCCAGGATAACACTTTTGAAGAAAAAACCCACCAATTTAAATTCAATTGTTTTTAAAAGTTTTCCATTATTATTTCCCATTGTCTCAAAGAAATTGACAAACCTCCTGCATTTAGCTGGAGTGACTCTGTAGTATCAGAAAGCTGTTGTATCTGAGGCCAGGTTTCATGGCTCACGCCTGTAATCCTAACATTTTGGAAGGCCGAGGCAGGAGGATTGCCTGAGCTCAGGAGTTCAAGACCACCCTGGGCAACATAGTGAAACACTGTCTCCACTAAAATACAAAAAATTAGCCAGGCATGGTGGTGCATGCCTGTAGTCCCAGCTACTCGGGAAGCTGAGGCATGAGAATTGCTTGAACCCAGGAGGCAGAGTTTGCAGTGAGCCGAGATGTACTCCGGCCTGGGAGACAGAGAGAGACACCGTCTCAAAAAAAAAAAATTAGCTGGGTATGGTGGTGAATGCCTGTAATCCCAGCTACTCTGGAGGCTGAGGCACAGGATCACTTGAACCTGGGAGGTGGAGGCTGCAGAGAGCAGGTTCACGCCACTGCACTCCAGCCTGGGCAACAAGAGCAAGACTCTGACTCAAGAAAAAAAACAAGTTGTTATCTGTAAGGATGAATTTTGATATCTATTCCAACCAAAGAGCCCCAGTATAAGACCCAATAAATGAAAATGATTTCAAAATAATACACTGGGCCAGGTGCGGTGGCTCATGCCCATAATCCCAGCACTTTGGGAGGACGAGGCGGGCAGCTAGCTTGAGTCCAGGAGTTTGAAATCAGCCTGAGCAACATGGAGAAACCCTGGCTCTACTAAAAATGGGAAAATCAGCTGGACATGGTGGCCCATGCCTGTGGTCCCAGCTACTCAGGAGGCTGAAGTAGGAGGATCACCTAAGCCCAGGACGAGGAGGTTGCAGCATGTCAGTGTACTCCAGCCAGGGCCACAGAGTAAGACCCTGGCTCAAAATAATAATAATAATAATAATACACTGCTCATTAAAAAAACAAAATTTCTCTAGTAAGCACTGCAGGAACATTCTGAAGATCAATAAGGCAGTCAGAGGATTACAATTTGGTACAAACATAAGACAAGCATAAAAACAGAATTCTCATGAAGTGGGAAGGAGAAGTGAAAGCGACTTGTCTAAATTCCAGGGCAAGAGATCCTCCAAGATATCCCCTATCATCTCCAGGGATGGTCAGCAGGCTACAAAGCTTGTTTCTCTGCTACCTCAACAGAAGGAAGTTCAGGCAATGAAACAGTAGTGTGCAATGCGAAGCTGATATTGAGGGGAATGTCCTGAATTCAGAATCAAATATGTAAAATAAATAAAATAAAATAAAATAAAAAGAAAAAAAAACAGAATCAAGTATAGTGTGTGACTTTGTTCAACAGCAATATCCAAGGCTATCAAATCGCACCTCTAATTCAGCCTAACCCCACAGCCTGAAAACAGTCACTAGCCTGGAATAAATAATTTATTCCAGGCCAATTAGCAGAGACTGATTTCACTGTTTTCTCCTATGAGCATTATCCTCATAAAAAGGATGTAGTACACATAAATTTTAAGTATTTATAACCTGTGGTGAACAATCTCCAAGAAAGTTCCCAACTTTACTTCAAGAAAAAGGTGCTCTGCTTTAAGGTATGTTGCCATTTGCTACTTTTAGAACATTACTAGCCTCCCAATTGAGGACCCATGTCCTAGAACACTCTATAAGCACTCTACCGTGTCTGGGTTTCCTTCCAGAAGAACATTGATAGCTCTGTTGACATCTCCATTGCAGTCATGCAAAGCAATCACACATTCATCCTGGTTCTTGCCTGTAATATCAATCAACTGAAAGAGAAAAAACAGCAACCATCATGAACAGGCTTATGCTCACACTCCCAATGAAAGGAAACTAGGTGAAGGGAAACGCTATCAGTTGAGTTTGAAAAAAACAAGTTTAAAAAGCAAAAGATGAGGGCTGGGCACAGTGGCTCACGCCTATAATCCCAGCACTTTGCAAGGCTGAGGTGGGCGGATCACCTGAGGTCAGGAGTTTGAGACCAACCTGACCAAAATGATTAAACCTGTCTCTACTAAAAATACAAAAATTAGCTGGGTGTGGTGGCGGGCGCCTGTAATCCTAGCTACTTGGGAGGCTGGGGCAGAAGAATTGCTTGAACCCAGGAGGCGGAGGTTGCAGTGAGCTGAGATTGCGCCACTGCACTCTAGCCTGGACCACAGAGCAAGACTCCGTCTCAAAATAAAAAAAAAAACAAAAAAGAAAGAAAGAAAAATGATGTAGAATTTGCCTAGCAGGTTTTCCAGAACCACCCCCCCAACCCCCGCCAAAAAGGAAAACATGTAGAATTTTGGTATTCTATTTCCAAAAGCCAAATATTAACATCTGTGGTTCAGGGATGAGGTCAAAAGTATTTACAAAGCAATTAAGCATCAAATACAGAATCAAACTCTGAAACACACAGGCTTCAGCATGAATTTCCACATTTCCTATACCCACAACTGCTCAGTTTCTACAAAATGGCATCAGCAACAGGCAAGAGGTTAAAATTAAGATAAAATTTCCAAACAAAGTATCTATCCAAAGGGCTACAATAGGCTGGGTGCAGTGGCTCACACCTGTAATCCCAGCACTTTGGGAGGCTGAGGCAGGCAGATCACTTGAGGTCAGGAGTTCGAGACCAGCCTGGCCAACATGGTGAAACCCCATCTTTACTAAAAATACAAAAAATTAGCCAGGCATGGTGGTGAGCGCCTGTAATCCCAACTACTCGGGAGGCTGAAGCACGAGAATCGCTTGAACTCGGGAGGCAGAAGCTGCAATGAGCCAAGATCATGCCACTGCACTCCAGCCTGGGTGACAGAGTGAGACTTCATCTGAAAAAAAAACAAAAAACAAAACAAAGGGCTACAAAAAATTAGAGAATGAAAGCACTTATTTATTGGCCTGACCTATTATATTTCAGGTCAAAATTCTTTCAATACCTATAGTAGAAAGTATCCTGGCATCCATCTACAGTATTTGATTATGCCTTAATACTGGTATCTTTTCTCATAGTGTACAGTAAATTAGTGATACACTCACTTGTTTCACCTTCTCCTCAAAGTCAGCATCATTATGGTCCGAAATCATCTGTGCAAGTCTAATTTGTTCTGCAGTGGCCTAGGAATTGAGATGAGATCAAGAAAGCATAATCATGAGGCAACAGTTTAGAGAACAGGAACCTATTTCGTCAGCCTCCACTGCCCCAATTTTCTTTTCCTTGTAACAAATGAGCAAGTAATAAAGCACCATTTAGGACGCTTAATGGGGGATCAGGGATAGGTGCGGGTGGTGGCTCACGCCTGTAATTCCACACTTTGGGAGCCCAAGGCAGACAGATCACCTGATGTGAGTAGTTTGAGACCAGCCTGGCCAACATGGCAAAACCCCGTCTCTACTAAAAATACAAAAATTAGCCGGGTGTGGTGGTGCACACCTGTAGGTCCAGCTACTCGGGAGGCTGAGGCAGGAGAATTGCTTGAATCTGGGAGGAGGAGGTTGCAGTGAACTGAGATAGTGGCACTGCACTCCAGCCTAAGTGATAGAGCAAGACTCCACCTCAAAAAAAAAGATGCTTAAATCAGTAAAATGACAAAAAATTGAGTGAAACTGTTACAGAAAGAGTAAGGAACTCATTCACCAATCTTCACAGTTAAAGGGACTTCCGTCTTAGAATCACAGAACCGCTCTGAAACATCTGCCCCTTAATTCATATTAAGTCACAAAGCCATGTGTAAACTCTATTCTTATTTCTGTAATAACCAACGCCATCCTCTTATTCCTAGAGCTTAGAATACAAGTCTGACAATAGACTCAACACATCTTCTATATATCCAGTGTATGTTCAGATACTAGGAATTTTACTGCCCCAACTAAGTATTATAATTCTACTAGAAATCCACTTGAAAACACAGATGAAAGAAAAATGCGTAAGGGGGATGTCCTAATCTTACATATTCGATTTATCTGACCATAATCAAATATAAGTAATTCATTCACATTACATACCAACTAACATCAACCTGGTATGAGAAACAGAATATATCTACATCAAAGTTAATATCCAAGAGGTTAATTTACTCTTTAAAACTTAAAATTGAGCAATGCTCTAAGGTGTTTCATTTAATTTTGAAGAAACATAGTGAAGTTGCCAGCTCCTCATGGGAAAGGAATAATCAGGTAAGGTCTCAATGGAACCAGAGAGGAAAATAAAAGACAAGTTGGGGAAAAGAGGAGCAAAGGATAAAATCTGGAATGGAAAAGGCTTGCTAGAGAGGTATCAAGGTGGGGCAGGGCACAGCGGCTCATGCCTATAATCCCAGTACTCTGGGAGGCCGAGGCAGGTGGATCACCTGAGGGCAGGAGTTCGAGACCAGCCTGACCAACACGGTGAAACCCTGTCTCTACTAAAAATACAAAAATTAGCTGGGCATGGTAGCACACTCCTGTAATCCCAGCTACTCAGAAAGCTGAGGCAGGAGAATTGCTTGAACCTGGAAGGCAGAGGTTGCAGTGAGCCGAAGTGGCGCCATTGCACTCAAGCCTGGGCAACAGAGCGAGACTCCGTCTCAAAAACAAAAGAGAGAGATATCAAGGTGGAAGGTCTAAGAAATAGAAAGGTATTGCTAAAATGGCCCAGGTAAGAGAAGGGAAATGCTATCTTAAGAGTTATAGAGCCGGGCAGTGACTCACACCTATAATCCCATGAGTTCAAGACCAGCCTGGGCAATGCAGCAAGACTACCATCTCTACAAGAATTTTAAAATTAGCCTGGCATGGTAGTGTGCACTGGTAGTCCCAGCTACTCAGGAGGCTGAGGCGGGAGGATCACTTAAGCCCCAGAGGTTGAGGCTACAAATGAATGGTGACTGTGCCACTGCACTTTGACCTAGGCAAAGGGAGCTCCTATCTTAAAACAAAACAAAAAAAAAAAAGATAAAAAGCACAGGACCCATAATAAAGTGCTAAGCCTCATAATACAGTATTAAACAACAAAAAAGTAAGCATCTTGCCTTACAGCATGTCATGAACAGTTATCAGGACCTAAGTAAAAAAAGAGCCAAGGACTAGAAAACAAAAATAAGGAACCTAAACCAACAGTTCAAAGCACAGAATGATGCTGTACTGCATGGAAACCAGTATCAGCAGGCAACGCTATCCATGAATCCGTATGCCTTGGATTATTTACCTGTGGCCGCTGCTTGTGCTGTGTCTGGTTTTGGTTTTGAGGTTGTTCCCAGTTTCCCCGGGCTCGGTTAGTGCCCACCGATGTCATCATTTACAGTATATACAAATAACAGTATTTACAAGGTAGAATACTGAAAGATTTAAAAGAAAATTAGGTATTAAATGTGGGCAAAATATGTTTTTAACTCTCTCATCAGCACCTTCACCACCAAACACTTTCACTTCTTCAAAGGAACAAATCAATAAGATTCATTTATTCTTACAACATAATTAGCTTGATAAATTCCTTAAGGAGCTATGGCTGTTAATCCATTTTTATGTAACAAGAAATGTATAAAGCATGTGTAAGTGATGGATTTTTTTAAGAAGTTACAGCAGTTTGGTTACTAGTCCCCCATAAGCAGACTTTACATTTAACTAATAATCAAAAGCCTTTTACATAGATGCAAGTATCTGAAGTACCTTTGACAGAAGGAAAGATAATCAGTAAAGTCTGGAAACAAAAACCTTCCAGGAAGGAGATTAGTCTACACTCCAGAGAAATAATTTTAAATACTGTATTCAATCACCTAAGAAAACAGCCTTACCTGCCTTACAACCTTTTTTATGTAAGCTGCATGTGACCTCCATTGCTTGGGAAAGGACAAGTTCAAGTCTAGACTCTTCTTTGTCCCTCAAGTTTCATCTCTCTCAGTATGCTATGGGTTTGTTTTGTGTTTGTGGGGGTTTTTTGTTTT
This sequence comes from Homo sapiens, assembly GCF_000001405.40. Taxonomy (NCBI): domain Eukaryota; kingdom Metazoa; phylum Chordata; class Mammalia; order Primates; family Hominidae; genus Homo; species Homo sapiens. Next base: position 154,224,477 of record NC_000001.11, on the reverse strand, counting down.
TTTAAACCACAGCCTTCAACAGGGTACGTATTAGCCCCAATGACTTTGTCCAGAATCTCTGTTCTCTGGAAAATAATTCCAACACACTGCTTTTACAGGTGCTTCTCTTGGTCTCCTAGTCCACATTTTCAAGAAACCAAAATGGCAATTACCCTCCACCACTCACCTTAATATACAGGGAATCTCAAATTTGTCTCAAACCAAAAGCATCTAGCACAAAGTTTTATTTGGAAGAAAGTGCTTCTAAGAAATCATTTTAAACTTGAGACCTTAATGCTGGCAAGATGACTTAGTTGAGTCTTTAAAGAGACACAGAACACACAGGGCCTTCCCCAAACCAGAATATAGTTTTTGTTACAAGACTTCTAACAAGGAAGGATTCTACTGAATTCAAGTTCCTTTAGTTCATACTTTGTTTTATAATACAATCTCAGCTGCTGCATTTAGTAAAAAAGAAAACATTAATCATATGATAGAGTGTTCAAAATAATAGGTTACTCTGCATTTATTCCCTTCCAAAGAGGGTAAGTTTATACTTTTCTGCTCTATATTTAATTTTTCTTGTTAATGAAACCTTATACAACGTAATTCTAGACTGCCCAGAGATATTACTGGATTTGAGTGGGAGGAAGGACTTCTAAAGAAATATGCAAGGATTAACTATTAGGGAAGTGAATTTCATCTGACTTTCTTGGATGTCACAGAGAAAGCTGACTTTTTCTGTGCATAAATTCTTCACCAAGTTGCGTCAATAGGTTGCATAGGTCTTTGTATCAAGAAAGATTTTTTTAAGGTAGCTTCTCAGGTAATTTTTAACCCATTACCTCTTCCCCCTACACATATTGGCACACAAAAGCCCATAAGTATTTCAAGCTAGAAAGGATTATTTGCTACACAGTAGCCCATTTTCCCAGGTTAGCATTATAGTCGTTTCAACTTTACAAAAAAAAAAAATGTTTAACCAAGTACCCCGAATCCAAATCAACAAGACTACATATACACATATATACGTATATATATAAAGACGAGAGGAAAACTATTTTGTTTTAAAATTGGCTCTAAGATGAAGTTTCTAATATGGCATAGTCATTTCCAACCCACTACTGTAACTTACAAATATTGACTGTTTTCTACTCCACATGTGATATCTATTTGTGAGGATAAGTTATATTGCAGGTATAAACTGCATGACTAGCTATACACTATTGCATATACTGTACCAGTCAGATGTAAACATATTAAAAAGTCATCTTGAAAGATATAATTAACCAAGAAAGAAAAAAATTCTCCTAATCACTCTTGCTAGTAACATTTCCCTCTTACAAGTGCTTCGAAATGTGACTAAGAAAATTTTTACCACCTAGTAGTGACAACACTGAGCAACAGGTCAAAAGTAAGTGATCTGGAATGGATCACTTGAGGGCACAGAATTAGTAGCAAGCAGACCCATTCCCAGCTATCACACTGGAGATGAAGAATCTTGTTACTTACTTGCTCTTTCTTAGAAAATAAAAAGATTTAAAGGAAGTAGGGTGAGAAGTATTGGAGACCAAGGAAATCGTGCGAGAGTAAACAGAGGTTTCAACACAGGAGTGCCCTTGACTCTTTTTTGAAAACTAGCTACTTAAAAAAATAGCCAGAGAAATTTCACTGAAAAAACTAAATAACAAATATTTATTGAGAATCTACTATGTGTCCAATACTTCAGGAAAATACAAAAGCAGTATGACTTAGTAGCTGCCCTCAGGGAGCTTACAATCTAATTTAAGAAACAATTCAGAAACTGAAGCTAGACTGAGTTGGGTAAAATTTGCTACCTCTAACAGAACAACTAATTTCTGTAGATGCTTTGTTGAAATGGCCCCTGCATCCCCTTCCCCACCACCTTGATATCTAGTTAGTAAGAGTACTTCCCAGTTAGGACATAGCAAGGAGGAGCTTTAAAGATGAAAAACAAAACAGGACATTTTTAGGCCTTTCATCACTAGTTTATGTGCCAGCAATATTTCCCATTCACAAAGGAAACAATCATTGAGATAGTCTAATCTTTAAGGACAATGGTGTCAGATCTCAAAGCAGTTTTATCAACTGATACACAGCCAAAATGTTTTAATTCTCTGTAATCATTGGGATAGTCTAATCTTTAAGTACAATGGAGACAGATCTCAAAGCAGTTTTATCAACTGATACACAGCCAAAATGTTTTAATTCTCTAGAAACGCTGGTTACTAGTAATGTCCATCACCTCCCAGCAAGTCACATCAGGTATCCCCAAAACAGGATATGCGGCGGAGGAAGGTAGGATGGGAGAGAAGACAAAAAAAAAGGATTTCTCCATTTAATAATCAGGGAGAGTCAAAGGCAAAAACGTTAACAATAATAACAAAAACGCCTGTTACTGTGGTGTTTTTCTTTCCACAACATCCTACACCAGAGGTGGCTACATTTCAAGAATGGTGGAAAAGGAGCAGTCTCCAGTTTGTGACATCAGTTTGCAAAGCAATTTAAGGGCTGTCCACAAGGTTAAGGGTTTGAAGAAACTGGGCATTCCTGTACCATTATGAGAAGAGTGAACAAATACCCCAGTGCTCTAGTGACGTCCCTTAAGCGTAAATACACCCTATGGGGGCCTCCATGTCCAGCTTCCCAAATAACACAATTGTTTGGGGTACCCAAACTACAGTATAAACAGGAAGCTAAAGACAGCAGCAAAAACATATTCCAAGAACTGGGTTGGTGAGAAAGAAGGGAGGGTAATAAGAGGAGCTGACAAAGAGCCTGGAAACGGAGAGGGGACGCAAGCCCACGGGTGGAGGATGGGAGGCTCACCCCCCTCAGCGCCACATCGAGAGCCCACGGGGCCAATCTCCTCCCTACCTCCCAGCCGGAACAAATTAATCCTTCGCACACCAAACTGAGGGCCACATGGGGGAGTTTGGGGGAGCTCCACCCCATCGCCCTCCCTCCCCCACGCCACCCCCAAACCAGGCCGGATCCGGATCAGAGGAGGCCCGCAGTGGGTGGAAAGGGAGGAGGCCCTCTCCTCCGCAGGCACCGGCCGGGGTGAAGAGAGAGCCCTACCTCAGGCAAGGCCCAGGCCTCGCTCGCTCGCGCTCTTTCTCGCTCTCCCCTCTCAGGCTCTAGCCGCATGGCCCCCCCTTCCTACGGCTGCTCCAAGCCCCGCCCCGGCCACGCTCCCAAATCGAGGCCCCGGCTCTGGCGCGGCCCACTAGGCCGCGAACCCAACCATAAACAAAACCTCCGGGGGCCGACTCGAGGTGGGGGGCGCCAGGGCTCGCATGACTCGGGGGGGGGTGTACAGTGGGGGAACACACGGTGTGGGGGGGCCTACCGAGGGAGGGGATACGGCGGGGGCAGGGGAGAAAAGAGGGAGGGTAAAAGGGGGATCGCGGATTTAAAGGGGCCGCGGACAATACCCGGCCCCGCCGCGCTGCCGCTGCCGCCGCCGCCGCCGCCAACGCCGCTGCGCTCCCAACTTTACCTCAGTCTCCTCCACACTGACACCCCGGGCCGCGCCGCCCCTGTCACGTGATATAAGATTCCCTCTTCCCCACCCCCTCCCTCCTTTTCCCTCTCGCGCTCGCTCTCGCGCCTTCCCCCGCCCACTTGCCTTCCTGCGTCCCTCAGCGCGTGACGCTAAAAGGGGCGCGCACGCAAGCGTGCGCGTGCCGCCTCGCCACGAGACACCTCTTTCCGGCTCCGCGAGTCCACCCCGCCTCCTTCACGGCGGCCCTGCCTCCACCACGTGACGCACGGATGGCCGCCGCTTCCTCTTACTGTCGTAGTTCCGCGTCTGAGCGCTCGACGCTCCTGGGTGCCATTGCCTGCCTGAGTCACGTGTCAGGGGGAAGCTGGAAGGCGTCGTTCTCCTTTCCCAGCTCTCCTGCCTGTCCGCCATGTTTTCAGGCCGGGTCTGGCTTGGTCTTCCCCCGTAAGGAAATGGCCGGGGAGCTCCAGGGGACCCAGGCGCCGTCGCTTCGGCGGAGCCTGGGCTGACCAGCCAGGACAGCGGGGTAAACCCGAACAATTCTGCGCGAGGTAGGGAGGCCATGGCGTCCGGCAGTAACTGGCTCTCCGGGGTGAATGTCGTGCTGGTGATGGCCTACGGGAGCCTGGTGAGGAGATTACCCCACCCCATTCCTGCTGTCGCATCTTACCCAGTAGAGACCCTCCTTTTGAGCTGTACCCCGTCTGCATTCTCCACCCACTCACCTGCGCCTATCCGGGCTTTGACTCCTTATTCCAGGAGTAGGTGGGAGTTTAAGTCACTTAGTCGGGCCGACCCGCCCTCGTTAGTCTAGAACCCTCCCTTTAACGCTAGAGCACAGACCCCACGCCTCCCTGCTGCTGGCTTCTTAGATCCACCCCCATCATAACGGCCTTGCTTTGCCCCAAGTTTTACCCTGAAACATTCCTGAGAGCCGGAATCTGGGGATTTGGAATGAAGGCATGCTTTTTTAAAAAAAAAACAAAACAAAACTGACTTTTTATTAAAGGATTTTTACATCTTTTTGGACAGGTGTTTGTACTGCTATTTATTTTTGTGAAGAGGCAAATCATGCGCTTTGCAATGAAATCTCGAAGGGGACCTCATGTCCCTGTGGGACACAATGCCCCCAAGGTAGGTCCTTAGGGCACAAGTTAAACATACTTCTCCAGATCTTTTAGGGTCAAGAATGAGATTTCCTCTGCCTTTAGTGATGACTTTAATTCTCATGTTTCTTTGCGTGCACTTGTCCTTGTACTTACTAAGTTGAGCAGGCACTGTGCGCTTTGGAACTTGGCTTACCTGCTCAGTGCTGTGGCAAGCATGTGGCTCATCCTGGAACTTCTGTTTTTGTATCTGCAGAATGAAGGGCTTGGGTCGAAGTTCCCAACTGTTTGTAGTAAAATATTTCCCAGCTCATCTTAAACTACCCAGTGTTTTTTGTTTGATTAGGATGGGGTTGAGATCATTAAGGTTAACCCAAGAGCAATGAGAAGGGTTACCTTTACATAATTTTAGACTTAAGAGGAGCTCCATAAATCATCTAATTCCACCATTCATGTTACCAAGAAGCCCAAGAAAAGGAGGCAGTTTACCAGAAGACGTATAGGAAGTGAATAACCCAGTGGTCTTTTATCTTTGTCTGTACTTTCTCCTTAGGTGACTGTCTTCCTTTCCTTGGCTTTAGCTACAGATGAAATTTTATCTCTATCCTAGAACTCTTTCCTGAGTTCCTTACATATATTGCCAACTGATTACCTGACATTTCCACTTAGATTTGTAGTAGACATCTCAAACCCAACATTTGTGAATCAGAATTATTGCTATCCCACTGCCACTCTCATTCTGCTTCTTTAGTCTTTCGCTTCTAAGTAAAAGACACCTGCTTCCCTTACCAACCCCCTTTTGTGTGGCTCTCCCCAGATCACTGGGACCCAGCTCCACTGGCTGAATTTTCCACCCTTTTTGCTCCTGTGATCTGGAATGGTCTTCAATTGGCTAGCTCATTCATTCTTTTGATCTTAGCTTAAATGTTACTTCCAAAAAAGGAATGCTTATTACCTATTTTAAAGTAGGTTCCCCCTCTCTTTATTTTCACATGGTACCCTGATTTTTCCTTCATAGCATTTACCATAATTTTTATGTTTGTCCATTTGTTTAAAACATGCCTCTCTCTTCCGCTAGACCGTAAGCTTCAAGAATGCAGGCACCATGCCAGTTTTGTTCACGACTATAAAGCCAGGACCTACACATAGTAGGTACTCAGTAATTTCTTGTTGAATGAAAAACAGGTTAGTGCCAGGGCCTACACATAGCAGGTACTCTGTAATTTGTTGCTGAATGAAAAACAGGTTAGTTGTAGAGCTAGAGCTCATGACTCCCTCAACTCCTAGAGCACTGTACTTTCATTAACAAGTGCTATTAACCTTCCCCTCTTTGTTCTTTGCTGACATAGTACATGAAAAGGCTCTAGGAGGATGTCCTGGCTTGAAACCTTAACAGTCCTGCCTGCCTCATGAGAAAGACATAGGGTTAGTTTCTAGCACATCATGAACCAATCAATACTTTGGCTATTCAGGGGTCCCTTGGTCTAGTTCAGAGCAATATTCCTTTTGCTTAAAAATTTTTTCTAAATTCTCAACCATTGCTAGTGAAAGTATAAATTAGTAAAACCACTTTGGAAAATAACTGGTCATTGTCTGGTAAGATTGCACATGTACCTAATCCATGGTCCAACAGTTTCTCTCCTACCATAGAGAAATTAAGTTTTGCTCATGTGTACCAAGAAACATGTGCAAGATTATTTATAGGGGCATTGTTCATAATATTTGAAGAAGAAACTTAATTCAAATGTCCACTTTTCAATTATTATATAGGCTGAGTGCAGTGGCTCATACCTGTAGTCCTAGCACTTTGGGAGGCTGAGGCCAGAAGATCATGTGAGCCCAGGAGTTACAGACTGCAGTGAGCTATGATTGCACTGATGCACTCCAGCATGGGCAAGAGCAAGACCTTGTTTCTAAAAAATAGGTAGTGGTATATTCATATTCTGGAATAGTGTAAAAAATGAAAAACTGAAGATAAATATATGAAGACAAGTCCTCAAAATACTTCTGAATGAAAAAAATTGCAAACATGAATCTCAAAAACATGCTGAGTGGGCCGGGCATGGTAGCTCATGCCGGTAATCCCAGCACTTAGGGAGGCCGAGTTGGGCAGATAACACTTGAGGTCAGGAGTTCGAGACCAGACCAGCCAACATGGTGAAACCCAATCTCTACTAAAAATACAAGAAAAAAATCCTAACTACTCGGGACGCTGAGGTAGGAGAATCCCTTGAACCCAGGTGGCAGAGGTTGTAGTAAGCTGAGATCAAACCACTGCACTCCAGCCTGGGTGACAGAGCGAGACTCTGTCTCACCAAAAACAAAAAAACCATGCTGAGTGAAGAAAGCCAAAATGCCGTTCACAAGAGAATATGTACCATGTGCTTCCACCCCATTTATATGAAATTCTAGAACAGGCAGAACTGTAAAAGAGTACATCATGTTGCCTGGGCTGGGAGAGGGGAGATTTCCAGGTGATGAAAATATTCTTTACTTTGATTGACGTGGTGGTGAAGGGGGTATGTTCATTTGTCAAACTCATCAATTTATATACATAAAATGAATGCATTTATTGTATGTAAATTCAACCTCAATAAAGTATATTTGAAAAATTTTGCTGGGTGCGGTGGCTAACGCCTGTAATCCCAGCACTTTGGGAGGCTGAGGCAGGTGGATCACCTGAGGTCAGGAGTTCAAGACCAGCCTGGCCAACACGGTGAAACCCCGACTGTACTAAAAATGCAAAAAAATTAGCTGGGCGTGGCGGTGTGTGCCTGTAATCCCAGCTACTCAGGAGGCTGAGGCAGGAGAATCACTTGAGCCCCGGCGGAGGTTGCAGTGAGCAGAGATCACACCATTGCACTCCAGCCTGGGTGACAGAGTGAGTCTCTGTATCAAAAAAAAAAAAAATTTAAGGCCAGGCGAGGTGGTTTACACCTGTAATCCTAGCACTTTGGGAGGCCGAGGCAGGCTGATCACGTCAGCTCAGGAGTTCGAGACCAGCGTAGGCAATATGGGGAAACCCTGTCTCTATAAAAAGTTTAAAAATGGGCCAGGCGCGGTGGTTCACGCCTGTAATCCCAGCACTTTGGGAGGCCCACATGAGAAGATCACAAGGTCAGGAGTTTGAGACCAGCCTGGCGAGCATGGTGAGACCCCATCTCTACGAAAAATACAAAAAATTAGCTGGGCATGGTGGCATGCGCCTGTAGTCCCAGCTACTTGGGAGGCTGAGGCAGGAGGGCAAGGAGAATTGCTTGAACCCAGCAGGCAGAGGTTGCAATGAGCCAAGATCATGCCACTGTACTCCAGTCTGGGTGACAGAGCAAGACTCCATCTCAAAAAAAAAAAATGTTTAATAATTAGCCATGCATGGTGGTGTGTGCCTGTAACCCCAGCTACTCAGGAGGCTAAGGCAGGAGGATCATCTGAGCTCAGGAGGTGGAGGTTATAGTGAGCTGAGATTGTGCCATTGCACTCCAGCCTGGGTGACAGAGTGTGACCCTGTCTCAAAAAAAAAAAATTTTTTTTTTAAACAAGTTGCAGAGGGATTCTTAAAGTATTTTTCCATTTGTATCAAGTTGAAAACCAGGCAAAGCTAAGCATCTTTTTTAGGGTGACACGATAAAACAGTGAAGAAGTGTATGAGGACTATTGACAAGTTAAGGTTTGGGGTGCGGAGCATTCAATGAGGGATGGGCACACAAGACTTGAAAGTTAGTGGTAGGGCCGGGCGCGGTGGCTCACGCCTGTAATCCCAGCACTTTGGGAGGCCGAGGCGGGTGGATCATGAGGTCAGCAGATCGAGACCAACCTGGCTAACAAGGTGAAACCCCGTCTCTACTAAAAATACAAAAAATTAGCCAGGCGTGGTGGCGGGCGCCTGTAGTCCCAGCTACTCGGGAGGCTGAGGCAGGAGAATGGCGTGAACCCGGGAGGCGGAGCTTGCAGTGAGCTGAGATTGCGCCACTGCACTCCAGCCTGGGCGACAGAGCGAGACTCCGTCTCAAAAAAAAAAAAAAAGAAAGTTAGTGGTAATGTTCCATTGCATAAACTGGATATTGGTTATAGGTGTTCATTATTATGCTTTTTATAATTATTTAAAATGTACATCTATGTTACCTGTATTTTGTGTATCTTATGTTTCACAATGGGAGTTTGTAAAAAGTTACAACAAAAAATTTATTTCCTGGGGCTCTGGTAACCCTCTTAGGTAAGAGAGATTAATATGAAACTGAAAATAGTAGTTGCTGCTGGGTAACTGAGAGGTGCTACCTTTAGTATCTTTTTTTTTTTTTTTGGAGACGTCTCACTCTGTCACGCAGGCTGGAGTGCAGTGGCGCAATCTCGGCTCACTGCAAGCTCTGCCTCCCGGGTTCACGCCATTCTCCTGCCTCGGCCTCCCGAGTAGCTGGGACTACAGGACCCCGCCACAACGCCCGGCTAATTTTTTGTATTTTTAGTAGAGACAGGGTTTCACCGTGTTAGCCAGGATGGTCTCGATCTCCTGACCTTGTGATCCACCCACCTCGGCCTCCCAAAGTGTTGGGATTACAGGCGTGAGCCACAGCACCCGGCCCCTTTACTATCTTTAAAATTTGTATACCATGAATTTGACTTGGCTATTTTAAAAGAAATATGTGTTAATTTTTTTTTAAAGTAGCCTCTAGCTAGGTGCATACCTGTAATCCTAGCTGCTCAGAAGGCTGAGGCAAGAGAGGCTGGGCGCAGTAGCTCACACCTGTAATCCCAGCACTTTGGGAGGCCAAGGCAGGCGGATCACTTGAGGTCAGGAGTTTGAGACCAGCCTGGCCAACATGGTGAAACCCCATCTCTACTAAGAATAGAAAAATTAGCCAGACATGGTCGTACGCGCCTATAATCCCAGCTACTCTGGAGGCTGAGGCAGGAGAATTGCTTGAACCTGGGAGGCGGAGGTTGCAGTGAACTGAGATTGCGCCACTGCACTCCAGCCTGGGTGATAGAGCAAGACTCTGTCTCAAAAAAAAAAAAAAAAAATTGGAAATAATGTTGGTGCTGTATAGCTTGAAGGATTTCTGGCACAAGTTAAATGTTCTAGCTTAGAGATGTGCAGCTTGGAGAGGTTATTGGAAAACCCAATCCCGTTCTTTCCTAAATTCTTACCTCTTATCTGGTAATTTTATTAACTACATGAGCATGGTCTCTATTTCTGTTGTCTTAGTTATTCATTAACTCTGCCCCATTTTCACATTGGTGGAAAGCAGAGTGCAGGGTAAATGATTGTGTATTCTTTTTTTATGTGAACAGGACTTGAAAGAGGAGATTGATATTCGACTCTCCAGGGTTCAGGATATCAAGTATGAGCCCCAGCTCCTTGCAGATGATGATGCTAGACTACTACAACTGGAAACCCAGGGAAATCAAAGTATGTGGCAAGCTCTTGGAATGCTTCAGTGAGGAGTCCCACAAGTCCAGAATTCCTTTTCTCTCAGAGTTGTCAAAAGCTGCTGGCAAAGCCTTAGTTATTCCTGTTATTGGATATATGTTAGATGCAGAGCCCATTTATTAGCTTGCTGGAGTTTGGGGAATTTTTTTTTTCTTTTTTGAGATGGAGTTTCACTCTTGTTGCCCAGGCTGGAGTGCAATGGTGCAGTCTCAGCTCACTGCAACCTCCACCCCCTTGTTCAAGCAATTCTTCTACCTCAGCCTCCTGAGTAGCTGGGATTACAGGCATGCGCCACCACGCCTGGCTAATTTTGTGTTTTTACTAGAGACGGGGTTTCTCCATGTTGGTCAGGCTGGTCTCAAACTCCTGACCTCAGGTGATCCACCCACCTCAGCCTCCCAAAGTGTTGGGATTACAGGCATGAGCCACCACGCCCAGCCTGGGGAATATTTTTAGGGTTATGCCTAACACCAGTCTTTTCCTCAACAGGTTGCTACAACTATCTGTATAGGATGAAAGCTCTGGATGCCATTCGTACCTCTGGTAAGGGCTACCTGACAGGGTCCATTCTAGGATCCTGAAAGCCCACCTAGGGAACAGAGTAATGAACCCACTTTGTATGTTAGGATTTGTCCTTTCTGCACATCCCTGGCTAGTAGGAAATTCTAGAGTTTTGAAAGTACTAGATTAGAGATTTTGCTGAAGGAAATGATATAAGCAGGTTATTCTCCAAAGAGTCTGGGTGTTTTGTTTTTTAAAGTTCTTCTCTTGAGACCTTTAGTTTCATGAAGTAGATGATAGTAATTTGCTTGTTTTTCCACAAAGGACAGGTGGCACCTGCTTTTTCACTAAGCCCAAGATAGATTGTTCTTGAATTTTTTCCATTCTGTCAACACTTGTCATATATGCTTTATCTCTATGAAAACAGTTTATATCTTAAACCTAGGATGGATGAGTAAGCAGGATGGTAAAATGTGTGATGACACTATCATGTGTCATAGATGTAGCTTACAACTGTGGTGTTACCACCAAATGACCACTCAGGCACAGCTTTATACCTTTGGTCTCAATCAGAATCTCCCTCTAACTCAACTTGCTCATTTCATTAGACCTATTTCTTTTTATTTTTGAGACGGAGTCTTGCTCTGTTGCCCAGGCTGGAGTGCAGTAGCACGATCTTGGCTCACCACAACCTCCACCTCCTGGGTTCAAGCGGTTCTCCTGCCTCAGCCTCCCGAGTAGCTGGGATTACAGGTACCTACCACCATGCCTGGTTAATTTTTGTATTTTTAGTAGGGACAGGTTTTCACCATGTTGGCCAGGCTGGTCTCAAACTCCTGACCTCAGGTGATCTGCCTGCCCCGGCCTCCCAAATTGCTGTAATTACAGGCGTGAGCCACTGCGCCCAGCTTCATTAGACCTACTTCTAAGTTTGGGGAATTAACTAGAAAGACTAAAGAATGGGGCAGGCGCAGTGGCTCATGCCTGTAATCCCAACGCTTTGGGAGGGCGAGGCAGACAGATCACAGGAGGCCAGGAGTTCAAGACCAACCTAGCCAACAAGGTGAAACCCTTTTGTATTTTTGTCTCTACTAAAAATACAAAAATAAGCCTGGCATGGTGGTGCACATCTGTAATCCCAGCTAATCAGGAGGCTGAGACTAGAGAATTGCTCAAACCTAGGAGGTGGAGGTTGCAGTGAGCCAAGATCACTGCCACTGCACTCCAGCCCGGGTGACAGAGCGAGACTCCATCTCAAAAAAAAAGACTAAAGAATGAGAAGAGATATCATTGTGCTGTTTTCTCCACAGAGATCCCATTTCATTCTGAAGGCCGGCATCCCCGTTCCTTAATGGGCAAGAATTTCCGCTCCTACCTGCTGGATCTGCGAAACACTAGTACGCCTTTCAAGGGTGTACGCAAAGCACTCATTGATACCCTTTTGGATGGCTATGAAACAGCCCGCTATGGGACAGGGGTAAGCCAGTTTTTTCTTCGGGGCACTAAAGAGATCCCTCAGACTGAGAGATCCTCACTCTTCCTTTCTCTTTCCTAAGGTCTTTGGCCAGAATGAGTACCTACGCTATCAGGAGGCCCTGAGTGAGCTGGCCACTGCGTGAGTTTGGAGGGGAACGTGTCAGAGGGAGCTGGTACAGTAGTGTTGGACTGTTGCCACAGTGCAGTGACCTTCATAAAGCATATAAACAAAATCCATGATACCATAAGAGTTGTCAGGTTCTAGACTATTAGATCAGTCTCTTACATTAGAAAGCAGATGCGGCCGGGCACAGTGGTTCACGCCTATAATCCCAGCACTTTGGGAGGCCGAGGCGGGAGGATCATCTGAGGTTGGGAATCCGAGACCAGCCTGACCAACATGGAGAAACCCCGTTCTCTACTAAAAATACAAAATTAGCCGGGCGTGGTGGCGCATGCCTGTAATCCTAGCTTCTGGGGAGGCTGAGGCAGGAGAATCTCTTGAACCCGGGAGGCGGAGGTTGCGGTGAGCCAAGATCGTGCCATTATACTCCAGCCTGGGCAACAAAAGTGAAACTCTGTCTCAAAAAAAAAAAAGAAGAAAAGAAAGCAGATGCAACTATACAAGCTAGTAAAAGAAGTTTTTACTAGCATTTTTCTTGTGTGCATTTTTCTTGTCTTTTGTTTAGCCCAATAAAATGTCAAAATTGGTGTAGCCTAGCAAAGGGAATAGTTTTTCAGCACACACAGGGATTCCTTCTCTTCAGAGTCTCAGCGTCCCTTTTGTGTCTTGGCCCAATAAAAGTAAGAATTAAATAACATTGGGCCGGGCGCGGTGGCTCACGCCTGTAATCCCAGCACTTTGGGAGGCCGAGGCAGGCGAATCATGAGGTCAAGAGATCAAGACCATCCTAGCCAACAAGGTGAAACCCTGTCTCTACTAAAAATACAAAAATTAGCTGGGCATGGTGGTGCGTGCCTGTAATCTCAGCTACTCGGGTGGCTGAGGCAGGAGAATCGCTTGACCCCAGGAGGCAGAGGTTGCAGTGAGCTGAGATCACGCCACTGCACTCCAGCCTGGTGACAGAGCAAGACTCCATCTCAAAAAAAAAAAAAAAAAAAAAAAAAAAAAAAGAATTAAATAACATCTATTTTTGGCCGGGCGCGGTGGCTCACGCCTATAATCCCAGCACTTTGGGAGGCCGAGGAGGGTGGATCACAAGGTCAGGAGTTCAAGACCAGCCTGGCCAACATGGTGAAACCTCGTCTTTACTGAAAATACAAAAATTAGCTGGGCATGCTGGCGGGCTCCTGTAATACCAGCTACTCGGGAGGCTGAGGCAGAAATCACTTGAACCCGGGAGGTGGAGGTTGCAATGAGCCGATATCATGCCATTGCACTTCAGCTGGGGTGACAAGAGCATGACTGTCTCAAAAAAAAAATAAAAATTAAAAATTAAAAAAATCTATTTTTACTACCACTTAAAGTATTAGTAACCATGTCTGAAACAAAGGCCATCGCTATAGAGTCAGCTGTTGAGCATTTGTGTCACAGGAGAGGATTCATGGCTTTTGTTTGGGAATGTTTTTAATACACACTAAACATAGTCTCGTATTTTCATGCAAATGTTAAAATCAAAGTTCTTGGCGAGAAAGGAAAGCCAATCTAGAGTAAAAACTTAGGCCGGGCGCAGTGGCTCACACCTGTAATCCCAACACTGGGAGGCCGAGGCAGGTGGATCATCTAAGGTCAGGAGTTCAAGACCAGCTTAACCAACATGGTGAAACCCCATCTCTACAAAAATACAAAAATTAGCCGGGCATGATGATGTGCGCACCTGTAATGCCAGCCACTCAGGAAGGTGAGGCAGGAGAATCGCTTGAACCTGGGAGGTGGAGGTTGCAGTGAGCCAAGATCGTGCCATTCCACTCCAGCCTAGGCGACAGAGCGAGACTCCATCTCAAAATAATAATAAACAGTTAGTTACCAGCCATAAAAATAATCTGTTTTCTGCTATGTTGAATATTGCTCTTTTTCAAGAGCTTAAGGGGTATGTCTCTCCTGTCTTCTCTCTGTCCCTAAAAATGAGCTACGTTGTCTTAAAAGATGAAAGGGCCAAGGCCTGGAGCAGTGGCTCACGTCTATAATCCCAGCACTTTGGGAGGCCAAGGTGGGCGGATCACTTGAGGCCAGGAGTTGGAGACCAGCCTGGCCAACATGACAAAACCTCATCTCTACTAAAAATATAAAAATTAGCCTGGTGTGGTGGCACATGCCTGTAATCCCAGCTATTCCAGAGGCTGAGGCAGGAGAATTGCTTGAACCCAGGAAGCAGAGGTTGCAGTGAGCCGAGATTGTGCCACTCCAGCGTGGGTGACAGAGCAAGAGTCTGTCTCGAAAAGATGAAAGGTCCTAGTAAAAACTGCTTAGAAGGCCAGCTGCAGTGGTTCGTACTTGTAATCCCAACACTTTGGGAGGCTGAGATGGGTGGATTACTTGAGCCCAGGAGATTGAGACCAACCTGGGCATCATAGTGTAACCCTGTCTCTACTAAAAATAAAAAAATTAGGCCAGGTGTGGTGGCTCACGCCTGTAATCCCAACACTTGGAGAGGCCGAGGCGGGCGGTTCATGAAATCAGGAGAGCGGGAACATCCTGGCTAACGTGAAAACCAGTCTCTACTAAAAATACAAAAAAAAAAAAATTAGCCGGGCGTGGTGGCGGGTGCCTGTAGTCCCAGCTACGTGGGAGGCTGGGGCAGGAGAATGGCATGAACCCAGGAGGCGGAGCTTGCAGTGAGCCAAGATCGCGCCACTGCACTCCAGCCTGGGCAACAGAGCAAGACTCCATCTCGAAAAAAAATTAGCTGGGAGTGGTGGCGACCACCTACCTGTAGTCCCAGCTACTCAGGAGCTGAGGTGCGTGTACCACTTGTGCCTGGGAGGCAGAGGTTGCAGTGAGCCAAGATCATGCCACTGCCCTCTAACCTGGGCAACAGAGTGAGACACTGTCTCAAAAAAAAAAAAAAAAAAAACTGCTTAGAGCACTGATGAAAATGAACATGTAGAAAGGCTGGAAAAGGGCATTTGGTCTAGAAGTCAGCAGAAGCCTGTTCAAAATTCACTTTCTTTGAAAGATAAATACTAGATGATTCCAGTTATATGAGATACCTAGGTAGTCAAACTCAGAGACAGAAAGTAGAATGATGGTTGCAGGGGCTGGAGAGTGGGGGAAATAGGGAGTTGTTCACTGGGTATAGTTTCAGTTTTGCAAGATGAAAATGTGGAGGTTGGTTGCACAACACTGTGAATATACTTAACACTACTGAACCATACATTTAAAAATTCTTAAGATGGTAAATTTTATGTTACATGTATTTTACCACAATCTTTTTAAAAATTATTTCTGAAGGCCAGGCATGGTGGCTCACGGCTGTAATCCCAGCACTTTGGGAGGCTGAGGCGGGTGGATCACCTGAGGTCAGGAGTTCAAGACCAGCCTGGCCAACATGGTGAAACCCTGTCTCTACTAAAAATAGAAAAATTGGCTGGGCATTGTGGTATGCACCTGCAATCCCCAGCTACTCGGGAGGCCGAGACAGGTCGCTTCAACCTAGGAGGCAGAGGTTGCAGTGAGCCAAGATTGTGCCACTGCACTCCAGCCTGAGCAACAGAGAAAAAGACTCCATCTCAAAAACAAAAAATTATGTTTGATTTGTAGTTTCTAGGAATGTTCATTGGGTTTAGTGAAGAGTATAGGCTTTGAAATCTGACAAACTTAGGTTTGAATCCCAGGTCTGTCACTTAACTAGTTTTGTGACCTCATACAAGCTAATTATTGGACCCTTAGTTTCCTAATCTGCAAAACAAGGTGATACCTATATTGGGGATACCTGTCTCTGAAAAAAAAGCTTGAGCCAGAGGCAAGAACTCTGGGAAATTGGTTTCTCTGCTGCTAGTTGTTTTTGGTATGAGTAGGTGTGTGTCAGGGTACCCAAACAGGGCCTTTATTCTGTCACCCAGGCTGGAGTGCTGCTACTTTTTTAGGGTGTGTGTGAGAGAGAGAGACAGGGTCTCAGTCTGTCGCCCAGACTGGAGTGCAGTGGCACATTCATGGCTCACTGCAGCCTCGAATTCTGGGTTCAAGCGATCCTCCTGCCTCAGCCTCCTGAGGAACCAGGACTACAGGTGCTTGCCACCATACCTGGCTAATTTTTTGCAGAGATAGGGTCTCACTTTGTTTCCCAGACTGGTCTCAAACTCCCCTGGGCTCAAGCGATCTCTGGCCTCTGCCTCCTGAAGTGCTGGGATTACAGGTATAAGTGACCATGCCCAGCCTCTCTGCTACTTTTTTTTTTTTTGAGATGGAGTCTTGCTCTGTCACCCAGGCTGAAGTGCAGTGGCGCAATCTTGGCTTGCAACCTCTGCCTCCTGGGTTCAAGTGATTCTCTTGCCTCAGCCTCCCGAGTAGCTGGGATTACAGGCACCCGCCACCACTCCCAGCTAATTTTTGTATTTTTAGTAGAGACAGGGTTTCACCATGTTGGCCAGGCTGGTCTCGAACTCCTGACCTCAAACAATCCACCTGCCTGGGCCTCCCAAAGTGCTGGGATTACAGGCGTGAGCCACCGCGCTCAGCCTCTTGTATTTCTAAGCTACTAGATGGGGTTTTAGTAACTAGTTTACAAAATAGGACAGATAGGACACAAATAACTATTTGTGACTATTGCTGCATTTATGGCCTGGGATAAGCCCTGATTTCTTTGATTAGTCCTCATTCTGTCAATGACCTCCCCTCTCTGTTCTTCAGGGTTAAAGCACGAATTGGGAGCTCTCAGCGACATCACCAGTCAGCAGCCAAAGACCTAACTCAGTCCCCTGAGGTCTCCCCAACAACCATCCAGGTGACATACCTCCCCTCCAGTCAGAAGAGTAAACGTGCCAAGCACTTCCTTGAATTGAAGAGCTTTAAGGATAACTATAACACATTGGAGAGTACTCTGTGACGGAGCTGAAGGACTCTTGCCGTAGATTAAGCCAGTCAGTTGCAATGTGCAAGACAGGCTGCTTGCCGGGCCGCCCTCGGAACATCTGGCCCAGCAGGCCCAGACTGTATCCATCCAAGTTCCCGTTGTATCCAGAGTTCTTAGAGCTTGTGTCTAAAGGGTAATTCCCCAACCCTTCCTTATGAGCATTTTTAGAACATTGGCTAAGACTATTTTCCCCCAGTAGCGCTTTTTTCTGGATTTGCATTCAGGTGTTATTCTTAATGTTTCTGTCAAAGCTTCTTAAAAATCTTCACTTGGTTTCAGCCATAGTTCACCTTCCCTGTTCCAGGTTTATTTAATTCCAAAGGTGAGAGTTGGAGTGAGATGTCTTCCATATCTATACCTTTGTGCACAGTTGAATGGGAACTGTTTGGGTTTAGGGCATCTTAGAGTTGATTGATGGAAAAAGCAGACAGGAACTGGTGGGAGGTCAAGTGGGGAAGTTGGTGAATGTGGAATAACTTACCTTTGTGCTCCACTTAAACCAGATGTGTTGCAGCTTTCCTGACATGCAAGGATCTACTTTAATTCCACACTCTCATTAATAAATTGAATAAAAGGGAATGTTTTGGCACCTGATATAATCTGCCAGGCTATGTGACAGTAGGAAGGAATGGTTTCCCCTAACAAGCCCAATGCACTGGTCTGACTTTATAAATTATTTAATAAAATGAACTATTATCAAATAAAACGTATGAATCAGTCCTTTATAGTTGTCTTTTAATAAAACAGGCATTTGATAATGTTATCTGCACATTTCTAACAGGGTATAGGGCATGAGGATTTGCCTCCAGAGAATTGGTGGGACTGTGTGCATACCCTGGACCTACGACCATACACATACTCCTTGGGACCCTAGCACAAGAAATCCTAAAATCAGGACTGTGGCCCTTGCTCATAGATGCCTGTGTCACCAACAGAAGGCTGCAGAACAAGGATTCTCTCAAGGTTTCTGGGGCAACAGGCCAGGTGGCCAATCAACTCCTAGGCCCAGGGTTATTGTTGGAGGTGTAAATGTTACTATGACTACTGAAACCTTGGTTACTGAACTAAACAGAGGAGCCTGTCAGTCTCCTCAGACTGTATCAAGCAAATCTATAGACATGTCTGTGGAAAAGATGACAAAAGTAGAAGAGGTATGCAGAGTTGGAAGGAGGGGCTGGGTTGAAGTTTGATGAAGTTTCCAGATCAATTTACTATAAGTGCATCTTTTACTGGGAAAGGCTTTTGATGTAACAAGGGTATAATGTAGTTAGTAACAGGAGTGGGAGGCTGTGTCTAGTACACAGTAGGTATTCAAATATGTGTTCTATCCAACCCCTGCGTGTTTTCTTTGATCCATTCTGAAAGTAGAGCTTTCCTCTCCCTATTTCCCCCCAGGAAATTGCTTTCTCAAAAAGGTCTATGTGGCTGGGTGCGGTGACTCACGCCTGTAATCCTATCACTTTGGGAGGCTGAGGTGGGCGGATCACCTGAGGTCAGGAGTTCGAGACTAGCCTGACCAACATGGAGAAACCCCATCTCTACTAAAAATACAAAATTAGCCCGGCATGGTGGTGCATTCCTATAATCTCAGCTACTCGGAGGCTGAGGCAGGAGAATCGCTTGAACCCGGGAGGCGGAGATTGCGGTGAGCCGAGATCACGCCACTGCACTCTGGCCTGGGCAACAAGAGCAAAACTCTGTCTCAAAAAAAAAAAAGGTCTATGTCTCTCATTAGAATAGAGGTTCTGGAGACTGAGGCAGATCAACAGAACTACCTTTTCTTGCAGAGTTTTCAAAAGGCCATGGGACTTAAGAAGACGGTCGACAGGTAATCTGCTTCTATCCCCTCCCTTTACCTTTGAGCTTGACCTTTCCACTCTGCTGTCTTCCCTGAGCCACCTCCCAACTCTGCTGCATCTCTTTAGGGGCTCATCAAGAGGAAAACAGATGCGGAAGGGGTGAGAAGCAGCCTTGTCCTCAAAGCAAATGAGATCAGCCTCTTAGTGCCTACTAGGTTAGGTGATATAGATTGGTTTTTATTGTCCCCTGCCTCATTCTCTGGAGAAAAATTGAAGCATGTTTTTATTTTCTTTTTTTATCAAGAATTCAAGTATTTGTTGCCTGGCTTTGTACTAATTATGTGGTTGGTAGTGCAGTATTTGTTGAACCAGTGAATGAGAAGATTCACAAGACTGGGCTACGTATCCTTTTCACCCTGATGAACTTTTGAAAAAACTGATGCAGCCGGGCGCGGTGGCTCACGCCTGTAATCCTAGCACTTTGGGAGGCTGAGGCAGGAGGATTGCCTGAGCTCAGGAGTTCAAGACCAGCCTAGGCAACATGGTGAAACCCTGTCTCTACTAAAATACAAAAGAAGTTAGCCAGGCATGGTAGTGTGCGCCTGTAGTCCCAGCTACTCGGGAGGCTGAGGCAGGAGAATTGCTTGAACTTAGGATGCGGAGGGTGCAGTGAGCCAAGATCGCACCACTGCACTCCAGCACTCCAGCCTGGGTGACAGAGCAAGACTCCGTCTCTACAAAAAAAAAAAAAAAAACACTGATGCAAGCCTGGCATGGTGGTTCACACCTATAATCCCAGCACCTTGGGAGGCCGAGGCAGGGGGATTGCTTGAGCCCAGGAGCTCGAGACCAGCCTGGGCAACATAGGAAAACCCTGTCTCTACCAAAAAAATTAAAATTAGCTAGGTGTGGTGGTGCATGCCTGTAGTCTCAGCCACTCAGGAGACTGAAGCAGGAGGATCAGTTGAGCTCAGGTCAAGTGATGCCACCACTGCATTCTAGCCTGGGTGAGAGAGGAAAACCCTGTCTCAAAACAAAACAAAATGAGCTGGGCACATTGGCTCATGTCTGTAATCCCAGCACTTTGGGAGGGCAAGGCAGGTGGATTGCTTGAGCTCAGGAGTTCGAGACCAGCCTGGGCAACATGGCAAGACCCCCATCTCTACCAAAAAACTTAATTTAAATAAATAAATAAGCACTGATGCCTAGTTCTTAACCCTAGGAGATTCTGATAAAAGTGGTCTGAAATGGGATAGGAGAAGCCTTTTTTTAAGGTTTCACGGGTTATATCCAGAGCTAGCAAGGATGTGAAGAAACAAGAACATATATGATTTTAATAGGAGTCTAGGTTGATACAGCCATGTTTACAAAGGCAGTTTGATAAAATCTATCAAAATTTAAATTTACATATCCATTGAACTGGCAAAAATAGGAATTTATCTTAAATATACATACTTGGAAAAGCACTAGAAGGTACATACACAAGAATGTTCATGACTATTGCTTTTATTTATTTATTTATTTATTTATTTATTGAGATGGAGTTTCGCTCTTGTTGCCCATGCTGGAGTGCAGTAGCACGATCTCAGCTCGCTGCAACCTCCGCCTCCTGGGTCTAAGCAATTCTCCTGCCTCAGCCTCCTGAGTAGTTGGGATTACAGGTGCCCGCCACCACACCTGGCTAATTTTTGTATTTTCAGTAGAGTCGGAGTTTCACCACGTTGGGGTTTCGCCATGTTGGCCAGGCTGTTCTCAAACCCCTGACCTCAAGTAATCGGCCTGCCTTGGCCTCCCAAAGTGCTGGAATTATAGGCGTGAGCCACCACGCCCGGCCTGATTACATGTTTTTTAAAAAAGAAGATGTACTTCCCAGTTTATGATAGAAACATTTTCTGAAAACATTCACAAGTAGCTGGGTGTGGTGGCTCATACTTGTAATCCCAGCACTTTGGGAGACCAAGGCAGAGGATCACTTGAGTGCAGGAGTTTGAGACCAGCCTGGGTAACAGTGAGACTCCGTCTCTACAAAAAAATAAAAATTAGCCAGGCACACACCTGTTGTCCTGGCTATTTAGACAGCTGAGGTAGAAGGATTGCTTGAGCCTAAGAGGTTGACATTGTAGTGATCCATAATCACACACTGCACTCCAGCCTAGGCAACAGAATGAGACCCTGTCTCAAAAAAATATATATGCAAAAGTTACCTGGGCGTGGTGGCACACGCCTATAATCCCAGCTACCCAGGAGGCTGAGGCAGAAGAATTGCTTGAACCTGGGAGGCAGAGGTTGCAGTAACCAGAGATCGCACCACTGCACTCCAGCCTGGGCAACAGAGCAGGACTCTGACTCAGAAAAAAAAAAAAGTAAAAACTACAGTCATTCCCAACAAAGTATATATATATATATATATATATATATATATATATATATATATATATATATATATATATATATTTGCCCAGTCAGAGATAACAACTTTTTTTTTTTTTTGAGGCAGAGTCTCTCTAAGACAGAGTCTTACTCCACCACCCAGGCTAGAGTGCAGTGGTGCAATCTCGGCTCACTGCAGCCTCCACCTCCTGGGTTCAAGTGATTCTCGTGCCCCAGCCTCCTGGGGAGCTGGGATTACAGGTGTGTGGCACCACGCTCGGCTAATTTTTGTATTTTTAGTAGAGATGGGGTTTCACCATGTTGGCCAGACTGGTCTTGAACTCCTGGCCTCAAGTGATCTGCCCGCCTCAGCCTCCCGAAGTGCTGGGATTACAGGCATGAGCCATTGCACCCAGAAAGTTTTTACTTTTCACTTAATGTATTTTTTTTTTCCTTGGGACGGAGTCTTGCTCTGTCGCCCAGGCTGGAGTGCAGTGGCACCATCTTGGCTCACTGCAAGCTCTGTCTCCTGGGTTCACGCCATTCTTCTGCCTCAGCCTCCCGAGTAGCTGGGACTACAGGCACCCGCCACTGCGCCCAGCTAATTTTTTTATATTTTTAGTAGAGACGGGGTTTCACCGTGTTAGTGAGGATGGTCTCGATCTCCTGACCTCGTGATCTGCCCGCCTGGGCCTCCCAAAGTGCTGGGATTACAGGCATGAGTCACCGCGGCCGGCCTCACTTAATGTATTTCTGTGTAGATTCAATTTTTTCAACATGTGGAAAATGTACTTTTGATTTTTTAAAAATGCCAACAGTAGATATATGTACATGCATGATGTATATTTATATTCTTTCTATATATTAAAAAACTTAAAACTGGCCTGGCATGGTGGCTCACTCCTGTAATCCCAGCACTTTGGGAGGCTGAGGCAGGCTGATCACTTGAGGTCTGGAGTTCGAGACCAGCCTGGCCAACATGGCAAAACCCCACCTCTACTAAAAATTTAAAAATTAGCAGCCAGGCATGGTGGCTTACGCCTGTAATCCCAGCACTTTGGGAGACTGAGACAGGTGGATTACATGAGGTCAGGAGTTCAAGACCAGCCTGGCCAACATGGTGAAACCTCTGTCTCTACTAAAAATATGAAAATTAGCTGGGCGTGGTGGCATGCACCAATAATCCCAGCTACTCAGGAGTCTGAGGCAGGAGAATTGCTTGAGCCCAGGAGACAGAGGCTGTAATGAACCCAGATTGCGCCACTGCACTCCAGCCTGGCTGACACAGTGAGACTCTGTCTCCAAAAAAAAAAAAAAAATTACCTGGGCGTGGTGGTGGGCGCCTGTAATCCCAGCTACTCAGGAGGATGAGGCATGAGAATTGCTTGAACCTGGGAGGCAGAGGTTGCAGTGAGCCAAGATCGGGCCATTGCACTCTGGCCTGGGCGACTGAGCGAGACTATTTCTCAAAAAAAAAAATTAAAACTTCAATGAAGATTCCAGTCTAGCCAGGGCTGAGAATCACTAGTATGAGGGAAGGGATATTAACTTTAGAGAAATTGGATTTGGGGCCAGGCGCGGTGGCTCATACCTGTAATCCCAGCACTTTGGGATGCTGAGTCAGGCGGATCACCTGAGGTCAGGAGTTCGACACCAGCGTGGCCAACACGGTGAAACCTCGTCTCTACTAAAAATACAAAAATTAGCCAGGTGTGGTGGCACATGCCTGTAGTCCCAGCGACTCAGGAGGCTGAGGCAGGAGGATCACTTGAACCCTGGAGGCAGAGATTGCAGTGAGCCAAGATTGCCTCACTGCACTCCAGCCTGGGTGACAGAGTGAGACTCTGTCTAAAAAAAAAAAAAAAAGCTGGATTTGAGTCCCAGGTCTGCCATTAAGTGACCTTGGGCATCTCACAACTTTTAGTTTCCTTACCTGTATCATGTAAAAATTAATGCCTATGGGCCAGGCGCGGTGGCGCATGCCTGTAATCCCAGCTACTCAAGAGGCTGAGGCAGGAGAATCACTTGAACCCGGGAAGTGGAGGTTGCAGTGAGCCGAGATCACACCATTGCACTCTAGCCTGGGCAACAAGAGCAAAACTCTGTCTCAAAATAAATAAATAAATAAATAAAATAACACCTATGCCACATAGTTACTGTAATGATTAAATGATATTATGTACTTAATACATACTAGGTTCTAAATTACCCTTTTAAGGATTTTACAGTCTTCTAACAGTGGGGCAGAGGTTCCAGGTGAAGAAACAGTCTTGGGCCAGGCGTGGTGGCTCACACCTATAATCCCAGCACTCTGGGAAGCCGAGGCAGGTGGATCACCTGAGGTCAGGAGTTCGAGACCAGCCTGACCAATATGGTGAAACCCTATCTCTACTAAAAATACAAAAAATTAGCTGGGCATGGTGCCAGGCACCTGTAATCCCAGCTACTTGGGAAGCTAAGGCAGGAGAATCACTTGAACCTGGGAGGCAGAGGTTGCAGTGAGCCAAGATTGCACCACTGTACACCAGCCTGGGCAACAAGAGTGAAACTCTGTCTCAAAAAAAAAGAAAAGAAAAAGAAAAAAGAAACAGCCTCACTCTATGGGTTTTTTGTCTCTACTCCTAACTCTAACCCACCCATTCAACCCCCACCTCTGTACCTGGAGCAGGTGGCGAAATTCACATACTCACTGTCTGTGGCAAATGGCATTGGGCCAGAGAAGAAACCCGTATGCCACCCTAAGGATGCAGGACACCATGGTACAGGAATTGGCACTGGCCAAAAAGCAACTACTAATGGTGAGTTCTAGCAGGGCAACCTGAAGTCTCATTCACTACTGCTGTGTGCCTTTGCCCATTGAGTTTTCCAAGCTCTTAGTGTGTGTCATTGCACATTTATCTTGTTTGCCTCTAGGTTTTCAGCATTACACCAGAGCAACACAACTCTAACTCCATTGCCAAAACTCTTTTTCATTAAGTGATTCTTTGCATCCACCTTACAGGCGGCAGGCACATGTTAAAGTCCCAAAGTATACTCTAGTTCCTGCTCCTTTCATCTTGGTGAGACTCAAAACTGCCTCTTAGATCGGGTGTGGTGGCTCAGGCCTGTAATCCCAGCACTTTGGGGGGCCAAGACGGGCAGATCGCTTGAGCCCAGGAGTTCAAGACCAGCTTGACCAACATGCCAAAACCACCTCTCTACTAAAAACACAAAAATTGGCCGGGCATGGTGGCACTTGCCTATAATCCCAGCTACTTGGGAGGCCGAGGCACGAGAATCACTTGAAACGAGGGCAGAGGTTGCAGTGAGCTGAAATTGTGCCACTGCACTCCAGCCTGGGCTACAACGTAAGACTTGGTCTCAAAAAAACAAAAAACAAAAAAAACTGCCTCTTAGTGCGTATCACTTGCCTCTCGGTACCTCTCTCTCTCCCGGGGTCCCCACTTGGTGCCATGTAACCATCTTTGTATCCCAGTTACTTAGTAGAGTTCCTGTTTCATGGTCTGTTCTCAGCAAATATTTGCTGAACATAGGGCTTTGCCTGTGGAGAAAAAAATTGGATAGGCTTCCCTCTGCTGGTTCAGCCTCTCTGCTACCACCCAGCTTTATGTCACAGCTAAGTCCAGCTCCAAGAGAACACAAATAATGGGAAAACAACTAGGAAGAAAGAATAAGAAAGGGTGGTAAACAGAGGCAAACAACACACTCTATTCTGCCCTCTCCACCAGGTCCGTCAAGCTGCCCTGCACCAGCTGTTTGAAAAGGAGCATCAGCAGTACCAGCAGGAACTAAATCAGATGGGCAAAGCTTTTTATGTAGAGAGATTCTGATGGCATCCAAAACACTGCTCTTCCATTCTCAACATGCCTGCTAACCTAGCCTTCTAGAACCTCTACCACCTTGAACCTCCTTCCCAAAACATACCTGGATCTTGCTATCTGTCAGGGACTTAAGACAGCACTTCCACTCTCACTTCTCCACTCTCTCGTTAATCCTTTGCCGCTATTTGGGAAACAATCTATGAAACAACAGTAACAACAAGAGTGACGCCTTGTGGTCATAGTGGGATTTACTATGTTGATGTAAGGGGGCAGGGGTGGGGAGGGGTGGACAATGAGAGTTGAGAATCCTGATTTGGTATAACAAATAAATTTACTTCCTAAAGGCTCAAACTTAGACCACTGGGCTCATTCTTTCATGTCTAAATCTTGATTTGTTTCAAAAGTGCTTATTTTTCAGCTACTGTAATCTTAACCTCCTGGATTTCACTTGCCATCTCTCAGATATCACTTTCACTTATCTTTTATTTATATTTGGACAAATTGTTCTGAATGTGGCTATTAATCTACAGACACCGTAGTGCTTGAGTGAGGAGGCCTGCATTTTGGGTTTTGAGTCAGCTAGTTATTGTGAAACTTTGGACAAGTCTCTTTCCACTGGGCCTGAATTCCCACCTATGCCAAGAGAGAGGATTCCAAACTTAAATGTCTCCAGGGGTCAGGCAGGTAATGTTACAGTTGTAAGGAAATAAGGAGTGGTGGGATTTGTAGGGGGCTGGAAAGAGCAGTCAAAATAAAGGCACTCAAAATTCTGAAAAATACTGAAAAGTACTGATTGACCATGTGCATCATATGAAGGCCATAGACAACTTTACTTACAAGGGTTCACTTTACAGGCTGGGTGAGGTGGCTCACACCTGTAATCCCAGCACTTTGGGAGGCTGAGACAGGTGGATCACCTGAGGTCAGGAGTTCAAGACCAGCCTGGCCAACCATGGCCAAAATGGTGAAACCCCATCTCTACTAAAAATACAAAAAATTAGCCTGGCATGGTGGCAGGCACTTGTAATCCCAGCTACTCAGGAGGCTGAGGCAGGAGAATTGCTTGAACCCAGGAGGCGGAGATTGCAGTGAGCTGAGATCATGTCATTGAACTCTAGCCTGGGTGACAGCAAGACTCCGTCTCAAAAATAAAAAGGGTCCACTTTACATGTGAATGACATCCCAAGCCAGAGAGACCCCCATTTCACAGCCAGTGACAGCTGTAGGAATACACCATGAGTCCCTGAATACACTCCCTGAACACACCATCGCTCCCTGATGTAAATGCCATTATACATTACTTTGTCCTGTGCTCTCACCTTGCCGTTGGCATCCTCACTGGTCACTCATCCTGTCCACATGATATTTTCCTGACCTCAACTCTATGTGCCTTTGTCTCCACTGCAAAACTCATACCCTTCCCTCCAACCAAGTCTGTCTCCATCCTTCAGTCTCCTACTGAATCCCCCATTTTTCTTCTAGCTGTCAGAGCTTCTTCCTCTGCCCCTACACATCCCACTGATCAAGAGGCAGTAGAGTATAAAAATAAGAGCACAGGCTTTGAAGTCAGGTGTGGGTTCAAATTCTGGCTTCACCTCTTTAATTCTTGTGTCATCATATGGAAGTAATTTAGCTTAACTGGCCTCAATTTCCTCTTCTAGGCTGGGCGTGGTGGCTCATGCCTATAATCCCAGCACTTTGGGAGGCCGAGGCAGGTGGATCACTTGAGGTCAGGTATTCAAGACCAGCCTGCCCAATGTGGTGAAACGCTGGCTCTACTGAAAATACAAAAATTAGCCAGGTGTGGTGGCAGGCCCCTGTAATCCCAGCTACTTGGGAGGCTGAGGCAGGGGAATTGCTTAAACCCAGAAGGCGGAGGTTGCAGCGAGCCGAGATTGTGCCATTGCGCTCCAGCCTGGGTGGCAGAGCAAGACTCCATCTCAAAAAAAAAAAAAAAAAAAAAAATTTCCTCTTTTGAAAATTAGGACAATACCCATCTCATAGGCTCATTTGAAGAATTAAGTAAGATAATGTATAAGCCCAGTGCTTGGCACACAGTAGGTATCCTCCATGTTCTCCCTCAGGAGATTTCTCTGTGACCCAGGTCCTCCAGAGGTTGCTTGCTGACCTCTAGGCCAGCCCTCTTATCCAATCAAATATCATTCTCCACCCATGCCCATTCCTCTGTCTGTGCTACATATCCGATATTCAACCCCCAACTCCCATCACCTCTGCTTCCCAAACCCTCTTATCTTTAGTCAATAACTACTCATGAGTGCTTACACACCAGATGACGTGGAATTCACAGCCTAGTTGAAGAGGCAGGCACTGAACAAGTAACGACAAGTATGGTGTAAGTTTTATAGGAGACAAAACATGTGACCTGGATCTGACCCAGAAACCTGAGACTGAGTCGCTCATTCCTTCTGTCTGCCTGTGTCCTCCCCGGCCCTCTATTTTCTGAAGCTTCATCTCACCTTCGCTTTTTTTTTTTTTTTTTTTTGAGACGGAGTCTCGCTCTGTCACCCAGGCTGGAGTGCAGTGGTGCAATCTCGGCTCACTGCAACCTCCCCCTCCCGGGTTCAAGCGATTCTCCTGTCTCAGCCTCCTGGGTAGCTAGGACTATAGGTGCCCACCACCACGCTCGGCTAATTTTTGTATTTTTAGTAGAGATGGGGTTTCAGCATATTGGCCTGGCTGGTCTTGAATTTCTGACATTGTGATCCGCTCACCTCAGTCTCCCAGAGTGTTGGGACTACAGGGATGAGCCACCGCACCCAGCCTTTTTTTTTTTTTTTTTGAGACAGTCTCGCTCCATTGCCCAGGCTGGAGTGCACTGGTACAATCATGGCTCACTGCAGCTTCGACCTCCTGGGCTCAAGCAATACCCCCTCCTCAGCCTCCTGAGTAGCTGGGACCACAGGCACATGCCACCATATCTGGCTTTTTTTTTTTTTTTTTTTTTTTTTTTTGTAGAGATGGGGGTCTCACTGTGTTGCTCAGGCTGGTCTCGAACCCTTGGGCTTAAGCAGTCTCTGCCTTGGCCTCCCAAAGTGCTAGGATTATAGGCATGAGCCAAATAGCCAGCTGCTCCTTCACTTTTTTTTTTTTTTTTTTTAGACGGAATCTCTCTTGTCACTCAGGCTGGAGTGCAGTGGCGCGATCTTGACTCACTGCGACCTCTGCCTCCCGGGTTCAAGTGATTCTTCTGCCTCAGCCTCCCAAGTAGCTGGAACTACAGGCACCTGCCACCACACCTGGCTAATTTTTTTGTATTTTTAGTAGAGACAGGGTTTCACTATGTTGGCCAGGCTGGTCTCAAACTCCTGACCACATGATCTGCCTGCCTCGGCCTCCCAAAGTGCTGGGATTACAGGCGTGAGCCACCACACCCGGACTGCACCTTCACTTTTTAAATCTTCCCCCATATTTGTCTCCCAGGCCGCTTATTGCTTCTTTTACACAGGCAGTATATTTTGGCGTTAGGAGAACAGGCTTTAACACTGGACAGATCTGGGTTTCAGTGCTGGCTCTGTCACTGACTGTGTGGCCTTGTGCAAATTATTTTAATTTTCTGGGTTACAGTTCTTTATGCTGTATGTAAAAAGGGAGATAATGCCTAATTCATTGGGTTGCTGTGGGGATTAAATAAAGCACTTAGCAGCAAGTAGCACAAAATGTCCAATAAATGGTAACCCATAATGATGTTTTCTTGCTCCTATGATAGTTTTTTTCCTTCATTCCTTTCCATTACATGGGCTCCCCTTACCTCCAACCAGACTCCCTCACCAACTCCTTCTATTTTGCTATTCTTCTTTCCTCTGTTCATCTGAACCCACAGAATGCCCCATCCCCTCTGCCTTGATCCCTGACCTTGGCCTCTTCCCCCAGGGCTTGTCAGTGCCAGGCTGGCTCCAGTATTGGCAGGTTGGCCCCCTACAGAGCCCATCTCTTCTGATCCTCTCTATCTATTCTGTCTGCTCTCATAACATCACCCCATCATACCCATTCAGCCCCTCTTCCCTCTGTGGCGAATGCTATAACCAGCTCCTCTGGCTCAGAGGGGCTCAGTCCTGTTTGAAATGGCTACATAGTAGATATTTCCAGGAGAGCTAAACGGCTTGTATCAAAGGCCATCTGATGTTTCTGCCTAGGTATGCCATACAAACTCTCCTTCCAAGACAGCTGCTTCTCCCCTGCATCCATATTCCCAGTCTGCCTCTCTGTTCCTCTAGTGCCCCAAACATTAAAGTCCTTTCATTCCTGCTAGTCTCTTTCCCAGCCTCTCTTCCTCCAGCTTCTGATTCTTGAATGTGGGTAAGCTTCTCAGAGAAGGGAACTAGAACTTGAGGGGTTAAGGGTAAGAAGGGAGAGCAAGAAAGTACAAATTACATACACATCCCCTTTAGGAGCCAAAAAGGAACAAAGACATAAGACAACATCACAGATGCCTACCTTGGGGCCTGTATATGCCGATTTGTTAGTCTTCCCCTGAAAGGCAAGAGCCACACAACAGGAATTGACTGGGGCTTGGGACAAGCTATTGATCTAGATCAAGGACACTGTGGAGTTGGTATATGCTGGGGTTTGGGGTGGGTGTCTGGAATGGGAACAAGGACACATGGAACAGGCCTAGGGGCTGAAGCAGAGTGTCCTCCTCCCACCCCCACACTTCCACTCAAGCCCCCCAGCCCCCAATGCAGCTATAACTTGGGCTCTTTTCTGCCACAGTGGAGAGAAGCATCTGCCTGCCACATGACATTCAACAGACCTGATTCTCTCCAAAAGAGAAATTTCCCATGTGGGAATCCGGCTGGATCCCTGTGAGGGAAGACCCTTGGAGAACGCAGCCTGGAGTTCTGGTAAAAAGCCCTAGAAGAGGAGAGGACTCCTGTGGACTGCAGGCTGCTTCCTGGCAGAAGTTTCCTCTCTTACCCTCAGTCTAAAGCCTTAGTTTCAATTCTGCCAGGCAAGGTGGGGAACTATAAGTCTTCTCTTCTGGAGCCCACGATGGAGCCTGCCAGGGAGACAAGTTATTCTTCTGTTCTGGACATCCAAGGGTGACTTTAAGGAGGATGCCTGGAGGACATGGGGAGAAGGTGAGAAGGGTTAAGCTGGCAGAAAGGGGAAGCCAAGCATCTGCAGCACTTAAGAGCAGGACGGTGCCAGGATGGTGCCTCCTGAACGGACCTCAGTAGTCTTGTGGGGGTGATCTGGGAAGGTTAGGAGTTCTGTTGGAAAGGTAAAGCAGGGTGTACAAGTCCTCTGCCCCCACCCCGGAAAGCCTCAGGGCAGCTGGAATGGCATTGAAGAGAGCAGGTGGCAATTTTGATGAGGAGCTGCTGACACGGCTGATCCTCTGGGCGCTGGGGCCGTGACATCAGGGTGAGAAGCTCTGTGTGGGAGCTCTAGGGAACGATAGTTGCCCGGATGTGGAGCCCTGCCAGGTATTCTTCCTGGTTTAGGCCAACGTGATCCAGCAAAGGCCAGGAGCTTGTAGAGGAGGAGCTGAGGCAGGGATGACACGTAGGACAATAAGCAAGAGCTGGCTGTCTTGGGAGGTGAAGAGCAGGAGCCAGTACCCTTCCTCAAGGAGATGGCTCTCCACCTAGACATGATTGGTGCCTGGTGTCTGCTCTATTCTTTCTTTGCAACTGGAAGGAAGGCAGATGACCCCCAAAGCTCTCCTGCCTGCTTCTGTGTGATATGTTTGATATTGGGTTGTTTAATTAGGAACCAACTAAATGTCAAACATATTCTTACAGCAGCAGGTGATTCAGCACCACCCTCTTTCATACTTCAATCTCTGGGGCTCCTGTCTCTTTTACTGAACCTCTTCTCTCCAGGACCCCCCCAAAAGTCCAGTAGCTGCAACCTATGTGCATTTCAATCTTAACCTAAGAGGGCTGGTGTGGGAATGGGAGAGAGTTGGAATTTGAGGATAGAATCTTTCTATTTCTTGTCCCCTTATACTAGAAGGGACATTTCTTTGCCTTTTCTTGTCCTCGTATTTTTCTCCCCCTTATTCACTTGCCCACCCCCCCCCCATTTTCCACTCCTTCCTCTCCCTGTTCCCTAACCCCTTTCCCTGGCTAATCTCCAGAGAAAGGAGACTTGGTTTCTCCTCTCTCTGTCGAGAGTCAGCTGATGGTCTATCTGCCTATCTACCTCTAGTGACTGGAAGCTCTCAATAGTGGACTCCAGCTCTGCTCTACCCACTGGCCTGGTGGGTGTCTCCGTTCCCCCATTGCTGGGGCTTAGCATTAACTCTCAGTATCCTGACATAAATGACTAACTAGAGCCATTTATATTTGTCCAATATATCTGGTCACCTTGAACAGTGCCCACCTCTCCCTTGGCATATTTTCAGGTGTATGGTGCCAGTGGACTGGTATCCTTGCCACCTGTTAGTAA
Source organism: Homo sapiens (assembly GCF_000001405.40). Lineage (NCBI taxonomy): Eukaryota > Metazoa > Chordata > Mammalia > Primates > Hominidae > Homo > Homo sapiens. The sequence goes on along the minus strand of NC_000001.11, from coordinate 154,193,021 downwards.
CAAGGCTCCCAATGGAAGAATAAACATGGTCTGGAACTAAACTGGAAAGAATAGAGCTGATAATGATGATTACGATGATGTGGTGAGTGGCAGCGTTGGGGAGAATTAAGAAGGGAGAAGATAAAGGGAAGAAGAGGAGAGAGCCACACAGACCAAAGTCTGTGTGGGTACAACAGTTCTATTTTAAGATTACTGTGGGAAAACAAAGGGTATGATCCTGTCTGGATTGTTCTGACCCTCCCCTGTTTCTCTCCCCACCCCACTTGAAGCTCTGGGATAGCCTTCAAGGATAGGGTTGGAGATTCCAACCCTACCTCTTACTCTACTCTTGTGGCTCTTGGTGGGGAGGAAAAACGTCTCCCTGCCAATCGGAGACTCCCAGAATAGCACAGCAATTTGATCTGGGGATCTGGGAGAATTGTTAAGGATCATGAGTGACCTCCCCTCTTCCCTGTGCCCAAGCTCCTTGAATACCAGGAATCAAAAGCTAAAACTCAACTAACGGAGTTTGACCAGCATTCAACACAGTCTGGGGGAGAGTGAAACGGGAAGCTGAAAGGCAACCAGGACCCCCTGGATGCAAACTGCCAACCTAGAATTGCCAAAGTACACTTCTCTATTTCAATGTTCTTCCCTCCCCTCTTCCTCTTCTTTTAAAACATCCATAGAGCTGCCCAGAATGAGTGGAAAGTTTCAGGGTCAGGGAGAACCTCTTCCCTCCCCCACTTTCCATTGTCTAAAATCAGCCTCAGCTGTTGCTAGATATTTTTTTTGCTGGTGATGTCAGTTCATCAAAGCGTCTCACCCTGTGTTCCCCCAGGAGAACAATGATGGGGTGGAGGGAGCTGGAAAGACCATATTAGGAACAAAAGGTGGAGCTATGAGCACAGATAAAGACTCAAGTCTGGGGACCTCCTGGTCACTCAGGCAGCAGCCCCTTCTTTCTTGCCCCAGTCTCCAGTTCTCCAGTGTTCACAGGTGAGCCTACCAACAGCCACTGCTCATGATGGAGGCCATCAAGAAAAAGATGCAGATGCTGAAGTTAGACAAGGAGAATGCTCTGGATCGGGCAGAGCAAGCTGAAGCTGAGCAGAAGCAGGCAGAAGAAAGAAGTAAACAGGTAGGCACTGGCATTGATCTCTCTCATCTGCTAGTGAACAAGACTGTGAAATGGAAGGGAGTTTTCATGGGAAAGACAGTGACTACTGGTGTCACCTCCTTTTTGGGGGTGGGATGGACTCCCCAGCCTCACTGGAGGAGCAGAGGATATCTAACATATCTGTCTCAGACTGCCTTTGTGACCTTGGGAAAGTCAGTGAGCCACAGTATGTCTGCTGAATTTAAGTAGAAATGGACCATGTTTTGGAAGAACCCTTGACTTCTAGAGGAAAAGGTAAGAGTTCTAGAGGGAAAGAGCATCTCTTTTCACTCAAATAGCATCACGGGCATCTACACTTTAGATATTTATCATCCAGGGGTCTTGGATGAAAACCCAGGATGGCTTGGTCATCTTAGGATCAGAGATTACAGGGTCACAGGCCAAGCTACGGCATAACTCCTGAGGCAGTGGGCTGGAAGTGGCTGGGGAGAAAGTGTGTCTCACTAGGGATGGTAACATGGAGGTTACACTCAGGGCTCCAAGAGCCCAGGGTCCAACCCTGCATTGTTGTGTTTGTGTGTTTTTGTGTGTGACTCTCTGGGCTCCTATAGCTGGAGGATGAGCTGGCAGCCATGCAGAAGAAGCTGAAAGGGACAGAGGATGAGCTGGACAAGTATTCTGAAGCTTTGAAGGATGCCCAGGAGAAGCTGGAACTGGCAGAGAAGAAGGCTGCTGATGTGAGTATTAGAGAGATGGAGGATGGGTTTAATCTACACATATAGATCTTTATGTTAATGTATGACGAAATTCCAAACACACTTGTGGGTTCATGGAACACAGACATATATACTCACATACATTTTTGCATATAACCACATGCTGGTATATTCTCATAATGGCATGTATTTTCTTTCTTAAAGACATCTCCAACATGTTAAAAGTTTTTTTTTAATACATGTAAAGGTCTCATTTATCTCCTATCACCAACCCAGGAATTTAATTATCTTTCCCAGGACCTGGACAAAGAGAGGGGACTCTAAGTTCAGAATGCTGTCACTTATCCTACCTCCTCCCCCATGCCACATTCTTAGCTTTTATGTCCAAGTCTTGGCATGTGGATATGTGTATTAATAGGGAACCTCTCATCTCTCAACTGTCCAACAAAACCAGCTCGGATTTCACAATGGGAAATGGAGGTCACACTGACCCTGGCCATATATGGGTTTATTTATCTTGGCCAATGCAGGCATTTGCCTTTATGCCATGGAGATGCCATATGAAGCATTGCTCCTAGGGCAGCAGAGAGATCCCTACAGTGACAGAGTATAATAGAAACTAAGAAAGAATCTTAGGGGGTAAAGGTATCACCACCAGACTTCACTCTATGACCGTGAGTAATTACTCAGCTTGTCTAGGGCTGAATTTTCCCATTCTCAAATAAAATAAATTCTCTTTTCCATCTCATATTATCCCATCATCATCACCTACTTTCCTTCATCTTTAACCTTGAAGTTTGCTGCAAAGATAAATGAGAGAGTAGATTGAAAAGTTTTTTAGAAGAAAAGTACCATAGGAATCTTACCAACAACAACAGAAATGTCCCAGTATTGGTGGAAACAAGTTTCTCAGTGAACTGAGTTAATAGGAAAAAAGGAGCATGTAATATTTAAAATCATATTTGGGCTGGGTGCGGTGGCTCACGCCTGTAATCCCAGCACTTTGGAAGGCCGAGGCGGGTGGATCACCTGAGGTCAAGAGTTTGAGACCAGCCTGGCCAACATGGTGAAACCCTGTCTCTAGTAAAAATACAAAAATTAGCCAGGTGTGGTGGCGGGTGCCTGTAATCCCAGCTACTCAGGAGGCTGAGGCAGGAGAATCGCTTGAACCCAGGAGGCGGAGGCTGCATGGAGCCGAGATCGTACCACTGCACTCTAGCCTGGGCAACAGAGAGAGACTCTGTCTCAAAAAATAAGTCAATAAAATAAAATCACATTTGGTTTTGGAAAATAGCTAGAAGGACAGACAGAGTGAACCATTCATAAATGCTTTCGGATCCTCATATTTGGTCTCTCTGCCATCCGGTTTCTTTCCTTTTCTTTTCCTTTTTTTTTTTTTTTTTTTTTTGAGACAGGGTTTCACTCTTGTTGCCCAGGCTGTAATAAAATGGTACTATCTCGGCTCACTGCCATCTCCACCTCCCAGGTTGAAGCGATTCTCCTATCTCAGCCTCCTGAGTAACTGGGATTACAGGCACGTGCCACCATGCCTGGCTGGCTAATTTTCATATTTTTACTAGAGACGGGGTTTCATCATATTGGTCAGGCTTGTCTTGAACTCCTGACCTCAGGTGATCCGCCTGCCTCGGCCTCCCAAAGTGCTGGGATTACAGGCGTGAGCCACCCCGCCCAGCCAGGTTTCTTTTTATTGTTGTTGTTGAGATGGAGTCTCGCTCTGTTGCCCAGGCTGGAGTGCAGTGGCACAATCTAGGCTCACTGCAAGCTGTGCCTCCTGGATTCAAGCCATTCTCCTGCCTCAGCCTTCCGAGTAGCTGGGATTGCAGGTGTGTGCCACCATACCCAACTAATTTTTGTATTTTTTTTTTAGTAAAGATGGGGTTTCGCCATGTTGGCCATGCTGGTCTCGAACTCCTAACCTCAAGTGATCCGCCTGCCTCAGTGTCCCAAAGTACTGGGATTACAGGCGTGAGCCACTGCGCCCAGCCTAAGCCACTGCGCCTGGGCTTTTTTTTTTTTTTTTTTTTTTTTTTTTTTTTTTTTTTTTTTTTTTTTTTGAGACAGAGTCTTGTTCTATCACCAAGGCTGGAATGCAGTGGCAAGATCTCGACTCACTGCAACCTCCACCTCCCGGGTTCAAGTGATTCTCCTGCCTCAGTCTCCTGAGTAGCTGGGATTACAGGCAGCTGCCACCATGCCCGGGTAATTTTTTATATTTTTAGTAGAGACAGTGTTTCACCATGTTGGCCAGGCTGGTCTCCAACTCCTGACCTCAAGTGATCCACCCACCTTGGCCTCTCAAAATGCTGGGATTACAGATGTGAGCCACCATGCCTGGCCTCTGCCATTAGGTTTCTGATCTGTTTTGTTTTCCACCACTTTCAGTGGCCAAGGAAAGTGGTAAGAATTGAATATATTATGCCAGAGGTTAGAAACACAAACTAAATATACATCATTTAAACTCATTCTTCCAAAAGTTAAGGCCAGCACAGGCTTTTTTTTTTTTTTTTTTTTGAGACGGAGTCTTGCTGTGTCACCCAGGCTGGAGTGCAGTGGTACGATCTTGGCTCACTGCAAGCTCCGCCTCTTGGGTTCACGCCATTCTCCTGCCTCAGCCTCCTGAGTAGCTGGGACTACAGGTGCCCGCCACCGCGCCCGGCTAATTTTTTGTATTTTTAGTAGAGATGGGGTTTCACCGTGTTAGCCAGGATGGTCTCGATCTCCTCACCTTGTGATCCGCCCGCCACGGCCTCCCAAAGTGCTGGGATTACAGGTGTGAGCCACCGCGCCCGGCCAGGCCGCCACAAACTATTAATTCTCCCTTCTTGTGCCCAGTGTGGTGGCTCAGACCTGTAATTCCAGCACTTTGCTTTGAGAGGCCAGGGCAGGAGAATCGCCTGAGGCCAGGAGTTCAAGACCAGCCTGGGGAACATAGTGAGGCCCTATCTTTACAAAAAATTTAAAAATTAGCCAGGTGTGGTGGCATGTGCCGGTAGTCCCGCGTACTCCAGAGGCTGAGATGGGAGGATCGCTTGAAGCCAGGAGTTCATGCTTGCAGTGAGGTATGATAATGCTACTGCACTCCAGCCTAGGTGACAGAGCAAGACCCTGTCTCTATTTAAAATGATAAAAATTCTCCCTTCTCAGAAAACTCAAAAAAACAAAACAAAACAAACAAACAAACAACCCTACCAAATCTACAGGTTACCCCTGGGCTTTGGGCAAGTGGATGGCTGGCTGGAGTTGTATAGCCTAGGTTCCTGGTATATTTGGATGGATCTCTCTGTTTCTAACATATGGGCATGAAGATAGAAGTTTTCACAAACTAGCACAATGTCAGGTTAATAACAGTTTTGTGAGAAATTGGGTAACATCAATCTGGGTCTGCTCTTAGGCTGAAACGGCTAGTATGTGGGCTTGAGGAGGTGTTTCCAGGAGCAAGAAAAAGAACAAGTCTAACCTGAGATCATGAGAAGGAGAATAACATAGAGGCTGTACGCAATACATCAAAATCATTAGGAATATAAAAGGATTTCCTGGGGATGAATTCTGTCTATCTTAATCTGTTTTACACATGTACAGACATACACATACACACACATAGCACCCCTCACCTAGATGTGGTCTACTCAGTATATTCATTTGAAAGAAGTTTCTTCATATTTACATAGGAATCCACCAAAACCCATTTAAATATGTAAAGTGAGGGTTAAAAATACTCATTCAACCCCTCTCCCCTTTGTTAGCTTTCCCAAGTCAGAAAGTACCCTCAGAGATATGCATAAGAACAAGAAACAGGAGAGGGAAGGTTGTGGCCAGGAGCAAGCAAGAAGAAAGGTTTCTTTCCTCAAAGCTAGAGTCAGCAAACTACCACCTGTGGGTTAAATCTTGCAACAGCCTGGTTTTGTAAATAAAGTTTTATCGGAACACAGTCATGCTCATTCTTGTACATACTGTCTACTGGCTTTCTTATCTCTCTGGCCACAAGACCCTAAAAGTTGGATGACCCCTGCCTCAAAGGGTCAAAGAAGGACAGTGTTTATAGGAATTGGGAGAGGTGCTGAATAAGGACCAACAAGGTTAAAAGCAGAAAGCAAAGGTAAGAGTCATCAGCAGCATAATATATGCATCTTTGGAGGGAGTATACTCTGTCCAATACAAAGGAAGTTAACAGCTCAGCTTCTGTCCTTGAGGTTAATAAATAAGTAAACAGAGCATATTATCTTGAAGTAGATATAAGCAGTAGAGAAGGAGGAGGGAGTCAATAACTACGTGTTTACACAAGCAGTTCTGGTTATCTGAGAAGCCTTTCTGAAAAGTGCAGGATTTACTAGGACTGCTTGAATAAAGAAAGGGCAAGGGTATGGCAAGGCGAGTCCAAACTTTTTTTTCCTCCCTAAATTTGTCTAACTTTGTTTTCTAAGTTGTGGTAAAATACGCATACATAAAACTTACCATTTTAACCATTTTTAAATGTCTAATTCAGTAGTAGCATATTTACATTGTTGTGCAACCACATCTAAGATCATTTTAATCCAAGATGAAATCAGATGCTGTTTAGGGAGAAACAAAGGGAAAGAGGAGTGCATTGTTAGGACATAGAGTCATAACACCATTTTTTAGGGACAGGTGGCAGGAAGGATGGGGAGAGAAGGGACAACGATGGACATATACACCTGTTGATATATTGTATTGCTGGTTACTAGGAACACAATAGCACTGGGCCCCTTGCTGTCTATCCATTGTGCTTCTAAAGGCTATCATGAGTCAGTCCATCTGTTTGACTGCATTAAGAGGAGATTATCTGCTCAAATCTACCAGTCTCAGAAATGCAGTGGTGCTCTCAATACCCTCTTGGTTTGGCTAGGATGAGGTCTTCTGCTGCTTTACCAGGGCACAGGGAGGTACAATAGTGCCCCCTGCTGAGCAGCACCCAGATGACAAAGTGTCACTTCTGCCACATCTTGATCAGACTTCTACAAAGCAAGTTAGAAAAATTCTTAGGCCATCAGGGTAGAGTCTATTAAGAGTCAGAACCCTGATCTTCCTTCCTAATTTCTGGGGGAAAAATCAGTGTGCAGGTTACTCTATTGAGAAAATTATTATCTATCCAAGTTGTTTCTTCTGAATAGTCTCATTGCTCGGTATTTCCAAAAGGTGATAGGAAAACAGAGGCTCTGCAGGGAGCATTCTTAGAACTAGACATTGAGGGCAGCAACTGTCTTGCCTACTATTCCTTTCAGGGATTAGGACTCTTCATTGTAAGTCCTGTTCCACATCCTAATTTTCTAGGAGAAAAGAGAGCTGTCCCAGAAGAAAAATTTATCACGATTACCTACTGGGAAGGTGGGAGGAATACAAAGAAATAAGAGGGAAGATAACGTTCTCAAGTCTCTTTACTATTGTGCTTCCAGAAATCCTGCATGGCAGTGCCTGTAGGGAAAGTTTCTTTTTTTGTTGTTTTTCTTTTTTTTTTTTTCAGACTGTGTCTCACTCTGTCACCCAGGCTGGAGTGCAGTGGCGCGATCTCGGCTCACTGCAACTTCTGCCTTCTGGGTTCAAGCAATTCTCCTGCCTCAGCCTCCCGAGTGGCTGGGATTACAGGCGCCTGCTACTGCACCTGGCTAGTTTTTTGTTTGTTTGTTTGTTTGCTTGTTTTTGTGGTTTTTAGTAGAGACAGGGTTTCACCATCTTGGCCAGGCTGGTCTTGAACTCCTGACCTCGTGATCCACCTGCCTCAGCCTCCCAAAGTGCTGGGATTACAGGTGTGAGCCACTGCGCCTGGTCTGTTTTGCCATTTTTTTTTTTTTTTTTTTGATACAGAGTCTCACTCTGTCACCCGGGCTGGAGTAGAGTGGCACCATCTCAGCTCACTGCAACCTCTGCCTCCTGGATTTAAGCAATTCTCTTGCCTCAGCCTCCCTGAATAGCTGGAACTACAGGTGTGCACCACCACACCCGGCTAATTTTTGCATTTTTAGTAGAGACGGGGTTTTGCCATGTTGGCCAGGCTGGTCTCAAACTCCTGACCTCAGGTGATCTGCCCGCCGTGGCCTCCCAAAGTGCTGGGATTACAGGCATGAGCCACCACATCTGGCCAAAGGGAAGTTTCTAACTCATAAACAGTTCCTTGGGGGTACTTGGAAGTACAGTGGCATTGAAATTGGTAAAAGTTGTAACAGAATGGAGGCTCAATTCTATAGTACAGTTTACAGGCACTCATGTCTGGCTGTTGCATGAAGGATCTAGTAACAGTCGTCTGTTTTTTATTTTTTTGAGACAGGCTCTCAATCTGTCACCCAGACTGGAGGCAGTGATACAATCTTGGCTCACTGCAACCTCTGCCTTCCCGGCTCAAGAAATCTTCCCACCTCAGCCTCCCAAGTAGCTGGGACTACAGACGTGCTGCCACCAAGCCTGGCTAATTTTTTAATTGTTTGTAGAGACGAGGTCTCACTATACTGCCCAGGCTGGTCTCAAACTCTGGGCTGAAGTGATCTTCTCGCGTTGGCCTCCCAAATGTTGGGATCACAGGCATGAGTCACCCCGCCCGGCTGACAGTGGTCTGTAATAGAGGATTTCTTCCTGATAAAATGGGGGCATATCTTTCTTACCTACAAAAGGAATTGTAAGTGATTATTAAATTATTTATTTATTTTTAGAGATGAGGTCTTGCTATATTGCCCAGGCTGGTTTTGAACTCCTGGGCTCAAGCCATCCTCCCACCTCAGCCTCCCAAAATCCTAGACTTACAGACATGAGCTACCACGCCCAGCTGATGATTAAATTGCCAAGTCCTGAATCATTCCAAGGTTTGGAGGGGCTGGAAGGTTGGTTAATTTGGTGCATGATGACTCTCAAAAGTAACAGGGACCTGTAATCCCAGCACTTTGGGAGGCCGAGGCCGGCAGATCACGAGGTCAGGAGATCGAGACCATCCTGGCTAACACGGTGAAACCCCGTCTCTACTAAAACTACAAAAAAAAAATTAGCCGGGCGTGGTGGAGGGCGCTACTCGGGAGGCTGAGGCAGGAGAATCGCTTGAACCCGGGAGGCGGAGCTTACAGTGAGCCGAGTTCGCACCACTGCACTCCAACCTGGGCGACAGAGGAGACTCCGTCCCAAAAAATAAAAAACAAAACAAAAATAAATAAAATAACAGGGAGCCTGACGGGGTGGCGTGCACCTGTAGTCCCAGCTACACCGGAGGCTGAGGTAGGAGGCTCGCTTGAGCCCAGGAGTTCGAAGCTGTAGTGAGTTGTGATCTCGCCACTGCCGCACTCCAGCAACAGAGCGAGATCTTGTCTCTTAAAAAAAAAAAAAAAAAAAAAAAAAAGGAGAAAAGTCTGTTCTAAATAGAACACTTAAGTTCATACCATGCCAAATAGAATGAGAATTTGTGCCATCTTGCCCATCCCTTCCACTCCGACAGTTCCATTCATTGACTTCCAGGAGACGGGAGAGAGAACCTACCTACCTGAGCCGACTTTGAAAGGAGACTGAGTGGGGCTCTTTTGAACCTGAGGCCCAGAAAGTCTTTTAGACTTTTCTTATAACTTGGTTTTGGAGTTTGTCGTGGGGTGAGTGGAAGCAGAGACTTGTAGGATGTTTATATTGTGGAGCAAATACAGTGAGGGGTGACGGGTATCGGCATTGCGGGAGTGAGGGGTCAATTGCGGGAGTGTAAGGTCAGCCGACTACCTGCAAAGGGGCCAACCATTGTGGGCAGCCAGCCTGGCGGGAGAGGCTAGGGCACGAAGCGCCGCCCAGTTACCATGGTAACACTCCCTCGTCCCAACCCCGTCCCAGTTTACTGGCCCAAGGTAAGGCCGGGAGCCGTACTCCAGGGCGACTGGGAGGATCCACTCCCTGCCGCGGCTCTCCCTCCAGTGGACTGCCTTCCCGCCTGCCTGGCGGTGGGAGGGCGCGGCAGAGGGACGTCACATCCGGGCGGGTTGGTGAGTTCCGGTATTTCAGGGCGTAGCAGGCGGAAGTAAGGGTGAGAGGAGGCTGCAACGCCGAGCGGAGGAGGCAGGAACCGGAGCGCGAGCAGTAGCTGGGTGGGCACCATGGCTGGGATCACCACCATCGAGGCGGTGAAGCGCAAGATCCAGGTTCTGCAGCAGCAGGCAGATGATGCAGAGGAGCGAGCTGAGCGCCTCCAGCGAGAAGTTGAGGGAGAAAGGCGGGCCCGGGAACAGGTACGGAGATGGTGAGGCTCATGAGGGAGGGGCAGGCGCTGGAGTATCCGGCAAGCGGAATAAGGTCCCTTTTGCCGTGGAGCACGGTCCTCTGAAGGCCGGCGGGCTCGGAGATGAAGTTGGGATCTCGGAGGATGGGTGGGGCTCAGCACCAGTAGGACACCAAGCGGACGAGGGGGAAACAGTGCTCGGGCGAGCAGGCTTGACCTTTGAAGAAATTGAGCCTTACGGGGTTTGGGGTGTGGCTTTCCTCCTCTTTTTTTCTCCACCTCATTCATTCAGTGCCTCCGATCCGGGCGCGGCCGTGGGAGGGGCTCAGCGGCTTCTCCCTCCCCCACTTCCCCATGGAGGGTGGGAGAACTTTGCTCTGGCTTGAGGTTTCCTGCCCAAGGGGTAAGAGTGGGTGGGTGCTTCTCTGTTCGGGGAGGGGCAGTACTGAACCTTCTGTGAAATGGTGAGGGTTTTGGGGTGGGAACCGTCGGAAAGACCCCGGCCTGCCTGCTGGCAGCTTTTCCGCTCCCTCCTCCTGCTCAGGAAATGAGGCAGCAGTTGGCTGAGAGGAAGCGCGGTGCCCTCCCTCCCTGGAGGAGCTCGAGGCCACAGGACCGCCTCTCATCCTCTGGCCAGGGGCCCTTTCCTCTTACGGGGTGCTCTTGCAGCTGCTACACCCACTCTCTGAATCTACGTGAAACGGCAGGGGAGGGGATAGTACTTCTCTCAACGTTAGTGCAAATGTAGGAGCCAACCAAACTTGCCTGGCCCTACCCACAATGACCTGGAAGGCAGGAACTTCTGTCAGATTCAGGCCTTTATTGCTGAAGTGTGATCAGTGCAAGCCGAACTGGTTAAGAACATTTCTTCCGAGCAGAGCTGATAAGCGAGTGTATGGCAGAGAATCAGATGGTGTGCCAGTCTCAAGGTTTCTGATTGACTTGGGCAATTTGGTGGAGACAATAATGAATTCCAGGTGACTCTAGTGGAATATTTGTTCAACTGAAAGTGGAAACATAAAATGTTGGTGGAGTGAACAGTGATTCTAGTGATTTCTTTCTTCCTTTCTTTTTTTTGAGACAGAGTCTCACTCTGTCGCTCAGGCTGGAGTGCAATGGCATGATCTCGGCTCATTGCAACCTCCGCCTCCCGGGTTCAAGTGATTCTCCTGCCTCAGCCTCCTGAGTAGCTGGGATTACAGGTGCCCGCCACCAAGTCTGGCTAATTTTTTGTATTTTTGGTAGAGACGGGGTTTCGCCATGTTGGCCAGGCTGGTCTCGAACTCCTGACCTCAGGTGATCCACCCACCTCTGCCTCCCAAAGTGCTGGGATTACAGGTGTGATCCACCGTGCCCAGCCTATTCTAGTGATTTCTTTAAACGTCTTTCTGTTTAAAAGTGGCTGATTAGTTTTAGTGTAAGCCATAAGATTTTCCAAGGTCTAGGGTGCAGTCTAATAGATGGAGCTGATACGAGTTGAGGCTTTGTTTTGGAGGATCTTGAGAGAGTAAAGTAACTGTTGCTAAAATTCAAGATCCAGTGAAAGTACTCATGTGGTTTATTCTTTGTTCTTTGTTCTTTCCCTTGGTAAGTTTTTGTTTTTGTTTTTCTTTTTGGCTGCTCCTCTGGGAAATAACTGAGAATGTTTTTGGGAGGGGGAGGGGTGGATTTCAGAAAAGGATGGTAATTGGGGGACAGCTGCCCTCCAGTTTAAATACTTAAAGATTGTTGGAATACTCACTTATTTTTATAAGTGGTCATGGAGATGCTGGGATGGGAGCTTGTTGTCTTCCTCAGACACCTTTTTCTAGGTAGATTTTTTTCCTCTGTTCAGTTTGCCAACAACTTCTTATTATCTGTGCAAGTGAGATGGACTGGCTGGGTGACTCTTTATGGCCAGTGGCACTTTCTCATCTCCTTTGTTCTGGAGACCAGATAGCTTTAAAGGGGAAGACAGAGGAACTGGCCATGTGTTGAGCTGCAGAATCTTAGGCTCAGTATTTAAATATGGACATTCTAGGAGTAGTTCTAAGGTGGGTGATTCCTGCCTCCCATCCCCCCTCTTTTTTTTTTTAGATGGAGACTTGCTCTGTAGCCCAGCCTGGAATGCAGTTGCACGATCTCTGCTCACTGCAACCTCCACCTCCCAGGCTCAAGTGATTCTCCTGCCTTAGCCTCCTGAGTGGCTGGGATTACAGGCATCCACCACCACACTCGGCGATTTTTTTTTATTATTTTATTTTTTTATTTTTAGTAGAGATGGGGTTTCACCATGTTGGCCAGGCTGGTTTCAAACTCCTGACCTCAAGTGATCTGCCTGCCTCAGCCTCCCAAAGTGCTGAGATTACAGGCATGAGCCACTGCGCCTGTCCTGGGGTGATGTTTCTTAAGCTACTTTCACTCAGAGCCTGCCAAATTTGCTTATTGAGCTGAGGTCTAGTGAGGAAGTCCTCAGAATGGGGAAGTAGAGTTATAGTTAAATATTGATGAAATCATTTCTTCTACTCCCCAGCCTGAAGAAGCTTAATCTTTTGACTTTCTGCTGCTCTGCTGAACTTTGAACCCCTACTGAGGAGGAGACACCTGTGGGAAGGGAGGGGGGTTGCTTGGGCTACCTGTTATCCTCTTAAGGCATTCTGGAATGTGGGTTTTGCAGACTCCTCCCTCCTCTGGAGCGGGAAACTGCACTCTCTGATGGTATCTCATGCTGTTAGTGGGATTGTCACTTAATTATTTTCCTGGTTACTTTGTGTGAACATCCAAGCCACCCTTGTTGGGAAGCTAGATGAGTCTAAAACTGAGACACTGGTGTTCTAGGATCCATCTTTCTTTTCTGCTCTCGGCCTGGAAATTGGTCTTTTATAATGTAGCACCTTGTCAAATTTACTTTCAGTTCTGTATTTCCTTTTTACTTCTGTCTAAATGGAAACAGATGGCAACATAATGTTTAAATGCAGTCTTTTTCCTTATCTCTTTTTTTTTGTGGTAGTGGTGATAAAAATACATGTAAAATTTACCATTTTAACCATTTATAAATGTACAGTTCACCTTATCTGTTTTTAATAACTCTCTCCTAATTGTCCCTGATATTTTTCTCTTTTTAATTTTTTTCTAGTCTAAAAAACTTAAGAGGCTGGGTGCGGTGGCTCACACCTGTAATCCCAGCCCTTTGGGAGGCCTAGGCGGGTGGATCTGAGGTCCACCTGTGGATCTGATGAAACCCCATCTCTACTAAAAATACAAAAAATTAGCTGGGCATGGTGGCGCATGCCTGTAATCCCAGCTACTTGGGAGGCTGAGGCACAAGAATTGCTTCAACCCTGGAGGCGGAGGTGGCAGTGAACCAGGATTGGATCATGCCACTGTACTCCAGCCTGGGCGAGTATCGGCACTGGGGGAGTGAGGGGTCAACTGCGGGAGTGTAAGGTCAGCACACTACCTCTGCCTCAAAAAGAAAAAAAAAAGTAATAACAAAAACCTTAAGAGTACTACCGAGGGAGTGGGCTTTGATTCTGGCCTTAATCCTAAATTCCTAGTCTCTGGAGAGGTTAGAATGCTTGACTGTTGTGTGGTTCTCTTCTATTCGTGGGCCTGGTGGACTAAGCAACCTTTCTTTGGTTGCTTTGCTTTCCTTTCTCTTTCCCCAGTACTAGAACACACACTCACAGGGGAGAGGCAGATAGCCCTTTACCCCTGCTTAGGCTCCGCCTTTGTTTACTGTGGGGCAGATAGCTCTACTCCCTTCCAACTTGCCTCCCCTTTGGTGAAGTTTAAATTCCCCAAGGACACGGTATCTCCCTGGGTAATGCATTTGTGAGCACAGTGAACTCAAATAGTCCTTTACTCACAGGGCTCAAGCCTAACTTTCTGATACTCTTTCATTTGAATTTTATCTGTGGCTTTTATCTAATAAGAGAAACCCCAGTGTGGCAGAAAGCCAGATTTAGGCTAATCCCCTTCTGTCCTTGGCCCTGTTCTGCCTGAGAGTACCATCACACTGTCAGTTTCTTGCCTGGAGGGGTTGACATATTTGGGAAATCTCTTTGGAGTGGAGGATAGCCGAAGGTGTTGTCAGCCATCTGGTAATGTGACTGAGTTGCTGGGGCATTCTACTCTTTCCCCAATCCCTCACCCAGGATCTTTGCTTCCTGGGCAGTGGAGAATCCTATTATTACTTGAAGGGAAGAACCACAGAGTACTGTATATCCTCCACACTGGGCAGAGATAGGTCAGCTGAAACACCAAAACCGCATCTGGATGGGCATGCTAAAACCTAAGATGATTAGGAAAGTGCAGAGCTTAACGTTTCCCAGGGCCACAGGTAGCCTGGTCTGCAAAAAGTAGGCCTGTTCAATCTCTTGGTACCCATTGGTATTATTTGACCTGAAAGGGACAGGCACTGTGCATAGACTCATGAGGGAAAAGTCAGCTTGTCTTCCTTGTTCCTTTAAACAAAGTATCAGATCTTGATTCTGCAGGCTTTTGTTTCATTGTAAAGAGAACTGATCCTCTGTGCTAGGAGAAAAGAGAAAGGCAAGGTCCCATTCCCTACCACTCCACCCTGGAGGGGGTCTCTGAAGCTTTTTCTAGGACTCCCATCTCAGGTTCTGCTTTTGATACAGGCTTGTTCATGTGTGCATGCTCTTAGGAGGGCACCAAGATGTGTTTTCCCCCTCTCCCTTTTCAGCCTTGCTAAGAATTCTATTGTAAATGCTGATTTGTGGGAGAAACTGCCTGAGCCAGCTTGCTGTCATGGCAACTGTACACCCCCGCCCCATAGCCTGTTATCTTCTACTCCAGTTTGGGTAACTACTGGTGAGCTGCATGATGTCTTACATTTCATGAGCTTCCTCTAAATCTAGTTGTATTTTTCGTCTGAGGGGGGTAAGTCATTTTACTAGCAGTGTCTCCTAGGTCTTGCCTGATAGCCTGACTTGCTCTTGATCCATGGCCTTGTTGGGTTTGTGAGGAGAAATGTGTGTTGTTACAGAGAACATCTATTTTTCTGGAAGAGGCAGAAGCAGAGAATACTTGTCTTTGTGGTGTTTTGAGTAGTGTAGTTAGAGGCACAAATGGTTTCTTAATGATTTCAGCTTATGTTGACTTCTCGATTTTCTTTGCCTGGTGGCTAGATTGTAGCCCCAGCCCTCTGCTTCCCTTCCTAGTCTCTTCAGCTTCTCATGTTTGTATGTGGAAGTTTTTGTGCCAGTCCTGATGGTTAAAAAGGAGTCTTTTGGTCTATATTCTTCCTCATCGGAGCTAGTGGCCCAGGCTGTTTCTATAGCTGCACCAACTCCTGCCTGCCAGGAAGAAATCAGGGTAATAGAATTCAGGCACAATCTGGGCTATAGAAGAGAGATCGTGTTTACCAGGCACTTGGATAAGCATCTGAACTGGGTGGTGTGCGGGGCATATTAAATTCTTGTATACTGTTGCAGTCAGGGTACCTCCCACCAGTAAAGGTAGCGGGGAGGCAGTCATGGAAAGAGGTTTTCCTACCATTAGAATTTATCCATCCACCTGCAGGCTGCCTCCTTCTTTCCTTGTTTCTTAGAGAAAACCCATCCAGGATGGGTTTACTTGGACTCTAACCTATATACTTCATTGTGAGATGGAGGCCAGGGGGAAGATTGTCGCTGTATTAGAGGGTGAAGCTAAGGGGATGGCTGGAGGAATAGAAAGGAGAAAATTCAGAAATTTGGAGGAATGGTAGTGGGTGTGGTGGAAATGTTCTTTCTTTTTTGTAAAGCTATCAAAGCAGATAATTTTAGCCAGAAGCAGCTCCTTGTAGCCAACTTAAAAAAGGAGTACGGGGGCACAAGTTGAAGGGCTGGTGAGTAGGCATCCCAACAATATTCCATTCTTTTGCTTTCCAGTCTGGAAGGCTATTCTGGAAGACATTCCCTTGGCTAGTTATTCTTCTGATGTGTTAGGGTAAAGTGATCATAGGAATAACGGTTTGAGTTAAGCAGCAATTAATAGGTAATCCAGGATTCCCTCTTTTTTTTTTTTTTTTTTTGAAATGGAGTTTCACCGTGTTGCCCAGGCTGGAGTGTAGTGGCGCAATCTCAGCTCAGTACAACCTCTGCCTCCCGGGTTCAAGGGATTCTTCTGCCTCAGCCTCCCGAGTAGCTGGGACTAGAGGTACGCGCCACCACACCTGGCTAATTTTTGTATTTTTTATTAGAGTCAGGGTTTCACCATATTGGCCAGGCTGGTCTCAAATTCCTGACCTCATGATCCACCCGCCCCAGCCTCCCAGAATACTGGGATTACAGGCATGAGCCACCACACCCAGTCAGGATACCCTCTTTAAGAAACCTTGCTTTTTTTTTTTTTTTTTTCCTGCTTTATGAGACACTTGAAAGGTTACTGAGGATGAGACATGCCTCCAAGCCAGAGCTCAGGCAGAAGGAACCCTTCATTGACTTTCTTTTCTGACTCCAGTGTGTTGAGGAATTTGAACTGAGTCCAGGAAGTGGGTGGTACTAACTCACTGGGCTGGGCAAGGAACTGAGTTTTAAAACACTCTTCCTGTGGAACATATGGGAGTTCGTTGATGGGAAAGGGAGGAAATATATATATATAAAGTTATGTCTGCTAGATCTTTTAACAGCTGAGCTAAGACAAGTTCTACCCTGCGAGACTCTGGCTTTTTCATGGTAGTCAACCCTGATCTTAATGTCATAGTTATTTCTTCTTTTCTCCATGCCTCTGCTTCCCTTGTCCATTCTTTCCTTCAAATGCAGGCTGAGGCTGAGGTGGCCTCCTTGAACCGTAGGATCCAGCTGGTTGAAGAAGAGCTGGACCGTGCTCAGGAGCGCCTGGCCACTGCCCTGCAAAAGCTGGAAGAAGCTGAAAAAGCTGCTGATGAGAGTGAGAGGTGTGTAGGGAAGCCTGATGGAGTGTGGATTTTAAAAGTTCATAATAGTTCTGATCAAGATTTCCTTATAGACCTGTTTTCTAAATAGCAATTCTGGCTGCGTGTGATGGCTCACGCCTGTAATCCCAGCACTTTGGGACGCTGAGGCAGGAGGGTGGCTCAAGCCCAGGAAGTTGGGGCTACAGTGAGCTCTGATTGCGCCACTGCACTCCTGGGTGACAGAGAAAGACCCTGTGTCAATCAGTCAATAAAAATAAAATACTAACTCCATCACACAGGATCTCCTTTCTATTCTGCATATTCTGTCCCCTTGAAGACAGTAAGGGTAACTTAGATGTTGTGACCCTTTTGTAATTGGTATTTCCTTACAAATTGGCCTAATGATCCTTAAAATGGGATCACCAGTATGACTTCTACTTTCTGGATCATAAGCTTCTATTTGTGAGATTAATTTCTCTAAAACAGAGGTTCTCTAAGTAAGGTCTCAGACCAGCAGCATCAGCAATACTTGGGAACTTGGTAAAAATTCACATTCTCAGCTCCTATGCTGATCTGCTGAATCAGAAACTTTGGATGTGGGGCCTGGCAATCTGTTTTTAGTAAGCCTTCTCAACGCTGGTTGCATTATTAGAATCATAGGTAGGGGTGAGGGGGGAAATCACTGGGGAATTTAAAACTGGATGCTTAGATCTCATCCCAGTTCCATTAGAATCAGTTGCAAGAGGGGTCTGGGCATTGATGTTTTTAAAGTTCTCCAGCTAATTTTTTTTTTTTTTTTTTTTTTGAGACAGAGTCTCGCTCTATAGCCCAGGCTGGAGTGCAGTGGCGCAATCTGGGCTCACTGCAAGCTCCGCCTCCCGGGTTCACGCCATTCTCCTGCCTCAGCCTCCCAAGTAGCTGGGACTACAGGTGTCCGCCACCACGCCCGGCTAATTTTTTGTATTTTTAGTAGAGACAGGGTTTCACCGTATTAGCCAGGATGGTCTTGATCTCCTGCCTTTGTGATCCTCCCGCCTCGGCCTCCCAGTGTGCTGGGATTACAGGCGTGAGCCACTGCGCCCGGCCTTCCCCAGCTAATTTTAATGTGTTCCTAGGGTTGAGAACCATGGCCCTTGAAACAAATTATAACTCATGTTTTTGAAAATAGCCAGTTGTCTCCTTGCCACATGTGAGTTAAACTAGAACAGAGGTGCTTGACAACTAAGGGTTTTCAGAATAAATAGTGCCTTTCTAAGGGTACGTTACTACTGTGCAGCTGTGAAAATGAAAGAGGCAGCTATGTGTATACTATTAGAGTAGCATGCAAATTATAGAAAGTGAGGGCCGGGCGCAGTGGCTCACACCTGTAATCCCAGCACTTTGGGAGCCTGAGGTGGACGATCACTTGAGGCCAGGAGTTCAAGACCACCCCAGCCAACACAGCAAAATCCAGTCTCTGGTAAAAGTACAAAAATTAGCCAGGCGTGGTGGGGCGCGCCTGTAATCCCAGCTACTCAGGAGGCTAAGGCACGAGAAGCACTGGAACCCAAGAGGCGGAGGTTGCAGTGAGCCTCCCTCTTTTTTTTGGTCTCAAAAAAAAAAAAAGAAAGAAAGTGAGGATAGCTGCATGCTGAATACCGGGGGGAAAAAAAAGAGTGTGGAAAACAAGTTGCAGAACCGTCTAGTATATTATTACTTTGGGGAAGCTGGGATGGGATTTTTGTGTGTATATATATATATATATATATATATATATATATATATATACACATATATTTAAATAATATTTATTTATTTTTTTGAGACAGAGTCTCACTCTATCCCCTAGGCTGGAGTGCAGTGGCACAATCTCGGCTCACTGCAACCTCCACCTCCCGGGTTCAAGCCATTCTCATGCTTCAGCTTCCCTCAAGTAGCTGGGATTACAGGCGCCTGCCACCACGCCTGACTAATTTTTGTATTTCTAGTACAGACAGGGTTTTGCCATGTTGACCAGGCTGGTCTCAAACTCCTGACCTCAGGTGATCTGCCGGCTTCGGCCTCCCAAAGTGCTGGGATTACAGGCGTGAGCCACCACGCCCAGCTGTATATATCCATATTTTTATTTAATATTTTAGTATTTAATTTCTTAATAAGTTTTTTTGGGGGTGGTGGAGGAGACGGTGTCTCACTCTGTCGCCCAGGCTGGAGTGCAGCAGTGCGATCTTGGCTTACTGCAACCTCTGCCTCCCGGGTTCAAGTGATTATCTTGCCTCAGTAGATGGGATTACAGGTGCTTGCCACCACACCTGGCTAATTTTTGTATTTTTAGTAGGGACAGGGTTTCACCATGTTTGCCAGCTGGTCTCGAACTCCTGACCTCAAGTGATCCACCTGACTTGACCTCTCAAAGTACTGGGATTACAGGCATGAGCCACTGCGCTTGGCCAGGATGTATTACCTTTATAACAAAAAGTTTTTTTTTTTTTTTTGAGACGGAGTTTCGCTCTTATTGCCCAGGCTGGAGTGCAATGGCTCGATCTCGGCTCACCGCAACCTCCACCTACTGAGTTCAAGTGATTCTCCTGCCTGAGCCTCCCAAGTAGCTGGAATTACAGGCATGTGCCACTACGCCCAGCTAATTTTGTATTTTTAGTAGAGACGGGGTTTCTCCATGTTGGTCAGGCTGGTCTTGAACTCCCGACCTCAGGTGATCTGCCCGCCTCAGCCTCCCAAAGTGCTGGGGTTATAGGCGTGAGCCACTGTGCCCAGCCATAACAAAAAATTTTAAATGAAATAATTAAACTAAGGTGTGGGAGTAGTAACATGGAATTTCCATTTGAGGGGCAGACAGAGAGGAGTGGGCTTTTAAAAGTACAGTTCTGAGACCCTTGGAGTGGAGCTGACGACACACTCCTCAGGGTGTCAGTATTGCTTTTGTCCTATTTCTGGCAGAGGTATGAAGGTTATTGAAAACCGGGCCTTAAAAGATGAAGAAAAGATGGAACTCCAGGAAATCCAACTCAAAGAAGCTAAGCACATTGCAGAAGAGGCAGATAGGAAGTATGAAGAGGTAAGTGACCTTCTGTTAGTCCCTCTCGTATCGGCCTTTTACAAAGCATAATGCGGTAAATGGCTCCTTTGCTTCACTAAGCTATACTGGGATCTTTTCCTGTAGGTGGCTCGTAAGTTGGTGATCATTGAAGGAGACTTGGAACGCACAGAGGAACGAGCTGAGCTGGCAGAGTCGTGAGTATCTAGCTCCCCAAATCTTGTCATTACCAATTTATCCCTTCCCCTTTGGCTTGGGCACTAATATGAATAAATTAGCATTCCTTCAACCTTGTTAAACAGGGCCTAGGGAATGGGAGTCATCTATAGTGCTTTTTTAGGCCCAAGAATGGTTTTAGGCTTCCTTATTCTCCTGACTAGTGACAAGTGACAAAAGAGGCTTTCTTATTTTTTGTTGGTAGGGTTTACAAATTGAGAGCAAATAAGGACTAATACATGGTGAACAGTTAATTGGAAGATCCTACTGGGTCCTTCCACCTGGGGTGGAAGACATCAAAGTGGCTATCCTGATTTAAGATCTAGTGTCTGGCTGGGTGTGGTGGCTCAAACCTGTAGTCCCAGCTACTTAGTATGCCAAGGCAGGAAGGTTGCTTGAACCCAGGAGTTGGAGGCCAGCCTGGGCGTCATAGGGAGACCCTGTCCCTAAAACAAATAAATTTAAAAAAAAAATCTGGTGTCTGTTTTGGCCACTTTGCCAATCTGCTAGGGAACCTTAGGGCAAGGGTAGATATTAACTGCTCTCCCGTCGGTACCTTCTGGGCCTTGATTAACAAAGTCAGTGCTGAATGCATATGTATTTGTGCTTCCCTCTTACATTCCCGTCTGCCAGACATAACATATCATGACCATGGTGGTGTTCTCTTCCCATTTTTTGAATTTTTTTTTTTCGTTTTGCTGCTTGTTTTCTTGCTGTGTTCCTTTTTGACCTTTCTCCCTCCCCACAACCTGGCTTGTGCCATCCCCGTGACTATCACTAACAGCCGTTGCCGAGAGATGGATGAGCAGATTAGACTGATGGACCAGAACCTGAAGTGTCTGAGTGCTGCTGAAGAAAAGGTACTAACCATTAAGCCCACAGCAAGGTTATATATGTGGTGTGGTTTTGTTTTGTTTTGTTTTTGTTTTGCAGCTGCCTCCCCTCCACTTGATTTTGTTGAGTGCTGTCTCATCTCTTCATGGAATGCTCCATTCTTTTCCACTTACTTGGCATCTTTCATCTCTTCTTTCCTAGTTGCTTCACTGCCTCTCCACAGGGTCTCCTTCCTTTGGGTGATTTGGGGGACTGTTTGGGTTGGGCATTTGTTCCCACCTCCACCCCAGGTAGCAGTTATGACTTGTTCCTGGTAGTGGATTTCTCTCAAGTGCTTTATTAGTATTCAAACATTTTTGAGCCCAGGAAGGTCTAGCTCCTGACACGTTCTATGGTAGAGGGAGGAGGGTTGATGCTTGCTCAGGTTACTTGGGAACATCTCTTCCCCAGTATGCCTTCCAACTCTCTCTACATATAGGTTCAATTCACGTCTATGTGTCTCTCTCCCTTTTTTTATTCTCTTCCTTTTCCCTTTTCCTCTCCTGTGGTATTTAAAATATTCACAGTAAGTGTTCTGAGCTGGAGGAGGAGCTGAAGAATGTCACCAACAACCTCAAGTCTCTTGAGGCTCAGGCGGAGAAGGTAGGGGCTGGTTTGTGAAAGTGACAGGCTTTGGGGCCTGGGCCCAGCCCTGCCCTTGATGAAAGACTGGAGACACGCATTCCATATATAATCCAGTGAGGCGTGTCCTCTTCCTACCTCCTTACCATGTATTCAGGTTCTGGGTTTAATGCTATTTTCTGTGCACTTTGATTGCTTTAATTAAAATAACTTCTTGGTCTCAGGTTACTGGAGTCATGTGCTCCTTAGGCTGATACTGCTGTGCTGAAAAGCAATAATCAAGGGCCCTAACAGGCTTTCTAGCAGACAGATGGGGGCAACAGACAGAATCAGCTCTGAGACCTAATGAGCAATCAAGACAGATGACTTCACTTTGCCATCATGTGGGTGTGTTTCAGTCATGTGACCTTGGGGTGCTACTACTCTTGCTCATCAAGCAGGGGAAAGGAAAAACACCTCCTTGGGTTGATCTGAATAATATCAAAGCTTAGATCCATCTTAAAAAGTCATGGAGAATTTTAACCTGAGGATCTCATGGCTCTAAAGACATAGATTTCTGAATTTCAAGGACCTATTGTCCAGAGCCAGGCCTTGCTCTTACTCTTGGACCATTCAGCACATTTAGTGCAAGAGGATATTCAATGTAAGTTAAATGTAGGGAGGGGGGTATTGCCTGTGTGACTAATTTCTACTCTGAAATTTTTAATCTACTTATCTTACAGTACTCTCAAAAAGAAGATAAATATGAGGAAGAAATCAAGATTCTTACTGATAAACTCAAGGAGGTGAGCTGAGGGGATTTATAGGGCAGAACCCAAAACATTTAGAGGTATATAAGGCATTAATATGGATTTAAACTGGCTGGTTTGGGTTCTGAAAGGTCCAGAAGTAGAAGGTGGAAGAAATAGAGATTGTTCTTCTTTGTCTTCATCTCTGGTTCTGACTAATTTCATATTTCCCCCAGGCAGAGACCCGTGCTGAGTTTGCTGAGAGATCGGTAGCCAAGCTGGAAAAGACAATTGATGACCTGGAAGGTATGGAACCTGGAGTAGGGATTGAAATAGAGAAATATAGAGGAAGACTGCCCATTAACCATTAATCTCTTTTTCTGTACACCAAAGGAAGTTGGTAGTGACTTGGCATGTATTAATATCATGTGCACTGTCCTATGCCACAGCTAGGCAAAGTGGGTCAAACTCTAGAATTGGTTTTTTAAATTTAATCTTTTCCTTTAAGAAGACTTTACCAAATAGTCTGCAATTTGTACCCTTCCCTTTTGAGGAGAATGATAATGGCTGCATTTACCTCCAATTTATTAGTCTTAAACCTTTAGTCTGTGGGTTTAAATGGAAGCCATGATTTCAGAAGGGCAAGATGTATGTCATTTCATGGCTACTTTCCACAGTTCTTTTTGCCACTCAAGTTGTCGGGTATTTATCCAATAAATGAAGTTGTGGAATAACCATATCTGAACATTGACCAATGTCAGGAGCTTTCTAAATACTTTCTGTCCCTGCAAGTTGGTAACTGCCATCCACCCTGACAAGGGAACGTACTCTTTGCTTTGAGAACTCTGATGTATGCTCCTTTGGTACACTCTCTTGGCAGAGTTGCAGGGGCAGCCTGTGGAGCAGAGGGGCCACTAATAGGTTCACATTTTGTAGGCAGAGAAGTGTCTGAATATGGATATATACTCTCTCCCTTTGCTATTTTTGTTCAATTAAGTGTTATCACTGCTAGGAATTGGGTACCTGGATGGGAGTGGTATCCTCTTGAGTGCTTTTGGTAATAGGAATTTCTAGTTATGACTGTGCCCAGGTTCTCAGCCCTTGCTGCAGTCGATTTGGAGTATCAAGAAAGGAAGTTGGTCATAGGAGAGAGTAGATCTGAAAATGTCCAGTCATGGTTGCCAGAGTAGATATTTTCCTAACTGTGGTATTAGACCCACAGTCACACTTTCCTAATTTCTAATGATTCCCTCTCTTCATCTGCTTCTGAAACTCTTCACTCTGTCCCCTCATTCCTCCCTGTGGTTCCTGTGCCTGTCCAGATGAGCTCTATGCCCAGAAACTGAAGTACAAGGCCATTAGCGAGGAGCTGGACCACGCCCTCAATGACATGACCTCTATGTAACTATCTGACAGTAGAGTGGGGCTGGGATCTTGGCTTGTGGGTGGATGGGGGTACAAGCTATGCATAGTGGTGTGCTTTGGTTTTATCCTTTGGAAACTAGAATCTCCACCCTTATCTTTGAAACATTGGTGCTGGTTATTTGTTTGGCAAAAGCTTTGGAGGCATGGCCGGGCGCGGTGGCTCACGCCTGTAATCCCAGCACTTTGGGAGGCCGAGGCAGGTGGATCACGTGAGGTCAGGAGTTGGAGACCAGCCTGGCCAACATGGTGAAACCCCGTCTCTACTAAAAATACAAAAAGTAGCCAGGCATGGTGGCAGTGCACCTGTAATCCTAGCTACTCAGGAGGCTGAGCCAGGAGAATCGCTTGAATCTGGGAGGCAGAGGTTACAGTGAGCCAAGATGTGCCACTGCATTTCAGCCTGGGCAACAGAGTGAGACCCCATCTCAAAAAAAAAAAAAAAGAAAAACATTAAAGGCTGGGCGTAGTGGCTCACACCTGTGATCCCAGCACTTTGGGAGGCTGAGGTGGGCGGATGACTCGAGGCCAGGAGTTCAAGACCAGCCTGGCCAACATGGCAAAACCCTGTCTCTACTAAAAAATATTTAAAAAATTAGTTGGGCTTGGTGGCGCATGTCTATAATCCCAACTACTCGGGAGGCTAAGGCAGGAGAATCACTTGAAACCAGGAGATGGAGGTTGCAGTGAGCCGAGATAATGCCACTGCACTCCAGTCTGGGTTGAAGAGCAAGACTGTCTAAGAAAAAAAAGCTCTGGAGGCAATTAATCTTGGATCAGAAGGAGAACCCTGACTGACTTGTAATTTTTATATTTTGTATTCATAGTTTCTTCATTATACTGTGATTTTTCTATTTGCTTCTCAAATTTAGTCTTCTCAGAAGGGATACTGCTAGAGGTAGAATCCATACAACTAAGGAAATAGGGCCCACAGAGCCAGTAACTTGGGCCCTGACACATTAAGACAAAATTCAGGCCTCCTGGGTGTGTTTAATTGGTTCCCTGATATTAAAGTTCAGGGAACTACCCAAGATGGGAAATACCAAATTCACCTAAGAATTGAGCTGAGTCCCAGAAGCAAGCCAAGTGATAAACAGCACCAAAAAGAGTTGTTGGGGCTTCATCTGTTTGCTGTGGATCCCTGATCCTTGATGCTAATCTGCCTCTTTGTATCTTTCCCACTAACCCTGAAAAGAAGCCACATTTCTCAGGCTGAAGTGTCTGGCTCTCTTTTATTATTCCTGCTGCCACCTCTTCCTTTTTTTCCTCTTCCTTTTTCCCAGTTTGCTATCTAGATTGATGCTAGTCCTTCTCACCTAGAGTATCCTTACTTTTTCATACAGATAATTATCACCGTTTCTGCTCTGTTCTGGATCTGCCCCCTTTACTCCTCGGGGAACCCAAGGCCCCACTCTCGCTCTGGATTCCATTTGGGTCAGCCTGGCTGGTCCCCAAGGCATTAGGATGGGGGAGCAAAAAGCAACTTATGTATTTTCTTCCACCCCCACCCCAAATTAAAATGTTAAGCTGCTGGAAACCTCATGCCACCCTGCATTTGTGTCATTGACAAAGCTGTTGCTGTCCCTAAGAAGGAGCCTTGGGGGTGTGATGTGGGGAAGAGCTATTGTAGGCTCCCCCTCCTCTGACTTATGTAATCAAAGCCACTTTTGTGTGTGTCTATTTTTTCTTGACATTTAAACTCAGCTGATCTGATTCTACCAGAGTGATGGATTTAGTACAGGTTACTCAGGATAGTAATTTTAGTTATACTCCTCAAGCTGAACAAGATTAAATTCCTTATTTCCAGGTTCTTAAATCATCCTGCCTGCAGTGTTTCCATTCTCTCTTCAGGTATTCCTCCTTTGGTGTGGTGTCATTGAGAAGCCATTGAAGTGACTCTCAATACACATTCTGTACCCTTTTACCGGTGGTTCAAATGGTGCATCCTCAGAACACCCAGTGAACCCAATACATTATTGCTAAGATTGACTAATTATGTCAACTCCAGTCACAGAAAAATACACAATGGATAGAATTCTGGACGGTTTTTTTACTTTTTCTTCTTTAAACCTTTCTTACATATTTGAGACTTGCTACCATTTGCCTGCTAGTGTGTGACTAGTGGGATATAAGATAAGTGATAAATTATTATTGGGAAAACTAAAATGACCAATCATGCATATTTCAAATAATGTGCATATGAGGCTAATGATTTATTACATACATAAATTTCTGCTAGTAAAATTTTCCTTGGTTCATATTGTGGAATTAAATATCAACATTTTAGAAATTCCCATTATAGGCCGGGCGTGGTAGCTCACGCCTATAATCCCAGCACTTTGGGAGGCTGGGGCAGGTGGATCACCTGAGGTCATGAGTTCGAGACCAGCTCGGCCAACATGGTGAAACCCCGTCTCTACTAAAAATACAAAAATTAGCTGGGCATGGTGGGTGGGTGCCTGTAATCCCAGCTACTCGGGAGGCTGAGGCAGGAGAATCGCTTGCACCTGGGAGGCGGAGGTTGCAGTGAGCGGAGATCGCGCCACTGCATTCCAGCCTGGGCAACAGAGAGACTCCATCTCAAAAAAAAAAAAGGAATTCGCATTCCAATTTACACAGCAGAGATTTCTTAATAGTATAGCTGTGAATTATACTAATCCAAGCACGTAAGTGTTGTTCACTTAGTACTTTAGTTTCCCAGCAGGGTATGTATTTAAAATTTGCTTTTCTTTTAGCTGGGTGCAATGGCACTTGCCTGTACTGCCTGTAGCTTCTTGGGAGGCTGAGGCAGGAGGATTGCTTGAGCCCAGGAGTTCTGCACTGTAGTGTGCTATGCAGGTCAGATGTCCTCACTAAATTTGGCATCAGTATGGTGACCTCCTGGGAGTGGAGAACAACAAGGTTGCCTAAGAAGGGGTGAACTGGCCCAGGTCGGAAATGGAGCAGGTCAAAATTCCTGTGCTGATCAGTAGTGGGATTGCACCTATAAATAGCCACTGTAGTACTCCAGCCTGGGCAACACAGCAAGATTCCATCTGTTAAAAACACTTTTGCTCTTCTTTTAAACAGATATAATCAGGTAGGGAAGTTTTCCTTAATCTAAAACTTTAAGTCATATCAAATTCACGTTTCCTTTTGTCCATTCCATTTCTTACTGCCGCATAGCCTTTGAGATTAAGGTTCAGATTCATTTATTCAGCTGACACTTCCTGGTATCTTCTAGGTATAGGATATTAAGATGGAGACAGAAATAAAGATGGAGGCACCATTCCTACTCTCAAGTTGCTTAGAATCTACTAGGAGAGAAAACATACATAAAGCTACAGATACTGTGTGATGAATGCCACAAATAATAGTGTTATGGGAATTGAGTAGAGGGGACGAGATTGATCCTAGTGGGAATGAATTGGAAAAACTCATGGAAGAAGGCATGTAATGGGTACTTCATAAACATGTTAAAACTTTTTTCTTTTTTTCTTTTTTTTTTTTTTTTTGAGACGGAGTTTGACTCTTGTCACCTAGGCTGGAGTTCAGTGGCCTGATCTCAGCTCACTGCAACCTCTGCCTCCTGGGTTCAAGCAGTTCTCCCACCTCAGCCTCCCGAGTAGCTGAGATCACAGGCGCCTGCCACCACACCCAGCTAATTTTTGTATTATTAGTAGAGGTGAGGTTTCACCATGTTGGCCAGGCTGGTCTGGAACTCCTGACCTCAAGTGATCCACCCACCTCAGCCTCCCAAAGTGATGGGATTACAGGCTTGAGCCACTGCGCCCAGCCAACATGTTAAACTTGCATATTCATTTTTATTGGGTTCCAAAAGTGGATTTTTGACAAGCAGAGTTGGGTTGTGGGATAGTGAATATTGAGCATTCCATTATTTATTTATTTTTCTCTTTTTGAGATGGAGTCTCGCTCTGTCACCCAGGCTGGATGGAGTGCAGTGGTGAGATCATGGCTCACTGCAACCTCTGCTTCTTGAGTTCAAGCGATTCTCCTGTCTCAGCTTCCCGAGGAGCTGTGATTACAGATACCCACCACCATGCCCAGCTGATTTTTGTATTTTTAGTACGGACGGGGTTTCAGCATGTTGGCCAGGCTGGTCGCGAACTCCTGACCTCAAGTGATCCACCCGCCTCTGCCTCCCAAAGTGTTGGGATTACAGGCGTGAGCCACTGCACCTGGCCTGAGCATTCCATTTAAAGAGAAACAAAATAATAAAGGCATTGATAGAGATGAGAAGGCCACAATAGCTCTAAAGGTAGATTTAGACAGAGTAGGGAACAGGTTGTGTCTTAAAATGAGGCTGAGGAGTTATAATTTTACTTGGAGTTAATGGGGATGCCACTGGAGATTTTGAATAGGATATGTTGTGATCTGAATAACATATAAGAAGAATTAATTTGGTAACTAATTTGCAGATTAGCAAAGTGATTCACTAACATGGTGTTTCTCACATTTCAGCCATTTATGTTACCATTTTTGATGGCTTTTTCCATATTCATTGCTGCCTACATTGTTTTCTTCAGATCTACTCATTTCCAGATTTATTTTGTTCTTACTTGACACAATTCTATTTTGAAATCAAAGTTTTGATGTGTTAGTGTTTTTTCCTAATCACATTAAAGTAACTATAGCAGTGAATACACCACACTTTGGAAAAAATTGGGTTAGGTTAATTTAGTTTTCTAGGAGAGAATAATCAGGGTCTGAGCTAGAGTAGTGGCAGGAGAGATAGCACTAAATAAAGACAGGCATTGTGAAAGGCCTGGCCACTTGATGTGAGGAGGAAAGACAAGGATGACTGGTTTTTAGAGTAGGAGAATTAGCCGGGTGCAGTGGCTCATGCCTGTAATCCCTGCACTTTAGGAGGCTGAGGTGAGAGGATTTCTTGAATCCAGGAGTTCGAGACCAGCCTGGCAATAAAGTGAGAACCTGTCTCTACAAAATATAAAAACTTAGCCAAACATGGTGGTGCGTGCCTGCAGTCCTATCTACTTGGAGGGCCGAAGCCAGAGGATCCTTTGAGCCCAGGAGTCTGAGGCTGCAGCAAGCTGTGATCACACTGCTGCACTCCATCCTGGGTGGCAGAATGAGACCCCCCCCAAAAAAAGAGTAGGAAAGTGGTGGGGTTAAAGATGTAGGGAGATCATGTTGTCCTGGTTTGGGGAGCTGGGGGAAGGGAAAGAAGATACGGCTGACAATCTGGCAGGTATCTGGGTGAAAACAAAATTCTAGGGCGTGAGGCAGAGAGGTTGACATAAGAGAGTTGGGAATCCATATGGGGTACAGGTAGTTTATGCCATGGAGGTAAATTAGAACCATGAAGGACAATTGCAAATACAAAAAAAAGAGGCCAGGCACGGTGGCTCACGCCTGTAATCCCAGCACTTTGGGAGGCCGAGGTGGGCGGATCACGAGGTCAGGAGATCAAGACCATCCTGGCTGACACGTTGAAACCCCGTCTCTACTAAAAATACAAAAAATTAGCTGGGCGTGGTTGCGGGCACCTGTAGTCCCAACTACTTGGGAGGCTGAGGCAGGAGAATGGCGTGAACCCGGGAGGCGGAGCTTGTAGTGAGCTGAGATTGTGCCACGGCATTCCAGCCTGGGTGACAGAGCAAGACTCTGTCTCAAAAAAAAATTAAACAATGAGGAAAACGTTATGTAAGAGGAGGAACCAAATGGAACTGATTGGAGGGAAAGAAGACGGTTGAGTAGTTCTTTAAAAAGTTCCGGGTTGGATGCTTTCTAGTGGTTTTTCAACAGAGAGGCTAAGAAGGAAGATAACTGAAAATGGGACATGCATTGATACTTTAGTAATTTGAGGGTACATTTTGAGTGTTAAGAAGTGAAGAGGAGGAGTCATTTTCAGGGGCAAAAGAGTGTATTGGTAGGAAGATTATATAGGCAATATAATTTACTTTAGAGCAGGGCTTTCCAACAGAACTTTTGGTAATGATGTCTAGTACATTAGCCACATGTGGCAGTCAAGCACTCAAAACATGGCTAGTGTGGCTGAGGGGCTAAAATTTAATTGTATTTCATTGTAGTTCATTTAAATTTGGCTACCTGTGGCTAGTGGCTATTATATTGGACAATGCATTTCTAAATATTCAGATCCTGGGCAGAAGTTGGCTTTGACATGAAGAAAGACTTCTTAGAAAGGAAGGAAGTAGACCGGGCATGGTGGCTCATGCCTGTAATCCCAACACTTTGGGAAGCCGAGGCAGGTGGATCACAAGGTCAAGAGATCAAGACCATCCTGGCCAACGTGGTGAAAACCTGTCTCTACTAAAAATACAAAAATTAGCTGGACATGGTGGCACATGCCTGTAGTCCCAACTACTCGAGAGGCTGAGGCAGGAGAGAAAAAAAAGAAGGAAATAAGAGGGAGATTGGGAGAAAAGTAAGGTGTTATAGCTCTGATCTGTGGTATCTCCTGTTTTCCTTGCGGTATGACTAGTGTGAGCCAAGGATAGAGACCAACAAACTGGGGTACCAAAGTGGACAATGAAGTACTATGTAATTAGTGCTAATGCTAAATTCATTCCTTTGTTTAAGGCTTAATATCCTTGCAGAAGCCATCCTGTGTTACTTGAGCCTGGACTAGTATTGGGGTGAAGTCAAGCATCAGAGTAAAACATTTGTCCCCTTAATGTTACCCCCTCTTAATTTCTAAGAACCACAGGCCCATTTTGCCCTTCCTTGTTACCATCATTGAGATAAGGAATAAGATGTAGTAACCCCAAGTTATCTGATAGGTACAACTGACCTATTCTGTTTGGCAGCTTTATCTTAGACCTATTCTGTTTGGCAGCTTTATCTTAGCCCCAACCAAATCTCTTCCTTTCACATGGTGTTGGTTGAATACTATCCAACTCCATGGGGTTGGTTTGTGTTTTTTTTTTTTTTTTTTTTTGAGACGGAGTCTTGCTCTGTTGCCCAGGCTGGAGTGCGGTGGTGTGATCTTGGCTCACTGCAAGCTCCGCCTCCTGGGTTTAAGTGATCCTCCTGCCTCAGCCTCCTGAATAGCTGGGATTACAGGCACGTGCAACCAAGCCCGGCTAATTTTTGTGTTTTTAGTAGAGACTAGGTTTCAACATGTTAGGCTGATCTCAAACTCCTGACCTCGTGATCTGCCCGCCTCGGCCTTCCAAAGTGCTGGGGTTACAGACTTGAGCCACTGCACCTGGCCATGGGGTTGTTTCTTAATTAGATATAGCTGAAAAGAACGCTAGACCAAATAGGTTCTCTGCCTTGCCTTTTCGTTTGTTTTGTTTTAGCTATTATCAGGGAACCAAAAACTTTAAGGAGCTAGTACTGGTCTTAATTTTTAATAACTAGAGATAGCAGAGTTAGAAACTAAGTTCAAAGTGAGAGAACAGCTGCATTTGTCTTTCTGACCTCATGCAATTCCTAGGAAACTCTGTGTTCTGTGATTTAGTCAGGCAATAAAATGCTCTCACTCCTTCTCTGTCTCTTTATTTCTTCCCTAAATGGAAAAGAATTGACCAGGCTGCTTTGAGGGATAAAGATCCTGATAACGCGGCTGGGTGCGGTGGCTCATGCCTGTAATCCCAGCACTTTGGGAGGCGGGCAGATCACCTGAGGTCAGGAGTTCAAGACCAGCCTGGCCAATATGGTGAAACCCCATCTCTACTAAAAAAAAAAAATGCAAAAATTACCTGGGCGTGGTGGTGGGTGCCTGTAATCCCAGCTACTCAGGAGGCTGAGGCGAGAGAATCGCTTGAACCTGGGAGGTGGAGGTTGCAGTGAACCAAAATCGTACCATTGCACTCCAACCTGGGCAACAAGAGTGAAACTCAAAAAAAAAAAAAAAAAAAAAGGATCCTGATAACATCCTTCTTTCCCAAGTGAGAATCACACAAACTAACTTGGTTATAGGTATTATCTAAATTCAGGCTGTTCACGAGATCTATATGTAATGTAACATCACAGGAAATTTGAGAGATTAGTTCACAAATTTCAACACCTGTTATTTTGACAAGGACGCCCCAGTGAATAAGACAGGTCCAATCTCAGGCCTCATGAAGCTTATATACCATTAGTATAGTTTTGAGTATTCCTTATTCAAAATGCTTGGGAGCAGAAGTGTTTTGGATTTTTGCTTTTTTTTTTTTTTTTTTTTTTTAATATTTGCATTATACTTTCCAGTTGAGCATCCCAAATTCGAAAATCAGAAATTTATACCAGGCATGGTGATGCACACCTATAGTTCCTGCTACTCAGGAGGCTGAAGCAAGAGGTTTGCTTGAGCCCTAGGAGTTCAGGGCTGTTGTGCACTATGATTAGGCCTATGAATAGTCACCACACTGTAGCCTGGACAACACAGTAAGACCTTGTCTCTAATACACACACACACAAACACACACATCTGTATGTGTATGTAAAATCCAAAATCCTCCAATGAGCATTTTCTTTGAGCATCATGTTGGCATTCAAAAAGTTTCAGATTTTGGAGCATTTTGGATTTTGGACTTTCAGATTTGGGTTCTCAGCCTGTATAGTGTTTGTCAATGGTGAACGTTTGTCATTTAGAGTAGGACAGTTCTGTTGATGTACAGAACAATCCTGTGTATTGCTGTCCCCTGCCCAACAGATACCTGTATGGGCCTTCTAGTCACTGTGATATCAAAACCTCCCATACATACTCAAAATCTCCCCTTGGAGAGAAGAGTGCACAATACCACCCCTATTGAGAACCATTGGTTTAATGGGGAGTGCAAGTTAAAGGTTCACCCTGATTCTACTGTTTAATACAGCTATTATTTTTAGTCATTCCCTCCCAGGCTTTTTACACATATATGCTTTCTGTTTTGATAGTGTACATAAAGTGGCAAGTATTACTGGGACCATACTGGTCTCTAGCTTCCCAGTCAATCTGGGGAGAGCCTCAGCCCACAAGGCAGGGTACCTGAGCAATGCTCACATATGCAGATGATTTTAGGACAGAAAAGTATCTTTTTCATATTGAGATCCTGAGACCATTTTGAAACGGGCTGTAAAATATAGGGAGAAACTTATTTGTGAATTTCAGAGGTTGATACTAGGAGTATACCAGGAAGAGTTTGGTTTTCCTGTCCCCAAAGTTGTATTATCCCTGTGCTAGTCAGATGTATTTGAATCTTCCATATCCCACTATCTCTTTAAAGTGTGCTTCAAATGGAAAATCCAGATAAACCTATTAGATTTGAGCACTTAGCTGCTTGTATCAGGAATGCTTGCTAAATTGTCCTTTAGCCTGATTTGTAAAAAAAAAAAAAAAAAAAAAGGAAATAACTTACTTAGTAGCTTAAATAAATATGGGATTTGTTTTTTAATCACATACATCTAGCCATGAGCAACTGTGGCCTGTTGTAGCTGGGCTTTCCATGATTCTCTTGGTCTTTTCTCTTAAGATTGAAATATGCAACTCTGGTCATCACATCCATGTTGAAGGCAAGAGGGAAAGCTAAAGTTTTCCCAGAAGCCCCCAGCAGACTATCTTTCTACATCTCATTGGTTAAAACTGGATCATATGATCACCCCTAGCTGCAAGGGAGGCTGAAAAACAACAGGATAGTCTTGAGTAGCTTATACCAGTAATTTGCCTTCCCTGGGACTAGGCACACTATTTGTTGACTCTTAACAGGTTTGGGGTTCTTTTAAAGAAGAAGAAGAAATTGAATATTTATTGGCTAGGCCACTGAAATGGGTCTATCACACAATATCTGTAACACAAAGCATTAGAAAGTATAGGAGTGAATGAGTGTGGGGATATTTCTCCCAGTATACTGTTTATAATGCTGTCTTGAATGCTTTCACAGAAAAATGTTCAGCTGTTCACTTCCATTCCTTTCAAACCCTGATTATTGTGAACACATTTCTTCGAAGCCAACTGTATTCCTTCCTTTGCCATTTCCCTTGTTTCAGTTTCTCAACCCAGGGAATAAATATTGTGAAGGAAGCATTTTTTCTCCCTCAAAATGTTGTCCTACCAACTTGTCAGTCTGAATTTCCTCTGTTGGTCTTTCCACCAACTGACTGACTCTTATTGCCCTCTATCTGAATCCTCCTTGCATCCACCCTGCCTTACAGATGCATGTTATATATACCAGCTAGTTGAAAGACTCATAATTTACTTCTGGTACTCTACTAACTTTCCCTTTTTCTCTTTCTCCTCCTCTTTTTCCTCTCCTTCTCTTGTGTTCCCCTCCTCTCCGTTGCTGCTGCAGAGCGTCTCTACAGCCAACTTGAGCGAAACCGCCTGCTTTCTAATGAGCTGAAGCTAACGCTGCATGATCTGTGTGACTGATGGGCAGGGCTCAATGATGCCCATTAAACTGAGCTTACTGCTCACACCACTGACCTGGACCCCAACAAAAAGCTGATTGTCTTTTTAAAAGTTATTATTTTGCCCTGAGCAAATTGCATTTTAATTGGGGCAGTTAGAATGTTGATTTCCTAACAGCATTGTGAAGTTGACCATTGTGAAGTTTCTGTCCCTTTAGAAGAGATTATGGGTGAAGAAGGGAGGGGCCTGAGAGATTATAGTGAGAAAACTTGCGAGAATTTTGTTTTCCACCCTTATTTGCTGCTCTTTCACTTGGGCACTGACTGTAGGATATGTTCCCTTGCATGGATGTTTTTAACAATAAAAGGACTGACTTGACAAGTTGTTGTAACTGCTTCATCGGCAGGCCCAGGAATGGGTCCTTCTGACTGGGTGGAAAAAAGGGAAGTGAAAGAAAAGTTGTGGGATATGAATATGGGTCTGTGTTGCCATCACCTTCTCTGAGTTGAAGATTTGAGTATTTTCCTCACCTCTTTAGAGCAGTCAGAGTGGTTTGCTTGCTAGACAGATTAGATTCTCCTTAATGTTCAGCTGCTGATTTTCTTTCTGACTTTTGCGTCCTTTTTCTGGTTTTATGTTAATTTCAAGTAACTGTCACAAGCTAGTTCTGTTCAATAGCTCTGCAGCAATCTCAAGGTTTGCTTACAACTACTTGTTTCAGTAGTATTCTTGGCTTTGTTTTCTTTAGAGATTATTTGACTTAACTGTGAGCGCCCTTTTATTTATCCCATCAGTTATTACTTTGGCCTCTACTTTTTCGAAAAAACATGTAGTGCATGAGGATCTTCCTGTGCTCTTTATAATCTGAGATTCTGATGTTTCTATTGTTTGCAATGTTCAAACTCCGGTGAGCCATTTCAAGAGGGTATTGTTATGTGGGCAAAACCTAGAAAAGTGGATGGCTGATGGTTAAGGCTTGCTCTTTCATTGACTGAAAGCTGAAAGTGTTGGTTGGGTGTGGGAGGGAGAGGAAATGGCTGATAAGGGCCCTAACTCCCTCACCCAGGAAGTGCAGCAACACCTACAACTTCAGTAGGCAAGCCAAAGGCCCTACAAAACTGGGTGATGTAATAGCTCACTTCTGTGGCTGAGAAGGCAGCTGCTTTATCAGTCTGCAGCTTCTCTGCAACAGGAGCAAGTCTCAAAGAGCGGGTAGACCTTGAAATTTACTTCTAGTTCTTGTAACTTCTCTCCTTTACCCCCATTAGATAAACTGAAATGCACCAAAGAGGAGCACCTCTGTACACAAAGGATGCTGGACCAGACCCTGCTTGACCTGAATGAGATGTAGAACGCCCCAGTCCCACCCTGCTGCTGCTCCTCCCTCTGACCCAGACTCCGCCTGAGGCCAGCCTGCGGGAAGCTGACCTTTAACTGAGGGCTGATCTTTAACTGGAAGGCTGCTTTCTCCTTTCACCACCCCCTCCTTCCCTGTGTCTTTTTCGCCAAACTGTCTCTGCCTCTTCCCGGAGAATCCAGCTGGGCTAGAGGCTGAGCACCTTTGGAAACAACATTTAAGGGAATGTGAGCACAATGCATAATGTCTTTAAAAAGCATGTTGTGATGTACACATTTTGTAATTACCTTTTTTGTTGTTTTGTAGCAACCATTTGTAAAACATTCCAAATAATTCCACAGTCCTGAAGCAGCAATCGAATCCCTTTCTCACTTTTGGAAGGTGACTTTTCACCTTAATGCATATTCCCCTCTCCATAGAGGAGAGGAAAAGGTGTAGGCCTGCCTTACCGAGAGCCAAACAGAGCCCAGGGAGACTCCGCTGTGGGAAACCTCATTGTTCTGTACAAAGTACTAGCTAAACCAGAAAGGTGATTCCAGGAGGAGTTAGCCAAACAACAACAAAAACAAAAAATGTGCTGTTCAAGTTTTCAGCTTTAAGATATCTTTGGATAATGTTATTTCTATTTTTTATTTTTTTCATTAGAAGTTACCAAATTAAGATGGTAAGACCTCTGAGACCAAAATTTTGTCCCATCTCTACCCCCTCACAACTGCTTACAGAATGGATCATGTCCCCCTTATGTTGAGGTGACCACTTAATTGCTTTCCTGCCTCCTTGAAAGAAAGAAAGAAAGAAGACTGTGTTTTTGCCACTGATTTAGCCATGTGAAACTCATCTCATTACCCTTTTCTGGGTTTGAAGCTGCTGTCTCTAGAAGTGCCATCTCAATTGTGCTTTGTATCAGTCAGTGCTGGAGAAATCTTGAATAGCTTATGTACAAAACTTTTTAAATTTTATATTATTTTGAAACTTTGCTTTGGGTTTGTGGCACCCTGGCCACCCCATCTGGCTGTGACAGCCTCTGCAGTCCGTGGGCTGGCAGTTTGTTGATCTTTTAAGTTTCCTTCCCTACCCAGTCCCCATTTTCTGGTAAGGTTTCTAGGAGGTCTGTTAGGTGTACATCCTGCAGCTTATTGGCTTAAAATGTACTCTCCTTTTATGTGGTCTCTTTGGGGCCGATTGGGAGAAAGAGAAATCAATAGTGCAACTGTTTTGATACTGAATATTGACAAGTGTCTTTTTGAAATAAAGAACCAGTCCCTCCAACCCTCAGACCTATTTGACTTTTATTTATTAAAACTAAATGTGCTTTCTCCACAGAAGCTATGAGGTTTGGGTTAAAAATAGCATCTTTGTGGGTGGTAGCAACAGGATTTATTCTTTATTATTATTATTTTTGAGATGAAGTTTCATTCTTGTTGCCTGGGCTGGAGCGTAATGGCTCGATCTCGGCTCACTGCAACCTCCGCCTCCTGGTTCAAGAGATTCTCCTGCCTCAGCCTCCCGAGTAGCTGGGATTACAGGCACCTGCCACCATGCCCGGGTAATTTTTTATATTTTAAGTAGAGACA
Organism: Homo sapiens; assembly: GCF_000001405.40. Taxonomy (NCBI): domain Eukaryota; kingdom Metazoa; phylum Chordata; class Mammalia; order Primates; family Hominidae; genus Homo; species Homo sapiens. The sequence goes on along the minus strand of NC_000001.11, from coordinate 154,156,058 downwards.
GGGCTTCACCATGTTGGCCAGGCTGGTCTCGAACTCCTGACCTTCAGGTGATCCACCTGCCTCAGCTTCCCAAAATGCTGGGATTACGGGCGTGAGCCACCGCACCCAGCTGGAGCAACAGGATTTAATATAGAGCAAATGTTTAGTTTTATCATCTGTAAAATGGAGATAAGTATTGTCAGAGTAAACATGAAGATTAGAAAGAACACTTAATGTGCTGGGCCTTTTATAGGTTAACACTGACATCTCAGGCTGAACTATATACATTTTCCTTCACAACCATATCAATCCTTATAAACTATGGATTTATGCTCCTTAAAACAATATATAATGCTGATCACTACTATAAATGCGTGGTTTTAACCAACTGTACTGAAACAGCTTTGAGTTTATATTCTGTTTGGATATTTGGAGAAAACAACAAGTGCTCTCAAGAGTATTTGCTTAGAGGCCGGCTGTGTGAGTGGATAACTTTGAAAGCTGCTTTTGAGACGCCAGTGTCTGGCATTTCCTGCATTCTGGCCTGGAGGCCGGACGTGAATCTGACTTCTAGTAAAAATACACGGTTCCCTTGACAAAGTCGAGCTGTTTATCCCAGAGACTGCACAATTTTCCGTTGATAGGCATGGACCAATGCTAACTGGAAATCATTGCAAAAAGTTTTTTTGTCGGGCGGAGGGTGTGGTGTTAAGATAAACAGTGTGCAACAGAAGAAATTAAAACTGGAAGAAATTAAAGGGTTTTTTTTAGACTTTTCTGCTTGTTCCTTACTGTTAAAAAGGTCTGCCATCCAGTATTTAGGAAAGCCCTTTAAGAGAGTTTGAGGTGTTTTAGCTGGGTTTGTGCCAAAAGTTTCCATTATATTGGCTTGCTGAAGGACTGCATTTAAAAATGCCCACACATCCGAGCAAGAAGCAGGTCCCATCCCCCTCTGCTGACGTCACGCCTGTGGATTGGCTGATGGAGCTGTGAGCCGGCTGTAGTTGAGCGGGAACCCGAGACCTGGCAGTCGCCATGACTGGCTGTCCGGCGTCATCAAGACGCCGAGGCTTCGGGCTCTTTTTCTTCTTGCGTCTACACCGCCTCCTGTTGTTGTTTCTGGTTTTGCGTGGGACCCTGGCCAACAAACTTAACGTGCCACAGGTGTTGCTACCCTTCGGCCGAGAGCCAGGCCGGGTGCCTTTCCTGCTGGAGGCCCAGCGGGGCTGCTACACTTGGTGAGGGGTGGTGGGTGACAAGGATATGCACCCTCACTACCATCCAGTAAGGGTGAGGGGGGTTCCCTCTGTAAGATCCCACAGGAATACCGTGTGGGGCCGCGTGAAGGGGCCTAGCCGGTAGGGGAGGAGAGTGTGGTGTCAGTGAAGGTGGCGAGGAGCAGACCCTTGGGTGTGGCGTGTCCTACTCATGTGGTATATCCTCCAGCTGTGTGACAATCTTCCAGACGTGTGAGGAATTCTCGGGATGTGGGACTGGCCTCTTCTCTGTGTGTGTTGGGAAGGGGTGGTCACTATGAGCAGCCGTCAGGGTAAAGGGAAGCCCTGTGTTGGAGGCCACAGGTACTGATGACTTCCAATGTAAACAACTAGAGTAAGAGGAAGTTCCCCATATCTGAGGAAATTTCTGTAGGAACAGGAAAACTTGGGGTGCGAGGGTCCCCACTAACTATAGATGAGCTATTCAATGTGAGAAGGACTTAAAACACAACAGCCAAGTATTGGGGGTTAACTAAGCACTTTACATGTGTTAACTCATTCGCTTTTTGCAGTCTTATGAAGTAAGTACTATTACTCCCATTTCACAGACGAGGAAAGTGAGGCCCAGAGACTATGAAGTGTAAACTTCTGGGAATATGAGAAGATTTATCGTGGGTGGAGATGAGATCTGTCTGTATTATCAAAATTGCCCCATTTATAAAAGGGTACCCGCTTGAAGTGTGAGGACAGGGGGTACACACAACTCCGGGATAATGACTTCCTGACTGAAGATGAAGAGACATGATTTTCTGGTGTGAGAGGACCCAATGATGGGTTATGTGGTTGCCTAAGGTATGAGAGAACCTAACCGAAGTGAGCTTCAGGATGCCAGTGCATTCATCCTAGATGGAGTAGATACCCCTTTGCCATCTCCTAGGAGAAGCAATGAGGTTTGTTCCGAGTATAAATTCACCTCTCATTTTATGAGGAAGTATAAGGAAAGTGAGCTTGTAAGATGATCCAGTGTGACGTGTGTGTTTCCTGACCGTGAGGGTGATGCAAGGCATCTTTCCAGCATTGAAAGCCATTTCTTCTATCACTCCAAAAATATTAATGAGGCCAGGCATGGTGGCTCACGCCTGTAATCCCAGCACTTTGGGAGGCCAAGGCAGGAGGATTACTTGAGGCCAGGAGTTTGAGACCAGCCGGATCAACATAGTGAGACCCCGTCTCTATTTAAAATAAAAACATTCGGCCGGGCGCAGTGGCTCACGCCTGTAATCCCAGCACTTTGGGAGGCCGGGGCAGGCAGATCACTTGAAGTCAGGAGTTCAAGACCAGCCTGGCCAACATGATGAAAGCCCATCCCTACTAAAAATACAAAAATTAGTCGGGCATAGTGGCAGACACCTGTAATCTCAGCTACTCGAGAGGCTGAGGCAGGAGAATCGCTTGAACCCTGGAGGCGAATGTTGCAGTGAGCTGAGATCGCCCTGCTGCACTTCAGCTTGGGCAACAAAGTGACTCGGTCTCAAAAACATAATAATAAATAAGAATAAAAATATTTATGAATGTTTTTGGTATTTTGAGTTGGACTCACACCTCATAATTTAGGCACCTTTTCCATCCTAGATATCAGAAGCCTGGTTTCTAGGATTGAAGGAAACTTTCCTCAGAGTATGAGAAAGTCCCCTCTCATTACTAGAAACACATCAGTCGTATTTCTGCATACTGAGGGAAGAATATAAAAATCTTTTAAAAAAAATTGAGGGAGGGATATTTCTGGGACTTTGTTCAAGGGATCATTGGGAAAGTTCTCATCAATCTCTCAGTTTAATTATCGCATCCCTAAGCAATGTTCCTTCTTTAAAAAGTGTCATTTACATATACCTGGTAGTATGTAACATGGAAGAAGTGTGAGAATCTATGTTCCACTAAAAGTTAATTTTAACCCACCTATTTCACACTCTTAAGAATTTTGTTCTGGCAGGCATTCCACCCATCATGATGCAGTTACTGTTGAGCCTTTATATGAAAATGGCACCTTGTGTTCCCAAAAAGCTGTACTCATTGCTGAATCTACGCAACCGATACGCCTCAGCAGTATTATTCTTGCTCGAGAAATAGGTATGTTGAGAGCAAAAACACTATGTATCACTTCTTCTGGGGTAGAATAATCTGGTATTTTGTATAGATAGTTAACACAAATGGTGTTGGCTTCAAATGATCAAAGGGAGAATAAATGATTCCTAGCTGGCTGCAGTGGCTCACGCCTTTAATCCCAGCACTTTGGGAGGCTGAGGCAGAAAGATTGCTTGAGCTCAGGAGTTTAAGAACAGTCTGGGTAACAGAGTGAGACCTATCTCTACAAAAAAAAAAAAAAAATTATGGCTGGGGGCGGTGGCTCGCGCCTGTAATCCCCCCACTTTGGGAGGCCGAGGTGGGTGGATCACCTGAGGTGGGGAATTTGAGACCAGCCTGGCCAACATGGTAAAACCTCGTCTCTACTAAAAATACAAAAAAATTAGCCGGGCGTGGTGGCGCACACCTGTAGTCCCAGCTACTCAGGGAGGCTGAGGCAGGAGAATCGCTTGAACCCGGGAGACACAGGTTGCAGTGAGCCAAGATTGTGCCACTGCACTCCAGCGGGGCGACAGAGGGAGTCTCCATCTCAATAAAACAAAATAAAATAAAATAAAATAAAATAAAAATGAAGAGTATTAGGCAGGATTTTCATTTTTTCTTTCTTTCTTTCTTTTTTTTTTTTTTTTTGAGACGGAGTTTCGCTTTTGTTGCCCAGGCTGGAGTGCAGTGGCGTGATCTTGGCTCACTGTAACCTCTGTCTCCCAGGTTCAAGCGATTCTCCTGGCTCAGCCTCTTGAGTAGCTGGGATTACAGGCGCACTGCCACCACACCTGGCTAATTTTTGTATTTTTAGTAGAAAGGGGGTTTCTCCATGTTGGTCAGGCTGGTCTCAAACTCCCGACCTCAGGTGATCTACCTGCCTCAGCCTCCCAAAGTGCTGGGATTATAGGTGTGAGCCACCGTGCCCGGACAGCATTTTCTCTTTTTTTAGAGACAGGGTCTTGCTTTGTTGCACAGGTTGTAGTGCAATGGCACGACAGTAGCTCACTGCATCCTGCCTGGCCTGCGCAACACAGTGAGACTCCATCTCTACAAAACAATAATAATAAATAAATTAAAAGAATTTTTAAAAACCACCTAAAACCTATTCTTAAGTGGACTTTGCAATTAGATAGAACTAATCTATTTTTGTTTCCAGCTTTGGAAAATTTCCTAGTACATCTGAGTCATCACTTTTCCCCCACTCCCTTTAACCTTTTGGTTCCTAGGGAATAAGAGTCCTCTGCTATTTTTCACCAGATTTTTTTCCAACTACTAACACCTATTCTACAAATTTTGTTACTGGCCCTCTTAATGTTCTCACATGTGCAGTCAGTGACAACTATATCTTGACTGCTGCCTGGCTGAGAGGACTTGTAAGATGTCATCAATTATAAGATAAATCCCAATTGCAGAGATGTTAAAAGATAAAAAACGAGTGTCTAAGAATCAATGAAATATGGTATGATAGTCTCAAACATAAGAATCTTTGAAGACCATGTCATGCAGGGTAGCTAAAAAGGATAGAGAAGGATACGAAAGTCAGAAAAAACAAAAAACATTGATTTGGTCACATATGCGATTTTTAAAATGTAATCATTTTTAACTACACAAATTCATTCTGATATAAAAAAATTCACAGAAGTACTAGGAAAAATGTCAAATCTTGCTCTCAGCTTAACTTCGTCTGACTTGGGACCAATTTTCCAAAGTTAAGTATCCTTAAATCAACTTTCCCAATTTTACTATTAATACAATTGTGTACATAGATGAGATTCCCAGTGGTAAGGGCCAGTCTTGGTGTCCTACTAGGAGCATCTGAATGGGAGCAAGTAGTAGGAAAGGGGTGGGATTGGGCATTTTGAAAGAGAAGTGCATGCCTAAGAGAAATTGTTCATTAATTCCTTGGACAGATATTTATTGAGTTGCCTACTTTATAAGGCATATATAAAGGTAAAAAGATGTAAGCTTGCCATTGGCATTTAAGTCCTTTTTTTTTTTTTTTTTTTTTGAGATGGAGTCTTGCTGTGTTATCCAGGCTGGAGTGCAATGGCGCGATCTTGGCTCGCTGCAACCTCCACCTCCTGGGTTCAAGCAATTCTCCTGCCTCAGCCTCCTGAGTAGCTGGGACTACAGGCATGCGCCACCACGCCTGGCTAATTTTTGTATTTTTAGTAGAGATGGTGTTTCACCATGTCGGCCAGGCTAGTCTTGAACTCCTGACCTTAAGTGATCCACCCGCCTTGGCCCCCCAAAGTGCTGGGATTACAGGCGTGAGCCACTGCACCCAGCCTTAAGTGCTTATTATAAAATTTTGTTTATGATGGTTTTGGTGATAGTGTAGTAAAGAAAGTGGTCATGACAAAGATGATGGATAGACTTGAGGTGAGAGACTTAAGTGCAATGACGTGATCTCCACTCACCGCAACCTCTGCCTCCCGGGTTCAAGCGATTATCCTGCCTCAGCCTCCCGAGTAGCTGGGATTACAGACATGTGCCACCATTCCCAGCTAATTTTGTATTTTTAGTAGAGACGTGGTTTCTCCATGTTGGTCAGGCTCATCTCGAACTCCCAACCTCAGGTGATCTGCCCGCCTCAGCCTCCCAAAGTGCTGGGATTACAGGCGTGAGCCACCACACCTGGCCTTGCCCCGCTAAATTTTTGTAATTTTTATAGAGGTAGGGGTTTCGCCATGTTGCCTAGGCTGGTCTCAAACTCCTGGAGTTAAGCAGTCCACCAACCTTGGCCTCTCAAAGTGCTGGGATTATAGCCATGAGCCAACCACACCCGGCTGAGAGCATAATTTTAGGTGAAAAAGTTCACAGGGCAGATGAAGAACTGGTTTGGACAACTGAAGTGTACCTGTAGTAATGTGGACCTGTAAATAAAAATATCTGTTATATTATTTAATAAAGTTGTATTCTCTTCACTTTAAAAGTTAAATGTTTGATATTTCTCCTAATCATTCTAAATTTACTTGTAAATCATCCAAAATAATTTCATTTATTTATTATTTATTTTTATTTTTTGGGACAGGGTTTCACTCTGTCACCCAGGCTGGAGTTCAGTGGCACAAACATGGCTCATTGCAGCTATGACCTCCTGGGCTCAAGTGATCCCCCTACTTCAGCCTCCTGAGTAGCTGGGACTACAGGGGGGCACCACCAGGCCTGGCTAGTTTTTTTATTTTTTGTAAGACTATGGTAGTGGGGTTGCTCAGGCTGGTCTTGAACTCCTGGGCTCAAGCAATCCTGCCTCAGCTTCCCAAAGTGTTGAGCTTATAGGCTTGGGCCATTGTACTGGGCAGTTTTTTTTCTTTATGGTCAATGGCCTTATATTGAAAAGTTTTCTAGGCTGGGCACGGTGGCTCACGCCTGTAATCCCAGCACTTTGAGAGGCCAAGGCGGGTGGATCACCTGAGGTCAGGAGGTCGAGACCAGCCTGGCCTACATGGTGAAACCCCGTCTCTACTAAAAATACAAAAATTAGCTGGGCGTGGTGATGGGCACCTGTAATTCCAGCTACTTGGGAGGCTGAGGCAGGAGAATCACTTGGACCCGGGAGGTGGAGGTTGCAGTGAGCCTAAATGGCATCATTGCACTCCAGCCTGGGCGACAAGAGCAAAACTCCTTCTCAGGAAAAAAAAAAAAGAGAAGTTTTCTGCTGTTGAAGTAGTCAGATGAGTAAGCATTGTGTGCACAAGACTTTTCCTTTTTTATGTAAGGTCACAGCTGCTTGTGTTTGCCATTGTGCTACACATTTCTCTACTGAAAAGGGGGCTTTAATTTCTCATTTGACAAGTGCTAGATTACTCAGTGCCTGATTATCAAGTTACGGATTACCTAAGATTACCATCCCTCCCTTCCTTCCTTCCTTCACCATCCTGGAACACTTCCTTAGTGGTAATTCTACCAGCAGATCCTGTGAGATTTCAACTTACCTTGTTGTTTTTTGTTCATAGACCCCCATGTCTTTGTCTTTAATTATTTTAACTTGGGGTTCTGTTTGTCAGTTAAATGTTAATCAAGTAGAAGGCTAACTTAATTTTAAAACTTTTTAATTTAAAAATGATTTTAGATTTACAAAAGAGATGTAAAGATAATACAGAAAGTTCCCATATACCCTTTACCTAGTTTGCTCTAATGTTTCACTAATCTTCTCTAGGATTCAATTAAAGATACACATTGCTAAACTAAATTGTCATGTTTCCTTTGTCTCCTCCAATCTGTGAGTTTCTCAGTCACTTTTTTCTCTTGAGACAAAGTCTGTCTCTGTCACCAAGGCTGGAGTGCACTGGCACTATCTGGGCTCACTGCAACCTTTGCTTCCCGGTATCAAGTGATCTGCCCACCCTAACCTCCCCAGTAGCTGGGACTGCAGGCACACGCCACCATGCCCAGCTAAGTTTTGTAAAGATGGGGTGTCACCATGTTCAGCCTTTTAGTCACTTTTGATGCTTTTTTTTTTTTCTGAGACCGAGTCTTGCTCTGTCGCCCAGGCTGGAGTGCAATGGTGCAATCTCGGCTGACTGCAACCTCCGTCTCCCGGGTTCAAGCGATTCTCCTGCCTCAGCCTCCTGAGTAGCTGGGATTACAGGCACGCACCACCATGCCTGGCTAATTTTTTGTATTTTAATAGAGACAGGGTTTCGCCATGTTGGCCATGTTGGCCGGGCTGGTCTCGAACTCCTGACCTAGTGATCCACCCACCTCGGCCCCCCAGAGTGCTGGGATTACAGGTGTGAGCCACCGTGCCTGGCCTTGACACTTAAAGAGTGTTGGGTGGCCAGGCACGGTGGCTCACCTCTGTAATCCCAGCACTTTGGGAGGCCGAGGCGGGTGGATTACGAGGTCAGGAGTTTGAGACCAGGCTTGCCAACATGGTGAAACCCCATCTCTACTAAAAATACAAAAAATTAGCCAGGCATGGTGGTGTGTGCCTGTAATCCCAGCTACTCTGGAGGCTGAGGGACGAGGATTGCTTGAACCCCAGAACCCCAGAGGCAGAGGTTGCAGTGAGTTGGATTGCACCACTGCATTGCGACAGAGAGAGACTTTGTCTCAAAGACAAACAAACAAACAAACAGTGTTGGGCCAAGGGCACTAGCTCCGGAGGCCTGTAATCCCAGCACTCTGAGAGGCTGAGGCAGGAGGAACACTTGAGCCCAGGAGTTCAAGACCAGCCTGGGCAACATTAGCAAGACCAAGTCTCTACTAAAAAAAAAAAGAAAAAATTAGCCAGGCATGATGGTACGTGCCTGTAACCCCAGCTACTCAGGAGGCCAAGGCTGGAGGATTGCTTGAGTCCAGGAGTTTGAGGCTGCAGTGAGCCATGATCAAACTGCTGCACTCCAGAGACCTTGTTTAAAGGAAAAAAAAAAAGTACTGGTCAGATGTTGTATATAGAAAGTTTCTCAATTTGGGTTTGTCTAACTTTTTCTCATGATTAGCCTGGGGTTATGATTTTCAGGGAAAAAACCCACATAGAATTGAAGGGCCCTTCCCATTGCATTATTTCATGGGGTTCATGATATCAGCATGATTTATCACTGGTGGTGGTAACCTTGATCACTTGGTTAAGGTGGTGGTATCTGTCAGGTTTCTCCACTGTAAAGCTACCATTTTCCCCTTTGTATATGCTATTCATTAAAAGGGGTCATGAAGCCTAGCCCACAATTTAAAGGAAGGGGAATTGGCCTGGACAACAAAGTGAGACCCTGTCTCTACAAAAAACTAAAAAATTAAAAATTAGCCAGGTGCGGTGGCATGCGCCTATAATCCCAACCACTCAGGAGGCTGAGGTGGGAGGATCACTTGAGCCCAGGAGTTCGAGGCTGCAGTGAGCTATGATTGTGCCACTGCTCTCCAGCCTCGGTGACAGAGTGAGACCCTGTTTTTAAAAAAGCAAAACAAAAATAAAGGAAGGAGAAGTGACCTTTGCCTCTTGGAAGGAGGAGTGCCAAAGGATTTGTGCACATGTATTAACCACTGCAATAACTAATAAATATTTGAGGGAGATACTTTCATGTATCCTGTTTCTCCTTGAAGCTTTACCCACTGATTTTAGTGTTTATCCATGAATCTTAGTACTGTGATGCTCTTTTTTTGGTGGGGGGGGGAGGGGGGATGGGATCTTGCTCTTGCAGTGGCATGGACTCAGCTCACTGCAGCCTTGACCACCCAGGCTCAAGCGATTCTTCCACCTCAGCCTCCCACGTAGCTGGAACCATAGATGGGTGCCACCATACCTGGCTAGATTCTTTTTATTATTTGTAGATATGAGGTCTCACTATGTTGCCCAGGCTGATCTTGAACTCCTGGGCTTAAGCGATTTCCTTCATATATTCCATACTTATTAACTAGTATTCTTCTGAAAGAAAGATGTCTTACATCTTACAAACAACTTCTTCCCAGTTAATTTATTCAATTATTTATGTCAGTATGGGTTCATGAGTATTTATTTAATTTGGGGGCTATATTTCAATGTTATAATTTATTCTGTTATTCAGGTTTTTCCAGCTTTGGCCACTGGGGGCTCTTTCAGGTTGGCTCCTATGTCCTTTGTCCTTATCTTTTCTTTAATTTTTGTGATTGATTGATTGATTGTGCTTTCTTACTTTTTAGTTCTATGAGATGGGCCAGGGTCATCTTAGCCATTTCTTCAAGGAGTCCTGGTTCTTTATATTAAAGAATTATATTTAGTGCCTGTAATCTCAGCGGTTTGGGAGGCTGAGGTAGGAGGATCGCTTGAGGCCAGGTGTTCTAGACTAGCCTGGGTAACGTAGCAAGACTCCATCTCAACAACAACAAGAATTATATTTAGAAACCAAGATCTGGGTGCCAGTGTGCTTGTTGCTACTGGTGTATCCACTGCTTCTAGGCCCTCTCAGCAACATAACTAGGAAATATATGTATATATGCTAACTCCTGTATACACATATATCTACACTTATTTCTATATCTATCTGCATAGATATTAAAATAAACATGAGCTCATACTGATATCTTCAATTCTAATCTTGCACCTTAGGGTTTATTCTAGCCTTCCCACCTTGCTTATTGTAACTTCTTTCTCTGACAGGGAGAAAAGTGACTTTCATTATCTATGACGTATTTACTTATTTGTTCAATTCTGTTGTCTATATAAAGTAATTTCAGGATGAGTAATTCAATTTTTAATGTTTCTGTTGAAAGGAAGCATGCCATTTCCTGAAATAAGCATACTTTATTGCATCTTAGCCCTTGTTGAGGGCCATTTACCTGTATTATCCTATTAACATTCTCCTTTGATTTTTTTTTCAATGTTTAATTTTTTTTTTTGTAGACGGAATCTCGCTCTGTCACCCAGGCTGGAGTGCAGTGGCACAATCTTGGCTTACTGCAACCTCTGCCTCCCAGGTTCAAGCAATTCTCCTGCCTCAGCCTCCCGAGTAGCTGGGACTACAGGCGTGCACCACCACGCCCGGCTAATTTTTGTATTTTTAGTAGAGATGGTGTTTCATCATGTTGGCCAGACTGGTCTTGAACTCCTGACCTCAGGCAGTCTGACCGCCTTGGCCTCCCAAAGTGCTGGGATTACAGGCGTGAGCCATCACGCCCAGCCAATGTTTAATTTTTAATTTTTTGTTTTTTTGAGACAGTCTCACTCTGTCACCCAGGCTGGAGTGCAGTGGCATGATTTCAGCTCACTGTAACCTCTGCCTCCTGGGTTCAAGCAATTCGTTTGCCTCAGCCTCCTGAGTTGCTGGGACTACAGGCGTGCACCACCATGCCCGGCTAATTTTTGTATTTTAATAGAGACGGAGTTTCACCATGTTGGCCAGGCTAGTCTCAAACTCCTGACCTCAGGTGATCCACCTACCCTGCCTCAGCCTCCCAACGTGGTGGGATTAGAGGCGTGAGCCACTGCACCCGGCCTCTCCTTTGATTTTAAAATTCCTTAAAAGCAGATCTATGGTTAGGGACAGAGTTTATCCCTGATGTTTACTGGTAATTTGGGGTCATTGGAAAGTGGTCGTAACTTTGCTTTTTGGTTTTTTTGGATGAAGCTAAAACTAAATGTTACAATAGTAGAATGGAACAGCTATATAGACAGTTCTCAAATACATGGCAAATGTGGTAGGAAAGAGTGCTGTTAAAATATAGTGGTACAAAACAATTTTTATTTCATTCTCATTTTATTCTGTACTGTTTCAATTAGTGTTTCTGAATTTCATTATGGGTATATTGACTAGAACTCTGGTTGGACTGGGACTCTAGCTAGATCTAATACGGTGGTTCCCAGGCTTTTTAATCTCATGGCCCACAAGAAAAAATAACTGAAAGAAAGGAAGACAGAAAGAGACAGAAAAGTTTATTGATAGGACTGACTTACAGTTGCCACTGTTTTACTTTCCTAAATAAATACATTTTAAAAAATCTACTAAACACCATTATTTCATAAAAGAAAATTTTTTACCATTTTAAAAGTAAGACGTAGAATAAAGTATAATCCTTTAATACGACTACAACTTTATTTTATTATTCACTTTTTATTTTTTATTTATTTATTTATTTTTGAGACAGAGTCTCACTCTGTCGCACAGGTTTGAGTGCAGTGGCGTGATCTCGACTCCCTACAACCTCTGTCTCCTGGGTTCACACCTTCTCCTGCCTCAACCTTCCGAGTAGCTGGGACTACAGGTGCCCGCCACCACTCCAGGATAATTTTTTTGTATTTTTAGTAGAGACGGGGTTTCACCGTGTTAGCCAGGATGGTCTTGATCTCCTGACCTTGTGATCTGCCCACCTCAGCCTCCCAAAGTGCTGGGATTACAGGCATGAGCCACCATGCAAGACCTATTATTCGCTATTTTAAAATTTTTATTTGTTATCAGGATCTTGAAGAATTTGGAGAAAAATATTACAATTTTTATTTTTCTTATTTTTCCATGGATGAGTAGAAACATCATAGATCAGTGTTTTGGAATCTCTGGTCTAGTGCCTCTTGTTATAAAGAAAGGCTCTTATATCTTATTATTATGCTATTTTCTTCCATAGGTAAAAGCAGCAGTCATAGTCTTTCTTTTTCATAATCTTTAGAATACAGTTTTGAGTATTTGAGACATTTAATAGATTCATGACCTATTGAATTAAATACTCAGTTTTTGGGTTCATTGTAGTGACTGACCATGAGCTACGCTGTGATGTTAAGGTTGATGTGATAAACAGCATTGAAATTGTATCTCGGGCCCGGGAACTTTATGTAGATGATTCGCCACTGGAACTGATGGTGAGGGCATTGGATGCTGAAGGTAAAGAACTTCAGAGGATTCAACAAAATTACCTAAAATAAAGTAATATCTGTTTATGTTTAGCACTTGGAAACAAAAACTTGAGTGGCAAAAGTAGATTAGAAGTAATATCTATTTTCTCATTTGGAGCTCATAGATGAATAATAATTCTGAGTATAATTTAATGTATTAACTACACGTTTTCATAAAATATTCCTGCTATTGTTAGTTATCTCAGAACTTTTCCTTTCTTTTTTTTTTTTTTGGGCAGGGGGAGGGGAACAGAGTTTTGCTTTTGTTGCCCAGGCTGGAGTACAATGGCATGATCTTGGCTCACTGCAACCTCTGCCTCCTGAGTTCAAGCAGTTCTCCTGCTTCAGCCTCCTGGGTAGCTGGGATTACAGGCCTGCGCCACCACTCCCGGCTAATTTTGTATTTTTAGTAGAGATGGGCTTTCACCATGTTGGTCAAGCTGGTCTTGAACTCCTGACCTCAGGTGATCCACCCGCCTTGGCCTCCCAAAGTGCTGGGATTACAGGCGTGAGCCACCGCGCCTGGCCACTTTCTTTTTTTTTTTTGAGATGGAGTCTCGCTCTGTTGCCTAGGCTCAAGTGCAGTGGTGCGATCTTGGCTCACTGCAACCTCTGCCCTCCCGCTTCAGGCGATTCTTGTGCCTCAGCCTCCCAAGTAGCTGGGAATACAGGCACGCGCCACCACACCCGTTAATGTTTGTATTTTTAATAGAGACGGGTTTCACCATGTTGACCAGGCTGGTCTCGAACTCCTGGCCTCAAGTGATCTGCCTTCCTCGGCCTCCCAAAGTGTTGGGATTACAGGCATGAGCCACCGCACTGGCCTCCGAACTTTTCTTAGATACCCAAATCTACCACTGAGCTTCTGTTGATGGGCCCTAGATCAACAATGAAGAACACTTTTTGGAATTTATTGCTAGCTCTGTTTGATCAATCCACTTTCTATAGACCAGGAGAATTAAATGTAAATCTGTAAAAAAGTTACAATCTTGATCTAATCTTTAATGCTTTTAATACTGTATACTATATTAATGCTATAATGAGGTATTAAAAAACACTTAGGTAGTAAAAAAAAAATTTAGGTGGGACGTGGTGGCTCATGCTTCTAATTCTAGCACTTTGGGAGGCCGAGGTTGAAGTATCCTGTGAGGCCAAGTTTCCCATGGTTAATTAAAAAAAAATTATAATGTATTGCCACTTTCTTTGTTAATTACATGAGTGATTTGTTTTTTTAATCTGAAAAATGAACTATTCGGGAATTCTGGAAGCTTTTTTTTTTTTTTGGATACAGAGTCTGTCACTCAGGCTGGAGTGCGGTGACACAAGCATGGCTCACTGCAGCCTTGACCTCCCAGGCTCAAGCAATCCTCCTACCTCAACCTCCTGAGTAGCTAGGACTACAGGTGCAGGCCACCATACCTGGCTAAGTTTTTATTTTACAGACCAGGTGTCACTATGTTGCCCAGGTTGGTCTCAAACTCCTGGGTTCCAGCGATCCTCCTGCCTTGGCCTCCCAAAGTGCTGGGATTACAGGTACAAGCTATTGCACCGGGCCTGGAAAGTTTTTACAAAAATTTGTGTGGAGGGGACCAGGATTAAGGATGCTTTGTCAACCATGAGGTGGCCTTTATGTAGAAAGGAACAGGAGCATGGCATAATTATTGTCAACCAGAAGTTAATCAGCTTGAGCCCTTTTTACTTTCAGACAGCTTGTGCAGCAACATCATTTATTGTTTGTGTAGGGAACTTTCTCATATATATGTTTTAATTCATTAATGATAGTGCTTTCTATTTCTTAATGAAAGAGGCTTCAAAGTAATTTTCTAGTTAGGTTTCCCTTTCTTGTTGTAAATACCTGAATATTTTTAAATACGTGATCCTATCTTGTCTGCTTTTGGCTTGCTCTACAGGAAATACTTTTAGTAGTTTGGCAGGGATGATGTTTGAGTGGAGCATTGCCCAGGACAACGAGTCAGCAAGAGAAGAACTGTCTAGCAAAATTAGGTAAACTTGAAACCAAACATAAATCATCTGACTATGAAGAAGACATCTGCCATTAAGCGGCATGCTGAACAAGCAACCATTTGTGTGGACTTTGATGACCCTGCTATCTACTTTTTTGAAACTGATAAATTACTGAGAGAAATGTCTTTGATAGAATGAAATATGACATAGATGTAGGTACCTTTATGATCGCTTAATCTGAGTTATTATGGAGGAGTTCATGGGCTAAGTACTACACAATTATTTGAGCCAGGTATATCTTCTGGAAATTCTTTTTGTTCAAGCTACCTGCACATGCTGGAGTAGAGGGAGAAGGATGATAGTATGAAATTTTGTCTTCAGTACCAAGGAGTAGATCTCAGATCCAAGTTTTACTCCCACCACAATTTTAGCCAGAGGCTCATAAATCCCTTTCTTTTTTTTTTTTTTTTTTCTTCGAGATGGAGTCTTGCTCTGTCTCCCAGGCTGGAGTGCAGTGGCGTGATCTTGGCTCACTGCAACCTCTGCCTCCCGGGTTCACGCCATTCTCCTGCCTCAGCCTCCTAAGTAGCTAGGACTACAGGAGCCCGCCACCACGCCCAGCTAATTTTTTTTGTTGTTGTTGTATTTTTAGTAGAGAACAGGGTTTCACTCTGTTAGCCAGGATGTTCTCAATCTCCTGACCTCCTGATCTGCCCACTTTGGCCTCCCAAAGTGCTGGGATTACGGCGTGAGCCACCGTGTCTGGCCTTTTCTTTTTCTTTTCTTTTTCTGTTTTTTTTTTTGAGATGGAGTCTTGCTCTGTCACTCAGGCTGGAGTGCAGTGACACGATCTCGGCTCACTACAGCCTCCACCTCCTGGGTTCAAGCGATTCTCCTGCCTCAGTCTCCTGAGTAGCTGGGACTACAGGTGCCTGCCACCACGCCCAGCTAATTTTTGTATTTTTAGTGGAGATGGGGTTTCGCCATATTGGCCAGGGTGGTCTCAAACTCCTGACCTCAAGTGATCCACCCGCCTCTGCCTCCCAAAGTGCTGGGATTATAGGCGTGAGCCACTGCGCCTTGCCTTTATCTTTTTCTTTTTCTTTTTTTTTTTTTTTTGAGACGGAGTCTTGCTCTGTCACCCAGGCTGGAGTGCAGTGGCACAATCTTGGCTCACTGCAACCTCCATCTCCTGGGTTCAAGTGATTCTCCTGTCTCAGCTTCCCAAGTAGCTGGAATTACAGGCACATGCCACCACGCCCGGCTAATTTTTGTATTTTTAGTAGAGATGGAGTTTTGCCATGTTGGCCTGGCTGGTCTCAAATTCCTGACCTCAAGTGATGTGCCCGCCTTGGCCTCCCAAAGTGCTAGGATTACAGGCGTGAGCTACCATGCCCAGTCAAAAGTGTTTTACATTCTATAGACATTGAAGAAACTATGTTTAAAGTCTCTTAGGGACTTTTGGAAGAACCCTTCGTTTAATTCTGCTAGAAACACATTTTATTTTATGTCTTTAGGATTCTTAAATACTCCGAAGCAGAATATGCTCCCCCAATATATATAGCTGAGATGGAAAAAGAGGAGAAACAAGGAGATGTGATTTTAGTGTCTGGGATTAGAACTGGTGCTGCTGTTGTAAAAGTTCGAATTCATGAACCATTCTATAAGGTAAAAAGTTTGTGTGCTATAAATTTTCCTTACTTGTTTTTTCAAGATATGGTCTAACTCTGTTGCCCAGGTACTACAAGAATGCACTACCCGCCCTGTTTTTTTTTTTTTTTTGTTTGTTTGTTTGTTTTTGTAGAGACAGACAGGGTTTCACCAGGTTGCCCAGGCTGGTCTCAAACTTCTGAGCTCAAGCAGTCTGCCTGCCCCAGTCTCCTAAAGTGCTGGGATTACAGGCGTGAGCCCACACAACTGGCCAGTGTTATAAATTTTTCATTTAATAGTCTTGCCTATGGAAAATATAGTTTTTTATGTTTATCTATAGTAGAAGCCCTCTAGTCTGATGTGATTTGGGCCAATAGTTGGTCATTTAATTGAAAAAGTTATTTGAAGTAGGTAAGCATTAAACAATTATCTTAAACATTTTATTGCCTGATTACAATTACAAATGTGACTGGCATTTTCTCTTAAAATATATAACTACATTTTATTCACCAATCCTTGATGTAGGTGCAAGGCCTTTCTTTGACCATGAGTTCACTGATTTGAAATCTACATACACTTTCTCCAATAAACTACAGTTTCTAATTTCTTCCTTTTTTGGGGTGGGGGGGTTTCAAGTGATTCTTGTGCCTCAGCCTCCCGAATATCTGGGATTACAGGTGTGTGTCACCATGCCCAACTAATTTTTGTATTTTTAGTAGAAACAGAGTTTCACCATGATGGCCAGGCTGGTTTCAAACTTCTGGCCTCAAGTGATCCACCTGTCTCGGCCTCCTAAAGTGCTAGGATTACAGGCGTGAGCCACCACACCCGGCCCTAATTTCTAGTCAAGTAAAAATTTAGATGCAGGAAGAATTTGTGTGCAAAAATTTATATTTTAAAGGATTTTCCCTAATATTTTACATTTCTCACTTATACCTAATTGATAGTATATATTAGCAGCTTGCCTTTAACTTTTTTTGACACATTTAAATTTTTAATAGAAATAACAGTTCTCTTTTCACATGTATAGTTTTTGTTTTAATGTGATTATAATTATAAGCACAACTTGCATAAATAGGTTTGGGAAAAACAAATGTTTTTTGGTAAGCATTTAATTCAATGGCAAGAACATGAGTGTGTGGACCTCCTAGAGAGAAGCCTACCAACCTTGCATTGGGTAAATCTTCATAAAAATCAATGTGTTCAACAGAGAGTGGAAAGTAACTTAATCTGGCAAGTCAGTTAATTGGAGGTTGGCTAAAAGAATTTCTGTGTTCTACAATTGAGTCTTACCTTTTCTCATTTCAGCATACTTGACTTTTTATTTACCTACTTTTTTTCTTTTAGAAGACTTTTTTGTTCTAAGTCTGAGTATCTTAGAAAGTTAATAAGGTATTAAGATTCATAATCACTTTTTAAGGCTAGCTGAAATTATGACTTGTGATTAGGAAAGCTTTTAAAAAAATCTTTATAAAAAATTTTAAAAGAAGTTTAAAAGAAGTAAGCTTTTAACAAGAAAGATGACTGTGAGGGTTCCGTCCATGGAAACTGTTTTTTTTTTTCCTTCCCTCCCTCTTTTAGAAAGTGGCAGCAGCCTTAATACGTCTGCTTGTTTTGGAGAATATATTTCTTATACCATCCCATGATATTTATCTCTTAGTAGGAACATATATTAAATACCAAGTTGCAAAAATGGTTCAAGGGAGAGTGACAGGTAAGGTGATTTATTTTTTCTCCTATGACTCACATTTCCCAAATCTTTTCTGCTGACAAGATCAGCAACTCCACATTACATATGAAAAATACTTGTGTTTTTAGATTTTGTGGTAAAGTGTTAATTGCTGTACTTAACTAATATTAGACAGAAATAGCCCCATATCTTGAACATATTAATGGCATAGTTAGGCTGCTTAGCTTCGGTGCCAATAGGCATCTGAATTCTCTATTAAAACAACAACTAGCCAGGCATGGTGGCTCTCGCTTGTAATTCCAGCTACTCTGGAAGCTGAGGCAGGAAGATTGCTTGAGGCCAGAAGTTGGAGACCAATCTAGGCAACAGAGCAAGATCCCCATATCTTTATTATTTTTTTATTTTTATTTTTTTGAGATGGGGGTCTCACTCTGTTGCCCAGGTTGTAGTACAGTGGCATGATCATGGCTCATTGCAACATTGAACTCCTGTGCTCAAGTGATCCTCCCACCTCAGCCTCCTGAATGGCTGGAACTACAGGTTCCTGCCACCATATCAAGCTCTTTTTTTTTTTTTTTCTAGATGTAGTCTCTCTCTGTCACCCAGGCTGGAGTGCAGTGGCATGATCTCGGCTCACTGCAACCTCCACCTCTGGGTTCAAGCAGTTCTCCTGCCTCAGCCTCCCGAGTAGCTGGGATTACAGGTGTGCACCACCATGCCCAGCTAATTTTTTGTATTTTTAGTAGAGACGGGGTTTCACCATGCTGGCCAGGCTGGTCTCAAACTCCTGGCCTCATGATCCATCTGCCTCAGCCTCCCAAAGTGCTGGGATTACAGGCGTGAGCCATCACTCCCGGCCTCTTTTTTTTGTTAGAAATGGGATCTCATTATGTTACCCAGGCTGGTCTTGAACTCCTTGTCCCAAGTGATTCTCCCACCTTGGCCTCCCTCCCAAAGGGCTGAGATTATAGGTGTGAGCTACTGTGCCAAGCTGAGACCTCATCTCTAAAAATAACTAAATAAATAAAACAATTAAAGCTTTACTAGCTTTTGAAGGGCAAGTTAAGACACTTTACCAGAAGGGACCTGAATGAGCATTGCAATGATCTTTGCAAAAGTTGTTTCTTGAGAAACTCAATTCATCGACTGAAAGCTTAATATTCTGTTGATACTAAAAGTTACATTGAGCTTTTTTTTTTTTTTTTTTTTTGAGATGGATTCTCACTCTGTCGCCCAGGCTGGAGTGCAGTGGCATGATCTCGGCTCACTGCAACCTCTGCCTCCCAGGTTCAAACGATTCTCCTGCCGCAGCCTCCCGAGTAGCTGGGATTACAGGAGCCCGCCACTACGCCCAGCTAATTTTTTGCATTTTTAGTAGAGATGGGGTTTCACCATGTTGCCCAGGCTGGTCTCGAACTCCTGACCTCGTGGTTCACCCACCTCGGCTTCCCACGGTGCTGGGATTACAGGCGTGAACCACCGCACCTGGCCTAAAAGTTACATTGAGCTTTTAAAGTATGTATTGGCTCCATTAACGTTAATCTTTTTCTTACTAATGATGACCCCTCCTGCTACTCAGTTCACTAGTTTTTAAGAATACAAGCAAAACCAATTCTTTCTTTCTCTCTCTCTCTGTATATATATATTTTTAATTTTTATTTATTTATTTATTTATTTTGAGACGGAGTTATGCTTTGTCGCCCAGGCTAGAGTGCAATGGTTTGATCTCAGCTCACTGCAACCTCCACCTCCCAGGTTCAAGCGATTCTCCTGCATCAGCCTCCCGAGTAGCTGGGATTACAGGCACACGCCATCACGCCCGGCTAATTTTGGTATTTTTAGTAGAGACGGGGTTTCACCATGTTGGCCAGGCTGGTCTCGAACTCCTAACTTCAGGTGATCCACCCGCCTTGGCCTCCCAAAGTGCTGGGATTACAGGCGGAGCCACCACACCCAGCCTCCAGCAATATATTTTAACTCATATACTCCCCCCAAATGGTTACATGTAGAAATTCATCATAGCAGGAAAAACATTAGAAGCAGATCATACTCTTATTTTATGTCTGCTTCCTGATCATTCCTTTATGATCAAGAATACATCATTATCTACTGGAATGGCTGCTGTCATTACATTTATGTATCTTTCATGTCTTACAGAGGTGAAATTTCCCCTGGAACATTATATACTGGAATTGCAAGACCATAGAGTTGCACTTAACGGGTCTCATTCTGAGAAAGTGGCTATACTGGATGACAAAACAGCCATGGTGACTGCCTCACAACTGGGCCAGACTAATCTTGTCTTTGTCCATAAAAGTATCCTTTTGTTCAAGTTTTAGCTGCCAGTCTACACTTCCTTGAGCATCCTAGACATGTTCTTTGGTAAAATAATTTATTAAGAATGATTATGGCCGGGCGCGGTGGCTCACGCCTGTAATTCCAGCACTTTGGGAGGCCGAGGCGGGCTGATCACAAGGTCAGGAGATCGAGACCATCCTGGCTAACACGGTGAAACCCTGACTCTACTAAAAATACTAAAAATTAGCCAGGCGTGGTGGCGGGCGCCTGTAGTCCCAGCTACTCGGGAGGCTGAGGCAGGAGAATGGTGTGAACCCGGGAGGCAGAGGTTGCAGTGAGCCAAAATCGTGCCACTGCACTCCAACCTGGGCGGCACAGCGAGACTCCGTCTCAAAAAAAAAAAAAAGATTATAATACTACTACAGTGTTTTCCTATAGGTTTTATTTTTAATAAAGAATTATAAGTTATTACTGTCATAATTTCTAGCAGAGTAAGTAGAGAAAAGGAGTATAGTTGGAACTTGGGATCTACTAACTTCAATGCTTATTTGCAACCTCAATCAAATTGTAATTAGGGAAATAAAAAAACTGTAATTAGGGGAATGGGGAAAACGGAGTTTGGAAGAACATGTGAGAATTTTATTTAATTCTCTTTTCTATTTGTACATGATAATTGAGAAAATATGCTATTGTCTCCAGTAGATGTTTAACTAATATTTTTATTGTGTTGAGAGCAATTTTTAAAAATTCACTAAACCTGCTATGCAAGGATTGAACAAAGAAAGGTACACAGAGGCCGGGCGTGGTGGCTCACGCATGTAATCCCAGCACTTTGGGAGGCCGAGGCCGGCTGATCACCTGAGGTCGGGAGTTTGAGAACAGCTTGACCAACATGAAGAAACCCCGTCTCTACTAAAAATACAAAAATTAGCCGGGCGTGGTGGTGCATGCCTGTAATCCCAGCTACTCGGGAGGCTGAGGCAGGAGAATCGCTTGAACCCCCGGGAAGTGGAGGTTGCGGTGAGCCAAGATCGCACCACTGCACTCCAGCCTGGGCAACAAGAGCAAAACTCCATCTTTTTTTTTTTTTTTTTTTTGAGACGGAGTCTCGCTGTCGCCCAGGCCGGAGTGCAGTGGCGCAATCTCGGCTCACTGCAGGCTCCGCCCCCGGGGTTCACGCCGTTCTCCTGCCTCAGCCTCCCGAGTAGCTGGGACTACAGGCGCCCGTCACCTCGCCCAGCTAATTTTTTGTATTTTTAGTAGAGACGGGGTTTCACTGTGTTAGCCAGGATGGTCTCGATCTCCTGACCTTGTGATCTGCCCGCCTCGGCCTCCCAAAGTGCTGGGATTACAGGCGTGAGCCACCGCGCCCGGCCTGAAACTCCATCTCAAAAAAAAAAAAAAAAAAGGTACACGGAGATCTGTAATAGTCAATGAAAACAGAAGAGAATGAAGATTTAAATTCTCAGAAAATTGAAATATGATTTGGACTCCATCTCTCTGTGTTTTATTTGGTATTTTTTTTGAATATTTTAATCTGAAAGAAATTCATTCAGCAAATATCTATTATATTTCTACTATATGCTCAACATTGTTCTAAGCTCTGGGTATACAAATTGCCATTTTGTCCAGTATAGTTAGATTCTTAAAATATTATTATTATTATTATTATTTTTTTTTTGAGGTGGAGTTTTGCTCTTGTTGCCCAAGCTGGAGTGCAGTGGCGCGATTTCTGCTCACTCCCACCTCCGCCTCCCAGGTTCGAGTTATTCTCCTGCCTCGGCCTCCTAAGCAGCTGGGATTACAGGTGTGCGCCACCATGCCCGGCTAATTTTTGTATTTTTAGTAGAGATGGGGTTTCACCATGTTGGCCAGGCTGGACTTGAACTCCTGACCTCAGATGATCCACCCACTTCGGCCTTCCACAGTGCTGGGATTACAGGCATGAGCCACTGTGCCTGGCCAAAAAATTATTATTTTTGTAGAGACAGGGTCTCACTCTGTTGCCCAGGCTGGAGTGCAGTGGTGCAATCTTGGCTCTTGGCTCACTGCAACCTGTAAACTCCAGGCTCAAGTGATCCTCCCAGCTCAGCCTCCCAAGTAGCTGGGACCACAGGCACGTGCCACCACGCCCAGCTAATTTTTGTATTTTTTTATAGACACAAGGTCTCGCCATGTTGCCCACACTGCTCTTGAACTCCTGGACTCAAGCGATTCACCTGCCTTGGCCTCCCAAAGTGCTAGGATTCCAGGCATGAGCCACCACACCCAGCCAGATTTTTTTTTTTTTTTTTAGAGATAGAGTCTCACTCTGATGCCCAGGTTAGAGTGCAGAGGCATGATCATAACTCATAGTAGCCTTGAGCAATCCTCCCACCTCAGCCTTCTGAGTAGCTGGGACTATAGGCATACACCACCGTGCCATACTAATTGTGTCTTTTTTTGTAGAGATGTCTTGCTAGGCTGAGTAGGCTGGATGAACTACTGGCCTTAAATGAACCTCCTGCCTAGGCCTCCCAAAGTGCTTGGATTACAGGTGTGATCCACCACACCCAGTCTTTACCTAGCATAGTTAGAAAAGTCCTCTCTGATGAGGCGACACTGGCACAATAAGCCATGTGGATAATTGGTGAAAGACTTCTAGGGAAAGGAAAGAGCAATGGCAAAGGTTCTGAAGTAGGAACATATTTGGCATGATTAAAGAAGAGTAAGGAAGACAGTGAAGCTAAAGTGCAGTGAATCAGGAAATAGTAGAAGTAATAGAGTAGGGGAGGGGCAGATTAGGTAGGGCCTAGTAGGCTTACTCTGAATAAGAATGTCTCTACTTTGGGCACACTGTCTATAGCGTAGCCCTGCTCCAAAAGGAGCAGTACCTCTGCTACTCCACTTCAAGAAAAGTTGCCAACACCAAAAAAATTCTATCAGACTTGAAAGGTACAGTATTTCTTGTATAATATTGTTAGTTAGCAGCCTATATTATTTGTCTAACACACATTAAGGAGAGTTATTGATCCAATGTTGTTTGCTTTTTAGTCATTTTAAGGTACCTAGGACATTTTTCAACAAATACAATCATACCTACAAAATAAATTAAGTTATTCAATATTTATTGAGCCCCAACTGTGTGTCAGGAACTTCCCTGAATTCCCCAGGTGAACTTAAATGTTCTTTTTTTCCCCCATATTTTCAGTTCATATTGTTATTTTTTTCCAAAGTATCAAATATTAAAATACATTGTATTTGTCTGTTTATTTATCTTTTTTGAGGACATGGATGGTGACTATTCATAATATGTCCCAGCACCTGGCATAGAGTAGCTGGTGGAACTGTTCATGGAGATGGAGAATATAAGAGAAAGAGCAGTTTTAAGGAAAAAGATAGCGAGTTCAGTTTTTCACATGTTAAATTAAAACATCAAAACTGTGGGATAGATATCCAAGCAGAAATTTTCATTATGCCTCCGGAGGAGAAAGATTGAGGATCAAGATAGATCCTCAAGGATCAAGAAAGATTGAGGATCAAGATAGATATTTGAAAGTTAGTTTATAGATAGGTGATAGTTGGAGCTATTGTAGACAAAATCACCTAGGGAAATTATATACAGTGAGAGAATTTGGCCAAAGACAAAATTGTGTAATGCTAGCTTTTAAGGTTCGTATGGGAAAAGAGAACGTGTGAGGAGGATCTGAAGGAATGCTTAAAATGTAGTATTATAGAAAAACCAAGGATGGGCACAGTGGCTCATGCCTATAATCCCAGCACTTTGGGAGGCTGAGGCAGGTGGATCACTGGTCAGGAGTTTGAGACCAGCCTGGTCAACATGGAGAAACCCCATCTCTACTAATAATATAAAAATTAGCAGGGCGTGGTGATGCACGCCTGTAATCCCAGCTACTCGGGAGGAACTCCTGAGGCAGGAGAATCGCATGAACCTAGGAGGCAGAAGTTGCAGTGAGCCGAGATGGCACCACTGCACCCCAGCCTGGGCGACGGAGTGAAACTGAGTCTCAACTAAAGAAAAAAAGAAAAAAGAAAAAAAGAAAGAAAAACCAGAAAGAGGAGTTTCCTGATAACCAAATTAGGAATTTACAAAGAGGAGAAAACTGTTCAACAGGTCAAATCTGGTAGTGATGTCAAGATAAAGACTGAAAGGTTGTAGTAACTAGGAGGTCTTAGGTCACTTTGTCAGTAAAAACAGCTTGGCTTTCATAAGGACAAAAACAAATAAGTTTGAAAAAGACACAACGAATACTTTTTTTTTTTAAGATTGGAAAAACTTGAACATTTCTCTTAATATTTCTCTTAATTAAAGAGAGAAAGATGGCAGAGATAAGGGAGAAAGGAGAGCCAGTTGATGGAGCATGTTTTCTGAGAGGCAACAGAAAATGAGATTTGGAATGCAGATGGAAGGCTTAGATCTTATTCTGATATCTTATTCCGATATCAGAAGAATGAATTGTTTTAGAGATCTGTTGAGATGTTTCCTCATTTGTAAAATGAAGTGAATGTTGTTATTGCTGACTTTCCTTCTAGCTCTTTTCTTTTCTTTTTTTTTTTTTTGAGATGGAGTCTCGCTCTGTTGCCCGGGCTGGAGTGCAGTGGCGCCATCTTGGCTCACTGCAAGCTCCACCTCCCGGGTTCACGCCATTCTCCTGCCTCAGCCTCCCAAGTAGCTGGGACTACAGGCGCCTGCCACCACGCCTGGCTAATTTTTTGTATTTTTTTTTTTAGCAGAGACGGGGTTTCACCGTGTTAGCCAGGATGGTCTCAATCTTCTGACCTCGTGATCCACCCGTCTCGGCCTCCCAAAGTGCTGAGATTACAGGCGTGATTCACGACGCCCGGCCCTAGCTCTTATATGTTATGAATATTATGGTAAAGTACATATCAGAACTAAACCTAACTTTGGCACAGAGTTACCATAAAGTATTTAGAAGATTTGCTTTAGGCCGGGCACAGTGGCTCATGCATGTAACCCCAGCACTTTGAGAGGCTGAGGCAGGAGGATTGCTTGAGTCCAGGAGTTTAAGACCAGTCTAGGCAACATAGTGAGACCCCTGTCTCTACAAAAAGTAAAAGGTTAGCCAGATGTGGTGGTGCAGGCCTATAGTCCCAGTTACTCAGAGGCCTGAGGGTAGGAGAATCGCTTGAGTCCAGGAGTTAGAGAGGCTGCAGTGAGCTGTGATTGTACCACTGCACTCAGCCTGGGTGACAGAGTGAGACCCTGTCTCAAAAAAAAAAAAAAAAAAAAAAAATTGGGGCCAGGCGCAGTGGCTCACGCCTGTAATCCCAACGCTTTGGGAGGCTGAGGCGGGTGGATCACCTGAGGTCAGGAGTTCGAGACCAGCCTGGCCAACATGGCAAAACCCTGTCTCTACTAAAAATACAATAATTAGCTGGGCGAGGTGGTGCGCGCCTATAGTCCCAGCTACTTGGGAGTCTGAGGCAGAAGAATCGCTTGAACATGGGAGGCAGTGGTTTCAGTGAGCCAAGATCATGCTGTTGCACTCTAGCCTGGGTGACAGAGTGCAATGGCGCAATCTCAGCTCACTGCAACCTCTGCCTCCTGGGTTCAAGCAATTCTTCTGCCTCAGCCTCCTGAGTAGCTGAGATTACGGGTGCCTGCCACCACACCTGGCTAATTTTTGTATTTTTAGTAAAGACAGGGTTTCACCATGTTGGTCAGGCTGGTCTTGAACTCCTGACCTCAGACAGTCCACCCACCTCGGCCTCCCAAAGTGCTGGGATTACAGGCATGAGCCACCGTGCCTGGCCAGTTATGTGTTTCTCAGAGCAGAAGTAATTTATTCTTAGCTTTTGGATGTAGTATATTTTTGAGAACAAAGCATATTCTTAATTAGATTGTATATAGACTGATACTGGAATAAATTTATATTTCTGCCAGGATTATCTGAAATGGTAGTGGTAGAATGAGGTATAAGTGACCCAGAAGTATCTTTGATGGCATGCAGAGAACATTTTGGTATTAAACATTTACTGCAAATAACAGAAAATCAACTAGTAATTTTGAAACTATCTGTGGAGTTCTAGGCATGTTGCTGGATGGCAAGTCATGCCTCTCCCTCTGCCTCCATCAACAGTTCATCCCTTTAGCCAGAAGGTCTCTTCCTCCAGAATGGAGCCACTTCGTCCTGTTTCCATACTGGGCTCCTATGTAGGTATTTATTTGGAGAAAGGGGTCTGCAGCTACGTTAATATTAAAAGCACAAAGCATGATCTTTTTTCTCCCTTTCTATCTTCCTCAAATTGAAATTCAAGAATATCTGACTCATAAGATGACTAAGAGTCCCTCAGACTTTTTGCAGAAGTATACACATTTAAGTTTTGGCTTTCCAAAGGATAATAAAAGATAGGATTTTTGTTTGTTTTCATTTGTGCATTTGTTTGTTTGTTTGTTTTTCTCCTTTGGTACCTCACCTTTTCACCCAACTCTGGCTCACATGATTTCCTTAAGCAAAAATTAAGATGTTCATATGCGATCTGTGTCTGGACTCCCAAATTGCACCATATATGTTGTAGAGCCTGGATTTTTAGGTATTTTAGATCATACTTTTCAGAAAGGTGGATAGCTTAAATGATTTCACTAAAATGAGTGCATTATACAGCATTTCTTCAACTTTCAACTTTCATTCTGGGACTTAATTTCAAATTCAACCTTACTTTGACATGTTTTATCAAATTGTTCTGATTAAATGCTATCACAAGAGTGAAGCATGTTGAAACAGATTGTGAAAAAAATATGAAAATCCATGTAATACAATTTTGAGTTTAGGAAAAGAAACTTTATACAAGGAAAAAAGAATCTTAACGCTCATAGGCCATATGAAAACAATGAATCTGACTGAAAGAAGCTGAAATATTGCCTGACACATTAGGAATGAGCTGAAAGTATGGTTTCTTCTTGTCTACAGATATAAGTGAAAGTGTTTCTTTTTTTTGTTTGTGTTTGTTTTTGTTTTTGTTTGAGACAGGGTCTTGCTCTGTCACCCAGGCTGGAATGCAGTGGTGTGATCTTGGCTGACTGCAACCTCTGCCTCTCAGGCTCAAGCAATCTTCACACCTTAGCCTTCCAAGTAGCTGGGACTACAGGTGCGCCACCATGCCTGGCTAATTTTTGTTTTCTGTAAAGATGGGATTTTGCCACATTGCCCAGGCTGGTCTCAAACTCCTGAGCTCAAGCGATTTGCTCTCCTCGGCCTCCCAAAGTGCCAGAATTAGAGGTGTGAACCACCATGCCCAGCCTAAAGTGTTTCTTTATACCTGAGATGAGCTAAATTAAACCAGGATTTTTGGAACCCTAAATTATTATACAATTTTTTCTTTTTGGTCTGAATCAGTGTCTGGCTCTGTTGCCCAGGCTGGAATGCAATGGGCTACAGCCCACTGTAGCCTCCAATTCCTGGGGTCAAATGATCCTTCCACCTCAGTCTCCTGAGTAATGGAACTATAGCCGCGAGCCACCACGTTCAGCTAATTTTTAATTTTTTTGTAGAGATGGGATCTTGCCGTGTTGCCCAGGCTGGTCTCAAACTCCTGGGCTCAAGCAATTCTCCCTCCTTGGCCTCCCAAAGTGCTAGGATTATAGGCATGAGCCACCAGGCCAAGCCTTATACAATTTGAGAGAAGGAACTAAAAGATCTACTTTGGAGAGCTGGGTGCAGTGGTTCATGTCTAATTCCAGCACTTTGGGAGGCTGAGGCTGGTACATCCCTTGAGCTGAGGAGTTCGAGACCAGTGTGGGCAACATGATGAAACCCTGTCTCTACTATAAATGGAAGAATTAGCCAGGCGCAGTGTTCTAAGCCTGTAGTCCCAGCTACTCAGAAGACTAAGGTAGAAGGATCACCTGAGCCCAGGAGGTCGAGGCTGCAGTGAGTCATGATGACACCACTGCACTCCAGCATCTGTGACAGTGAGACCCTGTTTCAAAAAATAACAACAAAAAAATCTACTTTAGACCAGGCACAGTGGCTCAGGCCTGTAATTCCAGCACTTTGGGAGGCTGAGGCAGGCAGATCACTTGAGGCCAGGAGTTTGAGACCAGCCTGGCCAACATGGCAAAACCTCATCTCTACTAAAAATACAAAAATTAGCTGAGCATGCATGGTAACGCACACCGATAATCCCAGTTACTTGGGAGGCTGAGGCACAAGAATCAGTTGAACCCAGGAGGCAGAGGTTGCAGTGAGCCGAAATCATCACTGCACTCCAGCCTGGGTGACAAAGCAAGACTCTCAAAAAAAAAAAAAAAAAAAAAGAACCTACTTTGGAAACCATCTCCATCTATTAGTAAATTTTGCTGTTTGAACAGCTTTATAAAGGTTGTATTTTTAAATTCGTTGTAGAAAAATGTTAGCCTCTTCTAATATTTTTGTTTCTTGATTTGTGTATAGGTTTCACTGTCCAACCTGGAAACCGATGGAGTCTAGAGGTGGGACAGGTATATGTCATTACAGTAGACGTCTTTGATAAAAGCAGCACAAAGGTCTATATTTCAGATGTGAGTCAGTCTTTTTTATTTTTCTGAGCTCCTTGTAGGGATAAGATACATAAGATGTAAAGTGGACCATCTTCCTGGCTAGAAAGCCCTCTTTCTTTCTTTGATTCTAGATTTTTACCTTCGGAAAAGCAAGTTGCTAATTTATTATTATCATTAATTCTCTTCTTCTTCTTCTTCTTTTTCTTCTTTTTTTTTTTTTTTTAAAGAGACACAGTCTCGCTCTGTCACCCAGACTGGAGTACAGTGGTGTGATCATAGCTCACTGCAGCCTCCAACTCCTGGGCTCAAGCAATCCTCCTGCCTCAGCTGGGATTAAAGGCATAAGCAACCATGCCCAGCTAGTTCTGTTCTTGAGGAATGCTAAATCAGAAGTAAAAGATATAATTTGGTCAGAATTATAGAAAAGAGGTGAAATGAGTACCAGTGATAACACTTTGGAAGGTGTCCTCATTCTACAACTTCACATCCTAGATGGTTACCAGAGTTTTGTAGTGGTGAGAGTAGTAATATGAATATCAGATGTGAAGTATTGTACTCACTCTCTAGGGTCCTTATTTCATCCTGAGAACTGTCAATTTATAAAATGGTAAAAATTACACTAAAATTTGCATAAGCTTTGACTCTTGCTATTCCTGATGTTTGCCATTGATAGATCTTTCAAAAACTAGTCCCATTTTAAAATTATATCTCCCCAACTTTTAATTTCTATGAGGGAGAGCAAAAGTTTTGTTTTTATCTCTTTATTCCATGAATGCATAGCTACAGTTTTATAGATGCTTTGGGATTAAGATGACTTCAGGGAAAGAACATATCTTCAGGTTTGTGTTACTGTGGGGCTGATTTTCAGAATCTCAGGATTACATACGACTTTCCTAAGGAGTACTTTGAAGAGCAACTAACTACCGTGAATGGATCTTACCATATAGTAAAAGCCCTGAAAGATGGTGTTGTGGTAATAAATGCATCCCTGACCTCCATCATTTACCAGGTAGGAATTAAACAGACAGTGTTTGTATTCTAAGAACACTGAAGAGGCTTGGCTGACTTGTTGATTTGCAAGCAGATATATAGCATATACCACCTTTATCTTTCAGAAAAATAAACAGATAAACAGCAAATTCGTAAGTGTATACCTCTACAAATTTTCTGTTCTAATCTATGTTATTGTACATTAAAATATCTGCATTTGCGGTCATTGTGTATATATCATTTGGGGTTTCAGGTTTCATTAAAAACATTTCTTGGCCGGGCGCGGTGGCTCACGCCTGTAATCCCAGCACTTTGGGAGGCCGAGGCGGGCGGATCACGAGGTCAGGAGATCGAGACCATCCCGGCTAAAACGGTGAAACCCCGTCTCTACTAAAAATACAAAAAAATTAGCCGGGCGCGGTGGCGGGCGCCTGTAGTTCCAGCTACTTGGGAGGCTGAGGCAGGAGAATGGCGTGAACCCGGGAGGCGGAGCTTGCAGTGAGCCGAGATCCCGCCACTGCGCTCCAGCCTGGGCGACAGAGCGAGACTCCGTCTCAAAAAAAAAAAAAAAAAAAAAAAAAAAAAAAAACATTTCCCTCCCTCCCTTCCTTCCTTCCTTCCTTCCTTCCTTCCTTCCTTCCTTCCTTCCTTCCTTCCTTCCTTCCTTCCTTCCTTCCTTCCTTCCTTCCTTCCTTCCTTCCTTCCTTCCTTCCTTCCTTTCAGAGAGGGCCTCATTTCATCAGCCAGGATGGAGTGCAGTGGTGCACTCATGGCTCACTGCAGCCTGGACCTCCCAGGCTCAAGCAATCCTCCCACCTTAGCCCCCCAAGTAGCTGGGACTGCAGGCACATGCCACCACACCTGGCTAATTTTTGTTTTTGTTTAGTTTTTCGAGGCAGAGTCTCACTCTGTTGCCCAGGCTGGAGTGCAGTGGCGTGGTCTTGGCTCACTGCAACCTCTGCTTCCTGGGTTCAAGCGATTCTCCTACCTCAGCCTCCTGTGTAGCTGGGGTTATAGGCATCCACCACCATGCCTGGCAAATTTTTGTATTTTTAGTAGAGACAGGGTTTCACCATGTTGGCCAGGCTGGCCTTGAACTCCTGACCTCAAGTGATTCACCCGCCTCACCCTCCCAAAGTGCTGGGATTACAGGCATGAGCCACCACAACCGGCCACACCTGGCTAATTTTTAAATTTTTTGTAAAGAAGGCGTTTCACTGTGTGGCACAGGCTGGTCTTGAACTCCTAGGCTCAAGTGATCCTCCCATGTCAGCCTCCCAAAGTGCTGGGATTATAGGTGTGAGCCACTACACCCAGCCATGATGTATTTCATATGCACATTTCCATGTGTCATCAGGTCCACAGAGCGTACTTTATTTTTCTTTTTTTGGAGACAAGTCTCACTCTGTCACCCAGGCTGGAGTGCAATGGCATCATCATAGCTTACCTGCAGCCTCGACCTCCTGGGCTCAAGTGATCCTCCTGCCTTAGCCTTCCAAGTAGCTGGGACTACAGGCGTGTGCCACCACACCCAGCTAATTTTTATATTTTTTGTAGAGACAGGTTCTTGCTATGTTGCCCACAATGGTCTCAAACTCCTAGGCTCAAGTGTTCCTCCTGCCTTGGCGTCCCAAAATGTTGAGATTACAGGTGTGAGCCACCACTACCAGGTGCATAGAGTACTATTAATTCTAAAAATCCAAAGGTTTCATATGCCAATTTATTTACCCATGCCCCAAACATTGAATGTTTCCATTATTTCCATTTTTTTTACTGTTGTAAATGGCATAACTGAGTATCTTTGTACATTTTTTTTCTTTTGGATTATTTCCATACTGTGTAACAACAGAAATGGAGTTATTGAGTAAAGGGATAAGGAATGAATCTGTTTCTAATGCCTCCAAAATACATAAGTATCCTGATTTTTACTAGCCTGCCAAACCTGCTTTCCTCTCCCAAACCTACTTTTTCTCCAATGCTCCTTTCACTCAGTTTAGACAAAATCCGAAGTCACCCTTGACTCTGCCTTCTCCCTCAGCTTCTGTATTCAATACATTATTAAGTGCCATGTCAATTCTAAATGCCAGTCAAATCTTTTTTTTTTTTACCATCCCCGTTGTGCTCTCTCTCTCTCTTTTTTTTTTTTTTTCTTTTTGAGATGGAGTCTCACTCTGTTGCCCAGGCTGGAGCGCAGTGGCGCGATCTCAGCTCACTGCAACCTCCGCCTCCTGTGTTCATGTGATTCTCCTGCCTCAGCCTCCCAAGTAGCTAGGACTACAGGCGTGTGCCACCACGCCCGGCTAATTTTTGTAATTTTTTTTAGTAGAGATGGGGGTTTCACCATATTGGCCAGGCTGGTCTCGAACTCCTGACCTTGTGATCCGCCCACCTTGGACTCCCAAAGTGCTAGGATTACAGGCATGAGCCACCGCGCCCAGCCTCTCTCTCTCTTTTTTTTTTTTAATTGAGACAGTCTCACTCTGTCACCTAGGCTGGAGTGCAGTGGCACGATCTCGGTTCACTGCAACCTCTGCCTCCTGAGTTCAAGCGATTCTCCTGCCTCAGCCTCCCGAGTAGCTGGGAATACAGGATCATGCCACAATGGCTGGCTAATTTTTGTATTTTTAGTAGAGACAAGGTTTTACTATGTTGGCCAGGGTGGTCTCGAACTCCTGACCTCAAGTGATCCACCCGCCTTGGCCTCCCAAAGTGCTGGAATTGTAGGAGTGAGCCATGGAAACTGGCCCATTAATAACTTTTTAAACTTTTAATTTTGAAATTATTATAGATTTACCAGAAGTTGCAAAAATAGTATATAGGACAAAGAAAATGTACATATGGCTAATAGCACATTAAAAGATGTTCAGCATGATTAGTCATTAAGAAAATGCAAATCCAGATGGGCGAGTTGGCTCACGCCTATAATCCTAGCATTTGGAAGGCCCAGGCGGGTGGATCACTTGAGGTCAGGAGCTTGAGACCAGCCTGGCCAACATGATGAAACTCCATCTCTACTAAAAATGCAAAAATTAGCTGGGCGTGGTGGCGCGTGCCTATAATCCCGGATACTCGGGAGGCTGAGGCAGGAGAATAGCTTGAACCTGGGAGGCGGAGGTTGCAGTGAGCCGAGGTTGCGCCATTGCACTCCAGCCTGGGCAACAAGAGCGAAACTCCGTCTCAAAAAGAAAAGAAATACAACTGACATTGGAGTGTTGATGTTGTATATGGCAACTTCGCTGAATTAATTTATTAGCTCTAGTAGTTTTTTGTGGTTTTTTTTTTTTTTTTTTTGAGACAGGGTCTCACTCTGTTACCCAGGGTGGATTGCAGTGGCACCATCATGGTTTACTGCAGCCTTGACCTCCTGGGCCCAAGTGATCCTCCTACCTCAGCCTCCTGAGTAGCTGGGACTACAGGTGCATTCCACCACTCCCAGCTAATTTTTTTGTAGAGATGAGTTTCACCATGTTGCCCTGGCTGGTCTCAAACTCCTGAACTCAGGTGCTCCACCCACCTCAGCCTCCCAAGGTGCTGGGATTAGAGGTGTGAGCCACTGCACCTGGCCCTGGAACTGCCATACTGTTTTCTACAGTAGCTGCACCATGTTACATTCCACCAGCATTGTATAAGTGTTCCTATTTCTCCACATCCTTGTCAACACTTGTTATTTTCTGTTTTGTTTTCTTTGAGACGGAGTTTTGCTCTGTTTCCCAGACTAGAGTGCAGTGGCACAATCTCGGCTCACTGCAACCTCCACCTCCCGAGTTCACACCATTCTCCTGCCTCAGCCTCTGAGTAGCTGGGACTACAGGCGCCTGCCACCATGCCCGGCTAATTTTTTGTATTTTTAGTAGAAACGGGGTTTCGCTGTGTTAGCCAGGATGGTCTTGATCTCCTGACCTCATGATCTGCCTGCCTCGGCCTCCCAAAGTGCTGGGATTACAGGCGTGAGCCACCGCGCTGGGCCTGTTTTGTTTTTAAATAATAGCCATCCTAATGGGTAATAAGTAGTATCTAACTATGGTTTTCATTTTCCTTTTCCTAATGATCAGTGTATGGGAAGTTTTTAAACTATGAATTCAATTTTAAAAATATATATACAGCCATTCACATGTTATTTGGTAGTTTGTATCTTTGAAGGAATTTGTCCATTTTATCTAAGTGGTTGAATTTATCACATAAAGTTGTTCAAAATATTGTTTTACTAGTCTTTTGTTGTCTATAAAATCTGTAGTGATGTCCCCTTATTAATTCCTGATATTGGTCATTTATGTCTCTCTTGTTTTCTTTCTGAGTCTGGCTAGAGGTTTATAAATGTTATTGAGTTTTTCAAAGAGCAACTGTTGGTTTCATTGACTTTTCTCTATTTGTCTGTTTTCTATTTCATTCATTTATGCTTTTGTATTATTCTCTTTCTTTTGCTTCGTTTGGATTTAATTTGCTTTTCTTTTTAAAGTTTCTTTTTCTTTTTTTTTTTGAGATGGAGTCTTACTGTTGCCCAGACTGGAGAGCAGTGGAACGATCTCGGCCCACTGCAACCTCCGCCTCCCGGGTTCAAGTGATTCTCCTGCCTCAGCCTCCCGAGTAGCTGGGATTACAGGCGCCCGCCACCATGCCCAGCTAATTTTTGTATTTTTAGTAGAGACGGGATTTCACTATGTTGGCCAGACTGGTCTCAAACTCCTGACCTCAGGTGATCCACCCGCCTTGGCCTCCCAAAGTGCTAGGATTACAGGCGTGAGCCACCGCTTTCAGCCTTTAAAGTTTCTTATGGTGGAAGAACTTTATGATGGATCATTGGGTTATATCTTTCTTCTTTTTTAATATAAGCACTTCTGCCATATTCTATTGGTTATTCAGACCAATCCTAAGACAATGTATACTACATAATGGGGACTACAGAAGGGGGTGAATACCAGGAGTCAGAAATCTTTGGGGGCCATCTTTTAGTCTAGTTATCATAGATAGGTGCTCCAAATTCGTTCTGGGTTCCCTGATATTAGACTTAAATGATTTAATGAACCTGTTTCCAGTAATAAAGTGAGCACTGCTATTCCATGGCATGCAATAGCAAAACAGCTGTTTAAATTATTACCTGTAGACACACTCCAGTCAAGTGCATAGAGAAGGCAAAGCTTTAGGTAACCAACTGGTTGCTCCCCTAAAACATTACAGTGACAGTAAGGGATTTAATATGATTGATCATTGTTGCTAAATGTGCTGGATAGTGTGGGGAAAGAAAATGGTTACATCAGGGCTTTAAATTCCCAGCATGAGATCCCCATAAGAGATCTAAAAGTTTCTCTGACTATCCTTGAAGAAGATCTCACTACCAGATTATTATACCTTGTCTGCAATCATGTGATTAAAATCAACAATAAAGGGATTTTTAAAGTACATATTTATAAATTTAATAATGCACTACTTTTTTTTTTTTTTTTTTTTTGAGACAGAGTCTCGCCCTGTCTCCCAGGCTGTTGTGCAATGGTGTGATGTCAGCTCACTGCAACCTCCGCCTCATGGGTTCAAGTGATTCTCCTGCCTCAGCCTCCTGTGTAGCTGGGATTACAGGTGCATGCCACCATGCCTGGCTAATTTTTTGTATCTTTAGGTAGAGACGGGGTTTCACCATGTTGGCCAGGCTGTTCTCAAACTCCTGACCTCATGATCTGGCCACCTTGGATAATGCATTTCTTTTTTTTTTTTTTTTTAATTATTATACTTTAAGTTCTAGGGTACATGTGCACAATGTGCAGGTTTGTTACATATGTATACATGTGCCATGTTGGTGTGCTGCACCCATTAACTTATCATTTACGTTAGGTATATCTCCTAATGCTATCCTTCCCCCCTCCCCCAACCCCATGACAGGCTCCGGGGTGTGATGTTCCCCTTTCTGTGTCCAAGTGTTCTCATTGTTCAATTCCCACCTATGAGTGAGAGCATACGGTGTTTGGTTTTTTGTCCTTGTGATAGTTTGCTGAGAATGATGGTTTCCAGCTTCATCCATGTCCCTACAAAGGACATGAACTCACCCTTTTTTATGGCTGCATAGTATCCAGAATCTACAAAGAACTCAAACAAATTTACAAGAAGAAAACAACCCCATCAAAAAGTGGGTGAAGGATGTGAACAGACACTTCTCAAAAGAAGACATTTATGCAGCCAACAGACACATGAAAAAATGCTCCTCATCACTGGCCATCAGAGAAATGCAAATCAAAACCACAATGAGATATCATCTCACACCAGTTAGAATGGCAATCATTAAAAAGTCAGGAAACAACAGGTGCTGGAGAGGATGTGGAGAAATAGGAACACTTTTACACTGTTGGTGGGACTGTAAACTAGTTCAACCATTGTGGAAGTCAGCGTGGCGATTCCTCAAGGATCTAGAACTAGAAATACCATTTGACCCAGCCATCCCATTACTGGGTATATACCCAAAGGATTATAAGTCATGCTGCTATAAAGACACATGCACACGTATGTTTATTGCAGCACTATTCACAATAGCAAAGACTTGGAACCAACCCAAATGTCCATTAGTGATAGACTGGATTAAGAAAATGTGGCACATATACACCATGGATAATGCACTTCTAAATACAATTGTCCCTCAGTATATGTGGGGAACTGGTTTCAGGACCCCACATATACCAAAATCCACGCATACTCAAGTCCTACATTCAGCCCTGTAGAACCTTATTATTTATTTATTTATTTGGTTTTTTGTTTGTTTGTTTGTTTTTTGAGACCAGGTTTCCCTATTGTTGCCCAGGCTGGAGTGCAGTGGCGTGATCTCAGCTTACTGCAACCTCCGCCTCCCAAGTTCAAGCAATTCTCCTGTCTCAGCCTCCCAAGTAGCTGGAGTTACAGGCATGCACCACACGCTCAGCTGATTTTTTGTATTTTTAGTAGAGATGGGGTTTCACCATGTTGGCCAGGCTGGTTTTGAACTCCTGACCTCAGGTGGTCCACCCACCTCGTCCTCCCAAAGTGCTGGGATTATAGACATGAGCCACCTCTCCCAGCCAGCCCTGTAGAACCTTACACAAAAAGTTGGCCCTCTATATATGAGTGGGTTCTGCTTGTTTTTAAGTATGAGGCAAATTTCTTACCTTAGCACCTTTAAATGTTCTCATTTTCTTCTGAATAGCTTATAGTATCCCTTTCCCTTTACAGTTTATGGATGTCCAGGGGTCTTTCTTCTGAAAGTATGGTTTCCCTTACTATGTTGATTTTTTAAAAAACCTCTTTTATTTCAGGGAATTTTAAGCTATTTTCCCTGATTCTGATAATTAGTTTAGGTCTAGCAAAACCCTTTTCATTATTATTTCATTTTCATTATTATTGAACCATAGCAACTATGCTTATTTAATGAAGAGAAATATTTATTTATTTCTTTTATAGATAGAAACTGGTTGAGTAATTTATGAGCATACCATTTTGCTGATGTTTTGAGTATATGAATGTGTATTATAAGAATAGTCCTTATAAATATATTTTGCTCCTTTTTTCCTGCTCTTATAGAATAAAGATATTCAGCCTATAAAATTTCTAATCAAACACCAACAAGAAGTGAAGATTTATTTTCCCATCATGCTTACACCCAAATTTCTGGCATTTCCTCATCATCCTATGGGAATGTTATATCGTTATAAAGTACAGGTATGGTGTCCTATAAGGCTTCACAAGGAGATAAGCCGGTTTCTCTAATAGCTTAATTTATTGAAATTTGATTAATGTTACATTTATTTCCTCCCAATCCTAAAAGTATAACTTGGGTTTTGGTGACAACCAAAATTATACTCTTGAAAAATGTCATCTATAACAAGACTTGGTTACAGATGCTTTCTGTCTCTCTTCCCAATATCCTTTCCTTGTGAGTTTTATAAAGTTCTGTTGTGTCTTTTTTTGACATTTTGTGACACTACCATTACTTTGCCTCCCTTTAGTATTTCTCTTGCCTGTTAAGGTACTTTACTATAGTGTCACAGTTTCTTTTCTTTCTTTCTTTCTTTTTTTTTCTGAGACAGAGTTTTGCTCTTGTTGCCCAGGCTGGAGTGTAATGGTGCAATCTCGGCTCACTGCAACCTCTGTCTCCCAGGTTGAAGCGATTCTCCTGCCTCAGCCTCCGGAGTAGCTGGGATTACAGGCGTGTGCCACCACTCCCAGCTAATTTTGTATTTTTAGTAGAGACAGGGTTTCACCATGTTGGCCAGGCTGGTCTCGAACTTCTGACGTCAGGTAATCCACCCACCTTGGCCTTCCAAAGTGCTGGGATTACAGGTGTAAGGCACCATGCCCAGCCTAGTGTCACAGTTTCTAATGTGTCCAAAAATAATTTATTATATTATGTTACTATTTTGTAAACTTTATTTCACCAGTCAAGTTTTACATTTTCACTTAAATTTTATTTTCTTCCGATTGTAATTAAATGTAATGTGTGTTTTCACAGGTAGAGGGTGGCAGTGGCAACTTTACCTGGACTTCTTCTAATGAAACAGTGGTCATAGTAACCACGAAAGGAGTGGTGACTGCAGGTCAGGTCAGGGGGAATAGTACTGTTTTGGCCCGAGATGTACAAAATCCCTTTCGATATGGAGAAATTAAGGTAAACGACTCTCCAGATATTCTTATTACCCCTACAACACTACTGTCTAAATTTAAGTAATTAACACACTTTAAAAAAAGAGCCCAACATGGCTATTTAAAAATATTACTCACATTCAGTCAAGAAATACTTTTTTTTTTGGAGACAGATGTTGCTCTGTTTCCCAGGCTGCAGTGCAGTGGCAAGATCTCAGCTCACTCACTGCAACCTCTGCCTCCCCGGTTCAAGTAATTCTCCTGGCTCAGCCTCCTGAGTAGCTGGGATTACAGGTGCCCACTACCACACCTGGCTAATTTTTGTATTTTTAGTAGAGGTGGGGTTTCTCCATGTTGGCCAGGCTGGTGTCAAACTCCTGACCTCAGGTGATCTGCCTGCCTCGGCCTCCCAAAGTGCTGGGATTACAGGCATAAGCCACTGCACCCAGCCAGAAATACATATTTTAAAAATATTTCTATAACTAGGTTGAATCTTGCTTCACTTAATAGTCACTTATTTAACATCTATGTTTGTTTCCTCATAGGATGATGTTAGTATCCACCTCGAAGGTTATTATCAGAATTATTGAAAAATGTTTTTAACTGGAAAATTTGAGGAAAAAAATGATGAAATGCATTCTGTATTTATTATACTAATTATAAAAACACATGTAAAACTGAAAACAGTAATAGGTAACATTTTGAGCATTTGTTACAGTGCTCTACAAGTTCAGAGAAACTTCCCTTGTAATGAACTATAGACATGATCACTGAAAGTATAGTCTTTATTGTCAGGATTAAATGAGATAGTGTTTACTCCAGTGCTTGGCATATATTTAATATTTAATTAACGTTAACTTTTTTGTTATAGTTATACATATGATTTTTAAATGGCCTTTATAGTAACTTTATCTCTAGTGTCATATTTTGGTTTGTCAATCTGTTACTAAAAGATTGAAAACTCTTTTTTAGTATATTATGTAACCATTTTCCTATTTTTCTCCTTTATTTTTTCTTTTTTTGAGACTGAGTCTTGCTCTGTTGCCCAGACTGGAGGGCAATGGCATGATCATAGCTCACTGCAGCCTCAAACTCCTAGGACTCAAGCAGTTCTCCCGCCTTGGCCTCCCAAGTAGCCAGGACTACAGATATGCACCACCCCACACAGTTAATTTATTATTTTTGTAGAGACAGGGTCTCACTGTGTTGCCCAGGCTGGTCCCAAACTCCTGGCCTCAAGTGATCCTCCTGTCTTGGCCTTCCAAAGTGCAAGGATTACAGGTGTGAGCCACTGTACCCAGCCCCATTTTTTTTTTTTTTTTCCCTGAGATGGAGTCTCACTCTGTTGCCCAGGCTGGAGTGCAGTGGCGTGATCTCAGCTCACTGCAACCTCCGCCTTTCAGGTTCAAGCAATTCTCCTGCCTCAGCCTCCTGAGTAGCTGGGACTACAGGCACCCGCCAACACACCCAACTAATTTTTTTTTTTTTTTTTTTTGAGATGGAGTCTCTTTCTGTCGCCAAGG
Source organism: Homo sapiens (assembly GCF_000001405.40). Classification (NCBI taxonomy): domain Eukaryota; kingdom Metazoa; phylum Chordata; class Mammalia; order Primates; family Hominidae; genus Homo; species Homo sapiens. The sequence goes on along the minus strand of NC_000001.11, from coordinate 154,116,226 downwards.
CTGGAGTGCAGTGGTGCGATCTTGGCTCACTGCAAGCTCTGCCTCCCAGGTTCACCCCATTCTCCTGCCTCAGCCTCCCGAGTAGCTGGGACTACAGGCATGTGCCACCATGCCCGGCCAATTTTTTGTATTTTTAATAGAGATGGGGTTTCACCGTGCTAGCCAGGCTGGTCTCTATCTCCTGACCTCGTGATCCACCTGCCTCGGCCTCCCAAAGTGCTGGGATTACAGGCATGAGTCACCGCGCCCGGCCTAATTTTTTGTATTTTCAGTAGAGACGGGGTTTCACCATTATGGCCAGGCTGATCTCGAACTCCTGACCTCAAGTGATCCGCCCACCCCGGCCTTCCATAGTGGTGGGATTACAGGCATGAGCCACTGCGCCCAGCCCCAGCCCCATTTTTAATATATGTTGCTGTTCTCTATAGGACTTAATAGTTTGCCATCACTCAGTGAACATTTATTATCTCGTAGGTATTATTGGACATTCAGAGATACATAACACATGATCCCTATCTTAAAGTATTTAAAGTATAACTAGGAAGATATATTGACATGAAAAAAGTCAAATAACATTTTAAGAAAATGATATGTGAGATATTTAAAGCCCTGTATGACTGAGAACTACTTGAATTGTACAGTAAGTGCTATTAGTTTGTAAAAGAGAAATCCTTGTGTATGGGACTATCAGAGACTATTATGAAAGAGGTGGGAACTTCAATAAGACTTTTGGAGGATGGAATAAAAGTAAGGCCCAAAGGTCAAATTTAGAGTGCTTCCTTATTTGGTAAATAAACTTTTTTCAGAACACAGCTACTCCCATTCATTTACATATTGTCTGTGGCTGCTTTCAAGCCACAGCTGCTGAGTTAGTAGTTACCACGGAGACTGTGTAGCCTCAATAAGTCTAAAATGTTTACTATCTAGCTCTTTACAGAAAGCTTTGCCAATCCTTGCTGTAGACAATGGGGAACCAATACAGGCTTTTAACAGGTCAATGGTATGGTAAGGTCTCTGTTCTGAAAGATATCTAATTATTTTTATAATCAGACAATAACAGCCATTATACTAAAAAACAAAAGATACTTGCTGGTGCTATAGACTAGTAGATTAGAATGGATTGAAGGGAGAAAGTGAAGGCAAAAACTTCAGTTAAGCTTGAACTAGTGAGATGGTATTGAGAATAGCAGGAAATGGACCAAATGATAATCTTTTTTAACAGGTAAATCAATCCGATTTGATTGAGCAGGGAAGAGTTAAACATTTAAAGCCACAGAGATGATGTGGAGGTTTCTCACTTTGCCAGCGGGGTGGATAGAAAATACAAGAGGCTGGGAGTGGTGGCTTACACATGTAATCCCAACACCTTTGAGTGGCCAAGGCAGGAGAGTGGCTTGAGGCCAGGAGTTCGAGACCAGCCTGGACAACAAAGCAAGACCCCCCCCCCCATCTCTTAAAAAAAAAATTAACCAGGCATAGTGGCACATGCCTGTAGTCCTAGCTACTGAGGCAGGAGGGTCGCTTGAGGCCAGGAGTTTGAGGTTGCGGTGAACTATGATCACGCCTCTGCACTCTAGCTTAGGCAAGAGTGAGACCCTGTCTTTAAAAAAAGAAAAGAAAATACAAAAAAATGGAAAAGATGATGAATTTAGTTTTGGATACATTTAGCGTAATTCACCTATGGAGCATCTAAGTGGATGTTTTTAATTGGAAATAGGGGTCTGAAGTTCAACTGAAAGATTAGGGCTGGAGAGTTTGCATATGGTTAGTCACTGAAGCTTTGGGACTGGATAAGTTTTCCCAGGAAGAACATATGGATCCTGTGTAATGTAAATGTCACTTTAAGAAACATAGGAAGAGGAACTAGCAGAAGAAACATAGAAAGTGGCAAAAATGACAAAATAAAAGATTTTATTTTATTTTATTTATTAATTTTTTTGAGATGGGGTTTCTGTTGCCCAGGTTCAATGCAGTGGCACAATCGTGGCCTACTCCAGCCTTGACCTCAAGCAATCCTCCCACCTCAGCCTTCCAAGTAGCTGGGACGTGTACCACTACGCCTGGCAAATTTTTTTTTTTTTTTTGAGATGGAGTCTTGCGCTGTTGCCCAGGCTGGAGTGCAGTGGTGCGATCTTGGCTCATTGCAACCTCCGCCTCTCGAGTTCAAGCAATTCTCCTGCCTCAGCCTCCCGAGTAGCTGGGATTACAGGCGCCCACTACCACGCCCAGCTAATTTTTGTATTTTTAGTAGAGACGGGGTTTCACCATGTTAGCCAGGCTGGTCTTGAACTTCTGAACTCGGCCTCCCAAAGTGCTGGGATTACAGGTGTGAGCCACCACACCCGGCTTTTTTTTTTTTTTTTTTTTTTGAGATGGAGTCTTGCTCTGTTGTCCAAGCTGGAGTGCCGTGGCCAGATCTCAGCTCACTGCAACCTCCACCTCCCAGGTTCAAGCGATTCTCCTGCTTCAGCCTCCTGAGTAGCTGGAATTACAGGCACGTGCCACCACGCCTGGCTAATTTTTGTATTTTTAGTAGAGACGGGGTTTCACCATATTGGCCAGGCTGGTGTTGAATTCCTGACCTTGTGATCTGCCCGCCTTGGCCTCCCAAAATGCTGGGATTACAGGCGTGAGCCACCACGCCTGGCCTAATACATTAGTCTTTACAGGCCACATATAGTTACTATCTCATATTCTTTTTTGTGGTTGTTATTGTTTTATTTTACAACCTTTTAAAAATGTAAAAACTGTTCTTAGCTCATTGTACAAAAACAGGTTGTATACAGGCCGTAGTTTGCCAGACCCCTCCTACATGGAGTTAGATGCTTTAAAGAGATCAATAAATTTAAAAATGTAGAGTGATATGTTTAGCACCTTGTGGGTGTGTTTATGTGTGTGTGTGCGTATATAAAAGAGACCTGGACCATTACATTGTGTATAATAGTAAATAACATATATATATATATAATGTATTTATATATGTTCATGTGTATGTAAATATTTAAGGAATGATTTCTTCTTTTTCTTAACAGTTTTAAATTTTATATATATATATATATTTTTTTTTTTAAGAGAGGGTTTCTCTCCCATCACCCCGGCTGGAGTGCAGTGGTACACTCTCAGCTCATTACAACCTCCATCTCCTGGGCTCAAGCAATCCTCCTGCCTCAGCCTCCCAAGTAGCTGAGACTACAGGCATGCATCACCATGCCCAGTCAATTTTTGTATTTTTAATAGAGACAGGGTTTCACCATGTTGGCCAGGCTTGCCTCAAACTCCTGACCTCAGGTGATCCACCTGCTTTGTCCTCCCAAAGCGCTAGGATTATAGCCATGAGCCACTGCACCTGGCCTTTTTTTTTTTTTTTTCCCCAGACAGGGTCTCATTCTGTTGCCCATGCTGGAGTGCAGTGATGCAACCTCAGCTCACTGCAACCTCCGCCTCCTGGTCTCATCCAATCTTCCCACCCGAGCTTTTCAAGTAGCTGGGACTACAGATGTATACCACCATGCTCAGCTAATTTTTAAACTTTTTTTAGAGACAGGGTCTCCCTATATTGCCCAGGGTGGACTTGAACTCCTGGGCTCAAGCGATCTTCCCGCCTTGGCCTCCCAAAGTGCTGTAATTTTTAATCTTCAGGTGTACGTGGTAGGTGTATATATTTATGGGATACATGAGATATTTTGATATGGCCATACAATGCATAATAGTCACATCAGGGTAAACGGAGTATCCATCACATCACCTCAAGAATTTATCCTTTCTTTGTGTTACAAACATTCCAGTTATACTATTTTAGTTATTTTAGCAATGTTTTTTTAGAGACAAGTTCTTGCTCTGTCACCCAGGCTTGAATGCAGTGGCAGGAACATGACTCACTGCAGCCTTGGCCTCCGGGGCTCAAGCAATCCTCCCACCTCAGCCTCCCGAAGTGTTAGGATTACAGGAGTGAGCAACTCTGTCTGGCCATTAATGATTTTTAAAAAAAATGTGTTGTTGAGGCCAGGTGCAGTGGCTCAAGCCTGTAATCCTAGCACTTTGAGAGGCTGAGGCAGGCAGATCACAAGGTCAAGAGATCAAGACCATCCTGGCCAACATGGTGAAACCCCTTCTCTACTAAAAATACAAAAAATTAGTCAGGCATGGTGGTGCGCACCTATAGTCCCAGCTACTCGGGAGGTTGAGGCAGGAGAATTGCTTAAACCTGGGAGGCAGAGGTTGCAGTGAGCTGAGATCGCGCCATTGCACTCCAGCCTGGGCAACAGAGTGAGACTCCATCTGAAAAAACAAAACAAAACAAAAAAAAAGTGTTGTTGAATTTGGTTTACTAATATTTTGTCAAGAGTTTTTCCATCATGTTCATCAGGGATATTGGCCTGTAGTGTTTTGTTTTGTTTTTAATAAGTCTTTGTCTGGTTTTTGTATCAGGGTAATACTGGCCACATAGAATAAGTTTGGACGTATTCTCTTCTCTATTTTTCAAAATACTTTGAGTAGGATTAGAATTAGTTCTTTTTTAAATGTTTAGTAAAATTTAGCCATGAATCCATCAAGTCCTGGGCTTTGTTTTGCTGGGAGACTTTTATTGCAGCTTCGATCTCATTACTTGTTATTAGTCTTTTCAGGCTTTGGATTTCTTCATAGTTCAATCTTGGTAGGTTGTATATGTCTAGGAATTTATCCATTTCTTGTAGGTTTTCCAATTTATTGGCATATAATTGCTCATAGTAGCCCCTAATGATCCTTTAAATTTCTGTGGTATTGGCTGTAATATCTTCTTTTTCATCTCAGATTTTACTTTTATTATTTATTATTTATATATTTTATTTATTTATCTAGTTTTTGAGACTGAATCTCACTCTGTCGCCCAGGCTGGAGTGCAGTGGTGCGATCTGGGCTCATTGCAACCTCTGCCTCCTGGGTTCAAGTGATTCTCATGCCTCAGCCTTCCGAGTAGCTGGGATTATAGGCGCCTGCTACCACGCCTGGCTAATTTTCGTATTTTTAGTACAGATAGGGTTTCACCATGTAGGCCGGGCTGGTCTCAAACTCCTGACCTCAGGTGATCTCCCGGCCTTGGCCTCCCAAAGTGGTGGGATTACAGGCATGAGCCACCGTGCCCAGCCAGATTTTACTTATTTGGGTCATCTCTCTCTCTCTCTTTTTTTTTTTTTTAGTCTGGCTAAAGGTTTGTCGATTTTGTTTATCTTTTCAAAAAACCAACTCTTCATTTTGTTGATCTTTTGTATTTTTTTATTTCATTTATTTCCGCTCTGATCTTTATTATTTCTTCTACTAATTTTGGCTTTGGTTTGCTCTTGCTTTTGCAGTTTTGTTTTTCTTTTTTTTCAGGCAAGGTCTTGCTCTGTTGCCCAGGCTGGAGTACAGTGGTGAGATCACAGCTCACTGCAGCCACTACCTCCCAGGCCCAAGTTATCTTCCAGCCGCAGTCTCCCAAGTAGCTGGGAATACAGGTGAACACCACCACGCCAGCTGATTTTTGTATTTTTTGTAGAGACAAGGTTTCACCATGTTGTTCAGGCTGGTCTTGAACTCCTGGGCTCCAGCAATCCACCTGCTTCAGCCTCCAAAAGTATTGGGATTACAGGCATGAACCACTGTGTCCAGCCAACTTTTCCAGTTCTTTAAGATACTTCGGCTGGGTGCGGTGGCTCACACCTGTAATCCCAGCAATTTGGGAGGCCGAGGCAGGTGGATCACAAGATCAAGAGATTGAGACCATCCTGACCAACATGGTGAAACCCTGTCTCTACTAAAAATACAAAAATTAGCCAGGCATGGTGGCGTGCCCCTGTAATCCCAGCTACTCAGGAGGCTGAGGCAGGAGAATTGCTTGAACCCAGGAGGTGGAGGTTGCAGTGAGCTGAGATTGCACCACAGCACTCTGGCCTGGCAACAGAGCAAGACTGTCAAAAAAAAAAAATACAACATTGGGTTGTTTTTTTCAAGTTTTTCTACCTTTTTTTTTTTGAGACAGAGTTTTGCTCTTGTTTCCCAGGCTGGAGTGCAGTGGCGTGATCTTGGCTCACTGCAACCTGTGCCTCCTGGGTTCAAGTGATTCTCCTGCCTCAGCCTCCTGAGTAGCTGGGATTACAGGTGCACGTTTCCATGCCCTGCTAATTTTTTGTATTTTTATTAGAGATGGGGTTTCATCATGTTGGCCAGGCTGGTCTGAAACTCCTGACCTCAGGTGATCCACCTGCCTCAGCCTCCCAAAGTGCAGGGATTACAGGTGTGAGCCACCGCACCTGGCCTCTACTTTTTTGATGTAGGCATTCATTACTATAAACTTTCCTCTTAGTACTGCTTTCACTGTATCTCATAGGTTTTGTTATGTTGTGTTTTCATTTTTGTTTTTTTCAAGAAATTTTAAAATCTCTTTCTTAATTTCTTCATTGATATGCTGGTCATTCAGGAGCAAGTTGTTTAATTTCAATGTGTTTGTATAGTTTCCAAAATTCCTCTTGTTACTGATTTCTAGTTTTAGTACACTGTAGTCAGAGAGGATATTTGACATAGTTTCAATTTTTTTGAATTTTTGAACAATTGTTTTGGACCTAACGTAGTCTATTCTTGAATATGATCAAGAATACTCATTCTTGCTGAGGAGATGAATGTGTATTCTGCAGCCATTGAATGAAAAGTTCTGTAAATTCTATTAGATCCTTTTGGTCTACATTGTAGACTAAGTTTGATGCTTCTTTGTTGATTATCTGTCTGGATAATCTGTTCATTGTTGAAAGTAGGGTGTTGAAGTCTCCAGCTATTAATGTAGTGAGGTCTATAGCTCTCTTAAGCTCTAATAATATTTGCCTTATACATCTGGATCCTCCAGTATTGGGTGTATATATATTTATGATTGTTATATCCTCTTGCTGAATTGACCCCTTTATCATTACATAATGGCCTTCTTTTTCTCTTTTTATAGTTTGTCCTGAGATCTATTTTGTCTGATATAAGCATAGCTATTCTTGCTCTTTTTTGGTTTCCATTGGCATGGAATCTTTTTCCATCTCTTTATTTTCAGTCTACATGTGTCTTTATAGGTGAAGCATGTTTCTTGTAGGCAACAGATTGTTGGGTTTTTGTTTTTGTTTTTGTTTTTGAGATGGAGTTTCACTCTTGTTGCCCAGGCTGGAGTGCGATGGCATGATCTCGGCTCACCGTAACCTCTGCCTCCCAGGTTCAAGCAATTCTCCTGCCTCAGCCTCCCGAGTAGCTGGGATTACAGGCATGTGCTACTACGCCCAGCTAATTTTATATTTTTAGTAGAGACGGGGTTTCTCCATGTTGGTCAGGCTGGTCTCGAACTGCCAATCTCAGGTGATCTGCCTGCCTTGGCCTCCCAAAGTGCTGGGATTATAGGCGTGAGCCACTGTGCTCAGCCTTTTTTAAAAAAATCTATTCAGTCACTCTATCTTTTTTGATTGGAGAGTTTGTCCATTTAAATTCAATGTTATTATTGATAAATAAGAACTTACTCCTGCCATTTTTAATTTGTTTTCTGGTTGTTTTGTGGTCTTCTCTTCCTTCTGTCCTTCCTTCCTGCCTTCTTCCTTTTTGTGAAGGTGATTTTCTCCAGTGGTATGTTTTAATTTCTTGTGTTTTATTTTTGTCAGGTTACCATGACGCTTGCAAATAAGATCTTATAACTCATTATTTTAAACTGATGACGTCTTAACACTGATTGCATAAACAAACTAACAAATTAGCAAAGAGAAAACTAATCAAAACTCTAGGCTGGTTGCAGTGGCTCATGCCTGTAATCCCAGCACTTTGGGATGCCGAGGTGGGTGGATAACCTTAGATCACCTAAGATCAGGAGTTCGAGACCATCCTGGCCAACATGGTGAAACCCTGTCTCTACTAAAAATACAAAAATTAGCTGGTTGTGGTGGTGCATGCCTGTGATCCCAGCTACTCATGAGGCTGAGGCAGGAGAATTGCTTGAACCTAGGAGGTCGAGGTTGCAGTGAGCTGAGATTATGCCACTGCACTCCAGCCTGAGTGACAGAGCAAGACTCCATCTCAAAACAAAAACAAAAACAAAAACTTCTACACTTTAATTTCATTCCCCTGCTTTTTAACTTTGCGTTGTTTCTATTTATATCTTATACTGTCTATGTCTTGAATAGTTGTTATAGTTATTCCTTTTTATAGGTTCTTCTTTTAGTCTTTCTACTCAAGGTATCAGTAGTTTAAATCTCTCTCTTTACCTCCTCTTTAAGGCCAGTAGCTCTTAGATTTGCCATTTTGTGGCCATTTTCTAGAACTTCATTCTTTTCTATTATTTTTTCTTTAGTCTCCGCTAACTGTATTTTCTTTCTTTTCTATTTTTTTGAGGCCACATCTCACTCTGTCACCCAGGCTGGAGTGCAGTGGCATGATCTCTGCTCACTGCAACCTCCACCTCCTAGGTTCAAGTGATTTTCATGCCTCAGCCTCCCAAGTAGCTGGGATTATAGCATGCGCCACCATGCCCAGCTTATTCTTTCTATTTTTAGTAGAGACAGGCTTTCACTGTGTTGGCCAGGCTGGTCTCAAACTCCTGGCCTCAAGTAATCCACCCACCTTGGCCTCCCAAAGTGCTGGGATTACAGGTGTGAGCCACTGCACTTGGCCCATGACTGTATTTTCAAATAACCTGTCCTCAAGCTCACTGATTCTTTCTTTTGCTTCATCAGTTCTGCTGTTGAGAGACTGATGCATTCTTTAGTTTTTTTTTTTTTTTTGAGACGGAGTCTCACTCTGTTGTCCAGGCTGGAGTGCAGTGGTGCAATCTCAGCTCACTGCAAGCTCTGCCTCCCAGGTTCACGCCATTCTCCTGCCTCAGCCTCCCAAGTAGCTGGGACTACAGGCGCCCGCCAACACGCCCGGCTAATTTTTGTATTTTTAGTAGAGACAGGGTTTCACCGTGTTAGCCAGGATGGTCTCGATCTCCTGATCTCGTGATCTGCTTGCCTTGGCCTCCCAAAGTGCTGGGATTTCTTTAGTATGTTAATTGAATTTTTCAGCTCCAGGATTTCTGCTTTTTAAAATTATTTCAATATCTTTGTTATATTTGTCTGATAGGATTCTGAAATCCTTCTCTTAAATTTCATTGAACTTATGCAAAACAGCTGTTTTGAACTCTTTGTCTGTAAGGTCATATAGCTCTGTCACTCCAGGATTGGTCACTGGTGCCTTATTTAGGCCATGTTTTCCTGTATGGTCTTGATCTTTGTGGATGTTCATTGATGTCTGGGCATTGAAAAGTTAGGTATTAATTGTAGTCTTTGAACAATGTGCTTGTTTGTACCCATCCTTCTTGGGAAGGCTTTCCAAGTATTCAAAGAGAATTGAGTGTCGTGATCTAAGTCTTTGGTCACTGCAGTACATATCTGCGTTGGGCGGCACCCCAAGCCCAGTAAAGCTGTGACTCTTGCAGACTTGTAGAGGTACTGCTTTGGTGGTCTTAGGTAAGATCCGGGAGAATTCCCTGGATTACCAGGCAGACTCTTGTTCCTTCTCTTTCTTTTGCCCAAACAAACAGAGTCTCTCTCTCTCCCTGCTAAGCTGTCTGGAGCTGGGGGTGGGGTTACACAAGCCCCTCTGTGGCCACCACCACTAGGACTGCACTGGGTCAGACCCAAAGCTAGCATAGCACTGGGTCCTGCCCAAGTCCTTCAGTGACCACTGCCTGGTTACTGCCAGTGTTCACTCAAGGCCCAAGGACTGTACAGTTAGTGGGTAGCAAATTCAGCCAGGCTTGTGGCCTTCGTTTCAGGATGGGAAGCTCCTCACCAGCCCAGGGCAGGTTCAGAAATTCTATTCAGGAGCCAGGGCCTGGAGTCAGGAACCTTAGAAATCTACCTGATGCTCTATTCTACTGCGACTAAGCTGGCACCCAAGCTGCAAGACAAAGCCCTTCCCAATCTTTTTATTTATTTATTTATTTATTTTTCTGGAATGGAGTCTTACTCTGTCACCCAGGCTGGAGTGCAGTGGCATGATCTCAGCTGACTGCAACCTCTGCCTCCTGGGTTCGAGCGATTCCCTTGCCTCAGCCTTCCGAGTAGCTGGGAGTACAGGCATGCACCACCACGCCCGGGTAATTTTTGTATTTTTAGTAGAGATGGGGTTTCACCATATTGGCCAGGCTGGTCTCGAACACCTGACCTCAAGTGATCCACCCATCTCGGCCTCCCAAAGTGTTGGGATTACAGGTGTAAGCCACCGCACCCAGCCCCCTTCTCGTTCTTGACTCTCCTTTGTTCAAACTGAGGGAGTCTCTCTTTGTGGCCACAACTGCCCCAGACCCGTGGCAAATACTGACTAGCTACTACCAATGTTCATTAAAGGTCCAAAGGCTCTTCAGTCAGCTTGTGAATGCTACCAGGCCTGGGTCTCTCCCTTCAGTGAAGTGGGCTCCCCTCTGGCCTAGGGCAGGTCCAAAAATGCCATCCAGGAGCCAAGGCCTGAAATTGGGGACCCCTGAAGCCCACTTGGTGCTCTACCTCACTATGGCTGAGCTGGTACTCAAGCTGTAAGACAAAGTCCCCTTTACTTTTCCATTTCCTTTTCTTAAGCAGAAGAAGTCTCTGCTCATGGTCATCACAGCTGGGAATGTACTGAGTCACACCTGAAGCCAGCATGGCACTGAATGTCACCTAAGGCCTGTATCAAATACTGGAAACCACCAAATGTTTATTCAAGGCCCAAGGGCTCTTTTTTTTTTTTAACGGATTTTTGCTCTGTCACCTAGGCTGGAGTGCAGTGGCGTGATCTCGGCTCACTGCAACCTCCACCCCCCGGGTTCAAGCAATTCTCATGCCTCAGCCTCCTGATAGCTGGGATTACAGGTGCCCGCCACCACGCCCAGCTAATTTTTGTATTTTTAGTAGAGACAGGGTTTCGCCATGTTGGCCAGACTGGTTTTGAACTCCTGACCTCAGGTGATTTGTCCACCTCAGCCTCCCAAAGTGCTGAGATTACGTGCGTGAGCCACTGCACCCGGCCAAGGCCCAAGGGCTCTTTAATCAGCAAGTGTTGAATCCTGCCAGGACAGTGTCCTTCCTTTCAAGACAGCAGGTTCCCTTCTGCCCCAGGGTGTGTATAGAAATGTTTTCAGGGAGTTAGTGTCTGAAATGGGGGCCTTGTGACTCTGCCTCATGCTCTATTGTGGCTGAGCTATTATCCGAGTTGCAAAACAAAGTCCTTTTTACTCTCCCCTCTCCTCTCCTCTCCTCTAGTAGGAAGAAGGAGAAACTCTCACAGAGTTATGAGCTGTGCACCTGGGGTGTGGGGAGGAGTGGTACAAGCACTCTCTTGGCCACCCCAGCAGGTGTCTCACTAGGTCATATGCATCCCAGGTCCACTGGCTTCAAGCTCAGCACAGCACCAGAACTTGCCCAAGAATTGCAGTCTTTGTGGCCTACACAGCCTTTCAAGTTTATTTAGGACCCCAGAGTGCTTTAGCCCACAGTGTCGGGGTTAGCTGGAACTCAGGTTCAGACCACTGGGATGGGTAATTCCCCTTTGGCTAGCGCTGGTCTAAATGCTCCTTCCACAGGCACTGACTGAATTCTGCCCTGTGTTGCTTTCCACTGTAGTAGGCAGCACTGAGCTCCAAATCTGTGCACCTGGGGGAGTGCAGTGATTGTGGAATGCAAAGTCCCACAATCACTGTACTCCCCAGGTGCACAGATTCTCTCTCTGCCCCATGTGGCTGCTGCCACTGCCTGGGAAAGGAAGAGAGGTGATGTTGGCAATTCTAGACTCTTTTCTTGCCCCTTCAGTGGCTCCTTCCTTGATATGATGTTAAAACCAGGTACTGTGATTGCTCACCTGATTTTTGATTCTTATGAAGGTGACTTCTTGTATGGATAGTCATTCAATTTGGTGTTCCTGCAGGGAGGACAATCACTGGAGGGTTCTATTTGGCCATCTTGCTTCTCCTCCTCCTAAGACTTTTTTTTAACATAACTTTCTTGAAAGATGAATTTTTCCCCTCCAGATACATGTCCTGAAACTGAACAAAATGGAACTGTTACCATTTCATGCTGATGTGGAGATTGGCCAGATTATAGAAATACCCATTGCAATGTATCACATAAATAAAGAGACCAAAGAAGCCATGGCATTCACAGACTGCTCTCATTTATCCTTGGATCTGAACATGGATAAACAAGGAGTCTTTACTCTTCTCAAAGAAGGTAAAAGTAGCCTTTTTATCTTCTCCTTCCTTTGTCTTTATTTATTTATCTTTAACTCTACCACTGTGACAGATTACTTTCTTTGTCTTTAAGGAAGCAATCAACAATTCAGAAACTACCAATTATAGTCTAAGTTCACATATTACTTTTCTTTATAATACTTTATTTTGTCAAATGCCTTGTAGTAAGTGTTATACTCCTCATTTTACAGATGTAGAAACACAGGCACAGAAACTGAATAACATTGCAGCTGGCCAATATCAGTTTTTTGTTTGTTTGTTTTTGTTTTTTGAGACAGTGTCTCGCTTTTGTTTTTTTTTTTCTTTTTTTTTTTTTTTTTGAGACGGAGTCTCGCTCTGTCGCCCAGGCTGGAGTGCAGTGGCGCGATCTCGGCTCACTGCAAGCTCCGCCTCCCGGGTTCACGCCATTCTCCTGCCTCAGCCTCCCGAGTAGCTGGGACTACAGGCGCCCGCTACCACGCCCGGCTAATTTTTTGTATTTTTAGTAGAGACGGGGTTTCACCGTGTTAGCCAGGATGGTCTCGATCTCCTGAGCTCGTGATCCGCCCGCCTCGGCCTCCCAAAGTGCTGGGATTACAGGCGTGAGCCACCGCGCCCGGCCCAGTGTCTCGCTTTTGTTGCCCAGGCTGGAGTGCAGTGGCACGATCTCGGCTCACTGCAACCTCCACCTCCCGGGTTCAAGCAATTTTCCTGCCTCAGCCTCCCAAGTACCTGGGATTACAGATGTCCACCACCATGCCTGGCTAATTTTTGTATTTTTAGTAAATATGGGGTTTTGCCATGTTGGCCAGGCTGGTCTTGAACTCCTGACCTCAGGTGATCTGCCCGCCTCAGCCTCCCAAAGTGCTGGGATTACAGGCGTGAGCCACTGCGCCCAGCCAGTTTTTATTTATTATTATTATTATTATTATTAGAGACAGGGTCTCACCACCGTGTCACCCAGGCTGGAGTGCAGTGGTGCAATCATAGAACATTGTAACCTTGAACTCCTGGGCCCAAGCTATACTGCTATCTCAGCCTCCCAAGTAGCTGGGATTACAAGTGCAAGGTCAATATCAGATTTTAGTTCACAGTAAGGTTTTCCATTTCTAGCCTCAAGCTCTTTTCTTCTTTCTTCCCCTTATATATATACCATATGTCTTTTAAGAGGAATGTAGAGCCATTTAATATATGCATACATTCAATTTATTGAAAAAGGATAAAATATCTCTTTCTAATAAAACAGAAAATATGAATAACGGTCAACATCCTTTCCTGCTATTGAACTTCTTATTTGATCCTGATCCCCATTGTTTTTTCATCAATATAATGACAGTAGTAGCATCTAAGATTTGCTTAGCATTTACTCTTTGCCAAGCTCTGTTCTGAATACTTTTTATACATTAACTATTTAATTCTTATATCTATAAGCTTGGTATCAAATTGGACTTTTGCTTTGCCCTTGCTCATTATACTACATACATACATACATATAGACACACCCTCACTCCCGGGTTCAAGTGATCTTTCCCCTCCTCTCAGAGTATTTTAATTTTTAGCCCCTTATTTCCCATGTAGGACAACAAAATCCTCCTGACTATTCTTACTTCTGGTCATCATGGCTATCAGATGGCGCTTCATGAACTCAACTTTGGTATTACTTTTTCTGCTCAAAAATTTTGAGACTTCTCATTGTCAGTGGAATGGAGCCAAAATCCTTTTAGTTTGGTATTCAAGACCACTCTACGGTATAACCCAACCTACTTTTCATGATTTCATACTTTTGCTTCATATGTGGTTCTAGCTAAATTAACTACTTTATTTATTTATTTATTTTTATTTAATTTTTGTTTTGTTTTTTTGAGATGGAATCTCACTCCATCACCCAGGCTGGAGTGCAGTGGTGCAATCTCGGCTCACTGCAACCTCTACCTCCCAGGTTCAAGTGATTCTTGTCCCTCAGCCTCCTGAGTAGCTGGGACTACATGCACGTGCCACTACACCTGGCTAATTTTTGAATTTTTTAGTAGAGACCGGGTTTCACCATGTTGGCCAGGCTGGTGTGGAACTCCTGACTTCAGGTAATCCACCTGCCTCGGCCTCCCAAAGTGCTGGGGTTACAGGCGTGAGCCACCATGCCCGGCTAAATCAACTACTTTAAATTCTCTCATATATATCTCTCATATTCTCATTTATATCTCATTTGTATTTCTTTGTTCATTCTGTTTTCTCAGCCTAAGATACTTTAAACTTTCCTTGATCTCTCCAGCTTGAAATAATCTTTCTATTTTCTAGATTTCTATAATACTTACCACTTTCTATTAATGTTTTAAGTGAATTATTTACATGTTCACTTTCCCCTTGAAACTATGAATGCTTGAGGTCATGATCTTTGCTCATATATATATATTCCCACTGTACATACAACTGTTGTCTTATATATGTCTCTCAATAGAAAGAACAGATATCAACTTGATATAAAGGGCCTAATTGTTAATGTAAGAGATCAAGATGGGTTTTGTTTGTTTGTTTGTTTGTTTTTAACAGTGTCACTCTGTCACCAGGCTGGAGTGCAATGGCACGTCTTGGCTCACTGCAACCTCCGCCTCCGGGGTTCAAGCAATTCTCCCTGCCTCAGCCTCCCAAGTAGCTGAGATTACAGGTGCCTGCCACCACACCTGGCTAATTTTTGTATTTTTAGTAGAGACGGGGTTTCACCATATTGGCCAGGCTGGTCTCGAACTGACCTCAGGTGATCCACCTGCTTTAGCCTCCCAAAGTGCTGGGATTACAGGCATGAGCCACCGCCCCCAGCCAAATTTTTTTTTTTTTTTTTTTTTGAGACAGAGTTTCACTCTTGTTGCTCAGGCTGGAGTGCAATGGCGCAATCTCGGCTCACGGCAACCTCTGCCTTCTGGGTTCAAGCGATTCTCCTGCCTCAGCCTCCTGAGTAGCTGGGATTACAGGTATGCACCGCCACACCTGGCTAATTTTGAATTTTTAGTAGAGACGGGATTTCTCCATGTTGGTCAGGCTGGTCTCGAACTCCCGAGCTCAGGTGATCCACCCGCCTCGGCCTTCCAAAGTGTTGGGATTATAGGCATGAGCCACTGTGCCTGGCCCAAGATGGTATTTTTAATATATTAAAATTCTTATATTTTCATAGCTTAATCTCCTTTAAAACTAACTGCTTGTGGCTGGGTGCGGTGGCTCATGCTTGTAATCCCAGCATTTTGGGAGGCTTAGGTGGGTGGATCACAGGGTCAGGAGTTCGAGACCAGCGTGGCCAATACAGTGAAACCCTGTCTCTACTAAAAATATAAAAAATTAGCCAGACATGGTGGCAGGTGCCTGTAATCCCAGTTACTCAGGAGGCTGAGGCAGGAGAATCGCTTGAAACCAGGAGGCTGAGGTTGCAGTGAGCCAAGATTGCACCATTGCACTCCAGCCTGGGCAACAAGAGCGAGACTCCATCTCAAAAAAAAAAAAAAAAAAAACAAAGCCAAAAACTAACTGCTTGTTACCCCACTGAAATCATATTTGTTTTGGGTTTTTTTTTTTTTTTAGGTAAGGTCTTACTCTTGCCCAGGCTGGGGTGTAGTGGTGCAATCATGACTCACTGCAGCCTTGACCTCCTGGGCTCAAGTGATCCTCCTTCCTTAGCCTCCTGAGTAACTGGGACTACAGGTGCACGCCACCATGCCTGGCTAATTTTTTAAATATTTTGTAGACACGGGGTTTCACCATGTTTTTCAGGCGGGTCTTAAACTTCGGAGCTCAAGCAATCTTCCTGCCTTGGCCTCCCAAAGTGCTGGGATTACAAGCCTGAGCCACCACGCCCTGCCAAAATCATGGTTTTTGATTCACAGGTATTCAAAGACCTGGACCAATGCATTGTTCCAGTACACATATCGCAGCTAAATCTCTTGGCCATACTCTGGTAACAGTAAGTGTGAATGAATGTGACAAGTACTTGGAGAGCAGTGCTACATTTGCTGCTTATGAACCCCTAAAGGTAAGATATTTCATGGTAAGGAACTGGCATTTCTTTTAATGGACTTAACTATGTCTGCTTATGGGCTTACTAGCTATCTGTGGTCCCCACTAAGGATCAATGACATTTATGTTCTCTTTACTTGCCACTTTTTTGTTTTTAGATCTACAGCTCTCTCCTCAAACCTAAGTCTCCAGGGAGTTTACTCCCTCATGCTTCTGTCACAGGAATATCTTTAAGTTGTATCAGAAAGTTTTAGATATTCTCCTTTCTTCTTTTTTACTGAGGTATAAAATATGTACAGAAAAGTTCATAAAGTACACTAATCTTCAGGTGCTATCTGAATTTTTACATGTGCATATATCTCTGTAAATACCGAAGTTAGTATATTAGTGTACTCTCTTTTGAAGAACCCTGAAAGATAATTTCTGTCCTATGGAAGGAAGTCAATCATCTTTTACCCTATATACTTATGGATTTTAAGCACAGAAGCCATTATATTGAGCCCTAAGGACTGGTTCATTATAATGGAGACAGTATGATAAGTGGTTCTGATGGCAGTGGCAGCCTGTCTGGAGCAGCTGCTGCCATCACGCCAGCTGCAGCAGGGAGATGCAGCTGGGGCTGCACACTCCGTGGAGCCGTTTGGAACCGACGCCAAGTGGGAGCCCCAGGAGCCCCACTCCTTCTGAGCTGGTGGGGCGGGAGCTCCCTGGGTGCAGCTTTGGCTGCCCAAGTCATGACTGCGGACCCAGGCCTCCTGCTCCACCGAGCAGGCAGGAGATGCACCCCTGCCCCAGCCCCACTACCCCCTTGCCATGCAACTGCAGCTACTCAAATGGCAGCTGTGGACCCAGGCATCCTTGTACTCTTGGGAACCCAGGAAGGCCCCTTCTGCACACTCCCGCTGCCTGGCTTCTTCCTGCTGTCAGCACCAACTCCAATCTCAGAACAAAGTTGGGCCAATCCTGGGCGCTGTCACAATCTGGCCAGATGAGCACACGCTTGGGGCAATTTTAACATGCCAGGCCCCTGCTGCCTTGGCCCCCTCCAGACTTTGGGCACCAACAAGCATAGGAGGGAAGCCAAAGAGGAGCTGAGGGCAGCTCGGCACTGGCCCGCAGGTGCCCCTTGGCACCTACAGCCTCGGTGCCATGAACAGCGGCAGGAGGCAGACAAGTTCCTGGGCAGAAGGTGCAGTATCTGGTGAGGCCCTACCTTCAGGCCAGGTAGGGCCTGAAGCCTGGGGTCCAGGCTGCCAGTCCCGCAGACCAGAGTGGGAACTTGTGATGCCTTTTCCAGACCCACCCATGGCTGCCCATGGACCAATCAGTGTGGACTTCCTCCCCTCTGATGCCCATAAAAGCTCCAGGCTCAGCCGGAGCTGGGCAGAAGACATTGGGCAACCAGCTGCAGAGAGGAGCTACCAACTCCAGGGCCTCCTCTCTGCTGAGAGCTGCAGACACTGGGATGACCAGCAGCAGAGAGGTACTACCCACTCCAGGGCCTCCTCTGAGCTATTCTGTTACTCAATAAAGCTCTTCTTCACCTTGCTCACCCTCCACTTGTTCTGCATATCTTATTCTTCCTGGATGCAGGACAAGAACTTGGGACCTTCCCAATGGCAGGGCTGAAAGAGCTATAACACAAACAGGGCTGAAACATACCCCTTGCTCACCACGTTGTGGGTGAAGAGAAGGAGAGAACTGTGACTCTTCAGGGAGCCGAGACCTGGGAGCTCCCCAAGCCAGGGCTGTGACTCCCACTTTGGGGCCCTGTGGTTCCTGGAGTCTCTAAGCTTCCAGGCACCACTGTGTTCCCCAGTGGCAGCGTGGAAGCTGCTTGCAGTGCACCTGATCTAGCCACAGGCTTGCAGAGAGCCAGTGCCCATGCTGGCACCTGGAGCTGCCTGTCCCACTGCAGCAACTGGTGTGCCTGACTGCAGTGGCTGGACCCCATGCTTCCTCACTCACACACCTGTTGCCACTCCATGCCTGGCTCACCCTTGGCAGGTGTGAGATCCAGGCTGGTAGCATGAGCCAAGCACAGCCTGCCAGGCCGAGTGGATGGAATGAGCCCAGTGGGCCCAAACAAAACTTGGGCAAAGGTGCCACCAGCCACAGAGGTTTCCAGCCAGAAAAGCAACACCCTAAGTATCCTGCAACAGTTCAAAATAAAAGTAGATAGAGACTGGCATGGTTTCTACATCCTATTTGATTCCAGCAGTAGCTAAAATTGGTATCTACAAGTTCTTGCTGATAGATACTGACAAATCCTGACTCAATGCCTCTTGGAATAAGGAGCACCCACAGGGAAAAATGTTAACACTAATGAAAGAAGTAAAGTAAGGTAAAAGAAAAAAGATAAATTATTCATTCAAATTTGCATTTTAAGTTGGCCTCATTGTACATTGTGTAGCATATATATTAAATATATGGTTCAAGTATATTTCACTAGTTCCCTGGGTGGGTGAATCCTCCTTCTTGCCTAATTAAATGCAAGTGCTTGGCTGTGGCTCATTGTAAAGTTCCATTAGGTTTTTTCTTACTTTTATCATTGTCCTTAGGCTTATTTTATATATATTGAATGTCCACAAATCAGATCTCCCCTGAATGAAAGTCGTCCTTAAAGGAAAGGAAGTGATGATGATTTTCTTTTTCTACCTAGTATGTTAGTCACGTATCTTTCCCCTTGCCTGATGAAAAACAAATTGTTTAAAAATATGTGTGTTCTACCCTTGTTATCATTACTATGTTTCAGTACATGGTACAGTTCTCAATTTGTCCTTTTATATTATCAGCTCAATTCGGTTCATCTGGTTAGTTTTTGACTATACATCTAAGAAAAAGGAATCATTTGTTTTGCTTTTTCAGAAAGGCCATCTATGAGACCTCTGTGTTTATTTTTTCCATTCATTTCTTCTGTCAAAAAAAATTTTTTTTTTTGAGACAGAGTCTCACTCTGTTGGCCCAGCTGGAATGCAGTGGTGCAATCTCGGCAACCTCCACCCCCTAGGTTCAAGCGATTCTTGTGCCTCAGCCTCCCAAGTGGGTGGGATTACAGGTGCACACCATGATGCCCAGCTAATTTTTGTATTTTTAGTAGATATGGGGTTTTGCCATGATGGCCAGGCTGGTCTCAAATTCCTGGGCTCAAGGGATCCGCCTGCCTTGGCCTCCCAAAGTGCTTGCATTACAGGCATGAGCCACCACACCTGGCCAAAAACTTGTATGGCACTGTGTAACATGTCTTTTTTTTTTTTCCTGAGACCAAGTTTTGATCTTGTTGCCCAGGCTGGAGTGCAATGGCACAATCTTGGTTCACTGCAACCTCTGCCTCCAACTGATTCTCCTGCCTCAGCCTCCCAAGTAGCTGGGATTACAGGCGTGCACCACCATGCTCAGCTAATTTTGTATTTTTAGTAGAGATGGGATTTCACCATGTTGGCCAGGCTGGTCTCAAACTCCTGACCTTAAGTGATCCACCCACCTCAGCCTCCCAAAGTGCTGGGATTACAGGCATGAGCTACCGCACCTGGCCACATGTCTTTTTGTAACACTTATTATATTCTTTACCTACTCTAAGTCTGTCTCTCCCAGATTGTGAGCTCCCCTGTGAGACAAGACTTTATTTGGATTTCTATTACTGTATCCTCATAAGTGAATATTTATTGAATTATATATACATTATTTAAGAGAATACTACCATCAGGGATAGAAATTTTCAGTTTTAATAGTACTCAATAATAAATATGACTGAACAGTTCTGAAAAGAAAGCATAGTTTGCTTACGTTTTTAGAATAATTGCTTCAACTCTCTACTTCGTTTTAAAACTTAGTCACTGTAGTGGGAGTTGAACAATGAGAACACATGGACACAGGGAGGGGAACATCACACACTGTGGCCTGTAAAGGGGTGGGGCCTCGGGAATGGATAGCATTAGGAGAAATACCTAACGTACATGATGGGTTGATGGGTGCAGCAAACCACCATGGCGCATGTATACCTAGGTAACAAACCTGCACATTCTGCACATGTATCCCAGAACTTAAAGTAAAATAAAAAAAAATTAGTCACTGTTGTGGACATTGTGTGCCATACAAAAATAACCTACACTTTGAGAATACTTCATTCCCCTAATGCCAGTTTCCTCATCTGTGAATGGGATACAACTTCTCTATACTGAATTGAGTAATACCTATCTTGTCTACTTCTTAGCTTATAAAGTTCTTGGAGAAATATGGTGAAGTGTATAGATGTATTATTTTTATATTTTTAGGGCAGAAGTTCTTTGATACGTTAGTAAAATATCAGTTTAAAATGCTTATGCATCTTATCTTTCACTCTTTAGCCTGAAAAAAATGCTTATGCAGTTATTTATACAATACCTTTTCTGCACACAACATTGTACTAAATCCCAGTGAAGAAGAGAAATACTAAAACAAATTAGGTATAAGATACTGACTCCTCTTAAGGAGTTTATATAAGTAGAGAAAACAACAAAAATTATTAGATTTATACATAGCATTTGACACACATATAATAACATTAGGAAATGAACAGGGTACAAATGAATGGTACAGATAAATACTGTAAGAGCTTAGAGGATGCAGAAGTGGTGTGGTCTAGAATGACTGGACACAAATTAATGGATAAAGTAACATAATAGTTAGGTTCAAATGATAGGTAGGATCCAAGTTAGGTTGAGAAGCATTCCAAGTGAGAGGCATGGCATACATATCTCTTAATTTGGGAATTAAGTTTAACGTCATTTGCAGCATATTCAGATAACTAGTGTTTCACTTTAGAAAATTATTGAATTCCCTAACCTATCAGGAATTAATTTCTTTAAATATCATCAGGCTTTAAATCCTGTGGAAGTGGCATTGGTGACATGGCAGTCTGTGAAGGAAATGGTATTTGAAGGGGGTCCTCGTCCATGGATCTTGGAGCCCTCCCGATTTTTTTTGGAATTGAATGCGGAGAAGACAGAGAAGATTGGAATAGCACAAGTGTGGCTGCCATCTAAGAGAAAACAGAACCAGTACATCTACCGGATCCAATGCCTGGATTTAGGGGAACAAGTAGGAAAACAGTTTTTTATAACATTTTCTTTAGTGTAATACTCCAAATCCTTTGTACTTCCAGCCATTCCTTTTCAGATTCTGCTGAATTTAGTTTATGGACTAAATAGGAAAATTCTAATTATTGATCAAATGATTGTTTTTTCTAAAACCTTATTATCCTTAAAATATACCCAGAGGTTTCAATTTGCTCATCCAAGAATTCCAGCAGTTCACGAACTAAACAAGATCTTTTTGTAGTAATGAGCTTATTTCACATTATTTGCAATCACATTATCATTATAATTCACTTCCTTGTTTTGTAGACTTTAGGATATTTGGTTTCCCAACTTTAAGAATTCAAGGAAGGGAAACTTTGAAGTATCATCTATGGTTAGCAATTTTGAGGAACTAATTAGAGCTACACTGATACGAATAATAAATATATTTTATCTCTATCAGTTGAATTATTTTTAATTATTTTTATTTATTTATTTAGAGACAGGGTCTCACTCTGTTGCCCAAGCTGGAGCGCAGTGGCACGATCTCGGCTCACTGCACCCTCTGCCTCCTGGGTTCAAGCAATTCTTATGCCTCAGCCTCCTGAGTAGCTGGGATTACAGGCACACACCACCATGCCCAGCTAATTTTTGTTGTTGTTGTTGTTGTTTTTGAGATGGAGTCTTGCTCTGTTGCCCAGGCTAGAGTGCAGTGGTGCAATCTCAGCTCACTGCAACCTCTGCCTTCCGGGTTCAAGAGATTCTCCTGTTTCGGCCTCCTGAGTAGCTGGGATGACAGGTGCACGCCACCACGCCTGGCTAATTTTTTGTATTTTTAGTAGAGACGGGGTTTTACCATGTTGGTCAGGCTGGTCTCAAACTCCTGACCTTGTGATCTGCCCAACTCGGCCTCCCAAAGTGCTAGGATTACAGGCGTGAGCAACCATGCCCAGCCATTTTTGTTTTTTTCTATAGACAGGGTTTCACTGTGTTGGCCAGACTGGTCTCAAGTTGCTGGAATCAAGTGATCCACCCACCTTGGCCTCCCAAAGTGCTGGGATTATAGGCATGACGCACTACACCCAGCTGAGTTTTAATTATTTTTAGAGGTACTGATGGATTTGCATAGTTTTCATTCACAGCTGTGCTGTACTTCTATCAAAATCAGTAACAAAGATTTGCAGTTTTACTGGGCTTGAGAATTCAAGGTATGACTGTGAAACAGCACAGCTAACCAGCACATAAGGGAATCAATGTAAGATTTTAACTTGATAAGAACTGTGCTGTAATCCATTGAACTTCATTCTATTTTATTTTATTTATTTATTTTTATATTTTAGAGACAGGTTCTCACACTGCTGCCCAGGCTAGAGTGTAGTGGAACGATCGTAGCTCACTACATAGGTTTCTTTCTAATATTTGTAGTGAACTTTACTGTATATATAACTAGCTATCAGTAATTTCAGGGCTAATTACTTATTTTGGTCCTCAATCTTTTATTGTGGTAAAATTACCATCTTTTTTTTTTGAGATGGAGTTTCGCTCTTGTTGCCCAGGTGGGAGTGCAATGGCACAATCTTGGCTCACCATAACCTCCACCTCCTGGGTTCAAGTGATTCTACTGCCTCAGCCTCCTGAGTAACTGGGATTACAGGCATGCACCACCACACCCGGCTAATTTTGTATTTTTAGTAGAGATGGGGTTTCTTCATGTTGGTCAGGCTGATCTCAAACTCCTGACCTCAGGTGATCTGCCCACCTCGGCCTCCCAAAGTGCTGGGATTACAGGCATGAGGCACCGCACCCGGCCTAAAATTACCATCTTAATCATTTTTTTAAAATGTACAGTTCAATAGTATTATGTACATTCATAATCTTGTGCAGGCATCACTACCATCCATCTCTTTTCATCTTATACAACTGAAACTCTAAGGCTGGGCACAGTGGCTCACGCCTGTAATCCCAGCACTTTGGGGAATCAAGGCAGGAGGATCACTTGAGGCCAGGAATTCAAGGCCAGCCTGGACAACATAGTGAGACCCTGTCCCTACTAAAAAAGAAAAAATTAGCTGGGTGTCATGGCAGACACCTGTAGTCCTAGCTACTTGGGAGGCTGAGGCAGGAGGATCACTTGAGCCCAGTAGTTTGAGGTTACAGTGGGCTATGATCTAGTCACTGCACTCCAGCCTGGGTGACAGTGCAAGATCCCGTCTCAAAAAACAAACAAACAAAACATATAGAAACTCTATACCCATTAAAGAATAACTCTTGGCTGGGTGTGGTGGCTTATGCCTGTAATTCTAGCACTTTGGGAGGCTGAGGCAGGTGGATCATTTGAGGTCAGGAGTATGAGACCAGCCTAGCCAACATGATGAAACCCCATCTCTGCTAAAAAAAAAAAAAAAACAAAAAACAAAAAACTAGCCAGGTATGGTGGCATGTGCCTGTGATCTCAGCTACTCAGGAGGCTCAGGCAGAAGAACTGCTTGAACCCGGGAGGCAGAGGTTGAGGTGAGCTGAGATCGCGCCACTGCACTCCAGCCTGGGCGACAGAGTGAGACTGCGTAAAAAAAAAAAAGGCCGGGCGCGGTGGCTAACGCCTGTAATCCTAGCTCTTTGGGAGGACGAGGCGGGCGGATCACCAGGTCAGGAGATCGAGACCATCCTGGGTAACACGGTGAAACCCCATCTCTACTAAAAATAAAAAAAAAAAATTAGCCAGGCGTGGTGGCGCGTGCCTGTAGTCCCAGCTACTCAGGAGGCTGAGGCAGGAGAATGGCGTGAATCCGGAAGGCGGAGCTTACAATGAGCCGAGATCATGCCACTGCACTCCAGCCTGGGCGACAGAGCGAGACTCCGTCTCAAAAAAAAAAAAAAAAAAAAAATGGCTCCCCATTTCTGCTTCACCCCAGTCCCTGGCAACCACCAATCTACTTTCTGTCTCTGTAATTTTGGCAACTCTAAGTACATCACATAAATGGAATCATGTAGTATTTTTCTTTTTATGACTGGCCTATTTCACTTAACATAATGTTCTCAAGGTTTATTCACACTGTAGTATATGTCAGAATTTCCTTCCTTTTAAAGCTGCATATGTATATATAAAATATGTACATATAAGATTATATACATATATATGTATATATGAAATTTTGTGGCCGGGCGCAGTGGCTCACGCCTATAATTCCAGCACTTTGGGAGACCGAAGCGGGCAGATCATTTGAGTTCAGGAGTTCGAGACCAGCCTGGCCAATATGGTGAAACCCCATCTCTACTAAAAATACAAAAATTAGCCGGACGTGGTGGTGGGCACCTGTAATCTCAGCTACTTGGGAGGCTGAGACAGGAGAATCGCTTGAACCTGGGAGGTGGAGATTGCAGTGAGCCGAGATCATGCCATTGCACTCCAGCCTGGACAATAGAGCAAAAGTCACTCTCAAAAAAAAAAAAAAAAAGAAAAGAAAAGAAAAGAAAAAGACATGTTGCTTATCCACTCATCCATTGATGGACACTTGGGTTGCTTAGAGTAAGGTTTTAGTGATCATGAATAATGCTGCTGTTGAGCAGGCACAGTGGCTCACACTTGTAATCCCAGCATCTTGGGAGGTTGAGGCAGGTGGATCAGTTGAGGCCAGGAATTCGAGATCAGCCTGGCCAACATGGCAAAGCCCTGTCTCTACTGAAAATACAAAAATTAGCCGGGTGTGGTTGCACGTGCCTGTAGTCTTAGCTACTCAGGAGGATGAGTCACAAGAATCTCTGGAACCCATGAGGCGGAGGTTACAGTGAGCCAAGATCATGCCACTGCACTCCAGCCTGGGCAACAGAGTGAGACTTTTTCTCAAATAATAATAATAATAATAATAATAATAATAATAATAATAACAGCAATAATAATAATAATGCTGTCAACAAATACAGCTATCTGTCAAGATCCTGCTTTTTAATTGTTTTGGGTATATATACCCAGAAGTGGAATTGCTTGATCATATGGTAATTCTATTTTTAATTTCTTGAGGAACCACCATACTATTTTCCACAGCAGCTGTACCATTTTACTTTCCTACCAACAGTGCACAAGGGTTCCCATTTCTCCAGAACCTCACCAACACTTGTTATTTTCAGTTTCTTTCTTTTTTTTTTTTTAGATGTAGTTTGACTCTTGTCACCCAGGCTGGAGTGCAATGGTATGATCTTGGCTCACTGCAACCTCCGCCTCCCGGGTTCAAGTGATTCTCTTGCCTCAGTCTCCCAAGTAGCTGGGACTACAGGCGTGTGGCAATATGCCTGGCTAATTTTTGTGTTTTTAGTAGAGACGGGGTTTCACCATATCGGCCAGGCTGGTGTTGAACTCCTGACCTCAGGTGATCTGCCCACCTCAGCCTCCCAAAGTGCTGGGATTACAGGTGTGAGCCACCGCACTGGGCCTTTGCCCATTTTTTGAATCAGTCTTTTACTATTGAGTATGATGTTAACTGTGGTAAGGCTTTTATCATGTTGAGATAGTTTCCTTCATTTCCTAGTTTGTTGAGTGAGCTATTTAGTAATTTCAGGTCTGATTAACCCTCATTTGAAGTTTCCTAATTTCTTTTTGTTTCCACATTCCGTTATTCATTACTACTTCTACTAGAGATGAGTGGAAACACAAATTAGTTTTTTCACTTTTTATCAACTTGTAACAAAATATTTGGCGGAGGAAAAGACTGAAATAATTGGTCAAAGTTAGATTTTTTTTTTTTTTCCTGAGACAGGGTCTCACTATGTTGCTCAAGCTGGTCTTGAACTCCTTGGCGCAAGCAATCCTCCTGCCTCAGACTTCCAAGCAGCTGAGATTACAGGTACACATCACCACACCCAGTCAAAGTTAGATTTTTTTTTTTTAGACAGGGTCTCATTCTGTTGCCCAGGCTGAAGTGCAATGGCATGAACATGGCTCACTGTAGCCTTGACCTCCTGGGTTCAAGCGATCCTCCTGCTTCAGTCTCCCAAGTAACTGAGACTACAGGTGTGCACCACCATGCCTGGCTAATTTTTAGATTTTTTGTAGAGATGGGGTCTTACTATGTGATGGTCTTGAACTAGGCTCAAGTGATCCTCCCAAAGTGCTGGGATTATAGGCATGAGCCACTGTGCCTGACCTAGATTTTTTTAATGTTCCAGTTGTTTTCAAATTTTCATGATATTATTAATGCCCTTTAGCATAGATAATTAAGAACTATAATGTCTTTAAGGGATTTGCCGGATTATAATGTGAAAGGGACTCTCTATACTGGAATTTGAATAATTCTAACACATTTATATTGGCATGACTGACATCAAGTATCTACCCACAATTATCTCTTGCTCTGTGACTTCCTTAAAGGTTCTCACATTCCGAATTGGAAATCATCCAGGTGTCCTGAACCCTAGTCCAGCTGTAGAGGTTTTGCAGGTTCGCTTCATTTGTGCCCACCCTGCCAGTATGTCAGTAACTCCAGTATACAAGGTGCCAGCTGGTGCCCAGCCATGTCCTCTGCCACAGCACAACAAATGGCTGGTAAGTACAGAGTATGTTTCCAACTAAGTTGGCACTTTTATATTCCGTGCTTTAGAGATAGAGTCTGGAATTCTTTGGGGTATATATCCAGAAGTAGAATTGCCAGATCATATGGTAATTCTATTTTTAATTTTTTGAGGAACTGCCATACAGTTTTCCACAGCAGCTGTACCATTTTACATTCTTACCAACAGTGCACAAGGGTTCCCATTTCTCCACTTATCAACATTGAATGAACTATTTTACTCATTACTCATTTTCTGATAGTGTCTGAGGAGAGGTGATTAAACTGATTAGAATTGGCTACACTTGTTTACTATACTTAAGTACATAATCAGCTTGTGATAATGGCAATAGACACTTGAGATCTGACTACATAACTTCCAAATTTTGCTGATATCCTTCGCTACCAAATCTTTTATTAACAATATTAATAAATAATAAAATTTACCTCTTCTCCAAACCAATCATGAAGAATAGTGATAAACAATAATGTAGCTACTAAGTAGGCAACAGGGTATGAAAAATAAATGAGTTATCTATCCTAGAAAGTAGAACATCATATTATATAATAAACAATGTTGAGTACAGGTCCAAGCTTGGGAGCATAGAAGTCATTACTTAACCTATACAGAACAATTAGTTATTCCCATTTTCTGGATGAGAAAACCGAGCCTCCTAAAAGTCGATTAATTTTCCCAGTCATAAAGCTAGAAAGGAACACATTCTGTCTGACTCCAAAGTACATGTTATTTATGCCATACTGCCTTTTATTATGAAGAACAACAGTATGGGATGTTACAGGTTGTGAACCCATTTTTTTGAGTCAGACTTCACATCAAATATTATTTGAAGTTTATGAAGGAGTTACTATTTTTTTAGAGCACTCTGAGTGGAGTAGAATAAAAGTTATCCCTATAACATCATTGTCATTCAATGGCATTTTTCTTTTCATTTGAAATAATTCAAATTTACAGGCAAGTTGCAAGAAAAGAACTTTTTTCCCTGAACTATTTGAGAGTGAGTTACAGACATGATTCTCCATCACCCTATTGACATACACTAGCATATATTCACCCTTTTTTTTTTTTTGAGACAGGGTCTCACTGCAGTCATCCAGGCTGGAGCACATGGCACCATCTGCCACCTCAACTTTCCCCAGTCAGTTGATTTTCCCAACTCAACCCCCCAGTTAGCTGGGATTATAGGTGTGTGCCACCATGCTGGCTAATTTTTTGTATTTTTAGTAGAGATGGGGTTTTGCCATGTTGCCCAGGCTGGTCTCGAACTCCTGGGCTCAAGGGATCCACCCACCTCAGTCTCACAAAGTGCTGGGATTAGAGGCGTGAGCTACCGCGTCCAGCAGATCACCCTTTTAAAGTGTTCAAATCAAAGTTGTGCAACCATCGGTGCTATCTAACTTCAGGTCATTTTCATTTTCTCCGGAAGAAACTCCATACCCATTAGCAGTCATTCCTTATTTCCTCCATTTCCTAGCCCCGGCAACCCCACTGATAGACTTTCTGTCTCTATGGATTTGCCTATTCTGACGTTTCATATGAATGGAATAATACAATTATGTGTCCTTTGTGCCTAGCTTCTTTCATTTAGCATGTTTTCAAGTTTCATTGATATGGTAGCCTGTATCAGTAGTGCATTTTTTATGGCTAAGTAATATTCCATTGTGTAGATATACTACATTTTGTTTATCCAGCCATCAGTTGATGGATATATGTGTTGTTTCCACCTTTGGCTATTATGAATAATGCTGCCATGAACATTCATGTACAAGTTTTTTTGTGAGTATATGTCTTCATTTCTCTTGAGTATATAGCTAAGAGTGGAATTGGTGGTTTGTATGTTAATTCCATGCTTAGCCTTTTGAAGAACTTCCAGCTGTTTCCAAAGTGGCTGCACCATTTTACATTTCCACTAGCAGTGTGTGAGGCTTCCAGGTTCTCCATATCCTTGCCAACAATTACTATTATTTGTCATTTTGATTATAGCCTTCCTAGTGGGTATAAAGTGGTATCTCATTGTGGTTTTGATTTGTATTTTCCACTGTCTAATTATGTTGCCCCTTTTTTTTTTTTTTTTTTTGAGATGGAGCTTCATTCTTTTCGCCCAGGCTGGAGTGAAGTGGTGCAATCTCAGCTCACTGCAACCTCCAGCCCCCGGGTTCAAATGATTCTCTTGCCTCATCCTCCTGAGTAGCTAGGATTATAGGTATGCACCACCATGCCCAGCTAATTTTTGTGCTTTTAGTAGAAACGGGGTTTCACCATGTTGGCCAGGCTGGTCTCAAACTCCTGACCTCAGCTGATCCACCCGCCTCGGCCTCCCAAAGTGCTGGGATTACAGGCGTGAGCCACTGTGCCTGGCCTATGTTGTGTATCTTTTTATGTGCTTACTGGCCATTTGTATATCTTCTTTTGACAAATGTATATTCAGATCCTTTGCCAATTTTTAATTGAACTATATGTCTTTTTATTGAGTTGCAAGAGTTCTTCATTTCATATAGTCTACATACAAGTCTCTTTTCAGATATATGATTTGCAAAAATGTTCTCTCATCACATGGGTTATCTTTTACTTTTTTTTTTTTAAGACACAGGGTCTCACTTTTCACTCAAGCTGCAGTGCAGTGACATGATCATAGGTCACTGTAACCTCCAACTCCTGGGCTCAAGCTAACTATCCTCTCACCTCAGCCTCCTAAGTGGCTGGGACTACAGTCACATGCCACCATACCCAGCTAATTTTTTTTTTTTTCTGTAGAGATGAGGTCTCACTATATTGCCCAGGCTGGTCTCAAACTCCTGGCCTCGAATGATACTCCGGCCTTGGCCTCCCAAAGTGCTGGGATTACAGGCATAAGCCACCATGCTTGGCCTCACTTTTCTAATGACATCTTTTGAAGCACAAAAGTTTTTAACTTTGATGAATCCCAATTTATCAATTTTGTTACTATGGTTGTTGTTTGTACTTTTGGTGTCATATCTAATCTAAGAAATCATTGCCTAATCCAAGGGCATGAAGATTTATGCCTTTGATTTATTCTATGAGTTTTATAGTTTTAACTCTTACATTTAGCTCTCTGATCCACTTTGAGTTCATTTTTATGGTGTGAGGTAGGGATCTAACTTCATTATTGTGTTTTGGTTTTGTTTTGTTTTTTTCTTTTCTTTTCTTTCTTTCTTTTTTTTTTTTGAGACTGAGTCTCACTCTATTGCCCAGGCTGGAGTGCAGTGGTGTGATCTTGGCTCACTGCAATCTCTGCCTCCTGGGTTCAAGTTATTCTCATGCCTCAGCCTCCCCAGTAGCTGGAATTACAGGTGCCCGCCACCATGCCTGGCTAATTTTTGTATTTTTAGTAGAGACAGGGTTTCACCATATTGGCCAGGCTGGTCTCAAACTCCTGATCTCAAATGATCTGCCCGCCTTGGCCTCCCAAAGTGCTGGGATTACAGGCATGAGCCACTGTGCCCAGCCTCACTTCATTTTTTTTACATGTTGGTATCCACTTGACACAGCACCATTTGTTTAAAAGATTATTTCTTATACCTTGAGTTGTCTTGGCACTCTTGTTGCAAATCTGTTAACCATAAACATGAGAGTTTATTTTTGGACTCTAAAATCTATTAATCTATACATCTTTATGTCAGTACCACACTGTCTTGATCACTGTAGTTTTGTAGTAAGTTTTGAGGTTGGGAAGTATGAATTTTGCAACTTTGTTCTTTTTCAATATTATTTTGGCTATTCTGGGTCCCTTGCATTTCCACATAAATTTTTAGGGTCAGCTTGTCAAAGCCAGCAGAGATTTTGATAGGGATTGCATTGAATCTGTAGATCAGTTTGAGGAGTATTGCCATTTTGATAATATTGCCTTTTGATTTATGAACATGGATGTCTTTCTGTTTATTGGTATCTTTAATTTCTTTCAACAATGTTTCCTGTTTAGAGTATACAAGTTTTACACTCATTAGATTTATTCCTAAATATTTTGCTTTTTTGATGCTATCATAATTGGAATTTTTTCTTTATTTTATTTTATTTATTTATTTTTTTTGAGATGGAGTCTTGCTCTGTCGCTGAGGCTGGAGTGCAGTGGTACGATCTCGGCTCACTGCAAGCTCTGCCTCCTGAGTTCACACCATTCTCCCGCCTCAGCCTCCCGAGTAGCTGGGACTACAGGCGCCCACTACCAAGCCTGGCTATTTTTTTTTTGTATTTTTAGTAGAGACAGGGTTTCACCTTGTTAGCCAGGATGGTCTCAAGCTCCTGATCTCATGATTCACCCACCTCAGCCTCCCAAAGTGCTGGGATTACAGGAGTGAGCCACTGCACCTGGCCTTTAGTTTTATTTTTAGGCCAGGTGCTGTGGCTCACGCCTGTAATCCCAGCACTTTGGGAGGCCGAATTGGGTGGATCATCTAAGGTCAGGAGTTCAAGACCAGCCTGGCCACTGTGGCTGGTAACTCATTGGTTATTTAGGAGTATTTTTAATTTCCACACATTTGTGAATATTCCAGATTTCCTGTTACTGATTTCTAATTTCACTCCACTGTGATTAGAGAACATATTTTTAAATTTAAATCCTCCCCCCAACCCCAGCCTTTTTTTTTTTTTAAAGAAATATGGGTCCCAGCTGGATGCAGTGGCTCATGCTTGTAATCCCAGCACTTTGGAAGGCCAAGGCAGGTGGATCACTTGAGCCCAGGAGTTGGAGACCAGCCTGGGCAACATGGCAAAACCCCATCTCTACCAAAAATACAAAAATTAGCCAGTCTTGTAACCTGGTCTCAAAATAAATAAATAAATAAATAGACAAAAATTTTTTAAAAATAAAGCAAGGTCTCCACCAGCCTGGACAATATAGTGAGACCTTGTCTGTACAAAAAATTTAAGGCCGGGTGCGGTGGCTCATGCTTCTAATCCCAGCACTTTGGGAGGCTGACGTGGGAGGATCACTTGAGGTCAGAAGTTCAAGACCAGCCTGGCCAACACGGTGAAACCCCATCTCTACTAAAAATACAAAAATTAGTCAGATGTGGTGGCATTTGCCTGTGAGTCCAGCTACTCAGGGGGCTGAGGTATGAGAATCGCTTGAACCCAGGAGATGGAGGTTGCAGTGAACCGAGATCACACCACTGCACTCCAGTTTGGGCAACAAAGCAAGACTGTGTCTCAAAAAAAAAAAAAAAATTAAAAATTAGCCAAGCATGGTAACGTGCTCCTGTAGTCCCAGCTACTGGGGAGGCTGAGGTGGGAGGATTGCTTGAGCCAGGTAAGTGGAAGCTCCAGTGAGCCAAGATTGCGCCACTGCACTCCAGCCTGGGTGACAGAGTGAGACTCTG
The DNA here is from genome assembly GCF_000001405.40 of Homo sapiens. NCBI lineage: Eukaryota > Metazoa > Chordata > Mammalia > Primates > Hominidae > Homo > Homo sapiens. The sequence goes on along the minus strand of NC_000001.11, from coordinate 154,084,061 downwards.
TCTCAAAAAAAAAAAAAAAAAAAGAAAGGAAAAGGAAAGAAAAAACAACAGGGTTTACCACCCTGTTGAGACTACCACCATCTCTAAATTGCACTGGTTAACTTTTACCCTTAGTAACTGAACACAGCACAGCTGCAGTTTCATACCATTCATGACAAGGTAGCCACCCAGGAATTAAAGGTTCCTCATCCCCCACCCTTTCATCCTTTCTCATCCCAAACCACCGTTTCTGTGCCACAGTGCCATTCTATCAAATCCCACCTCAATCACACCAATTGTTCAGGAAAAACTCTCAAACTGTGTTTTTCCTCTGCCCTCACACCACCACAACAATCATTAACACAGAAGATTTCTGTTTCATGAAAAATATGAGAGAGGGAAGAAGAAAAAAGAAGACTTCTGTAACCAAACGTATGGGTTTTTTCCCCACACATCAAGCAGCAGACACCAGCTGGGTGTTCTCCAATTCAATTCTGACACTATCTACCTGGAGTTACTGTCAGATCTCACAGGTTGAGGGCTCAGTCACCAAGACTGCCCACACCTAAGACACAAGTTGCAAATCCAGGCCTCCAGAACTTCTGACCAACTGGCCTCTAGTTGGGGTTCCCCTGACCTCTTTGGGTTCAATTAATTTGCTGAAGTTGAGAGGTGAAGCCAGCTGGGCTTCTGGGTCTGGTGGGGACTTGGAGAACTTTACTGTCTAGCCAAAGGATTGTAAACACATCAATCAGCACTCTGTAAAAACACACCAATCAGCGCTTTGTGTCTAGCTAAAGGTTTGTAAATGCACCAGTCAGCACACTGTAAAAATGGACCAATCAGTGCTCTGTAAAATGGACCAATCAGCACTCTGTAAAATGGACCAATCAGCAGGATGTGGGCGGGGCCAAATAAGGGAATAAAAGCTGGCCACCGAGCCGACAGTGGCAACCTGCTCGGTTGCTTTTCTGTGCTGCGGAATATTTGTTCATTTGGTCTTCACAGTAAATCTTGCTGCTTCTTACTCTTTGGGTCCACACTACCTTCATGAGCTGTAACACTCACCACGAAGGTCTGCAGCTTCACTCCTGGAGTCAGCGAGACCACAAACCCACCAGGAGGAATGAAGAACTTCTGATGTGCCACCTTTAAGAGCTGTAACACTAACTGTGAAGGTCTGCAGCTTTACTCCTGAAGCCAGCGAGATGATGAACCCACTGGGAGGAATGACCAAGTCCAGACGTGCCACCTTTAAGAGCTGTAACACTCAAGGCGAAGGTCTACAGCTTCACTCCTGAAGTCAGCGAGACCAGGAACCCACCAGAAGGAAGAAACTCTGGACGCATCTGAAGGAACAAACTCCGTTTCTGACCAGTTCCGTAATTGGTCAAGAACCTACCAGAAGGAACCAATTACGGAAGCAGAGTGACTCATGGAACTCAGGGAAATATTTACTTATGTTTACCAGTTTATTATAAAGGATATTGTAAAGGATACAGATGAAGAGATACATAGGGTGAGATATAGGGATGGGGCGTGGAGCTTCCATGCCCTCACTGAGCATGCCATCCTCTGGGAATCTCCACCTGTTCAACTATCTACAAGCTCTAACTATTATTGAATTGTCTATTTCTTCCTCAATTCTGTCAGGTTTTGCTTCATGTATTTTGAGGCTCTGTTATTAGGTACATACGCATTTACAATTGTTACATCTTTTTAATAGATTGACCTTTGGCAATACCACAATGCAATTCTGACACCAATATGCAGTTAGCTGACTCCACGGTTTTAAAGGCACAGTTCCCAACAAGACTGCCCTCACTTCAGATGATAGTTGCAAATGGGGGGACTCACAGGCTACCCACTCTTATGACCAACAAGTTTGGTAATTTGTTAGAATGACTCACAGTTTCGTTATAAAGGATACAAATCATTTTGTGTCCTTTTGAGAAAAATCTTCAGAGAGTCCCAGACACGCAGCGTCCATGCCCTCTCCATGGGATTAGGATCTGGTGAAAACATAACAGGTGGAACACATCAATGTGTTTACCAAACAGGAAATTCCACTGAGTTTTGGTGTCCAATGTTTTTTGTTTTTTGACACAGGGTCTCACTCTGTTGCCCAGGCTGAGTGCAATGGCGTGATTATGGCTTGCTGCAGCCTCACTTCCTGGGCTTAAGTGATCCTCCCACCTCAGCCTCTAGAGGAGCTGGGACCACAGGTCTGTGCCATTACACTCAGCTAATTTTAAAATTTTTCTGTAGAGTCAGGGTCTCACTGGGTTGCCCAGGCTGGTCTTGAACTCCTGGGCTCAGGCAGTCTTCCTGTCTCGGCCTCCCAATGTGCTGGGATTGTAGGTGTGAACCACCATGCCCAGCTCCAGCGTTTTATTGGGATATTATTATGTAAACATGATTAATTATGTAAACATGATTAATTGAATAATTGGCCACGTGATTAAACTCCATCACCAGCCCTCCTCTTTTCCCTGGAGGTGGGGCTGCTATCACCTGACCCAAAACCTCATCCTTCTAATCACATGATTGGTCTTTCTGTCCTTATCCAACTCCATCCTGAGTCATCTCATTAGCATAAACTCAAATGTTATCCAAGGGGGCCACCATAAATAACAGACACAATCCTATTACTCAAGAAATTCCAAAGGTTTAGGGGTTACCTCCCAGGAACTGAGGACAACCTCTTTATTATAGATTATTATTTTATCATTATAAAATGACCTTTTCTTTAGTAACAATTTTTGTATTAAAGTCTGTTTTGTCTGATGTTAGTGTAACTACCTCAGCTCTCTTTTGGCTACTGTTTGCATGATACATCTTTTTTTTTTTTCCATCCTTATACTTGTGACCCATGAGTGTCTCTTGCAGACAACATATAGCTGGGCCATTTAAAAATTTCATTATGCTAATCAGACTTTTCATGGAACATAAAATTTATTTATACTTAATGTAATTACTGATAAGGTAGGCATTATGTCTGCCATTTTGCTATTTGTTTTCTATATGTCATATGTCTTTTCTGTTCCTCTTCTTCCATTTCTTCCTTCTTTTTCTTTTCTTTTTTTTTCTTTTCTTTTTTTTTTTTTCGGAAGCACAGTCTTGCTCTGTTGCCCAGGTTGGAGTATGGTGGCACTATCTCGACTCACTGCAACTTATACCTCCCAGGTTCAAGCAATTCTCCTGTCTCACCCTCCTGAGTAGCTGGGAATCCAAGAGCACATGCCACCATGCCCAGCTAATTTTTGTATTTTTAGTAGAGACGAGGTTTCATCATATTGGTCAGGCTGGTCTCAAACTCCTGACTTTGACTGATTTACCTGCCTTGGCCTCCCAAAGTGCTGGGTGTTTTTGTTGTTGTTATTTATTTATTTATTTATTTGAGATGGTCTCGCTCTGTCGCTTAGGCTGGAGTGCAGTGGTGCCATCTCTGCTCCCTGCAACCTCTGCCTCCTGGGTTCAAGTGATTCTCCTCAGAATCTCCTCCCAAGTAGTTGGGACTACAGGTGCACGCCACCGTGCTTGGGAAATTTTTTGGTATGTTTGGTAGAGACAGGGTTTCATCATATTGGTCAGGCTGGTCTCAAATTCCTGAATTCCTGACCTCAAGTGACCCGCCCACCTTGGCCTCCCAAAGTGCTGGGATTACAGGTGTGAGCCACTGCGCCCAGTCATTTCTTTCTCCTTCTTCCTTTTTTTTTTTTTGAGATGGAGTCTTGCTCTGTCGCCCAGGCTGGAGTGCAATGGCATGATCTTGGTTCACTGCAACCTCCGCCTCCCAGGTTCAAACGATTGTCCTGCCTCAGCCTCCCGAGTAGCTGGGATTACAGGCATGCGCCACAATGCCTGGCTCATTTTTGTATTTTTAGTAGAGATGGAGTTTTGCCATGTTGGCCAGGCTGGTCTCAAACTCCTGACCTCAGGTAATCCACCCATCTCGGCCTCCCAAAGTGCTGGGATTACAGGTGTGAGCCACCATGCCCAGCCTCTTCCTTCTTCTGTGTTAGACATTTTCTAGTGTACTATTTTAACTGCTTTATTTTTTCTTTTACTATATTTTTGTGTATATGTGAATGATATTTTACTTAGCCACTTTTGTTTACAACTGAAACTCTAGGAATTTAAAATTAGCATCCTTGCCTGTGAGCTTTCTTTATAAATACCAAAAATGTTTCAGCCTTGTGCTCCACATTGTCCTGCTATGCTTTGTCCAGATGAACCTTTATGAGCCCACTGCTCATATTCTGTTGCCCATAGTTTCACATGGGAAGACCAAGTGATCTTGACCTTGACCAAGAGATCTTGACCTTGACCAAGATCAATGGTTCATTGTGTACAGCTATTAGAATGCACCTCCTGGAACATTTTTGCTTTTTTTTTTTGTATGGCTTTTTTGAATTGGCTTAGGCAGAATTCTCATCTAACAAATAAAGATAATGTGCTTCTCATTGAACTTTTTCTCCCATTCACATGCTAGGTAGAACTTAGATTTTCTGTAAAGATTTCAGTTGAGATATGGGGACAAACATTATGATAGTTCGTGACTACCACCAACTTCAATTTCTTTGGCTGCTGTTCTATTCAACTCCCTTAGCTGAGCCTTAAGGTCCCAGTTTATTTCCAGGTTAAAGAAGAGCCTGAGAAGCCAGGTATGGTGTCGGACACCTGTAGTCCCAGCTAGTTGGAAGGTGAGGTGGGAGCTTGCTTAAGCCCAGGAGTTTGCTCCTAGCCTGGGCAATATAGCAAGACCCCTCTCAAAAAAAAATTTTAATGTAAAATTTTTATTATTTTATTTACTTTTTTTTTGAGATAGGTTTTCACTCTATCTCCCAGACTGTAGTGCAGTGCTGCAGTCATAGCTCACTGCAGCCTTGAACTCTTCGGCTCAAGTGATCCTCCCACCTCAGCCTCCTGAGTAGCTAGGACTATAGGCATGAGGCACCATGCCTGACTAATTTTTATTTTTTGCCCAGGCTGGTTTTGTGCTCCTGGCCTCAAGCAATCCTTCCACCTTGGCCTCCCAAAGTTCTGGGATTACAGACGTGAGCCACCATGCTCAGCCAAAATTTTTGTTTAAAGGAAAGAAAGGAAGTACTCCAAAGTTCTTTCCTTACAAAATAAATAAATAAGAAAAGCCTGAGCAATGCTGGCCTCAAACTTATTCAGCTTTTCATCACTGGGCTTCATGATGAACTGCATGGCCTTCTTGTTTAGTGTTGGCTTAGGGAGCTGTGTTGTTTTGAGTGATTTTATTAATTATTGCCCTAAGGATTACAATTAACATCTTAATCTTTAGTAACCTAGTTTGGCATCATACCAACTTAATTTCAGTAGTGTATAAAACCTTTGCTCCGATATAAACCCATTTCCTGTCCCTTGTTTGTGCTGTTTTTGTCATATAAATTACATTTTTATATACTATGCCCATCAAACCAGTAAATATATATATTGTTTTCTTTTTTTTTTTTTTGAGACAGATTCTCACTTCGTTGCCCAGGCTGGAGTGCAGTGATGTGATCATAGTTCACTGCATTCTCTGCCTCCCAGGCTCAAGTGATTCTCCTGCTTCAGCCTCCTGAGTAGCTGGGATTACAGGTGTGTGCCACCACATCCAGCTAATTTTTGTATTTTTAGTAGAGACAGGGTTTCACCACGTTGGCCAGGCTGGTCTTGAACTCCTGACCTCAAATGATCCACCCACCTCGGCCTTCCAAAGTGTTGGGATTACAGGCATGAGCCACTGTACCTGGCCTTTTTTTTTGGAGATAGGATCTTCCTCTGTTTTCCTGGCTGATTCATGGTTCACCGTAACCTCCACCTCCCCAGCTCAAAGGATCCTCCCACCCCAGCCTCCCTAGTAGCTGGGACTACAGGTACACGCACGCCACTGTGCCTAGCTAATTTTTGTAATTTTTTTTTTTTTGTAAAGATGAGGTCTCGCTGTGTTGCCCAGGCTGGTCTTGAACTCCTGGGCTCAAGCGATCCGCCCACCTCGACCTCCCAAAGTGCTGAGATTACAGGCTTGAGCCACCACACAGCCTATAATTATTACTTTATAAATATTTTTTTCTTTTTTCTTTGAGACTGAGTCTCACTCTGTTGCCCAGGTTAGAGTGCAGTGGCGTGATCTTGGCTCACTGCAACCTCCGCCTCCTGGGTTCAAGCAATTCTCCTGTCTCAGCCTCCCAAGTAGCTGGGACTGCAGATGCATGCCACCATGACTGGCTAATTTTTGTATTTTTAGTAGAGACAGGGTTTTACCATATTGGTCAGGCTGGTCTCAAACTTCTGACCTCAGGTGATCCACCCACCTCAGCCTCCCTAACTGCTGAGATTATAGGCGTGGACCACCGCACCCGGCCATATATTTTTCTTTTAAATCAGATAGAAAAAAAGAATAATTACAACCGAAAATACATTTATACTGTCCTTTATATTTACCTATGTAATTATCTTTTCCAGATTATTTCTTCATGGTGATTCAAGCTATTGTCTAGTGACCTTTCATTGCATCCTGAAGGACTCCCTTTAGTATTTCTTGTAAGACAGGTCTGCTAGCAATAAATTCTCTCCATTTTTGTTGGATCTTAGAATGTCTTAATTTCTCCATTTTTGAAGGATTATTCTGCCCAATATAGAATTGTTGGCTGGCAGTCTTTTTATTTTATTTTATTTTATTTTATTTTTATTTATTTTTTTGAGACAGAGTATCGCTGTGTCACCCAGGCTGGAATGATCTCGGCTTATTGCAACCTCTGCCTCCTGGATTCAAGCAATTCTTGTGCCTCAGCCTCCTGAGTAGCTGAGACTACAGGCCCACACCACCACGCCTGGCTAATTTTTTGGATTTTTAGTAGAGACGGGGTTTCACCATGCTGCCCAGGCTGGTCTCAAACTCCTGAGCTCAGGCAATCCACCTGCCTCGGCCCCCCAAAGTGCTAAGATTACAAGCGCGAGCCACTGCACCTGGCCCTTTTTCTTTTACTTTGAATGTGTCATCTCACTGCCTTCTGGTCCTCATGGTTTCTGATGAAAGATCAGCTATTAATCCCATGGAAGATCCCTTATGAGGGGTGAATCCCTTCCCTTTCTGTTTTTATGATTCTGTCTTTGACTCTGGACAGATTGATTATGATGTGTCTAGATGTAGATCTTTTTGAATTTATTCTGCTTGATGTTGATGGATTGATGTTGTTTGAGCTTCTTGAATGTTTAATGGTTTTCATCAATTTGGTAAGTTTTGGCCATTATTTCTTCAAATATTCTTTCTTCCTCTATTCTTCTATCTCCTCTCCTTCTAGCACTCCGTTTTTGCATATACTGGTACGTATGATGGTGTCCCACAGGTCTCTGATGTTTGTTCTTTTTTTTCATTCTTTTTTCTTTTTATTCATCAGACTGGATAATCTCAGTTGACCTAGCTTCAAGTTCTCCAATTCTTTCTTCAGCCTGTTCAAATCTGCTGTTGAATTCCTCTAGTTAATTTTTCATTTCAATTATTGTACTTTTCAACTTCAGAATTTCTTTTTGGTTCTTTTTTGTTATAACTTCTATCTCTTTATTGGTATTCTCTGTGTAATGTGATAGCACTTTTGTATTTTCCTTTAGTTAGTCAAACATGAATACCTTTAGTTCTTTGGACATTAAAGTTAATTAGAAGTCTGGCCGGGCACAGTGGCTCATGTTTGTAATCCCAGCACTTTGGGAGGCTGAGGTGGGTGGATCATGAGGTCAGGAGTTCAAGACCATCCTGGCCAATCTGATGAAACCCTGTCTCTACTAAAAATACAAAAATTAGCCGGGCGTGGTGGCACACGCCTGTAGTCCCAGCTACTAGGGAGGCTGAGGCAGGAGAATCACTTGAACCTGGGAGGTGGAGGTTGCAGTGAGCTGAGATCATGCCACTGCACTCCAGCCTGGCAACAGAGTGAGACTCTGTTTCAAAAAAAAAAAAAAAAAAAAGAAGTCTTTGTCTGGCCCAGGCATGGTGGCTCATACCTGTAATTCCAGCACTCTGGGAGCCTGAGGTGGACGGATCCTTTGAGTCCAGGAATTCGAGACCAGCCTGAGTGACATGGCAAAACCCCACCTCTGCAAAAATACAAAAATTAGCCATGCATGGTGGTGCATGCCTGTAGTCTCAGCTACTTGGGAGGCTGAGGTGGGAGGATTGCTTGAGTCCAGGAGGCAGAGGATGCAGTGAGCTATGATTGCATCACTGCATTCCAGCCTGGGCAATGAAGTAAGACTCCATCTCAAAAAAGGAAAAAAAAAAAAGAAGTATTTGCCTTGTAAGCTCAATGTCTGGGCATTCTCAAGGCAGTTTCTATGGAAACTGCTTTTATTCTCATGTATGGACCATACTTATTTCTTTACATTTCTAATAATCTTTTGTTAAAAACTCAACATTTTATATAATATAATGTAGCAACTCTGAAATCAGATTCTTCTCCTCCCCTGGTTTTGTGGCTGCTTTTGTTTTTTGTTTTTGCTGAGAACATTTATTTAGTGTCTTTTCTGAACTAGTTCTGTAACATCTGTACTCTTTGACCTATGTGGCCACTAAAAGTCTCTGCTTAGTTAGCTTCATGGTCAGCTAATTATTGGCAAATATTTATTTGTGTTCCTGGTATTTTAATTGAGATTATGTTAAATTTATTTATTAACTTGGAGTAAGTGGAATATTTATGATGTTGAGTCATTGAGTCATCTTGTCAAAGAATGTGTATATGTGTGTGTATATATATGTATACGTGGGTATGTCTCACATATATATGAGAGCTTAGAGACATGTTTTAAAATTGCTGTACAACTCATACTTTTTTAAAACAAATTTTATTTACAAGCTCTGTTCACTGAAAGGGCCTATAACCCAATAGTGATGTACAAACATCTGGGTTTCTAAATACTAGTCCCCATTTAAAGGAATCAGAGCCTCTTGGAGAACTAGTTGATTCCAGCTCAGTAGGGAAAGTGAACAATGAGTCTCAAACAACTTGCGTTAGAAAGCAAAGAAGTGCTCAAAGAGTAATGGTGACTTCTCAAAAAGCAGCTGGCTTGAAGGGACCCCTACTCTCCAAATTGTAGATAATCTGAGCATCCAAAAAATAATGGCAGAGGGTTGAAAAATTACCTATTGAGTACAATGTTTACTACAGTAAAAGCCCAGACTTCACCATTGTGTCATACATGCATGTAAGAAATCTGCACTTGTACCCCTTAAATATATCTTTTAAAAAATAATGACAGAAATATCAACTTAAAATTCATGATCCCAGCGGGGTGCGGTGGCTTACGCCTGTAATCCCAGAACTTTGGGAGGCCGAAGCAGGTAGATCACAAGGTCAGGATTCGAGACCAGCCTGGCCAACATAGTGAAACCCCGTCTCTACTAAAAGTACACAAAAAATTAGCCAGGCGTAGTGGCGGGTGCCTGTAGTCCCAGCTACTAGGGAGGCTGAGGCAGGAAAATCACTTGAACTGGGGAGGCAGGGGTTGCAGTGAGCCGAGATCGTGCCACTGCACTCCATCCTTGGTGACAGAGTGAGACTCCGTCTCAAAAAAAAAAAAAAAAAATCGTGATCCCATAGTGATGCTCAAGGTTACAAGAGAAAAATGAAGGAAGAAAGAGACAGAAGGAGGGAGAAAGAGAAGAAAAATAAATTGAGGAAGGAAGAGAAGGAGGGATGGAAGAGAAAAAAGGATGCTTTTTTCCAGGAAAATACCAGCTTATATAAAATGAATCATAGAATTAGAAATTTATGATTTTGTAATCCTCCTTGTAATAATTGATCCTGGCAAAGATCATCAATGGATATTAAGACTAGTAAGTGAAAGCCTGTTGGGAAATGGGATAGTCTCAAGATTTCAAATTATCACCCACAGAGGGGAAACCATACCTTTATACTGGAGAGATCTCCAGTGGCAGTCACCACCTTCAGCAGATAATCAAATTTGGCATCACTAATAGTGGTACAACCTGATATTATGTGCAAGTAAATTTTTAACAGACTCTCCAAAACAAAAAACAACGACAAAAAAAAAAAACTTAGGGGGACCCAATTTGTAACATGTGCCAAATTCTATGGTGTTAATACTCCCATCATGGCCGATTTCAGGTTACCAATATGATATCACTATTCAGAGTTGTCAAGAGATGCTAACAATCAGCTTACCTATGAGCCTGCTCCAGTATACCATTGAATTTATTTATTTATTTATTTATTTATTTATTTATTTATTTATTTATTGAGACAGAGTCTCACTCTGTCGCCCAGGCTGGAGTGCAGTGGTCCATTCTCGGCTCACTGCAACCCCCACCTCCCAGGTTCAAGCGATTCTCGTGCCTCAGCCTCCTGAGTAGCTGGGACTACAGGCATGCACCACCATGCCCGGCTAATTTTTGTGTTTTTAGTAGAGACAGGGTTTCGCCATGTTAGCCAGGCTGGTCTCGAACTCCTGACCTCAAGTGATCTGCTCGCCTTGGCATCCCAAAGTGCTGAGATTACAGATATAAACCACGATGCATGGCCCTTATTTATTTATTTATTTGAGATGGTCTCACCTAGGGTAGAGGGCAGTGGTGCAATCATAGCTCACTGTAACCTTGAACTTGGGCTCAAGCGATCCTTCCACCTCAGTTTCTCAAGTAGCTGCGACTACAGGTGCACACCATCATATGTGACTAATCTTTTTTATTTTTTGTAGGGATGTGGGTTTCATACTTTGGGAGGCCGAGGTGGGAGGATTGCTTGAGCCCAGGAGTTCAAGACCAGCCCTGGCAACACAGTGAGACCCCGTCTCTACAAAAAATAAAAAAATTCTTGCAGCAGTAAGGTGATATCACATTGTGGTTTTGATGTGCATTTCCCTGATCATTAGTGATGCTGAGCATTTTTTCATATGTTTGTTGTCCATTTGTATATTTTCTTTTGAGAATTGTCTGTTCACATCCTTAGCCCACTTTTTGATGAGGTTGTTTGTTTTTTCCTTGCTAATTTGTTGGAGTTCATTGTAGATTCCGGATATTAGTTCTTTGTCAGATGTATAGATCGTGAAGATTTTCTCCCACTCTGTGGGTTGTCTGTTTACTCTACTGACTGTTCCTTTTGCTGCGCAAAAGCTCTTTAGTTTAATTAAGTTCCAGCTATTTATCTTTGTTTTAATTGCATTTGCTTTTGGGTTCTTGATCATGAAATCCTTGCCTAAGCCAAAGTCTAGAAGGGTTTTTCCAATGTTATCTTCTAGAATTTTTATAGTTTCAAGTCTTAGATTTTAGTCCTTGATCCATCTCGAATTGATTTTTGTATAAGGTGAGGGATGAGGACCCAGTTTCATTCTCCTACATGTGGCTTGCCAGTTATCCCAGTACCATTCGTTAAATAGGGTGTCATTTCCCCACATTATGCTTTTGTTTGCAAGAATGGCCATAATTGCCAGGCGCGGTGGCTCACGCCTGTAATCCCAACACTTTGGGAGGTCAAGGCGGGCGGATCATGAGGTCAGGAGATCAAGACCATCCTGGCTAACACGGTGAAACCCCATCTCTACTAAAACTACAAAAAATTAGCCGGTCGTGGTGGCAGACGCCTGTAGTCCCAGCTACTCGGGAGGCTGAAGCAGGAGAATGGCATGAACCCGGGAGGTGGAGCTTGCAGTGAGCCGAGATCTCACCACTGCACTCTAGCCTGGGCAACAGAGCGAGACTCCGTCTCAAAAAAAAAAAAAAAAAAAAAAAGGAATGGCCATAATTAAAATAAAAAAATACAAAAAATAATAGATGTTGGTGTAAATATGGTGAACAGGGAACACTTTATGCTGCTGGTCAAAATGTAAACTAGTACAGCCACTATGGAAAACAGTGTGGAGATTCCTTAAAGACCTAAAAGTAAAGCTACCATTTGATCCAGCAATCCCAGTGCTGGGTAGCTACCCAGAGGAAAAGAAGTCATTATATGAAAAAGATACTTGCACACATGTTTATAGCAGCACACTTTGAAATTGCAAAAATGTGGAACCAACTGAGATGCCCATCAATTAACGAGTGGATAAAGAAACTGTGATACACACACACACACACACACACACACGCGATGGAATACTACTCAGCCATATAAAGGAATGAATTAGGGCCAGACGTGGTGGCTCACGCCCGTAATCTCAGCGCTTTGGGAGGCCGAGGTGGGCAGATCACGAGGTCAGGGGATTGAGACCATCCTGGCTAACATGGTGAAATCCCGTCTCTACTAAAAATACAAAAAAATTAGCCGGGCATAGTGGCACGTACCTGTAATCCCAGCTACTTGGAAGGCTGAGGCAGGGGAATCGCTTGAACCCAGGAGGCGGAGGTTGCAGTGAGCCAAAATTGTGCCACTGCACTCCAGCCTGGGTGACAGAGCAAGACTCTATCTCAAAAAAAAAAAAAAAAAAAAAAAAAAGGAATGAATTGATGGTATTTGCAGCAACCTGGATGGGATTGGAGACTATTATTCTAAGTGAAGTAGCTCAGGAATGGAAAACCAAACATCGTGTGCTCTTACTCATAAGTAGGAACTAAACTATGAGGATGCAAAGGCAAAAGAATGGCACAATAGACTTTGGGGACTCGGGGGAAAGGTGGAGGGGGGTAAGAGATAAAAGACTACAAGTTGGGTCCACTGTATACTTCTTGGGTGATGAGTGCACCAGAATCTCACAAATCATCACTAAAGAACTTACTTGTAACCAAATACCACCTGTTCCCCAAAAACTTACGGACATAAAAAAATTTAAAAATTAAAATTAATAAAAATTAAAAAAAAGTTATCCAGGTGTGGTGGCACGCACCTGTAGTCCTAGCTACTCAGGCGACTGAATTGGGAGGATGGCTTGAGCCTGGAAGGTTGAGGCTGTAATGAGCCATGGTCACACTGCTATACTCCAGCCCATGCAACTGAGAGATACCCTGTCTCAAAAAAAAAACAAAAAACAAAAAACAAAACAAAACAAAAAACTGGCCTGGACTTTACAAAAAATTCAATATCATGAAAAACAATAACAAAAAAGGGCAAATGTGCCTTTTCTAGATTAAAATATACCAAAAAGGTAAACAATCAAATACAATGCATACATACACCTTGATTAACTTCTAGATCTAAACTAAAAAACGTATAAAAATATTTTGGGGCGACATTTTGGGGAATGGAAATATTGACTATACATTTGCTGACATTGAATTAGTGTTAATATTATTGTGTGTGATATCCTGTTTCTTACATAGCAGAATGTTCTCGTATTCTTAGGATACATGCTGAAATAGTTAGGGGTGAAGTGCAATGATGCCTACATCAACAAAACAAAATAACAGCCATATATGGAAGGTGAGGAAGGAGAGGGAGAGAGAGAAAAGGCAATGTAACTAAATATTAAGAACTGGTGAATCCAGGTGAAGTGTATGTATATAGGTATTTATTATATTGTTCTTTCAATAGCTATAAGTTTGCAAATTTTTAAGGTAAAAATATTGAGAGAAAACTCGATTCCTAGCTTTAGAGATATCTTACTACCCCTTAGGCTATTGATTTTTAAATTGTTGTTTTATTACTTTTTATTTTAATGCAGATTCCTGTATCAAGACTGAGGGACACAGTCCTGGAACTAGCAGTGTTTGATCAACATAGGAGAAAGTTTGATAATTTCAGTTCACTAATGCTAGAATGGAAATCCTCCAATGAAACACTAGCCCATTTCGAAGATTATAAATCAGTGGAAATGGTAGCAAAAGATGATGGCAGTGGGCAGACCCGGTTACATGGTATTGTGAAAATATACAAGTCTTTTCATATACCTGAGTGTTTTTTTGTTTGTTTGTTTTGTTTTGTTTTGTTTTTTGCTTTAAGTTCTAGGGTACATGTGCACAACGTGCAGGTTTGTTACATATGTATACATGTGCCATGTTGGTTTGCTGCACCCATTAATTTGTCATTTACATTAGGTATTTCTCCTGATGCTATCTCTCCCCCATCCCCGCACCCCATGATAGGCCCTGGTGTGTGATGTTCCCCGCCCTGTGTCCAAGTGTTCTCATTGTTCAATTCCCACCTCTGAGAGAGAACGTGCGGTGTTTGGTTTTCTGTCCTTGTGATAGTTTGCTCAGAATGATGGTTTCAAGCTTCATCCATGTCCCTACAAAGGACACGAACTCATCCTTTTTTATGGCTCCATAGTATTCCATGGTGTATATGTGCCACATTTTCTTAATCCAGTCTATCATTGATGGACATTTTGGTTGGTTCTAGGTCTTTGCTATTGTGAATAGTGCTGCAATAAACATACGTGTGCATGTGTCTTTATAGTAGCATGATTTATAATCCTTTGGGTATATACCCAGTAATGGGATGGCTGGGTCAAATGGTATTTCCAGTTCTAGATCCTTGAGGAATCGCCACACTGTCTTCCACAATGGTTGAACTAGTTTACAGTCCCACCAACAGTTTAGTAAAAGCGTTCCTATTTCTCCACATCCTCTCCAGCATCTGTTGTTTCCTGACTTTTTAGTGATTGCCATTCTAACTGGTATGAGATGGTATCTCATTGTGGCTTTGATTTGCATTTCTCTGATGACCAGTGATGATGAGCATTTTTTCATGTATCTGTTGGCTGCATAAATGTCTTCTTTTGAAAAGTGTCTGTCCATATCCTTTGCCCACTTTTTGATGGGGTTGTTTGATTTTTTTCTTGTAAATTTGTTTAAGTTCTTTGTGGATTCTGGATATTAGCCTTTTGTCAGATGGGTAAATTGCAAAAATTCTCTCCCATTCTGTAGGTTGCCTGTTCACTCTGATGGTAGTTTCTCTGGCTGTGCAAAAGCTCTTTAGTTTAATTAGATCCCATTTGTCTATTTTGGCTTTTGTTGCCATTGCTTTTGGTGTTTTAGTCATGAAGTCCTTGCCCATGCCTATGTCCTGAATGGTATTGCCTAGGTTTTCTTCTAGGGTTTTTATGGTTTTAGGTCTAACATTTAAGTCTTTAATCCATCTTAAATTAATTTTTGTATAAGGCGTAAGGAAGGGATTCAGTTTCAGCTTTCTTTCTTTTTTTATTTTATTATTATTATACTTTAAGTTTTAGGGTACATGTGCACAATGTGCAGGTTAGTTACATATGTATACATGTGCCATGCTGGTGCGCTGCACCCATTAACTCGTCATTTGGCATTAGGTATATCTCCTAATGCTATCCCTCCCCCCTTCCCCCACCCCACAACAGTCCCCAGAGTGTGATGTTCCCCTTCCTGTGTCCATGTGTTCTCATTGTTCAATTCCCACCTATGAGTGAGAATATGTGGTGTTTGGTTTTTTGTTCTTGCGATAGTTTACTGAGAATGATGATTTCCAATTTCATCCATGAGATGGAGTCTTGCTCTGTCACCCAGGCTGGAGTGCAGTGGCATGATCTTGGCTCACTGCAAGCTCCACCTCCCGGGTTCACGCCATTCTCCTGCCTCAGCCTCCCGAGTAGCTGGGACTACAGGCGCCCACCACCACACCCAGCTAATTTTTGTATTTTTAGTAGAGATGAGGTTTCACCATGTTAGCCAGGATGGTCTTGATCTCCTGACCTCATGATCTACCCTCCTCGGCCTCCCAAAGTGCTGGGATTACAGGCATGAGCCACTGCACCCCACCCAGTTTCAGCTTTCTACATATGGCTAGCCAGTTTTCCCAGCACCATTTATTAAATAGGGAATCTTTTCCCCATTTCTTGTTTTTGTCAGGTTTGTCAAAGATCAGATGGTTGTAGATGTGTGGTATTATTTCTGAGGTCTCTGGTCTGTTCCATTGGTCTATATCTCTGTTTTGGTACCAGTACCATGCTGTTTTGGTTACTGTAGCCTTGTAATATAGTTGGAAGTCAGGTAGTGTGATGCCTCCAGCTTTCTTCTTTTTGCTTAGGATTGTCTTGGCAATGTGGGCTCTTTTTTGGTTCTATATGAACTTTTCCAATTCTGTGAAAAAAGTCATTGGTAGCTTGATGGGGATGGCATTGAATCTATAAATTACCTTGGGCACTATGGCCATTTTCATGATATTGATTCTTCCTATCCATGAGCATGGAATGTTCTTCCATTTGTTTGTGTCCTCTTTTATTTCGTTAAGCAGTGGTTTGTAGTTCTCCTTGAAGAGGTCCTTCACATCCCTTGTAAGTTGGATTCCTAGGTATTTTATTGTCTTTGTAGCAATTGTGAATGGGAGTTCACTCATGATTTGGCTCTCTGTTTGTCTGTTATTGGTGTACAAGAATGCTTGTGATTTTTGCACATTGATTTTATATCCTGAGACTTTGCTGAAGTTGCTTATCAGCTTAAGGAGATTTGGGGCTGAGATGATGGGGTTTTCTAAATATACAATCATGTCATCTGCAAACAGTGACAATTTGACTTCCTCTTTTCCTAATTGAATATCCTTTATTTCTTTCTCTTGCCTGATTGTCCTGGCCAGAACTTCCAACACTATGTTGAATAGGAGTGGTGAGAGAGGGCATCCCTGTCTTGTGCCAGTTTTCAAAGGGAATACTTCCAGTTTTTGCGCATTTCAGTATGATATTGGCTGTGGGTTTGTCATAAATAGCTCTTATTATTTTGAGATACGTCCCATCAATACCTAGTTTAATAAGAGTTTTTAGCATGAAGGACTGTTGAATTTTGTCGAAGGCCTTTCCTGCAACTATTGAGATAATCATGTGGTTTTTGTCTTTGGTTCTGTTTATGTGATGGATTATGTTTATTGATTTGCGTATGTTGAACCAGCCTTGCATCCCAGGGATGAAGCCAACTTGATCTTGGTGGATAAGCTTTTTGATGTGCTGCTGGATTCGGTTTGCCAGTATTTTATTGAGGATTTTCTCATCAATGTCCATCAGGGATATTGGTCTAAAATTCTCTTTTTTTGTTGTGTCTCTGCCAGGCGTTGGTATCAGGATGATGCTGGCCCCATAAAATGAGTTAGGGAGGATTCCCTCTTTTTCTATTGACTGGAAAAAAGTTTCAGAAGAAATGGTACCAGCTCCTCTTGTACCTCTGGTAGAATTCAGCTGTGAATCCGTCTGGTCCTGGACTTTTTTTGGTTGGTAGACTATTAATTATTGCCTCAATTTCAGAGCCTGTTATTGGTCTATTCAGTGATTCAGCTTCTTCCTGGTTTAGTCTTGGGAGGGTGTATGTGTCCAGAAATTTATCCATTTCTTCTAGATTTTCTAGTTTATTTGCGTAGAGGTGTTTATAGTATTCTCTGATGGTAGTTTGTATTTCTGTGGGATTGGTGGTGATATCCCCTTTATCATTTTTTATTGCGTCTATTTGATTCCTCTCTCTTTTCTTCTTTATTAGTTTTTCTAGCAGTCTATCAATTTTGTTGATCTTTTCAAAAAAACCAGCTCCTGGATTCATTGATTTTTTGTTTGTTTGTTTGTTTTTTTGAGACGGAGTCTCGCTCTTTCGCCCAAGCCGGAGTGCAGGGGCACTATCTCAGCTCACTGCAAGCTTCGCCTCCCGGGTTCATACCATTCTCCTGCCTCAGCCTCCTGAGTAGCTGGGACTACAGGCGCCCGCCACCGCACCCGGCTAATTTTTTGTATTTTTAGTAGAGACAGGGTTTCACCGTGTTAGCCAGGATGTTCTCAATCTCCTGACTTGGTGATCCGCCCGCCTCGGCCTCCAAAGTGCTGGGATTACAGGCGTGAGCCACCGCGCCCAGCGATTCATTGATTTCTTGAAGGGTTTTTTGTGTCTCTATCTCCTTCAGTTCTGCTCTGATCTTAGTTATTTCTTGCCTTCTGCTAGCTTTTGAGTTTGTTTGCTCTTGCTTCTTTAGTTCTTTCAATTGTGATGTTAGGGTGTCAATTTTAGATCTTTCCTGCTTTCTCTTGTGGGTATTTAGTGCTATAAATTTCCCTCTACCCACTACTTTAAATGTGTCCCAGAGATTCTGGTATGTTGTGTCTTTGTTCTCATTGATTTCAAAGAACATCTTTATTTCTGCCTTCATTTCGTTGTTTACCCGGTAGTCATTCAGGAGCAGGTTGTTCAGTTTCCATCATGTAGTTGTGCGATTTTGAGTGAGTTTCTTAATCGTATATCTGAGTGTTTCTACAATTATTTTCTTTCTTTCTTTTTTTTTTTTTTTTTTTTTTTTTTGAGACAGAGTCTCACTGTGTTGCCCAGGCTGGGGTGCAATGGTGCTATCTCTGCTTACTGCAACCTCTGCCTTCGGGATTCAAGCAATTCTTGTGCCTCAGCCTCCTGAGTAGCTGGGACTATAGGCATGTGCCACCATGCCCAGCTAATTTTTTGTATTTTAGTAGAGACCGAGTTTCACCATGTTGCCCAAGATGGTCTCGAGCTCCTGAGCTCAGGCAATCCACCTGCCTCGGCCTCCCAAAGTGCTAGGATTACAGGCATGAGCTGCCACACCCAGCCCTAAATATTTTCTTATGGGCAAGAGTTTTATTTTAGATTTTATCACGTGTCACCTTTTATCTTTGACTCTTGTATTTTTTAGAAAATGTGAAGGTAGTTTTCCTTGTTTACAAAGCTAGGGCTGAGGGGCCAACATTTCTTACAAGAACATAAAATTAAATCATTTTTAAAATATATTTCTTTTTCTTTAGAGACAGGATATTATTCTGTCTCCCAGGCTGGAGAGCAGTAGAGCAGATCATAGCTTACTATAACCTCAAACTCTTGGACTGAAGTGATCCTCCTGCCTCAGCCGCCCTAGTAGCTAGGACTGTAGGTGCATGCCACCAAGAGCAGCTAATTTTTTAATTTTTTGTAGAGACAGGTTCTCACTATGTTGCCCAAGCTGGTCTCAAACTCCTGGCCTGAAGTGATCCTCCCACCTCAGCCTCTCAAAGTGCTGGGATTACAGGCATGAGCCATTGTACCTGATTTTATTTTATTTTATTTTATTTTATTTTATTTTATTTTATTTTATTTTATTTATTTATTTACTGAGATGGAATCTCGCTCTGTCTCCCAGGCTGGAATACAGTGGCACAATCTCGGCTCATTGCAACCTCTACCTCCCGGTTTCAAGCGATTCTCCTGCCTCAGCCTCCCGAGTAGCTGGGCTTACAGGCCTGCACCACCTCACCTGGCTAATTTTTTGTATTTTTAGTAGAGACAGGGTTTCACTATGTTGGCCAGGCTGGTCTCGAACTCTTGACCTCAAGTGATCTGCCTGCCTCGGCCTTCCAAAGTGCTGGGATTACAGGCATGAGCCACCACGCCCAGTGCCTGACTCAATTTTAAAATGTATTGACTGCCTACTATTTTCCTAATATTATTTATTTGTTAGTAAATATTTATTGAAAGGCTACATGTAAGGTCCTCTGCTAGGCACTGGAGATGATGAATGAGATTGACATGGCTTTTCCCTCATATACTTATAGTCTAAGGCAGACTATAGCTGGAGAAGCCAGACTTTAAACATTACAACTGTGTTAAGTGCAAATACAGGAAGACTTGAGAGCTTCAGGGAGACCTAACCTCGTCTTGAACAGGGAAGGCTACCCTGAGAAAGTGACATTTATGCTGAGACCTGGAGTGGTGACAGGAAGAGGAAATAGCAAGAATGAGCTTAAGAAGGCGAGTGAGACTAAGTCAGAGAGGCACGAGGCATAGATGAGGTTCTAAAAAGGCAACAAGCCCTCATGCCCAAGTGCTTATTAAGCTTCTGCTTGTGTCATATTTGCTGATGTCCCATTCGCTGATGTCCCATTCACTAATGTAAGTCACCTGACAAAAACCAGAGTCAAGGTGGGTGGGACTATACAAAGGCATGGATACCAGCAGGCATGATTCACTGTGGACCATTAATATAACTGTTTAGGCCAGGTGCATTGGCTCATGCCTGTAATCCCAGCACTTTGGGAAACTGAGGCAAGAGAATCACTTAAGCCCAAGAGTGCAAGACCAGCTTGGGCAACATAGTGAGACCCCCCACCACCTCTATTAAAAAATAATAAAATATTATTTAATATATTTATGCATATAAAATATGTAGACGTGTTATATAATTTATATATAATATATACATATTATGTATAATATACCATATCATACATATATATAATATATGTACTTTAGTGCTCCCTATTCCATTGAATGGTTCTACATCTACCCAAATGCTCATCCCGGAAATCTAAAAGTTAGCTTTTGTACCACTTTCTTCTACACTGGAAGATGATTCTTCTTCACAATACAAGTCTGAATATCTCTCTTAAAATCCTTTTTTGGTTGCTATTTACTGAGCTCTCATGACATGCCAGGCACTGCACTAACTACTTTATACACTTTTTCACATAATCTTCTAACCACCATGAGAGATTGGTATTATTATCCCCATTTTGTGAATTTGTTGATTTATCATACATTTATTTAGTTCTTACTATAATTGGCTCAGTTTTAGGACCTAAGATTACAAAGGTAAATAGATGAAGCAGCAAACTCCCTGACATCAAAGCCTGTAGTCCTGACTGCTGACTATACTGTCACCATATTGTCTTCAGAGATTCCCCATTCTTTCAGGGTAAAATTTGTATGTTGTAGCTTAACAGACTGACCCTGTTTACTTCTTTGGTTTCACCTCTTATTACTATCCACACATATCCTATATTTTTCTCACCCTCAACAACTTTAGATCCCTAACTATGACAAAGCTTGTCATTCTTCTTTCCTTTGCATATATTGCATATGTTCTATTTTCTTAAAACATGCTTTTCTCACATCTTCACTGGGCTGAAATCTTCCTCTAGGAAACCTAGGAGTTTTCTGTCCCTCTATATTCCCGGTCTAAAATAAATATTCCTTCTTTGTGCTCTTATATACTATATGTGCTCTGTACGTACTTCTATAATAGCACTTATCACACTGTATTGCATTGATTGGTTTACTACTCAGTCTCCCCTCACTAAACTATGGGTTTCTTTGAAGGCAAGGATTGTGTTTTCTTCTTAATTTCTGTATTCTAATTACCTAACATAGCACCTGGCATGTAGTAGGCCCTCAATAAATATTTGTTGAATGAATGTGGCATCACAAGAAACTGCCTCACAGATTTAGGCATGATTATATATTGAGGACAAAATTAAAACTGACCTAAGTGAAGTGGCAGATTCATGTTTGTTAAATTAAAAAAAGAAAAAAAGGCCATGTGCAGTAGCTCACACCTGTAATCCCAGCACTTTAGGAGGCTGAGGCAGGAGGATCACTTGAGCTCGGGAGTTCAAGACCAGCCTGGTTAACATAGCAAGACCCCGTCTCTACAAAACATTAGCCAGGCATGTTGACGTGCACCTGTGGTCCCAGCTACTTGGGAGGCTGAGGTGGGAGGACTGCTTGAGCCGGGTAGGTAGAGGTTGCAGTAAATTGTGATTGCACCACTGCACTTCAGCCTGGGTGAAGAGTGAGACCCTGTCACACACACACACACACACAAAAAAAAAAAAAAAAAAAAAAAGGAAAAAGAAAAGAGAGAGAAAGGTGAAGAGTGAAAGAGGAAAGAAAAGAAAGAGAAAGAAAAATGAATGATTAAAGCAGAGTCAGAATATGGAAGCCTTCAAATACAAGTTTAAGGAGTTTGGATTGATCTAATTAAGAACAGTTAGCCATTTAAACACTTTGCTAAGTGACTTACATGACATGTAAATGTAGAGGACAATTTAGGAGAATGAAAGATGAAAGATCCCAAAGGACTATCCCTTTCTCACTTCCATTTGTAAATTGGACAAAAAATTACACTTGTCAGCCTATTTTTGGACTCATAGACCATCAAAGCTAGAAAGAATTTTAGATTTCGCCTGGCCCAGTCCCTCATTTAATAAAGGAAATAAGAGATAAAGTGTTTGCTCAGGGTCATATGGGTACATATTGGCATGGTCAGCACAAAAACCCAGTTTTCAGGCCGGGCGTGGTGGCTCGTGTCTGTAATCCCAGCACTTTGGGAGGCCGAGGCGGGCAGATCACGAGGTCAGGAATTCGAGACCAGCCTGGCCAACATAGTGAAACCCCATCTCTACTAAAAATACAAAAATTAGCCAGGCATCGTGGCACGCGCCTGCAGTCCCAGCTACTTGGGAGGCTGAGGCAGGAGAATTGCTTGAACCCGGGAGGTTGTGGTAAGCCGAGATCACATCACTGCACTTCAGCCTGGGCAACACAGCGACACTCCATCTCAAAACAAAAACAAAAACAAAAAACAGTTTTTTCTTATGTATTTCCCCATTGAGAGTTTTTCCTCCCCTGCAATAAAGCACCATTTGGAAAAACTGTGGCAGAATGTGGTTTTCTAGAAACACTTGCGTATTCTACATGTTATTGTTTCTCACAGGGTATTTTTCTGCATGTTTCCAGGTCATCAGATCCTTAAAGTACATCAGATAAAAGGGACTGTACTGATTGGAGTCAATTTTGTGGGCTATTCAGAGAAGAAAAGCCCAAAAGTGAGTGGAGATTATAATGTAAGAAATATAAATTAAATAATTGGAATGTAAAGCTCTTCTTTAAAAGTTGTACAACTTACATAAAGCTGAGACTATATACCTCTGTAATTCTGTTATTTTGGCCCTTGAGAGAGTCCTGGAAACTTCTCCCATAGAGCTGAAGAATTAGACATTGACTTTATTATTATTATTATTATTATTATTATTTGAGATGAAGTCTCGCTCTGTCACCCAGGATGGAGTGCAGTGACATGATCTTGGCTCACTGCAACCTCTGCCTCCCGGGTTCAAGCGATTCTCCTGCCTCATCCTCCCAACTAGCTGGGATTACAGACACCCACCACCATGCCTGGCTAATTTTTGTATTTTTAGTGGAGATGGGGTTTCACCATGTTAGCCAAGCTGGTCTCAAACTCCTGGCCTCAGGTGATCTGCCTGCCTTACCCTCCCAAAGTGCTGGGATTACAAGCGTAAGCCACCGTGGGCGGCCAAGAATTAGATGTTTATATTCACTTTTGTGGTTCTTATTATATTTCTAGGAAATTTCCAACTTGCCCAGATCTGTAGATGTGGAACTGCTCCTGGTAGATGATGTAACTGTAGTGCCTGAGAATGCCACCATCTATAACCACCCTGATGTAAAGGTAGAAGCTGTATGAGTCTAGTTAAATGGAATCATATTGGAGGGGAAGTTATTAAAATTAATAGCATAACAATTAAAAAACTTACTTATGTGTTGAAAATAATTGATACATATATGTAAAACACATATATAATAGTTGCACTGTCCTTAAAAATTGTACTTTAATAATTGTATTTTGTCTTTTGTCTATTCACTTTAATCTTTTTATCCCATATTCTTTCTTAGGTAGGTAGAAATTATTTCCTTTGAGCTATTTATAAACTGAAGCAAACAGAATATTGTTTGTCTGATTTTTCCATAGGAAACATTTAGCCTTGTGGAAGGATCTGGTTATTTTTTAGTCAACAGCAGTGAGCAGGGTGTTGTCACCATCACTTACATGGAAGCAGAAAGCTCTGTTGAGGTGAGCTCTAGAGACAGTCCCAGATTGATGGTCTCAGGCCAAAGCTCATTCTGAGGAGATTGGAAAAATTCCATTTTGTGTCTAAAACTTGTTACAGAAGTAACATTTTCCTTTCTTTCTTTAACCTATATAGATTCTTCAACCAAAAGGGAGTGCTTTTTTTGCTTCTGGTTGAACAGAGACAGTATAAGAGATCTCAGTTAGAAGATTTCCGTTAAAAGAAGTTTCATTTTTATAAGTTTCAAAGCACACATCTGTGTAGATACTTAAATATTTAAATATACTATTGACTTTATTTATTGAGATAGAGTCTCGCTCTGTTGCCTGGGCTGGAGTGCAGTGGTGCGATCTCGGCTCACTGCAACCTCCACCTCCCAGGTTCAAACAATTCTTCTGCCTCAGCCTCCTGAGTAGCTGGGATTACAGGAGCCCACCACCATGTCTGGCTAATTTTTGTATTTTTAGTAGAGATAGGGTTTTACCATGTTGGCCAGGCTGGTCTTGAACTCTTGACCTCAAGTGATCTGCCCAAAGTGCTAGGATTGCAGGTGTGAACCACTGCGCCAGGCCACTGTTGACTTTATAACATGAATATATGATGTTTTCAGCCAGGACATGACAACTCAAAACATTAACCTAACTCCATAGTCAGTATGCCAAAGGATTTGTTTTTAGTTGATTTATAGTAATAAAAATAATACCATCTATTAATATATGTATATAGTTCCTTTCTAACAGCTTAAAGTAATTTAACTTACCCTAGTCATAATATATGTTTTAAAAAGGGAAGACTAAGGTACAAATGATGTGAAAAAAACATGCTATTGTGCAGGAACTGTAGCACAAAGAAAGAAAAAACAGTGTTAGTTGGCCTAATGCTTTCTCCCCCTACTAGTGATTGTGGCATAAATGCACGCGATTTTTCTTCATGACATCCTTTCCCTATTTATAATTGAGAAGCTGAATACATATGTTGGATTCTGCTTGAATTCAATCAACATAAATTCTGCTCTTTACTATTTGTTTTTGTTTCGTTTTGTTCAGTAGAAATAGGGTCTCACTCTGTTGCTCAGGCTGGAGTGCGTGGCATGATCATAGCTCACTGTAGCCTTGAACTCTTAGATTCAAGTGATCCACCTCAGCCTTCTGAGTAGCTGGGATTATAGGTGTGTGCCACCATGCCCAGCTAATTTTTTTTTTTTTTTGAGACAAGGTCTCACTCTGTTTCCCAGGCTGAAGTGCAGTGGCACAGTCTCAACTCCCTGCATCCTCAACCTCCCAAATTCAAGTGATCCTCCCTCAGCCTCCTGAGTAACTGGGACTACAGGCACGGACCACCGTGCCCAGCTAATTTTTGTTTTGTTTTGGGTAAAGACAGGGTTTCACCATGTTGCCCAGGCTTGTCTCAAACTCCAGGGCTCAAGCAATCCTCTTGCCTCAGCCTCTCAAAGTGCTGGGATTACAGGCATGTGCCACCACGCCCAGCCTTGCTAATTTTTTTTAAAAAGTTTTTATAGAGACCAGGATTTTGCTTTGTTCCCCAGGCTGTTCTTGAACTCCTGGGCTCAAGTGATCCTCCTGCCTCAGCCTCCCAAAGTGCTGGGATTATAGGCGTGAGCCACTGCGCCCAACCTATATTTGTTAAAGTACAGATTTTGCCATAATCGGAAACATCACATTAAGTGTACATATTATGCTATGCCTGAATAATGTTACGTGACGTCTGAGAGTCCCCAGTTCAAAGAAAGCAAGATGTTTTCTATTCTGCTTTGGGTGAAAATAGTTGCTTTGATTATGCTTGGAGCATGTTTGCTTCTTTATCCAGCTACCATCTTCTTACTTCCAGTTAGTTCCATTACATCCTGGATTTTTTACCTTGGAGGTCTATGATCTTTGTTTGGCTTTCTTGGGTCCAGCAACAGCCCACCTCAGGGTGTCAGACATACAAGAGCTGGAGCTTGATCTGATTGATAAGGTGAGACATGTTTGTTTTATCTCAGAAATTAAGCAAGACTTATTCTCACTACCCAGCATTCCTTAATATAGTCTCTGCTCAGCTACTGTGTGTGTATACCAGGACTTCTGGTAATGTTAATGGAAATACCTGCCCTTAAAGAACAACATTTCAACATTAAACAGATGAAGATAAATAGACTGTTAAAAACCAACTTAAAACAATACACATAGATTAAGCTTATTTGATTGAAGGCTGACCAGGATCATTTAGCATGAAAGAAAAAAAAAGTACACTGCCCTCTAAGAGTTAGACTGCCATTGGTGAATGAGACACCTTTGCTAAAATCTTTTTCTTTTTAACTACTAGGTTGAAATAGACAAAACTGTGTTAGTGACTGTGAGGGTTCTTGGCTCTTCCAAACGCCCATTCCAAAATAAATACTTCAGAAACATGGAACTCAAACTGCAGTTGGCTTCTGCCATTGTCACCCTGACGTAAGTACCATTTCAATACTTCCTTCCCACTCTGCATATCATAAGACTCTCCCTCCTAGTGACCTGGTCAGCTTTCCCTTACCTTAGATTATTTCAGATTTTCTCCATTCCTTTTCTGTTAGAATACATTTCAGCCCATACGCTCTTCCCATATTCAGCTCTCTACAAAATATCCATTTGAGCCTGGCGTGAGGGTACATGCCTGTAGTCCCAGCTACTCAGGAGGCTAGGGCAGGAGATTCACTTGAGCCTAGGAGTTGGAGGCTCTAGCACACTATAATATAATTGTGCCTGTGAATAGCCACTGCACTCCAGCCTGGGCAACATAGCACGGCCTACATCTCTTAAAATACACACACACACACACACACACACACACACACACACACACACACACATTCGAGGTCCTCAGATGCCTTGTTTGGGGGCTAAGGTCACATGTCATTAATATTTCCATTTTCTGAAACCTCTCCTTGGATGATATCTTTTGGGGGTGCTTCAGGATAGAGGACCCTTTAAAAATATATTTAGAGGCAGACATACTGGTATTCCCCTCTGAGAAAGGAGAAATTCAGGAATTTCAGGCAATTTAGTATTTGCAATTTTACCAGTCTATTTTTATATTGCCCTTATTCCTCTGGAGCCTTAGAACAAATTTTTGCCTCTCAGGAGCCTTCCACCGTTCCCTTGAAATTTGTCTTCACTCTGGAAATTTATTTTCTTGCAATTCCCCCTAACCAGAGTTAAAATGAGCAGAAAATGTTAAGCACCTTGGAAAGATGCACCACTGGCCACTTTCAGAACCTAATCTTGGCCAAGCGTGGTGACTCATGCTGCAATCCCAGCATGATGGGAGGCTGTGGCAGGAGGATTGCTTGAATCCAAAATTCAAGACCAGCCTGGGCAACACAGTGAGACCCCGGCTCTACAAAAAATAAGAGAATTAGCCAGGAGTGATGGTATGTGCCTGTAGTCCCAGTTACTCAGGAAGCTGAGGTGGGAGGATACATTGAGTCTGGGAGGTTGAGGCTGCAATGAGCTGAGATCATGCCACTGCACTCCAGCCTGGGCGACAGAGTAAGACCCTGTCTTGAAACAAAACAAAAATCTTTCTCACCTGAAAATACATGGGTTTTTGCAGACCAATGGAGCAACAGGACGAATACTCTGAAAATTATATTCTTCGAGCTACCACTATTGGGCAAACCACACTTGTGGCTATTGCCAAGGACAAGATGGGAAGAAAATACACATCAACTCCTCGGCACATTGAAGTAAGGAAATTATCTCATCCAAAATTTGTACTTTTTCTTGCTTAACATCATTTGTCTTTTTCTGTTAGTTTATACAAGTTAAAAATCATTTGACTGGCTGGGCACAGTGGCTCACACCACCATGTGAGCACTTTGGGAGGCTGAGGTGGGAACATCACTTAAACCCAGGAGTATGAAACCACCCTGGGCAACATAGTGAGACTCTGTCTCTACAAAAATAAAAATAAAATAAAATAAATTAGCCAGACATGGTGTGCCTGTAGTTCCAGCTACTCAAGAGGCTAAAGTAGGAGGATCACTTGAGCCCTGGAGGTTGAGGCTGCAGTGAGCTGTGATTGTGCCATTGCACTCCAGCCTGAGTGACAGAGAGAGACCCTGTCTCAAGAAAAAAAATCATTTGACTGAAAAAAAGGATGGTGTCTAACTCTTGCACAACATGCAGTATTTTTGGGTTTTGTCTCTCTGTATAAAACAGTTCTTATAGAAAATTTGGAAAAACATGTGTAGTGGTGCATGCCTGTGGTCCCAGCTACTTGGGAGACTGAAACAGGAGTGTCACTTGAGCCCAGGAGGAGTTCCAGGCTGAAATAAGCCATGATCGTGCCACTGCACTTCAGTCTGGGTGACAGAATGATACCCTGTCTCTTAAAAAAAGAAAAGAAAAGAAAATGTGGAAAGCACAAATTTTAAAGGTGTTAAATGAAAATCACCTGTAATTTCACTACTTAGAGGCAACCATTGTTTTTTTGTTCGTTTGAGACAGAGTCTCGCTCTGTTGCCCAGGCTGGAGTGCAATGGCGCGATCTTGGCTCAGTGCAACCTCTGCCTTCTGGGTTCAAGCGATTCTCCTGCCTCAGCCTCCTGAGTAGCTGGGATTACAGGTGTGAGACACTGCGCCAGCCCAGCTGTTCTACTTTTATATGTGTTCAAAAAAAAGAAAGTTAACTGTAAACATAATTTTAATGATCACTTTTACTCTAGTGAGTAGATATATAACTTATTTTAGTATTCCTACTTAAATACTTTTAAATTTTTTGCTATTACACATAAAATTACATATCTTTGTGTGTAACTTTTTGGTAGATAATTAAGAGTTTTCCTTAGAATAAGATCATGATGGGCTGGGTTTGGTGGCTCATGCCTGTAATCCCAGCACTTTGAGAGGTTGATGCAGGAGCATGACTTGAGCCTAGGAGTTTGAGACCACCCTGGGTAACATAGGGAGACCCCATCTCTGCCAAAAATTAAGGAATTAGTCAGGCATGGACAGGCGTGGTAGCTCACGCCTGTAATCCCAGCACTTTGGGAGGCTGAGGCAGGTGGATCACCTGAGGTTAGGAGTTTGAGACCAGCCTGGCCAACATGGTGAAACCCTGTCTCTACTAAGATACAAAATATTAGCTGGGCATGGTGGCAGGTGCCTGAAATCCCAGCTACTTGGGAGGCTGAGGCAGGAGAATCGCTTGAACCTGGGAGGCGGAGGTTGCAGTGAGCTGAGGTCTCGCCACTGCACTCCAGCCTGGGTGACAGAGCGAAACTCCTTCTCAAAAAGAAAAAGAGAGAGAGAGAGAGACAAAGAAAGAAAGAAAGAAAGAGAGAGGGAGAGAGAGAAAGAAAGAAAGAAAAAGAAAGAAAGAAAGAAAGAAAGAAAGAAAGAAAGAAAGAAAGAAAGAAAGAAAGAAAGAAAGAAAAGAAAGAAAGAGAAAGAAAAGAAAGAGAAGGAAAGGAAGGAAAGGAAAGAAAGAAATTAGTCAGGCATGGTGGTGCACACTTCTGGTCCCAACCACTCAGGAGGCCAAAGCCGGAGGATTGCTTGAGCCCAGGAGTTCAAGGCTGCAGTGAGCTGTGATCGTGCCACTGCACTTCAGCATGGGCAACAGAGCAAGACTCTGTCTAAAAAAAAAAAAAATTTAAATGACCATGATATGTTATAAAATTGACTCTAGTTAGTTACTGTTGTCCTTTTGGTTTTCTCCTTCAAGGTGTTTCCTCCATTCAGACTTCTTCCAGAGAAAATGACACTGATTCCAATGAATATGATGCAGGTGAACTTACAGGCAGAAAAAATAAGATTTACCTTTTCTCCTTACCTCTCTCTCTCTCTCACACACACACACCTCTCTTCCTATTGATCTCTTATTTACTCTCACCCAAGTACTAGTGGATCTGATAAAGAACAAGATTAGTATTTTCCCTGACCTATGATGTACATCATATAAAAACTCTCTTGGAATCCCATGGATCATTTGCAGTACTTCCATTTCTTCTGCATTTGAGTTGATATGGGATATGTTGTTCAAGAAATGGGGGAAGATGAAGAAGTCAAGTTGCTTGGACAAAATGTTGGGAAAAGAGACATGATTTCTCCCTCATGTTCTAGGCATTCAATGGTATATTTAAATTCCAGGTAATGTCTGAAGGTGGCCCCCAGCCCCAATCCATCGTTCACTTCTCCATC
Source organism: Homo sapiens (assembly GCF_000001405.40). Lineage (NCBI taxonomy): Eukaryota > Metazoa > Chordata > Mammalia > Primates > Hominidae > Homo > Homo sapiens. The sequence goes on along the minus strand of NC_000001.11, from coordinate 154,054,356 downwards.
AGTAATCAGACCGTGGCTGTTGTTAATAGGAGGGGGCAAGTTACAGGGAAGATTGTTGGCACAGCTGTGGTTCATGGCACCATCCAGACAGTAAATGAAGATACTGGCAAAGTCATTGTGTTTTCTCAGGTATTGGTTATTTGCTCTGCTCTGCTTCTATTCTTCTATTGAGGAACCATACTGTGGGAGATAGGGAGGCAGTGGTAATGAGGAGGGTGTCAGCAGCCCAGGAAAAGCCTTAGAGTGCCCCTACCTGGCATTCTGTCAACCAGGCATGGAAAATGTCATCTTTAGTGAAAACCCCACAGAGTACTTGGCACTGTTATAAGATATGGTTCCCATCCTTAAAGAATGCTTTGAAGAAGAGAAAAACAAATATGTCTATCTAATAAGTTTTTTCCAAATGTTTGTAATACATAACAATATATGTATTTATGGGGTACATTGCCAAGACCAGGTTGGTTGTGGAGACCCTAACCCAGCAGCACTAGAGGAATTAAAGACCCACACACAGAAATATAGAGTGTGGAGTGGGAAATCAGGGGGCTCACAGCCTTCAGAGCTGAGAGCCATGAACAGAGATTAACCCACATATTTATAGACAGCAAGCCAGTGATAAGCATTGTTTCTATAGATTATAGATTAACTAAAAGCATTCCTTACGGGAAACAAAGGGATGGGCTTTGGCTAGTTATCTGCAGCAGGAACATGTCCTTAAGGCACAGATTGCTCATGCTATTGTTTGTGGCTTAGGAATGCCTTAAGTGGTTTTCCGCCCTGGGTGGGCCAGGTGTTCCTTGCCCTCATTCTGGTAAACCGACAACCTTCAGCGTGGGCATCATGGCCATAACGAACATGTCACAGTGCTGCAGAGATTTTGTTTATGGCCATTTTTGGGGCCAGTTTATGGCCAGATTTGGGGGCCTGTTCCCAACATGTTCTCCCTTTTTATTTTTGCAAGACAATAAAAGCAAAGGCGGCTTTATCATGGTGAGCTACTTCTCTCAGAAGTCAGGATCTGCATCTGCAGACTATATAAAGGCAAACAACACAGATTAAAAGCACAATCATCATCGAAATCACAGAGCCTCCAAGTGTTTTTATCCATGTTAACAGGTTACTAGCTGCTAATCTGTCTGCAGCTCCTTCAAGCACTCCAGTTCCTGACATTAAGGTCAGGTGTGTCTGGGATGCTTTAAATATTTGTTCTTTTAATTTTGCAATATCCAAAGACAAGTTTGCAGAGTGTCCTTCTAGATGCTTTTTTATTCTTTCCCAAATTTGGATCTTATTAAGAGCCATTAATAGTTTCCACAAATCCTTATGTTTAGCCCCTAGAGCGGGCCATATCATTTGAGGTTGAAGTGCCACTACACTGCCATGTTTCCAGATAGTAGGAACTCTTGCCATACCTCTTATCATTTCTACCATCTGACCATTTTGTTCAGACCAGCTGAACATAGTGTGGCTATGGCACACAGACTGGGAGGTGCAATTCATGCTAAACATCCCCTTTGGGGACCAATCAATAATGACTGTGCAGCATCTCTGCCTGTTCTGCAGTGCAATCTTCCCAAACAAGTACATTCATTATTTCTGGCCAGATTCAATTCTGTTTACGAATAGGTTTTTGAGGGCAATATGCCTCAATTAGAGGAGCAGATTTATTATGGTAAATACTGAGATCAGAAAGCATGTGTAACTGCATCATAGAGTGATTACATCCAGGCATTATTGCCAGCCAAGATTGATAAATATGCCCAATAAGTATAATTGTTCTCTGTGTCAGCCCTTGTTGAAGGAATACTCAGAGCAACGGTGATCACCACTATCATAACTATTGTTAAATTACTCATTGTGACTGGTTGTCCCACTTTCCTCAGGTTTTCTTCCTCCATCTTTGACAGCTTCTTGATCTGTCCCCGGGTAGGTGGCTGTGTTCGACGGGTGTTGCTCATGACAGTTGGGGTCCTCCTCAGCATCAGTCTTGACATGGCTGCAACCAGGGGATCCTCGGGTTTCTCCCAGAATCTCTTCTTCAGCATCTGGCTCATGATAAGGTTTCAGGTGTCGTGATGGTATCCAAATCGGCTGTTGATTTGGTCCAGGAGAAACACAAGCATAACCTCTACCCCAAGTTATTATTTTACCTATTTCCCAACTTTTTGCTAACGGATCTCACTACCAAACCAATTGTTCTGCTTCTGTCTTTGCAGCTGGTTTCTGTAGATGCTGTTCAGCTGCTGATAGCATCTGGCCTTTAGGCAGGCTCAAAAAATTTAAAGTCAATAATGCTAGATTCAGTTGCATACGGGGGTCCCGTAGTCCCTGTTTCTCCCCTTTTGCTTTTGCAACTGCTATTTTAGGGAGAGGTTCATTCTTTCCACTATGGCTTGTCCTTGAGAATTATATGGGATACCAGTAATGTGTTTAATATTCCATATAGAGAAAAATGTAGCTAGAGCTTGGCTACTATAGCCTGGGGCATTATCTGTTTTAATAGAAGCTGGAATGCCCATCACCAGGAAACACTGCAAAAGGTGATGTTTAACAGAGGCAGAAGACTCTCTTGATTGGCCTGTAGCCCAGACAAAGTGAGAAAAGGTGTCCACACATACATGTACATAAGCTAGTCTCCCAAATGAGGGAACATGTGTGACATCCATTTTCCAAAGAGAATTAGTTTTCAATCCTTGAGGATTAACTCCTGCTGTAAAAGATGAGAAATGTACCATCTGGCAAGTTGGGCATCGCTGGATAATAGTTTTAGCTTCTTTCCAGGTAATGCTGTATCTGCGCTTTGTGACCAGAGACATTAACATGGGTTAAATTGTGAAAGTGTCGGCCAGGCACAGTGGCTCACACCTGTAATCCCGGCACTTTGGGAGGCTGAGGCAGTTGGATAACGAGGTCAGGAGATCGAGACCATCATGGCTAACACAGTGAAACCCCATCTCTACTAAAAATAAAAATAAAAAAATTAGCTGGGTGTGGTAGCGGGTGCCTGTAGTCCCAGCTACTTGGGAGGCTGAGGCAGGAGAATGGCGTGAACCCAGGAGGCAGAGCTTACAGTGAGCCAAGATCACGCCACTGCACTCCAGCCTGGGCAACAGAGCAAGACTCCATCTCAAAAAAAAAATTGTGAAAATGTCTAGCATTATATATTGTAGTAGCAACTAGGCAATCAGCCATTTGATTCCCTTCAGTTAAAGGTCCTGGAAGAGTTACATGAGCCCTAATGTGAGTGATGTAAAAAGGGTGCATTCTACTCCTAACTGCTATTTGCAATTGGGTAAATAAAGTCATCAGTTGCTCATCAGTGTGGAATTGTAGCTGAGCATTTTCAACTAACTGTGTAGAATGTACCCCATATGAAGAATTGGAACTCACATTAATAGGCATATCAAAAGCAGTCAATACCTCAATTACAGCTACAAGCTCTGCTTTTTGAGCTGAAGTATAGGGCATCTGAAAAACTTTACCTTTTGAGCCAGAATAAGAAGCTTTACCATTATTAGACCCAACTGTGAAGACATTTTCAGCATCTTCAATTGGTTTAAATTTAATTATTTTAGGGAGAATCCAATTAGTTAATTTCAAAAATTGAAATAATTTTGTTTCAGGAAAATGATTATTGAGAATACCCACAAAATCAGCTAAATGGATTTGCCAAGAAAGACTATTTATAAAAGCTTGCTGTATTTATGCCTTCGTGAGAGGGACAATAATTTTTCTGGGATCATATCCATGTAATTTGACAATCTGAGTTCTCCCATTTCCTATCATAGGTAGCAATTTGATCCAAATAAGGAGTTAGAGTCTGTGAATTAGTATGTGGAAGAAAAAAACATTCTACTAAGTCCTGCTCTTGGACAATAACACCAGTAGGTGAATGCTGAATTGAAAACATTAGCAAATCTGGAGTCTTCTCTGGATCTATTCTATCTTTTGAGCTTTATGGACTTGCTTTTCAATCAGCTGTAACTCTGCCTCAGCCTCCTTTGTTAATTGTCGAGGGCTAGTGAGACTAGGATCTCCTCTAAGGATAGAAAATAGATTACTCATGGCAAGGTAGGAATGCCTAGAGCAGGTCATATCCAATTAATGTCCCCTAGTAATTTTTGAAAGTCATTTAATGTTTTCAATTGATCCCTACATATGGTTACTTTCTGTGGCACTATTGTAGTGTCACTTACTAAGGTTCCTAAGTAGGAGTAAGGAGTAGTAGTCTGAATTTTGTCAGGAGCTATAATTAAACCAGTGCAAGAAATCGAATTTTGTAAATGATCATAATATTGGGGTAATATTTCTCGAGTGGGGGCAGCACAAAGTATATCGTCCATATAAGGAATAATGTAATACTGTGAAAATTTTTTATGAGTAGGTTCAATTGCTTGCCCTACATACTTCTGGCAAATTGCTGGACTGTTTAACATGCCTTCTGGCAACACTTTCCGATGAAAACGCTTAGCAGGCTTCAGGTTGTTTACTGCAGGAATTGTAAATGCAAACCATTCACAGTCTTGCTAAGCTAAGGGGATAGTAAAGAAACAGTCTTTTAAATCTATGACATTAAAGGCCAGTTTTTTGGAATCATAGCAGGAGAAGGCAGTCCTGGCTGTAATGCCCCCATAGGTTGTATAACTGAATTAATGACTCTAAGATCTGTCAGCATTCTCCATTTACCTGATTTTTTCTTAATAACAAAGACTGGAGAATTCCAAGGGGAAAATGCTGGAGCTATGTGTCCTTTTTCTAATTGTTCAGTAACTAAGTCCTCTAAAGCCTCCAGTTTCTCTTTACTTAACGGCCATTGTTCTATCCAAATTGGCTTGTCTGTTAACCATTTTAAAGCTATAGATTCTGGAGGCTTAACAATGGCTGCCATCAAAAATGATATCCTAAACCCTTGGCAGGAACTTTTCTTTCTGTTTGAAGCGGTTCCTTCAAACCCTGCAAGTATTTTTCTAGTCCCATACTAGGGACGTACCCTATTTCATGCATCATATGTTGACTTTGAGGGGTATATAATTGCTCTGGAATTAGAACTTGTGCTCCCCATTGTTGTAATAAATCTCTTCTCCATAAATTTAAGGGTACAGAAGTTATAATTGGTTGAATAGTCCCAGGTTGTCCATTGGGCCCTTCACAATGCAAAATATAACTACTTTGATATACTTCAGGGGCTTTACCAACTCCAACTATGTTAAATTGAGCGGGTTGAATTGGCCACACAGATGGCCAGTGCTGTAGAGAAATGATTGAAATGTCCACTCCTGTATCTACCAAACCTTTAAATTTCTTTCCCTGAATAGTTATTTCACAGGGAGGATGTTTATCAGTAGTTTGATTCACCCAGTAAGCTGCTTTGCTTTGTTTATTTGTGCTCCCAAATCCTCTTGTTTTTCACTTTTCCCCATTTCCACATACAGCACAATCAGGAGCCGTGCTATACGCTCTCCTGGCTCTGCTTTCCAGGGAACAGAAGTAGATATAACAATTTGAATTTCCCCACTGTAATATGAATCAAGGACTCCTGTATGTACTTGCACTCCTTTTAAATTTAAACTAGATCTACCTAGAAGTAATCCTATCATCCCCGCTGGCAAGGGTCCACAGACTCCCGTAGGTACTTTTTGCTGGGGCTCCCCAGGCAGAAGACTCACAGCTTTTGTGCAGCATAAATCTACTGCGGCATTACCAGCTGTGGTGGGGGACAGACATTGTACAGGGGTGAGGGAGTGGCCTGAGCCAGAAATGCCCTGGTTTGGAACAGGGCCCAGGATAGGCCCCTCATGGCATTTCCCAAAATCGGTTTCCCATCTTTATCAAACTTAGAGTGACACTGATTAGTCCAATGTTTTCCTTTTTTACACTTCGGGCATACACCTGGCTCATACTGATTAATGGCCTGTTTAAACTCTTTAAGTATTTTAAAAGGAAAAAGCTCAAACATAGCTATAATATTTCCTTGTTGATCTGGGGGGTGTATCCTAACAGGGAACTGCCAAGCCTCTATATCACCCTCTCTTCTAGCTTGCTGGATTCCTGCCTGAATAGAACTGAGAGCGGTTGCTTGAGGCGCTACTTGAACAGTCACTGGGGCAACTACTTTTTGCCCAGTGTCCTCTGGAAAAGAAAGATCTGGAGGGTCAGGCCACTCTTTTTCTTCAAAATAAGGAGGGGGTGCAGAAGGGTAGGGATGAACCTCTTCCTCTTTGCCACTTTAGCTTTAGCTGGCAAACAAACCTGCTCTTTCACCTCTTCTGTTATTTCGATATACTTTCCTTCCTCCACATCATCAGTGTGAAAATGTTCCAAGGTGGAACAAACTAGAGCCCACACTTGTTCCATTGTTACCCTGATGCTTCCAAGCTCCCCTTCTTACTCACCACAGGGATTGCTTAAGAGTACTCAGGTGTCCTCCAGCTTAGTTCCACATTCTCCAACCGTCGCTCCAATGACCCTTTGACCCAGGTTGGAGCCCCACGTATGGGCACCACTTACCGAGATCAGCTCAGTCGTGGAGACCCTAACCCAGTGGCACTAGAGGAATTAAAGACACACACACAGAAATATAGAGTGTGGAGTGGGAAATCAGGGGGCTCACAGCCTTCAGAGCTGAGAGCCATGAACAGAGATTTACCCACATATTTATTGACAGCAAGCCAGTGATAAGCATTGGTTCTATAGATTATAGATTAACTAAAAGCATTCCTTACATGAAACAAAGGGATGGGCTTTGGCTAGTTATCTGCAGCAGGAACATGTCCTTAAGGCACAGATTGCTCATGCTATTGTTTGTGGCTTAGGAACGCCTTAGGCAGTTTTCCACCCTGAGTGGGCCAGGTGTTCCTTGTCCTCATTCTGGTAAACCCACAACCTTCAGCGTGGGCATCATGGCCATAACGAACATGTCACAGTGCTGCAGAGATTTTGTTTATGGCCATTTTTGGGGCCAGTTTATGGCCAGATTTGGGGGCCTGTTCCCAACAGTATATGAGTTATTTTGATATAGGCATACAATGCATATTAACTACATCAGGGTAAATGGGGTATCCACCACCTCAAGCATTTATCCTTTCTGTGTTACAGACAATCCAATTATACTCTTTTAGTTATTTTTAAATAAACAATAACTTATTGTTGACTGTAGTCACCCTGCTGTGCTATCAAATACTAGCCCTTTTTCATTCTAACTATATTTTTCTGCCCATTAATCATCCCCATAGCCCCCCTACCCACCCACTGCCCTTCCCAGCCTCTGGTAACCATTGTTCTACTTTTTTGTTTGTTTTGAGTCGGAGTTTCGCTCTTGTTGCCCAGGCTGGAGTGCGATGGCATGATCTCGGCTCACTGCAACCTCCGCCTCCCGGATTCAAACGACTCTCCTGCCTCAGCCTCCCAAGTAGCTAAGACTACAGGCACATGCCACCACACCCAGCTAATTTTGTATTTTCAGTAGAAATGGGTTTCACCATGTTGGTCAGGCTGGTCTTGAACTCCTAACCTCAAGTGATCCACCCGGCCTCCCAAAGTGCTGGGATTACAGGCGTGAGCCACCGTGCACAGCCCATCATTCTATTCTTTATCTCCATGAGTTCAACTGTTTTAATTTTTAGCTCCCATAAATATATAAGTGAGAACATGGGAAGTTTATCTTTGTCTTTCTATGCCTGGCTTATTTCACTTGACATAATGATCTCTAGTTCCATCCATGTTGTTGCAAATGACAGGATCTCATTCTTTTTATGGCTGAATAGTACTCTGTTGTACATATGTACCACATTTTCTTTATCCATTTGTTTGTTGATGGACACTTAGGTTGGCTCCAAATATTGGCTATTGTGAATAGTGCTGCAATAAGCATGGGCAAGGTTTTTTACTGAATGTTAAAAACAATAGCAAACTAGTTATCAAAAGCATCTCTGTCCACCCCACAGAAACTCCCTCTTAGCCTAAGCTTGCTCTCCACCCTGTTGAGCAGGATGAAGTACAGATTGAAGTTGTTCAGCTAAGGGCTGTTAGGATCCTTGCAGCTGCAACTCGGCTCATCACAGCTACCAAGGTCAGTATGATGGCTCTGTTCAGGGCTCATTATTCTGATAATTGCAACTGGGCAGAATATATAGCACAATGCTGCTATTTATTTTCAGATGCCAGTTTATGTCATGGGAGTAACCAGTACCCAGACCCCTTTCTCCTTCAGCAATGCTAATCCTGGGCTCACATTCCACTGGTCTATGAGCAAAAGGGATGTATTGGATCTAGTGCCCAGGCATTCAGAGGTAAGAATTTGCCTGTTTATTGTGTTATCTTAGGGATCTTGATATTAAATTTATTTTAATTTATCATAAGTTTCTTTTTGTTTTGAGATGAGGTCTCACTCTGTCCCCCAGGCTGGAGTGCAGTGGTGCAATCTCAGCTCACTGCAACCTCCACCTCCTAGGCTAAAGTGATCCTCCCACCTCAGCCTCCCGAGTAGCTGGGACCACAGGCACATGCCATCATGCCTGGCTAATTTTTTGTACTTTTTTGTTGAGATGGGGTTTTTGCCTTGTTGCCCAGGCTGTTCTTGAGCTCCTGAGCTTAGGTGATCCACCCACTGTGACCTCCCGAAGTGCTGGGATTACAGGCGTGAGCCACCATGCTCATCCTATCATAAGTTTTAGACTGATTACTCACTCCCTAAACTACACAATATTATTACTTATTTACTTTTCCTACTGTTCTCTGAACTCTGAACTCTGGAAACCTGCAAAGCAATAAAGAATCCAAATTTGAGTATGCAGATAATACTGTATGATTATTTATTTTTATTTTTTGCTGGAAAGAGCTCTCAAAAGTGATCTTTCTTTTAATATTGTATTTATTAATGTTGTTGTAATGTTGTATTTGTGAGCAGATGACTATGTTAGATGAGTAACACTATGAATATAAAGTATATGCATAAAGTATAAAAAATAAATATACAATTTTTATTTTTTATCATGTTCAGACACACATTTGATTATATTCATAATCATGGTTGTGCTACATGCTGGGTGATTACATTAATAGTAAGAAAAGCAAATATAGAGGGCTGTAGGTGGCATTGCTTTGTTTAGCATGCTCCCAGCCCACCCTACTTGGAATTGGGGAAGAACTGGATTCCCATGTCAGGCACCATGGGTACCACGGAGCTGTAGTCGCCTATCAACTGGGCAGCTGATTCTGGACTGGGTGTCTTATATCAACGACAAGTTTAAGAACAGTGATTAATTAAACTGCCCCTCCATGGTTCCCTTTGGTATCTGGTGGTATTGGCTCCTCCCAATTCACTACCTGCTGTATCTGGAACCATAGAAGACCTCAGGATAGACATCTAGGATATCCACAGTTCAACTTGAGAGTATATTTCTCTGAAAAAAAGCTTTGATGTTTTGATGCATATAGTATTAAACCTCACACTGAAACCTGAAAAAGACAAAAAAAAAGCAAGTTTGGCAGAAACTATGTAAAGTTTGCTGCCGACAAATTTTACCTAAATGAAACTCACCCAAGGTGGTCTGAGTACAGTGGCAACCAGCTACATCTGGGTTTTACCTTAGGAAAAAGGACATGGGGCCATGATACCCAGTAGGTCACAATTCAGTGCTCACGAGAACAAAGAATTAGAGTTATATCTTGGGAGATAATAGAGGGGTTACAGGAGCTAGAATTACGAGGATATTTCGGCAGCCAGCTAAAAAGAAAAGAGAACTTTGGAAAAAGTAAAAAAAAATTTGTAATCTTTCTAAAAATATCCTTAACCTATAATTTAAGGAAACTCTAGTGGTTAGATCTTCTGTCTGTGACTTCCTAGAGTCTAGTTATACTGGAATTGTGGAAGAATGGAACTGTACTTAGTTTGATGCAATTTAATGTAAGGATTTGGCTTTTTTCTTTTTCTTTTTCTTTTTTTTTTTTTGAGACAGAGTTTCCCTCTTTTTGCCCAGGCTGGAGTGCAATGGTACGATCTCGGCTCACTGCAACCTCCGCCTCCTGGGTTCAAGCGATTCTTGTGCCTCAGCCTACTGAGTAGCTGGGATTACAGGTGCCTGCCACCAGGCCCGGCTAATTTTTTGTATTTTTAGTAGAGACGGGGTTTCACCATGTTGGCAAGGCTGGTCTCAAACTCCTGACCTCAAGTGATCCACCCACCTCGGCCTCCCAAAGTGCTGAGATTACAGGCATGAGCCACCATGCCCAGCGGGCTTTTTTCTTGAATAACAGACAGGAGTGTGTGAAAGGAGGGAATGGCTAGGCCTTGGCCTCTATTCTACTTCTCCCTTTCTTTAATTTTTTTTATGTAAAGCATCACTCTTTTCTCTAGCAGAAGAAATAATTGAGAGCCACACAGATTTTTTCTTTTCCTGCCTCAGATCTAGCATAGGCAAATTGGGTAATGAAATGGGCAATAGAAAGGCCTTCATAAGGCCTGTAATCCCAGCACTTTGGGAGGCCGAGGCAGACTTGGGATCAGGAGTTTGAGACCAGCCTGGCCAACATGGTGTAACCCCGTCTCTACTAAAAATACAAAATTTAGCTGGGTGTGGTGGCACAAACCTGTAATCCCAGCTACTTGAGAGGCGGAAGCAGAAGAATGGCTTGAACTCAGGAGGTGCAGGTTGCAGTGAGCAGAGATCACGCCACTGCACTCCAGCCTGGGCGACAAAGTGAGATTCTATCTCAAAAAAAAAAAAAAAAGGCCGGGTGCAGTGGTTCACGCCTGTAATTACACAGTGGCTCACTTTGGGAGGCCAAGGCAGGTGGATCACCTGAGGTCGGGAGTTTGGGAGTTCGAGACCAGCCTGACCAACATGAAGAAACCCCATCTCTACTAAAAATACAAAATTAGCCGGGTGTGGTGGCGCATGCCTGTAATCCCAGCTACGCGGGTGGCTGAGGCAGGAGAATCGCTTGAACCCGGGAGGTGGAGGTTGTGGTGAACTGAGATTACGCCATTGCACTCCAGCCTGGGCAACAAGAGTGAAACTCCATCTCAAAAAAAAAAAAGGCGGAGTGCAGTGGCTCACGCCTGTAATCCCAGCACTTTGGGAGGCCGAGGCGCGTGGATCACTTGAGCCCAGGAGTTCAAGACCAGCCTGAGCAACATGGCAAAACCCCGTCTCTACCAAAAATACAAAAATTAGCTGGGCATAGTGGCGCACACCTGTAATCCCAGCTACTCAGGAGGCTGAGGCAGGAGGATTCCTTGAACCCGGGAGGCAGAAGTTGCAGTGAACTGAGATTGCACCACTTGACTCCTGCCTGGGGAACAGAGCAAGACCCTGTCTCAAAAAAAAAAAAAAAAGGTCTTAATGGGCTGGGTGTGGTGGCTCACAGCTGTAATTCCAGCAATTTGGGAGGCCAAGGTGGGTGCGTCACTTGAGCCCAGGAGTTCAAGACCAGCCTGAGCAACATGGCGAAACCCCGTCTCTACCAAAAATACAAAAATTAGCTGGGCATAGTGGCATGCACCTGTAATCCCAGCTACTCAGGAGGCTGAGGCAAGAGGATTCCTTGAACCCAAGAGGCAGTGAGCCGAGATTGCACCACTGGACTCCAGCCTGGGCAACAGAGTGAGACCTTGTCTCAAGAAAAAAAAGGCCAGGCGCGGTGGCTCACGCCTGTAATCCCAGCACTTTGGGAGGCCGAGGCAGGTGGATCAGGAGGTCAGGAGATCAAGACCATCCTGGCTAACATGGTGAAACCCCGTCTCTACTAAAAAATACAAAAACATTGGCCGGGCATGGTGGCGGGCACCTGTAATCCCAGCTACTGAGGAGGCTGAGGCAGGATAATGGCATGAACCCAGGAGGCGGAGCTTGCAGGGAGGCGAGATTGCGCCACTGCACTCCAGCCTGGGCGACAGAGCAAGACTCCGTCTCAACAACAACAACAACAACAACAACAACAAAAAGGCCTTCATGGGCTGGGTGCGGCGGCTCACAGCTATAATCCCAGCACTTTGGGAGGCCAAGGTGAGTGGATCGCATGAGCTCAGGAGTTCAAGACCAGCCTGGGCAACAGAGTGAAACCCTGTCTCTACAAAAAACACACATGAGATTAGCCAGGCATAGTGGCATGCACCTGTAGTCCCAGCTTCTAGGGAGGTTGAGGTGGGAGAATCACCTGAGCCCGGGAGGTGAAGGCTGCAGTGAGCTGTGATCGCACCACTCCACTCCAGCCTGGGTAACAGAGTGAGACCCTGTCTCAGAAAAAAAAAAAGAGAGAGAGAGAGAGGGAAAGGCCTTCTTGCTCCAATGGGTAGATTTCCTACACTGTGGAAATGCCAACATTGAGAGGTTCATTTGGATTAAACAATTATAAACCACTCATTTTTTAGCATGAGACTCTTCCAGATAACTGATTGAAATCTGCACAAAGGAAATGGGATTTTTTTGTGTGTGTAGGGGACTGGGGAAAGGTGATTTTGGAACATGGGACTTTGTCGTAATTCTAGAGCACTAGAAGGAAAGTTTTGAGGGTTGTGAACAGCAAGAAGGCAGGGAACACAGGACCTGAAATGCCTACTTCAATATTTGCCTTAGTGGTGGTCCTGCCTTCCCTATTATCAGAAGTCTATCAAGTTCTAATCCTCGCTATCCAGTCTAGCCTGTAATGATAAGAGAGGCAAGTGGGAAGATGGTCAGCCAGTTTTTTTTTCTTTTCTTTTCTTTTTTTTTTTCTCTAGTTTTCATTTAATGTATTTCTGTGTGGGCTGGGCGCAGTGGTTCACACCTGGAGGCCGAGGCAGGTGGATCACTTGAGGTCAGGAATTCTAGACCAGCCTGGCCAACATGGTGAAACGCCGTCTCTACTACAAATAAAAAAATTAACCAGGTGCGGTGGCACATGCTTGTAATTCCAGCTACTCAGGTGGCTGAGGCATGAGAATCACTTGAACTTGGTAGACAGAGGTTGTAGTGGGCTGAGATTGCACCACTGTACTCCAGCCTGAGTGACAGAGACTCTGTCACACAAAATAAATAAATAAATACATAAATACATAAACAAACAAAATTGGTTCAGACAGTAGAAACTGGGATAGGAGAGAAGTAGGGCAAAGGCCAGGCTCGGTGGCTCACGCCTGTTACCCCAGCATTTTGGGAGGCTGAGGTGAGAGGATCACTTGAGCCCACGAGTTTGAGACCAGCCTGGATAACATAATGAGACCCCATCTGTTAAAAAAGTTTTAAAATTAGGTAGGTGTGGTGGCACACACCTGTAGTCTCAGCTACTTGGGACACTGAGGCAGGAGGATCACTTGAGCCCAGGAGGTTGAGTTTGCAGTAAGCTGCGTTTGCACCACGGCACTCCAGCCTGGAAGACAAAGTGAGACCCTGTCTCTCAAAAAAAGGCACAAAAAGGAAACTGCTTCCACCATTTCCATTCTTCTTTCATAAAAAAATTTGACTTTGAGGTAACATAAGAAAGAATCTGGCTGGGCGCGGTGGCTCACGCCTGTAATCCCAGCACTTTGGGAGGCCGAGGCGGGCGGATCACGAGGTCAGGAGATCAAGACCATCTTGGCTAACATGGTGAAACCCCACCTCTAGTAAAAACAATAAAAAAAAATTTAGCCGGGAATGGTGGCGGGCGCCTGTAGTCCCAGCTACTTGGGAGGCTGAGGCGGGAGAATGGCGTGAACCTGGGAGGCAGAGCTTGCAGTGAGCCAAGATCACGCCACTGCACTCCAGCCTGGGCGACAGAGTGAGACTCCATCTCAAAAAAAAAAAAAGAAAGAAAGAATCTTAGGGAGGCTTGCCAGAATTAATTGAACACTACAAACAGAGGTTACTTTAGGGGTAATTATGCTGCTGGGACTATGAAAAGAAATCACTACGAAAACAATCTCTTGTACACTATTTCTCCTCCTCCTTCTCTTCTGCTCCTCCTCCTTCTTCTTCCTTCTTTCTCCTTTATTCTTTCTTTTTTCTTCTTTTCTTCTTTTTTTTTTGATACAAGGTCTTATTATATTGCCCAGGATGATCTCAAACTTCTAGGCTCAAGCGATCCTCCTGCCTCAGCATCACAAGCAGCTGGGATTACAGGGTGTACCACTACACCCAGCTCCTCTAGTTCTTTTAGAAAGCTATTTCCAACATACATTTTCCTTATTGTTACAACAAACAAGGAAAGATTAGCCAGGCATCATGGCACATGCCTGTTGTTCCAGCTACTTGGGAAGCTAAGGCAGGAGGATCATTTGAGACTAGGAGTTCCAGGCTGCAGTGACCTATGACTGTACCACTGCACTTCAGCCTGAGTGATAGATAGAGCGAGATCCCGTTTCTAAAAAAAATAGTAGTGCTCACTTTGGCAACATACCTACTAAAATTGGAATGATACAGAGAAGATTAGCATGTCCCTTGCGCAAGGATGACCTGCAAATTCGTTAAGTGTTCTATTTAAGAGGTAGAGATAGAGAAATCAGGGTAGAAAGTTTATTCAAAGGGATAATAACAGAGAACTTCCCAAACCTAGAGAAAGATATCAATATTCCAATGTAAGAAGGTTATAGAACACCAAGCAGATTTAACCCAAGTAAGGCTACCTCAAGACATTCAATAATCAAACTCCCAAAGGTCAAGTATAAAGAAAGGATCCTAAAGCAGAAGAAAAGAAACAATATACAAAGGAGCTCAAATATGTCTGGCAGATGACTTCTCAGTGGGAATCTGATAGGCCAAGAGAGAGTGGCATGACATATTTAAAGTGCTGAAGGAAAAAACTTTTATTCTAGAATAGTATATCCAGTGAAGTTATCCTTCAAAGGAGAAATAAAGAGTTTCCAGGCCAGGTGCGGTGGCTCACGCCTGTAATCCCAGCACTTTGGGAGGCCGAGGCAGGTGGATTGTCTGAGGTCAGGAGTTCGAGACCAGCCTAGCCAACATGGTGAAACCCCCCGTCTCTACTAAAACTACAAAAATTAGCTGGGTGTGGTGGCAGGCACCTGTAATCCCAGCTAGTCAGGAGGCTGAGGCAGGAGAATCGCTTGAACTCGGGAGGCGGAGGTTGTAGTGAGCTGAGATCACACTATTGCACTCCAGCCTGGGCAACAGGGCAAGACTCCATCTAAAAAAAAAAAAAAAAAGTTTCCCAGAAAAACAAAAGCTGAGGGATTTCATCAATACCAGACCTGTCCTACAAGAAATGCTAGTGGGAATACTACAATCTGAAAGAAAAGGACATTAATGGGCAGTAAGAAATCATCTGAAGATACAAAACTCACTGGTAATAGTAAGTACACAGAAAACCACAGAATATTATAACGCTGTAATTGTGGTGTATAAACTACTCGTATCTTGAGTAGAAAGACTAAAAGATGAACCTACTAAAAATAACTACAAATTTTCAAGACAAAGACAATATAATAAGATATAATAGAAATGACAAAAAGTTAAAAAACAGGAGAGATAAAGTGCAGAGTTTTTATTAGTTTTCCCTTTCCTGTTTGTTAGTTTGTGTGTTTACGCAACCAGTGTTAAGTGTCATCAGTTTAAAGTAACAGGTTATAAGATGTTATTTGCAAGCATTATTGTAACCTCAAATCAAAAAAACCTACAACAAGCCAGGCACGTTGGCTCACACCTATAATCCCAGCACTTTGGGAGGTTGAGGCAGGTGGATTGCTTGAGCTCAGGAGTTCAAGTCCAGGCTAGGCAACATGAAAAAACCCTGTGTCTGCTGGGCATGGTGGCTTACGCCTGTAACCCTAGTACTTTGGGAGGCCAAGGCAGGCAGGTCACCTGAGGTCAGGAGTTTGAGACCAGCCTGACCAACATGGTGAAACCCCGTCTCTACTAAAAAAATACAAAAATTAGCCAGGCATGGTGGTGCATTCCTGTAATCCCAGCTACTTAGGAGGCTGAGGCAGGAGAATCGCTTGAACCTGGGAGGCAGAGGTTGCAGTGAGCTGAAATTGTGCCATTGCATTCTGGCCTGGGCAACAAAAGCGAAACTCCATCTCAAAAATAAAAAAAAAAAAAAAAGAAAAAGAAAAAACCCTGTCTCTACAAAAATACAAAAATTGACTGGGCATGGTGGTGTGCACTTCTAGTCCCAGCTACTCAGGAGGCTGAGGTGGGAGGATCTCTTGAGCCTGGGAGGCAGAAGTCACAGTGAGCCCAGATTGCACCACTGTAATCCAACCTGGGCAACATAGCAAGACCCTGTCTCAAAAGATAAAATAAACCAAAACAGATAAACAAAAATAAAATGCAAGAAATTAAAACATACCACTGGAGAAAATCACCTTCACAAAAAGGAAAACAGGAAGGAAGGAAAGAAGGAAGAGAAGACCACAAAACAACCAGAAAACGAATAACAAAATGGCAGGAAAAGTTCTTATTTATCAATAATAACATTGCATGTAAATGGACTAAATGCTCCAATTTAAAAGACATAGAGTGGCTGGGCATGGTGGCTCATGCCTGTAATCCCAGCACTTTGGGAAGGCCGAGTTGGGTGGATCACTTGAGGCCAGGAGTTCGAGACAAGCCTTGCCAACATGGTGAAACCCTGTCTTCACTAAAAATACAACAATTAGCTGGAAATCGCTTGAACCCAGGAGGTGGAGGCTGCAGTGAGCTGAGATCACGCCACTGCACTCCAGCCTGGGCGAGGAGCAAGTCTCCATCTCAAAAAATAAAATAAAATAAAATAAAATAAAAGACATAGAGTGGCTGAAAGGATTTAAAAAATAAATAAATAAGATCCAACAATCTGTTGCCTACAATAAACACACTTCACCTATAAAGACACACATAGACTGAAAATAAAGAGATGGAAAAAGATATTTCATGTTAATGGGCACCAAAAAAGAGCAGGAATGGTTATATTTACATTAGACAAAATAGATTTCAAGACAAAAACTATAGAAAGAGATGAAGGTCATTATATAATGATAAAGGGGTCAATTCAGCAAGAGGACATAACAATTATAAATATATATGCACCCAATACTGGAGTACCCAGATATATAAAGCAAATAATATTAGAGTTTAAGAGAGAGGCAGACCCCACAACATTAACTGGAGACTTCAATAACCCACTTTCAGCATTGGACAGGTCATCCAGACAGAAAATCAACAAAGAAACTTCGGACTTACTCTGCACTATAGACCAAATGGATCTAATAGATATTTACAGAACTTCTATTCAACAGCTGCAGAATACACATTCATCTACTCAGCACGTGGCTCATTCTCAAGAATAGACAATATGACAGGCCACAAAACAAGTTTTTAAAAATTAAAAAAATTTTGGCCAGTCATTGTGGCTCTTGCTTGTAATTCCCAGCACTTTGGGAGGCCAGGGTGGGCAGATTGTTTGAGCTCAGTAGTTTGAGACCAGCCTGGGCAACATGTCAAAACCGCATTTCTTCAAAAAGTACAAAAATTAGCTGGGTGTGGTGGCATGCACCTGTAGTCCAAGCTACTCAGGAGGCTGAGGTGGGAGGATGGCTTGACCCCAAGAGGCAGAGGTTGTTGCAGTGAGCCAAGATTGCACCACTGCACTCTAGCGTAGGTGACAGAGTGAGACCCTGTCTCAAAAGAAAAAAAAAGTCCAAAAAATTCAAGCCAGCAGTGAGCTATAATGGTGCCCCTGCACTCCAGCCTGAGCAACAAAGCGAGACCCTGTCTCTTAAAAATATGTATGTTCTGGCTGGGCACGGTAGCTCATGCCTGTAATCCCAGCACTTTGGGAGGCCAAGGTGGGTGGATCACTTGAGGTCAGGAGTTTGAGACCAGCTTGGCCAACATGGTGAAACCCCATCTCTACTAAAAATACAAAAATTAGCTGGGCACGGTGGTGGGCACCTGTAATCCCAGCTACTCAGGAGGCTGAGGTAGGAGACTTGCTTGAATCCAGGAAGCAGAGGTTGCAGTGAGCCAAGATCACACCATTGCACTCCAGCCTGGGCAACAAGAGTGAAACTCCAAAAAAAAAAAAAAAAAAAAGTTATACACACACACACACACACACACACACACACACACACACACACACACATGTTCCAACTGTCCTATACATTAAATAAATAAATTTTTTAATTAATTAAAAACACTGAAATTATATCAAGTGTTTTTTCTGACCACAATGGAATAAAACTAGAAATTAGTAACGAGGAATTTTGGAAACTATACAAACACAGGGTAATTAAACAATATGCTCCTGAATGACCAGTGGGTCAATGAATAAATTAAGAATTTAAATTTCTTGAAACAAATGAAAATGGAAACACAACAAAACCTATGAGATACAGTGAAAGCAGTACTAAGAAAAAAGTTCATAGGCCAGGCGCGGTGGCTCACGCCTGTAATCCCAGCACTTTGGGAGGCCGAGGCCGGTGGATCACGAGGTCAGGAGTTCAAGACCAGCCTGGCCAAGATGGTGAAACCCTGTCTCTACTAAAAATACAAAAAATTAGCCAGGCGCGGTGGCAGGTACCTGTAATCTCAGCTACTTGGAAGGCTGAGGCAGGAGAATTGCTTGAACTTGAAAGGCGGAGGTTGCAATGAGCCGAGATCATGCCACTGCACTCCAGCCTGGGTGACAAAGTAAGACTCCATCCCCCCAAAAAAGAAAAAAGAAAGAAAAAAGTTGATACCAAAGAGTGCCTACATCAAAAAAAAGTAGAGGCCGGTCACCTGTAATCCCAGCACTTTAGGAGGCCCAGGTGGGCAGATCACTTGAAGTCAGGAGTTCGAGACCAGTGTGGCCAACATGGTGAAACCCCGTCTCCACTAAAAATACAAAAAATTAGCTGGGCGTGGTGGCAAGTGCCCGTAATCCCAGACACTCGGCAGGCTGAGGCAGGAGAATCGCTTGAACCCGGGAGGTGGAGGTTGCAGTGATCCAAGATCGCGCCATTGCACTCCAGCCTGGGCAGCAAGAGTGAAACTCCATCTCAAAAAAAAAAAAGTAGAAAAAATTAAAATAAAAAGCCTAATGAAGCATCTTAAAGAACGAGAAAAGCAAGAGCAAACCATACCCAGAATTAGTAGAGGAAAAGAAATAATAAATATCAGAACAAATAAATGAAATTGAAATGAAAAAGAATACAAAAGATCAACAAAACAAAAAGTCATTTTTTAAAAAGATAAACAAAATTGACAAACCTTTAGACAGACTAAGAAAAAGAGAAGACCAAAATAAATAAAATCAGCGGTGGAAAAAGAGACATTGGCTGGGCGTGGTGGCTCACGCCTGTAATCCCAGCACTTTGGGAGGCCGAGGCAGGTAGATCACAAGGTCAGGAGTTTGAGACCAGCCTGACCAACATGGTGAAACCCCGTCTCTACTAAAAATACAAAAATTAGCCAGGCATGGTGGTACACACCTGTAATCCTAGCTACTCAGGAGGCTGAGGCAGGAGAATCACTTGAACCTGGGAGGCAGAGGTTGCAATGAGTCAAGATTGTGCCACTGCACTCCAGCCTGGGCAACAGAGCAAGATTCCATCTCAAAAAAAAAAAAAAAAGAGAGAGAGAGAGAGACATTACAACCAATACCACAGAAATTCAAAGGATCATTAAGGCTGCTATGAGCCAATAAATTGGAAAACCTAGAAGAAATAGATAAATTCCTAGATACATACAATCTACCAAGATTTAACCATGAAGAAATCCAAAACCTGAACAGACCAATAACAAGTAATGAGATCAACACCATGATGAAAAGTCTCCCAGCAAAGCAGTCTGGGCACAGTGGCTCACTCCTGTAATCCCAGCACTTTGGGAGGCCAAGGCAGGTGGATCACTTGAGGTCAGGAGTTCCAGACCAGCCTGGCCAACATGAAGAAACCCCATCTCTACGAAAAATACAAAAATTAGCTGGGCATGGTGGTGGGCACCTCTAATTCCAGCTACTCGGGAGGCTGAAGCAGGAGAATCACTTGAACCAGGAGGCAGAGGTTGCAGTGAGCCAAGATCATGCCACTGCACTCCAGCCTGGGTGACAGAGTGAGACTCCATCTCAAAAAAAGAAAAAAGTCTCCTACCAAGGCAAAGCCCAGGACCTAATGGTCTCATTGCTGTATTTTACCAAACATTTAAAGGAGAACTAATACCAATCCTACTCAAACTATTCTGAAAAATAGAGGAGGAGAGAGTACAACTAAACTCATTCTATGAGGCCAGTATTACCCTGATAACAAAAACAGGCAAAGACCTATCAAAAAAAGAAAACTAAAGGCTAAGATCTCTGATGAACATTGATGCAAAAACCCTCATGAAAATACTAGCAAACTGAATTTAACAACACATTAAAAAGATTATTCATGGCCAGGCATGAAAATTGCTTGAACCCAGGAGGCAGAGGTTGCAGTGAGCTGAGATCATGCCATTGAACTCCAGCATGGGGGACAGAGCTAGACACCATCTCAAAAAAATAAATAAATAAAATAAATGAAGAAGACACACAAAAAATGGAAAGATATCCCATGTTCATGGATTGGAAGAATCAATATTGTTAAAATACCCATACTACTCAGAGTAATCTACAGATTCAGTGCAGTCCCTATCAAAATACCAGTGACATTCTTCACAGAAATAGAAAAAATAATTGTAAAAGTTATATGGAACCACAAAAGACACAGAATAGTCAAAGCCGTCCTCAGCAAAAAGAATAAAACTGGAAGACTCATATTACCTGACTTCAAATTATATGACAGAGCTATAGTAACCAAAACAGCAATGACACTTGCATAAAAACAAACATATAGACCAATGGAACAGAATAGAGAACCCAGAAACAAATTCATACACCTGCAGGAAACTCACTTTTAACAAAGGTGCCAAGAATACACATTGCGGAAAAAACAGTCTCTTCAGTCAGTGGTGCTGGGAAAACTGGATATCCATATGCAGAAGAATGAAACTACACCCCATCTCTCGCCATATGCAAAAATCAAATCAAAATGTATTAAAGACTTAAATCTGAGACCTCAAAGTATGAAAATATTACAAGAAAACATTGGGGAAACTCTCCAGAACACTGGACTGGGCAAAGATTTCTTGAGTAATACCCCACAAACATGGGCAACCAAAACAAAAATTGACAAATGGGATCATATAAAATTAAAAAGCTTCTGCACAGCAAAAGAAACAATCAGCCAAGTGAAGAGACAACCCACAGAATGGGAGAAAATACTTGCAAACTATCCATCTAACAAAGGATTAACATCTATTATATAAGCAGCTCAAACAACTCAACAGGAAAAAAATGTAACAATCAGATTTTAAAATGGGCAAAAGATTGGAATAGATATTTCCTTCCTTCCCTTCCCTTCCTTCCTTCCTTCTTTTTCTTTCTTTCTTTTTTTCTTTCTTTCTTTTCTTTTCTTTTCTTTTCTTTTCTTTTCTTTTCTTTTCTTCTTTCTTTCTTTTGAGATGTAGTCTTGCTCTGTCGCCCAGGCTGGAGTGCAGTGGCGCAATCTGGAGTGCAGTGGTGTGATCTCGCCTCACTGCAAGCTCCACCTCCCAGGTTCACACCATTCTCCTGTCCCAGCCTCTGGAGTAGCTGGGACTACAGGCACATGCCACCACACCTGGCTAATTTTTGTATTTTTTGTAGAGACAGGATTTTGCCATGTTGGCCAGGCTGGTCTCGAACTCCTAACCTCAGGTGATCCACCTGCCTCGGCCTCCCAAAGTGCTGGGATTACAGGCATGAGCCACCACACCTGGCCTGTATGTCTCAGGAGGCTGAGGCAGGAGAGTCGTTTGAACCTGGGAGGCAGAGGTTGCAGTGAGCCAAGATCACACCACTGCACTCCAGCCTGGGTGACAGAGGGAGACTGTGTTCCACCCCTACCAAAAAAAAAAAAGTCATACAAATGGCAAACAGGTATATGAAAAGGTGCTCAACATCATTGATCATCAGAGAAATGCAAATCAAAACTACAGTGAGATATCTCACCCCAGTTAAAATGGCTTATATCTGAAAGACAGGCAACAATGAATCCTGGCAAGGATGTAGAGAAAAGGGAACCCTCATATACTGTTGATGGGAATGTAAATTAGTACAATCACTATGGAGCATAGTTCGGAGGTTTTCAAAAAACTAAATATAAAACTACCATATGATCCCAACAATCCCACTGCTAGACATATACCCAAAAGAAAGGAAATCATTATATCAAGGAGGTATCTGCTCTCTCATATTTATTGCAGCACTATTCACAATGGCCAAGATTTGGAAGCAACTTAAGTGTCCATCAACAGATGAATGGATAAAGAAAATGAGGTGTATATACACAATGGAGTACAACTTAGCCATAAAAAAGGAATGAGATGGCTGGGCGCCGTAACTCACACCTGTAATCCCAGCACTTTGGAAGGCCAAGGTGGGAGGAGGGCTTGAGCCCAGGAGTTTGTGGCCAACCTAGGCAACATAGTGAGACTCGGTCTCTACAAAAAAAAAAATTTTTTTTAATTTAGCCAGGCGCAGTGGTGCATGCCTGTAGTCCCTGCTACTTGAGAGGCTGAGGCAGGAGAAACACTTGAGCCCTGGTGACTGAGGTGGCAATGAGCCATGATTGTGCCACTATACTCACTCAACCTGGGCAACAGAACGAAACCCTGTCTTAAAAAAAAAAAAAAAGGAATGTGATCCTGTCATGTGCAACAACATGGATGATGGAATTGGAGACACTATGTTAAGTGAAATAAGCCAAGTATAGATAGACAAACTTCGCATGTTCTCACTTATTTGTGGGAGCTAAAAATGAAAACAATTGAACTCATGGAGACAGAGTAGAATGATGGTTACTGGAGGCTGGAAAGCGTAGTGGGTGGGTGGGAGGGAAGTGGGGATGCTTAATTAGTACAAAAATATAGTTAGATTAAATGATTAAATGAATAAGATCTAGTATATGATAGCACAACAGGGTGAATACAGTCAACAATAACTTATTGTATATTTTAAAATAACTAGGCCAGGTGCAATGGCTCACACCTGTAATTCCAGCACTTTGGGAGGCCAAGGTGGGTGGATCATCTGAGGTCAGGAGTTCGAGACCAGCCTAGCCAACATGGTGAAACCCTGTCTCTACTAAAAATACAAAAATTAGTCGGGCATAGTGGCAGGCGCCTGTAATCCCAGCTATTTGGGGGACTGAGACAGGGAGAATTGCTTGAACCCAGGAGGCGGAGGTTGCAGTGAGCTGAAATCATGCCATTGCACTCCAAACTGGTCAACAGAACAAGACTCCATCTCAAAATAAACTAAAATAACTAAGAGAGTATAATTGTGTCTGTAACAGAAAGGATAAATGCAGCTGGGCACAGTGGCTCACGCCTGTAATTGCAACACTTTAGGAGACTGAGGCAGGAGGATCACTTGAGCCCAGGAGTTTGAGACCAGCCTGGGCAACGTAGGGAGACCCTGTTTTTAGAAAAAAGAATTTTTTTTAAATTAGCTGGACTAATTGGCACATGGTGGCACATGCTTGTGGTCCCGGCTACTTGAGAGGCTGAGGTGGGAGGATTGCTTGAGCTCAGGAGGTCAAGGCCACAGGAAGCCATGATTTCACCACTGCACTCCAGCCTTGGCAACAGGACAAGACCCTGTCTCAAAAAAAAACCAAAAAAGGTTTCAACTTAAAGTGTGCTTGAGGTGATGCATACCCCACTTACCCTGATGTGATTATTACAGGTTCTATGCCTGTATCAAAGTATCTCATGTACCCCATAAATATGTATACCTACAACGTAGCCACAAAGATTAAAAATAAAAACAAAAAATTAACTGTAATCCCAGCACTTTGAGAGGCTGAGGTGGGCAGATCGCTTGAGGCCACGAGTTCAAGACCAGCCTGAGCAACATGGCGAAACCCCATGTCTACAAAAAAGACAAAAATTAGCTGAGTGTGGTGGTGTGCCCCTGTAGTCCCAGCTACTAGGGAGAGTGAGGTGGGAGGATCACTGGAGCCCGGGAGGTCGAGGCTGCAGTGAGCTGAGATTGTTCCACTGCACTCCAGGCTGAGTGAATTTTTAATTTTAATTTTTTCATAAGTTATTGGGGTACAGGTGGTATTTGGTTACATGAGTAAGCCCTTTAGTGGTGATTTGTGAGATTTTGGTGCACCCATCACCCAAGCAGTATACACTGCTCCCTATTTGTAGTCTTCTATCCCTCGCCCCCTCCCACCCTTTCCTGACTTTTTATTTTTAATTTAAAAAAAAATTTAATATTAAAAAAGTGAAAAAAAAAGGAAGGACACCATGTTTATTGATGAATATTTCTTAATCTATCCCTTCACTGTCTAGGTTTTTCTACAGCTCCCAGTAGAGCATAACTTTGCCATGGTTGTCCATACAAAAGCAGCAGGCAGGACCAGTATCAAGGTCACTGTTCACTGCATGAACAGTTCCTCTGGGCAGTTTGAGGGGAATTTGTTGGAACTCTCTGATGAAGTACAGATCCTGGTAAGCTTCCAAATCTAAATCTTATTTTCGTATATTAAGGATAAGAAAGTTATATTCTCTTACCATCAACAAAGAGCTTAGTCTGGATAGAGACAGATAATTGTTAGAGCGATTCCTGGAACAGGTTTGTACTTCCTAGATCTTTATAATTCCTGCTAATTGCTTGTATATAGTTTTGTTTTTTGTTTTTGTTTTGTTTTGTTTTGAGACGGAGTTTCGCTCTTGTTGCCAAGGCTGGAGTGCAATGGCACAATCTCGGCTCACCACAACCTCCATCTCCTGCGTTCAAGTAATTCTCCTGCCTCAGCCTCCCGAGTAGCATGTGCCACCAAGCCCAGCTAATTTTGTAATTTTAGTAGAGACGGGGTTTCTCCATGTTGGTCAGGCTGGTCTGAAACTCCTGACCTCAAGTGATCCTCCTGCCTCGGCCTCCCAAAGTGCTGGGATTACAGGCGTGAGCCACTGTGCCTGGCCTGTTTTTTGTTTTTTTGTGGTTTTTTTTTTTTTTTTTTTTTTTTTTGAGACAGTCTTGCTCTGTTGCCCAGGCTGGAGTGCAGTGGTGTGATCTTGGCTCACTGCAAGCTCCTCCTCCCAGGTTCACACCATTCTCCTGCCTCATTCTCCCAAGTAGCTGGGACTACAGGTGCCTGCCACCATGCCCGGCTAATTTTTTGTATTTTTAGTAGAGACAGGGTTTCACTGTGTTAGCCAGGATGGTCTCGATCTCCTGACCTCGTGATCTGCCCGCCTCAGCCTCCCAAAGTGCTGGGATTACAGGTGTGAGCCACCATGCCTGGCTTGTTTTTTGTTTTTGAGACAGAGTCTCACTCTGTCACCCAGGCTGGAGTGCAGTGGCACAATCTCCACTCACTGCAGCGTTCAGGTAATTCTCCCTGCCTCAGCCTCCCGAGTAGCTGGGATTACAGGCGTGCACCACCATGCCCGGCTAATTTTTGTATTTTTAGTAGAGACGGGGTTTCGCCACGTTGTCCAGGCTGGTCTCAAACTCCTAACCTCAAGTGATCCACCCGCCTTGGCCTCCCAAAGTGCTAGGATTACAGACGTGAGCTACCACGCCCGGCTGCTTTTATATACTATTAACATTAGAAACTATTAGTACTTGCAGGTGAGTAGTCTGGAAAAAAAAAGAAAAGAAACTGTAGCACACACACTCCCTTCAACTCCCCATATCAGGAACACAGGATATGAACACCATAGTAACTAGAGAGGGATTCATTTCTGATCCACTCCACCTGACATAGATATTATAAGTCCATTAACAATTTTTATTTAATTATTTATTTATTTTGAGACAGAGTTTCACTCTGTTGCTTAGGCTGGAGTGCAGTAGCATGATCTCGCCTCACTGCAACCTCCACCTCCCAAGTACAAGTGATTCTCCTGCCTCAGCCTCCTGAGTACCTGAGATTACAGGCATGCGCCACCATGCCTGGCTACTTTTTGTATTTTTAGTAGAGATGGAGTTTCGTTATGTTGACCAGGCTGGTCTCAAACTCCTAACCTCAGGTAATCTGCCCGTCTTGGTCTCCCAAAGTGCTGGGATTACAGGTATGAGCCACCGCGTCCAGCCGATATAAGTCCATTTAAATATATTCACAGTTAGGATAAAACATAATTCTAACTTTTGATAAGGTGTAAGAGTATGAATAGTTTCTACAGATATTCTTGGGCTAAAAGCTAAATGGCTCTGTTGTTTTTAGAATTCAAAAAACAAATTATCACTTATATGGGTCGAGTAAGTTTCACTGCCTCTGATTTTGAGACTTTTTTTTTCTTTTCCTGTTTTATTTTTTCCTTTATTTTGGCTTTGGTTCTCTGATTCCATGTGAAGTAGAGGAAGGAGCACTTTACTAGAAGGTGGAAGACCTGGATGTTATTTCATGCTAATTTAATATTATAAGTTCTTTTCCCCAAACTTCATGTCATTTTACCAGAGCCAAAATTAGAAATTTCAAAGTATTTTTATACCTAATATCTAAGCAATATGGAAGATGTGGTAAGTGTAAACTTTGCTACATGCTGAGTCCCTCAGAGTCAGAAACAGGGCTAACATTAGGTTATATCTTCTAGAATATCTAGTTACGTTTTGAGTGCCTGGTTCATTTTGGAGAGGAGTATTGTGGACGATTTTAGACTAATTAGAAGTTAGGCAGACTGTTGATTCGTAGTTGTCATTTATTTGCATGTAATCTCTTCGGGATTATACTGAAGTCTATATGTAAGTAAAAGTCATAATTTGTCTTTGCCAAAAATGAGGAAAACATTTTCTCATTATAGGTGTTTGAAAAACTCCAACTCTTCTATCCAGAGTGCCAACCAGAGCAGATTCTGATGCCTATAAATTCTCAGCTCAAACTCCATACCAACAGGTAAGGAAAAGGGAGAATAAGGAAGTGCCAGGATCTAAGCTTAAGTATTTTCAGTAAAACATTGACATAGAAAGAACACTTTTGCCTTCTAGGAGATTTTTCCCAAATAATTTTTTGTGTGAGGTGAAATTCCCATAATGTAAAACTATTGTAAAGTGTAAAATTCAGTGGCATTTAGTACATTCACAATATTGTGTATTCAGCATCTCTATCTAGTTCCAAATATTTTTATCACCACCAAAGGAGATCCCATACCTGTGAAGCAGTCACTCTTCTTTCTTTCCTCCTCGCAGCCCCTGGCAATCACTAATCTGCTTTCTGTGTACGGTATTAGCTATCCTGAATGTATTTCATATAAATGGAATCATACAGTATGCAACGTTTTGTGTTTTTTGTTTTTTTTTTTTTGTTTTTTTTTTTTTTTTGAGACAGTCTCGCTCTGTTGCCCAGGCCAGCGCACAGTGGCACAATCTCAGCTCACTGCAACCTCCACCTCCCAGGTTCAGGCAATTCTCCTGCCTCAGCCTCCTGAGTAGCTGGGATTACAGGTGCCTGCCACCACACCTGGCTAATTTTTGTATTTTTAGTAGAGATGGGGTTTCACCATGTTGGCCAGGCTGGTCTTGAACTCCTGACCTCAGGCGATCCTCCCGGCTCGGCCTCCCAAAGTGCTGGGATTATAGGTGTGAGCCACCACGCCCAGCCTTGTGTTGGCTTCTTTAAGTTAGCATAATGTTTTTGAGGTTCATCCATGTTGTAGCATGTATCAGTACTTCTTCCTTTTTATGACTGAATAGTATTCCATTATATGGAAATACCACATTTAGTTTATAATTTCATCTCCTAATAGAAATTTGGGGCTGGGCACAGTGGCTCATGCCTGTAATCCCAGGCCTCTGGGAGGCCAATGCAGGTGGATCACCTGAGGTTGGGAGTTCGAGACCAGTCTGATCAACATGGAGAAACCCCAACTCTACTAAAAATACTAAATTAGCCAGGGGTGGTTGCACATGCCTGTAATCCCAGCTACTCAGGAGGCTGAGGCAGGGGAATCACTTGAACCCGGGAGGCGGAGGCTGCAGTGAGCCAAGATCACGCCATTGAACTCCAGCCTGGGCAACAAAAGCGAAACTCCGTCTCAAAAAAGAAAAGAAATTTGGGTTGTTTTCACCTTTTGGCTATTGTGAATAGTGCTGCTATGAATATTCATTTGCAAGTATTTACCTGAATACCTGCTTTCAATTGTTTTGGCTGAATAATTATTTTTTTGAAACGGAGTTTTGCTCTTGTCCCCCAGGCTGCAGTGCAAATGGTGTCATCTCGGCTCACTGCAACCTCAGCCTCCCAGGTTCAAGCCATTCTCCTGCCTCAGCCTCCCGAGAAGCTGGGATTACAGGCACCCGCCATCATGCCCAGCTAAAAATTTTTTTTTTTTTTGTATTTTTAGTAAAGACGGGGTTTCACCATGTTGGCCAAGCTGGTCTTGAACTCCTGACCTCAGGTGATCCTCCCGCCTTGGCCTCCCACAGTGCTGGGATTACAGACATGAGCCACCACACCCGGCCTAAATAATTCTTTAATTATAAATATGTAATAAGATTTGATTTTAAAGAAATAAGCATAATCCAAAGGCAGACTTTTACCTGAGGAACAAATAATTACACACGTGGAGAATGGCAAGCAGTTTTCTCGAGTACATCCCCTAACAGTAATCCTGGAAATTTTTACTCTTTTCTCTCTGGTCAGACAGGACCCCAAAAAGATGCCACTTCCTTTCCTTGTTCCCTAGGGAAGGAGCTGCCTTCGTGAGTTCTCGTGTTCTCAAGTGTTTCCCTAATTCATCCGTCATTGAGGAGGATGGTGAAGGGCTCCTGAAAGCTGGTTCCATTGCAGGTACTGCTGTATTGGAAGTCACTTCTATAGAACCTTTTGGAGTCAACCAAACAACCATAACTGGGGTCCAGGTGAGTTCATGGACTTACTAAAAAAAACAAATAAATAAAAGTCATACCCTGGCCTTAAAAAGCAGAGTTTCTTTTTTAAAAAACTAGAAATTTTCTTATCATGCCATTAAAGAAAAAAAGAAAAAGAAAAGAATTAGAAACTTCTGTATCATGAGAGAACATGAACCAGAAAAAAAAAAAAAAAAAGGAGAAGAAGAAGAAGAAGAAACTCTCTGGGAGTCAGAAATGAACCTATAAGAGGCCAGTCTTGACATGGTTATAAGCCATAAAATTAAAATGAACTTTAGAGCCCTTGTTATAAAACAGATCAGCCTGGCCGGGCACGGTGGCTCACGCCTGTAATCCCAGCACTTTGGGAGGCTGAGGCAGGCGGATCACGAGGTCAGGAGATCGAGACCATCCTGGCTAACACGGTGAAACCCCTTCTCTACTAAAAATACAAAAAATTAGCTGGGCGAGGTGGCGGGCGCCTGTAGTCCCAGCTACTCAGGAGGCTGAGGCAGGAGAATGCCGTGAACCCCGGGGGGCGGAGCCTGCAGTGAGCCAAGATCACGCCACTGCACTCCAACCTGGGCGACAGCAAGACTCCATCTCAAAAAAAAAAAAAAAAAAAAAAAAACAGATCAGCCTAAATTTATATGATTGTCTTCCTAGCAGCTTTGGCAAAAGGACTGGTATCGGAGGAGTGTAGAATGATTGCTATCAAAATTGGCTGGGCTGGGTGACTCACGCCTGTAAGCCCAGCACTTTGGAAGGCTGAGGCAGGAGAATCACTTGAGGCCAAGAGTTTAAGACCAGCCTGAGCAACATAATGAGACCCCTATCTCTACAAAAAATGAAAAAAAAAAAAAAATAGCCGGGCTTGGTGGCACATGTCTGCAGTCCTAGCTGCTTGGGAGGCTGAGGTGGAGGATCACACGAACCTAGGAGTTCGAGGCTGCTTTGTGCTGCAATTGAACTGCTGCACTGCAGCCTGGAAAACAAAGCAACAATCTGTTTCTTTTTAAAAAATTAAGCTTTGCTACAAGAATTAAAAAATTGAGAAAAGACCTCAGAGATAAGTTAGTCTTAACACGAAAAAAAATTTTAGACATTAAACATCTACTATATACTATGTTCGTCATTGTATGTATATTATCTCTTTTAACTACCACAAAAGCCCTATGAGGTAGGCATTATTATCCCCATCTAACTGTTAACTGATAAGAAACCTGAGACCCAGAAAAGTTACATGAGGCTATGAAATGATAAAGCTATGATTCAAACGCGGGCTTCACTTACTGTATCACAGCTCTCTTACAGTGTGAAAACACAATATAGATTGTGTTCCTGATAAGTAATTGATTATTTAACCATAAATATTGAGCACTCTGCATGAAATGGATGAATTATAGTCCTTTCCTCATAAAGCTCCAGCTTCTCTTCACATTCCCACAGCTTTAAAAATTAAAAACCTGGCTGGGCACAGTGGCTCACGCCAATCCCAGCACTTTGGGAGGCCGAGCCGGGTGGATCACGAGGTCAGGAGTTCAAGACCAACCTGGCCAAGATGGTGAAACCCCCATCTCTACTAAAAATACAAAAAAATTAGCCGGGCATTGTGGCGGGCGCCTGTAATCTCAGCTACTCAGGAGGCTGAGGCAGAGAATTGCTTGAACCCAGGAGGCGGAGGTTGCAGTAAGTTGAGATTGCACCACTGCACTCCAGCCTGGGCGAGACAGCAAAATTCCGTCTCAAAAAAAAAAAAATTAAAAACCCATTTCAAGCCGGGCACAGTGGCTCACGCCTATAATTCCAACACTTTGGGAGGCCAAGGCGGGCAGATCACTTGAGGTCAGGAGTTTGAGACCAGCCTGGCCAACATGGTGAAACCCCATCTCTACTAAGAATAGAAAAATTAACCAGGCGTGGTGGCAGATGCCTGTAATCACAGCTACCTGGGAGGCTGAGGTAGGAGAATTGCTTGAATGCAGGAGGCAGAGGTTGCAGTGAGTCAAAATCATGCCGCTGCACTCCAGCCTGGGTGACAGAGTGAGATTCTGTCTCAAAAAAAAAAGAAAAGAATTTCCTATGCTGCTATGCTGTCATATTTCTTTTCACTCTGACTTAAGTCATCTCACATCAAAAGCTATTTCCTATGGAAAAGAAACATCACTCTTTATCATTGATTATAAGTCTCAGAATATGGTTGCAGCACTTCTCCAGTGCATCTTTCTCTGTACCAGTAGGTTTTGTCTCCCACAGGTAGCACCGGTGACATACCTGCGAGTGAGCAGCCAACCCAAGCTATACACAGCCCAAGGAAGGACCCTGTCAGCATTTCCCTTGGGCATGTCTCTTACCTTCACTGTTCAGTTTTATAATAGTATCGGAGAGAAATTCCACACACACAATACCCAGCTTTATCTGGCTCTGAACAGGTATGGAAGTCAAAGGAATGGTATTGACACTATGGTAGAAATCTTGCATATTAGGCTAGTATTATATAGCAGCTCCAGTAAATTCCTCTCACATTCTGAATTTGGAAGTTGATCTTTCTTTTGTTAAAAAAAATTTTTTTAAGTGAGGCCAGGTGGGTGGCTCACACCTGTAACCTCAGCACTTTGGGAGGCTGAGGAGGGAGGATCACTTGGGCCCAGGAGTTCGAGACCAGCCTGGACAACATGGTGAAACCCCATCTCTACAAAAATACAAAAATTAGCTGGGTGTGGTAGCGTGTGCCTGTAGTCCCAGCTACTAGGGAGGCTGAGGTGGGAGGATCACTTGAGCCCAGGAGGCAGAGGTTGCAGTGAGCAGAGATTGCGCCACTGCACCCCAGCCTGGGTGACCAATTAAGACTGTCTTAAAAAAAAAAAAAAAAAAAAAAGACCAGACTTAGGCAATGGTATTAGTTGTCACTTAAGAAAAAATGCAGGATATCTTAAATCTGTCAAGTTCTAATTCACTAAAAGATCCATAGGGAGCTAACTGGAGTATTATTATCAAAAGGCTTTACTGGAAAAAAAAAAAAGCCTTCCTGGGAACTATACGTATGAAGGTAATAGACTGATCCTTGGCCCATACTTACTTACTCTTTATTGTGGAATTCCTTCTGAACTTCTGAGCTGTTGAATATAAAATGTGGTAGGGTGTTCTCCAGAACTATTTTCTAACTATTGTCTCTTTTTAAAGATTTCTACCTTTAATGTCTACTTGCAGAGATGACTTGCTGCATATTGGACCAGGGAATAAGAACTATACTTACATGGCCCAGGCTGTGAACAGAGGGCTGACACTTGTGGGGCTTTGGGACCGGAGACATCCAGGCATGGCAGATTATATTCCTGTTGCTGTAGAGCATGCCATTGAGCCAGACACCAAGCTTACCTTTGTTGGAGATATCATCTGCTTCAGTACTCACCTTGTCAGCCAGCATGGTATGTATACATTCCCTTTCTCAAACTTACAATTGATAGTTGTGGGGATTAAAAAGCAGTTATTAAAAAAAAAAGCAGTTATTAATCCCTTGGACTGGTATAGTGGTTTATACCCATAATCTCAGCCCTTTGGGAGGCCAAGCTGGAGAGGTCACTTAAGGCCAGAAGTTCAAGAAAGCAATTAATCCCCTAGAATATTTTTTTCCAAATTATCTAAAATCTGAGGGACTCTCTGAGAAAGAAAATAATTTTGAGTATTTTATTATTTGTAATGTTACTGATAATTTTTAGCTTAATGCCTGTTTCACTCAATAGCCAGCCAATTAGAAGCCAGCCAGTAATATTGATCAAGAGTCTATTGGATACATAGCTCTATTTTATATTATGTAGATAGTGCAGGGTACTGTGTCTTCTCCTCCATTCCCAGCTTTTGAAGGAGGGTAATTACTATATTGAAGGACAGTAAAGGATAACAGGAAGGAAAGGGCAATAAGGCTTTAGTTCTAAGAACTAGTTATGTGTATGCTATTTTGTGAGGCACATTTGAAGGCCTAAGTCCTAACATATCATCATTGTAATAAGGTTTTTTCTTTTACCCGGATAAACTATACTTTGTTTTGTTTTTTTTTTTAGAGACAGAGTCTCACTCTGTCATTCAGGCTGGAGGGCAGTGGGCAGTGACATGATCTCTGCTCACTGCAACCTCTGACTCCTGGGTTCAAGCGAGTCTCCTGCCTTAGCCTCCCAAGTAGCTGGGACTACAGGCACACAACACCACGCCTGGCTAATTTTTATATTTTTTATACAAGGGGTTGGCCCCTGGCCAACTATACTCTTGAAAACAAAGCATTTCTGTCCTAAGTACTGAGTTAAAAATAAAATCATAAGCCAGGTGCGGTGGCCCATGCCTGTAATCCCAGCACTTTGGGAGGCTGAGGTGGCGGGATCACGAGGTCAAGAGATCGAGACCATCCTGGCCAACATGGTGAAACCCCATCTCTACTAAAAATACAAAAATTAGCTGTGCATGGTGGCACACGCCTGTAGTCCCAGATACTCGGGAGGCTGAGGCAGGAGAATCGCTTGAACCTGGGAGTTGGAGGTTGCAGTGAGCCGAGATCGTGCCACTGCACTCCAGCCTGGCAACAGAGTGAGACTCCATCTCAAAAAATAAATAAATAAAATAAAATCATAGAAAACATTTGGGAGGCCGAGGCAGGCAGACCACCTGAAGTCAGGAGTTCAAGACCAGCCTGGCCAACATGGTGAAATCCTGTTTCTATTAAAAATACAAAAATTAAGGCCGGGTGTAGTGACTCACGCCTGTAACCCCAGCACTTTGGGAGGCTGAAGCAGGCGGATCACAAGGTCAGGAGTTCAAGACCATCCTGGCCAGCATGGTGAAACCCCGTCTCTACTAAAAATACAAAAATTAGCTGGGCATGGTGGCATGTGCCTGTAGTCCCAGCTACTTGGGAGGCCAAGGCAGGAGAATTGCTTGAACCCAGGAGGCACAGGTTGCAGTGAGCCAAGATCACACCACTGCACTCCAGCCTGGGTGATGGAGCGAGACTCTGTCTCAAAAATAATAATAATAGTAATAATTAAATTATCCCGGTGTAGTGGCATATGCCTCTGGTCCCAACTATTGGGAGGCTGAGGTGGGAAGATTGCATGAGCCCAGGAGATCAAGGCTGCAGTAAGCTATGATCGCACTACTGCACTCCAGCCTGGATGACAGGCTGTGTCTCAAAAAAAAGAAAAGGAAATCATTCTTTGGTTAGGAAATGAGTGTGAATTCTTTGGGTTTCCAAATATCATATCCCAAAGTGGTGTACACTGCCTGGATGTGTACATCCAAGTAAGAACTGCTTGTAGTAATGTATGGTTTTGGCTTTGCAGCCTCTTCTGGTAACTATGGATACATATGTTTAGGTAAAGTGATGTAAATGTTGGACCTGACTTTAACATTAATACGTATTTTGGACCTTGATACAAAGGGGCTCTATACAGCTGAATCCCCCAATGCTATAACAGCTGATTTGCAAACAACCACTACCAACATGCAATCCAGGACCAATGAGCTAAACCTACTTTAAGGTTGGCAATGAGAGTTACAATCCCCTGATTATAAATCCCTTGTCAATGAAGCAGAGTATTTTTTACCCTCTCTTTTTTTGTTTGTTTGTTTGTTTTTTTGAGACAGAGTTTCACTCTTATCACCCAGGCTGGAGTGCAATGGTGTGATCTCGGCTCACTTCAACCTCCACCTTCTGGGTTCAAGTGGTTCTACTGCCTCAGCCTCTCAAGTAGCTGGAACTAGAGGCATGCGCCACCACGCCTGGCTAATTTTTGTATTTTTAGTAGGATGGGGTTTCACCATGTTGGTCAGGCTGGTCTCGAACTCCTGACCTCAGGTGATCCTCCAGCCTCGGCCTCTCAAAGTGCTGGGATTACAGACATGAGCCACCGTGCCCGGCCTATTTTTTATTCTTTTTAGCTATATTTTTGACAGGATTGTCCCATAGTCTTCCAATCTGGAATTTTGGGAGGCTTCATCATGTGATGAAGGAAAGAGCCATATGCCAGGATCAGTAATCCTGCAGGCTAAGTACAAACTCTAACCCAGTATTTGGCATTCCTCGGCCATCTTTAGACTTAAGCCAAAATAAACAAATCCTTTCTCTTGCCATGGTCACTTTTTTGCAGTCTTCTTGCTGTCATCAATCAGTAGCTCAAAGCAAATTTGTCCTTAGTAGCTTCTAAACAAAATTTATTCAGAAAGTTATCCCTGTATGTAAAAAGAGCTTCTCTTTTTCCCAAGGAGAACAGTTACATTCTCCAACTACGTAGCTCTTCTTATGATTCTTTATTTTGCTGGCATGATATACGAAGAGGAACCTGACACTGAGAAAACAGTTATCTTCAAAGCTGGCTGTTTCTCCTGGGAAGAGATATCTGCATGCTTGAAAAATTTACTGATTTGGAGTATGAATAAGTCCAGAGTGATTTATATCAAAGGCTTCAGCCAAGTGTTTTCTCTTGTCTTTTCCTAGGTGAACCTGGGATATGGATGATTTCTGCCAACAATATTCTACAGACAGACATTGTCACTGGAGTAGGAGTGGCCAGGAGTCCGGGGACTGCAATGATTTTTCATGACATCCCAGGAGTAGTGAAAACATATCGAGAGGTAAACATAACTGTATCAGAGTTTAAGAGACTAGGGTGACTATTGCCACATATGAGGATATGCATAGAGAAAATACATCTTAGGAAAGGAAATACACTCATAAAACAGATATAAAGCCAGCCAGCAAACTTTACTGGAACACAAAGCTAAACAGTGTTCAGGATTCTTAACCAGCAGAATGACTACCTGTGTTTTAAGAGATCACAGTGGGTACTGGTTGGCACTAGACACTAGACACCAGGGTAGAAGTTGAAAGACCATTTGGGAGTCTACTGCGGTAATCCAGGTGACATATGTTGGCAGATCAGGGTGGTGACAGAGGAGGTGATAAGAAGTTGATCAGATTCTAGGTATATTTTATAGGTAGAGCCAATAGAGTTTCCTCACAGATTATATCTAGAACATAAGAAAATCCAGAATGATTCAGGTTTTTGGTTGAACAGCTGAAAGGACAGCATTACCGTCAACTGAAATGGGGAAGACTGTAGGTGGAACAGTCTTGGAGGGAAAAGCAGTCATCTTTGGATATGTAAAATTGGGTATGTCTATTAAATGTCAACTGGATATGTTGAGGTTGCTGGATATAAAAGTCTGGGAGTCATTGGAATAGAGATATTTAAGGCCATTAGATCACCAAAGAATGAATGTAAAATAGAAAAAAGGCCAGGCGCGGTGGCTCACATCTGTAATTCCAGCACTTTGGGAAGCCAAAGTGGGAGGATCACCTGAGGTCAGGAGTTCGAGAACAGCCTGGCCAACATGGTGAAACCCCATCACTACTAAAAATACAAAAATTAGCCGGGCCTGGTGGCTCACATCTGTAGTCCCAGCTACTCAGGAGGCTGAAGCACGAGAATCTCTTGAACCTGGGAGGTGGAGGTTGCAGTGAACTGACATCAAGCCACTGTACTCCAGCCTGGGCAACAGAGTGAGAGTCGCTCTCAAAAAAAAGAAAAAAAAAGAGAAAAAAGACCTAAGTACTAAGTTCTGGGAGCACTTCAATCTTAAGAGTTCTGATTGCCTTTTGATTAGTGGCAAATGGAAAAAGAAAGAAACAAAAGGGAAAAAGGGAGCTCTGAGAGAAGAACCAATAAGAAAGACTTATAAGAAACAACCAGGCTTAGTGCCGTGGCTCACGCCTCTAATCCCAGCACCTTGGGAGGCCAAGGCAGGTGGATCACAAGGTCAGAAGTTCGAGACCCAGCCTGACCAACATGGTGAAACCCCGTCTCTACTAAAAATACAAAAATTAGCTGGGCGTGGTGGCACACACCTGTAATCCCAGCTACTCAGGAGGCTGAGGTAGGAGAATCGCTTGAACCCAGGAGGCAGAGGTTGCAGTGAGCCAAGATCACACCACTGCACTCCAGCCGGGGCAACAGAGTAAGACTCTCTCAAAAAAAAAAAAAAAAAGAAAGAAAGAAACAACCAGTGAAATGGGAGGAAAATCTAGAGATATGTGTATCCTGGAAGGCAAATGAAGAAAGTATTTCAAGGAAAGAGGGAGTGATCAACCATCATTACTATTAATGGGTTAAGCTGAAAATTGAGAAATGACTGATGGTTTTTGCAGTATGGAGACTGGTGCTAGTGACTTTGTTGAGTAGCTTCAGCAAAGTGACCTGAGCCCCCCCCTTTTTTTTTTTTTGTTGGAGACAGAATCTTGCTCTATTGCCCAGGCTGGAGAGCAATGGTTTAATCTTGGCTCACTGCAACATCTGCCTCCTGAGTTCAAGCAATTCTCATGCCTCAGCCTCCTGAGTAGCTGGGATTACAGGCACGTGCCACTACCCCCAGCTAATTTTTGTATTTTTAGTAGAGACAGGGTTTCACCATGTTGGCCAGGCTGGTCTCGAACTACTGGCCTCATGTGATCTGCTCGCCTCCGCCTCCCAGATTGCTGGGATTATAGGCATGAGCTGCCACTGCGCCCAGGCTTTTTTGTGCGTGTTTTTTTGTTTTTTTTTGAGATGGAGTATCGCCCTGTTGCCCAGGCTGAAATGCAGTGGTGTGATCTCAGCTCACTGCAACCTCTGCTTCCTGGGCTCAAGCTATCCTCCCACTGCAGCCTCCCTAGTAGCTGGGACTACAGGTGCATGCCGCCATGCCCAGCTAATTTTTTTGTTTTGTTTTGTTTTGTTTTGTATTTTTGATAGAGATGGCATTTCACCATGTTGCCCATGCTGGTCTCGAACTCCTGAGCCCAAGTGATAGGCCTGCCTCGGCCTCCCAAAGTGCTGGGATTACAGGCGTGAGCCACTGTGCCCAGACAGAGTGACCTGAATGAATGTTTGATTGGAGAATTGGAGAAAAGGACTTGGAGACAGTGAATATAGAAAGCTCTTTTAAGGAGTTGGGGTTAAGAGTTTGTTTTGTGGATTTTTTTTTTTATGAGAGAAATAGTGGATTGGGAATGATTCAGTGGAAACAGAAAATTTGATGTAAGTCAGAGGATTGCTGGAGGGAGTAATATTCTTGAGTAGGTGAGATAGGTAAACAATAAAGGGATTTTTTTAATGAAATATTTTCTATTCCCTTCTTAAATATATGTAATGTCTCCTTCCTCTTTGCCCAAAGCACTTCTTTGATCCTCTTTTTTCATTCCTCAAACATGGTAGCTACAACTTTTTGTGTATCTACTATGGGCTTGGCACTTCTCATCTTTTTTTTTTCTTTTAAGAGACAGTGTCTCACTGTTGCCCAGGCTGGAATACAATGATGCAATCATGGCTCACTGCAGCCTCAAACTCCTGGTTTCAAGCCATCCTCCTGCCTCAGCCTCCAAAGTAGCAGGACCACAAGTGTGTGCCAGCATACCTGGCTAATTATTTTTATTTTTTTGCAGACACAGGGTCTCGCTATGTTGTCCAGGCTGGTCTCAAACTCCTAGATTCAGGTCATCTTTCTGCCTCAGCCTCCCAAAGTGCTAGGATTATAGGCATGAGCCACTGCACCTAGCCATCTATTTTTTTTATTTTTATTTATTTATTTATTTATTTATTTATTTATTTATTTATTTATTTATTGAGACAGGGTCTTGCTGTGTCACCCAGGCTGGAGTGCAGTGGTGTGATCTCAGATCACTCAGATCCACCTCCTAGGCTCAAGTGATCCTCCCACCTCAGTCTCCTGAGTAGCTGGGACCACAGGTGCACACCACCACACTCGGCTAATTCTGTGGGGTGTGTGTGTGTGTGTGTGTGTGTGTGTTTTGAGACAGAGTCTCACTCTGTTGCCCAAGCTGGAATGTAGTGGCGGAATCTCAGCTCACTGCAACTTTTGCCTCCTGGATTCAAGCAATTTTCCTACCTCAGCCTCCCATGTAGCTGGGATTACAGGCACCTGCCACCACACCCAGCTAATTTTTGTATTTTAGTAGTGACAGGGTTTCACCATGTTGGCCAGGCTTGTCTCGAACTCCTGACCTCAAGTGAGCTGCCCACCTCAGCCTCCCAAAGTGCTGAGATTACAGGCATGAGCCACTGTGCCCAGCCAATTTTTTGTGTTTTTGGATAGATGGGGTTTCACCCTGTTGCCCAGGCTGATCTCGAACTCCTGGGCTCAAGTGTTCTACCTGCCTCAGCCTCCCGAAGTGCTGGGATTACAGGTGTTTGCCACCACATCTAGCCCAGTCTTTTTTTTTTTTTTTTTTAACATCCAGTACACCTATCACTTTTAATTGTATCACTTTTAACTCTGCAAAATAAATATGTGGGGCATGGAGGGAGGGAGAGCATCAGGAAGAATAACTAATGGATGCTGGGCTTAATACCTGGGTGATAGGTTGATCTATGCAGCAAACCACCATGGCACACATTAACCTATGTAACAAACCTGCACATCCTGCACATGTACCCTGGAACTTAAAATAAAAGTTGAAGAAAAAAAAGTATTTTCCCAACTTTGTTTTATTTTATTTATTTATTTTTATAACAGAATCTCACTCTGTTGCCCAGGCTGGAGTGCAGTGGCACAATCTCTGGTAACTGCAACCTCCACCTTCCAGGTTCAAGCAATTCTCGTGCCTCAGCCTCCCAAGTAGCTAGGACTACAGGTGTGTGCCACCACACCCAGCTAATTTTTGTATTTTTAGTAGAGGCAGGGTTTTGCCATGTTGGCCAGGCTGGTGTCAAACTCCTGGCCTGAAATGATCTGCCTGCCTCAGCCTCCCAAAGCGCTGGGATTACAGATGTGAGTCACTGCACCCGGCCCCAACTTTATAGATGAGTAAGTTACTCAATATGTGTGCACATGGTATCTGGTGCCTTCTTTTGAGGAGCTCATAGTCTAGTGGTGACATAAACAATTACATACATGGCACAAATAATTACAATAGGCAAATAAAAGTACATGTTGTGCTTGAAGACTAATGAATAAATCAGGGCAACTTCAATACAAAATTAATAAGGGTAGAGAGGGAAAATTTGGATAACATCCAAAAAGAACTTGTATTATAAGCAGATAAGAGGTTCAAGGACAGAGGTAGCATGAAAAGAGTACTAGAAAAAGAGACTGAGAAGGGATTAGGAACCAGAAAAGCAAAGAGAAACAGTGTCATAGAAGGCAAAGGAGGAAATGGTTGTGGTGTTAGATGCTACAGGGAAGTCCAAAGGTCATTCCTATTCTAATTTGTGTACTTCATCGAATCCTCATTTAATATTCACTAATTAGCAGATACTCATTAAAGCCTATTAAGTGTCAGGCATTGTGCTGGCCTCCAGAAATACAAATATGAAAAAGACAAAATTCCTTTCTTTATTAAGCCATTAATGTAACTAACTTGGGTTTTAAGGTTCTTGAATTTAAAAAACCTGTGGTAATACTAAGGAGAATGTAGAGTATATTGCATTTAAATTTAAAATATTAAGGGCTGGGCATGGTGGCTCACACCTGTAATCCCAGCACTTTTAGAGGCCGAGGTCAGTGGATCCCTTGAGGTCAGGAGTTCGAGACCAGCCTGGCCAACATGGTGAAATCCCATCTCTACTAAAGATACAAAAATCAGCCAGGCATGGTGGCACGTGCCTGTAATCCCAACTACTTGGGAGGCTGAAGCAGGAGAACTGCTGGAACCCAGGACGCAGAGGCTGCAGTGAGCCGAAATTGCGCCAGTGCACTGTAGCCTGAGTGACAGAGCAAGACTCCGTCTCAAAACAAACAAACAAACAAACAAAAAAACTTACAATATAAGGCAGAATAGTACAAGTATTCTTGAGAAAAAACAATGTACTTTGAAGTTTCAGAAAAGATTGAGATTATGTGCAACTAGAGACAAAGAGAAAATGTCCTGAAGAAAGTTGCAGTTGTTTTTTTTGTGTGTTTTTTTTGTTTTTGTTTGTTTGTTTTGTTTTGTTTTTTTGAGATGGAGTCTCACTCTGTCGCCCAGGCTGGAGTACAATGGCACAATCTCAGCTCACTGCAGACTCCGCCTCCCGAGTTCAAGCAATTCTCCTGCCTCAGCCTCCCTGGTAGCTGGGATTACAGGCACGCTCCAACATGCCTGGCTAATTTTTGTATTTTTAGTAGAGGTGAGGTTTCGCCATGCTGGCCAGGCTGGTCTCAAACTCCTGACCTCAAGTGATCCACCCGCCTCAGCCTCCCAGAGTGCTGGGATTACAGGCATGAGCCACCGCACCTGGCCTCAAAGGCATTTTAATAGGGAGTCATACAAAGGGAAGATATGTCTGAAGGAATAATTGGACCCAAGACTTCCTTCTAGAAAAAATGTTATTTTGGGCTAGGCATGGTAGTTTATGCCTGTAATCTCAGCACTTTGGGAGGCCAAGGTGGAAGGATGGCTTGCGGCCAGGAGTTCTAGACCACCTGGGGCAACATAGTGAGACCCTGTCTTTTTTTTTTTTTGGAGTCTCGCTCTGAGCCACCGCGCCTGGCCAAGACCCCGTCTTTGTTTTTTTTTTTTTTTTTTGATTCAGAGTTTCACTCTTGTTGCCCAGGCTGGAGTGTAATGGCGCAATGTCGGCTCACTGCAACCTCTGCCTCCCAGGTTCAAGCGATTCTCCTGCGTCAGCCTCCTGAGTAGCTGGGATCACAGGCATGCACCACCAAGCCCGGCTAATTTTGTGTTTTTTTTAGTAGAGGCGGGGTTTCTCCATGTTGGTCAGGCCAGTCTGGAACTCCTGACCCCAGGTGAGCCGCCCGCCTCGGCCTCCCAGTGCTGGGATTACAGACGTGAGCCACCGCGCGCGGCTGACCCCGTCTTTTGTTGGTTAGGCATGGTGACACATACGTGTAGTCCCAGCTTCTCTAGAGGCTGAGGCAGGAGGATTGC
Source organism: Homo sapiens (assembly GCF_000001405.40). Taxonomy (NCBI): domain Eukaryota; kingdom Metazoa; phylum Chordata; class Mammalia; order Primates; family Hominidae; genus Homo; species Homo sapiens. The sequence goes on along the minus strand of NC_000001.11, from coordinate 154,012,643 downwards.
TTGAGCCTAGGAATTTGAGGCTTCAGTCAGCCATGATCATGCCACTGCACTCCAGCCTGGGTGACAGAGCAAGACCCTGATTAAAAAAAAAAAAAAGTTATTTTGTCTTCAAAGGCAAACAGATTTTGTTGTTCTCAAATATGTGGTCATGAGATGGAATCTGTACTTGTGTGAAACAGATACTTTTGGTTAAATAAGTTATGAGGGGTGGATCTGGAAGGAGTCAGATTCTCTAGGAACTTAGGTGCAGATTTTCCTTTGATTTGCTGACAGGTGGTGGTCAATGCATCATCAAGATTAATGCTCAGTTATGACCTCAAGACTTATCTCACCAATACCCTCAATTCAACTGTATTCAAGCTCTTCATCACCACTGGCAGAAATGGTGTCAATCTTAAAGGTCAGGAATCTCTTCATGGTTTCAGTGATTGTTCCTATCTTTCTCGTTTTCCCTCAATTCATTTATCCCTTTGGATTAGTAATCCAGATTTTCTTTTTATTTCAAAACTGACTCCATCTTGACAAATAAATCATAGAGCTCTATGAGACCTCAGAAATTATGACTAGACTAAGGTTTTAAAATAGGCTCATCCTAGTCACTATTGTCTTTCTAGTTTTAAAAATACAAATTTTAGGCCGGGCGCGGTGGCTTACACCTATAATCCCAGCACTTTGGGAGGCCAAGGCAGGCAGATCACCTGAGGTCGGGAGTTCAAGACCAGCCTGACCAGGAGTTCAAGACCAGCCTGACCAACATGGTGAAACCCCATCTCTACTAAAAATACAAAAACTAGCTGGGTGTGGTGGCGTGTGCCTGTATCCCAGCTACTTGGAGGCTGAGGCAAGATAATTGCTTGAACCCGGGAAGCGGGGGTTAGAGTGAGCCGAGATCGCACCACTGGACTCCAGCCTAGGCGGCAGAGTGAGACTCCATCTCAAAAAAAAAAAAAAAAAAAAAAAAAAACTTAAGATAATTTTAGTACTCTGGAGTGGTGGCTCATGCCTGTAATCCCAATTATTTAGGAGGCTGTGGTGGGAGGATCGCTTGAGGCCAGGAGTTTGAGACCAGCCTGGGCAACAAAGCAAGACCCCATCTCTCAGAAAAAAAAAAAAAATAGAGATGGCCAGGCGCGGTGGCTCACACCTGTAATCCCAGCACTTTGGGAAGCCGAGGCGGATGGATCATGAGGTCAGGAGTTCGAGACCAGCCTGGCTAAGATGGTGAAACCCTGTCTCTACTAAAAATACAAAAATTAGCCGGGTGCAGTGGCGGGTGCCTGTAATCCCAGCTACTCGGGAGGCTGAGGCAGGAGAATTGCTTGAACCCAGGAGACAGAGGTTGCAGTGAGCTGAGATTGTGCCACTGCACTCTGGCCTGGGCGACAAAGCAAGACTCCATCTCAAAAAAAAAAAAAAAAAATCTAGCCACCGTGCCTGGCCAACAGACTGACGTTTTATTCCCCAGAATCTTTCTAAAATCACTACTTATTTTATTGAGAAACCTCATGCATCAGTCCCTTTGATTTTGCTGAAGATTTTTCAAGAATGCCACTCATTGCAGCTGACCCAATGATAACAACAGTCCACTTCTTGCTGTCTATATGATTCCTCTTAAGGCACCACTTGTGATGAAGTTCTAGGGATTTGGGGCTTGAATTATATTGTAATTGTATTACAACATTGTATATGAAAAACAAATTCTCTTAGACCTAAAAGCTACCTCCCAACTGTACTGCTTTATTTTTATTTATTTATTTATTTATTTATTTATTTGAGACGGAGTTTCGCTCTTGTTGCCAAGGCTGGAGTGCAATGGCGCAATCTCGGCTCACTGCAACTTCTGCCTCCTGAGTTCAAGCAATTCTCCTGCCTCAGCCTCCCGAGTAGCTGGGATTACAGGCATGAGCCACCACCCCCAGCTAATTTTGTATTTTTAGTAGAGACGGGGTTTCTCCATGTTGGTCAGGCTGGTCTCGAACTCCCAACCTCAGGTGATCCGCCTGCCTCGGCCTCCCAAAGTGCTGGGATTACAGGTGTGAGCCACCGCGCCTGGCCTATTTTTAATAGATTTCTAACTTCCCTGTAATCTATCTTACTCCCACTGACGCCAGGCGTGGTGGGAGACACCTGTAATCCCAACTACTGGGGAGACTGAGGCAGGAAGAATTGCCTGAACCGGGAGATGGAAGTTGCAGTGAGCCAAAATCACACCACTGCACTCCAGACTGGGCGACAGAGCAAGACTTCATCTCAAAGATTTTTCAAAAAAAATCTTTGAAAAAAGACACTACCTATGTATGACATTGATAATGGAAGCCCCACTGTAGTCATTCACAAATTAGAATGCGAGGGTCTCACACTATTCTTTCACCTTGATTGAAGCAGAGGTGGGCAAACCAGCCATAACTGACCCTCTTTCTTGCTTATTTTTTTTATGCTTCAAAATTGCCTCCATATAATGGTCTCTCTTTTTACAAATTCTTGTTAGTGACAAAGCTATTTACCTCTTTTCTGCTTTTCAGGATTCTGTACCCCAAACCAGGCCTTGGCCATTACAAAAGTACTTCTTCCAGCGACCCTCATGCTGTGCCATGTACAGTTCAGTAATACTTTGCTAGACATTCCAGCAAGTAAAGTCTTTCAGGTCCATTCAGATTTCAGTATGGAGAAAGGTAAGTTACACCAGTTGAATCTGGTTTCCCCATTCTGTTTATCTATTTGTATAATTGTCCCATTCTTATTGGATTGCATTTATATCTGTAGTTTCATCTGATATATAACTGTGGAATCTTTGTCAGGCAACATTTTTGTTCAACCCGTTCAACTCTTTTTTCTTTTTTTTTTTTTTTTTGAGACTGGGTCTTGCTGTGTTGCCTAAGGCTGGAGTGAAATGGTGTGATCATAGCTCACTGTAACCTTAAACTCCTAGACTCAAGCAATCCCCCTGCCTCAGCCTCCTGAGTAGCTAGGACTACAGGCACATGCCATCATGCCTTTTTTTTTTTTTTTTTTTTTTTTTAAGAGCAACGTGATCTTCCTATATTGCCCAGGCTGGTCTCAAACTCCTGGCCTCAAGCAATCCTCCTGCCTCAGCCTCCCAAAGTGCTGGAATTACAGGTGTTAAGCCACTGCCCCCAGCCCTATTCAAATAAGTTTTAACACATGCCTCCTAGAATATCCTGTGCTTTTCTATTATAATTTACTATTTTCTTGCTAGTCCCCATTCACTCTGTGAGGCTCTGCATTGTGTCTCATTTATCTTTCATTCCCAGCATGTAGCACAGTGTTTGGATGTTTTGTTGAATTGAAAGATATTCCAAATAAAAGAATAGGATTAACAAGTGGAAAGTGGAAATAGGCATGATGTTAGGATGACTTTATGTAAATCAGCTTATCTAAAAATGAAAGGATTCATATCAAATGTAAGGTATAGGGCCAGGCGCAGTGGCTCACACCTGTAATCCCAGTACTTTGGGAGGCCGAGGCAGGTGGATCACCTGAGGTCAGGGCTTCGGAGACCAGCCTGGCCAACATGATGAAACCCCATCTCTACTAAAAATACAAAAATTAGCCAGGCGTGGTGGGAGGCACCTGTAATCCCAACTATTGGAGAGACTGAGGCAGGGAGAATTGCCTGAACCGGGGGATGGAAGTTGCAATGAGCCAAAATCACACCACTGCACTCCAGACTGGGCGAAAGAGCAAGACTTCATCTCAAAAAAAAAAAAATGTAAGGTATAAATAAGGTAGTGCTTCATCATGAGAGAACCTCTAATGCTAGATCAGGCAGTCTGAATGGTTTGGGTCATGAGCAACCACTGAAGGAAGGTTCATTCAGCAAACTGTTTATAATACCTGACAGCAGGAGAAGATGTGGAGTTACAAAGAAAAGCAAAGTAATTTTTGGTTTGTTTGTTTTTTTGTTTTGTTTTGTTTTTGAGACAGAGCCTCACTCTGTCTCCCAGACTGGAGTGCAGTGGCACGATTTCAGCTCACTACACCTCTGCCTCCCGGTTACAAGGTATTCTCCTGCCTCAGCCTCCTGAGTAGCTGGGATTACAGGCGCGTGTCACCACGCCCAGATAATTTTTGTATTTTTAATAGAGATGGGGTTTCACAATGTTGGTCAGGCTGGTCTCGAACTCCTGACCTCGTGATCCGCCTGCCTCAGCATCCCAAAGTGTTGGGATTACAGGCGTTAGACACCGTGCCCAGACATTTTTGTTTCTTTATTTTGTTTGCTTGTTTGTTTGTTTGTGTAGGGACAGGGTCTCCCTATGTTGCTCAGGCTGGTCTCAAACTCTTAGCCTCAAGTGATCCACCTCGGCCTCCCAAAGTGCTGGGATTATAGGCATGAACCACCATGTCCAGCCTAAAGCTTTTAACTTTTAGTGTTACCCTACCAGGTGATGAGTTACAGGGTAGACACATATATGTTTGTGACTTCAATTTATTGATGAAAAAATAAATCAGGCCGGGTGCAGTGGCTCACGCTCGTAATCCCAGCACTTTGGGAGGCCATGGCGGACAAATCACTTGAGGTCAGGAGTTTGAGACCAGCCTGGCCGACATGGTGAAACCCCATCTCTGCTAAAAATACAAAAATTAGCCAGGCATGGTGGCAGGCACCTGTAGCCCCAGCTACTCGGGAGGCTGAGGCAGGAGAATCACTTGAATCCAGGAGGCAGAGGTTACAGTGAGCCAAAATCGTGCCACTGCACTCCAGCCTAGGCAACAGAGCAAGACTCCGTCTCAAAAATAAATAAATAAGGCCGGGCGCAGTGGCTCATGCCTGTAGTCCCAGCACTTTGGGAGGCCGAGGCAGGCGGATCACGAGGTCAGGAGACCGAGACCATCCTGGCTAACATGGTGAAACCCTGTCTCCACTAAAAAAATACAAAAAATTAGCCAGGCGTGTTGGCAGGCGCCTGTAGTCCCAGCTACTCAGGAGGCTGAGGCAGGAGAATGGCGTGAACCCGGGAGGTGGAGCTTGCAGTGAGCCGAGATCGCGCCACTGCACTCCAGCCTGGGCAACAGAGTGAGACTCTGTTTCAATAAATAAATAAATAGAAAAAATATATAGGCCAGGTGCGATGACTCACGCCTGTAATCCCAGCACTTTGGGAAGCTGAGGCGGGTGGATCACCTGAGGTCGGGAGTTCACGACCAGCCTCACCAACATGGAGAAACCTGGCCTCTACTAAAAATACAAAATTAGTCAGGCATGGTGGCACATGCCTGTAATCCCAGCTACTAGGGAGGCTGAGGCAGGAGAATCACTTGAACCCAGGAAGTGGAGGTTGCGGTGAGCCAAGATGGCACCATTGCACTCCAACCTGGGCAACAAGAGCGAAAATCTGTCTCAAAAAAAATATATATATAAGCCCGGCGCAGTAGCTAACGCCTGTAATCCACCATTTTGGGAGGCCGAGGGGGGCAGATCACTTGAGGTCAGGAGTTTGAGACCAGCCTGGCTAACATGGTGAAACTCCGTCTTTACTAAAAATACAAAAATTAGCCAGGCATGGTGGCGGGCGCCTGTAATCCCAGCTATTTGGGAGGCTGAGGCAGGAGAATCGATTGAAATAGAAGGAGGAGGTTATAGTGAGCCAAGATCATGCCATTGCACTCCAGCCTGGGTGAAAGAGCGAAACTCCATTTAAAAAAAAAAAAAAAATATATATATATATATATATACACACACACACACACACACAGACATATGTGTATATGTGTATATATATGTATATGTGTATACATATGTATGTGTGTGTATGTATATGTATATATTTATATATATACATATATATATATATATATATATATGGCATGGTAAGAAAGCAGAAAGAGGCCAGGCATGGTGGCTCACGCCTGTAATCCCAGCAGTTTGGGAGGCCGAGGCAGGCAGATCACCCGAGGTCAGGAGTTCGAGACCAGCCTGGCCAACATGGTGAAACCCCATCTCTACTAAAAAATACAAAAATTAGCCGGGCATGGTGGCACATGCCTGTAGTCCCAGCTACTCGGGAGGCTGAGGCAGGAGAATTGCTTGAACCCAGGAGGCGGAGGTTGCAGTGAGCCGAGATCGTGCCACTTCACTCCAGCCTGGGCGGTAAGAGTGAGACTCCATCTCAGAGAAATAAATAAATAAATAAAAATAAAGCAGAAAGAAAGGAGGAGTATCTATATGAAACCTAGAGCCAAATTAAGTAAGGTTTTACAGAGGGAATGACCTTTAGAAGTATGACTAAGAGTGAACTAGATGTGAAGAGAACAGGACATTCCAGGCAATATAGGGCCCTAGAGAAGTTTGTTTTAGTTTTGGTTTAGTTTGTTTTTTTTTCCAAAAATAAGATGAAATCACTTGGGCCCAGGAGGTTGAGGCTGCAGTGAGCCATGATAATGCTACTACACCCTAGCCTTGGTGACAGAGCAAGACTCTGTCTAAATAAATAAATGAATAAAATAAAAATGAAGGCAGTTTTTGGCCAGGTGCGGTGGCTCACGCCTGTAATCCCAACACTTTGGGAGGCTGAGGCAGGTGGATTACCTGAGGTTGGGAGTTCAAGACCAGCATGATCAACATGGAGAAACCCCATCTCTACTAAAAATACAAAATTAGGGCGGGGCGCGGTGGCTCATGCCTGTAATCCCAGCACTTTGGGAGACTGAGGTGGGCAGATTACCTGAGGTCGGGAGTTCGAGACCAGCCTTACCAATGTGGAGAAACCCGTCTCTACTAAAAATACAAAATTAGCCAGGTGTGATGGCGCATGCCTGTAATCCCAGCCACTCAGGAGGCTCAGGCAGGAGAATCACTTGAACCCGGGAGGCGGAGATTGCAGTGAGCTGAGATCACGCCATTGCACTCCAGCCTGGGCAACAAGAGCAAAACGCTGTCTCAAAAAAAAAAAAGAAAAAAAAATACAAAAATACAAAATTAGCCAGACGTGGTGTTGCATACCTGTAATCCCAGCTACTCGGGAGGCTGAGGCAGGAGAATCACTTGAACCCGGGAGGCAGAGGTTGTGGTGAGCTGAAATCACATCATTGCACTCCAGCCTAGGCAACAGGAGCAAAACTCCATCTCAAAAAACAAACAAACAAACAAACAAACACTGGGCGCGGTGGCTCACACCTGTAATCCAAGCACTTTGGGAGGCCAAGGCGGTGGATCACCTGAGGTCAGGAGTTCAAGACCAGCCTGGCCAACGTGGTGAAACCCCGAATCTACGAAAAATACAAAAATTAGCCAGGCCTGGTGGCTCACGCTACTTGGGTAGTCCCAGCTACTTGGGAGGCTGAGGCAGGAGAATTGCTTGAACCCAGGAGACGGAGGTTGCAGTGAGCTGAGATCACACCACTGCACTCCATTTTGCCTGGGCGACAGACAAGACTCCATCTCAAAAAAATAAATAAATAAATAAATAATGAAGGCAGTTTTTAAGGATTTAGTGGCAGTATGTAGAATGGATAAGAAAAAGAAAAGAGGAGGCCGGGCACGGTGGCTCATGCCTGTAATCCCAGCACTTTGGGAGGCCGAGGAGGGTGGATCACAAGGTCAGGAGTTGAGACCAGCCTGACCAACATGGTGAAACCCTGTCTCTACTAAAAATACAAAAACTAACTGGGCGTGGTGGCACACACCTGTAATCCCAGCTACTCAGGAGGCTGAGGCAGGAGAACTGCTTGAACCCAGGAGGTGGAGGTTGCAGTGAGCCAAAATTATGCCACTACACTCCAGCCTGGGCGATAGAGTGAGATTCCATCTCAAAAAAAAAAAAAAAAAGAAAGAAAGAAAGAAAAGAAAAGAAAAAAAGAAAAGAGGAATAGCCTGGCCACAGTGGCTCATGCCTGTAATCCCAGCTACTCAGGAGGCCAAGGTGGGGGAATCCCTTGAGCCCAAGAGTTCAAGGCTGCAGTGAGCCGTGATCACACCACTGCACTACAGCCTGGGCAACAGATGGAGAACCTGTCTCAAAGAAAGAAAAGAGGAATAACGGCAGGGCATGGTAATCCCAGCACTTTGGGAGGCTGAGGTGGGCAGATCATTTGAGGTCAGGAGTTCAAGACCAGCCTGGCCAACATGGTGAAACTCTGCCTCTACTAAAAATACAAAAATTAGTAGGGCACCTGTAATCCCAGCTACGTGGGAGGCTGAGGCAGGAGAATCACTTGAACCAGGGAGGCAGAGCTTGAAGTGAGCTGAGATCGCACCACTGCACTCCAGCCTGGGCGACAGAACGAGACTTCGTCTCAAAAGAAAAAAAAAGAAGGCCGGGCGCAGTGGCTCACGCCTGTAATCCTGGCATTTTGAGAGGCTGAGGCAGGTGGATCACGAGGTCAGGAGATCGAGACCATCTTGGCTAACATGGTGAAACCCCGTCTCTACTAAAAATACAAAAAAATTAGCCGGGCGTGGTGGTGGGCACCTGTAGTCCCAGCTACTCGGGAGGCTGAGGCAGAAGAATGGCGTGAACCCAGGAGGCGGAGTTTGCAGTGAGCCAAGATCGCGCCACTGCACTCCAGCCTGGGCAACAGAGTGAGACTCCATCTCAAAAAAAAAAACAAAAAACAGGCAAGGATACCTGTGAAGGGGCAATAATGCAAGCATGAATTGATAAGGGTCTAGACCAGACTAATGGGTCTGGACCAGACTAGTAAGGGTCTAGCCCAGACTAATTATCCATAATTATCCAATTGCAATAATCCAAGCATGCATTGATAAGGGTCTAGACCAGACTAATAGAGAAATACTAAGAAGGGGCAGATGTCAGAGACATTTCAGAGAAGGAGTAAGCAAGATTTGGAAATGATTGGATATAGGGATGAAGGAAAGGATGTAAAGACAACTAAGGCCAGGTGCAGTGGCTCATGCCTATAATCCCAATGTTTTAGGAGGCTGAAGTGGGAGGATCACTTGAGCCCAGGAGTTTGAAACCAGCCTGGGCAACATAGCAAGACCTTGTCTCTCAAAAAATAAAATAGCCAGGCATGGTGGCGCGCACCTGTAGCCCTAGCTCTGAGGCAGGAAGATTGCTTGAGCCCAAGAATTCAAGGTTTCAGTGAGTTGTGATTGTGCCACTGCAGTCCGGCCTGGGCAAGAGCAAGACTCTGTCTCTACAAAAATAATAAATAGTCCAGGCATGGTGGCTCACGCCTGTAATCCCAGCACTTTGGGAGGCTGAGGTGGGAGGATCACGAGGTCAGGAGATCGAGACCATCCTGGCTAACAAGGTAAAACCTCGTCTCTACTAAAAATACAAAAATTAGCCGGATGTGGTGGCAGGCGCCTGTAGTCCCAGCTACTTGGGAGGCTGAGGCAGGAGAATGGCGTGAACCTGGGAGGCAGAGCTTGCAGTGAGCTGAGATTGCGCCACTGCACTCTAGCCTGGGCAACAGGGCGAGACTCTGTCTCAAAAATATATATAAAATAATAATAATAGCAATAAATAAAAATTAAAAATTAGCCAGGCATGGTGGCACATGCCTGGAGTCCTAGCTGCCTGGGAGGCTGAGGTGGGAGGATTACTTGAGCCCAGGAGTTTAAGGCTGCAGTGAGGTAGAATTGCACCACTGCACTCCAGCCTGGGCAACAGTGTGAAATTCTGTCTCTTTAAAAAAAAAAAAAAAAGACAGCTAAGGATTAATCATGGGTAACTGGAAAAACAGTTCCTACCATTGATAAAAATAATGACACCAAGAGGTGGTCTGATACATAAGTTATTAATGATGCTCAAAGCTTGTCTGTCTTTCACAAACCCTTTCCTGAGTTCACCAGCACTGACTACTTCATTCTATATCCCCAGCTCTTAATTGCCCTGCTTGTGTTATATCATTTAATATTCCCTGACATGTTGAATAAGAATGGTATTCTTAGCCAGGGAGCAGTTTCTCACGCCTGTAAACCCAGCACTTTGGGAGGCCAAGGCAGGAGGATCGCTTGAGCCCAGGAGTTTGAGACCAGCCTGGGCAACATAATGAAGTCCCTTCTCTATAAAAAATATAATTTTTTTTTTTGAGACGGAGTCTTGCTCTGTCCCCAAGCTGGAATGCAGTGGTGTGATCTCAGCTCACTGCAACGTCCATCTCAAGCAATTTCCCTGCCTCAGTCTCCCAAGTAGCTGGGATTACAGGTACCCACCATCACACCCGGCTAATCCTCGTATTTTTAGTAGAGATGGGGGTTTCACCATGTTGGCCAGGCTGGTCTCGAACTCTTGACCTTGTGATCCACCCACCTCAGCTAAAAAATACAAAAATTAGCCAGGCACAGTGGCTCATGCCTGTAATCCCAGCTACTCGGGAGGCTGAGGTGGGAGGATCGCCAGAGCCTGGGAGGTCGGGCTGCAGAATGCCATGATCACGCCACTGTGCTCTAGCCTGCACGACACAGTGAGACCCTGTCTCCAAAAAAAAGAAAGAATGGTATTCTCAGAAAACAAGTTTAGTTGTGGTTTCTCTAGGAGTATTTTTCTTTTTATTTGGCATCCTCCTCGTAGTGGCCAATATTGTGCTGATATTGAATACTCAAAACTAAATTCACATTTTCTCTTTTGCTGAATTTGCATGTCACAATTTTCCCTTCCTATCCTAATTCAGTTGGCTCAATAGAGCCTCTGAACCTTCCTGCTCAGTTTTTCCTCTTTTTTTTCCAGGGGTTTATGTCTGCATAATCAAGGTTCGACCGCAGTCAGAGGAGCTGCTACAGGCCCTCAGTGTGGCTGACACCTCAGTCTATGGGTGGGCTACACTGGTCAGTGAACGTAGCAAGAATGGAATGCAACGAATCCTCATTCCTTTCATCCCAGCCTTTTATATTAACCAGTCAGAATTGGTTCTTAGCCACAAACAAGATATCGGGGAGATAAGAGTACTGGGAGTGGACAGAGTTCTTAGGAAGCTAGAGGTATGTTAAGAACTGAACCAAAACAGAACAAGAGATCAGGAATTTGAAAAGATAGTTTTCATTCTCACTTCAAGGGCAAAAGAAGTTACTGAGTGACCTAATAAAAATTACCATAGGAAATGACAAAATCAAATGAAGAAAACCCATCTCCTTCATAATGCCAGGCAGGCTCCCAGAGTCCAAAATCTAGGTCATAAGCTTTGTCAACATACCTAAAGGAGTAAAAAAAGTAAATGATTGGCCGAGCGCGGTGGCTCATGCCTGTAATCCCAGCACTTTGGGAGGCCAAAGTGGGTGGATCACAAGGTCAACAGATCAAGACCATCCTGGCCAACATGGTGAAACCTCTTCTCTACTAAAAGTACAAAAATTAGCTGGACGTGGTGGCGGACACCTGTAGTCCCAGCTACTCGGGAGGCTGAGGCAGGAAAATTGCTTGAACCCGGGAGGCAGAGGTTGCAGGGAGCTGAGATCGCGCCACTGCACTCCAGCCTGGGTGACAGAGCGAGACTCCCTCTCAACAACAACAAAAAAGTAAATGATTTGATTGTCGGCTAGCTAGCTAGAAATCCAGATCTTGACAATTATTGTACTGTATATGTTTCAGATTGGAACATACTGATACAAAGTTGATTTTTCTTCTTTTAAATAAAAGGTTTTATCTTTTCTCCAAGGTCATCTCCAGCTCCCCAGTTCTAGTGGTCGCTGGCCATAGCCACTCTCCCCTCACTCCTGGCCTGGCCATTTACTCTGTAAGAGTGGTCAACTTCACTTCCTTCCAGCAAATGGCATCACCTGTTTTCATCAATATTTCCTGTGTACTCACCAGTCAAAGTGAGGCAGTGGTAGTGAGGGCTATGAAAGATAAGTTGGGTGCAGGTAAGCATCAGAGATTCCTATTTATAATCTAGAGAGGAAAAGAAGAAAGAATGTATTACATTAGTACCCCCCATCTGCAGTTTTGCTTTCCGCATTTCACTTAACTGTCAACCACGGTCCAAAAATAAATGAAAAACTCCTGAAATAAACAGTTTAAATTGTGCACTGTTCCAAATAGCATGAGGAAATCTCACACTGTCCTGCTCTGGTCCCCAACCATGAATCATCTCTTTGTCCAGCATGTTCACACCGTATACACTATCAGCCCTTTAGTCACTTAGTAGCAGTCTCTGCTATCAAATCAACTGGTATCAAGGTATCACAGTGCAGTGCTTGTTTCAAGTAACCCTTATTTTACTTAATAATGGCTCCAAAGCACAAGAGTGGTGATGCCTGCAATTCGGGTATGCCAAAAAGAAGCTGGAAAGTGCTTCCTTTAAGTGAAAAAGTGGAAGTTCTCAACTCAGTAAGGAAAACATAGTACGTAGAGGGTTCAATATTATCTGTGGCATCCACTGAGGGTCTTGGAACATATTCCCCACAGATATGGGGGGACAGATGTTATCACAGTTTAGTTAATGGGAAACATTCAGCCACTTGACCAAGATTACTCAAACTAGTTGAGGCATGAATCTTCCAAACCTACCCAAAATACAACCTTTAGGTAGCTTTCTTAACACTACCTAAATTTTATATTTAACTTATATATTTAAGAATAGTTGTCAGCCAGGCATGATGGCCCATGCCTTGTAATTCCAGCACTTTGGGAGGCCGAGGTGGGCAGATCCCTTGAGCTCAGGAGTTCAAGACCAGCCTGGGGAACAAGGCAAAACTCTGTATCAACAAAAAAGTACAAAAAAAAAATTACCTGGGCATGGTGGCATGGACCTGTGGTCCCAGCTACTCGGGAGGCTGAGGCAGGAGGATTGCTTGAGACCAGGAGTTCAAGGCTGCAGTGAACTGTGATTGTGCCACTGCACTCCAGCCTGGTGACAGAGCAAGACCCTGTCTCAAAAAAAAAAAAAGGAAAAAGAATAGTTGTCAGTTTAACACGAGTTTGCCAGCTTTGTAAGTATACTATTTGCCCTATTTTAAACCTTTTTTTTTTTTTTTTTTTTTTTGAGAGAGTCTTGCTCTGTCACCCAGGCTGGAGTGCAATGTCGTGATCTCGGCTCACTGCAACCTCCACCTCCCAAGTTCAAGCGATTCTCCCGCCTCAGACTCCTGAGTAGCTGGGATTACAGGCACACACCACCATGCCCTGCTAATTTTTGTATTTTTGTAGAAATGGGGTTTCACCATGTTGGCCAGGCTGGTCTGGAACTCCTGACCTCAGGTGATCCACCCGCCTTGGCCTCCCAAAGTGCTGGGATTACAGGCATGAGCCACCGCACCCGGCCAATCTTATTGATAAATGTTTTGTTGTCTTCAAAAGTATTTAAATCTTTTTGCATCAGGCAATGGGCCAATGTTAACCCTAGAACCAAGACTTAGCTTTCCCAAATCCTGATTCCAGGCATTACCTAGTTTAGAAATAATGCCACATTGGATAGGATGGGAATAGTTACGAAAAGGTGTTAGAAAAGCTAGAGAACCATCAGTCTCCTTATATTGTATTTGTCACGCCCACTTCCCCACCCCTCAAGGGAAGCTACTTAATTACTGGGAACTATCTAAGCTAAATTATAGTGTATCTCCTAATGGGAAATAGGTTTTTGCTGATGTTTACGTGAGCATCTGGTTTGTATTGATCATTATCCTAAGCACATTTATATGCTTTTGGTTTAATTCTCATAACTCTAGGAGGTAGGTATTTTTCCCCAAGAGCTGAGGAAACTGAGATGCTGGTGCAGTGGCTCACACCTGTAATCCTAGCACTTTGGGAGGCTAAGATGGAGGATCACTTGAGCTCAGGAGTTCAAGACCAGGCTAAGCAACACAGCAAGACCTTATCTCTACTAAAAATCAAAAGAATTAGCCAGGCATGGTGGCATGCACCTGAAGTCCAGGCAGGAGGTTGAGGTGGGAGGACTGCCTAAGCCCAGGAGGTTGAAGTTGCAGTGAGGCATGATCACACCACTGCACTCCAGCCTGGGTGACAAAACGAGACCCTGTCTCAGGAATTAAAAAAAAAAAAAAAAAAAAAAGGATCTCTAGATACTATCACAGAATGTATTGGAACAGAGTTTTTAAATCTAGAGACCACGGATCCCCACAAAGGTCCATAGATAGAATTCAAGGTGTCCATTACCCAAGTGGAGAAAAATTGCATCTTTTTCTTTCCTTTTTTTTTTTTTTTTTTGAGACAGAACCTCGCTCTGTCGCCCAGTCTGGAGTGCAGTGGCACCATCTCAGCTCACTGCAACCTCCACTCCCAGGTTCAAGCAATTCTCCTCCCTCAGCCTCCCAAGTAGCTAGGATTGCAGGTGCCCGCCACCACGCCTGGCTAATTTTTGTATTTTTAGTAGAGGCAAGGTTTCACCATGTTGGCCAGGCTGGTCTCGAACTCCTGATCTCAAATGATCCACCCACCTTGGCCTCCCAAAATGATGGGATTACAGGCGTAAGTTACTGCGCCTGGCCGTGCATCTTTATTTTCAATTGACCACTAACTTAAAGTTAGCACTTTCACTGATTATTAATATAGGCAGCAAACCACCATAATATCAGCAGTATTGTGTGCTTTTGTCACCAACAGAATTCATTGACTATACTTTCAGGGATCATTTCTATAGTTCATTACTAGAGAAGTTTCTCAGAATGTATAGAGAAAAAAAAGAATCCACAGATATATTCATGTTCCTACTGCCAGATTTAAAAAATATTTCTCTTAAAAATTACAGTAATTGGCCAGGTGCAGTGGCTCAAGCCTGTAATCCCAGCACTTTGGATGGCCGAGCCGGGTGGATCACAAGGTCAGGAGTTTGAGACCAGCCTGGCCAACATGGTGAAACCCCGTCTCTACTAAAAATAAAAAAAATAAATAAAAATAAATAAAAATAGCCAGGTGTAGTGTCATGCACCTGTAATCCCAGCTACTCGGGAGGCTGAGGCAGGAGAATAGCTTGAATGGGGAGGCGGAGGTTGCAGTGAGTCGAGATCGCACCACTGCACTCCAGCCTAGGACAGAGCAAGACTCTGTCTCAAAAAAAAAAAAAAAAACAAATACAGTAATCACCAGCCTGGGCAACATGGCAAAACCCCATCTCTACAAAAAATACAAAATAATTAGCCAGGTGTGATGGCCTGCAGTCCTAGCTACTCTGAAAGCTGAAGTGGGAGGATCGCTTGAGCCTGGGAGGCAGAGATGGAGTGAGCTGAGATCTCACCACTGCACTGCAGCCTGAGTGAGAAAGAAAGGCTGTTTCAGGAAAAAAAAAAAAAAAAACAGAAAAGAAAAGAAAAACAGCCAAAAGGCCAGGTGCGGTAGCTCACGCTTGTAATCCCAACACTTTGGGAAGCTGAGGTGGGCAGATCACCTGAGGTCAGGTGCTCAAGGCAAGCCTGCGCAACATAGAGAGACCTCATCTCTAACAAAAATTAAAAGTTAAAGAAAAACATTTAAATTATTCAGGTGTTAAAAAAAAAAAAAAGGCCAGCGCGATGGCTCATGCCTGTAATCCCACCACTTTGGGAGGCCGAAGTGGTTGGATCACCTGAGGTGAGGAGTTCGAGACCATCCTGGCCAACATGGTGAAAACCCATCTCTACTAAAAATACAAAAATTATCTGGGCGTGGTGGCGGGCCCCTGTAATCCCAGTTACGCAGGATGCTGAGGCAGCAGAATTGCTTGAATCTGGGAGGCAGAGGTTGCGGTGAGCCGAGATCATGCCATTGCACTGCAGCCTGGGCAACAAGAGTGAAACTCCATCTCAAAAACAAAAAAAAAGTCGGACATGATGGTGTGCACCTGTAGTCCTAGTTACTTAGGAGGCTGCAGTAAGCCATGACTGCACCACTGCACTCCAGCCTGAGACCTTGTCTCAAAAAAAAAAAAAAAAAAAAAGGCAAGTCTACAGTTTTATTGAGGATAAGGTTAGATACAAATCAGAGTGCTCCCAAAAAATGACATCCTGAGTAGGACAAAGGTACTGTGGATTTAAGTGGTCACTGATGATCTTAAAAAAAAGTTTTGGCTGGGTGCAGCGGCTCATGCCTGTAATTCCAGCACTTTGGGAGGCCAAGGCGGGTGGATCACCTGAGGTCAGGAGTTTGAGGCCAGCCTGGCCAAAATGGTGACACTCATCCCTACTAAAAATACGAAAATTAGCCAGGCATGGTGGTGGGCACCTGTAATGCCAGCTACTAGGGAGGCTGAGACAAAAGAATTGCTTGAACCCAGGAGGCGGAGGTTGCAGGGAGTTGAGATGGTGCCACTGCACTCCAGCCTGGGCAACAGAGACTCCCTCTCAAAAAAATGAAAAGAAAATGTTTCAAGATAGAGATTACAATTATAAATGGAATCAGCATACTATCACAAGTTTAGTGAAGGGAAGCATGTTACCTGGGGTTAAAGTGCACGGGAAAGGTAAACAGCATGTTTTTGTTTGTTTTGTTTTGTTTGAAATAGAGTCTGGCTCTGTCACCCAGGCTGGAGTGCAGTGGAGAGATCTCGGTTCACTGCTAGCTCCGCCTCCCGGGTTCACGCCATTCTTCTGCCTCAGCCTCCCAAGTAGCTGGGACTACAGGTGCATGCCACCACACCCAGCTAATTTTTTCTATTTTTAGTAGAGACGGGGTTTCACCATGTTAGCCAGGATGGTCTTGATCTCCTGACCTTGTGATCCACCCGCCTTGGCCTCCCAAAATGCTGGGATTACAGGTGTGAGCCACCACGCCAGGCCGCATTTTTTTTTTAAGTCTCCTCATTTTTATTACTCAAAAGTTTCATTTTTTATTTAGCTGACTGTGCTTGTGCCTTCGACACTTTCACAACAATTTTCTGCTCCTCGATAAGGAGAGCACACTTGATCCAGTCACGAACACATTTAGCACACATGGAACCCGACATGTTGTTTTGGACAATCTCGTAAGAACTTCAGGTTTTACGGCACGAATCCCTTGAAGTCTGCCTGGGCACATGCCACATGCAGATTTTGGTGCTTTCCCATCCATCTTGGTATAAAGGTAAACAATTCTATTACCAAGGGTTTGGGACAGCCTAGTTTTGTTAGAGGCTGTATTGTAGGAAAGCCTACGTTGGTATGTCAAACGCTGGACCATTCTGAGTGCCTGCAGACAACGTCCCTGGAAGAGGAAGAAGTGGTAACCAGCATTTTAAAGTAGCAGAGGATTTAAAGCATCCTTTGAAATCTAAGAGGAAGAAATAACAAGCTCAAGAATTAGAGAGTTGTATTACTCTGGAGATAGGAAGAAGTCAAAAAGACGCGGTTGAGCCAAGTATAGTTCACATCTGAAGCTCTCTTCTCTCTTACTAAGAAGGCTGGGTTTTGAATACTTCTGGCAGATACTCTTATTACTATTTTTAGTCATAAGTTTTAAAATGCAGCATCTGCTGGAGGTTGCAGTGAGCTGAGATCGCACCACTGCCCTCCAGCCTGGGGGACAGAGTGAGAGTAAAACTCTGTCTCAAAAAAAATTAAATTTAAAAAATGCAGCATCTGCCCATGGTTGCTATTAACTATTATCTTGTTTTGTTATGGCCAATGTATAGATCACTGTGAAGATTCCGCCATCCTCAAGCGGTTCACTGGCTCTTACCAGATCCTGCTCTTGACCCTCTTTGCAGTGCTGGCATCAACAGCTTCCATCTTCCTAGGTAGAGTCCTTATATTCAATAACATAGACTTTGACATGAAAACTGCCTTTTTTTTTTTTTTTTTGAGATGGAGTTTAAGTCTGTCGCCCACGCTGGAGTGCAGTGGCGCAATCTTGGCTTACAGCAACCTCTGCCGCCCGAGTTCAAGCAATTCTCCTGCCTCAGCCTCCCGAGTAGCTGGGATTACAGGCGCCGGCCACTGCTCCCGACTAATTTTTGTATTTTTAGTAGAGACGGGGTTTCACCATCTTGGCCAGGCTGGTCTTGAACTCCTGACCTCGTGATCCACCCGCCTCGGCCTCCCAAAGTGCTGGGATTACAGGCGTGAGCCACCGCGCCCAGATGAAACTGCCTTATTTCACAAATAAGGATGAAAATTAGCCACTTATCACATATAATTTTAACAAACAGTGTAAACTAAGCCTTGCTAGTCCTAGTAACGTGGTGGATTAAAGGTCCCCCTCAGCCGGGCATGGTGGCTTATGCCTGTAATCCCAGCACTTTGGGAGGCCAAGGCGGGTGGGTCACCTAAGTTCAGGAGTTCGAGACCAGCCTGGCCAACATGGTGAAACTCCATCTCTACTAAAAATAACAAAAATTAGTCAGTGTGGTGGCACATGCCTGTAATCCCAGCTACTCGGGAGGCTGAGGCAGAAGTGCTTGAACCTGGGAGACACAGGTTGCAGTGAGCCAAGATCGTGCCACTGCACTTCAGCCTGGGTGACAGAGCAAGACTCCGTTTCAAAAAAAAAAGGTCCTCAACTTACTACCAAGAAGCAACAAACTGGATTTGGCAAACACACACCACTCAGAAGTGGAAACCACTACTAAATCTTGAGGTATAACAGCTACTTTTGCTGAAATTCATAGTTAGGGATAATTCAAGTAACAAAACAGACTGGGTGCAATGGCTCACACCTGTAATCCTAGCACTTTGGGAGGCCAAAGTGGGAGGATGGCTTGAGTCTAGGAATTTAAGACCAGCCTGGGCAACACAGAGAGACTCCATCTCTACAAAAAAACTTTAAAATTAGCTGGGTGTGGTGGTGGCACACATCTAGTCCCAGCTACTAGGGAAGCTGAGGCAGGATTTCTTGAGACAGGGAATTCAAGGTGGCAGTAAGCCATGATTGTGCCACTGTACTCCAGTGATACTGTGTGTCTAAAAAAAAATTTTTTTGAGATGGAGTCCCATTGTCACCCAGGCTGGTGTGAAGTGGTGCAATCTTGGCTCACTGCAACCTCCATCGCCCAGTTTCAAGCGATTCTCCTGCCTCAGCCTCTCGAGTAGCTGGAATTACAGACACCCGCCACCACACCTGTCTAATTTTTTATTTTTAGTGGCATGTTGGCCAGGCTGGTCTTGAATGCCTGACCTCAGGTGGTCTGCCCACCTAGGCCTCCCAAAGTGCTGGGATTACAGGCGTGAGCCACCACACACAGCCTAAAAAAAAAAAAATTAACACAACACTATTGTCTACTCCATTTCCCCACTTTTTTTTTTTTTTCTGAGACAGAGTCTGGCTCTATCGCCCAGGCTGGAGTGCAGTGGCACGATCTCAGCTCACTACAAGCTCCGCCTCCCAGGTTCACACCATTCTCCTGCCTCAGCCTCCTGAGTAGCTGGGACTACAGGCACCCGCCAACACGCCCAGCTAATTTTTTATATTTTTAGTAGAGACGGGGTTTCACTGTGTTAGCCAGGATGGTCTCAATCTCCTGACCTCGTGATCCGCCCACCTCAGCCTCCCAAAATGCTGCGATTACAGGCGTGAGCCACCGTGCCCGGCCATTTTCCCCCTTTCAGCCAAAAGCTGAAAGTAACTCTAAAATGGGTTAAATTGGGATAAAAACTTCCTGTAATAGTGCCATTACTATTACTTATTTTTAAGAATTATTTTTAGCAATATTCTCATTCTAGAGTTGACTTTGCCTTTTAAGGCCTTCCTCAGATATGCCTTGTGACATTTCCTGTCCTTTTTCCAGCATACAATGCCTTCCTAAACAAGATACAAACAGTTCCAGTTGTGTATGTACCAACTCTAGGAACACCACAGCCAGGTAAAAAAGCCTCTGTCCTCATCTTTGAAAAGCTCAGATACACACGTTTAATTCACTCAACTTTTCCCTCTTCTTCTAGGTTTTTTTAACTCCACAAGTTCTCCCCCTCACTTCATGAGTCTACAACCTCCATTGGCCCAAAGTCGGCTGCAACATTGGTTATGGAGTATAAGGCACTAACCTCTGCTTGGACAAGTTTCTCTTAACTGCAGGGGAATGAAGATTTCTAGTCCTCGACAAGAAGCCTAACAGCAACTTCTACATTAAGTTTCCAGATAAGGCTTCTGAGAACTATAAATAAAGCATCCTAAGCTGTTTCTTAAAACTGGTATGTCAGACTGTATTGTAAAGAGTTAACTGTCGGCCGGGCGCGGTGGCTCACGCCTGTAATCCCAGCACTTAGGCAGGCGGATCACCAGGTTAGGAGTTTGAGACCAGCCTGACCAACATGGTGAAACCCCGTCTCTACTAAAAATACAAAAATTAGCCAGGCATGGTGGTACACACCTGTAATCCTAGCTACTCAGGAGGCTGAGGCAGGAGAATCACTTGAACCTGGGAGGCAGAGGTTGCAATGAGTCAAGATTGTGCCACTGCACTCCAGCCTGGGCAACAGAGCAAGATTCCATCTCTCTTATAAAAAAAAAAAAAAACACCAAACACAACACTTGAGATAGTATCACAGTTTAAAAAAAAAACAAATTTATCCAATGAGCCTAGGTGGTTAAAAATGCCCCCAAAGGGACTTTTAAAGTACTTGGCCACTTACGTGCCCCAAATGACTCTAATATTCTCCTCTTCCTGGTTGCCCCAGAATACTTGAGACAGGAACTTCCTAACACTTAAACAAGACAATAAACAGGATTTATCCAAAATGTGTTTATTGAGATGGTTTCCCACTCATCTTGACTCAGAGTGCTTTTAGTGCTGCTTCCTCCTGAAGGAACATCCTGGAGGAAAAAGATTCAGAGATTAGCTGTCATCAGTACAGGTATTCTGCCCACCTCTCCCAAAAAAGCAGATGCATGATGATCCACCCACAGAAAGCTACATCTTTTTTCTCAACTCTTAGCTACCTGCGCATTTGTATCACTGGTTACTTCCTATCAACTTAAGCCCTTTTATCACCCATTTATCCCCGCTTTAGACAGTAGTGCTTTGAGATTAATACATAGCTTTTGGTAGTATCTAGTTAAAACAACCAAATCCAACACTTCTTGTCTAAAAATTTACATTATAGATGATCCCTGTCACTGTTAAGACCGAAAAATCCTAAGAAATGTTTCCATTTCTAAAAATCAAACTCAAAGCCCCAAATCACATTAGTAAACCATTTACCTTCTGTAAGCCTTGCTTTTCCTCCTGTAGGCTGGCAGAGGACAGTGGAGCAGCCAACACACAAAACTACCGTTTGTGCATGGCTAAAGACCGTGGTGATTTTATAGCATCCTGAAAGAAAAGCAGATAACATTTTTTTCCTCTATTACACCCGTCTTTCCTGCACTTATGCCCAACTCATCATCCATTACATTGTTTCCCAACACAAAAAAACGTAGGGGTTGTATGTGAAATGTGATGAGAGATCACGGTGAAATGAATCACTCCTCCTAAGATGCAAAACTTTGCCAGTCTCATACATTCAAATTTTAAGAGTATCAGGGAAAATATTTTCCACAGGCGAAGAAACTGAAGCTGCTGCACAGCTTCAAGGATACGAGACAGCTAACACTACAACATTTTCCAACTGTTGAGGTCCAGTGCTTTCCCCACTACAGCAAGCCGTCTCCTCACCTGGGCATTTCACATCCATGAAGTAGGAATTGGGGCTCTGCACCAGGCGTTTCTTCTTGTGTTTCCTCTTCTCCTCTTCTGGAGAGGGATGAAGGAGATCCTTTGCGAGCTAAGAGGGACAGAAATGCAGAGATTTAGAAACCAACAGCGAAAATGGGATGGTCGAAAATAGCCCCCACTGTCACACACCGGGGAGAGCTCGCCCCTCGCCGCCCCTGGTGTCTGCGCAGCTGGGCCGCCATCTTATCTCCTCTCCGCTCCCGTCTATGCGGGTGGCCCGTGGGCCGCTGCGGTCCCTGGAGTTAATGTCCTAAGAAGTGCAGAGGGTAAATGAGGACCCTCTACGATCCGAAATCAGCGTGAGGGGAGAGTTCGGACAGAACAGCGAGATCTCCGCCGAAACCTGGACCAAAGCACTCACAGGCATGTTCTCGTGTGCGTAGGTCGTCACCGCCGGAAAGGAGCGAAAGCGGAAATCCTGCCCCTTATATAGAGCACACTACAGGAAATGACGCAAGGATCTTGTGCCACCATGTTTGGAACGTCTTACTTTGATCCGCCGCAGTGGGGAGACAAGGGAGCTGCCATTTTCGGAAGGTCTTTAACTGTTAGTTGTGACACATATGCGTCACCATGTTGAGAGGGTTACCTTGCTAATTTGAGGTCAGCGTTTGATCACTATCCAGGGATAAATGGACACTTTTAAAATTTTGTGCCATACCTTGACAGTTGGAGCCTAATAAATAGGAAAGGTTGAGGAAAACACCAGGGAGAAGGAGCCATATCCAGGACTTCCGTCCTATTTTTTAAATACCTATATTCTTAACTCTTTTTCTATTGGTTTAATTTAACAGTTTAGGCCGGGCGCAGTGGCTCATGCCTGTAATCCCAGCACTTAGGGAGGCCAAGGCGGGTGGATCACCTGAGGTCAGCAGTTCAAGACCAGCCTGGCCAACATAGTGAAACCCCGTCTCTACTAAAAATACGAAAATTAGCCAGGCGTGGTGGCGTGTGCCTGTAATCCCAGCTACTCTGGAGGCTGAGGCAGGAGAATCGCATGAACCTGGGAGGCGGAAGTACAGTGAGCCGAGATCCACTCCAGCCTGGGTGACAGAACAAGACTCTGTCTTAAATAAATAAATAAACAGGGGAGACATGGTTTGGTCAGTGAAAAGAAATAGGGAAGACTCAAGGAGATAATGAGAGGTGAGAGAATGGACAAAAAGAGATTGAATAGTTTAGCTTGAGAAGGGACAAGCATGGACACGGAAGGTGATGGGGATAAGTGAAAGATGCCTTCTTTTTTTTTATTTTTATTTTTATTTTTTTTTTAGACACAGTTTTGCTCTTGTTGCCCAGGCTGTAGTGTGATGGCGCCATCTCGGCTCACCACAACCTCCGCCTCCCGCGTTCAAGCGATTCTCCTGCCTCAGCCTCCCGAGTAGCTGGGATTACAGGCATGCGGCACCATGCCCGGCTAATTTTGTATTTTTAGTAGAGACGGGGTTTCACCATGTTGGCCAAGCTGGTATTGAACTCCCGACCTCACGTGATCCACCTGCCTCGGTCTCCCAAAGTGCTGAGAATACAGGCGTGAGACACCGCGTCCGGCCTTTAATTTTTTATAGGCAGCCAGAATAGGCTCGAGAGAGACTCCCTTGAATAATTTTTTCTTGCCCGGGCGCCGTGGCTCACGCCTGTAATCCCAGCACTTTGGGAGGCCGAGGCGGGTGGATCACGAGGTTAGGAGATCGAGACCATCCTGGCTAGCACGGTGAAACCCCGCCTCTACTAAAAATACAAAAAATTAGCCGGGCGCGGTGGCGGGCGCCTGTAGTCCCAGCTACTCGGGAGGCTGAGACAGGAGAATGGCGTGAACCCGGGAGGCGGAGCTTGCAGTGAGCGGAGATCGCGCCGCTGCACTGCAGCCTGGGCGACAGAGCGAGACTCCGTCTCAAATAATAATAATAATAATAATAATAATTTTTTCTTTGCCGGTCGCGGTGGCTCAGGCCTGTAATCCCAGCACTTTGGGAGGCTGAGGCGGGCGGATCACGTGACGTCGGGAGTTCGAGACCAGCGTGGCCAACATGGTGAAACCCCGTCTCGACTAAAAAAAAAAAAAAAAAAAAAAAATTTAGCTGGGCGTCGTGGCAGGCGCCTGTAATCCCAGCTACTCGGGAAGCTGAGGCTGGAGAATCGCTTGAACCCAAGAGGCGGAGGTTGCAGTGACCAGAGATTGAGCCATTGCACTTCTGCCTGGGTGACGAGCAAAACTTTGTCTCAAAAAATAAAATAAAAGTAAAAACAAAGGTTGGGCGCAGTGGCTCACGCCTGTAATCCCAGGCCTTTGGGAGGCAGAGGTGGGTGGATCACCTGAGGTCGGGAGTTCGAGAGCAGCCTGACCAACATGGAGAAAGCTCGTCTCTACTAAAAATACAAAATTAGCAGGGGGTAGTGCGGGTGTCTGTAATTTCAGCTACTCGCGAGGCTGAGGCAGGAGAATCGCTTGAACCAGGGAGGCGGAAGCTGCGGTTAGCCCAGATCACACCATTGCACCCCAGCCTACGCAACAAGAGCGAAACTCCACCTCAAAATAAACAATAAAAATTAAAAAAATAAAAATAAAAATAGGCCGGGCGCGGTGGCTTACGCCTGTAAACCCAGCACTTTGGGAGGCCAAGGCGGGCAGATCACGAGGTCAGGAGATCAAAACCATCCTGGCTAACACGGTGAAACCCCGTCTCTCCCTAAAATACAAAAAATTAGCCGGGTGGTGGCGGGCGCCTGTAGTCCCAGCTACTCAGGAGGCTGAGGCGGGAGAATGGCGTGAACCCAGGAGGCGGAGCTTGCAGTGAACCGAGATCGCGCCACTGCACCCCAGCCTAGGTCGACAGAGCAAGACTCCGTCTCAAAAAAAAAAAAAAAATAGGGCCAGGCGTGGTGGCTCACGACTGTAATCCCAGCACTTTGGGAGGCCGAGGCGGGCGGATCAGAAGGTCAAGAGATCGAGACCATCTGGCCAACATGGTGAAACCCCATCTCTACTAAAAATACAAAAATTAGCTGGGCGTGGTGTCGGGCACCTGTAATCCCAGAGGATTACAGGTACTCCAGAGGCTGAGGCACAAGAATCGCTTGAATTCGGGAGGCGGAGGTTGCAGTGAGCCGAGATTGCGCCACTGCACTCCAGCCTGGCGACAGAGCAAGACTCTGTCTCAAAAAAATTAATTAATTAATTAAAAAATAAATAAAAAATTTTTTTGAAACAGGATCTTACTCTATCACCGAGGCTGGAGAGCAGTGGCATCATAATCGTGGCTCACTACAGCCTTGGACTCTTGGGCTCAAGTGTTCTGCCCACTTCTGTCCCCCAAGTAGCTGCGGCTGGGACTACAGGCCACACCACCATGTATGGCTAATTTTTTTTTTTTTTTTTTTTTTTTTTTGTCGAAGCAGTCTCACTATGTTGCCCAAGCTGGTCTTGAACTCCTGGGCTTAAGGGATCCTCTCACGTTGGCCTCCCAAAGTGCTGGGATTACAAGTGTGAGCCACCGCAACAGGTCTTAGATAATATTTTCTTTCTTTCGTGTTTCGTATTTTTTTCCACCCCCAGCACACATATAGCAAGAATAATTTTTTTCTAAAGGCAGAGATAAACTTGTTTCTCTTTTACTCTCTTTCTTTCTTTCTTTTTTTTTTTTTTTTGAGACGGAGTCTGGCTCTGTCGCCCAAGCTGGAGTGCAGTGGCGCAATCTCGGCTCACTGCAAGCTCTGCCTCCCGGGTTCACGCCATTCTCCTGCCTCAGCCTCCCAAGTGGCTAGGACTACAGTCGCCTGCCACCACGCCCGGCTAATTTTGTGTGTGTGTGTGTATTTTTAGTAGAGATGGGGTTTCACCATGTTAGCCAGGATGGTCTCGATCTCCTGACCTCGTGATCCGCCCGCCTCGGCCTCCCAAAGTGCTGGGATTACAGGCGTGAGCCACCGCGCCCGGCAAACTTGTTTCTTTATACCCGTGCTGTTCATATTTCAGCTTCCTGGTTACCAAGGCTACACATTCATGGCCTATTGAGTGAGATTTCAGGAGTACTGCACCTTAAGTGGGCCATATTAAAAGATTCACGTAAAGAATGACATTTTTAGTTCAAATCTCTGTTTTCCTAAGCTATTTGGTCAGAGAAATCACACATGGGTCCCCATAAGAGAGATCGTTCCAACTGAAGCCCCAGGATGTGTCTAGGTAGGCTGTGTGTGTTGGGGTGGTGGGGCCGATTCTGTATAACTAATTTACGTTTTCACCCTGTTCCACCAGGGGGCAGACTGACTCAACAAATAACCTACTTCTGCGCATCCCGCTTTTTTCAAAGTGAATTGGGACCCATAGAACTAAGGGCTTGGACAACTAACAGTAAAATTCTAGGACTGCCTTTTACTCAGCCCCAGAAACCGATGATAACTCATCTTCTAGCTTCGTTGAATAGCATCTCCAAAACTCAGCCCCATTTTTTTTTTTCAATTTCTAGTGCTCTCCCTACCTTCACCCTTATTCCCAAAACTCTTGGTTCTCTTCCCCTAATCCCTCTAAAATTTCTCTTCTAAAATTTCTGGTCGTCGTGGTTAAACCTCTACTTCCCTTCACCCCAGCCTCTCTGGCCTCAGAATGGAAGAGTAAGGTCCTAAGAGGGGAGCTACAATTACCGAAAGGCTGTGGAAAATAGCGAGAGAGACAGGCCGGCCTAAGCTAGGAAGGGAAAACCGAGAGAACAGAGGCCGGGCTGGCAGCCTTGGCCTGCTCAAAAGGGTGGGCGGGCAGGGGGTGGAGCCCGGAGGGGTGCCGCCTCTCCTCTTTCCCGGAGCCTGGGCGGAGAGGGAGGAAAACTTCTTCCTGGCCTGGGCTCCGTGCCGCTCTGTTTGCCAACCGTCCAGTCCCGCCTACCAGTGCCGGGCGCTCCCCACCCCTCCCCCGGCTCCCCCGGTGTCCGCCATGGCCAAAGCCTACGACCACCTCTTCAAGTTGCTGCTGATCGGGGACTCGGGGGTGGGCAAGACTTGTCTGATCATTCGCTTTGCAGAGGACAACTTCAACAACACTTACATCTCCACCATCGGTGAGCCCGCTGGCCATGTCCCAGACCCCGACTCTCCTGTGACCTCCTTCTCCGGCTCCCGGATTACTAGTGACCCCACTTTTCAGTCCCCTTAGAGTAAGGCTCCTAAATTCTAGTCCCTCAACCCCTGGCTCTGACCCTTCCCCCGTGCATGTCTCTGTATAGTAACCAAACCTCTCACCTCTCTGAGGCCTTCAGGTAACTCTTCAACTGCTGCCAGCTCCTCATTTTCTTGGTACCATCGCCTTAGTCTCCCCAAATCCACAAGAACTCTTCTCTATTTTTCTCTGTTCCCCTCTTCCCCTACCCCCACCACCTAGAACTCTCTCGATCCTATCTCCATGTTTCCTGTATCCCTGTCCGCCACATCTTTTTCTCCCGATCCGATGCTAGCCTCTTTCTGTCTTGCTGAGCTTCAAACTCTCCCACTGTGTCCCCACCTCACCATCTACTTCCCAGGTTCCCTGCCCCAGTCTCCCTGCACCTCAGCTGAACAAGGGTTTGGGAAGGGTGGAACAAGGTGGCTGGGTGTGCTGGAGGGTGGCCCAAGGACTGTGATCATGAATATGCAGCCAGCTTGGTGAGGAACGTGGAAATGAGGGGACTTTTGGGGTCTCTGAGTCAGCCTGGTGACTCATCCTCCTCCCAGGGGCCCCCAGCAGGCTTGGGGGAGGTGCCCAAGTTTCTACTAAGAAGAACATTGTCTCCCCTCCTCCCTTCTCTTCTTTCTTCATCTCCTCTGGCTTGGGAAATAGACAGGAAGAGTCTCACGACAATTCTGGTTACAAAGGAAAAGGAAAAATGCCCCTCTTTCCTAATTGTCTCAAAAGTAATCCTGTTTAGCCTCAGACTTTCCTAGTGCCAAGTTTGGCCCACTAGTTAATTCACATAGACTGGCTTCAGCTACTTTTTTCCTTACTCTCTACTAGGAGGGTAGGTGGGATACCAAGAGTAGAGGGCTCTAAGAAAACAGAGAAGAGGAATGTGAAAGTAATATCTGGGGGGAGACAGAGACTGAATTCAGAGAGTTGTCAGCTGGTATAACTGAATGGACCCAAGAGGCAGCCTAAGGATTTTAAGCCTCCATGCAGAATTTTCGTCACCTTTTCCCTCCCAAAATCCATAAAATGTACGTAAAAATAGTATTCTTGCTATACAAATACAGCTTTGGGAAAATTCTCCTAGCTTGGCATTTCCAACAAGATTGTTCCCCAAGTGCCTCCCCTGCAGAATTTCTGGTGCCAGCACTGCTCCGTTCCTGTCCCTTCCATCACACAGTTTTACATGTGTGCATGCATGTCTCAACTTCAGTGCATACCTTCCACCCCTAGGAATTGATTTCAAGATCCGCACTGTGGATATAGAGGGGAAGAAGATCAAACTACAAGTCTGGTAAGTCAGTCCTCTGGGATGCCTCGCCAGACTTCCCCATTTACCTCCTACACGTTTTTCCTTCTATTTTGTTTCATTTCTCTTCCTTTCCCCATTGCTCCTTCTAGAAGTGCTAGAAGGAGCACTTCTGGCATTTCTCCGGATGCACTCAGCTGTCCTTCCATCTCTCTTCCTGCTCTCCCAACTAGTTCCAACTCTTTTGTAACTCTTGCCTCCTCTGGCTGCAGAGCATCCTCTTAATTTGACAACAAACAACTGTTCAGTCATAACATGGAAACAGGCTGTGAGCAGTTAAATGGCAAAGGCAGAATTAAGACTTGACTCTAAGTCTAGTGTTTTCTCCAAAATATGGTGAGCCCAGAGAGCCAAATATAGACCCTGAAGGTGTTTAAGTGGTATGAAGCTTAGTGGAGGCATTATGCTATGACATATAAGAGCAGACTGGTGCGCAAATCTGGTTCTTTTAGTTATCTCCTGCCTGACCTTCATTAATTATTCAGCCTATCCAAATCTGTTTCCTCTTTTTTTTTTTTTTTTTTTTTTGAGACAGAGTTTTGCTCTTGTCACCCAGGCTGGAGTGCAATGGCACAATCTAGGCTCACTTTAACCTCCGCCTCCTGGGTTCAAGTGATTCTCCGACCTCAGCCTCCCAAGTAGCTGGGATTACAGGCGCCCGCCACTAGGCCGGGCTAATTTTTGTATTTTTAGTAGAGACGAGGTTTCACCATGTTGGCCAGGCTGGTCTTGAACTCCTGACCTCAGGTGATCCACCCGCCTCAGCCTCCCAAAGTGTTGGGATTATAGACGCAAGCCACGGCACCTGGCGTGTTTCCTCATTTTTAAAATAGAGACAATAATACATGTCTTACAAGGAAAGAGTAAGGATTAGATAAAATGATACATACACAGTGCTTGACACATAGCAAACATTCAATGAATAAGCAAAGACATCTTGTTTCTTGGGCCACTACCATCTCTGGAAATCAGCTCAACTGTCTTTAATCCCGTTCCCCTTTACTGTTTCCTTATTCTGTTGCCCCACCATGTTACAAAAGCTAAATTCTTGTGAGAGAGGAAGAATTATTCCGTTGGAGAATTCTTCCCTCTATTCCATCCCATGAAAACTTCTCCTTCTTTAGGGACACGGCTGGCCAAGAGCGGTTCAAGACAATAACTACTGCCTACTACCGTGGAGCCATGGTATGAAGTGTGGGTCTGAACAAAGGATGAAGGATGAGGCTACAGAATATATTATGAATACAAAGGGTCAGGGGTTGGGGCAGGTAAAAATGGGAGGGGTGCAGTGTGGGTTGCAGAGGGCCCAACATGGCCTAGTGTTTAGACCCATGGATGCGGGGTCACTTACAGGGCAGTGGGAAGCCTCAATGGGAACATGGTCCAAGGTGAATTTTGTCATCTCCCAGGGCATTATCCTAGTATACGACATCACGGATGAGAAATCTTTCGAGAATATTCAGAACTGGATGAAAAGCATCAAGGAGGTGAGGACCCTCCAAAAGAGATGGGGAAACTGGTTAGAACCTGGAGAATGAAGGGGTCCATCAGGATAGGCAAGACCTAACTTTTTTTTTTTTGAGATGAAGTTTTGCTCTTGTTGCCCGGGCTGGAGTGCAATGGCAGGATCTCGGCTCACTGCAACCTCTGCCTCCCAGGTTCAAACGATTTTCCTGCCTCAGCCTCCCAAGTAGCTGGGATTACAGGCATGCACCACCATGCTCGGCTAATTTTGCATTTTTAGTAGAGACGGGTTTTCTCCATGTTGGTCAGGCTGATCTTGAACTCCTGCATCAGGTGATCCACCCGCCTTGGCCTCCCAAAGTGCTGGGATTACAGGCGTGAGCCACCGCTCCCAGCCGGCAGGACCTAACTTTTACTTGTCTTTTGCCCCCAGAATGCCTCGGCTGGGGTGGAGCGCCTCTTGCTGGGGAACAAATGTGACATGGAGGCCAAGAGGAAGGTGCAGAAGGAGCAGGCCGATAAGGTGAGGGCCAGGCTGAGCAATGTTCTAGAACTGGGCTGGGAGGGCCAAGATAGGTTGCATTGCAGAGGACTTGGCTGCTGTCCTTAATTCAATTCTCTTCCCACTTCACCCCTTATAGTTGGCTCGAGAGCATGGAATCCGATTTTTCGAAACTAGTGCTAAATCCAGTATGAATGTGGATGAGGTGAGATCCACACCCCCATCCCCGACCAAGAGAGGAAGTATTAGAAGGTAGATTCTCCTCCCTCCAAACTGACTCTGTTCCCCACTTTAGGCTTTTAGTTCCCTGGCCCGGGACATCTTGCTCAAGTCAGGAGGCCGGAGATCAGTAAGTTGGTTTTGCTGGACTAGGTACAACTCTGGGGTGTGTGTGTGTGTATGTATGTGTGTGTGTGTGTGTGTGTGTGTGTGTGTGTTGGTGTTGATAAAAACGGGGAGCAATGCTAAGATTTCTCATGAGGGTGGATTTACTTTAAACAGTTTATACCCTCCTACCCTAACCATCCATTCACACCATGACACCTGTGCCCTTCTCCCTCTAGGGAAACGGCAACAAGCCTCCCAGTACTGACCTGAAAACTTGTGACAAGAAGAACACCAACAAGTGCTCCCTGGGCTGAGGACCCTTTCTTGCCTCCCCACCCCGGAAGCTGAACCTGAGGGAGACAACGGCAGAGGGAGTGAGCAGGGGAGAAATAGCAGAGGGGCTTGGAGGGTCACATAGGTAGATGGTAAAGAGAATGAGGAGAAAAAGGAGAAAAGGGAAAAGCAGAAAGGAAAAAAAGGAAGAGAGAGGAAGGGAGAAGGGAGAGGAATGAATTGAGGAAGTGAAAGAAGGCAAGGAGGTAGGAAGAGAGGGAGGAGGAAAGGAAGGAGAGATGCCTCAGGCTTCAGACCTTACCTGGGTTTTCAGGGCAAACATAAATGTAAATACACTGATTTATTCTGTTACTAGATCAGGTTTTAGGGTCCTGCAAAAGGCTAGCTCGGCACTACACTAGGGAATTTGCTCCTGTTCTGTCACTTGTCATGGTCTTTCTTGGTATTAAAGGCCACCATTTGCACAAATGTTCCTGTTTTGGGTAACTTGGATTATTGTCAGAATTGTTCTCCACTCAAATCCAATTATTGTGTCTTCAAAGTGATTGATTTACCCAAATCAGGCTCGGTTTCTGTGGAACCAGGACTAATCCTACTGCTGTCTCTTCCCTAGCTGTTCTGTTGGTAAGGAAAATAGCAAAGAGCAGGAGGTAGAGTGATCTGAAGGTCTGGATATCCTCTTTCCGCCATGGGGTCCGGATGCCCTTGTGGGCAGAGCCTTGTCCTGAGCACAGGAAATTCCCAGCGAGAAGAACTCTAACAGTCCTAGCCTCAGGGAAATAACTGCACCTAGTGATTTATCCAGTGATTTGTGCAAGCTTCTTTGATTCTGCCAGCAATCCATTTAGTTATTTGATAGGCATTAATATCTGCTTTTATTAGTGAGGAAAATGAGAAGTTCATTTATTCATATATGTATATTGAGCATCTACTAAGTGCCAGGCACAATGGTCAGTTATTTTATTTATTTATTCATTTATTTTTAGGGACAGAGTCTTGCTCTGTCTCCGAGGCTGGAGTGCAATAGTGCGATCTCAGCTCACTGCAACCTCTGCCTCCTGCCTCAGCCTCTCAAGTAGCTGGGATTACAGGCGTGAGCCACCATGCCTGGCCAATAGTCAGTTAATATAGCCCTTTGGTGGTACTTACAAGCAGAGGGACAAGGACTTTTTTTCTTTTTTAAGACCGAGTGTGGCTCTGTCGCCCAGACTGGAGTGCAGTGGCACGATCCCAGCTCACTGCAACCTCTGCCTCCCGGGTTCAAGCGATTCTCCTGCCTCAGCCTCCCGAGTAGCTGGGATTACAGGCACGTGCCACCACACCTGGCTAACTTTTGTGTTTTTAGTGGAGACAGGGTTTTGTCATGTTGGCCAGGCTGGTCTTGAACGCCTGGGCTCGAGTGATCAGTCTGCCTCAGTCTCCCAAAGTGCTGGGGTTACAGGCGTGAGCCACTGCGCCCAGCCTGGGACAAGCAAACTTTAACAAAAACAGCTCTTTGGCTGGGCGTGGTGGATCACAACAGGAGTTCAAGACCAGCCTGGCCAGCATAGTGAAACCCCGTCTCTACTAAAAATACAAAAAAAAAAAAAAATTAGACAGGAGTGGTGGAGGGCGCCTGTAGTCCCAGCTACTTGGGAGGCTGAGGCAGGAGACTCACTTGAACCTGGGAGGCAGAGGTTGCAGTGAGTTGAGATCACACCACTGCACTCCAGCCTGGGTGACACAGCCAGACTCTGTCTCAAAAAAACAAAAACGAAAACAAAAACATCTCTTTGCTGAATAACAAAGATGGCAAAACTACTGGAAATGCAAAAGAAAATTCAGGCTTGGGCCGAGCACGTTGTTTCATGCCTGTAGTCCCAGCACTTTGGGAGGCCGAGGTGGGTGGATCACTTCAGGTTGGGAGTTTGAGACCAGCCTGGCCAACATGGCGAAACCCCATCTCTACTAAAAATACAAAAAAAATTAGCTGGGCATGGTGGTGGGTGCCTGTAATACCAGCTACTTGGGAGGCTGAGGGAGGAGAATCGCTTGAACCTAGGAGGCAGAGGTTACTGTGAGCAGAGTTCGCACCATTACACTCCAGCCTGGAGACAGAGCGAAACTCCATCTCAAAAAAAAAAAAAAAATTCAGGCTTGATGCACAGCATCCTTAAGTATATATATATTATATTATATTATATATTACAATGTATAATTATATATATTATATATTAAATATATAGGAAATATATAATATATATAACATGTATATGTTTATAAACATATAACATATTATATATAATATATAATTATATATTATACATATATATTAAATATATATTATAATTATATATTTAATATATAATATATTATGTTTAATATATAATTATATATAATTATATTATGTTTAATATATAATATATAATACATATTTTAATACATAATATATATATATCCCCCTTTCACCATACATAATATTTTTTACACAGCAAAATGTAATAACTTGATAAATGTAAGTATCCAAGCATTGATGAGGTAATGATAAACCTTATTTGTGGCTTATGCTTAAGTTCTTTTTTTTTTCTTTTGAGATGAATTCTTGCTCTTGTTGCCCAGGCTGGAGTACAATGGTGTGATCTCGGCTCACCGCAACCTCTACCTCCCGGGTTCAAGTGATTCTCCTGCCTCAGCCTCACGAGTACCTGGGATTACAGGCATATGGCACCATGCCCAGCTAATTCTGTATTTTTAGTGGAGACGGGGTTTCTCCATGTTGGTCAGGCTGGTCTTGAACTCCCGACCTCAGGTGATCCGCCCACCTCGGCCTCCCAAATTGCTGGGATTACAGGCGTGAGCCACTGCGCCCAGCTGTGTTTGAGTTCTGTAGTAAACTGTCCGGTAGGTTTAATTTGCTCAAGCGATGAGGAAAAGACTTGCACTTTGTGCCTCCTGGGAAAGAGACTAACGTCTTCAACATACCTTATGGCAGATATTTAATTTCAGAGTAGAGACCCCACTCTGATGCCTGGTAAGGTTATTGGAAGTGAAATATCACAAGATCTTACAGTTTGTTGTGAGATAAGGTAGGATTTGGTGAGGAGTAACAAATACTAGCAGATTTCGGCCCAAACTTCAATTATAGCTAAACATTACTGGAAAAAACCCCACAACCTACTTTATGTAACATATAACTACTCACACACATACACAAAAATAATACACACACAATTTCAGCAAACACAAATAATAATTTAAAGAAACAAATTCAAAATTAGAGCCAGGTATGGTGGCACATGCCTGAAATCCCAGCTACTTGGGAGGATCCCTGAAGACGAGAAGTTCCAGGCTGTAATGCGCTATGATGGCTCCTGTGACTTGCCACTGCACTCCAGTCTGGCAACATAGCCAGAGTCCATCTCGTTCAAAAACAAAAACAAACAAACAAAAAACGGCGAAATGAAGGCTCAGCCCTCATCAGGTTTAGGTGACAGAGCTAGACCCTGTCTAAGAAAAAAAATAAAATTAAATGAAAATTCGTTATCAGACAGTAAAGCATGAACCCACAGTGCTGGTCAAGTCACTGCAGATCTGAGTGTGTATCAAGGTTTAACTCCATAAGATGAAAAGCAGGCAATGAATCTTTGGCCTGGGTGTTGACAGTCTAGGCTCAAGCCTCAGCTTTCCCACTCATTAGCTTGCTGACCTTGGACAAGTCACTTATATTCTCTGAACTTACTCATGAAACGGAGATACATTTCATCTGCCTCTCGCAAGAAAAAGTCCTGGTAAATACACATTAGCATTTCCGTTTTACACAGAACACTGACAGATACTTTCCTAAGATCATGGAGTTAATAACCACCAGAACCTAGACTCAATACTTATGGAACTTCAAATCTCATGCTTTTCTCATTGCACTTATGATTACTCCATTATGTAGGAGCAAGGGAGAGTTGAGAGCATTTGAAGAGGTTATGCAAAGGACCAGCTCTGAGGAGTAGGCTTAGCAAAGTAACATGAGGGAAGGTAACACCGTTCATCTGTGTAGCGGAGTGGGAGCCAAGAGACAAGGAGAAAGTTTCATGTTCGTCATGTGTCTCGGATATTCCGGTTTCTGCAGGGACGAGAACGCGCAGTTTCGCCTCCATCCCTTGACCTCCAACACAGCTTCTCCACTGGATCATCGGTGGCGATGAAGGGGCGGCTGGGGAAGGATGTCAGAGAAACCAGAAGCTTGACGGTGAATCCTCGGGTTTTAAGGAGAGAGCAAAGTCCTGAGAGGGCGACGTATTGTCCCTGCTCACCTAGCCCAGAATGAACAAACACGCGCCAGCCAGGGAGCAGCGAGCCGAGAATTCGGACGAGCCTCTGCAACCGCCATTTGCCGTTCTCGCAAAGACTACCAAGACCACAATGCAACGGGGCGCCGAGCTAATTCCCAGTGAGCAGCAGGCGAGGCGCCACCGACGCGGAAGACTATAAGCCCCAGCGGGCGACGACCGAACGCCCCCGGGAACACCGGGCCCCGAGCTCGGTCCCGCGCCCGAGGATCCTCCACGGGGCTAGATGGCTGCGTCGGGGGCGGGAGCGGAGGTGAGCGGGCGCTAGGGCCGCGAGCCCCCGCCGGCCCTTCCTCCAGCGCCCTGCGGACCCCGCAGAAGGCGCTCGCCTCCCTAGCCCGCAAAAACATATCGATTTTTCTCGCTGTGGCAACGGGGACGTCCTGATAGATCCTCTGCTCCAATAGGCAACTCCGGCCTTCCCTGCCCTGACCTGGAACCTCTGGGAGGGCTGCAGAGTAAGTGCCGCCTCTGCGCTCCGACGGAGGCACGAGGCCTGTGGAGTAGGTCCCTCTGTTCCGACAGGTGCGACACTTGGCGCTCCATGCTTGCGGGTGCCGGGAGGCCTGGCCTCCCCCAGGGCCGCCACCTCTGCTGGTTGCTCTGTGCTTTCACCTTAAAGCTCTGGTAAGGAGGAGGTAAGGGGAGGGAAAAGGAGGTCACTGGAGGACAGGATCGTTCCCGGCCTCGGGGCTGGGGGAGATCTTATCCATGGACAGCGCAGGAGGGGGTGCCCTATTTTCTGGGTTTTGACTTTTGTCCCTTCCCCCAACTCCGCTACAGCCAAGCAGAGGCTCCCGTGCAGGAAGAGAAGCTGTCAGGTGGGTGATTGTCTGGGAACCCGACACGTCCCGTCGTTTGTTTTTGGTTTTAGTATCTTCCCCATATACCAAGAGCACAGGTGGAAAAGGCCGGCACCACATGGAATGAGGGCAAGCGCTG
Organism: Homo sapiens; assembly: GCF_000001405.40. NCBI lineage: Eukaryota > Metazoa > Chordata > Mammalia > Primates > Hominidae > Homo > Homo sapiens. The sequence goes on along the minus strand of NC_000001.11, from coordinate 153,976,854 downwards.
TGCCGGGAAGTTGGATGGGCAGAGCCTGGGAGAAATGTTTTCTGAATGGCCTGGGGCTGGCATTTATCTTTCCTTTCAGCAAGCACCTCAAATTTGCCATGCTGGCTGGTGGAAGAGTTTGTGGTAGCAGAAGAGTGCTCTCCATGCTCTAATTTCCGGGCTGTGAGTATCTATTTCTCTACCCTTTTTTTTTTTAAACATCTAAGCAAACACTTAAGCAACATCTTAACATCCAAGTCTTATTAAGCTGCCTTTGCATCATCTTTTTTTCTTTCTTCTTGCAGTCTCAGTGTATGTCCAAATCTGTACTTGTCTTTCCCCTGAAAATGTGCCCCTTTCTTTCCAAGCTAATGGCAGTATTCAACTGATAACTATGGTTTTTTTGTTTGTTTTTGAGACGGAGTCTCACTCTGTTGCCCAGGCTGGAGTGCAGTGGCGAGATCTCGGCTCACCACAACCTCCGCCTCCCGGGTTCAAGCGATTCTCCTGCCTCAGCCTCCTGAGTAGCTGTGACTAAAGGCGCGTTGCACCATGCCTGGCTAATTTTTGTATTTTTAGTAGACTCGGGTTTCACTGTGTTGGCCAGGCTAGTCTCTAACTCCTTACCTCGTGATCTGCCCGCCTCGGCCTCCCAAAGTGCTGGGATTATAGGCGTGAGCCGCCACACCCGGCCTCAAATAACTATGTTTTATTCACTTTTAGTATAGTAGGCTCTGGAATGGAATGTATCTTTGCCACTCCTAGACTGTTGCCCCTGAAGTGTTCTAACATACATTCGTAATCATGCAACCACCACCTCCACCATCCGCATCAGAACTCTTTCATTAGCTCTCTGTTGCCTACCACTCCAAACCATAGCAGTTGGGCACCTGCACCTTCTGAATGGCAGCCTTTTTGTTTATCCTGTTGCCCCTTCCTAACATGTACTTTGCTCCTTTTCTCCTGGCAGAAAACTACCCCTGAGTGTGGTCCCACAGGATATGTAGAGAAAATCACATGCAGCTCATCTAAGAGAAATGAGTTCAAAAGGTGAGTGCTGTTTCTCTTCTCTGAGATCACCTCCTTTGCTCCTATGACTTTAGATGGATGGTCCCACCTTTTCCCCTGGTCTGGGGGTAGCATGGAATATCTGAAAGAAGAGGGGGCCGGGCTCACACCTATAATCCCAGTACTTAGGGAGGCTGAGGCTAACAGATCACCTGAGGTCAGGAGTTCGAGATCAGCCTGGCCAACGTGGTGAAACCCCATCTCTACTAAAAATACAAAAATTAGCTGGTGTGGTGGGTGCCCATAATCCCAGCTACTTGGGAGGCTGAGGCAGGGAGAATCACTTGAACCCAGGAGGCAGAGGTTAGAGTGAGCCAAGATCATGCCACTGCACTCCAGCCTGGGCAATGGAGCGAGACTGTGTGTCAAAAAAAAAAAAAAAAAAAAGAGGCTGGGAGGGGTGGCTCACGCCTGTAATCCCAGCACTTTGGGAGGCCGAGGCGGGTGGATCACGAGGTTAGGAGTTCAAGACCAGCCTGGCCAAGATGGTGAAACCTCATCTCTCTTAAAGATACAAAAATTAGCTGGGCATGATGGCGGGCACCTGTAATCCCAGCTACTTGGGAGGCTGAAGCAGAAAACTGCTTAAACCCGGGAGGTGGAGGTTGCAGTGAGCCAAGGTCACGCCACTGCACTCCAGTCTGGGTGACAGAGCGAGACACCATCTCAAAAATAATAAGAAAGAAGACGGGATTTGGAGCCAAATTACTTGAACCCAAGTCCCAGCTCTACTCCTCAGCACTATGTTATTGGCCATATTTTCTCATCAGTAAAATTGGTTAATACTAGCTCTGCTTATCCAGAGAATAAATTAAATGATCTATTTGAGAGGGATTTATGTACTATACACACAATAGAAGCCTGGCTCTGATTTCCTCTTGAGTGTATCCTGGCTAGGCTGAAGTAGAAGGGAAATTAGAGGGAGAAGCTGTCTGGCCTTCCTTGGGAATAACTATTCCTTCCTGCCCTCAGCTGCCGCTCAGCTTTGATGGAACAACGCTTATTTTGGAAGTTCGAAGGGGCTGTCGTGTGTGTGGCCCTGATCTTCGCTTGTCTTGTCATCATTCGTCAGCGACAATTGGACAGAAAGGCTCTGGAAAAGGTCCGGAAGCAAATCGAGTCCATATAGCTACATTCCACCCTTGTATCCTGGGTCTTAGAGACCCTATCTCAGACAGTGAAAGTGAAATGGACTGATTTGCACTCTTGGTTCTTTGGAGCCTTGTGGTGGAATCCCCTTTTCCCCATCTTCTTCTTTCAGATCATTAATGAGCAGAATAAAAAGAGTAAAATGGTTTCCTTCCCTTCTGTAACTTGGAGCAGGAAGTCATGGGGGCAGAGAGGGAAAGGAGGTGGTTACTTAAGGCCCCAATCTACCAAGTCTTCCCCACCACTTCTCCCTTGTTTTCCCCCTCTTCTACTACTTATTTCAAACTTCTGGGATACAATTTCAGCTAAAACGTTTATTTCTCACTCAAAACTTATTTCCCCTCAACCCTATACCCAAAGAAGAAATAAAATCACAGATACATAACAGAAGTATTTGAGGTACCCTCTCATATATGCAAACAAATGCAGACTAGGCCTCAGGCAGAGACTAAAGGACATCTCTTGGGGTGTCCTGAAGTGATTTGGACCCCTGAGGGCAGACACCTAAGTAGGAATCCCAGTGGGAAGCAAAGCCATAAGGAAGCCCAGGATTCCTTGTGATCAGGAAGTGGGCCAGGAAGGTCTGTTCCAGCTCACATCTCATCTGCATGCAGCACGGACCGGATGCGCCCACTGGGTCTTGGCTTCCCTCCCATCTTCTCAAGCAGTGTCCTTGTTGAGCCATTTGCATCCTTGGCTCCAGGTGGCTCCCTCAGTCTGGACTCTACCACTTGGGTCTCCAGATTTTCTGTTACGTCCTTGTGGGTCAGGATATTTCTGGAAGTCACTGTGAGGTGAAGGCAAGAGGGCAGTAGTAGAGTGCTCCCCTGGGTGGGAGACCCTAGACAGGACAGGACCTCCCTCTTGCTTCTTGACGACCTTGGAGAACAGAGTCCCCCTCCCTTGCTCAGCCAGGGGTTGCTCCCTGCCCTTGCCTCTCACCTCCGTGAGGCTGGTAATCCTCAGACCCAGCTTCTGGTCGACTCTGGAATGGACTGAAGCTGGGCAGGATGATGAGAGCCAGGGAAAAAAGAAGAATCTGGGAGGAAGCAAGAGGAACAGATGAAGGGAGCAGGGGGTAGAGTGAACGGAGGCCAGCTGGGGTTATCGGATGTGGGAAGTAGATCTGGCCGGGTAGTCGGGGTATAAGGATAGAAGTGTGGGGGGAGATGGGAGTAGATAGACTAATGGTACCAAAACACAAGTGCTGGTCTGGGCAGCTTTGTTGGAAGTTTGAGCAATTAGCGTCTGCAGCTGGCGGAGCTGAGCTACCAAGGAGCTGGGAAAGGAGGAATGAAGAGTTAGTATCATCTGGGTACCAGGGGCCAAGAATGGCACCCCTGTGTGCTGTACCTGCCTTCAAAACACACATACACACACAATGCTTTCACTCACATGTTGTGCCTCTCCAGCTCCTGGACTTTTTTCTGTAATTCTTGGTTCTGTGCAGAACAGGCTGCCACCCTAGAATGTAGGGAGGTAGGACAAGGCTCAGCAACCTGAGTCCCTTACCTTGCCTCCCATGGTGAGGAAGGGGCCCAGACATGGCCCACAAGAAGCCAGAAATAACCCAGGCGTACCTGCTCTCCAGCCCATCAATGTACTCCTTCTTCCGCCGCCGACTGTCCTGAGCTGACTGCTTGTTACGGATTTTCCTCCTGACCTTCTTGAGGACCCTCTCCTCTGCCTTGGAGGCCCAGGATGTGTGAGTCCTGGGTCCTTCACCTGCCCCCAACTCCCCAATGCTTCTCCTGGGATATTGGCCCCTCAGAGGTCATGGTGAGGCCCCTGGGTTGGGATACCCTTAGGGGAAGCATGTTACCTTGGTGAGGGGCAGGTGAGAGGGCAGGGAAACCCCTTCCTGCCCCAGCAGACGCTTCTCCTCATCGGTCAGGAACAGGGTTTGACAGGGCAGCTGGGGGTAGGGGCAGGAGAAGATGCAATAGGAGTGAGGAGGGGGTCATCCCATTTGCAGCACCCAGGCTACTCCCCCCACATGCCTTCTGGAGAGTGTTTCCTCACTGGGAGACAACTTTAATCTAGAGGTGAGGTGAGGGGCAGAGACTTTAATTCAGACAGGCTCTAGATCAAGCCAAAGGGACATCCTGAGGCCAAGAAGGGAGAGAGGAGGGTATTGTCATATCCTTCACCCAGACACTGAGGACCTTGGCACTCTGAGCAAGCTAGAGAAGGCTTATTCTGGTCCATGTCTCCCCATACCCAAGAGAACCTGAAAGAACTCACTACAGTGAAGTTTGCATAATTTCCTTACAGCAAGCACATGATTCACTTTCAGTCATTAACTTCCATTTAGCAGAGTGTGTTATCCAGTTGCCCGTCAACCTCAGGGAGCTCCCTGGGGCAGTGGCCCATTCTCCCTTAGGGTCTGAGCTCTGCTTCTCAGACTCAGGTTCTGTCCCCTCTCATACAAGGAGCTTCCCAAAGGCAGCCATACGTCTCACAGCAAATCACAGGAGAGGATGTACGGAGAGTGGATGGCCCTTCTCACTAGTATTTCTTTTTGAAAGATGTATGTGGCCGGGCACAGTGGCTCACACCTGTAATCCCAGCACTTTAGGAGGCCAAGGTGGGCAGATCACCTGAGGTCAGAAGTTCAAGACCAGCCTGGCCAACATGGCAAAACCCAATGTCTATTGAAAATACAAAAATTAGCAGGGCGTGGTGGTGGGTGCTTGTAATCCCAGCTACTTGGGAGGCTGAGGCAGGAGAATCGCTTGAACCCGGGAGGTGGAGGTTGCAGTGAGCCGAGATTGCACCACTGCACTCCAGCCTGGGCAACAAGAGCGAAACTCCATCTCAAAGAAAAAAAAGATGTATGCTTCATTTTGTGACTTACAGAGAATTTACTTTGGTTTTTGCCTGCTCATGGTTTTTGGCTTTTGGCAAAACCATTTCCTGTGTGGCTTTTCCTGATGTGCCTTTCTTGTTCCTGTGACTGTTTGGTGGAACTATTAGAGGAGTGTCTCTTCCAGTCCACCTAATCAAAATCACTGAAAATGAGGCCTAGAGGGTTTCATTTAAAACAAACAACAAAAAAAAAAAAAAAAAAAGAAAAAGAAAAAGAAAACAGAGTGGCCAAGGTGGCTCACGCCTGTAATTTCAGCACTTTGGGAGGTCAAGACAGGAGGATTGCTTGAGGCTAGGAGTTCGAGACCAACCTGGGCAACATAGTGAGACTGTCTCTACAATAAAGAAATAACAAAGCATTTACAAACACCATGGTGCTTCTAATGTATACCCAAACTTAGGGGCATCAGACTTTTTTTTTTTGAGACGGAGTCTTGCCCTGTCGCCCAGGCTGGAGTTCAATGGCGCAATCTCCACTTACTGCAACCTCTGCTTCCCGGGTTCAAGCGATTCTCCTGCCTCAGCCTCTCGAGTAGCTGGGATTAAAGGCACCCGCCACCATGCCCAGCTAATTTTTGCATTTTTAGTAGAGATGGGGTTTCACCATGTTGGCCAGGCTGGTCTCGAACTCCTGACCTCGTGATCCGCCCACCTTGGCCTCCCAAAGTGCTGGGATTACAGGCATGAGCACCGCGCCCGGCCGGCATCAGACTTTTAAAGGTTCCTCAGCTCAAGATTCTAAGATGTTGGCCGGGTGCGGTGGCTCATGCCTGTAATCCCAGCACTTTGGGAGGCTGAGGCGGGCGGATCACAAGGTCAAGAGATCAAGACCATCCTGGCCAACATGGTGAAACCCCATCTCTACTAAAAATACAAAAATTAGCCAGGCTTGGAGGCGCACACTTGTTGTCCCAGCTACTCAGGAGGCTGAGGAAGGAGAATCGCTTGAACCTGGAAGGCAGAGGTTGCAGTGAGCTGAGATGATGCCACTGCACTCCAGTCTGGTGACAGAGCGAGACTCTGTCTAAAAAAAAAAAAAAAAAAAAAAAAAGATTCTAAGATGCTTAGCTTGGCTTCTGGTCCCAGCTTCAACTGCAGATTTGAAGAGAGGCTAGGACCTGGTCCCTGCCTTTTGGGTACAAGGAGTAATTTTCAGAGGAAAGGGAGGAACAGTGATCTGAGCATAGTCCCCTCTTTACCCAGCCTTGGACGCTGCCCAGACGGCCTTGAGAAGGCATCTAATGTGATACCTCTGCTACACTGTAGCACTAGCCAGTGGGTGCCTCCTGGGCAACTGTTCCAGTGGAAACATTGCTGCTATTGCTTTTCTTTCTTCCTGTACCTATAACCAGTTGGGATTCCCAGGTGGCCTGTCCCATTTCTGTGTCCTGACCCAAGGCTGAGATAATGGCTCTGGCTAAGAATACAATGCATGCAAAGTCTGGGCTTTCTCCTGAGCCCTGTCCCCAGATTCCCTCACCCCACCTTAACTGAGTTTTTGCTACCTTACCCCCAAGGGTTCTTTCTCCCTTGTCCTTCCCTGCTTTTAAAATTGTTCATGTTGGGCCAGGCGTGGTGGCTCACACCTGTAATCCCAGCACTTTGGGAGGCAGAGGCAGGCGGATCACAAGGTCAGGAGTTCAAGACCAGCCTGGCCAATATGGTGGAAACCCGTCTCTACTAAAAATACAAAAATTAGCCAGGCATGGTGGCAGGCACCTGTAGTCCCAGCTACTTGGGAGGCTGAGGCAGGAGAATCGCTTGAACCCGGGAGGCAGAGGTTGCAGTGAGCTGAGATGGTGCCACCACACTCCAGCCTGGGTGACAGAGTGAGACTCCGTCTCAAAAAAAAAAAAAAAAAAAATTGTTCATGTTAGTCGGGCACAGTGGCTCATGCCTGTAATCCCACCACCCTGGGAGGCTGAGGTAGGCAGATCACTTGAACTCAGGAGATTAAGACCAGCCTGAGCCTGGGCAACATGGCAAAACCCCAAAACCCCATCTCTACAAAAATTAGCCAGACGTGGTGGCACACACCTGTAGTCCCAGCTACTCAGGAGGCTGAGGCAGGAGGATTGCTTGAGCCCAAGATGTTGAGGATGCAGTGAGCCGTGATTGCACCACTGCACTCCAGCCTGGATGACAGAGTAAGACCCTGGCTCAAAAAATAAAAAATAGTTCAACTGTTCATGTCTCCTTGGTCTTCAGGCCCAATGCCACAAAAACCGGGGCAAAGGCAGTTCATCATCAGTTTCCATTCCCTCATCCCTTTGCTCTGTCTGTGTGATTATATATGTATCAAGGAGTAGTGGTTCTGGCTGACACCAAGACTCACCAGGGTTGTACAGGGCACTGGGGCTACGGTGCCTGCTCTGGGCAGGATGTGGGCATGAGCATCAAAGGGCAGCTCACTGACCATGCAGGAATCAGGCACCATAAATGCTGGGCTCCACTGATCTGGAGTAGAAAACAGGTAGCTGGGAGAAAGGAGACTTAGGAACACCCTGACAGCCGCAGGGCCTGGGTAGTGGCACAGGTTGGGTAAACCCCCTTAACCCCATGGTTAGGGCCAGTCCCGAAGGGCCATTTCCCCCTTCCCACAAAGAACACTGACCTAGCTGGATGGAGATAAGGCCTACATTTGGCCCAGTTTCCCCCTGCATCCTCTCCAGGGCCCCTGCCTCATAGACAACCTCATAGAGCATAGGAGAACTGGTTGCCCTGGGGGCAGGGGGACTGTCTGGATGGCAGGGGTCCTCAGAGATGCCACTGTCACTGCCAGGAGATGCTTCTGAGCAGTACACCTCATTGGGATCAATGAAAAGCTTCAAGAAATCTTCAGGCTCACTCTCTTGAAGGCCCTACAGTAGGAAAAGGTTATATATATGTGCAGGGAAGAATTTTGGAAGTCCTCCCTGACTTATGCTTCATTTTCAGTCCTTTCACTTCTTGGGCATGGAGACAGTTATTATACAACTTACGTCTATTTTGGGGGTGGTCTGTTTTCAGACCTGTCTCCAAGTGGGAGCTGAAGCCTCTTATCACAGAGTTGTGTCTCAACCCCACCCCCACTCCCACTCGTCACACTCACACAGCCACGGTCCCCACCGGACTTCCAGCCTTGCAGTCCCTGTTCCTGTAGCCTAGTTACCGGAACCTCTGGAGGGGGGCAGTGGAGTCCCAGCTCCAGGACGGATCCTGTCGAGAAGATATCCTCTGGGGGCTCCAGCCACGCGTCCAGCAGGTCAGGGATTCCGAGATCCATGCTTCTGCAGGAAGGCGTGTGGGACGGAGGGTTGCAGAAACGGAATGATGGCTGCTTACTACCCCCTACAGTTTCTGGGCTCCTCTGCTCCCTTTTCCATTATCCCCGCCCCCCCACTCCTTCCTCACTAGCAAGCCCCCTCACCTGTCCCCTCGATATTTCACCTTCAGCCCTATCCCTCAGGTTTAGACAAAGAGGCCCCCCCCAAGCATTACCTGTTCTGAAGAGCCCAGCCCTGTCAAGCCAGCATAGCCCGTTGACCTCCCCAAACACTACACCTTTTCTTTCTTCCAGGATCTCGTATCCTGGACCTGCCAGCCAAACCCCGCCCCCAGCCTTACACTACAAAAGTGGATGCCACCTTGCCAGGAGCCACGGTAGGGCCGCTGTATCTGGGAGTAGGGGACTAAGAGTCTGAGGGTCCACAAACGGAATTTAAGAAGTAGGTAGCCGCGCCCTTTCTGCTGCAGTTTTCTCTTAGCTATAGTAAATCTTCCTGAGGGTTTGGTGTCTCCTAGCTGAAGAACAGAAAAGGCTGTGACTGGAGCACAGGACTCCTGAATGCCTGTTCTGTAGCCCTCGCTTTTGCAAGAGGGAGATCATGGCAGGGTTGTAAACAAAGGCGGAAAGAGTCAAGAGACCTGCGAATTTACTAGGGCATCCCCTCGCCCACCGCGTGGCGCTCTTCCCAAAGCTGAGTCCTGATTGGAAGCTGAAGACTTAGGTTTCGGAGGGGCAGGACATCGAGCCAATGGCACACTACCCTCTCAAGGCCGCCTCTTCCGTAACTGGTCGGAGACAGTTTGGCTGTTCAGGAGAGTCAGGCCAATGGGGCCGCAGTTCTTTCTTTTTTTTTTCTTTATTCTTATTTTTGGAGACAGGGTCTCGCTCTGTTGCCCAGGCTGGAGTGCGGTGGTGCGATCACGGTTCCATGCAGCCCCCGACCTCCCGGGCTCAGGTGATTCTCCCGCCTCAGCACCGCGAGCAGCTAGGACCACAGGCGCGAGCCACTGCGTCCGGCCGGCGGGACTTATTTGTCAGGCGGGGATTGGGTTCCGCCAGCCTAAAGGGAGGGGTAAGCGCCAGAATATGAATCGCCGGGAAGCTGGGAGAAAGCTCCGGGAAACCCTGAGCAGCCAGGTTTGTCTTCGCGCGCCACGTGACTCGGAAGCTCCGGTTTCACCCAGGCGGGGAGTCAACAGCCCGCTGACCCCAGTGGAGCGGTGATCCTCGCTCGGCAGGCGGCAGGAGCGCGATGGCGGGTTTCCCCGTCCGCAAGCCGAGCAGTGTGGCGTTAATGGAGAACAGCAGCTGTGCGCACACGCTCGCTGCACGCTGCTCATTCACGGAGGGACACGGGGCAGGAAAACTGCAACAAGTTAAAAAGCCTTTTGCGTTTGTTGTCTTATTGTTTGCATACAGTTACCGGGAACATTATGTCCCACACTTGTATAATTTACAAAACGTTTTCATAAAAATTGTTCTCTTCCTTAATCCATAACAGTTCTGAGGCACACACGGCGGGTAATATTTTGCAAATTTTACCTATGAGGAGGCAGATCCATGACTAGAAAGTAGTAATACCAAAACTCAGGGTTGATTGATTATTTTTATTTTTTTGCCTTGGTCTAATGTCTGATGGTCCAGGAATTCACTTCAAGTAAAACAATGGAGGTAAACTGATACAGGTATGGTTTTCAGTAGTATTTCAGAAAAGGGTAGCTGGGTGAGTAAAACAGTAGTTTGGAGTGTGAATCCCAGAACTCAAACTGCTACTAATTATCCTTATGAAGATTTGAACGGGCTAAGGGTAAAAACGGGAACAGGGTCTAGTCAGGCATTTCCATGTTACTCATATAATTCTTACAGCAGATGGAGCTGACAAGTTTGTTTGTTTGTTTTTCTTTTGCTCTGTGGCCCAGGCTGGAGTGCAGAGGCTCGATCTCGGCTCACTGCAAGCTCCGCCTCCCGGGTTCACGCCATTCTCCTGCCTCAGCCTCCCTAGTAGCTGGGACTACAGGCGCCCAGCTAATTTTTTTGTATTTTTAGTAGAGACAGGGTTTCACCGTGTTAGCCAGGGTGGTCTCGATCTGACCTCGTGATCCGTCCACCTCGGCCTCCCAATGTGCTGGGATTACAGGCGTGAGCCACCACGCCCGTCCGAGCTGACAAGTTTAAGTAACTTTCTCAAGGTTACCCTGTAAGTAGCTGAACCAAGATTTGGATGCTTCAGCCCATGTTCTTCACACTATCAACCCACCTTGTGGGGCTTTCTCAGATTTCTTATCTGTCTTTCCCGCTCATATCTCTCCATCCTGCTCAAGTAGTGAAGAGACAAAGCAGCCTTCCTAGATTGATGCAGAGCTCCAAGGAAAGCAAAGCTGTTCTTGTTGAGATCATTCTGAGAGCGAGAAAGGTGGTTAAATACATTTCAAAGGGCTTCCTGCGGGCTGTATGTGCAGAGATGATTTGAGTGGGGAATGTAGTTAGCTTCCGTTGATGTTAGAACTGGAAGGACCCTCTGCAGTCATCTGCTTGTTTAACTTCCTCCTTGCCCCTGATTTATCAAACTCTGGTGAGGAAAACTGACTTGCCTAAAATCATACATCAAGGTAAGGTAAAATTGAGGAGATCTATTGGGCCGGGTGTGGTGGCTCACACCTGCAGTCCCAGCACTTTGGGAGGCTGAAGCGGGTGGATCACCTGAGGTCAGGAGTTCAAGACCAGCCTGGTCAACATGGTGAAATCCCGTCTCTACTAAAAATACAAAAATTAGCCGGGCGTGGTGGCGGGCGCCTGTAATCCCAGCTACTCGGGAGGCCGAGGCGGGAGAATTGCTTGAAACCTGGGAGGCAGAAGTTGTAGTGAGCCAAGAGCATGCCACTGCATTCCAGCCTGGGCAACACAGCAAGACTCTGTCAAGAAAGAAAGGAGGAAAGAAGAAAGGAAGGAAGGAAGGAAAAAGAAAAGAAATAAAGTTGCCAAGAGATTTTAAATGTTCTCATCACAAATAAATATGTGAAGTAATGCATATGTTAATTAGCTTGATTTACCCATTCTGCAATGTACATATATTTCTTTTCTTTTTTCTTTTTTTTTGAGACGGAGTCTCGCTGTGTCGTCCAGGCTGGAGTGCAGAGGTGTGATCTTGGCTCACTGCAACCTCCGCCTCCCCGGTTCAAGCGATTCTCCTGCCTCAGCCTCCTGAGTAGCTGGGATCATAGGCATGCGCCACCACGCCTGGCTAATTTTTGTATTTTTAGTAGAGACAGGGTTTCACCATGTTGAGCAGGCTGGTCTCCAACTCCTGACCTCGTCATCTGCCCGCCTCGGCTTCCCAAAGTGCTGGGATTACAGGCGTGAGCCACCGCGCCCGGCCCAATGTACATATATTTCAAAACATCATGTTGTACACCATAAATATATACAATTATTAATCATATATGACATATGTATGTGTATAAATAAACAAATATATATATTTGACAACTATAAAGGTAGAACTTGGACCAGAATCCAGGTTTCCTGACCCCCCCAGTCATAATTCCTTGTTAATGTTACCAATTACGAATAATTTTTTTTTTTGAGACGAAGTTTCGCTGTTGTTGCCCAGGCTGGAGCGCAATGGCGCGATCTCGGCTCACTGCAATTTCCGGCTCCCGGGTTCAAGCGATTCTCCTGCCTCGGCCTCCCGAGTAGCTGGGATTACAGGCCCCCGCCACCACGCCCGGCTAATTTTTGTATATTTAGTAGAGACGGGGTTTCACCATGTTGACCAGGCTGGTCTTGAACTTCTGTCCTCAGGTGATTCATCCTCGGCCTTCCAAAGTGCTTGGATTACAGGCGTGAACCACCGCGCCCGGCCCCTTAAGAAGTCTTCACATTCCTCTTTTACTTAAGGAATTACTGGGCTTCGTTTCTGGAGCCTTGTGAGAAGCATTACACTGTCCCCCCTTTTTTTTTTCTTTTTTAAAATTAATTTTCCTGTAGGAAGCAAGATCCCATCTGTCCCTTCTTTAGGCAATGAAGCTTTTTTCACCTTTGCATAAAAGAACAGCTGAGCCCCCTTTTTAAATTTTCTTTTGTCTTACCGTCCCTTGAGGCTAGAAGAGGATTCTCAAGGCACAGAGTTGTGGGCCACAAGAATCCAGGTTGAGGAAACGGTGAAAGTCCTGAGCTGAAACAACTACCTTGGGGCATTCAAGGAACAGCAAACAGCAAACCGACCGGCGAGGGTGGCGGGAGCTGGGCTGGAAATCAGGTGGGAGAACCGGCCAGACGCCCGCAGGCGCGGTACGCAGATATCCTGGAATGCGCTGGGGGCTCTTCCCTGGGCGCGGCTTCAGCACCCCGCATTCCGGTCCCACCACGTCCCCACCCACCTGGAGAAGGCGGAGGCTGCACTGAGTGCCATAAGTAGTCGAGAAGGGATGATTTTCAAGACATACCCTCTCTTTGCTTTCCCCCCTTTCCAATTCTGCCTTGTCTTTTTCCTTGTTGTGGGTGCTGGTGAGGGAAAGCAGTCAAGGAAGTTGGTCCCAAGAGGGGAATGCTTTCCCTTGGGCGCCAAGAGGCACTGACGAGGTGTCAGAGCCTTCTGAGGGACAGATGAGACTTTGGCCCAAGGCCAGGAAGATGTTTTCAGATGTGGGCCGGAAGACTTGACAATGCGGGGTCTCCCTCTTTTAAAAATATCCATATAATCAAAGCCTTTGTTGACTGGCCCGCTCCGGCCCCTCAGTCCTCCACAGATGCGCCCCAGGGCCCCAGCCCCGAGGTCCTTTTCCTAATATCCGCTCTTGCTCTCGCTCACTCTCCTCAGGTCGCCTGCTCCGCCCGCTCCCGCTCCCGATCTCTGATTGCTCCTAACTGACGTCACTCCCGGTCTGTCCCCGCCCACTCGGTGCTGCCATTGGCAGTCGGTCGTGGGTACGCGGCTCCTGTGGGGGAGGGGGGAGCTATGGGAGGGGGCGGGAATTCCCGACTCTAGGCCGGAAGCGCGCGGAGACCATGTAGTGAGACCCTCGCGAGGTGAGTGCGGGCTGTCTGGCAGCGGGGTCCATGTCGGCTGCCCAGGCCTCCCCGGGCCCGGGAACAGGAGTCCCAGCTCACGCATTCTTCATCTGCTTCCCGCGACGCTTGGCGGCCTCGCACCCCGCCTCCTGGAGCCCGGACTTTCAGGCACCGCCCTCAGTGTCGCCTCAGTCCGTCCCGGGACCGCAGACTCTTAGGGCCCCTCTCTTTGGCCATCTGCCTCTAGGTCCCATCCTGGGGCCTGAAGCGCTTGTTCTCTGCGCTGGGAAAAGGGGAACGATGGAGCGATCCAGCACCCAAACTTACCCTGTCCAGGTGGCCCACGAAGCTACCCAAGACATCTCTGCACAGCCCTAGCCTTTTTGGCTTCACCCACTCCGTTCGGGAGTTGGGGACCCGGCCTCTACATTCCTTAGGGGAACTCCAGCTCCAGGTCCTATTTGGAGGCGGCTCCTAGTTTCCTAGTTTTCTGGGGGCACCAGGTGAAAGGGTGATGAGATATCCATACAGCCTTTCTCATGCCTCGGTTTCCCCCGTGCAGTCTCCCTGAATAAGTCACTTGGGAAAGAAAGTGTGAGAAGAGAGGAATGTTCCTGGTACAGGAGTAGATGAGTCACCCTGGGTAGGGGAAGGTCACAAAGTGGCTGGGGCCAGGGAGCTGCACTCTGCTGACCAAGCTTCCCCATTCCTTGCCCCATCTTCCTTTGCATGATTTTTCCCAACCACTCTGGTCTGTCTTCCTAGGTCTGAGAGTCACTGGAGCTACCAGAAGCATCATGGGGCCCTGGGGAGAGCCAGAGCTCCTGGTGTGGCGCCCCGAGGCGGTAGCTTCAGAGCCTCCAGTGCCTGTGGGGCTGGAGGTGAAGTTGGGGGCCCTGGTGCTGCTGCTGGTGCTCACCCTCCTCTGCAGCCTGGTGCCCATCTGTGTGCTGCGCCGGCCAGGAGCTAACCATGAAGGCTCAGGTAAGCCTCTCCTTTTCCCCACACTGCTATGAATGCTTGGCTTAGGGAGGGCTCTGGGGCTGGCGGGGAGTGACCAAAGGAGGAGGGAAAGGCAAGGGTAGCCATTGTTTGGGTTGGGGTGGTCGGCCCTGGAGGGGGTTTGTTTGCTTATTCCCCTCTGTGCTTCACCCCTACCCAGCTTCCCGCCAGAAAGCCCTGAGCCTAGTAAGCTGTTTCGCGGGGGGCGTCTTTTTGGCCACTTGTCTCCTGGACCTGCTGCCTGACTACCTGGCTGCCATAGATGAGGCCCTGGCAGCCTTGCACGTGACGGTGAGCACTGGCCTGGGCATGTGACTTGCGGGAGGGGAATCACACACCTCTGGGAGTGTTGGTTTGTGGAGATTGATTCATGTGCCACTCCATGACTGTGTGGAAGACTTTTGGCATGTGGTATGAATTGTGATTTTTGGTTATGGGGCATAATTCTTTCTATGTGTTCCCTCCCCCTTCCCCATTCCCTGTGTGACCCCTACATTCCCGTTGAGACAGTAAGACACTTTTTCTCAGGTGTGTGACTTGCTCTATGGGTTCTCAGTTCTAGCTACCAGCAAGTGCTCCAAGAATCATCTTCACTCTCTCACCACTTTCCTAAAGGGCTGGAGATAGAGGTCTCTGTAGGCCTGAGAAGGATAGGAAGCGATTCCCTGGGTCTTGGTGTTGCTAACCTTTTTAGGCTTTGGCCCAAGGAAGTGGGCTGTGAGGAATGATCAAGTCCACGGCATAGGACTTGGTTTATTATAGGAAAAACTGAGGCCGTTGGATAGTGGGGCAGGAAAGTCATCCTGGGCTCTTTCCTTTTTTCCTCTAAAACTGAGGAAGTAACACTGGATGTATCCCTTTGTGTGTCTGTGACTGAGTGACCTGTGTTTCCGTGTGACTGCGTATAAGCCTGAATGTCCTGTGATATGTGGCTCTATGTATGAGTATTTGGGGAGATGGGCAATGTGTGACCTTTTCATGTATGTCTACATCAGTGACTCTCAACTAGGAGTGTGGCTTTGCCCCTCAGGAAACATTTGGTAATGTCTGGGGATATTTTTAGTTGTCACAATGGGGAGGGGGATGGAGGGAACATTGTGCCTGCTATTGGCATCTGGTAAGTAGAGATCAGAAATGCTGTTAAACAATCTACAGTGCACAAGACAGCTCCCATGACAAAGAATTATCTGGCCCAAAATGTTTTTGTTTGTTTGTTTTTGTTTTGTTTTGTTTTTGAGAAAGAGTCTTGCTCTGTTGCCCAGGCTGGAGTGCAGTGGCACAATCTCGACTCACTGCAATCTCTGGCTCCTGGGTTCAAGTGATTCTCCTGGCTCAGACTCCTGAGTAGCTGGGATTACAGGCATCCACCACCACACCCTGCCAATTTTTGTATTTTTAGTAGAGACAGGGTTTCACCATGTTGGCCAGGCTGGTCTCAAACTCCTGACCTCAAGTGATCTTCCCACTTTGGTCTTCCAAAGTGCTGGGATTATAGGCATGAGCCACTGCCCCTGGCCCCAAAATGTTAATAGTTCCAAAGCTGAGAAACTTTGGTCTACACGTAACACTGTGAGTGACACCATAATCTGTGTGTACGTATCATTCTGTGTCAGTGTTACCAATTCACTCTATCTTTGTGTGACTGAGAGTAGCCCTGTGTCTGTGTCAGACCCTAGGTCTGTGTAACTGGGCTTTCACCAGATTTTGCATCTCACTCTTCCTTCCCTGAACATTTTGCTGCTGCTTCTGCCCACAGCTCCAGTTCCCACTGCAAGAGTTCATCCTGGCCATGGGCTTCTTCCTGGTCCTGGTGATGGAGCAGATCACACTGGCTTACAAGGAGCAGTCAGGGCCGTCACCTCTGGAGGAAACAAGGGCTCTGCTGGGAACAGTGAATGGTGGGCCGCAGCATTGGCATGATGGGCCAGGGGTCCCACAGGCGAGTGGAGCCCCAGCAACCCCCTCAGCCTTGCGTGCCTGTGTACTGGTGTTCTCCCTGGCCCTCCACTCCGTGTTCGAGGGGCTGGCGGTAGGGCTGCAGCGAGACCGGGCTCGGGCCATGGAGCTGTGCCTGGCTTTGCTGCTCCACAAGGGCATCCTGGCTGTCAGCCTGTCCCTGCGGCTGTTGCAGAGCCACCTTAGGGCACAGGTGGTGGCTGGCTGTGGGATCCTCTTCTCATGCATGACACCTCTAGGCATCGGGCTGGGTGCAGCTCTGGCAGAGTCGGCAGGACCTCTGCACCAGCTGGCCCAGTCTGTGCTAGAGGGCATGGCAGCTGGCACCTTTCTCTATATCACCTTTCTGGAAATCCTGCCCCAGGAGCTGGCCAGTTCTGAGCAAAGGATCCTCAAGGTCATTCTGCTCCTAGCAGGCTTTGCCCTGCTCACTGGCCTGCTCTTCATCCAAATCTAGGGGGCTTCAAGAGAGGGGCAGGGGAGATTGATGATCAGGTGCCCCTGTTCTCCCTTCCCTCCCCCAGTTGTGGGGAATAGGAAGGAAAGGGGAAGGGAAATACTGAGGACCAAAAAGTTCTCTGGGAGCTAAAGATAGAGCCTTTGGGGCTATCTGACTAATGAGAGGGAAGTGGGCAGACAAGAGGCTGGCCCCAGTCCCAAGGAACAAGAGATGGTCAAGTCGCTAGAGACATATCAGGGGACATTAGGATTGGGGAAGACACTTGACTGCTAGAATCAGAGGTTGGACACTATACATAAGGACAGGCTCACATGGGAGGCTGGAGGTGGGTACCCAGCTGCTGTGGAACGGGTATGGACAGGTCATAAACCTAGAGTCAGTGTCCTGTTGGTCCTAGCCCATTTCAGCACCCTGCCACTTGGAGTGGACCCCTCCTACTCTTCTTAGCGCCTACCCTCATACCTATCTCCCTCCTCCCATCTCCTAGGGGACTGGCGCCAAATGGTCTCTCCCTGCCAATTTTGGTATCTTCTCTGGCCTCTCCAGTCCTGCTTACTCCTCTATTTTTAAAGTGCCAAACAAATCCCCTTCCTCTTTCTCAAAGCACAGTAATGTGGCACTGAGCCCTACCCAGCACCTCAGTGAAGGGGGCCTGCTTGCTCTTTATTTTGGTCCCGGATCCTGGGGTGGGGCAGAAATATTTTCTGGGCTGGGGTAGGAGGAAGGTTGTTGCAGCCATCTACTGCTGCTGTACCCTAGGAATATGGGGACATGGACATGGTGTCCCATGCCCAGATGATAAACACTGAGCTGCCAAAACATTTTTTTAAATACACCCGAGGAGCCCAAGGGGGAAGGGCAATGCCTACCCCCAGCGTTATTTTTGGGGAGGGAGGGCTGTGCATAGGGACATATTCTTTAGAATCTATTTTATTAACTGACCTGTTTTGGGACCTGTTACCCAAATAAAAGATGTTTCTAGACATCTGTACAGTATCTGATTCGTTTGTTTTGGGAAAGGGGTGGGCATGTGGCCAGCCTGAGAGGGCCTGAGTCCCAGATGTTTACAGCTGTTTTAAGATTCTTGGTCTCACTGTTTTCACTCAGGACCCGATAGTCCCCTTCCCTGAAGATGACCTAATTTTTCCTCCTTTGTGTCTTGGTACTTCTTTCCCGGTCTCCACCCCTCGGCTTCCCTTCTCTTCCCTCCCCTCCCTCTTCCTTTCTTCTCTCTTCAATCCCTCTCTCCTTTCCGTTCGTAGTCTCAGGGCTAATTTAGAACTACTCTTCCCAGCTTGCACCTCTCAGGGAGTAGCCGAGAGGGTGGAGCCAAGTCCCCAGTTTCCGGAGTCAGCAGGGCTGCTGGGAAGTGGAGTCCGTTTCCTCCTAGTGCTGCGTGACTGGGGATGTGAAGGAGTCTCGTAAACAAACTACAATTCCCGGCGGCCCCCGCGCGCAACAGGTCAGGGCTAGGCTGGGGCCGGGTTCGCGGTGCTCGCTGAGGCGGCGGTGGCTACGGCTGGAGGAGCCGGGCCGAGGCCGCGGCGGAGGCCGCGGCTGGTACTGGGAGGGTGGCAGGGAGGGACGGGGAAGGAAGATGGCGACGTCGGGGGCGAACGGGCCTGGTTCGGCCACGGCCTCGGCTTCCAATCCGCGCAAATTTAGTGAGAAGATTGCGCTGCAGAAGCAGCGTCAGGCCGAGGAGACGGCGGCCTTCGAGGAGGTGATGATGGACATCGGCTCCACCCGGGTGAGGGGCCGCGCCGGGGAGCCGGAGCAGAGCTGAGCAGTTACGGAGCGGAGACCGGAGAGGCGGGGCGGGGGCGGGCGCCGCAGCGAAGGAGGCGGAACAGAGCAGGGGACGCGGGCGCCGCCGTTTGGGAGGCGCAGGTTGAGGGCCGAGGGGCAGGAAGAAGGATTTTGCCGGGGGAGACCGAAACACCGGAGAGGTTCGGGGTGTAGAGGCGACTGGGGGCCGAGTACGTGAGGTGGGAGTGGGCGGAGAGGGGAGATGAAGTCCGGCGGAGGTAGGAGGTGAGTGGTCCTTGTGCATCCCTGACGGAGTCCCCTCGAGGACGCTACTGAAGCATGCCTGGTATTGGGGTATGGCCTGGGAGGAGGGCTGCTTGTCTGTAACCTGGCTCCTCTGAGTTTGTGATCTCCTCCAAACTGGTCCCTCTGCCTTCTGCGCTTTGGTGCCCCCGGGAAAGGGCCCCTTGAGTGGTTTGAACGAGCGGTGCTGTGTATAGTGGGGCAGGAAGTCCCCTCCTGCGTCCCGTCCTTTTGCTTCCTTTTTCAAATACTTCTTGTGGTTTCCTGACGTGAATGAAGGTGAGGTCCATTGCTTGGTGTTTTGTCCTGGCCTCCTTGGAGGAGAGGTAGGGTTTTGAATCCGACAACTGGGTAACCGTCCGACCATAAGTTGTGTGGAACTCTATGGTTTGCTGAGCTTTCTAGGGAGTTGGCTGCTTTGTGGGTTAGTGTGTAGGGTGCCTTGGAGGGTCTTCTATGTGTTGAGAATATTCATTCCTAGGAGTTCTTGAAAGAACTTTCAGGCCTCTGCCAGGCTGCCTCTGAAGCCCCCCTGGCTTGGTTTCTTGCTTTCCAAGGCTGGAGGTCAGAGGGACCAAGGGGTAGGAGTCCGCCTAGGTGGTATGCAGTCTTAATTTAGGGACACATTCTTCTAAAACAACAGTAGGTAAGGATATTGCAATGATTCCTCATGGCAGAGAGCTAGAAGGAATTTAAGGATTGATGGTGGAACATTACTACAACATCTCTAGCCTTTTTCTGCTGGTCTGACTGTGGTTGCATTTATGACTGTGACTCTGGTTGTATTTTTGTGTGTATCCCCCTTGACTCTGTTACTTTTTTTTTTTTCTCGTCCTTTCCCCTTTGAGTCTCTAGGGACTATGTGCCCTAGTTTGTGGGAGTCAGAAGTTAGGTGGGGAGGCAAATCTGGGAGGGTGTCTGTGCACGCATGTGCACACTTAAATGCATGTGTGTGCATAACCCACTGTAACCATTGTGAGGATTATTATCTAACTGTAGACTGCTCCCCTTTAGGAGCTTTTTCATCATGTTGGGGACAGAGACAGGAAGATGGGAGGCTGATCTTGATAGCGTGAGGCCCTGCCCTCAGGACTGTGATTCTAGCAGAGGCATGGTGGGATCTTAGGGCTCGTATGTGCAAAGAAAGGCTGTGCGAAACTCAAAAGCTGGGGCTTCTCTTTACGGTGCCTCGATCTCTTAAAAGGCCCCTTCTACCCACCTTGCTCCTATTGGTTAATTTCTCAGCTACACAGAAAAGTCTAGTGGGCATACATGGCCAGGGGACCCAAAAGTCTAGAGCTAGGGACAAGAGATCTGGGACTCAGCCTGTTATCTGGCCAGGTGGGAGGGCTCATTTGAGACAGAGATGGCCATGGGAGGCTATACCACTGAGATACTGGGGTTGCCATATATGAGACCTCAAGTGGTCTTCAAGTGGTCCAGAGGTCAGCACAGTGCTCACTAGGCTGACCTCCTGGAACAGAATGTCAGTTCTGATGTTGGCTTCTGTACAAGAGTGTGACCCTGGAAGCTCTTAGAACTTGCCCCTCCTCAGCTGCCCTCCTCCCCATGGCCTTGCCCTGGGCCTGTTTATTTGGCTGGTCGCAGGGGCTGAGCCTTGGAAATAGATGCTCACCTCTCACAGAGACAGGATGTCTGTACACAGGCTAAACCCATGCCAGGCTGTCTTACGCCTATGCCAGACATAGCTCCCCAAAGTGAGGATGAGACCAGGAAGATGGCCCTGGCCCATGCTGGAGTGGGCTGCTGCTCTCTGTCCACCCTCCTTCTCCAGGCTTCCCTGCCAATTCAAGAGCCTTAGGATTCAGTGGAAGAATGTCCCTTGGTTTTGGTGCTGTTTTTCCAGCTAGGAGAGCTGCTATTCCTTGGATGTTCTAGTTTGGGAGGTGCAGGCTTTGTGTAGCCTTCCTGAGGCTGGGCAAGTGGCAGAGCCCAGAAGCCTGTGCTCTCCAGAGTGGGAAGGAAAGAGGCTGGCAGTAATGGCTCTGTGACATCCACCTGTGGCCTTCCTCTTAATCTCTCAATTAGTCCTGGACGCATCTGGAAAGAAAGCAGAGGTTCCTAATAGGCACTCCCCCTTGTGAGTAGCCCGGGAGCTCCTGGCAGCCCCTCAGGGACTCTGCTTAGAGTGATGCCAAATGAGACAGGCCCTCAGCAGAGTATCTGTCTCTGCCTGGCAGGATGATGTCAAGCAGTAGTGATATCATTGATGAGGGCAGTCTGCAGATGGGCTCTGGTGGGTTATTTGCACCAAATCTCGGTGGACCTTTCAAACCCCAACACTGGCCTTTTTTTTCTGGCAGATAATTTCTTTATTTTTTTTTTAACTTTTTTTTTTTTGGAGACAGGATCTCAGTCTGTCACCCAGGCGGCTAGAGTGGAGTGACATAAACATGTCTCACTGCAGCCTCTACTTCCTGGGCTGAAGTGATCCTTTTTTTTTTTTTTTTTTTTTGAGACAGAGTCTCTCTCTGTTGCCCAGGCTGCAGTGCAGTGGCACAGTCTCGGCTTACTGCAACCTCCACCTCCCAGGTTCACGCCATTCTCCTGCCTCAGCCTCCCGAGTAACTGGGACTACAGGCGCCCGCCACCACGCCCGGCTAATTTTTTGTATTTTTAGTAGAGACAGGGTTTCACGGTGTTAGCCAGGATGGTGTCGATCTCCTGACCTTGTGATCCGCCTGCCTCGGCCTCCCAAAGTGCTGGGATTACAGGTGTGAGCTACTGTGCCTGGCCTAGATATTTTAAAAGCAGTGGCGGCAGCAGCATATCCTGGTGACAGAGATGGCAAGGATGGCTGAAGGAAATAGTGCTCAGGACCCTCCTGACATTCCCACTTGTTCCCCATGTCTCAGTTACAGGCCCAAAAACTGCGACTGGCATACACAAGGAGCTCTCATTATGGTGGGTCTCTGCCCAATGTTAACCAGATTGGCTCTGGCCTGGCCGAGTTCCAGGTGAGTAGACCCCAGCCAGGGAGGAGTGGAGTTTCTTAGGCTGCTTCCTCTGCTGACTTCTGTCCTTTTTGGCAGAGCCCCCTCCACTCACCTTTGGATTCATCTCGGAGCACTCGGCACCATGGGCTGGTGGAACGGGTGCAGCGAGATCCTCGAAGAATGGTGTCCCCACTTCGCCGATACACCCGCCACATATCCTTCACAGGGGACTTGGGAGTGTCTGAAAGGTAGTGGGATGGGGTTCCTCAGGGACTCATAGGAAGCACTTGAAGTGTTGTGCGTCCCTTCCTTCTCTTGGAGCTCTTCTTTACCCAGCTTCCCTGAAAAGCGACCATAGCCCCTGCGTCAGCACCTGCTCCTGTGACAAGGAGTTTTGCTCCTGAGGCTGTGCCCCCTGTCTCTGGCTGGCTCTGGCTGTCTTCACATCAGCTTGCTGCCAGAGGCAAGCCTTCCTTGTCTCCTGCTAAAGGAGATTGGGTCTCTTCTCAGATTTCTAAGTTTTCAGTCTCAGAGACCTGCATAACTGTCTCCTCCAAGCCCTGCCTGAACATTCTCCTGGATTTTTTCAGCCCCTTTAGACCTGATTCCCTTTTTCTCTTCCATTCTTTGATCCTATTGTTGTCCCTTATAGAAGAGGAGAAAGGTATGAGTTTCTTGAAACAACTTATCTGCTGCCTTCATTGTTCTTTCCTCATTTGGCCTCTCTCATCTGTCCTCTCTACTTTTTTCCTTAACTGGTGCTGTTCACATTGACAGCTCTCCCTATAGTCCTGCCTACTTATCTCCTCCCCCAGAGTCTAGCTGGCGAAGGTAAGTGTCCAGGGCGGGCAGAAGCTCCTGCCTACTCTCTGACGTGTTTCTGGAAGGAGTTGCCCCTTCTGGGTTGGGGCTGGGATTACTGGGCTAAGGTTTCAACAGTACCTCTTCCTATAACGCCAGGGCTGAGAGAGGTGGAGACAGTTGGAGTAGGTGGGTCAGAGTCCAGCCTTGGCCATGTTGACACTAGTGGTCAAGCCTCCCAGTCCAGCCAGAGCAGAACCAATGGGAACCATAGCCAGGCTGGGGTGTGTGTGTAAGGGGGAGGGGAGAATGGCAGAGGGGCAGGTGAAAATGGCAACCTTCTGTCAAGGGTGGGTGCAAGATGTAGTGTTCTGGCACTTTTAGATTTCTTAAACTCTCCCCTTGTCCATCTCACTTTCAATGCTCATACCCAGGAATGCTGCTGGGCTCCAAGATTCCCATTCAGCTGGTCCTGGCAGAGAGAAGTTTCCAGCTCTCTTAGATTGACTGGGGGAGGGGTCAATCATAGGCAGGAGAAGAACCAGAAAGAAAAGGGGATGATCTGGGTGCTCAGCCATCTTTACTTCCACCTTAGCTGCCCCACATTTTCCAACCCCTATGCCCACCTTCTTGTCCACTGCCAGCCTTCCTCCTCATGACTTTGTTTTTCTACCCCAGGACGATGGCCTGGGGCAATTTCCCTGCAGAGAAGGGGCAGTTGTTTCGACTACCATCTGCACTTAACAGGTGATGGCTTTTGCCTTCTTTAGGCCAGATCTCTTATCTGTAGTTTCTGGGGCCCTGCTCCCTCACCCCCACCCTGTTCCAGACCAGCTAGTGTTTTCCCTTGCTGGGCAGGGCTTAGGGACCAGGAAGACTGTCACTGGTGTCAGCTCATTCCTGCTCCCCCCATAGGACAAGCTCTGACTCTGCCCTTCATACAAGTGTGATGAACCCCAGTCCCCAGGATACCTACCCAGGCCCCACACCTCCCAGCATCCTGCCCAGCCGACGTGGGGGTAAGTGGCCCTGTCCCAGGGTTGGGAGTAACCATGGAGCTATTTATTTATTTATTTATTTATTTATTATTTCTTTCTTTTTTGAGACGGAGTCTCACTCTGTCGCCTAGGCTGGAGTGCAGTGGCGTGATCTCGGCTCACTGCAACCTCCGCCCTCCGAGTTCAAGCGATTCTCCTGCCTCAGCCTCCTGAGTAGCTGGGATTACAGGCATCTGCCACTGTGCCTGGCTAATTTTTTGTGTTTTTAGTAGAGATGGGGTTTCACCATCTTGGCCAGGCTGGTCTTGAACTCCTGACCTCGTGATCCACCTGCCTCGGCCTCCCAAAGTGCTGGGATTACAGGCATGAGCCACCATACCCGGCCTCCATGGAGCTATTTAAAGCAGGTAGGCAAGTGAGCACTGCAGCCAATGCCACTGTATCCCTTGCAGGTATTCTGGATGGTGAAATGGACCCCAAAGGTATGTGTTCCTCACTGCTGTGGGTACTGAATGCCAAAGAATTTCTGGGCTGGTGTTGGGATTGTGTGCAGGTTCAGGGAGCAGGACTCCTTCCCACCTGCTTCTGCTTCCTGTCCTGCCTTACTGGCTCTTTCTCCAACTCTCCCATCACCAGTCTTTCTCTTTCAAGTACCTGCTATTGAGGAGAACTTGCTAGATGACAAGCATTTGCTGAAGCCATGGGATGCTAAGAAGGTAGGAGGAGGCCACCGGGTGTCACCCACTAGTCTCTCTGCTATCCCCTTGCCATGGGGCAGGCCTTCCAGGGTTCTCTGCTGAGCACTGTCCTCATTTTCCATATTCTCCCTTCTCTCCTCAGCTATCCTCATCCTCTTCCCGACCTCGGTCCTGTGAAGTCCCTGGAATTAAGTAAGTACTCCCTGAGGTTGGCTGAGAGGTGGGGGAAGGAAGTACAGGGAGATGTAGGAGACTGATCTCTGCTCTTCCCTGACCACTGCACCCACCCTCCTATTTACATCTTTCTTTTTCTCTCCTTCCCCTAGCATCTTTCCATCTCCTGACCAGCCTGCCAATGTGCCTGTCCTCCCACCTGCCATGAACACGGGGGGCTCCCTACCTGACCTCACCAACCTGCACTTTCCCCCACCACTGCCCACCCCCCTGGACCCTGAAGAGACAGCCTACCCTAGCCTGAGTGGGGGCAACAGTACCTCCAATTTGACCCACACCATGACTCACCTGGGCATCAGCAGGGGCATGGGCCTGGGCCCAGGCTATGATGCACCAGGTGAGTGACTGTCCTGGCCATGTGCCCACTGGGTGCTGCCTGACTGGAGGGATGAAGGGGAGGTAGGTTTGAGCACCTGAGATCCTGCTGTGATCACCCACACCGCCTGTCACCTCTGCACCCCAGGATTCCCTCACGGCAGTTCTCAGCCAGTGATAACTGGTAGGTGTGGTGTTTCCTAGAAAGAAGAGGAAGGGCAGTCCCCAGATGGGCAGTGCTGTCAGGGATAGAGTAGGGAGGACGTTGTGTTGCCGCTTTCATAGTCTGGTCACTGCCACCCATTCTGGGTGGAAAGGGGCTCAGTTCCCATCAGTAATGTTGGCATCTCTGGTTTTTTGTCTGTGCCTGCAGGACTTCATTCACCTCTCAGCCACCCATCCCTGCAGTCCTCCCTAAGCAATCCCAACCTCCAGGCTTCCCTGAGCAGTCCTCAGCCCCAGCTTCAGGGCTCCCACAGCCACCCCTCTCTGCCTGCCTCCTCCTTGGCCCGCCATGTACTGCCCACCACCTCCCTGGGCCACCCCTCACTCAGTGCTCCGGCTCTCTCCTCCTCCTCTTCCTCCTCCTCCACTTCATCTCCTGTTTTGGGCGCCCCCTCTTACCCTGCTTCTACCCCTGGGGCCTCCCCCCACCACCGCCGTGTGCCCCTCAGCCCCCTGAGTTTGCTCGCGGGCCCAGCCGACGCCAGAAGGTCCCAACAGCAGCTGCCCAAACAGTTTTCGCCAACAATGTCACCCACCTTGTCTTCCATCACTCAGGTATGCGTGGCTGCCTTCCCTGCATGTCTGTCTCCCTTCCCTTTTCTCCTGCCATGTTGTTTCCCTCCCACCCTCCTTTCCTGAAATACCTACTCTATACTCATCCCCTTCCATTCCTCTGTCCTCCGCCTGCCCCATCTTTTATCCATCTTGTCTCCTCTTGCTTCACAGTGCAAACCCAAACGCTGTGGTTAAGCTTTTTTAGCTTCAAACCCTGGCTCCACCTCTTACTAGCAGTCACCTTGGACAAGTTATTTAATTTCTATAAGCCTCAGTATTTTCATTTCTAAAACAAGGATGGTTCATAAGGATCAAATGAAGTAACATACATAAAATACTTAGCACCACACATAGCCCAGGTATGCTTGACAAATAGTAGCTTACCCTTTCCTTTTATTTGCCTCCTCTGTTCCTGTCTGTTTTATATCTGTCTTTTATCTCATGCCTCTATCTTGTCCCGTCTCCTCCCCTGTATCCCCTCCTAATTTCATAGAATTCGTAGAATCAGTCAATTTCCTACTGTGGAGCCCAATTCCTTCACTTAATAGATGAGGAAAGTGGGACCTAGAGGGAAAGTGACTTTTCCAAGTTTACCCAGCAAGTTAGGAAGAGTTGAGACTAGAACTCGAAGCTCTTAGTTTAGGGCTTTTTCCACAGAGATGAAATTCTTAGCCCTTGTCTCCCTTCCTGTCCTTTTCTTCTTGTTCTCTATCTCTACTCCTCTTTTCTTTCATCCAAATGCTCTTTTCCCTCTCCTCTGCCCAACTTTTCCTCCTCCATTGCTATCCCTGGAATGTGTGTTCTGTGTTCCATCTTTACTCAGGTCCCCTCTTTTGTAGGAAAGACTGAGGCCAGATTAGCAAGGGCTCTGTTCCCAGAGTGTGGAGTGAGCTTGACTTCCCTTCCTTTCTTTCTCCTTTTCTTTCTTTCTTTTCCCACCCCCTCTGGCCTCTTCAAGGCTGTAGAACAGCAGTTCTCAACCTTAGTTCCTTATTTACTAACAATAAATAGTTCAAGTATCAAGATTTAAGAATGGTTTACTTCTAAGGCTAGGCACAGTGGCTTATGCCTGTAATCCCAGCACTTTGGGAGGCCAAGGCGGGAGTTCAAAACTAGCCTGGTCAATATGGTGAGACCCAGTCTCTACAACAAATAAAAAATTACCCAGGTGCAGTCGCGCACGCTTGTAGTCCTGGCTACTGGGGAGGCTGAGATGGGAGGATCACTTGAACCAGGAAGGTTGATGCTACAGTTCCAACTATGATTGCACCACTGTACTCCAGCCTGGGCAACAGAGTGAGGCCCTGTCTCAAAAAAAGAGAATAGTTTACTTCTGGAGTAGATTTAAAATTACCCCTGTGTTAGCCTCACTATATCACTTTCATTCTGATAGGCACTTTTTTTTTTTTGGAGACGGAGTCTCGCTCTGTTGCCCAGGCTGAAGTGCAGTGGTGTGATCTTGGCTCACTGCAACCTCCCACTTCCTGGGTTCAAGCAATTCTCCTGTCTCAGCCACCCGAATAGCTGGGACTACAGACGCCTGCTACCATGCCCAGCTAATTTTTATATTTTTAGTAGAGACGGGGTTTCACCATGTTGGCCAGGCTGGTCTCGAACTCCTGACCTCAGGTGATCCACCTGCCTTGGGCCTCCCAAAGTGCTGGGATTACAGGCATGAGCCACCACACCCTGCCAACTAATACACATCCCTGGGGTTGAGTAACTGCACTCAACCCCAGGGATGCCCGTGAGAATGTGGAATGTTGTCATGTTTGTTTTGGGAATGGTTGTAGCTAAAGAAGGTGGGAAGCTCTGACTGAGAGTTCTTGGGGTATACACTGAGCAGTAAGCTTCCCTCTTTTTACTTCTTTTCAGGGCGTCCCCCTGGATACCAGTAAACTGTCCACTGACCAGCGGTTACCCCCATACCCATACAGCTCCCCAAGTCTGGTTCTGCCTACCCAGCCCCACACCCCAAAGTCTCTACAGCAGCCAGGGCTGCCCTCTCAGTCTTGTTCAGTGCAGTCCTCAGGTGGGCAGCCCCCAGGCAGGCAGTCTCATTATGGGACACCGTACCCACCTGGGCCCAGTGGGCATGGGCAACAGTCTTACCACCGGCCAATGAGTGACTTCAACCTGGGGAATGTGAGTACTCAGGCTCCTTGCTCAAAAGCAGGGGAGTGGGTGAGGGTGGGTCAATGGGGCCTGAATGGCATGGCTGGTGCACTGTGAATGGGGAGATCTAGGTGGGGTGGGTGGTGGGGAGATCTCCTCTCCCCGGAGGTAACATAGCACTGCCAGCTTGGGGCTCCTCTCTTCCTGCGTTTGACCCTACTCCTGCCCCTCTATTTCTGCTCAGCTTGCTCTTTGATGACTTCTGCCTTGACCCGTTCTCTTCCTGGCATGCACATGCTCTGGCCCAGCAGGTACGGTGCCCATACTTACTTCGGGCCCCGTGCTCGCTTCTGTCGCTCTGCTTGCTGCCACCTCCCTCTGTCATTGCCTCTGTTCCTGGGGTGGATGAAGGTTGCTGGGCAAAGGGGATATGTTAGCAGGGCTAGGCAGGACACCAGTTCTAAATCCTACTTCCTAAAGATTTGTCTGTATGTCTATAGCTGGAGCAGTTCAGCATGGAGAGCCCATCAGCCAGCCTGGTGCTGGATCCCCCTGGCTTTTCTGAAGGGCCTGGATTTTTAGGGGGTGAGGGGCCAATGGGTGGCCCCCAGGATCCCCACACCTTCAACCACCAGAACTTGACCCACTGTTCCCGCCATGGCTCAGGGCCTAACATCATCCTCACAGGTGAATGGGGGTGGGTGGTGATGGGAAATGGAAGGAGGAAGTGACACATTCACTAATGAGTAGGAGATTGAGGGGTCTTGGAAAAGTTTACAGGACATGGGGTCCTCACCTGTCTCTTCTACCCACAGGGGACTCCTCTCCAGGTTTCTCTAAGGAGATTGCAGCAGCCCTGGCCGGAGTGCCTGGCTTTGAGGTGTCAGCAGCTGGATTGGAGCTAGGGCTTGGGCTAGAAGATGAGCTGCGCATGGAGCCACTGGGCCTGGAAGGGCTAAACATGCTGAGTGACCCCTGTGCCCTGCTGCCTGATCCTGCTGTGGAGGAGTCATTCCGCAGTGACCGGCTCCAATGAGGGCACCTCATCACCATCCCTCTTCTTGGCCCCATCCCCCACCACCATTCCTTTCCTCCCTTCCCCCTGGCAGGTAGAGACTCTACTCTCTGTCCCCAGATCCTCTTTCTAGCATGAATGAAGGATGCCAAGAATGAGAAAAAGCAAGGGGTTTGTCCAGGTGGCCCCTGAATTCTGCGCAAGGGATGGGCCTGGGGGAACTCAAGGGAGGGCCTAAAGCACTTGTAACTTTGAACCGTCTGTCTGGAGGTCAGAGCCTGTTGGAAAGCAGGGGTAGAGGGGAGCCCTGGAAGCAGGGCTTTTCCGGATGCCTAGGGGTGGGCAGTGCCAGCCCCTCCTCACCACTCTTCCCCTTGCAGTGGAGGAGAGAGCCAGAGTGGATACTATTTTTTATTAAATATATTATTATATGTTAATAAAAAAATCATATCAAACCCTTGGTGTGGTTAGTTATTTGGGGCATGGCTGGGGATCTAGGGAGTTATAGGGCCATGGGTCTTTTTATCTATTAGGCTTTTTGCATCTTCTTAGCACCACTGTGCTTTGTGGAAGGGCCCCACAGCCTCGGAATTTGTACCCAGCTGGATGTAGGCTTCCACGGCAGCAGGAAATCACTTCATGTGCCCTCCTGTCTGTCCAGGGCCCTGCTGCAGCATCAGATGGGGGCTTTGACTGATCAGACAAGTTATTCCTCTTCCTCAACCCTAGGTCTGGCAGTGAGTCGGGTAAGGAGGTGATTGCTGGCTGAGCCCACAGGTCTGAAGTGCTCCTAGGTCTCAGGGAAGCAAGCCTTCATCCTCACTCCCTCACTATGCATGCATTCACTTCACCCTCTCCACTCTTCACCACTCATTCATTTTAGTTTTAATTAAACAGATCCTTCAGTGCCATGCATGTTCTGAAGGTTTTCTCTTTCTGGATTGGGTTGCCAGCCCTTGGACCAGCCGTGTGGGCCTCTGCACCCCTCACTCCCCCAACCCGCATAGTGAGAAAAGTAGAGCCCCGCAGTTACCTTACCCCCACCTCCACTGCTCTATTCCACACCCTGCAGTCCTGGCCTCTCTTCCTCTTTCCAAAGCTCTTGTCATTTTCAAAAAAGAGAACTGAGAGCTTCTGGTTCTGGTCCAAAGGGAATGCCCTGTGCCCTAAACCTGGAAGTAGGGGGAGCCACCTGGGTCCCCGTAGACTAGACCTTCGGGACTTCACCTGCGCCCACATCATGCTTGCCACATCTGACTGCAGGACCCAGGCGGGAAGGGAGCGCGCCGCGGCCCTCTGGGTCGCCTGGGGTCAGTGTCCTGAGGCACGGGCTGGATGGTGGGAAGCTACCTGGGTGCAGGGGGCCCTCCCAGCCGCCAGGGGTCGGGCTGCAGGCGGCTGGGCTTTGGGCAGACGCTTGCCAGGGTCACGGCCGCCGGCCGAGGAGGAGGGGTGGGGGTAGCGGCGGCGCCCGCGGCCCGGAGCGGGGGTTGGGGGAGTAGAGAAAGCGGGGCGCGCGGAGGAACGCTGGGTCCCCGGCGCCGCGGGAGCTGGGAGGACCGAGCCGGCCGAGCGAGCAGCGCGGCAGCACAGTCCCCGCGTGGCGCAGCGCGGCGGGGACGCGGGGACCGCCCGGATCTCCTTCCACTGCGCCCCGCGCTCTGCGGTCCTCGGCCGCCTCTTCTTCCTTCACTCACTGCCCGGGCGGGAGCGGCGCCCAAGTCGGGTGCGCCATGTCTGGGGCCGGGTAGCCCCGCCGCCCGCCGGCCCGCCAGCTCGCCCTCCGAGCCACCCGCCAGCGGGCCGGCCGGCCGGGAAGCGCGGGACAGGCAGGTAGGGGCTGGACCGGGCTGGGCGGCAGGCGGGGACGGGCAGGAGGGAGCGCGGGCGGCAGGCGGGGTGGGGGATGGCCCCCAGCTGCTGTCCCTCACTGCACATCTGGTTCCGGTTCCTCTCTCCTGGGGAAGTGAAAGTGGAGGGGAGGGCACCTCCCGCAATTAGCTCGCCGTGCCCGGCCTCCTGCACCCCCTTCTGCTCCCGTGGGTGCCGGAGTCGGAGCCGCCCTCCCTCCCGCTTGGGTCACGCGGCGGCCGGCGCTGCTGCCGTCACGTCCTCGGCCGCCGGCGCGCCTGCTTCTCTGCCCTCCTGCTCCTTCCTCAGCCTCCTCCCCCTCGGCGCGCCCTCTGCCCCAACCCGAACTTCCCGTCACCCGGCACGCGGGCGTGGGGACCCGGAGTGGGCCCTGTGCCCGTTGTCTTCCCTAGGGAGAAAGGGCTGCTTTCTGCAGGACTCTTCCCTGGCTTGGTGAGGGGAGGCCCCGGTGCGCAGGTCCTGCGGATGGGTGCCACCCACTTGCCCCTCAGAAGGTCCCACCTAATGGCCTCTGCCTGCTGCCTTGGGCATAGGGCTCCCATTCGCCCTCAGTGGATGAGGGACAGGTCTGTGCCCCAGAATTAAATCAAGAGGCTGACGCTGACTCCTGGCTTTACCTCCCAGAAGTGGAGTCTAAATTTAGCTGGGGTTGGTGTGTGTACGTGTGTGCGTGTGTGTGTGCGTGTGTGTGTGTGTGTGTGTGTCCAGAGGCCAGGTGATGAAGAAAGCCAGCCTGGCTCTATGAGATTCCTTATTCCCTGTTCTCTGGGGGAACAGCAGGAGGTTAGCAGGACTGCACATCCTGGAACCATTCTGAGCCTCCTCTGCCTTGCTCAGGATCCTATAGTCTGAGATTCCAACTTGGCGTAATGCTGTGCTGGCACCTTCAATGGTAACCCCACCACCGCCACCGCCACCACACACACCCATAGGCTGACTTCCTCTGAGTTGCAGCTTCCCCTCCACTGTTTCAGGAAGTAACCTCCCTTCCCCTCTGAAGCACCCCCCACGCTTCTGGGCCCCTGCTGCGAGCTACCCACCAGGCTTTTTCCCAGCTTCTGCACCCTGGGGCGCCTCAGGACCCTTGGGGCTCCTACTCCCCGGGGTTGGGCCATGGAGGCAGGTGAGAACTAGGCTGTTGTGGGCCTGTTTCTGTCTCTGGGCTCCATGGTGGAGGGTGTGGGATGGCCGGGACTTGTCTCTCACAACTGCTTTGGATCTAACGAGCTACCTAAGGATCCTGGAGGTGTGAGAACACTGGATTTTGGGCCAGATTGGTGGAGTTAAGCTAGGAGAAAGGACACTTGGGTTCGTTGAAAAGACTCTTAAAGCTTGGGTTTTGTGGGCTTTCTCAGAAACCCATGGGGTCCTCTTAAAAACCTAGGAGTGGGCTCTTTAAGAACATTGGCAGGATCACAAGGTTCTTATGGTGTCATAACTAGAGTAGGAAGGTCAGAAACCCTTGAAAAGACTGTAAGGTTGGTATGATGTCATGGCCAGCATGAATGATGTCATGGAAGGCTATTACAAAAAAGATTGTGATCTCTGTGATGTTATAACTGGTGAGCCTTTAAAAGGGACACATGGACAATGTGAATGTCATAGCTCAGGTTAGCTGTGTGTGGTGGAGTTTAGGTTCTTTGAGGGGAGTGCCAGGACCATTAAGTGGGAGGGATCTGGTCTCTTTAAGAAGCTGTGGTGGGCAGTGATGTCACAGGGGGAAGAGTTCAGGATTGGCCGACCCCTTATCCTGCCTTTCTTTGGAAGGACTAGGAAGAGGAGGGGAGCAAGAGGGTACCCTGGTTGCCATGGCATCCCCAGCCTTCCTTGCTTCATCTCTCTCCCACTTGACCATTCCAGATGCAGTGAGTGAGGGGGGGGCCATGGCGGAGGAGCGGCCCCCCCGGCTGGTGGATTACTTCGTGGTAGCTGGGCTTGCAGGGAACGGAGCACCCATCCCTGAGGAAACGTGGGTTCCTGAACCCAGTGGGCCCCTGCGCCCTCCCCGGCCAGCTGAGCCCATCACAGATGTGGCAGTCATCGCTAGGGCACTGGGCGAGGAAGTGCCCCAGGGCTACACATGCATCCAGGCTTCTGCTGGGGGCCACCCCTTGGAACTCAGTGCTGGACTTCTGGGTGGAACTCAACCCGTCATCTGCTACCGCAGGGGCCGTGACAAGCCCCCCCTCGTTGAGCTGGGGTGTGTGCCCCTACCCATGCTGGCACCAGGGGAGGCTGGGAGGGACTCCAGTGAGACAGGGAGAGGTAGGACTATGGAACAAGGGAAGGGCAATGGGGATGGGAGCCTGGTGGGCCAGGGGCCAGGAAGGAAGGACTGAAGTTGTATGTACTTAGTCCTTACAGATGCGATTTCATGTGCTAGTGCTGCTCCTTGCTAGCTCTGAGAGCTTAGGCAGGTTTTTGAGCTCCTCTGGGCCTGTTTTCCTCATCTGTCAAATGGGGAAAATAATTCATCCTCATAGGATGGTCGAGATTAAATGAGATAACCCATGTGACAGACTTAACAGAGTCAGTCAGTGGTAGCTTGTATAACTATTTTTTTTTTTTTTTTTTTTTTTATAGACAGAGTCTCTCTCTGTCACTCAGGCTGGAGTGCAGTGGTGTGATCTTGGCTCACTGCAACCTTCGCCTCCTGGGTTCAGGCAATTCTCCTGCCTCAGCTTCCTGAGTAGCTGAGACTATAGGCATGTGCCACCACGTCCAGCTAATTTTTGAATTTTTAGTAGAGATGGGGTTTGACCATGTTGGCCAGGCTGGTCCTGAACCCCTGACCTCAGGTGATCCACCTGCCTTGGCCTCCCAAAGTGCTGGGATTATAGGCATGAGCCACCGTGCCCAGCTGACCCTTAGTGTTTATTAATGAGTATGAGAGCCATAGAAGGCATGCAGGATTGTTGCTGACCATGAAATAAGGCCAAAGGCCAAAGAAAGGGCACAGGATTCTGGAGGGCAGAGTTCAGCAAGAAGAGGTGGGCCCTAGTGTTAGAGTTTGACAAGGCTGTGGGTACAAGGCAAGTTCAGGGGATTAGATAGGCAGATCTGGCAGGATTGGGTCTTTGTCCTCTACCCTGACCTCTCAACATCTATCTTTGCTCTCTGTGCCAAGGGTGTTGTATGAGGGGAAGGAACGTCCCAAGCCTGGCTTCCAAGTGCTTGACACGACACCCTACAGCCACTCAGCAAACCTGGCCCCTCCAGGCCCCGGGCACCCCCGCACCTACCTCACTTACCGGCGGGCAGCAGAGGGGGCAGGGCTGCATGCCCTGGGCATCACTGACCTCTGCCTGGTGCTGCCCAGTAAGGGCGAGGGCACTCCTCATACTTACTGCCGGCTGCCCCGCAACCTCAACCCTGGCATGGTGAGTGGGGCCAAGAGCTGACACCTGGTCCTCTTGGTGTAAGAGTGGGTGTGGACACTGGGAACAAAGGGCATCCCAGGACCAAGGCTCTGACCACAGGGGTGAGTCCAGAGGGGTAACTCTGGTCTTGGGGCACTGGGATTAATGGGAGCTTTAAAGACAAAAGAACATTTAGGGGTGGTAGAGAGAAAGTGGACCCCAGAAACCTTTGTTAGCTATGTATCTGCTTGTCTCTTGCCATTTCTGGGGTAGTGGGGCCCAGCAGTGTACCTGTGCTATAAGGTGGGCCTGGCGAAGGCCAACACGCTGGTGTACGAGGCAGGTGAGTGGCCCCTTTATCCCTCCAATCCTGTGACCCTACATCCCTTTGCCCTGGTGCCTCTTGGCAGGCACCTTAAGTGTCCCCAGAGTTTACTTTCTCTTTGCTACTCGGGCCTTCTCTGGGATCCCTTGGTTCATTTCCCTTGGAGTCTGATGGACCCTGCTCCTTTTGGGTACCCCCAACTATGCTGGGGGTGCAGAGCTGCTGGGCCGCTACCCGGAGGAGGACAATGAGGCGTTCCCGCTGCCCGAGTCAGTGCCCGTCTTCTGCCTGCCCATGGGGGCCACTATCGAGTGCTGGCCTGCCCAGACCAAGTACCCCGTGCCCGTCTTCTCCACCTTTGTGCTCACGGGTGCAGCTGGTGATAAGGTGGGTGTGTGGAGTGTGGCAAGGGGTCCAGGCTATGCAGGGCCTGCCTGACTACCCTTCTGCCCCCTGCCAGGTGTATGGTGCCGCCCTGCAGTTCTACGAGGCGTTCCCAAGGGCCAGGCTATCAGAGCGACAGGCACGGGCACTGGGCCTGCTGAGCGCCGTGGAGCGGGGTCGGGCACTGGGGGGCAGAGCTGTGCGCAGCCGGCGTGCCATCGCTGTGCTGTCCCGCTGGCCTGCCTTCCCTGCCTTCCGCGCCTTCCTCACCTTCCTTTACCGCTACTCCGTCTCAGGCCCCCACCGCCTACCCTTGGAAGCGTGAGCATGGCTCCTCTGCCATTGGGAAGGGGTTAGGAAGGGATAAGGGGGCCAGGAGAGATGGGAGAGATTCAGATGTGGGTGGGGGGAGGGCTGGGCACAGGGTAAGGGACAGGGCTGCAGTGTGTGGTTATACAGTTTATCCACTGTAAAAACGCCACGGGCTGAGGAGGGGAGCAGGGCCTGAAATCCAGTCTAAACTTACTAGTTAGGTCCTGGCAAAGGGCTGTGTATGCCCAGGGAGGATTTCTTTTCTGATCTGCACAAATTATATGCATAATGGAGGTTCTGTTGGCTGATAACAGGTCTCAAAGTGGGGTTCAGGAAGGAATAAGGTTCTTGAGAACAAGTGAAAGAGCTGAGAAAATGTGGAGGGAGGACAGGGATGGACGGGGGAGTATGCTCTGACCTGTTTCTCTGTCCCCCAGGCACATCTCCCACTTCATTCACAACGTTCCCTTCCCTTCCCCACAGAGACCCCGCATCCTAGTGCAGGTGAGAGCTGAGGCTGGGGCCGGGCTGATGGAAGGAGGGGAGTTGGCATCATTACCCTGAGCCGTGGCTCTTCTTCCCTTCCAGATGTCTCCCTATGACAACTTGCTCCTCTGTCAGCCTGTATCCTCACCCCTGCCCCTCAGGTATGTGATCAGATTGTGGGGAGGGGAGCTTTAATGACCAAGGACATGGTAGGTGCTGGGCAGGTGGGTGCAGCTGTTGAGGTTTATGCAGGCTGGGTCCAGGTGGTGGCTGTGCCTGGCATCTGGGGAAGGGTCCCCAGGGTATCCTGGTGACCCTTTCCCCACCTCGGCATTGCCTGCAGTGGTGCCAGCTTCCTGCAGCTGCTGCAGAGCCTGGGCCCTGAGCTGGCTATCACACTGCTGCTGGCTGTGCTCACAGAGCACAAGCTGCTAGTCCACTCGCTGCGGCCAGACCTGCTCACCAGCGTCTGTGAGGCCCTCGTCTCGGTGAGTGCCGCCCCGCCTGGCCCATCTTCCCCAGAACCATGGTTCTTTCTGGTGCCCCTATCCCTGCCTGGACTCTTCCCTTTTCCTTCCTTGTGGAGGATCCTCAGCCCCTTTCCCTGGGCACAGCCTGCAGGAACACATAGCTTCCATCAGGAGCTCTTCTCTAGAGCCTACTTCCAACAGCCTCTCTCAACAGGCACCAACTCCCCAAGGCCAATGCCCTCTCTTTCTCTCTCCTGTGCCTCCCACTGCTGCCTCAACCCCCTGTTCACTGGTTCTCACTGCCTGGTGCTTCAGATGATCTTCCCACTGCACTGGCAGTGCCCCTACATTCCTCTGTGCCCGCTGGTGCTGGCAGATGTGCTGAGTGCCCCAGTGCCCTTCATTGTGGGTATCCACTCCAGCTACTTTGATCTGCATGACCCGCCTGCTGATGTCATCTGTGTAGACCTTGATACCAACACGCTCTTCCAGTAAGAGGCTGGGTCTCATTTGGGGGCTGCAGGGTGGTGGGCAGGAATGGGCTAGTGTGTGGAGTGCTACGGGCTCAAAAAGAGCTTCAGGCACAAAGTGAGGGAGGCTGGCAAGGAACCCCGTCACCCTATCCCAGAGCCTCGCCACTCTTTCCCCTTATGCTTTTCTCACAGGACTGAGGAAAAGAAGCTCCTCTCCCCTCGGACCCTGCCCCGCAGACCCTACAAGGTTCTGCTGGCCACACTGACAAACCTGTACCAGCAGCTGGACCAGAGTGAGAAGCCTGGGTGGGGAGGGAGGCTGGGAACTGTCATTGCCCTCAAACCTCCAGTTTGCAGAGGTCTGTGGGGAGCTAGACATTTCTTAAGGAGGTGAGTGAAGTTAGGATTGCATTTGGTGGAACTGAGGGAGATTCCAATTCCAACTGAAGCTAGAAGGAAGGGCAGACAGTATTCCTGAACATGTGGGAAATATCAAGCTTGAACCTGTTAGTTGAAGGTAATACTTTAGTTGCTACTGGTGCAAGGTCTGCCAGAGGCTGGAGGTGGAGATGGAGGCATGAGAGCAGAGTTGAGGGTAACACTATGGGAGCCAGCCCTGACTCTTAGGCTGCCCTGGCCTCCAGCATACACTGGACCTGAGGAGGAAGCATCCCTGGAGTTCCTACTGACAGACTACGAGGCAGTGTGTGGCCGCAGGGCCCGGCTGGAGCGCGAAGTCCAAGGAGCCTTCCTCCGCTTCATGGCCTGTCTGCTCAAGGGCTACCGGGTCTTCCTGCGCCCACTCACCCAGGCCCCCTCCGAGGGAGCTCGTGATGTTGACAACCTTTTCTTCCTGCAGGGTATAGAGGGCCTGTCTCTGCTTGGAGATGTATCATGGGAGGAGGTGGCGAGGGGCTGGGCTCTGTCAGAAAGGCGGAGGGGACTGGGAGCCACTCCATTGTTTATTCCTTCACTAGGCAAATGTTTTTATGGGCACCCGCTTTGAGCCATTTAACTCTTCTGGTCTTGGGGGGGAATCAGGGTACAAAGATGAAACCAGCTGTGGTCCTGCCCTCTGGAGCCCCAGGCTTGGGGTAGCCACAGTAATCCCTGTAGTGAGCAGCCCCCACGGGCAAAGCTCTGTGCAGGGACCCTGCCCTTGGAGACCCCCCCCAGTCTGAGGCAGTGGGTACAGGCAGACAAAGGGAGGGATTCTCTAGGGCCATTGTGCTGGGGGTGCTGAGCTGGTCAGCCTGGTATTAGGGTAGTTGTGCCAGAGGGTCCAAGAGATTATGGCTTTGGGCCTGAGTGGGCAGGGAGCCAAGAAGAGATTCAAAAAAGCTATGGCTGTGGTGGAGAGCCCTGGTCACACCCCTCCTCTGCCCCATTCTCATACCCCTCAGGCTTCCTCAAATCCCGGGAACGCTCCAGCCACAAACTTTACTCTCAGCTGCTGCACACACAGATGTTCTCACAGTTCATTGAGGAGTGCTCTTTTGGCTCTGCTCGCCATGCTGCCCTTGAATTCTTTGACTCTTGTGTTGAAAAGGTATCATCCCTTCTCTATGTGCTCATTGGCCTCTGCTGTCTCCCTCATTGTCTCTGTTGCCCCAAGGCCATTTTAGACGGAATCGGGCATGTTCAGGGTGGTATGGCTGTAGACCCCAGGGCCATTTTATTTTATTTATTTATTTATTTTAATTTTTAATATTTTTTTAAGTTTTCTTATTTTTCATTTTTTTTTTTTGAAACGAAGTCTTGCTCTGTCGCCCAGGCTGGAGTGCAGGGGCGTGATCTCAGCTCACTACAAGCTCTGCCTCCCGGGTTCACGCCATTCTCCTGCCTCAGCCTCCTAAGTAGCTGAGACTACAGGCGCCCGCCACCACGCCTGGCTAATTTTTTGTATTTTTAGTAGAGACGGGGTTTCACTGTGTTAGCCAGGATGGTCTTGATCTCCTGACCTCATGATCCACCTGCCTCGGCCTCCCAAGGTGCTGGGATTACAAGCGTTAGCCACCGCGCCTGGCTTTTTTTTTTTTTTTGAGATAGTTTTGCTCTGTCTCCCAGGCTGGAGTGCAGTGGCGCGATATCGGCTCACTGCAACCTCCACCTCCCAGGTTCAAGTGATTCTCCTGCCTCAGTCTCCTGAGTAGCTGGGATTACAGGTGTGCACCAATATGCCTGGCTAATTTTTGTATTTTTACTAGAGACAGGGTTTCACCATGTTGGCCAGGCTGGTCTCGAACTCCTGGCCTCAAGTAATCCGCCCACCTCGGCCTCCCAAAGTGCTGGGATTACAGGCGTGAGCCACTGTGTCTGGCCCCCAGGGCCATTGTAAACACAACTCTATATCTTAACTGTGACTGGGATGGCACTTCTGGAGTTATACAGTGCACAACCTGTGCAGCCACACACAGCTGGCCCCGTACATGTAATGTACTGTCCTCCCGTTCCTGACGCCATCTTCCCAGGCTGTGTCTCTTTCCTTGTGGATGAGCTTTCCTGGGAGATGCCATCGTCTAGACACCCTGGCTCTGCTCCATGCCCACCATCTCAACACTTGCTCTCTTAAAATCCTTCTCCAGGTCCACCCAGAGCAGGAGAAGCCTGAGCCGACACCCTTAGTGGAGCTAGAGGAGCTGTCAGGAAGTGAGCTCACTGTCTTTATCACACCTCCCGAGGAGCCTGCCTTACCAGAGGGCAGTGAATCCACTCCCCAGTACTGGTGAGAGTCTCTTAGCCTTCACATGTTCCAGGGTCCCATAGACTGGTCCAGTCCAACTCGCTTCGCCCTGTGCTGACTGCCCCGATGTTGCTTCTCTCTGCCCCTCCAGCTATGATGGATTCCCAGAGCTACGGGCTGAGTTGTTTGAGTCTCTTCAAGAGCAACCTGGGGCCCTGCCTGTGCCAGGCCCTTCCCGTAGCGCCCCCAGCAGTCCTGCTCCTCGCCGTACCAAACAGGTAAGCAGTGGGTGGACCGCACTGAGGGACCCGGATCAGGCTGAAGGCTGCTGCTGCTTCAGTTTCCTCATCTACAAAATGGGTATAACAATAATACTTAACCCATGAGGTTGTTAGGAGTTTAAATGTGCTTGGCACATAAGCAACCCTGTATAAACATTAGTTGCTATTATCACTGTCATTATCATCATCATCATCACCTCCGTCTTCTGAGCACTCTGGGAATCCAGGGGCTGGCCATGTCTTCTAGGGCACCTGCCCATGCTCAAGGGCCAGCCTCTCTGCACGGGGCTCCAGGCAGGGCTGCAGCCTGTGAAGTACAGCATCCCTTCTCCTCCTTAGAGCACAGACCCTTCCTCAGAGAAGGTGCTACTTCTTCCCACACCACTTTAGGGTCTGTCCTGGTGGCTCATGCCTTTAATCCCAGCATTTTGGGAGGCTGAGGCAGGCAGATCACTTGCGCCCAGGAGTTTGTGACTAGCCTGGGCAATGTGGCAAAACCTTGTCTTTACAAAAAGTACAAAACAATCAGTCGGGCTTGGTGGTGCGTCCCAGCTACTTGAGACTGAGGTGGGAGAATCGCTTGAGCCCAGGAGGCCGAGTCTGCAGTGAGCCAAGATTGCGCCACTGCACTCCAGCCTGGGTGACAGAGCGAGACCGTCATAAATAAATAAATAAATAGATAAGTAAGAAAGACCTGGCATTGTACTCACCCTGATGTGTCCCCTGTCCTACCTAGGAGATGAAAGTTGCACAGCGGATGGCACAGAAGTCAGCAGCTGTGCCTGAGCTGTGGGCCCGGTGCCTGCTGGGGCACTGCTATGGGCTGTGGTTCCTGTGTCTGCCTGCCTATGTGCGGTCGGCACCCTCCCGAGTGCAGGCACTGCACACAGCCTACCATGTGCTGCGCCAGATGGAGAGCGGCAAGGTGGTGCTCCCTGATGAGGTAGGCAATCTATGTGACCATGCTCATACCCAGGCCCAGTGAGCCTTGTGCAGCTGGAGAGGGCTGTGAGAGGGAAACTTGGTGGAGACTAAGGAAAGAAGTTGCAGAGCCCCAGAGCTGGGCAGATTATCTATAAACATTCGTCGAGTGAATAAGCATGTTCAGGGTTTAGCAGTGAAGACTGTAGGGTGGCAGGGTCAGCAGAAAGGGTGGGTGGCTCTGAGGTAGCCCCAGGACCTGCCAGGGGCCAGTGATGTCTGTGAGAATTGGGGAGGCAGGAAGAGGGTGCTTGCTGAGACTTTGGTTTTGGTTGAGAGTGAGTCTCCCATTGTCCTGTGCCTCTCCTGGCCCAGGTGTGTTACCGGGTACTGATGCAGCTCTGCTCACACTATGGGCAGCCTGTGCTGTCTGTGCGGGTCATGCTGGAGATGCGTCAGGCAGGCATTGTGCCCAACACCATCACCTATGGCTACTACAATAAGGTACCTACTTTGGGGTGAGGGGTGGGATGGCAGCTGTGCCAGGGTGTGTGAGGGGAGGCTGCTGCTGCTCCCCTCGCTCCTTGGAGATTGGGCTGGTACTGTTTGCCTAGGTCCTGGAACCACTGTCATCCACATTGCACTCCTGTGGTGCCTTAGCACCTACAGTTTCTCAGACGAGGCTGCTTTGATTCCCACTCATGACAGCCCTGCCTACAACTAATAGTGTCAGCCGCTAAGCCAGGCACGGGTCCATACGCATCACACATTTTACATCATTTTATCTTCACGACAGCCCTATGAGGTGGGATGATCATTATCCCCATCTTATAGAAGAGGAGATGAGGTTGTAGAGAGTTAGTAACTCGTCCAAGGTCCCGCAGCAAAGAAGTTAAGGAGTGAGAATATGGGCACAGGGCTGGGTGCAGTGGCTCATGCCTGTAATCTCAGCACTTTGGGAGGCTGAGGCAGGCAGATCACCTGAGATCAGGAGTTCGAGACCAGCCTGGCCAACATGGTGAAACCCTGTCTCTATTAAAAATACAGAAATTAGCTTGGTGTGGTGGTGGGTGCCTGTAGTCCCAGCTACTTGGGAGGCTGAGGCAAGAGAATCACTTGAACCCGGGAGGCAGAGGTTGCAGTGAGCCAAGATTGCGCCACTGCGCTCCAGCCTGGGCGACAGAGCAAGACTCCGTCTCGAAAAAAAAGAAAAAAGAATATGGGCAGAGGCATATCCATATCTCCCGAATTCAGGCCCTTAGCCATGATACTAAACTGCCTCCTGTTTTTTAGATGAGGAGACTAATGACCAAATAAATGAAATGATTTCTTCAGAGCCATATATTTTATATTTCTAAGCAGCAAGGTCTGGGTACAAATTTTCTCCACTGCCTCTGGGTTCTTCTAGGCCCCTTGGGAGGCAGCTGCTGCCTACTGTCTCTTCTGGGCTCTTGTTCCTGGCTGAGCCATTGGCCGGACAGTCCTAGACAGGATGTCTGCAGGGGAAGGG
Source organism: Homo sapiens (assembly GCF_000001405.40). NCBI lineage: Eukaryota > Metazoa > Chordata > Mammalia > Primates > Hominidae > Homo > Homo sapiens. The sequence continues at coordinate 153,935,053 of NC_000001.11, read as the reverse complement.
CGGTCCCTGGGGCTCCAAGACAGGGAGTGGGTATGAGGCAGGGTTAGGGTGTCGAGGTAGGCCATCCTGATGGGCACTGTGCTTGGTAGGCTGTGTTGGAAAGCAAGTGGCCGTCTGGCACACCAGGTGGGCGTCTGCGCTGGGCCAAGCTCCGGAATGTTGTCCTGGGGGCTGCTCAGTTCCGCCAGCCCTTGAGAGAACGGCAACAGCAGCAGCAGCAGCAACAGCAGCAGCAGCAGCAGCAGCAGCAGGAGCAGGTGTCAGCACATCAAGAGGCAGGCAGCTCCCAGGCAGGTGGGTAGGGCCTGGTGAGACAGGCTTGGGGATGGAGTAGCTGGGCTCAGGCAGGGAAAGGCATAGAGAGTTGGGGCTGGTCTAATGGTTGGCATTGGGTTTCTGGGGATTGATAAATTACACTTGACTGGTAACAAAAGGGATAAAAAAATTAGCTGGGCGTGGTGGCGCGCACCTGTAGTCCCAGCTACTTGGGAGACTGAGGCAGGAGAATCACTTGAACCCAGGAGGCAGAGGTTGCAGTGAGCTGAGATGGCGCCACTGCACTCCACCTAGCTACAGAGCAAGACTCCATCTCAAAAAACAAAACAAAACAAACAAACAAACAAACACAAAACGGATAAAGTTTTGCCTGGGAGGAACCCTGCAAACCCTGGTCCATCTAAGGAGCTCTATTTTGGAACAGGGGACTGGGTTCCTAGCTGGCCGCCTCTAAACCCCTTCTCGTCTTTTACAGAGCCCTATTTGGAGCGCCCTTCCCCTACTCGCCCTCTTCAGCGCCAGACTACTTGGGCTGGGCGAAGTCTGAGAGACCCAGCCTCACCCCCTGGACGCCTGGTGAAGAGTGGTAGCCTGGGCAGTGCCCGAGGGGCACAGCCCACTGTGGAGGCCGGTGTGGCCCACAGTGAGTGCCCTTGTCTGGCTCCCTCACTCCCCCAGTCAGCTTTCCTAACCACTTGCTAGTGAGGTGGGGAAGACCAGAAACAGAGTGGAGGGCGGCCCTCTGTGGTGGGTGCTGTAGATTCTGAGGGAATCTCGCCCAGAATATCATCATGGTGGGGGTGGTGGCACCAGAGTTTGTGCAGCCAGGAATTGTGTTTATTCAGGAAAGGGGAAGTTGGTGCAGAGGCTGGGGTCCATCTTCCCTCATTCTTTTCTGTGCTGCAGTGATAGAGGCCTTGGGGGTCCTGGAACCCCGGGGATCACCTGTGCCCTGGCACGATGGAAGTCTCTCAGACCTGAGCCTGACAGGGGAGGAGCCGCTCCCTGGAGGCAGCCCAGGGGGCTCAGGCTCAGCCCTGAGTGCCCAGTCCACTGAGGCCCTGGAAGGGCTAAGTGGGCGGGGACCCAAGGCTGGTGGGCGACAGGATGAGGCAGGCACCCCCCGACGAGGGCTGGGTGCCCGCCTCCAACAGCTGCTCACTCCTTCCCGCCACTCCCCTGCCTCCCGCATTCCCCCACCTGAGCTGCCTCCTGACCTGCCACCCCCAGCCCGCCGCAGCCCCATGGACAGTCTTCTGCACCCCCGGGAGCGCCCTGGATCCACTGCCTCCGAGGTAGCCAGTGAAGGAGGGTCCAGATGCCTTAGCATTAGTGGGCTTGGGGAGGGGCTACGACTGGAAGAATGCTCAAAAAGGGGGCTCTGAGGGGTGCTTGAAACACATATCCTGGGTGGAAGAGCATGGGGTTGGCTGACCATGGTTTCTCATGTCATGGTAGAGCTCAGCCTCTCTGGGCAGTGAGTGGGACCTCTCAGAATCTTCTCTCAGCAACCTGAGTCTTCGCCGTTCCTCAGAGCGCCTCAGTGACACCCCTGGATCCTTCCAGTCACCTTCCCTGGAAGTGAGGATAACCCCTCCCACACAGATGTGCTTGAACACACATAGCACACACTCACCCTGTCCAAGGCAGGAGATGGGGAGGAGGTGGGAGGGGCTGGGGAAGGGGCATGGGCTCCAGAGTGCTGGCGGCCAGACAGCACCTACTTCCCGACTCTCCCTGCCCACAGATTCTGCTGTCCAGCTGCTCCCTGTGCCGTGCCTGTGATTCGCTGGTGTATGATGAGGAAATCATGGCTGGCTGGGCACCTGATGACTCTAACCTCAACACAACCTGCCCCTTCTGCGCCTGCCCCTTTGTGCCCCTGCTCAGTGTCCAGACCCTTGATTCCCGGCCCAGGTGCCCAAGGCAGGGCAAGTGCTGTGGGTGGGAATAGGGAGGTGAAGGTCCAAAAGCTGACCCCTGCTGCTATCCCCCTGCAGTGTCCCCAGCCCCAAATCTGCTGGTGCCAGTGGCAGCAAAGATGCTCCTGTCCCTGGTGGTCCTGGCCCTGTGCTCAGTGACCGAAGGCTCTGCCTTGCTCTGGATGAGCCCCAGCTCTGCAACGGGCACATGGGGGTAAGGGCTGGGCCAAAGGGGCATGAGGAACGGGAATGTTGCCCTGTGTGGGGCCTGTGGGGTGCCAGGGAGAGATGGGCACATCTCTTGCCCTTGAGGGCAAGGGGCATCCCAAAAGCTGTTGGATGTGGTGGCTCAGTGGGAGGCAAGGCTCTGGGGATGTACATGCCCTCTACTGCCCTCCCCCTTTGTGCCTGATAGGGAGCCTCCCGGCGGGTTGAGAGTGGGGCATGGGCATACCTGAGCCCCCTGGTGCTGCGTAAGGAGCTGGAGTCGCTGGTAGAGAACGAGGGCAGTGAGGTGCTGGCGTTGCCTGAACTGCCCTCTGCCCACCCCATCATCTTCTGGAACCTTTTGTGGTATTTCCAACGGCTACGCCTGCCCAGTATTCTACCAGGCCTGGTGCTGGCCTCCTGTGATGGGCCTTCGCACTCCCAGGTCAGTGCCCCCATGTGGCCCCTGTTTCCTAAGTGCCTCCCTCATCTCTCAGCCATTTGTCCACTGTGTCCTTGGCACTGTAGAAAGAGCATAGACTGGCCAGGCACGGTGGCTCATGCCTGTAATCCCAGCACTTTGGGAGGCCGAGGTGGGCGAATCACCTGAGGTCAGGAGTTCGAGACCAGCCTGACCAACTGGGAGAAACCCTGTCTCTACTAAAAATACAAAAAAAATTAGCCAGGCTTGGTGGTGCATGCCTGTAATCCCAGCTACTCGGGAGGCTGAGGTGGGAGAATTGCTTGAACCTGGGAGGCGGAGGTTGTGGTGAGCCGAGATCGCGCCATTGCCCTCCAGCCTGAGCAACAAGAGCAAAACTCCGTCTCAAGAAAAAAAAAAAGAGCATAGACTGGCTGGGTGTGGTGGCTCACGCCTGTAATCCCAGCATTTTGGGAGGCCAAGGTGGGCAGATCATGAGGTCAGGAGATCGAGACCATCGTGGCTAACACGGTGAAACCCCGTGTTACTAAAAATACAAAAAATTTGCCGGGCATGGTGGCGGGCGCCTGTAGTCCCAGCTACTCGGGAGGCTGAGGCAGGAGAATGGCGTGAACCCAGGAGGCGAAGCTTGCAGTGAGCTGAGATCGCGCCACTGCACTCCAGCCTGGACGACAGAGCGAGACTCTGTCTCAAAAAAAAAAAAAAAAAAAGAAAGAGCATAGACTTTGGAGTCTGCTGCACCTGGTTCGGATCCTTGCCGTTTCACTTTACCACTCTGAGCCTCAATTTGGTCATCTGTAAAATGGCATAAGCACCTATCTCACTGGGCTGGTGTGTGGACAACCTTGTGCAGAGCCTGGTACCTAAACAAATGATTCATTCATATTTGTCTATTCGTTCCACCAGTATTGAGTGCTTTTTATGTTCCAGGCACGGTTTTAGGCACTAGGTATGTAGCAGATTACAAAACAGTCCCTGCTCTCAAGAGCTTACATTCTTGTGGGGGATAAGAATTCCTTTCCCACTTCTCTTTGGCTGTGTCCTGTAATGGCCCTCTGTCTCTTTGGCATCACCTGTCCGTTTCTTGTCCTCTGCCTCCCATTCGTTGAGCCTAACTGTCTCCACTATCTTGGCTCCCCCAGGCCCCATCTCCTTGGCTAACCCCTGATCCAGCCTCTGTTCAGGTACGGCTGCTGTGGGATGTACTGACCCCTGACCCCAATAGCTGCCCACCTCTCTATGTGCTCTGGAGGGTCCACAGTGAGTCTGGTATTTGGCCTGGGTGGGGAGGGTGGGTCCCATACCCAGAGGGCTCAGTGATTCTGGTGGCCTTCTTTCCTTTCATCCAGGCCAGATCCCCCAGCGGGTGGTATGGCCAGGCCCTGTACCTGCATCCCTTAGTTTGGCACTGTTGGAGTCAGTGCTGCGCCATGTTGGACTCAATGAAGTGCACAAGGCTGTGGGGCTCCTGCTGGAAACTCTAGGGCCCCCACCCACTGGCCTGCACCTGCAGAGGTATGGTGCTACCATCTGGGTGATCCCTGGTCTGTCCGGGGCTCCACACCCCTTTTCTCTCACTCATACACTTCTGCCTCCACTAAAGGGGAATCTACCGTGAGATATTATTCCTGACAATGGCTGCTCTGGGCAAGGACCACGTGGACATAGGTGAGATTGCAGGCAAGGGGCTGAGGAGTTTAGGGATCTGGGGCCAGGTGTGGGAGGCTGCGGTCCTAACATGTTGACTTCCACCTTCTTCCCTAGTGGCCTTCGATAAGAAGTACAAGTCTGCCTTTAACAAGCTGGCCAGCAGCATGGGCAAGGAGGAGCTGAGGCACCGGCGGGCGCAGATGCCCACTCCCAAGGCCATTGACTGCCGAAAATGTTTTGGAGCACCTCCAGAATGCTAGAGACCTTAAGCTTCCCTCTCCAGCCTAGGGTGGGGAAGTGAGGAAGAAGGGATTCTAGAGTTAAACTGCTTCCCTGTTGCCTTCATGGAGTTGGGAACAGGCTGGGAAGGATGCCCAGTCAAAGGCTCCAAGCGAGGACAACAGGAAGAGGGATCCACTGTTACCAAAAGTCCTGATTCCCCCATCACCAACCTACCCAGTTTGTTCGTGCTGATGTTGGGGGAGATCTGGGGGGAGTTGGTACAGCTCTGTTCTTCCCTTGTCCTATACCGGGAACTCCCCTCCAGGGTACCCACAGATCTGCATTGCCCTGGTCATTTTAGAAGTTTTTGTTTTAAAAAACAACTGGAAAGATGCAGAGCTACTGAGCCTTTGCCCTGAATGGGAGGTAGGGATGTCATTCTCCACCAATAATGGTCCCTCTTCCCTGACGTTGCTGAAGGAGCCCAAGGCTCTCCATGCCTTTCTACCTAAGTGTTTGTATTTTATTTTAAATTATTTATTCTGGAGCCACAGCCCCCTTGCTTATGAGGTTCTTATGGAGAGTGAGAAAGGGAAGGGAAATAGGGCACCATGGTCCGGTGGTTTGTAGTTCCTTCAAAGTCAGGCACTGGGAGCTAGAGGAGTCTCAAGCTCCCCTTAGGAAGAACTGGTGCCCCCTCCAGTCCTAATTTTTCTTGCCTGCCCCGCCTTGGGGAATGCCTCACCCACCCAGGTCCTGACCTGTGCAATAAGGATTGTTCCCTGCGAAGTTTTGTTGGATGTAAATATAGTAAAAGCTGCTTCTGTCTTTTTCCTTCGGCCTCCTGTTCCCTGGGTCTGGGGTAATGCGGGGATACCTTTCATTTTCCCCAGGCTATACATCTGCTTTTCTACCTTCCCATCCTTTATAGTGTTCAGGCATACCCTGCGTCCCCTGACCATGTCTGGTACCGGCTCCTTGAGGCACAGGGAGTTCTCAGAGCAGGAGAAGGGTGAATCTGGTGCTGGCTATGGTGGTGCCAGTCCGTGTGGCACTTCCGGCCCTCCCACACAATCACCCCCTTGTCCCTCATCTATACCCCACACAAAGGCTCCATTCTCTGGGGACCCTGAGCTCATCTCTGCCTTATTTCCTCTCTTCCACCTTCCCCCACCAACCTTCTCCAGTACCTCCACAGGGATGACAATCATCTCCCCAGTAGTTGGTATTGGCAGCCCTCATGCATCCTGGCAGTCATCCTAGGCTGCCTGAGTTGCTGTAGCTGCAGGCACTATTCCTCCAACCAGGGTCTCAGCCTGGCAACAGCACCAGGAAGGCAGGGGCAAAGATTAAGGGACTTGCTGCATGTGGACATCAGGAAAACATGCATCATTTTCCTTATCCCTTTGGTCCACTTAAGAGCTTTTTTTTTTTCTTGTATAATGAAATAAACACAGGAAATGACTCCTAAAAGAGCGGCAAACCAATTACCAAAGGGAATTAGCCAATAAAACAAATGCCTTGGGGAAGGAGAGCAGGCGTATCAATGGAGGAAATAACTTACGAGAGCACATTTCTGGGGGGTGACCACTGGATGGAGAGTGAGGTACTACTTCTGGATGCTGAGTCTTTCAAGCCAGAGGACCATTTCCTATCCTGTCTTGAGCATGTTAGGATGCTTTTTCAGTGTCCTAGAGGAGCTGCACAGAAGAGAACCAAGGGGCTCAGGAAATGCCATTTATTTGTCTTACTAGGAGATGCTTTCTTCAGAGGGAAATTCTCACGCCACCCCAGTTTCTCATCAGACTGCAGTCCCCAGAATAAACCTCTTCCTGTTTCATCCCCCAAAGACCTTTTCAAGGGAGGACCTGGCCTTTTAAAATGAAGTTTCTGTTGAGTGTAGTGAGCTCAGCACTGCACTGAACTATAGAGAGAATTTCAGGGCTCAGTCCCTACCATAATGGAGCATACAGTCTTACTGGTCTGGAGGGCCCCTTTGTTCACAAACAATAACAATAATGAACTCTCTCTCCCAGCTTATGCTTCTCACTTTTGGGCCTCCTACAGACTTGCAGTCAGATGGAAGAACTACAGAATTCTTTAACCATAAGAATATCTAGGCTGGGCACAGTGGTTAACACCTGTAATCCCAACACTTTGGGGGCCAAGGCGGGCAGATCACTTCAGGCCAGGAATTTGAGATCAGCCTGGCCAACATGGCGAAACCCCATCTCTACTAAAAATACAAAAATTAGCCGGGCATGGTGGCTTATGCCTGTAATCCCAGCTACTCGGGAGGCTGAGGCTTGCTTGAACCCAGGAAGTGGAGGTTGCCATGAGCCAAGATCATGCCACTGCACTCTAGCCTGGGTGACAGAGCGAGACCCTGTCTTAGAAAAAAAAAAAACAAAAATCTGGGAATTTTAATAGCAAAGTATTCAACATGATATCTGACACATCTGTGTGTCCTATGGCCTAGGGAGCTGTATGAGAGGAAGGATATGCCCAAGTTATCTGGCCCATTTTCTCTTCCCAGGCTTTGGAGTGTATAGGCTCAAGTATAAAAAATTTGGGCTGGGCGCGGTGGCTCACGCCTGTAATCCCAGCACTTTGGGAGGCCGAGGTGGGCAGATCACGAGGTCAGGAGATCGAGACCAACCTGGCTGACACAGTGAAACCCCGTCTCTCCTAAACACACACACACACACACACACACACACACACACACACACACACACACACAAAAATTAGCTGGGCGTGGTGGCACCCGCCTGTAGTCCCAGCTAATTGGGAGGCTGAGGCAGGAGAATCGCTTGAACCCCAGAGGCAGAGGTTGCAGTGAGCCGAGATTGCACCATTGCACTCCAACTTGGGTGACAGTGAGACTCCGTCTCAAAAAAAAAAAAAAAAGGTCGCCTGAGGCCAGGTGCAGTGGCTCACTCCTGTAGTATCAGCACTTTGGGAGGCCGAGGAGGGTGGATTACTTGAGGCCAGGAGTTCGAGACCAGCCTGGCCAACATGGTGAAACCCCATCTCTATTCAAAATACAAAAAATTACGGCTGGGCACGGTGGCTCACGCCTGTAATCCCAGGGGAGGCCAAGGGAGGCGGATCATGAGGTCAGGAGTTCAAGACCAGCCTGGCCAACATAGTGAAACCTCAACTCTACTAAAAATACAAAGATTAGCCAAGTGTGGTGGCACGTGCCTGTAATCCCAGTTACTTGGGGTGCTGAGGCAGGAGAATCGCTTGAACCCAGGAGGCAGAGGTTGCAGTGAGCCAAGACTATGCTGAGACTACGCCATTGCACTCCAGCCTGGGTGACAGAGTGATACTCCGTCTCAAAAAAATAAAAAAATATACAAAAAATTAGATGGGTGTGGTGGCGGGGGCCTATAATCCCAGCTACTCAGGAGGCTGAGGCATGAGAATCGCTTGAACTTGGAAGGTGGAGTTTGCAGTGAGCTGAGATCACTCCACTCCACTCCAGCCTGGGTGAGAGAGAGAGAGAGACTCCGTCTCAAAAAAAAAAAAAAAAAAAAAATTTGGCTGGATGTGAGGGCTCACGCCTGTAATCCCAGCACTCGTAATCCAGCACTTGGGGAGGCTGAGGCAGGCACACTGCTTGACTTCAGGAAGTCGAGATCAGCCTGGGCTAAATGATGACAAAACCCCATCTGTCTCCATAAATTTTTTTAAAAATTGAGGAAAATATTGTGCCTGCCACTTAATAATTTTATGATGTCATACAAGTTACTTTACTGCTGTGCCTCAGTTCTTCCTCACCTGCAAATTGGGGGTCATTTAAAGATTAACTATATAATCCATAGCTTCAGAAAGGGAACAAACAGGTAGAGCCTGCATTGGGCACAGGTCATGTCCACTACAGTACTGACCTCATGTACTTGTCTTCCTTAAAGCTCGATCATTCCAGATTGAAAGTCCCCCTCCATGGCCTAAATTTTGGTCTTGTTGAAAAGTATTTTCTCGGGTCTTACTTTTATCTTCCTTGGGCTGGTATATACTACCATGTTTTTCATATCTCCTCAAAGCCCTTGAAGGGTGGCATTTCAGACAGCAAATAATGCAATGGACTGATAATGGACAAAGAAGTAGGTTAGGGAAAGATGAATGTACCCTCAAAGAGGGCAATGACTTTGTCTAATTCACTGCTATATCCTGAGCACATGGATGAGTGCCTGATAACCTAATAGGGGCTCTATCATGTGTGTTCAATGACTGAAAGGAGTCTGAAAGCGTTAAAATATTGCAGTTAGTAGAGAAATAATTTTCAGTACAGTATAAGACCAGTACCATGGGTAGAATACCAACAGAAGCTGAATTTAGAGGTAAGAGAGTGAAATTGTTGAAAAAGCAAGGAAAGTTCTCAAAATAGTTACTATATATTATGTTGAATGCTTTAACTATATTCTTGACAGTGCCCTGAGTATTTTGAAGGTATTATTTTGTAATTCTCATAATTACCTGGTGAGCTGGGTACTCTTATTCCCATTTTATAGATGGGGAAACTAGGGGATAGAGAATAGAGATAAGTAACTTTCAGCCAAATCACACAACTGGTAAGAGGGAGAGCCAAGATCCAAACTCAGGCAATCTGACTCTTGAGACCATATTCTTTACCTGGACACCATACTAGCATAAAAACAAGTTTTAATCTATTTAAAATAAGAATTAGGCCAGGCGTGGTGGCTCACACCTGTAAATCCCAGCACTTTGGGAGGCCAAAGCGGGTAGATCACTTGAGGTCAGGAGTTTGATACCAGCCTGGCCAACATCTCTACTAAAAATACAAAATTTAGCTGGGTGTGGTGGCGGGCACCTGTAATCCCAGCTACTCAGGAGGCTGAGGCAGGAGAATTGCTTGAACCCAGGAGGCGGAGGTTGTAGTGAGCCGAGATTGCGCCACTGCACTTTAGCCTGGGCAATAGAGGGAGACTCTGTCTCAAAAAAAAAAAAAAAAAAAAAAAAGTTGAATGCTGCTTGCAGTGATGTACACCTGTAGTCCCAGCTATTTGGGAGGCTGAAGTGGGAGGATCTCTTTTTTTTTTTTTTTTTTGAGACAGAGTCTCGCTCTGTCGCCCAGGCTGGAATGCAGTGGCAAGATCTTGGCTCACTGCAAACTCCACCTCCCGGGTTCACGCCATTCTCCTGCCTCAGCCTCCCGAGTAGCTGGGACTACAGGCGCCCGCCACCACGACCGGCTACTTTTTTGTATTTTTAGTAGAGACGGGGTTTCACTGTGTTAGCCAGGATGGTCTCGATCTCCTGACCTCGTGATCTACCTGCCTCGGCCTCCCGAAGTGCTGGGATTACAGGCCTGAGCCACCGCGCCCGGCCGGGAGGATCTCTTGAGCCCAGGAGTTTCAGAGCAGCCTGGGTAACATAGCAAGACCTCATCGCTAATTTAAAAAATAAATAAAGTGGGGGCTGCGGTGGGCGCGGTTGTTCACGCCTGTAATCCCACCACTTTGGGACGCCAAGGCGGGTGGATCACTTGAGGCCAGGAATTTATGAGACCAGCCTGGGAAACATAGTGAAACCCTGTCTTTACCAAAAATACAAAAATCAGCCGGGCGTGGTCACGTGCGCCTGTAATGCCAGCTACTTGGGAGGCTGAGGTGGAAAGATGGCTTGAGCCTGGGTGGTGGAGATTGCAGGCAGCTGAGATCACGCCACTGCACTCCAGCCTGGGCGACAGAGGGAGACTGTCTCAAAGAAAAAAAAGAAAAAAAAAATGGGTGCGTCTGTGTTTGTGTAGGATCTACCTACGGCTTTAAGTTGCCATGTCCTCCATTATAATTTCATTTCCATTGCACAGCATGACTTTTAAATAATTTAAAAAACATGTTCAAATACCTGTGGAGGCTGGCGTGGTGGCTCACACACCTGTAATCCCAGCACTTTGGGAGGCTGAGGCAGGAGGATCACCTGAGGTCAGGAGTTCGAGACCAGCCTGGCCAACATGGCGAAACCCCGTCTCTACTAAAAACACAAAAATTAGCCGCGCGCCTGTAATCCCAGCTACTCGGGAGGCTGTTGAGGCAGGAGGATCGTTTGAACCTGGGAGGCGGAGGTTGCAGGAACTGAGATTGTACCACTGCACTCCAGCCTGGGAGACACAGTGAGAAAACAACAATAACAAAATGCCTGTGGAACCAGTTGTTTCTGGGTTTAAACCACTGCTTAGTCACTAACTAGCGGTCTGACCTTTGGCAAGTTACTTAACCTCTCTGAGCCTTAGTTTCCTCATCTACTTGGGTTCAAATTTCAGCTCTACCACTTAACGTGTAACTGGACAAATTTTTTGATCCTAATTTTCCTCATTTGTAAAGTAGGGATAACAGTACCTACCTCACAGTCATGAGGAATAAATACTTCATGTAAAGTTCTTAGCACAGAGCCTGACACAGTCTCTTTCCAAAAACGTTAACTACTATCATAACCTTAACACCCGGACTCTGTTACTTGGTCCCTATCCTCAAGGTGCTCCAGAAACGCTCGCTGAGTTTAGGCGGGCCTAACTGCTCCGTGGAAGCAGGGAGGCCAGCAAAAGGAGCTGGCCCTTGAGTTAATTAGGTGGAATCGGGCGGGGTGGGAGGCTGTTTCCTCGCTGAGAACCTAACCAGACCAGGAGTTCCCAAGAGAAGGAGCTGCGAGGGCTCTGCACACCGTAATTCCTCAGCAACTTGGCTAGCTGCTTTTTTTTTTTTCCTGCTGTCGTGGTTTAGTCACGACAGGACCAAGCGGAGGTACGATGAACACCAGGAAGCTCAAAGCCTTTGGCAGACGGAGACAGGCCACACCCCAAAAAGACGGCAAGGCTCAAGCGCCTAAAGCTAGTTCTATCGTGAAATTTCCTAGAGTCTGTCGCGACGAAACACCGCCCACCGCAGACCCCATCGCCGTTCGCCAGTCTCCATCTTTAGAATTGAAAGAATGAGAGATGGCCAAAGGGGAATCCCGGTTTGGAGAGACTGGGGTACGGCGGCTGCCTGGGGACCAAAACGTCTCTAAGGTAAAGTTGCAGCCTGAAGCGATTTTTTGACCCCCGACACTTAATGGGCTGTCGAAGACCCGGATGTGTCTGGGACTGGCAGAGGTACCCATTAACGCGCCCCCGCTAGACCATCCCCCCTCCTCCGTTTATGATTGGGTTTTAAGCACGCCAATCATCACTTCTCCGGCCACTCATTCTTCAAGGGTGGGGTGAAGTCCCGGCATCTAGTCTTCTACTGGCATGGCCGAGAAGATGAGGGCGGGGTGGCCGGCTTAGGTCGCCCAATGGGCGTCGTGGCGTGTGGGTAAGGCGGAGCCGAGGCGCTTGGCAGCTGCCCAATCAGCGTCCTTGTTTGTGTGGTGCCGCCGCCGCCGGTGCAGCCGTCGCCGCCGCCGCTGCCCCCGTCTGTACCGCAGTGTCTGCTCCGCCCGCCCGCCCCGGTCCGGCCCGCCCCCCTCCCCTACCCCCGTCCCTAGTCCCGTCAGCAGGGTCTGGATCCCCTGTGCCGTCGCCTCTTCCTTTTTCGACGCCTCCGCCGCCGCCTGAGGAGGCGAGCTAGCCGGGAGTTACACCGCCACCGCCAGGTGAGGAGCTTTGGCCTAGGCCAGCCTGGCCGCCCGCCCGCCCGGGGGCGGTGAGGAGCGAGGAAGGGAAGGAGGCTGGGAGGAGGCAGTGGTGGCGGAGGTGGGGGAAGGGAAAGGTGGAGGGGCGGGGGGAGGGGAAGCGCCCGCGAGCCGACGCCCGCCCGCGCGCCCCCGCCTTGCGTCCCCCTCCCCCCACCCCGGCACGGCGCGCCCCCGCCTCGCGCTCCTTCTTCACCTCATCCTCTCCCCCCTTGGCGCGCGCGACCCGGTCTTTCACTTCGGCCTCGCGCGCCCCCAGCTCGTGTCCCTTCATTTCGTCTCCTTGTACTCTTTCTCCCCTCCCTCACGCCCCGTTTCCCCCGCCATCCCCGCTTTCACTCCCTGCCTCATGCCCGCCATGCTCCCCTCCTTTCCTCTCTAGCGCGCCCCCCCCTTTTTTTTTTTAACTCTCTCCACCCCCAGTGGTGCCCTCAGGGTGCGGGGGCCGCTCCCTGCTCAGTCTTGTGTTTGCGGGCGGATGGGACGAATGGGGAATCTAAGGGTAAAGGAAGCACCAGATAATTATCTTTATTTAGGGAAAGGGATCAGGAGCGCATAACCTTACCCCTTTATTTCGTCGTCCACCGTTCGCTCGCCCTCCCGTAGGGGAAGAGAATTGTCTCAGGCTATGTGGGCACTTAGCTTCTACAGCGACTGGGCTTGTGGGACACACTGGATCTGTCTTCCAGTTCAGTTCCTGAGGGTCGGTGGAACTTACCCTTCCCTAACCACACCGGGACTTAGAGTACTTTTGGCCTCCCTGCTCTCAATTACATTGAGGAGCGAGCCACTCATGCGAGTGCAGAGGTTCAGGTGCCATTCGCGCGCCCGGTACAGCTTTCCCGTTTCATAAAGGTATGGTAGCCTCTTTGGATTCTTCCCCAGCATCAACTTCCAAACACAAGATGTTAGCTCATAGGGCTGGCAGTGAGGTGGAGATGGAGGCTTGGTGGTGGGTGGCATGTGGATGCTAACTGAGCTAGCTAGCAACCTTTTCTCTGTTGTCCCCTGGAAAATCAGGTAGCCTCCTGAGAACCAGTTTTCTCATTTCTGATAAATGCTTATTTGGGGGGCGTGTGTGTGTGCGTGTGTGTGTGTGTAAGAGAGAGAGAGAGATGGGGGGATACTTAATACATTTCAGCAGAGGCGAAGGATACTTAATATATTTCAGCAAAGGGCAAGAGCAGTGTTTTCAGGCCAGACTGCAAAAGAGGGATTTGGATTTGTAGCTGATGGAATTAAAACAGGTTTAACAGATCTGTGTTGGAGAAGAGCTGATGCTTTTGTAGTTTTTAGGACATTTTTTCTAAAAATTTATATTTTGAGTAGAAAAGCATGCATGTGGTTGTACAAAGTGAAAAGTAAGCTTCCTTCCCATCTCTGTCCTCCAGCCATCTAGTCTCCTTCCCCTCCTAGCACAGATGACTTTGATGTTTTCTGGCAGCAGCATGGTGCCTATATGTTGTTGGTGATTATCCTGTTTGGGAGTTTAGTGCTAACTTTATTGCTTTTCATTTGGTATGCTGACCTGAACTCTTCCTTGCAGTCTGATAACTTGGATTCTTATTTTGGTGCTGGAGCAGCCTTTCAAGTATTGTCCTAGAGTAGTATTTCTGTCAGTACTTAGTTGGGAAGGAGGCCACTTCTGGAGGTGCTATGGAGGAGTTCAGTATATTTTGAGGGAAGGCCCACACTTGTTGGATCGTGCTGCTTTTTTTGTGACGGATATCTAGTCCCTGGCCATTTGGGAATGGACTGGGTCAAGGATCGGATTCATATAAGCAGATAGCTTATATGAATAACTAGTTGATGGTAAGGCTGTCTTCACTTTTTAGGGGAATAGAGTTTTTTTAGTCCAGTGGCAGTGATAGTCATCATGGAACAAGGTAGAAAAGTACTAATCAGCAGGAATCAGAAGGCTGAATCTATAGGCTGAGTGACCCAGTTTGAGTAGAGGTGAGGCTTACAGACTTTTGTCCTGCCTATTATTCCTTACTTGAGAACACTCTCCATGAGGTGAGAGTGATTTGTAGTTGACAGCAGCATCCATCTTTATGACACTGTGGTTTGCCTTCCCTGACCGTATGTGATGTGTGTTAACTTCCTGTTTAGAGGCAGTCCCAGTAGGGTCTGAATATAGGCTGCACTCAAATACTTTTCTAGGAACAGTGTTAACCAGGTTCCCTGATCAGCCCTTCAAATCTAAATTCTGGCAGTAACTTTTACTGCTGTGCTTAGCATAGGGCCACAGGGTGGTGGCAGAGGGAAGTGTGAGGAATTTGTTCTGAGCCTCACAACCTTAAAGTACTTTCAAAAGCTTGTATGCTGTCCCCCATTTTGGGGTTTTGCCCCCTTCTCCCCTTTTTTTGCCAGACGGGCAAGGCTGGACCTCCAGGTTGAATTTTGGGGACCATTGTGTCAGTGAAGGTATCCTAATCATGTGTTGAGACCTCTGAATTCATCTCACCTTTAAGCAGTGAGTCTTGTGTGTTGCATGTAAAGCATTCCTCCTGTTTCAATTTACTGATTCTTCTTCCTTTCCTCCCCCACCCACCAAGCTGGAGGTGCATGTGGAGGAAAACAGCAGCTGTGCTGTCCTGATTTCTAGACTCTGGAGCATATTCCATGTTAGCCACCCCATTGGGAGTCATGCTGACAAGCAGCCCCTCTGCGCTTAACTTAGAAGGCTCATGTTGCTTGGCTCATTGAGAAAAGCCAACCAGCTTTGGTTGATTAAAACAACTGCTAGAGAAATCGTAAGATTTGAGCCATAACTGGGACTGAGGGACTTTCTTTTCCAGACCTTTGCAGTACTTAAAGCCCTGCATTATTACATATCAAGGCACAATAGCCAGACATTTTCTGAGGTAGTTTGGAGGGAAAGAAAAAGTAAAGACACACACCCAGATTGACTGTAAATCTAGTCCTGGCATAAAGCTGTCCACCTCTTGCTTGGGGAAAAAATCCAGTCTATCAGACAATACCACATAGAGTTGCAGTTCTCCTGCTTTTGGCTAAGCCTAGGAAAAGATATATAAGGAAGTTCAGTTTATGTTACAATGACTGGATTTTGTGGTGTATCTTCTATTAGCCATATTATTTGGTTTATCCTCAGTAGTCTCTGTGAAGCTTTTTCTGTAGGTCCTGTTTGGGGATTTTGGTGGCTCCAGAATCCTTGAAGCAGCAACCTCCTTTCTTTGTGTAGCAGTGATGAAAGCTTCTGAAGAATAGGTCTGATTTGAAACAGACCCCTCCTCATGTTCCATCTTTTACCTTCTCCCTTGTGGATATATGAAATATTCCTGTATAGCTTGAATTCATCCAGTAAGAAGGGAGTGTCCCAGGGTCATTAGGGCTTTTAACCTGTCTGAGGTATTTAGATGGTGGCTTGGTAATGTTTGCTGTCTCTCACAAAATCCCCCTTACCTTTGCCATTTACCTAGGTTGCCATCAGCTGGCAAGAAACTATCAACAGTTTTGGGTTATAGTACAAAAAGCAGCAGATTACTAAGAACACATCATTCGTTACTTTTGAGATATGAAGTGGTCAGATCCAGACCTCAAAGAATCATAGTAACTGCAGAAGCATCTTTGACAATGTGTGAACTTGTTATTAATAATAACTAGTAAACTGCTAAAGAAATTAAGGGAAATTATAGCAATTCCATATTCCTGAGCCATTCTCTTACTGTTTTTCACACCTGGCTAGTTCCATTTTATTTTATTTTATTTTATATTTTTTGAGATGGAGTTTTGCTCTTGTTGCCCAGGCTGGAGTGCAGTGGTGTGATCTCAGCTCAGTGCAACCTCTGCCTCCTGGGTTCAAGTGATTCTCCTGCCTCAACCTCCCAAGTAGCTGGGATTACAGTCACCTGTCACCATGCCTGGCTAATTTTTGTATTTTTAGTAGAGACGGTTTCACCATGTTGGCCAGGCTGGTCTCGAACTCCTGACCTCAGGTGATCTGCCCACCTCAGCCTCCCAAAGTGCTGGGATTACAGGCATGGAGCCATTGTGCCCGGCCTTAGTATCCATTTAAAAAAATAATTCAGGTTACTGTTACCTAAAGCTGAGAGTCGTACTTTAAATCTTTTGATCAAAGCTTTCTTCGGCTTGTCTCATTTCAAGGGAGGGTGGAATTTATAATCTTTAAAAATACATGCTGGAATGTTAGTAGGATTTAGATTAGACACCAGGATTAATAAATTCTCATTATAATTGTGAAGGATTGCAAATGTTAACTGAAAGACTTGTGCATCTCTTGCCCAGAGGATTTTTATAATGTTAGCATTTTTAGAGTATTTAAACTCAAACTTGCTGAAAGAGAGGGGATGAACTAATATGTGGCAGATTGGACTAGTGGAACACAGGTTGTGGAGAGCCTTGAAGTCCTGGGTTGAATTCTAGCTTTGTGATTTATTAGCTAACTGATTTTGGGTAATGCTACTAATTTTTGAATTCTCATTTCTTGCAGACAGAGTAATGCCAGTCCTTGCAATAGCCTTTAAGGCTTTACATGGTTTGCCCTCCCCAACCTCTTCCATTTTTGATCGGCTGTCATCTTCCCTCTTGCTCTCTCCATTCCAGCCACACTGACTTGCTCCTTGAATGCTGATCAGTCACACTCTATCTTAGAACCTTGGCAGGTTCCTAAGACCAAGTGATTCCTTCTAGTGGGAAAACAGCTAGGTTTCCCCACAGAGAATGGCTGATTGCCTCACCTCCTTAACGTCTTTGCTTAAATGTCACCTTTTTAATGAAGTCTTATCCTTCCTTTCTTTAAAATTGTATTGTCAGTTCCCATCCCTCATGCTTATCCTTGCCTGCTCTATTTTCTTTTTCATAGGACTTAACACTTTTATAATATATTTATTTGTTACATTTATTGCCTATTGGTTCTCTTTCTATGATGTAGGTCTTAGAAGGCATGGATTTGTTTTGGTAATTTGTTTAGTGCCTAGTACAGTGCCTGGCATGTAGTTAATAATAAATGTTTGTTGGCCGGGGTTGGTGGCTCATGCCTGTAATCCCAGCACTTTGGGAGGCTGAGGCGGGCGGATCACATGAGGTCAGGAGTTCGAGACCAGCCTAGCCAACATGGTGAAACCCCGTGTCTACTAAAAATACAAAAATTAGCTGGGCGTGGCAGTGGGCACCTGTAATCCCAGCTACTTGAGAGGCCGAGGCAGGAGAATAGCTTGAACCTGGGAGGTGGAGGTTGCAGTGAGTCGAGATTGCACCATTGCACTCCAGCCTGGGTGATAGCGTGAGACTCAGTTTCAAAAAAAAAAAAAGATATGTGGGGCATGGTGGCTCACACCTGAAATCCCAGCACTTTGGGAGGCCGAGGCGGGTGTATCATGAGGTCAGGAGTTCAAGACCAGCCTGGCCGAGATGGTGAAACCCCATCTCTACTAAAAATACAAAAATTAGCCAGACATGGTGGCAGTTGCCTGTAATCCCAGCTACTCGGGAGGCTGAGGCAGAGAATTGCTTGAACCCAGGAGGTGGAGGTTGCAGTGAGCTGAGATCGTGCCATTGCACTCCAGCCTGGGTGACAGCGTGTGACTCAGTTTCAAAAAAAAATAGGCCGGGTGCGGGGGCTCACACCTGTATTCCTAGTACTTTGGGAGGCCGAGGGGGGTAGATCACGAGGTCAGGAGTTCAAGACCCGCCTGGCCAAAATGGTGAAACCCCATCTCTACTAATAATACAAAAATTAGCCAGACATGGTGGTGGGCGCCTGTAATCCCAGCTACTCGGGGGGCTGAGGCAGAGAATAGCTTGAACCCGGGAGGCAGAGGTTGCAGTGAGCCGAGATTGTGCCACTGTGCTCTAGCCTGGTCAACAGAGTGAGACTCTCTCTCAAAAATAAATAAATAAACAAATAAAAGTTTGTTGATCCAATAGGAATAAAAATAACCTGTCATACTAATCTCATGTTTGTATGTAACAAAAGTATGAAATACAAGCATAAAATGTTTTGTGAACTTTAAAGCATAATGCAAATAATGATGAAATTATTGCCTTCCCGTTAAAATGGTAAAATACACTTGATTATTGAAAAAAACTTCATATATATTCAATATATTATCATTTCTCTCCTAAACTCCAGCCCTTTGTTTCCGGTTGTCTACTGTGAGCTAGACGTATCTATACCTTTGTATCAAGTTGGTACTCAAACTCAACATTTCCAACATCATTTCTTCCCTGTGATTCATTGAGTCATCTAAACCAGAAATGTGAGCATCATTGTCACTTCTGTCTTACCTATTACTTTCTAAATATTTCTGAATCTAGCTTCTTCTGTGTCTCCATTGCTGTTCTCATTCAACAGCTCTTATTTTGGGATATTGCCTTGATCGCTTACACATCTGTTTATAGTCTTACTCTCTTTTTCTTTTTTTTTTTTTTTTCTTGAGGTGGAGTCTCACTCTGTCACTGGAGTGCAGTGGTGCAATCTTAGCTTACTGCAACCTCCACCTCCTGGGTTCAAGTGATTGTTCTGCTTCAGCCTCCTGAGTAGCTGGGATTACAGGTGTCTGCCACTACACCCAGATAATTTTTGTATTTTTAGTGGAGACGAGGTTTCACCATGTTGCCCCAGGCTGGTCTCAAACTCCTGACCTCAAGTGATCCGCCCACCTGGGCCTCCCAAAGTACTGGGATTACAGGCGTGAGCCACCGCACCCGGCTGTCTTATTCTCTTGTAAACTCTCTATCATCGTGCCTTCAAAATAGTCTAACACTTACTGATTATTCTACTTTCCTCATCTTAAAAGTATTTAGTAGTTTCCAGTTATTAAAAGATTAAAATGTAAACTTTGAGTGGTATTCAAGGCCCTTTATGTTGTTGGTGTTTGCCTTCCTATCCAGCCCTACTTCTGTACCTTATAGTTAATGTGTGAGCAAATACAGTGGTTTTTCTTTTCTTTTTTTTTTTTTTTTTTTTATATAGACAAGTTCTGGCTCTGTTGCCCAGGCTCCATGGAGCACAGTGGCACGATCTCGGCTCACTGCAACCTCCACCTCCTGAGTTCAAGTGATCCTCTTACCTCAGCCTCCTCAGTAGCTGGGTCTATAGGCCTGTGCCACTTTGCCCAGCTAATTTTTGAAATACAGTTCTTTTTAATTACAGGTAGCTTCTGAATCTCATAAAGAATGCCACTTCTTCTGGGAAACCTTCCCTGACTTGCCCAAAGAGAGTTAGATACATTTTCTTCTTTGCCCTCATAATTTTTATTAAGTTTATTTTTATTTATTTATTTTTTGGGATAGAGTCTCGCTCTGTCACCCAGGCTGGAGTGCAATGGTGCAGTCTTGGCTCACTGCAACCTCCGCCTCCCAGGTTCAAGTGATTCTCCTGCCGCAGCCTCCTGAGTAGCTGGGACTACAAGCATGCCACCGCGCCCAGCTAATTTTTGTATTTTTAGTAGAAACGGGGTTTCACCACGTTGGCCAGGCTGGTCTTGATCTCTTGACCTTGTGATCCGCCTGACTCGGCCTCCCAAAGTCCTAGGATTACAGGCGTGAGCCACCGCCTCCCGGGTTCAAGTGATCCTCCCGCCTCAGCTTCCTGAGTAGCTGGGATTATAGGCACATGCCACCACACCTGGCTAGTTTTTGTGTTTTTAGCAGAGTCAGAGTTTTGCCATGTTGGCCAGGCTGGTCTCAGACTCCTGGCCTCAGCTATCCATCTGCTTTGGCCTCCCAAAGTGTTGGGATTACAGGCGTGAGCCACTGCTCCTGGCCTTTTTTTTTTCTTTTGAAACACAGCCTTGCTCTGTTGCCCAGATTGGAATGCAATGGCACAGTCATAGTTTAGTGTAACCTTGAACTCCTGAGCTCAAGCAGTCCTGCCTCAGCCTCCTGAGTTGTTGAGACCACAGGTACACACCACCAAGCCTAATTTTTAAATTTTTTGTAGAGATGGGGTCTCCCTGTGTTGCCCAGGCAGGTCTTGAACTCCTGGCCTCAAGTAGTCCTCCTGCCTTGGCCTCCTAAGGTGTTGGGATTACAGGTGTGAACCACTACACCCAGCCTTGCTGTGTCTTTTTACTATTGTATTTCCATTGCCTAGCATGGTGCCTGTCACCTAAAAAATATTTTAAAATATTTGCTGAATAAATACTCCTATGGGTTTAGAAAATGCAGCATAAATTTAGAAATGCCCCTTCTGTTATGTTCTGGGAACAGAACAAGGGTTGGAGCCTTGGTTCTGCCATTTACCATCTGTGTGACCTTGGTTGAGTCACTTGAAGTCTCTGAGCCTTAGTTTCCTCAGCTTAGAAATGAGAATCAGTAACTGCTTTATCTATTTCGCTAGGTTTCTTTGTCAGTCAAATAAGATAATGCATGTAAAGGTTACTTTATAAACTGTAAAGCACTGTATTATTTTTAATCATTATGTGTTTACACAAGTTGAGCTTTGCTCACAACTCTTTTTTTTTTTTTTTTTTTTTTTTTGAGAGTCTGGGGGCTGGAGTGCAATGGCATGATCTCGGCTCACTGCAACCTCCGCCTCCCGGGTTCAAACGATTCTCCTGTGTCAGCCTCCCCAGTAGCTGGGATTACAGGCGCCTGCCACCATGCCCAGCTAATTTTTGTATTTTTAGTAGACATGGGGTTTCACTGTGTTGGCCAGGCTGGTCTCGAACTCCTGACCTTGTGATCCGCCTGCCTTGGCCTCCCAGAGTGATGGGATTACAGGCGTGAGCCACTGTGCTCGGCCCCTTGTAACTCTTGACTAAATTTTTTCTTCTTTTTTTTTTTTTTTGACAGAGTCTTGCTCTGTCATCCAGGCTGGAGTGCAGTGGCACGATCTCGGCTCACTGCAAGCTCTGCCTCCCGGGTTCACGCCATTCTCCTGCCTCAGCCTCCCGAGTGGCTGAGACTACAGGTGCCCGCCACCATGCCTGGCTAATTTTTTTTGTATTTTTAATAGAGACAGGGTTTTACCGTGTTAGCCAGGATGGTCTCGATCTCCTGACCTCGTGATCTGCCTGCCTTGGCCTCCCAAAGTGCTGAGATTACAGGTGTGAGCCACAGCACCCAGCTTAGGCCAGATATTTTTTAGAAACATCAGTGGTATGAGGGCTGCCATTTTTCCTCCATGAATTCGAAGGCAAATATTGCAGTTCAACCAGCTTAGCCTTCACCTTCAGTGCATTCCCAGGAGGATAGTTGTAACTGAGCTGGTGCCCCTGCCTTTCATCTAACAGGCTAGAAACAGGAGAGTAAGGTTTCAATTTTGTTAATGAGCAGAAACCCTTGCTTTCTGTAAAGATGGCAG
Organism: Homo sapiens; assembly: GCF_000001405.40. Lineage (NCBI taxonomy): Eukaryota > Metazoa > Chordata > Mammalia > Primates > Hominidae > Homo > Homo sapiens. The sequence continues at coordinate 153,913,401 of NC_000001.11, read as the reverse complement.
TATCACACTAAGAAAGCTGTAAAACTCACCATTGTTTCTCTTCTGTGAGGCATGCAGACAGGCCTGGGGATCAGAGGAGAAAAGGAACAATACCTTTGATTATTTTTTTTCCAGTCCTTTAAAAGTTTATATGTAGGTCTTGAAATTAAATCAAAACTTTAAGAAATTTGTCCTGGCTGGGTGTGGTGGCTCACACCTGTAATCCCAGCACTTTGGGAGGCTGAGGCGGGTGGATCGCCTGAGGTCAGCAGTTCCAGACCAGCCTGGCCAGCGTGGTGAAACCCTGTCTCTACTAAAAATACAATTTTTTTTAGAGACGGAGTCTCACTCTTGTTGCCCAGGCTGGAGTGCAGTATCGTGATCTTGGCTCACTGCAACCTCTACCTCCCGGGTTCAAGCAATTCTCCTGCCTCAGTCTCCCGTATAGCTGGGAGGTGCCCTCCACCACGCCTGGCTAATTTTTGTATTTTTAGTAGAGACAGGGTTTCACCATGTTGGCCAGGCTGGTCTTGAACTCCTGACCTCAGGTGATCCGCCTGCCTCGACCTCCCAAAGTGCTGGGATTAGAGGTGTGAGCCACTGTGCCCAGCCTGTCCTGTCTTATAAAGGCGTAAAGGTTATCTGAATGATGTTCACTCCTAGATTCCAAACTTTTTATCTAGCAGTGTGAAATTTTAATCTACCAGTAAAGAAATTGAAAAAATTTGCTCAATAGGGTAACATTTTTTAAGGAGGGGTGGTTTTCCAATCACTCTTTAACATTTACATGGCTAGATTGATGTGTTGCCATCAAAAGGATTGAAACAGTTGGTCACATGTATTGCTACTGCCGTGGACAGGTTGGCCAGAAGACCTTTGAAGTATTGCACCGTTAGGTTCTGTGAAATTTGGTGTGAATAGCATGACATTCTTTCTGTGCACTACAGTTTGGCCTTTAATAAGTGTCCATGCATAAATTTATGTGTTACTGTGTCATTCTCTTATTTTATAATTCAGATAGTAATTCTCAGTTTCTCACCTGAGTGTATAGAGAATTTGAAAGTTTTGCTTATTTATTTATTTTGAGACGGATTCTTGCTGTGTCAACCAACTTAGCCTTCACCTTCAGTGCATTCCCAGGAAGATAGTTGTAACTGAGCTGGTGAAGAAAAAAAAATTCTTCAATTTCTTTTGAGAACTCATGAATTTACATATATAGGTACCACCCTTTATGAACATTTTGATTGTTGCATGACTTTGTACTATGAAAGCCTTTAAATCTACCTAATATTATACTGTAAGTTCCTAACTTTGTCAAATATATTGGGTAGATATCACCGAAGAGTATAACTAAGGTTAGAATCTGGGCATTTTTAATTTCCAAATTAAACTTTCTATTCTGGCTCCGCGAATACTTGATAATTACAGGGAGAGTAAAATAGAATATGATAAAGTTTTATCAAAATAGAAAAATTAAAATGTAGCTTATGTGTGACTTTTGTGTTGTGTTCTAGATTCAGTTGTGTTGAGGGTATAAAAGGACTGATGAATAAAGGATACTGTTATGGTGCACGGAGGTATTAGAGGAGGACAGTGAGATTTTTACCCATTATTTTATAGGTTTATAAATTGAGTGAAGAAGGCTTTGGAAGTTGGCTTTGTTTTTTTTGTTTTTTGTTTTTTTTTGAGATGGAGTTTCACTCTTGTTGCCCAGGCTGGAGTGCAGTGGCGCGATCTCTGCTCACTGCAACCTCCGCCTCCCGAGTTCAAGTGAATCTCCTGCCTCAGCCTCCCGAGTAGCTGGGATTACAGGCGCCTACCACCATGCCCGGCTGATTTTTTGTATTTTTGGTAGAGACAGGGTTTCACCATGTTGGTCAGGCTGGTCGCGAACTCCTGACCTCAGGCGATCCACCCGCCTCGGCCTCCCAAAGTGCTGGGATTACAGGTGTGAGCCACCACACTTGGCCCGGAAGTTGTGCATTTTTAATTCTGTTGTTAATTTTGTTGATGCACTGCTTAGTAAATCTTTAATGAGCTGCCTAAACTGTGTCACATTAGCTCTTTCTTTTGTTGGTTATTGTGAAGACTTTGTTGATTTGTGTGTATGTGTATCTCTCTCATTCTCTCCTCTTGCTCTCTGTCTTTCTTTAAAAAAAACCAACCATTCTCAGTGTTGTGTATAAATTGAATTTTTGTGGCTGGATATGAGCAAATAGTATTGGTGGTACTTTTAGTGGATATTTTTCATTTAATTTCTTGAAAGCTTTTCTCCTTTGGTTAAACTAGAATAGCTTTTGCTCTTTTTTCACTTTATTCCCTGGAACATCTGTGTTCCAGAGAATATGCTTGAATTTCTCACTGATACTCTTAAAGCTTCTGTGAACCGAAATATTTTAGAGATATATTTCTCTACCTTCTCACCTGTAGGGAACACCTTTTATTGTACTATATACAGATGCTCTTTGATTTACGATGAGGTTATGTCCCTGTAAACTTATTGTAAGTTGAAAATAGCCTAAGTCAGAAATGCATTTAATACAGCTAACCTACTAAACGTCATAGCTTAGCCTAGCTTACCTTAAATGTGTTCGAAATGCTTACATTAGCTTACAGTTGGACAAAATTATTTAATATAAAGCCTATTTTATTTATTTATTTATTGTATTTATTTATTTATTTTGACACAGAGTCTTGCTCTGTCACCCAGGCTAGAGCACAGTGGCGCAGTCTTGGCTCACTGCAACCTCTGCCTCCTGGGTTCAAGTGATTCTTCTGCCTCAGCCTCCTGAGTAGCTGGAATTACAGGTGCTCGCCACCACGTCTGGCTAATTTTTGTATTTTTAGTAGAAATGGGGATTCACCATGTCGGCCAGGCTGGTCTTGAACTCCTGACCTCAGGTGATCCACCCACCTTGGCCTCCCAAAGTGCTGGGATTATAGGGATGAGCCACTGCGCCCAGCCCAAAGCCTATTTTGTAATAAAGTGTTGGATATCTTATGTAATTTATTGAATATTATACCAAAGGTGTAAACCAGAATGGTTGTATGTGTACTTGAAGTACAGTTTCTACTGAATGTGTATCACCTTCACACCATCGTAAAGTCGAAAAATTTTAAGTTGAGCCATTGTAAGTTGGGGAATGTACATGCTTGGCAAGTGGTCTTCTAATCTGTGTGTGAAAATCACTAGTAGCTTACCAATTCACCATGAATTCCTTGTTTATTTTTAGGCAGTATTTTAGAAAGCTTACATATCTATACATATAACATTACTTTTTAAAAAATTATTATTATTATTATTATTTTGAGACGGAGTCTCACTCTGTTGCCAGGCTGGAGTACAGTGGCGCATTCTTGGCTCACTGCAACCTCTGCCTCTTAGGTTCAAGCAATTCGCCTGCCTCAGCCTCCTGAGTGGCTGGAACTACAGGCATGCGCCACCATGCCCAGCTAATTTTTTTTTTTTTTTTTTGAGATGGAGTCTTGCTCTGTTGCCCAGGCTGGAGTGCAGTGGCATCATCTCGGCTGACTGCAACCTCTGCCTCCCAGGTTCAGGCGATTCTCCTGCCTCAGCCTCCCAAGTAACTGGGATTACAGGTGTGTGCCACCACACCCAGCTAATTTTTTTTTTTTTTTGTATTTTTAGTAAAGGTGGGGTTTCACCATGTTGGCCAGGCTGGTCTCGAACTCCTGACCTTGTGATCTGCCCCCCCGCCCCCTCAGTCTCCCAAAGTGCTGGGATTATAGGCTTGAGCTACCACGCCTGGCCAAATTTTGTATTTTTAATAGAGACAGGTTTCACCATGTTGGCCAGGATGGTCTTGATCTTTTGACTTGTGATCTGCCTGCCGTGGCTTCCCAAAGTGCTGTGATTACAGGCATGAGCCATCGTGCCTGGCCTTAAAAATTATTTTTAATGTGGCCGGGCATGGTGGCTCACGCCTGTAATCCCAGCACTTTAGGAGGCCAAGGCGGGTGGATCATGAGGTCAGGAGATCGAGACCACAGTGAAACCCCATCTCTACTAAAAATACAAAAAATTAGTCGTCATGGTGGTGGGCGCCTGTAGTCCCAGCTACTCGGGAGGCTGAGGCAGGAGAATGGCGTGAACCCAGGAGGCGGAGGTTGCAGTGAGCCCAGATTGCGCCACTGTACTCCAGCCTGGGCGACAGAGCAAGACTCCGTGTCAAAAAAGAAAAAAAAATTATTTTTAATGAGACAAGATTTTGCTCTCTTGCCCAGGCTGGAATGCAGTTGTGTGATCATGGCTCACTACAGCCCTCACTTCCTGGGCTCAAGTGATTCTTGCGCCTTAGTCTCCCAAGTAGCTGAGACCACAGGCACATGCCACCATACCCAGCTAATTTTTAAAATAAATTTTGTGGGGATGGGAATCTCGCTGTGTTGTCCAGGCAGGTCTCGAACTCTTGGGCTCAAGCAGTCCTCCTACCTCGGCCTCCTAAAGTGCTGAGATGTAATCCGTGTTCCAGAGCACTTTGGGAGGCTGAGGCAGGAGAATTGCTTGAGCTTAGGAGTTAGAGGCTGCAGTGACCTAGGATTGCACCACTGTGTTCCAGCCTTGGGGATAAAACACAACCTTGTTTCTTTCTTTCTTTCTTTTTTTTTTTTTTTTTTTTCCAAGTATGTTTCTAGGCCAGGTGCGGTGGCTCACACCTGTAATCCCAGCACTTTGGGAGGGCCAGGCGGGCGGATCACCTGAGGTCAGGAGTTCAAGACCAGCCTGATCAATATGGAGAATCCCTGTTTCTACTAAAAGCATAAAATTAGCTGGGCGTGGTGGCACATGCTTCTAATCCCAGCTACTGGGAAGGCTGAGGCAGGAGAATCGCTGGAACCCGGGAGGCGGAGGTTGCAAGATTGCGACATTGGATTCCAGCCTGGGCAACGAGCGAAACTCCGTCTCAAAAAAAAAAAAAGTATGTTTCTGGTGTCAAAAAGTCCTGGGTTCAAATTTCTGCTCCACCGTTTAGTTAGTTGTAAGATCTTTTACTTAACTTCTCTGTGCCTGACAGATTGTAAATGTCCAGTAAATGTTAGTTATGTTTTACTTTTCATTTTTTAAAATTTTATAGCGATGGGGTCTTGCTGTGTTGCCCAGGCTAGTCTCAAACTCCTAGGCTCAAGCAGTCCTCCCACCTTAGCCTCCCAAAGTGGTGAGATTACAGGCATGAGCCATGGTACCCAGCCTGTTAGTCATTCTTGTAAAAAAGATAATGGTAAACCTGGCACATAGATGTGTGCGTGCGTGAGTGTGTGTTTGTGTTAAAATGTACATAACATAAAATTTACCATCTTAGGCTGGGCGTGATGGCTCACGCCTGTAGTCCCAGCACTTTGGGAGGCCAAGGCAGGCAGATCATGAGGTCAGGAGTTCAAGATCAGTCTTAGCAACATGGTGAAACCCAGTCTCTACTAAAAATACAAAAATTAGCTGAACGTGGTGGCGCATGCCTGTAATCCCAGCTACTCAGGAGGCTGAGGCAGAAGAATCGCTTGAACCCAGGAGGCGGAGGTTGCAATGAGCCGAGATCATGCCACTGCACTCCAGCCTGGGTGACAGAGCAAAACTCCATCTCAAACAACACAAAAAAAATTAGCTGGGTGTGGTGGCAGGCATTTGTAGTCCCAGCTACTCAGGAGGCTGAGACAGGAGAATTGCTTGTACCTGGGAGGCAGAGGTTGCAGTGAGCCGAGCTCACGCCACTGCATCCCAACCTGGGTGACAGAGCGAGACTCCATCTCAAAAAAAAAAAAAAAAAAATTTACCCTTTTAAAGTATACAGTTTAGTGGCATTAAATACATTGATGTTGTGTAACCAACACCAGCATTAATCTCCAGAACTTCTTCATCTTCCCAAACTGAAACTTTGTATATATTGAACTATAACTCCCATTCTCCCCTCTCCGCAGTTCCTGGCAGTCACCATTCTACTTTGTTTCTATAAATTTGACTACTTCAGGTACTTCATATAAATGGAATCATACCACATTTGTCCTTTTGTGTCTGGCTTATTACACTGAAAATATCTTCATGATTTATCCATGTTGTAGCATGTATCAGAATTTCATTTTTTAAGGCTGAATAATATTCCTTTGTATGTAAATATCTCATTTTGTTTATCCATTCATCGGTTGGTGGATATCTGGATTGTTTCCGCCTTCGGCTGTTGCAAACAAGGCTGCTGTGAACATGACTGGGCAGATATCTGCTTGAGTCCCTGCTTTCGATTGTTTTGCGTATAGGATATATATCCAGAATTGAAATTGTTAGATCATGATAATTCATGATAATTCGGTTTTTGAGTAATTGTTACAGTTTTCCACAGTAACTGTATCATTTACATTTCTGTCAGCAATGCACAAAGGTTCCAGTCCCTCCACGTCCCTGCCAACACTTGTTATTATTTTTTGTTTGTTTGTTTTTGAATAGGAATTCTAGTGGATGTGAGGTGCTGTCTCATTGTGGTTTTGATTTGTAATTCCCTAAGATTAGTGATGTTGATCATCTTTTCAGGTGCTTATTGGCTATTCGTATATTTCCTTTGGAGACATGTCTATTCAGATCCTTTGCTTAGTTTTTAATTGGGTTTTTGTTGTTGTTTTTGTTTCTAAGTTGTAGGAGTTCTTTGTATATTCTGGATTTTAATCCATTATCCACATATATGATTCTCATTCAGTGGGTTGCCCTTTCACTCTGTAGTGTCCTTTGATGCACAAAAAATTTAATTTTGATGAAGTCCAGTTTATCTGTTGTTTTTTTTTCCTTTTTTGCCTGTGCTTTTGGTGTCTAATAAATCATTGTCAAGTCCAACATCATGAAGCATCTAAGAGTGTTAGCTCTTCTGTTTAGTCTTTCATTTATTTTGTGTTTTTTCTCATTTTTTTAAATTTACTTTTTGTATTGTATCATTTTTGTATTGCTGTAAATGTGTTACAGCAACTTGTAAAAGAACAATATTTTGTGTTAATTTTTTGTTGTTAAGACAGAGTCTGGCTCTGTCGCCCAGGCTGGAGTGCAGTGGCACAATCTTGGTTCACTGCAACCTCTGCCTCCCAGATTCAAGTGATTCTCCTGCTTCAGCCTCCCGAGTGGCTGGAACTACAGGCACACGCCACCACACCTGGCTAATTTTTGTATTTTTTAGTAGAGATGGGGTTTCACCATATTGGCCAGGCTGGTCTCGAACTCCTGACCTCAAATCAAGTGAGATCAAGAGAGCCTCTGGCTCTCCAAGTGCTGAGACTACAGGTATGAGCCACCACGCCTGGCCCCACACTGTTTTGTGTGTGTGTGTGTGGGGTGCGGGGGAGGGGAGCTTTTTTTTTTTTTTTTGAGAGGGAACCTCCCTCTGTCACCAGGCTGGAGTGCAGTGGCGTGATCTCGGCCCAGTGCAACCTCCGACTCCCAGTTTCAAGCGATTCTCCTGTCTCAGCCTCCCTAGTAGCTGAGATTACAGATGTATGCCACCACACCCAGCTAATTTTTGTATTTTTAGTAGAGGTAGGGTTTCACCATGTTGGCCAGGCTGGTCTCGAACTCTTGACCTCAGGTGATCTGCCCACCTCGGCCTCCCAAAGTGCTGGGATTACAGGCGTGAGCCACTGCACCCGGCTTTTTTTTTTTTTGTTTGAGAGACTGGTTCTTGCTATGTTGCCCAGGCATGGTTTCAAACTCCTGGGCTCAAGCAGTTTTCCTGCTTCAGCCTCCCGAGTAGCTGGGATTACAGGCAGGTGCCACTATGCCGGGCTACCACACTGTTTTGATTACTGTAGTTACGTAGTAAGTTTTGGAATCAGGAAGAATGAGTCGTCTGACTTTGTTCTTTTTTTTTTTTTTTTTTTTTTCCAAAATTGTTTTGGCTGTTTGGGCTTCCTTGAGATGCCATATGAATTTTAGGATGGGTTTTTCTTTTCACATAGTTTTTTACTTTGGGCTAAAAATCTGAATGGGATTCTGCTCAGTTATAGATAGTTTTTATTTCACCTAGGCCCTTGAATCACTGTATTTTTCTTATTTTTTTTGAGACCGAGTCAGGCTCTGTCACCCAGGCTGGAGTGCGGTGGCGTGATCTCTGCTCACTGCAACCTCCACCTCCCGGGTCCAAGAGATTCTCCCTGTCTCAGCCTCCCAAGTAGCTGAGACTACAGGGCGCCTGCCACCACGCCCGGCTAATTGTTTGTATTTTTATTAGAGACGGAGTTTCACCATATTGGTCAGGCTGGGTATTTTTCTTTATGTATTGTGTTGCTCTTGGCCAGGTGCAGTGGCTCATGCCTGTAACCCCAGCACTTTGGGAAGCTGTGGCAGGCAGATCACCTGAGGTCAGGAGTTCGAGACCAGCCTGGCCAACATATAGTGAAACCCCGTCTCTACTAAAGAAGACAAAAATTAGGGCCAGGGCGGTGGCTCATGCATGTAATCCCAGCACTTCGGGAGGCCAAGGCAGGCAGATCACCTGAGGTCAGGAGTTCGAGACCAGCCTGACCAATATGATGAAACCCCGTCTCTACTAAAAATAGAAAAATTAGCCAGATGTGGTGGCAGGCGCCTGTAATCCCACCTGCTCGGGAGGCTGAGGCAGGAGAATTGCTTGAAGCAGGGAGGCGGAGATTGCAGTGAGCCGAGATGTGCCACTGCACTCCAGCCTGGGTGACAGAGCAAGAGACTCTGTCTGAGAAAAAAAAAAAAATTAGCTGGGCCTGGTGGCACACGCCTATAGTCCCAGCTTCTTGGGAAACTGAAACAGGAGAATTGCTTGAACCCATGAGGTGGAGGTTGCAGTGAGATGAGGTCATGCCACTCTACTCCAGCCTGAGTGACAGAGCGAGACTCTGTCTCTCAAAGAAAAACAAAAAGAAAAATTATGTTGCTCCATACATCTTTGCTCTTATAAATGAATCATTTTGTTATGGTTGGAGCACTTTCTTCTTGTTTTAAAGTTTGTTTTCACATTTTAAAAAATTAAGATATAGAGTGAAAACTTTCTTGTCACTGTCTTTTAACTTCCTAGTTTTAAACCCCATCACTGTTTTTCCATTTCTATCATATTAGAGTTTCTTTATACATATACAAGCTAATATTTATTTATTTATTTATTTATTTATTTATTTATTTATTTGAGATGGAGTTTCAGTGTTTCACCCAGGCTGGAGTGTAGTGGCGTAATCTTGGCTCACTGAACCCTCTGTCTTCCAGTTTCAAATGATTTTCCTGCGTCAGCCTTCCAAGTAGCTGGGATTACAGATGCCTGCCACCACGCCCGGCTAATATTTGTATTTTTAGTAGAGACTGAGGTTTCTTCATGTTGGCCAGACTGGTCTCGAACTCCTGACCTCGTGATCCACCCGCCTTACCTTCCCGAAGTGCTGGGATTACAGGCGTGAGCCACCGGGCCTGGCATATCTATTTATTTTTAAGACAAGGTCTCATGCTGTTGCCAACGCTGGAGTGCAGTGGTGCAGTCACGGCTCACTGCAGCCTTCACTTCCCGAACTCAGGTGATTGTACCACTTTAACCTCTCAAGTAGCTGGGACCACATGTGCGTGCCACCATACCTAGCTAATTTTTTGTATTTTTTGTAGAGAGGGGATTTGCCATATTGCCCATGCTGATTTTCAACTCCTAGGCTCAAGCTGTCTGCCCGCCTCAGCCTCTCGAAGTGCTGGGATTACAGGTGTGAGCCCCACACTTGGCCAATGTTAGAACTTTATTGGGAAAGAATATTTAGGCATATGGTAAAGAGTATTTAGGTATATTGTAATATGTCCTGTTAACAGAAATTCTGTACTTTTCCTGTTGCTTACAATTCTGCTATTTAATGATTTTCATCGCTATTATTTTGTTAACATTGAACAATTTGAGTACTACTAGTACTCAAAAGTACTTTAAAGTATTTAAACTTAGTTTAGGAATGCTGATTGCCTAGTTCATGAAGTCTTATTTTATAATTTCATCTGTAATCCTGAATCTCAAACTATGGCAGAAAATCCAGGGCTCTGAGCAATGATATGAGTTTATTTTTCCAATTTCTGGAGTGAAGATTCCAGATGCTTTTCTCTGTCTTAGGCCTATTGTCTCGAAAAATGATAGTTAATTGTTCTGATAGAGAGAAAACTTGGGTCTGGTCTCTTGTCCTGCTTGTCAGAGCTGCTTACTTTGTAACCACTTTTTTTTTTTTTTGAGATGGAGTCTCGCTCTGTCGCCCAGGCTGGAGTGCAGTGGAGCGATCTCGGTTCACTGCAAGCTCCGCCTCCTGGTTTCACTCCATTCTCCTGCCTCAGCCTCCCGAGTAGCTGGGACCACAGGCGCCCGCCACCACGCCCGGCTAATTTTTTTGTATTTTTAGTAGAGATCAGGTTTCACCGTGTTAGCCAGGATGGTCTCAATCTCCTGACCTTGTGATCCCTCTGCCTCGGCCTCCCCAAGTCCTGGGATTATAGGCGTGAGCCACCGCGGCCGGCTGTAACCACTTAAATCTGCTGGTTGTGGGAAACTGCAAAGGCCTCCACATAACATTTCTTGTATGCCTACTATGTAAAGTAGTATGTAAAAGATATAAACATAGGTACGTTAGAGGATATAAAGATAAATTACAAGAAGATGCAGTCAGTAGACTAAAGACTACATGTATTAAAAGACTGCAGCTGGGCTTGGTGGCTCACACATGTAATCCTAACACTTTGGGAGGCTGAGGTGGGAGGACTGCTTGAGCCCAGGAGTTCGAGACCAGAGTGGGCAACAAAGTGAGACCCCATTTACAAAAAATATAAGAAAACTTAGCAGGGTATGGTGGTATGTGCCTGTGGTCCCAGCTACACAGGAGGCTGAGGTAAGAGAATCCCTTGAGCCCGGGAGGTTGAGGCTGCATTGAGGCATGTTTGAGCCACTTCACTCGAGCCTGGGTGACAAGAGTGAGACCCTGTCTCAAAAAAAGGAATACAATAATTATAATACTAGGTATAATATGTTTGTAAATTAAGTAACTTGCATATTAGGAACAAGTACCCCTTAAGTAGGAATTATACCCTCATTCAGCACTTTTTACACCTTGGCTGTAAGTATGATAGGCTTACCAAATCCTGAAAATTCTTTTTTTTTTCTTTTTTTCTTTTTTTTGAGATGGAGTTTCGCTCTTGTTGCCCAGGCTGGAGCGCAGTGGCGCAATCTTGGCTCACCGCAACCTCCGCCTCCTGGGTTCAAGTGATTCTCCTGCCTCAGCCTTGCTGAGTAGCTGAGATTGCAGGCATGTGCCACCATGCCCAGCTAATTTTGTATGTTTAGTAGAGATGGGGTTTCTCCATGTTGGTCAGGCTGGTCTCGAACTCCTGACCTCAGGTGATCCGCCTGCCTCAGCCTCCCAAAGTGCTGGGATTACAGGTGTGAACCACTGTGCGCGGCCTTTTTTTTTTTTTTTTTTTTGAGACGGAGTCTGATTGGCCCCTGCTCTCCTCCTGATTATCCCTGTTGCCCCAAGGCCATTTTAGACAGGACCGGGCACGTTCAGGGTGGTATGGCTGTAGACACCAGGGCCATTTTATTTAATTTATTTATTTATTTATTTATTTATTTATTTTTAGCAAGAGTTTTGCTCTGTCTCCCAGGCTGGAGTGCAGTGGCACGATCGTGGCTCACTGCAGCCTCCACCTCCTGGGTTCAAGTGATTCTCCTGCCTCAGTCTCTCAAATAGCTGGGATTACAGGTACACGCCACCATGCCTGGCTAATTTTTGTATTTTTAGTAGAGATGGGTTTCACCATGTTAGCCAGGCTGGTCTCAAATTCCTGACCTCAGATGATCCACCTGCCTCGGCCTCTCAAAGTGCTGGGATTACAGGTGTGAGCCATCGGGCGCAGTTGGACATTTTAACCAAAGAAAAATCAATCAGCTAGTTAACTTTCATGGAAGTATCAAAATGGTGTTGTCCAGTGAAGTCTCATCTTGAATAAATTTAACTCTAATGCACTTCCCCTCTACGCATCACTCTCGTTATTAAAGTTCCTGATTCTCATTTTGCCTTGGAGATGTGATAGTTTTATTTATTTATTTAGAGACAGAGCCTTGCTTTGTCACCCAGGCTGAAGTGCAGTGGCATGATCTTGGCTCACTGCAACCTCTCCACCTGGGTTCCAACGATTCTTGTGCCTCAGCCTTAACATACAAACATATAAATTTTTTTTTTTTTTTGAGGTAGAATTTTGCTCTGTTGCCCAGGCTGGAGTTCAGTGGCACTATGGCGGCTTACTGCAACCTCTGCCTTCCGGGTTCAAGGGATTCTTCTGCCTCAGCCTCCTGAGTAGCTTGGATTACAGGCACAGGCCACCACACCTGGCTAATTTTTGTATTTTTAGTAGAGATGGGGTTTTGCCAGGTTGGCCAGGCTGGTCTCGAACTCGTGACCTCAAGTGATCCACCCACCTTGGCCTCCCAAAGTTCTGGGATTACAGGTGTAAACCACCACGCCTGGCCAGTTTTTATGATTTTTAAATGATTGAAAAAAAATCAAGAGATTATTTTGTGACATGTGAAAATTACATGAAATTCAGATTTCAGTGTTTATAAGTAAAGTTTTATTGGAAATAACTATGCTCATTTTTTTTCATATTGTCTTTGGTTGTTTTCATGCTGCTACAATGTCAGAGTTACTAGTCACAACAAAGATGTTAAGGCCTCCAAAACCTAAAATATTTACTATCTGGCTAAAGAAAAGGCTTGCTGGGCCTGGCTTGATGGCACACGCCTGTAGTTGCAACTACTTGGGAGAGGCTAAGGTGGAAGGGTTGATTGAACCCAAGAGGTTGAGGCTGCAGTGAGCTGTGATCTCACCACTGTACTCTAGCCTGGGTGACAGAGCAAGACCCTGTCTCAAAAAAATAAAGAAAAAGAAAATAAGCTTGCCAGTCTGTGATGTAGGTGAATTCTGGTCCCAGATTAATGGTCATATTACTGGATACTCAAGCTATTCTTTTCTTTTCTTTTTTTTTTGAGACGGAGTCTCTATTGCCCAGGCTGGAGTGCAATGGCATGATCTCGGCTCACTGTAACCTCCGCCTCCCTGGTTCAAGTGATTCTCCTGCCTCAAGCCTCCTGAGTAGCTGGGATTACAGGTGCGTGCCACCACGTCCAGCTAATTTTTGTATTTTTTTAAGTAGAGATGGGGTTTCACCATATTGGCCAGATTTGTCTCGAATTCCTGACCTCGTGATCCGCCTGCCTCGGCCTCCCAAAGTGCTGGGATTACAGGCATGAGCCACTCACTGCGCCCAGTAAAAAAAAAGAAATTTTTAATAGAATATATATATGACATTTGCAGCTCATTGTTTTAGTGACTGTATAATATTTCATTGTATGGATATACCTTAATTTACCTAATCTGTCCACTTCTGAGGAACAGTTAGGGTGTTTGCAATTTGTGTATACGTGTGCTATGATAACCAGCCTTCCAGTGAAACATCTTACATAGATCTTTACACATTTAAGTATATTTGTAGGTAAAAGTTCTAGAAGTGTAATTAATGAACCAAATGGTATGCCCCTTTACAATTTTGTTAGACTTTAAGTTATTCTCCAAAAATTTGTACCAGTTTACAACCGCACCAACAGGCTATAAGAGTTTCTGAAACAACTCAATTGAAATGTAAACTTGAGAGAAGTAGTGTGGCTGGCCAGCAATGAGAACTGTCTGTCTTCAAGTGCCTTTGGGAACACTTATATACCTTATTAGCATTTCCTTTCAAAAAAAACAGTTGTCTTTGGATTTTGATTGTCAGGCATGTGACTACAGCCCAATTATTGGAAAGAGAAGAAGGAGGCTTTTTTTTTTTTTCTTTTTAAGATGGAGTTTCGTCGTCGTTACCCAGGCTGGAGTGCAATGGCGCGATCTTGGGCTCACTGCAACCTCCACATCCTGGGTTCAAGCAATTTTCCTGCCTCAGCCTCCCAAGTTGCTGGGATTACAGGCATGTGCAACCACGCGTGGCTATTTTGTATTTTTAGTAGAAATGGGGTTTCACTATGTTGGCCACGCTGGTCTCGAGCTCCTGACCTCAGGTGATCCGCCCACCTTGGCCTCCCAAAGTGCTGGGATTACAGGTGTGAACCAGTGTGCCTGGCAAAGGAGGCTTTTTAAAATTTTTATTTTAAGAGACAAGATCTCGCCATGTTGCCCAGGCTGGAATGCAGTGGCTATTCACAGGCATGGTCACTGCAGCTTCGAACTTCTGGGTCAAGCAGTCCTCTAGCCTCAGTTCCCCAAGTAGCTGGAATTACAGGTGTGTGCACCATCGCACCCAGCTGGAGTATACATTTTAAGATAAAAATTGTCTTCTTTGAAATGTTCCTCAAATGTCTCAACTTTTAGTCTAAGTGTAAAAGTTTTGATAATCTGATTTCTTGTCCTCACAATCTTTTAAAATCAGGGGCAACTTCAGGAGTAAGGAGCATGTACGGTTCCTAGTTGAGCTTCTAATTGGCAGAGGCAGAGAGCCAAACACAGCTACATCAGCAGGGTCATACTGTTTTCAGGGAATGGAGATGTTAAGGCAGGTAAGGGCAAATTCCTAATAAAAGTTAGATTACTTTGCTGACTGATTTTCTTGCTCTAATAGGTCACTTGTCTTTCTCCTCATCTCATTTTTCTGCTTTTACAGTGAAGGTGATTATTTTATTCAATAGATTTAGGTTTTGTTCAATGAATTTAGAACTTACTGGGAGGCTTTCACTTGCTCAGAATAGGGTCAGAGTAGGAAGGTTATCTTTGTTGGTGCCTCAGCCTCCTGAGTAGCTGGGACTACAGGCGTGCACTGGCACACCTGGCTAATTTTTTTTTTGTATGTTTAGTAGAGATGGGGTTTCACTGTATTGGCCAGGCTGGTCTCCAACTTCTGGTCTCAAGCAATCTTCCCACCTTGGCCTCCCGAAGTGCTGGGATTACAGGCGTGAGCCACTGTGCCCAGCCAAGATTGGAATCTTTTAAATACCTGCCAGAGCTATATGATTTGGGATTGGTATTTTTGTAGTTTATTATAATTTCTTTTTTCTTTTCTTTTTGTTTTTGTTTTTCTTTTTTCTTTTTTTCTTTTTTTTTTTTTTTTTGAGACAGGCTGTTACTCTGTTGCCCAGGCCGAAATGCAGTGGTGCAGTCATAGCTCACTACAGGCTTGAACTTTGGGTTCTAGCAATCCTCTCTCTCCTTAGCCTCTCTAGTAGCTGGGACTACAGGCATGTGTTGTTATACCTGGCTAATTTTTTTGTACTTTTTGTAGAGATGGGGTTTTACCGTGTTGCATAGGCTGATCTCAGACTCCTGGACTGAAGCGATTGGCCTGCCTCAGCCTCCCAGAGTGCTAGAATTATAGGCTTTAGCCACCGTGCCTGGCCTGGGTTTTTTTTTTTTTGTTTTTTTTTTTCTGTTTGTTTTTTGAGACAGGGTCTCATTATGTTGCTTGAGCCAGTCTAGAACTCCTAGCTTCAAGCCATCCGTTCGTCGAGGTCTTCCAAAGCATCGGGATTACAGGTGTGAGCCACCGTGCCAGGCCCAGGGAACGAAATATTTGAATATAGAAACATATATAGTTACTGAGGAAGTGCATCGTTTTCAGCAATTCTTTAAAAAAATTTTTTTAAATATATTGGCCAACTGTCTAGCTTTGAGACCTTAACCTATATAGCAGGAGTGGTGATCTGAATCCATTACAATATAGTTGATATTTTTAGAAGACATAAATTCTGGGTCCCTATAGAAGAAATTTTTCTTAAGCAGAAACTTACACTTTAGAGCAATATAATGTAGTTTTGACTTTTTGTAGAAAATATGTACTTAGTCTCTTATCAGTTATTTTCCTGAGAAGCACTCATCTTTCTCTTGCACCCACATTGGGTAGTCTGAGATAGTTAGCACCAAAAGTCAAGTAATCCTATTTGAGGTAACTCTCTTTTGTTCACATATCCCAATCTTGCATAAGATCATTCTGTTCTCATCGTATTAGAAGAAACAGAAAAGCCAAAATCAGATGATTTGAGTACTTTTCATCTTTTCTTCTTATTTTTAAAAAACAGGTGTTTTGGTGTTTTGGCCAGGCGCAGTGGCTCACGCCTGTAATCCCAGCACTTTCGGAGGCCGAGGTGGGCGGATCACGAGGTCAGGAGATCGAGACCATCCTGGCTAACACAGTGAAACCCCGTCTCTACTAAAAATACAAAAAATTAGCTGGGTGAGGTGGCGGGCACCTGTAATCCCAGCTACTCGGGAGGCTGAGGCAGGAGAATGGCGTGAACCCCAGGGGGTGGAGCCTGCAGTGAGCCGAGATCGTGCCACTGCACTCCAGCCTGGGCGACAGCAACACTCCATCTCAAAAAAAAAAAAAAAGTGTTCTAAGAGCTATTTTAGTTCCCAAAGCCATAACCACAGTATTTTTTAATTAACTGGAAGTATTTGTTTAACCAATTTCTCTTTTTGAAAAGATCCTTCAAAAATGGGTCTTACTAATGTTGCCTTGGATATAAAAAGCAATGAGTATAAAATCTGTAGTTTGATGACATTTTTTCCCTTAAGAAATTTATGGATGTGTTAGCAGAATATAGCATGATCTCCTGAACTCTCTGTAGTTAATATTTCAGTCAGTATTAGGAGTTGCTTCATTGACCTTGAAAATTTTCTTGTTCATGGTTGGGCACAGTGACTCATGCCTGTAATCCCAGCACTTTGGGAGGCCGAGCCAGGCGGATCACCTGAGGTTGGGAATTGGAGTCCAGCCTGACCAACATGGAGAAACCCCATGTCTACTAAAAATACAAAATTAGCTGGGTGTGGTGGTGCATGCTTGTAATCCCAGCTACTCAGGAGGCTGAGGCAGGAGAATTGCTTGAACCCGGGAGGTGGAGGTTGTGGTGAGCAGAGATCATGCCATTGCACTCCAGCCTGGGCAACAAGAGCGAAACTCCATTTCCAAAAAAAAAAAAAAAAAAAGAAAATTTTACTGTTCACTCTTACAGGACCTCAAGCCATTCTGTTTTTATGGTCCCTCCTACTTTCCCTTTTGTTTCAGATTATCCCCTTTATCTGACCTATTTGTTGGAGTGGAGAATCCAGTTCTTCTTTGAGTGGTGCTTTTGATTCAGGATAGGCAACTATCTTAATATTAGGAGCCAGGATCTGTTTTATGCCTCATCTCATGCAGCTTTCTTTAATGCTATTTAGAGACTTCCTTGTTAGATGGATTTTTTTTAAAATATATTTTTAAGAGACAGAATCTCATTCTGTTGCCCAGGCTGGAGTGCAGTGGCTGTATCATAGCTTACTACAGCCTAGAACTACTGGGCTCAAGTGATCCTCCCACTTCCTCCTGAGGAGCTGGGACTACAGGCGCATGCCACAGCACCTAGCTAATTTTTTTTTTTTTTTTTTTTAAGACAGAGTCTTGCTATGTTGCCCAGGCTGGTCTTGAACTCCTGGGTTCAGGTGATCCTCCCACCTCAGCCTCCCAAAGTGCTGGGATTATAGGCATGAGCCACTACACCCAGCCCAGATGGATTTTTGAAAAGCCTTTCTTATTTCCAGAGTCAGAGGTATAAAAGTCTCAATGAACAGCGTACTCAGCCCTAACCTTAGCTGTGAGCATCAGACTTAGAATCTTTGTAGATAAAGAGAAACAGGTAACTGAAGCTATATGGATAAAGGAAGGACCCAAATACTGCATATCTTAGATTCAAGAGTACATCATTATATTGTCAATAAATTTTTAGTAACATGTCTCCTTTGCCCCTCAGATGTCTCCGTTCTTTTTATTTTTTCTTCTTTTTTTTTTATTTTTATTTTTGTGGGAGACGGGGTCTCACTCTGTTGCCCAGGCTAGAGTGCAGTGGCACGATCGTGGCTCACTGCAGCCCCAATCTCTTGGGCTTAAGTGATCCTCCCATATCAGCCTCCCAAGTAACTGGGACTACATGCATGTGCCACCACGACTGGTTGGTTCTGTACCTCTTGTACCTGACTGTCATCAGCATTAAGCCAAGGAAATACTGCCAATCTCTTGTTTATCAGTTTCTGTAAACTTTTTTTTTTTTTTTGAGATGGAGTCTCGCTCTGTCACCCAGGCTGCAGTGCAGTGGCGCGATCTTGGCTCACTGCACCCTCTGCCTCCCAGGTTCACCTGATTCTCTCATGCTTCAGCCTCCCAAGTAGCTGGGACTACAGGCACGTTCCACCACGCCCAGCTAACTTTTTGTTTGTTTGTTTGTTTTTGAGACGGAGCTTCGCTCTTGTTGCCCAGGCTGGAGTGCAATGATGTGATCTTGGTTCACCGCAACATCTGCCTCCTAGGTTCAAGGGATTCTCCTGCCTCAGCCTCCCAAGTAGCTGGGATTACAGGCATGTGCCACCACACCTGACTAATTTTGTATTTTTAGTAGAGATGGGGTTTCTCCATGTTGGTCAGGCTGGTCTTGAGCTCCTGACCTCAGGTGATCCACCTGCCTTGGCCCCCCAAAGTGCTGGGATTACAGGTGTGAGCCACCTCGCCCAGCCTTTGTTTGTTTTTTTGAGACGTAGTCTCGACCTGTCACCCAGGCTGGAGTGCAGTGGAGCAATCTCCACTTACTGCGACCTCTGCCTCTCGGGTTCAAGCGATTCTCCTGCCTCAGCCTGCCAAGTAGCTGGGACTGCAGGCGCGTGCCACCATGCCTGGCTAATTTTTTGTATTTTTAGTAGAGACGGGGTTTCCCCGTGTTAGCCAGGATGGTCTCAATCTTCTGACCTCGTGATCTGCCTGTCTCGGCCTCCCAAAGTGCTAGGATTACAGGCGTGAGCCACTGTACCTGGCCCGTAAACTTTTTTTTTTAACTGAGGTATAATGTACATACAGAAAAGTAGTTTAATTGTAAGGTGACCACCCAGATAGAGATATAGAAGACCCAGAAGTCTTTTTTTGTTTTTTGAGACAGAATCTTGCTCTGTCGCCCATGCTGGAGTGCGGCGGCACGAATTCAGCTCACTGCAACCTCTGCCTTCTGGGTTGAAGCGATTTTCTTGCCTCAGCCTCCTGAGTAGCTAGAACTGCAGGCGTGTGCCACCACACCTGGCTAATTTTTGTATTTTTAGTAGAGACGAGGTTTCACCATGTTGGCCAGGCTGGTTTTGAACTCCTGACCTCAAGTGATCTGCCCGCCTCAACCTCCCAAAGTGCTGGGATTACAAGCGTAAGCCACATGCTCAGTCCCAGAAGTCTGTTTTATGTTCTCTCCTAGTCATTACCCTCCTCCACTCCAACAGGTAGCCACTATTCTGACTTCCTCTGGTAGTATTTGTGTTCAACTACAAGCTTGAGACTTGGTAATAATTGCCACAAACCTCCTTGAAGATAAAGTCATGTTGGTGGTGTTTAATATAGTGGTTCCAGTTAGTATGGGGACATTTTTTGGGTTTTTTTTTTTTTTTTTTTTTTTTTTTAGATGGAGTCTTGTTCAGTCACCCAGGCCAAGTGCAGTGGTGCGATCTCGGCTCACTGCAGCCCCCGCCTCCCAGGTTCAAGCGATTCTCCCGTCTCAGCCTCCTGAGTAGCTGGGATTACGGGCACCTGCCACGATGCCTGGCTAATTTTTATATTTTCAGTAGAGATGGGATTTCACCATGTTGACCAGGCTGTTCTCGAACTCCTGACCCTGTGATCCACCCACCTTGGCCTCCAAAGTGCTGGGATTACAGGCATGAGCCAGTGTGCCTGGCCAAGAATAAACTTTTCTAAAAGTTCAGTTTTACTTAGGGGAAGGGGTAAACTTATTTTATTTTTTTTTTTGAGACAGAGTCTTGCTCTGTTGCCCAGGCTGGAGTGCAGTGTTGTGATCTCGGCTCACTGCAACCTCTGCCTCCTGCAGCTCAAGCAATCCTCCCACTTCAGCCTCTTGAGTAGCTGGGACTACAGGCATGTGCCACCCTGCCCAGCTAACTTTTTGTCTTTTTTTGTAGAGACTGGGTTTCGGCATGTCACCCAGGCTGGTGTGAAACTTCTGGGCTCAAGTGATCTGCCTGCCTCAGTCTCCCAAAGTGCTGGGATTACAGATGTGAGCCGGCCCGTGCCCAGCTGGGATAAACTTTTTAAGGTGAACATTTACTGCCCTGTAAAATGATAAGCCTGCCTACTATACCAAATCCTCGTAACAACAGTCAGAATTTTGACAAATCTTTATGTCACTGAATTGAAGAAAAGTGTCACTGTTTTTCCTGTAGGTTCCATGTGCTCATCAATGCTAATGGGCAAATCTCAGCTAATAGACTGCTAGAAGTTTCCTCTAGGTAAAATCCAGACCAGACAAGTTTTTCCTCTTGTACTGTGTTTAGGTACAGCCTCACAGAACTTGATCCACTCCTCTGCATGAATATTTTCTTCCCTCATTTCAATAAAGAAGATTTCTTGGCCGGGCGCAGTGGCTCACACCTATAATCCCAGCACTTTGGGAGGCCGAGGCGGGTGGATCACGAGGTCAGGAGTTCAAGATCAGCTTGGCCAACATTGTGAAACCCCGTCTCTACTAAAAATACAAAAATTAGCCAGGCGTGGTGGCACGTGCCTGTAGTCCCAGCTACTTGGGAGGCGGAGGTAGGATAATTGCCCGAACCCGGGAGGCAGAGGTTGCAATAAGCCAAGATGGCACAACTGCACTCCAGCCTGGGTGACACAGGGAGACTGTCTCAAAAAAAAAAAAAAAAAAAAAAGGTTTCTTACAAGTCTACTGGATACTGTCTAATGTTGGGCCCATTTTGATGACAAAATTATTTTATAATATTGTTGGACAGAAGCGATGAATGTCCAGAATTTCACATTGGCATATCTTATCCATCAATTCTGATTTTAAACTCCTTGACCATTTACTAGTCAATTGTTATGAGCAGCTATGTATTCATGTATCCCTCTACAGTCTAGAGAGTTCTAGGTGAGTGATGATGCTTTGACCCTGAAAGACCCCTTTACTTATCAGTTTATTTATTTTTCCCTTGGATTCAATAGGAGGGAATACTTATTAGTATGTTTAATATTTGGTCAGCTAGATCTTTTTTCCTAGATATCTGATCTTTAGCCTTTAGTGTGTCTTACCTTAACTAGTGGTAGTGTTCTATATACTATAATAGTCTTGTTACCTGTTTTACTCTTGAGTTTTGTGAGTGACTTATGCTGCTTCTAGCTAGGCCTGGGGATTCTGTCCCTAATTGTCTTGTCTTTTCTTTTTTTTTTTTTTTTTTTTTTGAGACGGAGTCTCACTCTGTTGCCAGGCTAGAGTGCAGTGAAATGATCTCGGCTCACTGCAACCTCCGCCTCCTGGGTTTAAGCAATTCTCCTGCCTCAGCCTCCCGAGTAGCTGGGACTACAGGCGTCTGCCACCGCCATGCCTGGCTAATTTTTGTGTTTTTAGTAGATACGGGGCTTCACCATGTTGGCCAGGATGGTCTCGATTTCTTGACCTCATGATCCGCCCGCCTCAGCCTCCCAAAGTGCTAGGATTACAGGCATGAGCCACTGCACCCGGCCATAAACTCTGTCCCTAATTTTCATTGTGCTTATGTCTTTTAGTAATTATGTTAAATCTAGCCATTCCTTTTATTTTTAAATTTTAGTCAGTTTTTGGATAGGTGATATATGCACATGGTACAGAATTTACAATTGGAAAAAGTTTACAGTAAAAAAGGACATCTCTTTCTTTGGAGACAGAACTTAATCTACTTCTTTTCCCTCCCCTCCCCCCCCCCCATACTTACCTCCTCTTACCCTTCCCCTCTCCTTTTTCCTTCCCTTTGCCTCTCCCCCCCACCTCTTTTTTTTTTTTTTTTTTTTTTTTAAACGAGACAGAGTTTCACTTTTGTTGCCCAGGCTGGAGTGCAGTGGCACGATCTCAGCTCACTACAAACTCTGCCTCCTGGGCTCAAGCAGTTCTCCTGCCTCAACCTCCCAAGTAGCTGGGATTTACAGGTGCCCGCCACCACACCTAGCTAATTTTTTATATTTTGAGTAGGGATGGGGTTTCACCATGCTGGCCAGGCTGGTCTTGAACTGCTGACCTCAAGTGACCCACCCACCTTGGCCTCCCAAAATGCTGGGATTACTGGCATGAACCACCACTCCCGGCTGCCTTCCCTTTTTTCTTCCCTTTCCTTTTTTTTTCACCTCTTTCTTTCCTTTCCCTTCCCTTTTTCCTTTCCTTTCTTTTCCTTTTTTATTTGTGTGTTTCTTTGAGGCGGAATCTCGCTGTCGCCCAGGCTGGAGTGCAATGGTGCGATCTCAGCTCACTGCAAACTCCGCCTCCCAGGTTCAAGCAGTTCTCCTTCCTCAGCCTCCTGAGTAGTTGGGATTACAGGTGCCCACCACCACACCTGGCTAATTTTTGTATTTTTAGTAGAGACGGGGTTTTGCCATGTTGGTCAGGCTGGTCTTGAACTCCTGACCTCAGGTGATCCTCCCACCTCGGCCTCCCAAAGCGCTGGGATTATAGGTGTGAGCCACCGCACCTGTCGGCACATTTTATTAAAGAAAAACTTTGCATGGTTTACTTTTTGCCAGTCTGTTCTGGCATGCGTTTAATGATAGCAGAATCACCTGGGTTAACGATAGCCAGTGTACAAACTCTGTAGTATTTTCTACATGCCTTACAGTTATTGTCACTGTAATGATGGATGCCAGTTTTGGCCAACATGGTGTTTAGTACTCTGTTTTGGATTTCCTTAAAGATGGGCAGTTGGTGAGGATGACCAATTTCACTTTAAATAAGTTGGAGCCTAGAGTTGATCAACTCCAGCCGCTTTTTCATCCTCTGCGGCCACCAGCTTTCTGTCTTAGGTTCAGGATGGCCCCCAACCAAGAGCAGCTGCCAGGCTGGCTGGGAAGCAAGAAAGCCTGTTTCTTGTTCTGTCGTTTTTTTTTTTTTTTTTGAGACGGAGTCTTGTTCTTTCGCCTAGGCTGGAGTGCAGTGGTGTGATCTTGGCTCACTGCAACCTCTGCCTCCTGGGTTTATGCGATTCTTCTGCCTCAGCCTCCTGAGTAGCTGGGACTACAGGTGCGTGCCACCACGTCCGGCTAATTTTTTGTATTTTTAGGAGAGACGGGGTCTCACTGTGTTAGCCAGGATGGTCTTGATCTCTTGACTTTGTGATCACTCGCCTCGGCCTCCCATAGTGTTGGGATTACAGGTGTGAGCCACCACACCAGGCCTCTTATCTTTCTTTTTTTTTCTTTTTTTTTTTTTTGAAACAGAGTTTCGCTCTTGTTGCCCAGGCTGGAGTGCAATGGCGCGATCTTGGCTCACTGCAACCTCTGCCTCCCGGGTTTAAGTGATTCTTCTGTCTCAGCCTCCCGAGTGGCTGGGATTGCAGGCATGCCCCCATGCCTGGCTAATTTTTTGTATCTTTAGTAAAGACAAGTTTCTCCATGTTAGTCAGGCTGGTCTCCAACTCCCGACCTCAGGTGATCTGCCCACCTTGGCCTCCCAAAGTGCTGAGATTACAGGCGTGAGCCACCGCGCCCCACTGGCCTCTTATCTTTCTATTGATAATGTAGATGTTTGTAAATTTCCTGTGACTTTTTTTATTTTGTATTCTGAAGAACTTACATACCCAAATAGAGTACAAAGTAATTAACTTTCATGTGCCCACCACAAGCTTCAAAAATTACTAACATTTTGCTATTCTTTACAGTTAATTTTAATGTTGAAAATACAGAGAACATATGAAAATAAGTAACATGTGAGTGTATTTTAAATTTGACGTTCACGCATCTACAACTTTCCTCTTGCCAGCTGTTTCCTTTTATGTTGTCTCCATCTTTCTCATTAGTGTAATTATGAGGGGGGTTAATTGTGTGATTGTCTTGAAATTCCGATAATTGGATGGCTCACAAGTCTACCAAGTTTGAGTGAAGTAAATTCTGAACTTGCCTGCCCAGAGTGATTTATAAATATACATGGTACATTCTTTGTTTTGTGTGTTTTTTTTTTTTTTTTTTTTTTTGGAGACGGGGTTTCGCTCTTGTTGCCCAGGCTGGAGTGCAATGGCACGATCTCGGTTCACCAGAACGTCCGCCTCCTGGGTTCAAGCAATTCTCCTGCCTCAGCCCACCGAGTAGCTGGGATTACAGGGATGTGCCACCACGCCCTGCTAATTTTGTATTTTTAGTAGAGATAGGTTTTTTCCATGTTGGTCAGGCTTGTCTCGAACTCCCGACCTCAGGTGAGCCACCACACCCGGCCTGATACATTCTATTTTTATTCAATAATTAGATCTAGTTCTAGTATAGCCTGTTGAACATAGCAATTCAGTGAGGTGATTATTAAAGTGGAGGGCAAATTAAAAGATTTATGGAAGTCACTGACTGTATGGCTGTGATAACTTACATTTTAGTCTTAGGTTTTCTATTATTACTCCTCATGGTTTGGGGCTCTTAAGTCAGAGATTGAGTAGAACGTCACTATATAGAGGGTAGCTATATATTTTTTTCTTTTTTGCATTGTTTATGATTTCAGAGGATAAAGATAAGAGCAACCTTCACAACAGAAGTGAAAGATGAGAAGCTTAATGTAGAGTAAAATGTCTGAAGCTCTAAGTGAAACTGTTGATAAGCTGGGATTTCTACTCTTGGAACGCTAGAGAGGAAGAGACACTTAGATACTTAGTAACAGCAAAAAGCCAGGCCAAAAAGTAGAACTCAAGTGCTTAGAAACTCTGTGGCAAAAGAGATAAACGTGACTACTAAAACTACTTTCTCTTTCGTCTGTGGCACTTAGTTGATAACAGTTGTTAGCACATTTAGATGTTCAAGTTTAATTTTTGTTGTCAGAAAAGTATGAACATTTGTGACTTGCCTAAAAAGAACTTGGTCCCCCTGCAAAGATAGAGGGAAGGTACAGATCGGAGTGAATGAAAATAATCAGCAATCAAGTATTAAGAAATGAAGTATTTGCACACCTCATCACTGGGAATCAATAGCATGCTGCTGATACAGGATGAGAATAAGTTAGGGATTTAGGACTATTCTAGTTAGGTACTATCTTGTAGACACTACTAGAGATACTTTGTCTTTTGGAAGACAGAAATTATTCTGTAGGTATTAAATACTAATATAATGCTCCATATGATTTTCATGGTTTTTTTTCCAAGGATAGGCAGTGGAATCCCCCAGTTGCCTTAGGAAAATGTATACCACCCTTACAGAAGAGATTGGCCTAGACACATCTTGTGCTGTATGATAAATGAAAAAGTTGATCTGTTTATTTTCTCTGTTCCTGTATGATGATTAAGTCATTGAGTAGTGTATGGCAGTAATTTTTTTTTTTTTTTTGAGATAGAGCCTCACTGTGTTGCCCAGGCTGGAGTGCAGTGGCGCGATCTCAGCTCACTGCAACCTCCGCCTCCCAGGTTCAAGTGATTCTCCTGCCTTAACCTCCTGATTAGCTGGGATTACAGGTGCCTGCCACCATGCCCGGCTAATTTTTGTATTTTTAGTAGAGACAGGGTTTCACCATGTTGGCCACGGTGGTTTCCAACTCCTGTCCTCAAGTGATCCAGCTGCCTTGGCCTCCCAGAGTACTGAGATTACAGGCATGAACCACCACACCCAGCCTGCAGTAATTTTTTATGCTTATTTGCAATACTTGAGTCAATAGAAGTCTTGAAGGCCTCTACAGTTATCTTACTTCCTGTAAACCCATAATGAGTTAACACATTAAGGAATATGCTTTGACTGTGTACAGTGGCACACACCTTAGTCCCAGCCACTGGGACAACACAGCGAAACCTTGTCTCTTTAAAAAAAATAAAATAGGAGTACTACTTTGAGAACAGTACTCCCTAATTTAAATGCTGTCTCAGGACTCGAAGTCTTGTTCTCATTTCTTGTGTCTGTGTTAAGAACTAGTCCATATTCTGCATTATAAGGTAGTGTACCTAGTTTTTACTTTAGCCAAAATTTTGATAAATACATCTTCCCAAATAGTGGTAGACACTTACTTCACTTGTCAATCAATCAGTCATTGATTGGTAACTCCCAAGTGATTGAAAACTGACTTCCCTTGTTAGACTAAACTGCCTTTTTCCAGAGAACTCAGCAGTGCACATTAGGTTGGGTGTGATTCCCAATTTGTGTATCAGGGATTGGGAAAGCAAATGGTTTTCTTTGTATTAGTGCTTGATTGCCTGGTGTGCTATTTCTAAACATGTGGAGAGGAATCCTCATCTCCAAAGAACTGATGTTTTCTTTTGACCAGTTGAGCTATTTTCTGTTTAATGAAGAAAAAATGTAACTTTTTGACCATATGAATGGGGTTTGGCTGTTCTGTGATCTGATTTGTTGTTGTAATAGTAATTTTGAAGCATTGTGGTCTGATTTCTCCAAATAGACTGGACCGACTCAAAGCAGACAGGACTATAAGAAGTAGGAGAGGACTAACAGCTAGATAAACAAATTTTGGCTTGTATTATTGGACACCAGTGAATAATTTTAAGTGTAAGTTAACCATTTAGCCATGTTTCAGCATAATGTTGGCTTTTTAAAAAAACAGCTATTTTTCGGCCAGACGCAGTGGCTCATGCCTGTAATCCCAGTGCTTTGGGAGGCTGAGGTGGGCGGATCATGAGGTCAGAAGATTGAGACCATCCTCGCTAACACAGTGAAACCCCGTCTCTACTAAAAATACGAAAAAAAAAAAAATTAGCCGGGCGTGTTGGCAGGCACCTGTAGTCCCAGCTAGTCGAGAGGCTGAGGTCCCAGCTAGTCGGGAAGCTCAGACAGGAGAATGGCGTGAACCCGGGAGGCAGAGCTTGCACTAAGCTGAGATAGCGCCACTGCACTCCAGCCTGGGCGACAGAGCGAGACTCCGTCTCAAAAAAAAAAAAAAAAAAAAAAAGGAAAACTATTTTTCAGCGTTTGTAATGGTTCTAATACTGATCTGATTGCTGAGTCCAAGGATATACAGTCATGCCTCACGTAATGGTAGTCCCATAAGGTTGTAACATCATACTTTTGCCATACATTTTCTATGTTTAGATATGTTTAAACAAATACTTACCATTGTGTTATAATTGCCAGTATAGTAACAGACTATACTATATAGGTTTATAGCCTAGGAGCAATAGGCTATACCATCTAGGTTTGTTTAAATACACTTTACAATGTTCACACAACGGTGAAATCACCTAATCATGTATTTTTCAGAATGTATCCCTGTTGTTAAGCAACACATAACTGTATGTTAAAATGGGGACAAAGATTTAACAAGTTATTTATAAAATTTGTAAAGGGCAAAGATAACGACTGTTTTTGCCAGTTTATGATATTACTGAGTTTTTGTTAAGTGGTTCTATGAAGTTTACATTTCTTTTGTAGGAGTACCTTTAAGCATTCAGTTGCAATCAATTTGAACTCTGTTGCCTAAGCCTGGATATCACCTCTTTTCTTATGCTATTCTTTGTGATTTGATCCTCCCAGACAGCATTTATCAAATTCTTTTTGTATCTAGGTTGTACATCTTTAGATCTTTAGTCTTCCTTTTTTTTTTTTTTTTTTGGAGACGGAGTCTTGCTCTGTCGCCCAGGCTGGAGAGCAGTGGCGCCGTCTTGGCTCACTGCAAGCTCCGCCTCCTGGGTTCACACCATTCTTCTGCCTCAGCCTCCTGAGTAGCTGGGACTACAGGTGCCCACCACCACGCCCGGCTAATTTTTTTGTCTTTTTAGTAGAGATGGGGTTTCACCATGTTAGCCAGGATGGTCTCAATCTCCTCGTGATCCACCCACCTTGGCCTCCCAAAGTGCTGGGATTACAGGCATGAGCCACCGCGCCCAGCCCACACTCAGCTAGTTTTTGTATTTTTAGTAGAGACGGGGTTTCACCATGTTGGCCAGGCTGGTCTCGAACTCCTAACCTCAGATGATCCACCTGCCTCTGCCTCCCAAAGTGCTAGGATTGCAAGTGTGAGCCACCATGCCCAGCCCCTTTTTTAAAATTTAAATATTTTTCCTTTACTTGTCACTGACTTGAAGCTCATGTCCTTAGCTTTTCAGAAGTAGTCCTGGGTGAAATCATCTATGAGTGGAGATCATACATGTCTGTCAGAGACTTTATGTGTTTTTACTTCCATCATATTTGGCTAATATTTTCTTTAATCCAGTGGGTAAAGTGGAGATTGGCAAGGCAAGCATGGTTACCCTGGAGAACTGGGCTTTTGAGTGCTGAGAAATGCTCAAGGCATCGTGGTATAGTGGAAAGCATATGGGCTTTGGAGCCAGCCTCTAATTGTGAGCTGTATGAGTGACTTCATTTAAGCTTTTTAAAATTTCACTGAATTAATTTCCATATCCAGAAGATGGAGAACAGGGCCGGGCACATTGGCTCACACCTGTAATCTCAGCACTTTGGGAGGCCGAAGCGGGAGGATCTCTTCAGGCCAGTAGTTTGAGACCAGCCTGGCCAACATGGTGAAACCCTGTCTCTACTAAAAATACAAAAATTAGCTGGGTGTGGTGGCAGGCCCGTGTAATCCCAGCTGCTTGGGAGGCTGAGGCAGGAGAATTGCTTCAGCCCGGGAGGCAGAGGTTGCAGTGAGCTGAGATCGCACCATTGCACTCCAGCTGGGCAACGGAGCGAGACTGTCTCGAAAAAAAGAAATAAATAAAAAGAAAATGGAGAAAAGATCCTACCTTCCTGGCTTGGTGCATTAAATGCTCAGTGAATGTAGATCTTTTTCTTAACTTTAGATAATTTGGTATTCTTTAGGGTATCACAACTTGAGTAATATTTACCAAGAGGAAGTTTTTTTGTTTTTGTTTTTGAGATGAAGTCTCACTCTTGTCCCCCAGGCTGGAGTGCAGTGGCACGATCTCGGCTCACTGCAGCGTCATCCTCCCAGGTTCAGACGATTCTCCTGCCTCAGCCTCCCCAGTAGCTGGGATTACAGGCACCTGCCACCATGCCCGGCTAATTTTTTTTTTGAGGTGGAGTCTCGCTCTGTCGCCCAGGCTGGAGTGCAGTGGAGCGATCTCAGCTCACTGCAAGCTCTGCCTCCCGGGTTCAGGCCATTCTCCCGCCTCAGCCTCCGGAGTAGCTGGGACTACAGGCACCCGCCATCACCACGCCTGGCTAATTTTTTTGTATTTTTAGTAGAGACGGGTTTCACCGTGTTAGCCAGAATGGTCTTGATCTCCTGACCTCGTGATCTGCCCGCCTCGGCCTCCCAAAGTGCTGGGATTATAGGCATGAGCCACTGTGCCTGCAACGCCAGGCTAATTTTTGTATTTTTAGTAGAGATGGGGTTTCACCGTGTTGGCCAGGCTGGTGTCGAACTCCGGGCCTCAGGTGGTCTGCCCGCCTCAGCCTCCCAAAGTGCTGGGATTATAGGCGTGAGCCACCACGCCTGGCAAAGAGGAAGTATTTTTAAATTTAGTTTTCACCTCACACAATTAAGTACTTTGGTTTTGGGTGAGTATGATTTAGCTGAAAAGAGTAGGGTCTCTGCCCACTATATAGTTCTTAATTTTCCAAGGCTCTGAAGGTACCTCTGGACTACTAATCAATCCAACATATAGAGGGAGATATAGTAAACGTAGAGTACTGCCTCAGCCTCTACAATGTTGAAGATTTAACTCATGGCAATCAATGGTAATTGCTACAGACAGCTTAATTGTATCTAAGCTTTTTATATTAAAAACTGATAAAAAAGAAAAAAAAAAAAGACCAGTGCAGTCAGATGTATTCAGCAGACTCACGTGGGAATTATCTTTGAATGGGTTGTTAAAAAATAGACAATCATACTTACCATCATCAACATGGAACTAGTGAGCTTCAGTTTAAAATTCATAATTGGTTTCCTGTGGAAATGTGATGAATGAGAAGAAATAATCTATTTTGCTTGCGACATTTATCATGTTTTCCTTTATGTTGTAAAATGATAGCAGTGTCTAGATCTGGATACCTCTGATGGTCTCCTATTAAGAGGACCTTATTGTGACTGAGATAGTACGGTATCAACCACTTGAAGCTCATGTTGTGTTGTAGATAAAGGGTTTTCCTTTGTAGTTTGTAAATTGTTGAATTTCTTATGCCAGTGGCCAGTACTACTTAGTTTTGATTTAGCTCGGTGTTAGTTTTCTGAAAATTGAAGTTAATATTATATGGCTCAGGAAAACTTTTATTTAGAAATAATATTTTTGCGTAGGGTGAAGATTATTTTTCTCCATGTTTGCTAGAAACTTTAATATTTGAGAACAAGGGCTTTGTGAGAGACTCTGATGGAGGCAGTAATTATGATGTGAATTTCAGAGGTCCAAATGAGGCAAGCATTTGGAATGACATATTCATGGGAGATATCAGTTGAAAAGTAAGAAAATCCCTCCCCCCTTGTTATTCCTTGTTACAATTTATAACTAGTTGATCAGATAGAGAAAGATCCTAGAGCAAAGGTCCTCAGCCAATAGATCTCCAAGAAAACAATTACCATTGCCCTTCTTCCTCTTTGGTTTACTTAGATTTCTTCCCCACTATTTTCTGACCCCATATCAGCACTTTGGGGAAGTGAAAAGTCCTTATAAAATGATTGGAACAAGTTGCTCTAAAACAGGAAAGGGAAAGTTAATCAGAGACCAGGCTTAGGTATGTCTAGCATCTGGATTTGTCTATAGAATGACATAGGGATGTGTGTGTGGTAAGTGGGATGTGGTAGGTGAGGAGGTGCTAGAATGCAAAGAGTAAAGTGTTCTAGCTATGACACAGGAAAGTGGAATAATATTGCAATCATACTATGGCTGGGCTTAAAGCATTAAAAAATTTTTAAATTGCAGTAAAATATACATAACAAAGGCCTAAGCTGTTTTTAAAGAATGCATGGGTACTGTCTTGACTACTTTGCTGTGAAACCTTGCTATGCTTTGTGTTAGGTGCGGATTCAGCTGCCCTGAACGGTGTCAATGGATCGGGTTAAATCAGATGTCCTATCTGTGGGACAGCTTCAGGAAAAAAGAAAAATTAGTGAATACACCTGCTGTCTTATTAGTACCTGTTCCCTAGCACTAGCAATAGGGATAAAGAAAAGAAGTTTGGTGGGCAGTATGTCTTCATTTTGTTATAATTTGGGGTGTGCTTTGGTATTGATGCTGTGATTTCCTATCTTGGATGTTGGCTTTGGAAACTAAACAGTTAAAGCATCATGATTTGAGAGGAAACTAGCTCTCATTCATGAAGACAAAGTTTGGCACTAGGCTGCAATGATGGGGGGATAGTTAGGGTGGGGAGACTAACAGACTTTTTTGTACCACAAATGACTTTTAAAAATTAAGAGATAATTCCATGTCCTGAGGTTATAAACCGGCTACAACTGGTTTTTCTCTCCCTCCCTCCTGTCCCCGCTAGGCATCATGGGTAAAAGTAAGCATCCCCCTGTTTCTTTTGTTTAATATAACAGTACACCATGTGATTGGCAGGGCAGTGCCCGCTTGGAGACCGGGTTTGTGCAGGGCTCTCAAGGGGGCTGGCACGCATGGGGGCCACCTCTGTGCTACAGAAAGAGCTTCTCTTACGGTAGAAAAGAGACGATAGAACAGAGAAAGAAAGGGGACCCTCCACACACACACGACCCTCCACACACACACACACACACGAAAAAAACCTAAACCCATCTCATTATTTTCCTCCTTTTTCTGTTCTCTTTCTCTATTTCTTATCTCTCTCACTTTTCTGGAAGCTAGAGGAAGGAACGGAAAAATGTATACCTCTAAGTAGTTTTAACTGTCTTGCCCTCCCCAATCCTTATTTTTCTTTGCTAAAAGCAGAAACTCGAAATCTCTTCTGAGTTCTTTCTAGTAG
This sequence comes from Homo sapiens, assembly GCF_000001405.40. Classification (NCBI taxonomy): domain Eukaryota; kingdom Metazoa; phylum Chordata; class Mammalia; order Primates; family Hominidae; genus Homo; species Homo sapiens. Next base: position 153,881,576 of record NC_000001.11, on the reverse strand, counting down.
TTTTTGGCTATGTGTAGAAGGTAATATGCTGAGGTTTCTAATGGGATTGAAGTAATAAACACTGTTGCTTTAAAAAAATTTGTTGCAGAATTATTGTTTCTCATACAAAGCTCCTTTCGGTTTGGATCTTCTTTCCCTCTGCTTCATCCATTTGCTATAATGGTAAGGGTCTCTGGCTTCTAGTTGTCTTCAAGCTGAAGCAATAAGGAGAGTGTTTTATTAAGGTTTTCTCTTTCTCCTTCCTCCCCTTTTTAAAATTTCTTTTGTCTGTAGCAGTGATGGTTCTAGCCTCCCCCTTACCCTCTCTACCCCTCCCCTTTTCCATGTCAGCTCCAACCCTGCTCTGTGAATGGAGTCAACCAGCTGACTGAGTGTTGGCATCATGCCAGGGGCTGCAAAGCAATGAGAATGTGCGCGCGCTCGTGTGTGTAAGTGTATACAGAACACAAAGGGAAAGGCCTGCAGTCTAGGAAATCACAGGCCATTATATAAGGAAGTCTGCGTCATCTCTGCTTGCTTGGGCTGATGGACAAGGAGAGGGAGGGGGGAGGCTTAGAGCAAGAAAAATACCCTTTTGACACATCCACACATACACTTTTTTCCTTGCTGTCTTAGAAAGAAAAAGGTATTTGTGTTGTGGCAAAACGAGAGAGCTTCTGTGTGCAAGTGTTATTGACCATGTTCCTAGTAGAAGTAGTAACTGTCCTGGATCTCCTTTTTTATTTTTTTATTTTTTTGAGACAGGGTCTCTGTCACCCAAGCTGGAGTGCAGTGATGTGATCACGGCTCACTGCAACCTTGACCTCCTGGGTTCAAGCTATCCTCCCAACTCAGCCTCTTGAGTAGCTGGGACTGCAGGCGTGTACCACCACACCTGGCTAATTTTTGTATTTTTTATTGAAATTTGGTCTTCCTGTGTTGTCCAGGCTGGTGGGTCTCTTCTTTCTGTTCCCATTCAAAGGTGTATGTGCTTGAGAAAAGAATGATTAAAAGAGAAATGCCTCCTGGATTTTACAGCTGTAGTTTGTTAAGATACTTAGGGGTGAGGAGCAAGGAGGCAGGGGACAGGCCACATTGTGTGGCTTTTTTGTTTTTTGTTTTTGTTTTTGTTTTTGACAGTCTCACTTGGTAGCCCAGGCTGGAGTGCAGTGGTGTGATCTTTGCTCATTGCAACCCCTGCCTCCCAGGTTCAAGTGATTTTTGTGCCTCTGCCTCCCGAGAAGCTGAGATTACAGGTGCCCACCACCACACCCGGCTAATTTTTGTAATTTTTTTTTAGTAGAGACAGGGTTTCACCATGTTGGTCAGGCTGGTCTCGATCTCCTGACCTCAAGTCATCCACCTGCCTCGGCCCCCACGGTGCTGGAATTACAGGCGTGAGCCACTGCGCTTGGCCGACTGTTTCTAATCATTCAGAATTGCCAAGGGTACAGGGGTGGGTGGGGGAGAGGGGTTGTTCTTAAGGAGAAGCAAAAAGCCAGATAATAGAGCAAGTAATATCTATTAACTACTCATTCGAGACTCCCCCTTCTTTTTTATTTCTTCTTTTCTGTTTAGTATGATATTATCAAAATGCGGTATTCTTTCCCTGCCATCTGCCAGAGTTAGAATTGTACAAAAGGACAGTCAAACAGCACATGGAAGGAAGGAAAAATTAGAGATTGTTCTAAGTGTCCATGCATTGCAAGTGTTACAATTTTGGGGTTCAGTTGTAGTGATTGTGTCTTTCATTGGCAATTAGGGGATCAGCATTCATTTAGAAATTATAATTCTGCTCAGTTTAGTATGATGTCTTTTTTTTTTTTTTTTTTTTTGTAGACAGTGTCTCGCTCTGTTGCCAGGCTGGAGTGCAGTGGCGCATTGTTGGCTCGCTGCAACCTCCGACTCCTGGGTTCAAGCGATTCTCCTGCCTCAGCCTCCTGAGTAGTTGGGACTACAGGCCTGCGCCACCATGCCCAGCTAATTTTTGTATTTTTAGTAGAGACGGGGTTTTTACCATGTTGGCCAGGATGGTCTCGATCTCTTGACCTCATAATCCGCCCGTCTTGACTTCCCATAGTTCTGGGATTACAGGCGTGAGCCACTGCACCCGGCCTGATGTCTTTTCTTAAATTCTCTTTATGTGCCTCCTAGGTGTGATATTTATGAAGCAGCTTTTGTGTTAGGTGAAAATGAGAAAGTATATTAAAGAATAAAGTATGGGGCCGAGAGCGGTGGCTCATGCCTGTAATCCCAGCACTTTGGGAGGCCGAGGTGGGTGGATCACATGAGGTCAGGAGTTTGAGATCAGCCTGGCCAACAAGGTGAAACCCTATCTCTACTAAAAATAAAAAAATTGGCCAGGTGTGGTGGCTCATGCCTGTAATCCCAGCACTTTGGGAGGCTGAGGCGGGCGGATCACGAGGTCAGGAGATAAGAGACGATCCTGGCTAAGACAGTGAAACCCTGTCTTTACTGAAAATACAAAAAATTAGCCGGGCGTGGTGGCTTGCGCCTGTAGTCCCAGCTACTCGGGAGGCTGAGGCAGGAGAATCGCTTGAACCCGGGAGGCGGAGGTTGCAGTGAGCCAAGATCGTACCACTGCACTTTCAGCCTGGGCGACAGAGCAAGACTGTCTCAAGAAAAAAAAAAATTAGCCAGGCATGGTGGTGGGCACCTGTAATCCCAACTACTCGGGAGCCTGAGGCAGAAGAATTTCTTGAACCTGGGAGGTGGAGGTTGCAGTGAGCCTAGATTGCACCACTGCACTCCAGCCTGGGCGACACAGCAATACTCTGTCTCAAAAAAAAAAAAAAAAAAAAAGGAATAAAGTATGGGTCACACTGTTACAGTTGGTTTTATGTGAGTTTATTTTTGCTTCTGACCATTCAGAATAACAGCACTGATGGGGAGAGTTGGGAATGAGAGGGAACTTTCAAACTCGTTAATCCTGTAGTAAGAGTTTTTATCAGGTTGCAGTCTAGAGGAAATTCCTTAATTTGATTGGGAACTTGTATATTTTTGTTAAAGCCTGTAAATTTCTCTTCTTGCCACATCTTTACAAGCAATAGTCTTTGAACGTCTGTATTTTTTGGTGTTAATATCTGTGCTTTTTTTCCTTTTGTTAGGAAGTGAATATGAGGTTATTACTTTCTTTAAGGATTGTAGGATGAGCTGGTCACAGTGGCTCACAGCCGTAATCCCAGCACCTTGGGAGACCATCGCAGAATTGCTTGAGCTCAGGAGTTTGAGACCAGCCTGGGCAACATAGGGAGATTCCATCTTTACAAAAAATTAGTCGTGGCATGTGCCTGTGGTCCTAGCTACTCGGGAGGCTGGGGTGGGAGGCTGCAGTGAGCCATGATTGCACCACTGCACTCTAGCCTGGAAAACAAAGTGAGACCCTGTCTCAAAAAAAAAAGAAAAAAAAAAAAAGATTGCAGGATGGGACCTACCACAATGGTTGTTCTGCTTATTCCCCAGGCTGCCTGCAATTATTTCCCCACCCCAAGGAGCTGGAGCCTACTTTTCTAAGTCCCTTTATAAGTAAACTAAGGAGTATTATTTCCTAGTCTGTTGAGTACTGAAAGACAAAATAGCAACAGACCAAACTTGCTACAACCTAGAGGCTAGGTAAAGATTCATTCATTGTTGTTGTGGGATTACCTAGTTCTTAGAAGTAATAATTACCCTTTTTTTTTTTTTTTTTTAAGTTTTTTTGAGATGGAGTCTCACTCTGTTGCCCAGGCTGGAGTGCAGTGGCATGATCTCAGCTCACTGCAGCCTCTGCCTCCTGGATTCAAGTGATCCTCCCACCTCAGCCTCCCAGGTAGCTGGGATTATAAGCATGTGCCACCACACCCGGCTAATTTTCGTATTTTTAGTAGAGACGAGGTTTCACCATGTTGGTCAGGCTGGTCTGGAACTCTTGAGCTCAAGCAGTTGCCCCACCTCAGCCTCCCAAAGTGCTGGGATTACAGGCATGAGCCACCATGTCCAGCTATATCCTTTATTTTTACCTTTTCTCTTGATGTTAGGAGCCAGATTAGTGAGGATAATCTTAGTGATTATGTAGTCATAATCAGCAAGGCATAAACCAGTACCTTCTCTTAAAGGATAGATGAGAAATTTTTTTTTTTTTCTTAACTCTCATAGGCCTTAATTGCTGTTTTGGAGTGGCTGAAGAGTAATTTTGAAGTGTATGTGAAATCTGCCCTTTGGCCACGTCTGTCCCTTTAATTCTATTTATTTATTAGAGACAGGGTCTCACTCTGTTGCCCAGGCTGGAGTGCAGTAGTGTGATCATAGCACACTGCAGCCTTGAACTCCTGGGCTCAAGTGATCCTTTTGCCCCAGCCTCCCAAGTAGCTAGGACTGACTATAGGCATGTCACCATGCCTGGCTAATTTCATTATTATTATTTTTGGTAGAGACAGAGGCTCACTGTTTTTCCCAGGCTGGTCTCAAACTCCTGGCCTTAAGCAGTCCTTCTGCCTTAGCCCCCCAAAGTGCTGGGATTATAGGCATGGGCCAATGCAAAGAACCTTTCACTCTAATACTGCCTGTTCTTCTTTTCTTTTTTGAGGCGGAGTCTCGCCTTTCACCCAGGCTGGAGTGAAGTGGCACGATCTTGGCTCACTGTAACCTCCACCCGCCGCCCTCCCCTCACCAGGTTCGAGTGATTCTCCTGCCTCAGCCTCCCGAGTAGCTGAAATTACAGGCGCCTGCCACCATGCCCAGCTAATTTTTGTATTTTTAGTAGAGACGGGGTTTCACCATGTTGGCCAGGCTGGTCTCAAACTCCTGTCCTCAGGTGATCTGCCCGCCTTGGCCTCCCAAAGTATTGGGATTATAGGCATGAGCCACCGCCCTGACCTCTCATATCACCTTTTCTAAATGATTGTCTGGCACATTTGCTTTCGTGTATGTCAGAACTTCTGTGCTGATTTGTAAGGTGACAGTAGGAGAAAGCTGTTTACCTCCTGTTCATTACCTCTAGGCAGCACACTCTAACTTGTCACATTTAAGCATAGCGACCTTTACAATCCTTGGTGCATATTACTGAGCAGTATGTTACCCACTGCAAGGTCATCTAGGCTCTTTCTTTCAAGAATGTGAGCCAAAGGTTTGTGTAGTAAACTCAGTGATACAGAAAAGACACTGTAAGAGCATGTAAACAGTAATAGTCTTTCATAAGAATTACTCTCTTACCAGTCTGGTTGGATCGGAAACCAAAAATGACAATATAGATAGCATAGTACGATGGTTAAGGACATTGACTCAGGTAAGACAGTCCTGTGTTTTAACCACGCCCAGCCATTTAAGGACTGTGAAATCTTTTTTTTTTTTTTTTTTTTTTTTTTTTTTTTTGAGACGAAGTCTCACTGTGTTGCCCAGGCTGGAGTGTAGTGGCGCGATCTCAGCTCACTGCAGTCTCCGCCTCCCGGGTTCAAGCGATTCTCCTGCCTCAGCCTACTGAGTAGCTGGGACTACAGGCATGCGCCACCACACCCAGCTAATTTTTGTATTTTTTAGTAGAGGCGGGGTTTCACCATATTGGCCACGCTGATCTGGAACTCCTGACCTCATGATCCGCCTGCTTTGGCCTCTCAAAGTGCTGGGATTACAGGCATGAGCCACTGTGCCTGGCCTGGACTGTGAAATCGTATGAAGTTACTCAGTTTATCTGTTTTTCTTTTCTCTCTAACAGGAGGATAATTATATCTCCAGAGGTTCTAAATGAGATAATGCATTGTGAAGCACTTTAGCGCAATGCCTAGCACATAGTAAGAGCTCAGTGAATGTTAGCAAGATAGATATTCCTGTCTGTTGGGTTTGTTTATACTATTTTCATTGTTCTTACTAGTTTATTTTAGCCAGCTTGTGGCTACCTTTTTTTTTTTTTTTTTTTTTTCCCTCCAAACTCGTGGTAGGTCTATTGACCTGTATCAAGATCAGGAGTCAGCAAACTATAGCTGCTGCTTGTTTTGGTAAATGAAATTTTGTTGAAACACAGCCACACCCACTTGCTTACAAAAGCAGAGTTTAGTACTTGCCCCACAAAGTCTAAAATGTTATTATCTGGTCCTTTACAGAAGAAGTTTGTAAGAACCGCATGGTATAGATCAAGCTTGTCTAACCTGCAACTCTTGGGCTGCATGCGGCCCAGGACAGCTTTGAATGCAGCTCAATACAAATTCAGAAACTTTCTTAAAACATGAGATTTTTTTTTTCTTCCAGCTCATCAGCTATCTTTAGTGTTAGTGTATTTTATGTGTGGCCCAAGACAGTTCTTCCATTGTGGCCCAGGGAAGCCAAAAGGTTGGATGCCCCTGGTCTAATCAAGAGTCTTTTTTTCCTAGAAAAGTGACCTATGAAGCAAGTTCTAGAAATCAGAAGAGAAATAATGAGACTAAATTTGGCTGGGCGTGGTGGCTTACACCTGTAATTCCAGCACTTTGGGAGGCCTAGGCAAGAGGATCACTTGAGCCCAGGAGCTTGAGACCAGCCTGGTCAACACAACAAGACCCCATCTTTGCTTACAAGAAAAAATGCTGGGCATGGTGGCATGTCCCTGTAGTCCCAGTTAGTTGGGAGGCTGAGGTGGGAAGATTGATTGAGCCTGGGAGTTTGAGGCTGCAGTGAACCATGAGCTGTGATGGAGCCACTGTGCTCCAGCCTGGGTGACAGAACAAGACCCTGTTTCAAAAATAAATAAATAGGCTGGATGTGGTGGCTCACACCTGTAATCTCAGCACTTTGGGGGGCCAAGGCGAGTGGATCACCTGATGTCTGGAGTTCAAGACCAGTCTGAGCAATATGATGAAACCCTGTCTCTACTAAAAATACAAAAATTAGCTGGGCATGATGGCATGCACCTGTAGTCCCAGCTACTTGGGAGACTGAGACAGGAGAATTGCTTGAACCTGGGAGGTGGAGGTTGCAGTAAGCCGAGATCGCGCCACTGCACTCCAGCCTGGGTGACAGAGGGAAACTCCGTCTCAAAAACAAAAACAACAAAAAAACCCCAAAAATAGATAAATAAAAATTTAAAAATAGACTAGACTTACATGGACTAGAAGGAATTAATCATTTCAGATTTTTAGGAATAGGATTTTGAAGAAGGGAGGGTCTATTGACATGGCTAATAAGCATTAGGTGAAGGAAAGTACCGTTTGAAGTTGGTTAGGCAGTAACAGCACTTATTTTTAATCTCTTAGGGGCACTTCATAGTAGTGTGTTGTCTTAGTCCATTTTCTGTTGCTATAACCTGAGACTGGGTAATTTATAAAGAAAATAAATAAATTTCTTTCCCTCTCTCTTTTTTTTTTCTTTTGAGACGGAGTGTTGCTCTGTCTCCCAGGCTGGAGTGCAGTGGCACTATCTCAGCTCATTGCAACCTCTGCCTCCTGGGTTCAAGCGATTCTCCTGCCTCAGCCTCCCAAGTAGCTGGGACTACAGGCACACGCCACCACACCCAGCTAATTTTTGTATTTTTAGTAGAGATGGGATTTCACCATGTTGGCCAGGATGGTCTCAGACGATCTCTTGACCTCATGATCCACCCTCCTCGGCCTCCCAAAGTGCTGAGATTATAGGCATGAGCCACCGCACCCGGTCCCCTCCCTACCTTTCTTTCTTTCCTCTTTCCTTTTTATTTATTCTCTGTCACCCAGGCTGGAGTGCAGTTGTGCAGTCATAGCTTATTGTAGCCTTGAACTCCTAGGCTCAAGCAGTCCTCCTGCCTCAGCCTCTCAAGTAGCTAGGACTACAGGCATGTGCCTTTGCACCCAGCTAAATTGCTTTAAAAATGTTTTGTAGAGATGGGGTCTCACTATGTTGCCTAGGCTGGAGTGGAGCTCCTGTACTCAAGCAATATATCCACCTTGGCCTCTCAAAAGTGCTGGGATTACAGGCATGAGCCACCATGACCAGCCCCAAGAAATTTATTTCTCACGGCTCTGGAGGCTGGAAAGTCCAGGGTCAAGGGGCCATATCTGCTGAGGGCCTTCTTGCTGGTGGGGACCTTGCAGAGTTCCAGAGTGGCACAGGGCATCACATGGTGAGGGGACTAACGAGAGACAGCCACATTGGCTTTTATTACAGACCCACTCTTGTGCTAACTAGCCCCTTCTCTGAATAACCCATTAATCTGAGAATGGCTCAAGCACTTCCTAAAGGTCTCGCCTCTTAACACGCCTGCATTGGGCACCAAGTATCCAACAGATGAACTTCTGGGGGACACATTCAAATCGTTGCGGGGTATTAAAGCGAAGTACAAAGAAGAGAGATTTGCTGTCAAGTAGTTTGCATTAAACTTGGAAATAAATATGAATTGGTAGGTTACCTATTAAACAAGTGTGTTAGAGTAGCCTAGCAGTTTTCAAAGTGTAGTCTGTGGAATCCTAGAGAATAGACTCCTTTCATGGAGTCTGTGAGATCAGAATAGTTTCATAATAATACTAAGTCATCATTTGCCTTCTTCCCTGTGTTAACATTTGCAGTGATATCCAAAAGCAATGCTGATTAAAACGTTAGGGTAACCCTGAGCAATAGCACCAAACTAGTAGCAGGCATTGTGTTCTTTATTGTCATGCAGTTTAAATTTGCAGTAAAAAAAAAAAAGTTTCATTTAAGAATGTTCTTGATGAAGCAGTAAAAATTAATTTTATTTAATCTTGACCTTTTAGTACTTGGCTTTTGAATATTTTGTGTGATAAAATGGGAAGTACTCAAAAAACACTTCTGTTATATATTGAAGTACTGTGGTTGTCTAAGGAAAAGTACTTTTACAGTTATTTGGGTTTCCAGCTAACTAGTTGTCTTCTTCATAGAACAGCATTTTTACTTGATGAAAGAATAACCAACAAAGTACGTTATTTAGACTTGGGTATTTGGCAGATGCTTTCTTGAAAATTTTCAAGGAAAACAACTATTTTTGCCCAGTGATAAAATTAAAGCAAAAATGAGAATTTTGGAAAGTTTATATACTCCACCATGAGACGGTCCACTTCCCAGTTAGTTTTGTGGGGTTTTTTTTTTTTGATATTATGTAATATGTCAACCTTCGAAAGAGCTGCATGACTTAGTGAACTAGAAGTTTTCACATGACCAATATATTATGTGACAAAATCAGATTTGGTGAGAGATCCACTCAAAGTATAAAGTAGACCAATGTATTTTAATGTAATAATACAAAAGTTCATTGATAGGGTTTCAGAGTTCACATTTGCTGCTAACCTTTAGAAATTACTGGGTTGCTTTTTTTTTTTTTTTTTTTTGGAGACAGAGTCCTCTGTCACCCAGGTTGGAGTGCAGAGGCGGGATCTCAGCTCACTGCAACCTCTGCCTCCCGGGTTCAAGTGATTCTCCTGCCTCAGCTTCCCAAATAGCTGGGATTACAGGCACACGCTACCACACCCAGCTACTTTTTCATATGTTTAGTAGAGATGGGGTTTCACCATGTTGTTCAGGCTGGTCTCGAACTCTTGGCCTCAAGTGATCCGCCTACCGCAGCCTCTCAAAGTGCTGGGATTACAGGCATGAGCCACCGCGCCTAGCCTAGGTTGCTTTTTAAAAATTAAGTTAAATTTCACATAAACATCAAATTAACTTTTATTTATTAATTTACTAATTAATTTATTTTTTGAGACAGGGTCTCACTTTCTCACCCAGGCTGGAGTGCAGTGACACGATCTCAGCTCACTGCAGCCTTGACCTACTGGGTTCAAGTGATCCTCCTGCCTCAGCCCCCCAAGTAGTTGGGACTACAGGCACGGGCCACCATGCCCTGCTAAAGAATTAACCATTTAAAAGTGTACAATTCAGGCTGGGCACGGTGTCTCATGCCTGTAATCCCAGCACCTTGGGAGGCTGAAGTGGGCGGATCACTTGAGGCCAGGAGGTCGAGACCAGCCTGCCCAACATGGTAAAACCCGTCTCTACTAAAAATACAAAAATTAGCCAGACTTAGCAGTGCATACCTGTAGTCCCAGCTGCTCGGGAGGCTGAGGCAGGAGAATTGCTTCAGTAATATCAAGGAAAATATCCACGATTCTAATAAATTTAAGAGGCTGTTAAAAATGCCTCTTTCTCTGGCTGGGTACAGTGGCTTACACCTGTAATCCCAGCACTTTGGAAGGCCAAGGCAGATGGATCACTAGGTCAGGAGTTTGAGACCAGCCTGGCCAACATGGCAAACCCCATCTCTACTAAAAATACAAAAAAACAAGTGGCCGGGTGTGGTCGCTCACGCCTGTAATCCCAGCACTTTGGGAGACTGAGGTGGGCAGATCACAAGGTCAGGAGTTTGAGACCAGCCTGCCTGACATAGTGAAACCCCGTCTCTATTAAAAATAGAAAAATTAGCCGGGCATGGTGGTGCTCACCTGTAGTCCCAGCTACTTGGGAGGCTGAGGCAAGAGAATCACTTGAACCCGGGAGGCAGAGGTTGTGGTGAGCCGAGATCGCGCCACTGCACTCCAGCCTGGGCAACAGAGCGAGACTGTCTCAAAAAAAAACAAAAAACAAAAAACACCAGGCGTGGTAGCACCCATCTGTAATCCCAGCTACTCCAGAGGCTGAGGCAAGAGGGGAGGCAGAGGTTGCAGTGAGCCAAGATCGTGCCACTGCACTCCAGCCTGGGCGACAGAGCAAGACTCCGTCTTGGGGAAAAACAAAAAAAACCTCTCTCTAGTATCAGTATGAAATAATGGGTTCTCATATATACACATATACACAGGTTTGAGTATCCCTTATCTAAAATGCCTGAAACCAGAAGTGTTTCCAATGTTGGATTTTTTTGGATTTTGGGATATTTCTGTATACATAATGAGGTATCATGGGGGTGAGACTCAAGCCTAAACACAAAATTGATTTGTTTCATATATACCTTAAACATATAGCTTGAAGGTCATTTTATAACAACATTTTGTGCATAAAGCAAAGTTTTGACTGCATTTGACAGCATTTTGATGTGGAATTTTTTTCACATTTTGAAGTACTTTGGATTTTTTCCTTTTTTTTGAGACGGAGTCTGGCTCTGTCACCCAGGCTGGAGTGCAGTGACGCGATCTCTGCTCACTGCAAGCTCTGCCTCCTGGGTTCACGCCATTCTCCTGCCTCAGCCTCCTGAGTAGCTGAGACTATAGGTGCCCGCCACCACGTCCGGCTAATTTTTTAAATTTTTTTAGTAGAGACGGGGTTTCACTGTGTTAGCCAGGATGGTTTCGATCTCCTGACCTCGTGATTCTGCCCGCCTTGGCCTCCCATAGTGCTGGAATTACAGGCGTGAGCCACTGTGCCTGGCCGGATTTTTTCCTTTTTTTAGTAAAAAGTAGAGACAGGGTGACCAGGTACAGTGGCTCATGCTTGCAATCCCAGCACTTTGGAGGCCGAGGCAGGTGGATCTTTTGAGGCCAGGAGTTCGAGACCAGCCTGGCCAACATGATGAAACCCTATCTCTACTAAAAATACAAAACATTAGCGCTGGGCATAGTGGCAGGCCTTTGTAATCCCAGCTACTCAGAAGGCTGAGGCAGGAGAATTGCTGCTGGAATCTGGGAGGCAGAGGTTGCAGTGAGCCGAGATTGTGCCTGGATGACAGAGCCAGACTTCATCTCAAAAAAAGGAAAATGTAGAGACAGGGTTTTGCCATGTTGTTCCAGCTGGTCTTGAACTCCTGGGCTCAAGGCATCTGCCGCCTCAGCCTCCCAAAGTGCTGGGATTATAGGTGTGAGTCACCACACCTGGCCCAATTTGGATTTTCTGATGAGGGATCTTCAAGTGGTACACACATATGCAAATATAGATATAGAAAAAGATATGGATGTTACGTGTGTATGCATGCATTTTATTTCCTTTTCTGAAAGGGCCTGGAAGTAGTGACACCACCTAGCAGTGAGCACACCTGACACCAGATCTTGGTTTCGCAACACCATTCTCCAATAAGAGGAACCAGAGCTGCTTGGAGACATGGCTAGGGCAGATAAAAAAAGATGATGAACCTGGAACATCGTGTGGATACCAGAAGCTAATAAATTGCCAAAAAAGTAATAGAGAACCAGCTTGAAGGAGCTTTCAATGGCCAGATCTGGGACAGTTTGAAAAACAAATAATGATAAATAGATTATAACCCATGGGGTAAAATAAATATCCATAAGTTTATGCTGCTATAAATAAATATGGGAAAGAAAACAATTGTTTTCTGCAGTGAAACTCAAGTTGATAAATAGAAAAGGAATAATGGAAACATTAGGCAAATACTACAGTATTTGTTGCAGGCAAGAGTTGTCTTTTTTTTTTTTTGAGATATAGTCTTGCTCTGTCGCCTGGGCTGTAGTGCAGTGGCACTATCTTGGCTCACTGCAACCTCTGCCTCCCGGGTTCAAGTGATTCTTCCGGCTCAGCCTCTCAAGTAGCTGGGACTACAGGCACCCACCATCATGCCTGGCTAACTTTTGTATTTTTGTAGAGAGGGGGTTTCACCATGTTGGTCAGGCTGGTCTTGAACTCTTGACCTCAGGTGATCTGCCTGCCTTGACCTCCCAAAGTGCTGGGATTACAGGCGTGAGCCACTGTGCCCAGCAAGAATTGTCTTTGTATGCTAAAATTAATATGTGGAATTTTGATTGGAGATGGGATATTTACACAGTGGCTTCTAAGTATCTTGGCTTCGTCTCTACTAAAAATACGAAACTAGCCAGGTGTGATGGTGCGTGCCTGTAGTCCTAGCTACTCGGGAGGCTGAGGCAGGAGAATGGCTTGAACCCAGGAGGGGAGGCTGCAGTGAGCCAAGATGGTGCCACTGCACTCCACCCTGGGTGACGGAGCAAGAATCTCTCAAAAAAAAAAAAAAAAAGTATATAGTATATATATTAGTGGGAAAACTGGTGACATGTGAATAAGATCTGTAGAGTAGTTAATAAACACTATTGTTTCCTGGTTTCAATAATTGTACTGTGTTTATATGTTAACATTTAGGGGAGCAGGGTGAAGAATATTTGAAACTTCTGTAAGTCTAAAATTATTTCAGAACTTAGTTTTAAAACATAAGTTTATTAAAGACTTTAAATTTTTTAAAAAAGAACTCCTACCTTCCTGTGTATCTGTGTGAGACCACATCCACCCCCACCCCGTCCCCCATGCTGTTAACTAGAACAACATCACTGCACATTGAATGCAGAGGCAGCTATGAGAATCCAGCTGTCTGCTATTAAGCCAGACATTAAAGAGATTTGTAAAAATATAAAACAAGGCCACTTTTCTCACTAAATTGTTCTGTTATTTTGGAAAATATTTTTCATAAAGAAGTTATGTTAACATGGAATGGGTTTATTTTTAAATGCATTAATAATTTTAAAATTTTTATTTTCTTTTATTTATTTATTTTTTTTTGAGATGGAGTCTGCCTCTGTCCACCCAGTCTAGAGTGCAGTGGCACGATCTCAGCTCAATGCAACCTCCTCCCTCCCGGGTTCGAGCAGTTCTTCTGCCTCAGCCTCCTGAGTAGCTGGGACTACAGGTGTGCACCACCACGCCTGGCTAATTTTTGTACTTTTTAAGTAAAGACGGGGTTTCACCATATTGGCCAGGCTGGTCTTGAACTCCTGACCTCAGGTGATCTGCCCACCTCAGCCTCCCAGAGTGCTGGGATTATAGGCGTGAGCCACTGTGCCTGGCCTAAAATTTTATTTTAATTCTGTTTCTAATATGGTGACTCTTTTTTTTGTTGTTTTTTGAGACGGAGTCTCACTCTGTCGCCAAGGATGGAGTGCAGTGGCACCGTGTTGGCTCACTGCAACCTCTGTCTCCTGGGTTCAAGCAATTCTCCTGCCTCAGCCTCCTGAGTAGTTAAGATTACAGATGCTCACCACCATGCCCGGCTTGTATTTATATTTTTAGTAGAAACAGGGTTTCACCATGTTGGCCATGGTGGTCTTGAACTCCTGACCTCAGGTGATCCACCCGCCTCAGCCTCCCAAAGTGCTGGGATTACAGGCTCACGTGAGCCACCGCGCCTGGCCTCTTATGTGACTCTTTTAGTTACTGCTCTCTTTGGGGTCCTTGATTTTATTTATTTATTTATTTAGAGACAGGGTCTTGCTCTGTCACCCAAGCTGGAGTACAATGGTGCAATCATAGCTCACTGTGACCTCAAACTCCTGAGTCCAGACACTCCTCTTGCCTCAGCCTCCCAAGCGGGTGTCTTCCATAATCATTCATGTCAGATTATTTTCTCTGATTTGCCAAATTTATTTCTAACCTCCTGGTTGCTAACCTTGCCAGATATATTGTAGTATAATAAGCAGTTTGGGGTCTGATATGTTCTGTTTGTTTCTGTCATGTAAGGAGATCAGTGTGGTTTCTTTTGGTTCTATGTTATCTAAGTCTCCTCTTAGAAATAGTAGCGTTCCCATACCACACCGAGGTGTGCTCTTCTCAAGCCCTTGTCCATACCCTTTTCCATTCTGACAGTTAATTCCAACCTCTAAGGTAATCCTATAAAATGGTATATTGGAGGCCAGGTGGCGGTGGCTTGAGTCTGTAATACCAGCACTTTGGGAGACTGAGGCAGGCAGATCACTAGATCAGGAGATCAAGACCATCCTGACCAACATGGTGAAACCCCGTTTCTACTAAAAGTACAAAAATCAGCTGGTGTGGTGGTGTGCGCCTATAATCCCAGCTACTTAGGAGGCTGAGGCAGGAGAATCTATTGAACCCGGGAGGCGGAGATTGCAGTGGCTGAGATTGTGCCACTGCACTCCAGCCTGGCGACAGAGCAAGACTCCGTCTCAAAACAAAACAAAACAAAACAAGGTACATTGGAAATAATTTCACTTCTTTGTAGCATCAAAAATGAAACCTTTTCTGTACCCATTCTGCTTTTCTTTAGGGCCTTTTACCCCCATTTGAGGAATTTGCAGTTTGGTTTGTGTGTGTGTATAAATTCATTAGGAAACTGAAATGGAGAGGTTATATCCTTGGGAAGTGCAGAATAATTACTGGGATTGATTGATAATAGGAAGCATTAGATAGCTTGGAACGAGCTCAGCCATCTGGTTTGCATTAGGGCAGGTTGGAGATGGTGCAAGACCATTGCTATGTGATTTTTGCCAGAAACTGAAAGTGCATTTTGTTTACAGTTTAGAAGACAAATCGTCTTTCATTCACCTGTACAGTTGTAAGTAGAGGACACAGGCCCACTAATCTCAGAAGCTTGGTTGAGAAATAATTTATTTGGATCATTATTTGCTCTTTTAAAATACATGAATTGTCATTAGAGAATATAGCTAGGCTGCTACTGGATTAGCTATACTTATAACATTCTCACCTCTCTATTATGACTAATTTAGTGTACAGAGCTATGAATTTTTTTTTTTTTTTTTTTTTTTGAGACCTAGTGTCACTCTGTTGCCAGGCTGGAGTGCAGTGGCACCATCTCAGCTCACTGCAACCTCCGCCTCCCAAGTTCAAGCGATTGTTCTGCCTCTGTCTCCTGAGTAGCTGGGATTACAGCTGTGTGCCACCACACATGGCTAAGTTTTGTATTTTTGTATAGACAGGGTTTGACCATGTTGGCCAGGCTGGTCTTGAACTCCTGACTTCAGATGATCCGTCCGCCTCAGCCTCCCAAAGTGATGGGATTACAGGCATGAGCCACTGTGCCCGGCCTCAAACTTCTGGGCTCAAGCGATCTACCCACCTCAGCTTCCCTAAATGCTGGGGTTACAAGTGTGTGCCACTGCACCCCGTTGAGACCGTTCTAAGGTTTAAATCATTGCTCTTTCCCTGTCATGTCCACCTCTCAGCTCTTGTTTCTCTAAAGAGCAAAATGTGGTTACCCTTATAGGCTGCTGAATTCAAATTGCCTCTGGTATTTTTAGTCTGATTATGAGAATAATCTGGTAAATACTTGGTTTATATATGTGCTAGTGTTTTTATATGTTATTCTTATGGCAGACAATAATTGATTAAAAGTCTTTACTTATGTAACAGAATGTTCCACGTCATCACCATCGGTAAAATGTAGTTGGCATTGGAATTGAAAGCCACTTACCATCCTTGGTGTGGTAGAAGGGGAGTGTCCTGGTCATTAGAATTAGATGTAGATTTTTTTTTAAATTATTTGTTTTTGAGATGGAGTCTCACTCTGTCACCTAGGCTGGAGTGCAGTGGCACGATCTCAGCTCACTGCAACCTCCGCCTCCCATGTTCAAGCGATTCTCCTGCCTCAGCCTCTTAAGTAGGTGGGACTACAGGCACGTGCTACCACGTCCAGAAAATTTTTGTATTTTTTAGTAGAGACGGGGTTTCACCATGTTGGCCAGGCTGGTCTCGAACTCCTGACTTCAGGTGATCCACCCGCCTTGGCCTACCATAGTGCTGGGATTATAGGCGTGAGCCACTGTGCCTGGCCAGAATTAGACGTAGATTTTAATCATGACTTTCCTATTTGTTGTGTTTCTTGGACAGGTTTATACTAAATAAGAAATTATGTAGTATACTAAATAATACTATTTTTTTTGAAATGGAGTGTCTCTCTGTCACCCAGGCTGGAGTGCAGTGGCGGGATCTCGGCTTACCGCAACCTCCGCCTCCCAGGTTCAAGCAATTCTCCTGTCACAGCCTCCCAAATAGCTGGGACTACAGGCACACGCCACTGTGCCCAGCTGATTTTTTGTGTTTTTAGTGGAGACAGGGTTTCACTATGTTGACCTGGCTGGTCTCGAACTCCTGACCTCAAGTGATCCGCCCACCTCAGCCACCCAAAGTGTTGGGATTACAGGCATGAGCCACTGTGCCTGGCTGTATTTAGTATTTCTGAGTCTCAGTTTTTTCATTCATAGAATGGGTATAATATGGACTTCATAGGAATGTTCTGAGAATTAGATACTTGGTTTTTTGTTGTTGCTTTCTTTCTTTCCTTTTCCTCCCTCCCTCTCTTTCATCTCTTTCTTTTCTTCTTCTCTTTCTTTCTTTCACAGGGTTTTGCTTTGTCACCCAAGCTAGACTGCAGTGGCACAATCATAGCTCACTGAAGCCTCGACCTCCTAGGTTTAATTGATCCTCCTGTCTCAGCATTCCAAGTAGCTGGGACTATAGGCATGCGCCATTGTACTCAGCTAATTTTTAAATTTTTTGTAGAGACAAGGTCTCCCTATATTGCCCAGGTTGGTCTAGCATTTCTGAGCTTAGGCTCTCCTCCCGCCTCCACCTCCCAAAGTGCTGAAATTACACATGTGAACCTAAATACTGTTTTTTTGGTTCTTAGCTCTCACCATTCCGATAATCAGCATTCATTCAGATGTTAATCCTTCTCCTGTATCCCCTCTCACCAAGCCCCCAATACATACCTTGTTACTTGTCTTCCTTTTGGAGTGCACTTTCTCCCAACTGTCCTCAGACTTGTGTGATGAATGTATCACTTACAACATGTTTTGTCTGGGAAGAAGAGGCTCTCAAGTATGTGTGTGTGTACAAATTTGAGATCATGCTTTTCAGAGCATTGTGAAGGATCTCTGTTCAAAACTCTGCTCCCCTAGTGCCTATTATTATTACTTCCATGGTATAAAGGATAAAAAGAATTTTTTGTTTTTCTTTCATATAAAAAATATTCCTAAGGAAAGCCTACATCCGTTCTACTTTGCATGAAGAAAAACAGGATTTTTAGGCCGGGCGTGGTGGCTCATAACCTGTAATCCCAGCACTTTGTGAGATCGAGGCAGGTGGATCACAAGGTCAAGAGATCAAGGCCATCCTGGCCAACATGGTGAAACCTTGTCTCTACTAAAAATACAAAAAAATTACCCAGGCATTGTGGCACGTGCCTGTAGTCCCAGCTACTCAGGAGGCTGAGGCAGGAGAATTGCTTGAACTTGGGAGGCGGAGGTTGCACTGAGCCAAGATCGCACAGCTGCACTCCAGCCTGAAGACAGAGCGAGACTCTGTCTTGGAAAAAAAAAAGAAAAACAGAATTTTTATAGATGAGTACTGGAGAAGGTTGGAAAAATGTAGCTAACTCCTATTCCTTTATTTAATTATGTACTTAGATTGCTTACTTTCCTGTTGTTTTTTTTTTTTTCTTATTTCTTTCTTTTGAGACGGAGGTTCACTGTCGTCACCCAGGCTGGAGTGCATTGGTGTGATCTTGGCTCACTGCAACCTCCACCTCCTGGGTTCAAGTGATTCTCCTGCCTCAGCCTCCCAATTAGCTTGGATTACAGGCATGCACCACCACGCCCAGCTAATTTTTGTATTTTTAGAATTTTGCATTTTTAGTAGAGACAGTTCAAGACCATTTTGCCAGGCTGGTCTTGAACTCCTGACCTCAGGTGATCCACCCGCCTCGGCCCCCCAAACTGTTGGGGTCACAGGCGTGAGCCACCGTGCTCGGCCACTTTCCTGTTTTTCTTTGTGAAAGTTTGGAGCAGTCATTCTTACAGTGCCTAGTAATAACCAGGAGAGAGTAGTAAAAATGCAGATTCCTTAGCCCCACCCAAATAAATTTAATGTCATGAAATAGGGCCTGGGAAGCTGCATTTTAATTTATTTTTTTCTCTTAAAAAAAGTATGCCAGGCGCAGTGCCTCATGCCTATAATCCCAGCACTTTGGGAGGCCGAGGTGGGCAGATCACCTGAGGTCGGGAGTTTGAGATCAGCCTGACCAACATGAAGAAACCCTGTCTCTACTAAAAATACAAAATTAGCCGGGTATGGTGGCGCATGCCTGTAATCCCAGCTACTTGGGAGGCTGAGGCAGGAGAATTGCTTGAACCCGGGAGGTGGAGGTTGTGGTGAGCTGAGATTGCACCATTGCACTCCAGCCTGGGCAACAAGAGCAAAACTCCATTTCAAAAAAAAAAAAAAAAGAAATAAAGTAGAGATTGGCCAGGCGCAGTGGCAAATTAACGCTTTTTCTAAATACTCTCAATTTCTGTGCTTATCTTTTTGCAGTTCATGGAACTGCAGTGGTCAGTGGCCCACACTTTGAGTAACATTGCTCTTCAGAAAATAAAAATGATTGTGTGTGGAAACTGGCAAGCTGGAAGCTAGTTTCTTCTACAAGCCCCAAGAAGACTGATTTTTTCGTCTATAAAATTGAGACAGTTTTACTGCTTTGCTCATCTTTATAGGGATGTTATGAGGATCACATAAGATATAATGTATGTAAAGGCTGGGAGTGATGGCTCATGCCTGTAATCCTGGCACTTTGGGAGGTTGAGGCGGGCGGATCACCTGAGGTCAGAAGTTCGAGACCAGTCTGGCCAACATGGTGAAACCCCGTCTCTACTAAAAATAAAAAAATTAGCTGGGTGTGACGGCATGAGCCTGTAACGTCAGGTACTCAGGAGGCTGAGGCAGGAGAATTGCTTGAACCTGGGAGGTGGAGTTTGCAGTGAGCTGAGATCACGCCGCTGCACTCCATCCTGGGTGACAGAGCAAGACTCAGTCTAAAAAAAAAAAAAAAAAAAAAAAGGATATAATGTATGTAAAATACGTTGTAAACTGAAAAACTAATGTAAGTTATATTCTTCACATTTCTTGAGCAGGTACTCTTTTAGCAACTAGGTATATAGAGATACATGGCAGGGAGCTTATTATTCACATGTATATTAGCCACAAGGTTGCAGTATGCGGAATTGTTTCTGTATCCTAAAAATTTTCCTAGACTTGTGCAGTCCTTCTCTAAACTTTAGTGATATGCATATATATATATACACATATATATACATATATACATATACGTACATACATATATACATATACATATATATACATATGTGTATATATATATATATTTTTTTTTTTTTTTGAAATGGAGTCTCGCTCTGTTGCCCAGGCTGGAGTGCAGTGGTGTGATCTCAGCTCACTGAAACCTCTGCCTCCTGGGTTCAAGTGATTCTTCTGCCTCGACCTCCAAGTAGCTGGGACTACAGGCGTGCACCACCACGCCCGGCTAATTTTTTTTTTTTTTAGTAGAGATGGAGTTTCACCATATTGGCCAGGCTGGTCTCGAACTCCTAACCTCGTGATCCTCCCATCAATCCCAAAGTGTTGAGATTACAGGCATGAGCCACTGTGTCCGGCCGTATTTTTTAAATATATAACTTAATGATGTTTCTTTGAAATGTCTGAGAACCTTTTTTTCCTCTTTTTTTATGTATATATTTCTGATTTTTAAAATAAATAGAGATGGCCCGGGGTGGGAGGCACAGTGGCTCACTATGTTGCCCAGGCTGGTCTTGAACTCCTGGCCTTAAGTGATCCTCCTGCGTTGGCCTTCCAGAGTGCTAGGGTTACAGGCATGAGCCACCAACCTGGGCCTATTTTTACTTTTCTGACAAGTTCTTGAAGGTTATAATATATATATTTTTAATGGATTAGAAGCAATTTGGAGGCAGGCGTCCTTCTCAGTTAAAGTTCTGAGACTCCTTGTATATGGATCCGTTTCTGTTAATCTTAGATTACCCTTTCTTCCGACTTACTCTCAGCTTGAAGTTTGCTGCCTGAAGTAACTCCACACACTTTCTCTCCTCTGCCTAGCTCCTCTTTTTAGAGTATGTTTGCAGGAGACAGAGACCTTTAAAGCCAGTTCATTCAACAAGAAATGTTTTGAGTGCCTGTTATATACTGGTTAGGTGAAAAAGTTAAGAAAATGGGCTGGGCCCCGTGGTTTATGACTTGGAGGCCACGATGGGAGGATCACTTAAGGTCAGGAGTTCAAGAGCAGCCTCAGCAACATAGCAAGACCTGTCTCTACCAAAAATTAGCCATGTGTGGTAGCATGCACCTGTAGTACCAGCTACTTGGGAGGCTGAGTCCAGAGGATCACTTGAGTCCAGGAGTTGGAGATTGCAGTGAACTATGATTGTGCCACGGCACTCCAGCCTGGGTGACAGAAAGAGACCCTGTCTCTCAAAAATAATTTTTTTTAAGTAGATAAGAAAATGAATTTTAACTACCAGTGGCAGTGAGTCGTGCCTGGAATCTTAATGTTTTGGGAGGCCAAGGTGGGAGGATCACCTGAAGCTGGGAGTTTGAGACCAGCCTGGGCAACATAGCAAGACCCAATCTCTGCAAAAAATTTTAAAGTTAGCTGGTTGAGGTGGCACGCACCTGTAGTCCTAGCTCTTCGGGAAGCTAAGGTGGGAGGATTGCCTAACCCTAGGAGTTCAAGGTTACAGGAAGTTTTGATTGCACCACTGCACTCCAGCCTAGGTGACAGAGTGAGGCCCTGTCTTTTGGAAGAAAAAGGAAAGAAAATAGTTTAACTACATACCATTCATGACTTCTGGGTGCTCACAGTTTTCTAAGGGAAATGGACAAGTAATTCAGTAATAAGACACAGAAAATGACATGTTTCCAAAATTCCTTGACAGGCCGAGTGCAAGTGGCTCACACCTGTAATCCCAGCACTTTGGGAGGCCAAGGCAGGTGGATTACTTGAGGTCAGGAGTTCGAGACCAGCCTGGCCAACATGGTGGAACCTTGTCTCTACTGAAAATACAAAAATTAGCTGGGCGTGGTGGCCACACCTGTAATCCCAGCTACTTGGGAGACTGAGGCAGGAGAATCGCTTGAACCTGGGGCAGAGGTTCCAGTGAGCTGAGATCGCGCCAGTGCACTCCAGTCTGGGCAACAGAGCAAGGCTCTGTCTCAAAAAAAAAAAAAAAAAAAAAAAAAAAAGAAAAGAAAAGAAAATTCCTTGACAGCACAAAGAAAGGAAAAATTGCCTGGAGGAATGGAGATAGGGATGACCATATAATTTACCCTCCAAACTAGGACGCTATTAAAGGTGAAAGGAACATTGTTAATCATCATGAGAGAATAAACTGGGACATGTTCTATACAAACTAGGACATATTATTACTCTATTCATAAAAGTAATGTCTATGGTCTTTTTTTTTTTTTATTATTTTTTTTTGAGATGGAGTCTCACTCTGTTACCCAGGCTGGAGTGGAGTGGTGCAGTCTCAGCTCACTGCAGCCTCCACCTCCTGGGTTCAAGCGATTCTCCTGTCTCAGCCTCCCGAGCAGCTGGGATTACAGGCTCGTGCCACTACACCTGGCTAATTTTTGTATTTTTAGTAGAGACAGGGTTTCACTGTGTTGGCCAGGCTGGTCTCGAACTCCTGACCTCAGGTGATCCACCCACCTGGGTCTCCCAAAGTGCCGGGGTTATAGGCATGAGCCGCCTCGCCTCGCCTTGCATGGTCTTTTTTTTTTTTTGAGGTGAAGTCTTGCAGCCACCCAGGCTGGAGTGCAGTGGTGGAATCATGGCTCACTACAGACTAGATCCCCCAGGCTCAAGCAATCCTCCCACCCCAGCCTCCTGAGTAGCTGGAACAACAGGCACACTCCACCACACCTGCCTGATTTCTATTTGTATTTTTAGTGGAAATGGAATCTTGCTATGTTGCCCAGGCTGGTCTTGGACTCTTGAGCTCAATCATCCTACATACCTCGGCCTCCCAAAGTGCTGGGAGCCACTGCACCCTATATAGTCTTAAAGTACCACCCTCCGTCTTGGATTTAGCACTTCATCTGTACCTTTTTACTGTTGCTTGCACAGGCTAAATGCTATCCTGTCTCAAGCAACATCCTTGCTGTGACCTCTACTTGTTACCTCCTCTCCCAGATATTTGCACAGTTCACTTCTGCCCTTAATTCAGGACTTGCTCAAATGTTATTTTTTCTGACAGGACTTTCCTGACCATACTTTTAAGAATAGTCTCTTCCCCTACCCTAACACCACTCTCTGACCCCTTTTCATGTCTAATTTTTTTAATGATACTTACAAATACATAACATACATATATACCCACATACATATGCAATTTGATTGTTTCTCTTTTCTTTTTTGGAGATAGGGTCTTGCCTTGTCACCTAGGCTGGAGTGTAGTGATACAGTCATGGCTCACTTCAGCCTTTACATAGACCCAAGTGATCCTCACGCCTCAGCCTCCTGAGTAGCCGGGGCTTTGTTTATGAGACATGGTCTCGCTCTGTTCCCCAGGCTGGAATGCAATGGCATGATCTCGGCTCACTGCAGCCTTGACCTCCTGAGCTCAAGCGATCCTCCCACCTCAGCCTCCTGGGTAGCTGGGACCGCAGGTGCATGCCACCATCCTGGGCTAATTTTTCTATTTTTTGTAGAGATGGGGCTTTGCCATGTTGCCTAGGCTGGTCTTGAACTCGTGTTTTTTGTAGACATGGGGTTTTGCCATGTTGCCCAGGCTGATCTTGAACTCTTGCCCACCTTGGCCTCCCAAAGTGCTGGGATTACAGGTGTAAGCCACCATGCCCCCAGCCTGATTTCTGGATTTTTAACTCAATAAAGGGAATGATGATGTCTTTATTATAAATATGGACTATAAGAAGAGAAATAAGTTAGATTGGAAGGAAGGATATCCCGTCACTCTCCCATAACTCACCAGGCAGAAGAAAGAACAACCTTATAGGAAGGGGGAAGAATTCAGAACTATCTAGTTTGAGACCTTGATCCTATTCTTGAAGTCAGCCACATTTTAACATTCTTGTTACTGGGCCTCTTCTCTATTTGAGAGCAATTGCATCTCCAGATTTCTCCAGTTACTATATTATCCTTGAATTCACTGTCAAATTATTTGTATTTCTTACAATACTAGGTAGGTGCTTCAAAACTGAATGATTTCAAAAGAATCTTCACTTGACCTCTTCAATGAGATGGAAGTTCTTATTGCTTCCAGCCTTCAGAAAGAAGGTCTTGTTGGATTATCTAATTCAGAGTTTTAAAAAACATTACGTAGGGGTAAACAGGTCTTGGACCTCTGGCTGATTGATGTCTCCTGTGGCAGAAGGCAAACTACAAAGGAGCTCTTCTTCACATGTAAGAATGGATGATGATTTCAGCGCTTCTTGATTATAAATATCTTAAGGACTCATGTTCCAGGACCATTCCAGAGACATCTCTCTCTCCTTTTTTACCTCCCACTTTCTAACTTGATAAGGGGACTATAGTGAATATAGTGACTAAGTTTTACATATTTTATCAATGTGAAAAGTTTATCAGGTGCCACTAATTTAATTAGTGCCTACAGTAGAAAAGGGCATCCGTTTTCTATGAAGGGACACTATATCAAAGGCAAGTTATAATTACACACACACACATTTGAGAGTCTCCCTCTGTCGCCCAGGCTAGAGTGCAGTGGCGCGATCTTGGCTCACTGCAACCTCCGCCTCCCGGGTTCAAGCGATTTTCCTGCCTCAGCCTCCCGAGTAGCTGGGACTCCAAGTGCGCACCACCACACCCAGCTAAATTTTGTATTTTTGGTGGAGACAGGGTTTCACTATGTTGGCCAGGCTGGTCTCAAACTCCTGACCTCAGGTGATCCGCCTGCCTTGGCCTCCTAAAGTGCTGGGCATTGCTGGTGTGAGCCACTGCGCCCGGCCAATTTATATATATATATATATATATGCATATGCATATGTATATTTAAGTTATGCTTTATAAGGAATTATAAAGCATACTGTTTATTCCTTTTTACATACAAAAGGAAGACATAGTAGTCCAGGTTTCTTATCTGATATGTTTTTTCCCCAAGGCAAATAGGGCTGTGATGATTAACATAATCATTTCAGTCTTCAGATGAAACCCTATCATCTGCATGCAAAAAGGAATTTAATCCCTTACAAGCCAACAAGTAACCATATCCATAGTATCTGGAGGGCTAGGCTACTTGCATTTCATACTGCTCAATTAAATGTCATGGACTGTCCATGTTCTGCCACATTACTTTCCAGTTCTGAGTGGTCAAGTTAAAGGCATTCTTTTTTCTTTCTTTCTTTTTTTTGGTTAGTTGGTTTATTTATTAGAGATGGGGGTCTCGCTATGTTGCCCAGATCTTGAACTCTTGGCCTCAAGTGATCCTTCCACCTCAGTTTCCCAAAGTGCTGGGATTACAGGTGTGTGCTACCGTGCTCAGTAGACATTTTTAGAAAAAGGAATCCATTGTGTTCAGCTTATTTGTTTTAATTTT
Source organism: Homo sapiens (assembly GCF_000001405.40). Lineage (NCBI taxonomy): Eukaryota > Metazoa > Chordata > Mammalia > Primates > Hominidae > Homo > Homo sapiens. The sequence goes on along the minus strand of NC_000001.11, from coordinate 153,856,575 downwards.
TTTAATCTTAAAGTTTTAAATGTTTTTAGTTTTTAAATTTTAAATTGAAAATATTTAAGCATATAGAAAAATAGAGTAGTACGAGCAACAGCTGTGTAACTACCATCTTGTTCAGCAGTGAATATTTTGCCATATTTGCTTGGCACATACCAATATGCTGTTGATATATAGCATAAACATTTTTTCTAAACCACTTCAAAGTAAGTTTTAGACTTTCACCTCTAAATACTTAAGATTGCTGTGGTAGGCAAAATAATGCCCCTTCTCCCAAGATGTCTATACTCCAGCCCCCATAACCTGTGAATATGTTCCGTTTCATGGCAACAGAGAATTAAGATGGCAGATGGAATTAAGGTTGCTAATCAGTTGACCTTAAAATGTGGAAATTATTCTAGATTATCCAGGTGGGCCAATATAATCATAAGGGTCCTAAAGGAGGCAGAAGAGTGTCAAAGAGTTGGCAGTCAGAGGAGTAGGCCTGATACTTGAAGATGAGGAAAGTGGCCATGAACCCAGCAGAGTAGATTGTCTGTAGCAGGGAACAGCAGGACAATGGATTTTCCTCTAGAGACTCCAGAAGAAATGTAGGAGCTGACTGGGCACGGTGACTCATGCCTGTAATCCCAGCACTTTGGGAGGCCAAGGCGGATGAATCAGTTGAGGCCAGGAGTTCGAGACCAGCCTGGGCAACATGGCAAAAACCCATCTTTACAAAAAATACAAAAATTAGCTGGGCGTGGTGATGCGCACCTGTAGTCCCAGCTACTCCCAGTCCCAGAGGCTGAGGTGGGAGAATCGCTTGAGCTGCAGGAGGCAGAGGTTGCAGTGAGCCGAGATCATGCCACTGTACTCCAGCCCAGGTGACAGAGCCAGACCCTGTGTAAAAAAAAAATATATAAAATAAGTAGGAGCCATACTCATACCTTGAATTTAGCCTAATTAGACCCATTTTAGACTTAATGACTTTCTGAATGAAAGGTAATACAATTTGTATTGTGTTTAAGCCACTAAATTTGTGGTAATTTATTATAGCAGCCATAGAAAACTAATAGTAGGCTGGGCTCACGCCCGTAATCCCAGCACTTTGGGAGGGGGAAGGTGGGTGGATCACTAGAGGTCAGGAGTTTGAGACCTGCCTGGCCAACATAGGAAAACCCTGTCTCTACTAAAAATACAAAAATTAGCCGGGCGTGGGGACACCTGTCTGTAATCCCAGCTACTCGGGAGGCTGAGGTGAGAGAATCACTTGAGCCCAGGAGGCAGAAGTTACAGTGAGCTGAGATCTTGCACTCCAGTCTGGGCAACAGAGCAAGACTCTGTCTCAAAAACAACAACAACAAAAAAAAAAAACAAAAAGAAAGCTAATGCTACAGTTACGTTTCAAAAAAATACGGACAATCTCCTATTCAACCACAATACCATTATAACCAACAAGATTAATAATAATTCCCTAATATTATTTAATACTTAGTCCATTTGAAAATTTACCCAGTTCCCCATAGTATCTTTTGTAGCTGTGTTTAAACCAAGATTCAATCAAAGATTATACATTATATTTGATTATGTCTGTAAGTCTCTCTTAACCTAGAACAGTCTGTATCACCACCTCTTTTTTTTTATATCAACTTTTTTGAAGAGACCGTGCTCATTGATTTGAAATATGTTCCACATTGTAGATTTGTCAGATTGTTTCCATGTTAATTGTCTCAATGCCTGCAGTGAAAAGTTTGATCCCTACGGTAAGGTAACAGCAAGATTGTTCCATTGTTAAGATGTGTTTTTCCTTTTGCAATTAGTCGTCTGTGGAGTTATTTTGTTTATATGAACTGAACTAGTTCTTATGAAAATAAATGTTAAATTTCCAGACCAGCATATTTTATAATGGCAGTATAATAGACTATATAACCTAAAACACTTCTGCTATTTCATTACAAAACACCTAGTAATGCTGGATGAAATGTAACAACTATTTTTTAATTTTTAAACAAACTTTTAAAAATGTATAGCTAGTTGAGCCTGAAAGAATTAAGGAAAATTCTCAGGGACTGCAAATGAAAGAGGAACTGAAAATGAGCAGTATGCATGTTACTTAATGCTGTGGTATTTCTGGGTGCTTTGCCTAGTCTCAGTTACTGAAAGGCTTGGTTTTTGTTTGTTTGTTTGTTTGTTTTTTGAGACGGAGTCTTGCTCTGTCGCCCAGGCTGGAGTGCAGTGGCAAGATCTCGGCTCACTGCAAGCTCCACCTCCCGGGTTCACACCATTCTCCTCTCTCAGCCTCCCGAGTAGCTGGGACTACAGGTGCCCACCACCAAGCCCAGCTAATTTTTTTGTATTTTTAGTAGAGACGGGGTTTTACCATGTTAGCCAGGACGGTCTCGATCTCCTGACCTCACGATCCGCCCGTTTCAGCCTCCCAAAGTGCTGGGATTACAGGTGTGAGCCACCGTGCCTGGCCTAAAGGCTTCGTTTTAATGTCCATGAGCCTTAGGCCTGTATGGAACAGAGTTAGAAATGCAAATCTCTATATAAAGCAGGGAGCCTTGAAGGTTCATACTCAAGAGAAAGGAAGGGACCACAGAAAATTCCATCTACTAGTTTGAGGAAACAAGGAAACTTCTGTGTCTCAGCTTGGGCTCTGGCTGGGGGTAGATGGGAATGTCTCCTGAAAATTTATGTTTGGACTCAAGAATATACAATAAGGAAAGGATCAATAGGGCAAGGATAGTCCCTCCAACAAATGTTGTTGGGAAAAGTGGATATCCACAGCAAAATAATGAAATTATCTTGTACTGTACACAAAAATCAACCCAAAATGGATTAAAGAGTTAAACATAAGACCTGAAACTATAAAACTCATAAGAAGAAAACAGGGAAAAAGCATTATGACATTGGTCTTGGCAATGATTTCGTGGATATGACATCAAAAACACAGGCAACAAAAGCAAGTGGAACTGCATCAACCTAAAAAGCTTCTGCACAGCAAACAGCAGAATGGAAAGGCAATCTACAAAATGTGAGGAAATGTTTGTGAACCATATATTTGATAAGGGGTTAATCTCCAACATATGTAAGGAACTCATACAACTCAGTAGCAAAAAATATATGTATATTAAAAAATAGGCGCTTCACTGCCGTCCGTTGATTTATTTCTCCAGGAAGAAAAATGGCATCTGTTGCAGTTGATCCACAACTGAGTGTGATGACTCGGGTGGTCAACCTGCCCTTGATGAGCTCCACATATGACCCCATGTCCTCAGCCCATGTCAGTACAAAGGACCAGTGTCCTACTTGAAGTCTGTGTGTGAGATGGCAGGGAAGGGTGTGAAGACCATCACCTCGGTGGCCATGACCAGTGTGCTCTGCCCATCATCCAGAAGCTAGAGCTGCAAATTGCAGTTGCCAATATCCGTGTCTGTAAGGGGCTAGACAGGATTGAGGAGAGACTGCCTATTCTGAATCAGCCATCAACTCAGGTTGTTGCCAATGCCAAAGGTGCTGTGACTGGGGCAAAAGATGCTGTGACGACTACTGTGACTGGGGCCAAGGATTCATCACAGGGTTGATGGACAAGACCAAAGGGGTAGTGACTGGCACTGTGGAGAAGACCCAAGTCTGTGTCAGTGGCAGCATTAACACAAGCTTAGGAAGTCAGATAATGCAGCTCATGAGCAGTGGCTTGGAACATGCGCTCACCAAATCAGAGCTCTTGGTAGGACAGTACCTCCCTCTCACTGGGGAAGAACTAGAAAAAGAAGCAAAAAAAGTTGAAGGATATGATATGGTTCAGAAGCCAAGTTGTTATGTTAGACTGGGATCCCTGTCTACCAAGCTTCACTCCCTGTCTACCAAGCTTCACTTCGTATGAGCAGGCTCTCAGCAGGGTTAAAGAAGCTAAGCAAAAAAGCCAAGAGACCATTTCTCAGCTCCGTTCTTCTGTTCACTTGATTGAATTTGCCAGGAAGAGTGTGCATAGTGCCAATCAGAAAATTCAGGATGCTCAGGATAAGCTCTAGCTCTCATGGGTGGAGTGGAAAAGGAATATTGGATACGATGATACTGATGAGTCCCACTGTGCAGAGCACATCGAGTCACGTACTCTTGCTATTGCCTGCAACCTGACTTAGCAGCTCCAGACCACATGCCACGGCCTTCTGTCCAACATCCATGATGACCACAGAACATCCAAGGTCAGGCCAAGCATATGAGGGTGATGGCAGGCGACATCTACTCAGTGTTCTGCAATGCTGCCTCCTTTGAGGAAGTGTCTGACAGCCTCCACTTCTAGCAAGGGGCAGCTGCAGAAAATGAAGGAATCTTTAGATGACTTGATGGATTTCTTGTTAACAACATGCCCCTCAACTGGCTGGTAGGTCCCTTTCACCCTCAACTGACTGAGTCTCAGAATGCTTAGGACCAAAGTGCAGAGATGGACAAGAGCAGCCAGGAGGCCCAGCGATCTGAGCACAAAACTCATTAAACTTGCCCCTGTCACCAGTGAATGATGCGGCCAGCCAGTTAACACCTTTCGTTATGTTGAAATTAACCCTGCTAGGCAACCCTAAATTGGGAAGCAAGTAGCTAGTAAAAAGGCCCTCAATTATAGTTATTTCCAGCTGGATTAAGAGCTTTAAAGTTTCTGGCTTTAGCAGATGATTTCTGTTCACCTGGTAAGAAAAGAATGCTAGGCTTGTTAGAGCCTAGCCAGAACTCACAAAAAATTCAAGTGCACTTATGTTCTCATTCTGTGGCCATTGTGTTACCCTCTGTTACTGTTTGTGTTGAATAAAAACATCTTCATGCGGGCTGGGGTAGAAACTGGTGTCTGCTCTGGTATGATCTGAGCAGGCCTCTTTACTGATTTATCTCATGATGATTGCTTGTACAACTTGATTTTAGTTTTTTATTTCTCAAATAGGAATACTACCTTTGAATTCAATATAATTCACTGTAAGATTAAAAAAAAAATGGACAAAGGACCTGAATAGACATTCTCCAAAGAAGACATAAAAGTGGCCAAGTATATGAAAAATTGCTCAACATTGCTAATCATCAGAGAAGTACACATCAAAACCACAATGAAATATCATCACTTCACACCTGTCAATGTCAAGATGGCTATTTTTTTTAAGTGGCAAGGGAGTGAAGAAATTGGAACCCTTGCACACTGTTGGTGGGAATGCAAAATGGTACAAGCGGCCACTATGGAAAACAGTATGGAGGTTCCTTGACATATTAAATATAGAACTACCAGATGGTCTAGCAATCATGCTTCTAGATATTTATCCAAAATAAAATCAGGATCCCAAAGAGTGACAACATGGATGAAGCTTGAGGACATTATGCTAAGGGAAATAATACAGTCACAGAAAGATAAATAACTATGTGAGTCTACTTATGTGAGGTATCTAGTCAGATTCATAGGTTGACAGAGTCAAATGGTGGTTGCCAAAGGCTGAGGGGGAGGAGAAATTGGGGAGTTGCTAAACAATGTATGTAAAATTAATGTCAAACGGGAAAAAGCTCTAGAGATCTGCCATACAACACTGTACCTATAGTCAACATTAATGTATTGTACACTTGAAAATTTGTTAAGAGGGTAGATCTTGTGTTAAGTGTTTTTACCACAATAAAACAAAAAAAAACTTTTTTTTTTTTGAGGTGGAGTCTTGCTCTGTCACCCAGGCTGTAGTGTAGTGGCGCGTTCCCGGCTCACTGCAACCTCCGCCTCCTAGGTTCAAGCGATTCTCCTGCCGCAGCCTCCTGAGTAGCTGAGATTATAGGCGCACACCACCACGCCTGGCTAATTTTTGTTTATTTAGTAGAGACGAAGTTTCACTATGTTGGCCAGGCTGGTCTCAAACTCCTTCACCTCAAGCAATCCGCCTGCGTAGGCCTCCCAAAGTGCTGGGATTACAGGTGTGAGCCACCGCACCTGGCCAACAAACAATTTTTTAAAAATTAAGTATGGGCTTATTAGGCTGAGCGCAGTGGCTCACACCTGTAATCCCAGCATTTTGGGAGGCTGATGTGGGCGGATCACTTGAGGTCAGGAGTTCGAGACCACCCTCGCCAACATAGTGATACCTGGTCTCTACTGAAAATACAAAAATTAGCTGGGTATGGTGGCGGATGCCTGTAATCCCAGCTACTCAGGAGGCTGAGGCAGGAGGATCACTTGAACCCGGGAGGTGAAGGCTGCAGTGAGCCAAGTTTGTGCCACTGCATTGCAGCCTGGGCAACAGAGTGAGACTCTGTCCTAAAAAGGAAAAATAATTAAGTATGGGCTTATTTGTGTGGGTTTAAATTATTATCACCAGCTTGGTCTGAGATCCCCAAACTGGGAAATGAATATAAAAAAATTATTCAGGACCCTGTATAATACCCTTGGGGTAACCAGCGGAAGCATATGTAAAGCTACTCTGGAGGAACAGATCCACAGTTTAAGCCACACAGGATTCTAACAGATAAAATCCCACTGAATAACCCACTTGATTGTGACAAGGCTCATAATCAAAAGTGACAAAAAATAAGAAAACAGCTCATTTACCATGAATAAGAGTCACAGATACACTACCTCTCAGGACTAGATCTCCAGTTCATTGACTATAGACCATAGAATAAGTGCATTTAAAAGGATTAAATACAGCCAGGCATGGTAGCTCATGCCTGTAATCCCAGCACTTTGGGAGGCCAAGCCAGGCGGATCACCTGAGGTCAGGAGTTCAAGACCAGCCTGGCCAACATGGTGAGACCTAACCTCTGCTAAAAATACAAAACATTAGCTGGGTGAGGTGGCACATGTCTGTAATCCCAGCTACTCAGGAGGCTGAGGCAGGAGAATCGCTTGAAACCGGAAGGAGGGGGTTGCAGTGAGCCAAGATCACGCCACTGTACTGCAGCCTGGGTGAAAGAGTGAAACTGTCTCAAAAAAAGAAAAAACAAGGTCAAATTTAAAATATATTTGGAAGGTAATGCTGATAGAGTTTACAGATAGAATGCATGTGGGTATGAGAAAGAGGAACTAAGAATGACTCCAAGTGTTTGGTTTGAATAGTGGTGTCATTTGCTAAGATGTGTAACAGTAGGGGAAGAAACAATTTTGGACATAAGATTATAAAATGCCTGTTAGATATCTGCTATCTTGTGAATGTTTGTCCCTCCAAAATTCATGTTGAAATTTAATTGACATTGTAATAATATTAAGAAGTGGGACCTTTAAGAAGTGATTAAGTTGTTAGGGCTTTACCCTCATGGGTGGGATTAATGTTGTTATAAAAGGGCACCCTCTCTTTGCCATCTGCTATGTTATTAGATGGCAAGAAGGTCTTCACCACATGCCAGTACCTTGATGTTAGGCTTCCCAACTTCTGGAACTGTGTGCCAATAAATAGCCAATAAACTTCTGGTCATTATAAAGTGCCCAAAGCTGGGTACGGTGACATACACCCATAGCCCCAGCTACCTGGGATGCTGAGGTGGGAGGATCATTTGAGCTCAAGGAGTTTGGCAACATGGAGAGACTCCATCTCTAAACAAAACAAAACAGAACACACACACCCACATACCCCTATATAAATTACCCAGTCTGGGGGAGGGGGGGGGTTTGTTTGTTTTTTGCTTTGTTTTGAGATGAGTCTCGCTGTTGCCCAGGCCAGAGTGCAGTGGCGCGATATTGGCTCACTGCAACCTCTGCCTCCCGGGTTCAAGCAGTTCTCTGCCTCAGCCTTCTGAGTAGCTGGGATTACAGGCACCCACCACCACACCTGGCTAATTTTTTTGTACTTTCAGTAGGGACGGGGTTTCACCATCTTGACCAGGCTGTTCTTGAACTCCTGACCTCATGATCCACCCGCCTCGGCCTCCCAAAGTGCTTGAAGTACAGGCGTTAGCCACCATGCATAATGGACTAAGACAACACCCAAATGGAGATGTTAGGCAATTGACTACATGAAGAGAGTTTCGGAGGAGAATGACAGCTAGGAATATCAATTTGAGAATTAGTATATAAATGCTATTTAAAACCATGGGAACACTTCATTTTTACAGTTAGAAGGTGGAAAGATGAGTAGAAACTAGTGAAGACTAAGAATAAAGGATCATGAGTGTAGAATAAGACCCAGAGATGTGAAGTCCCAAAAGCCAAGTGAAGAAAGCAGTTCAAGAAGGAAGGAAGATTGAGTTGATAAAATGCTGCTGAAAGTTCAAATAAGATAAGGATTGGTAAATAATTATTGGACTTGGCAACATGAAGGTAATTAGTGACCTGGAAAAAATAATCTCTTTATATTGAGGGAATAAAACCTGAACTGAAGTGGTTTTAAGCCAGAAGAAAGAGACAATGAGTATAGGTAACTCTTGAGGAATTTTGCTGTAGAAGGGTTCAGGGACATGGGGCAGTGACTGGAATACGACAGGAAGTCATGGGAAGAATTTTCTAAGGTGTAAGAAATACTATACCAAGTTGGTATGGTGAGGGGATGATTCTCAACACTGGCTAAATAATAGAACTAACTGGGGAATTTATTAAAGGATAGCTGCATGAGTTCAATGGCAGACTGATTAAATCAAATCTTTGGGAATTGGACCATGGTATCAGTATGTTTGTTTGTTTTACAGTTACTCAGATGATTCTAATATGCATCCAAAGTTGATCTGCTTTGGAGCAGATCAGTCAAATTAACTCGTTATATAAGTTAAACAGTATATCCAACACAGTTGAAAATTAGGAACAATAGAAATTACACAGAATGCAGCATAGATATATTAAAAATGGAAAATATGAAAAAAAGAGATGAGACATGGACAGTAGAATGAGATGGTCCAAGATATATCTCATAGGAGTTCTAGGGAAGGGTAGAGAAAATGGAGAGTAGCAACATTCAAAGAGATAATAGCAGAAAATTTCACAGAATTTCTAAGTATATGAATCTTCAAGGAAAAAAAAAATAGTGAATCCTGAAAGAATAACACTAAAGACAAAGATCTTATGAAAGCAGCCAAATAGATTACTGTGAAGGAATGAAAATTAGGCCGGGCTCAGTGATTCATGCCTGTAATCTCAGTGCTTTGGGAGGCCTAAAGAGGAGGATCACTTGAGTTCAGGAGTGAGGCTGCAGTAAGCTATGATTTTACCAGTGCGCTTCAGGCTGGGTGATAGAGGGAGACTCCATCTCAAAAAGATGTGGTCTTTTTTACTTATCTACAGAAGTGTGTCTAGTTTCTCAGCTGTAAGCATTCAGAGGTCAGGGACTAAATACAATAATTAAGTACAATGTTGCAAAAATACTGACATTAAAAATAGAAGTTCCAGGCCAGGCACAGTAGGTCAGACCTGTAATCCCAGCACTTTGGGAGGCTGAGGCAGGCGGATCACTTGAGGCCAGGAGTTCAAGACCAGCCTGGCCAACATGGCGAAACCCTGTCTCCACTAAAAATACAAAAACTAGCCAGGTGTGGTGGTGCACGTCTGTAGGCTCAGTTACTTGGGAGGCTGAGGCACAAGAATCACTTAAAACCAGGAAGCAGAGGTTGCAGTGAGCCAGGAGATTGTGCCATCGCACTCCAACCTGGGTGACAGAGCAATACTCCGTCAAAATAAAATAAAATAGCTTTGACTGTATGTAACACACTAATCATGACTAATTCGTTGGAACTAAAAATGAGATAGGACTGAAATAAAAAATAAGAATTTAATAGAAGGCATAAAAGAGCAAGAAGGGCCAGGTGCGGTGGCTCACGCCTGTAATCCCAGCACTTGGGGAGGCCGCAGCAGGTGGATCACGAGGTCAGAAGTTCGAGACCAGCCTGGCCAACCTGGTGAAACCCCGTCTCTACTAAAAATACAAAAATTAGCCAGGAGTGGTGGCGGATGCCTGTAATCCCAGCTACTCGGGAGGCTGAGGCAGAGAATTGCTTGAACCCAGGAGGCGGAGATTGCAGTGAGCCGAGATCGCGCGACTGCATTCCAGCCTGGGCGACAGAGTGAGACTCCATCTCAAAAAAAAAAAAAAAAAAAAAAGAACGCAAAGAACAAGAAGGGGTTGGACACGGTGGCTAATGCCTGTAATCCTAGCACTTTAGGAGGCTGAGATGGGAGGATCACTTGAGGCCAGGAGTTCGAGTCCAGCGTGGCCAATATGGTGAAACCCCATCTCTACAAAAAAAATACAAAAAGATTAGCTGGGCACTGGTGGCACACACCTGTAATCCCAGCTACTTTGGAGGCTGAGGCAGAAGAATCACTTGAACCTCGGAGGCAGAGGTTGCAGTGAGTCAGGTTCACACCACTGCACCCCAGCCTGGGTGACAGAGTGAGACTGTCTCAAAACAAACATAGCAAGAAGGAAGCACAGAACAAGCAAGGTAAATAGAACAGAAGATGGTAGAAATAAAACTAAATATGTTAGTGATCATGAGAAGTGTAAACTAGTCAGTTTTTTAGAAATGGTTTAATGGAAAAACAAATTCAGATAAATACTGTCGAAAACATAAAGGTGTAGAAATTGAAATTAACAACGAAAAAAATGTTGTAGGTAAATATTAACCAGAAAGTTAATGTCACCATACTAATATAAGACAAACTTTAAGGCAAAAAAAGTTATTAAGGGAACAGTTTTGGGGCGGGGGGGGGGCGGTAGTTTATAGAGATAGTGTCTTGCTCTATTATCCAGTGGAGTACAATGGTGCAATCATGGTAAACTGCAGTCTCAAACACCAGAGCTTAAACAATCCTTCCACCTCAGCTTCCTGAGTAGCTGGAACTGTGGACGCATGCCACCATGCCTGGTAATTTTTATTTATTTATTTATTTATTTTTTTGAGATAGAGTCTTGCTCTGTCACCCAGGCTTGAGTGCAGTGGTGCAATTGCTCACTGCAGCCTCAACCTCCCAGGCTCAAGCAGTCCTCCCACCTCACCCCCCCTTGCAGCCCCCCGCCAAAGTAGCTGGAACTGTAGGCGTGCACTACCACACCTGGCTAATTTTTTATATTTTATAAATGTGGGGTTTTGTCATGTTGCCCAGGCTGGTCTTGAACTCCTGAGCTCATGGGATCCACCCGTCTCAGCCTCCCAAAGTGCTGGGATTATAGGTGTGAGCCACCACCACGCCCAGCCTAATGTTTTAAATTAATGGTAGAGACAGGCTATCACTATTTTGCATAGGCTGGAATTTTTTTTTTTTTCTTTTTTTTACTGATACAGGGTCTGGCTCTGTTGTCCAGGCAGGAGTTCAGTGGCTTGATCAGGCTCACTGCAGCCTCAGCCTCCTGTGCTTGAGCAATTCTCATTGAACTGTCTTGGCACCCTTGTTGAAAAATCAATTGACCGTAAATATTAGGGTGTATTTCTGAGTTTTTTTCCATTGATCACATATCTGTCTTTAAGCCAGTACCACACTATTGTTATATCCATTGTAGTTTTCATCTCAGACACTGGTTTTCATCTCTAGAAGTTTGATTTGAGTCTTTTTGTACATCTTCCATTTCTCTGCGTAACTTTTTGAAAATATGGAATGCAGTTACAATATTAATATCTGTTTTAAAGTCATTTTAATTCTAACAGAATTAGTTCTGGGTAAATAGATTTCTTCTGATTGATTATTCTTCTCATTAGGGGTCATGTTTTCTTGCCTCTTTGCAAGCCTGTTAATCTTTTTTTTTTTTATTATACTTTAAGTTTTAGGGTACATGTGCACATTGTGCAGGTTAGTTACATATGTATACATGTGCCATGCTGGTGGGCTGCACCCACTAACTCGTCATCTAGCCTTAGGTATATCTCCCAATGCTATCCCTCCCCCCTCCCCCCACCCCACCACAGTCCCCAGAGTGTGGTATTCCCTTTCGTGTGTCCATGTGATCTCATTGTTCAATTCCCACCTATGAGTGAGAATATACGGTGTTTGGTTTTTTGTTCTTGCGATAGTTTACTGAGAATGATGATTTCCAATTTCATCCATGTCCCTACAAAGGATATGAACTCATCATTTTTTATGGCTGCATAGTATTCCAAGCCTGTTAATCTTTAATCAAATTCCAGATATTGTGAATTTTATATTTTTGGGTGCTGGATTATTTTTATTCCTATAAATCTTGAGGGTTGATTTGCAATTCAGTTATTGTATTTGTCAACTTTGCTTTTTTTTTTTTTTTTTATAATTTGTTAGGCCAGTACTTAAACTAAGCAGTACTTAGTTTAGGGCTAAAAATTCCCTAGTGCTAAGGTAGGACTTTCCTGTGCACTCTACCCGATACCCCATAAATTGAGTTTTTCTAATCTGGCTACTAAGAACAGGCACTATTCCTGGCCCCATGTGAGTTCTGGGTAGTGCTTGCTCCATTCCTTTCATATGTTTTTTTTTCCCCCAGTCTTGGATAGTTTCCTCAGTCACATGTGCTGATCAGCACTCTGATATCCTCAGTATTTGAGGGGATCATTTTGCAGATCTCTGGGCTTCTGAGACTTTCTCTGCAGCTTTCTCTGCTGTGATACTCTGTCCTTTGAAATCTGGCTGCCATTATCTCATTATGTTCTCTGCTCCATCTCTTCAACTCAGGAGTTTCTCAGGCTGTGCCTCAATCTCCCTCCCCTCCTGCATCATGTCCTGGAAACTCTCTTAAGGCAATAAGCCAGGCCAGTTGTAGAGCTCACTTCATTTGCTTCTTGTCACTCTGGGATCACTGTCCATTGTTGCCTGATGTCCATTGTTTTCAAAACCCTTGTTTTTATGGTTTTTGTTTGGGTTTTTTTTTTTTTTTTTTGGTGGTGGTGGTGGTTCTTTTAGGTGAGAGGGTAAATCTCTGGTCTCTGTTGAATCATCTTGACCAGAAGTGGAAATTGCAGCATTGGTTTTAACATCAACAAATTGATCCCTAAATGTTGAGGTGGAGAATGGATAACTAATTGTATATTCCTGCTGTGGGATTCTACACAGCAGTTAAAACAAATGAAGTAGAGCTTTATGCAGTTACTTGGACAAATTTTAAATATAAAAAATTGAAGGCTGGGCATGGTGCCTCATACCTGTAATCCTGGTGCTTTGGGAAGCCAAGGCAGGAGGATCGTGTGAGGCCAGGAGTTCAAGACTAACCTGGGCAACATGACAAAACCCCATCTTTACAAATAACTTTTTTTTTTGTAAATGTCGCTTCTCCTCTAGTGGCTGAGGTAGGAGGGTGCAATGAGGCCAGGAATTTGAGGCTGCAGATTGCTAAGATGGTGCCTGTGAATAGCCACTGCACTCCAGCCTGGGTAACATAGTGAGACCCCATATATTAGCCAAGTGTGGTGGTGTGCACCTGTAGTCCTAGCTGCTTGGGAGGCTGAGGTGGGAGGATTGCTTGAGCCCAGGAGGTCAAGGTTACAGTGAGACATGATCACACCACTGCATTCCAGCCTGGGCAACAGAGTGAGATACTGTCTCTTAAAAAAAAAAATGCCAGGCACAGTGGCAAAAATTAGCCTGGCATGGCAGCGTGAGCCTATAATCCTAGCTACTTGGGAGGCTGAGGCGGGAGGATCACTTGAGCCCAGGAAGCGGAGGTTGCAGTGAGCCGACATGGTCCACTGCACTCCAGCCTGGGCGACAGCGAGACTCTGTCTCAAAAAAAAAAAAAAAAAAGGCTGGGCGAGGTGGCTCACGCCTGTAATCCCAGCACTTTGGGAGGCCGAGGCGGGCAGATCACCTGAGGTCAGGAGTTTAAGACCACCCTGACCAACATGGTGAAACCCTGTCTCTACTAAAAATACAAAAAAATTAGCCAGGAGTGGTGGCAGGCGCCTGTAATCCCAGCTACTCCGGAGGTTGAGGTAGGAGAATTGCTTGAACCCGGGAGGCGGAGGCTGCAGTGAGCCGAGATTGTGCCATTGCACTCCAGCCTGGGCAACGAGTGAAACTCCATCTCATACATACATACATACATACATACATAAAATTTTAAAAAACAAAAGCAAAAACAATATTGGAAAGAAAAATGAAGAACAGTACAGAAGTGATAATTTCTAAAAATATACAAACTATGCTATATATTATTAATGATTACATGTATATGCAATAAACTTATTTAATATTTATGAGAATGGAAACAACATCTGAAGGAGGAGAGAGGGCGAGAAAGGGTTGAGAGTGAAGTTACACAGTGCTTCAGATTTATCTAATGTTTTGTCTCACTAAAAATAGGAGACCACATAGATGACTAACAACTAGTATCTAAAATACATAAAGAACTCTCAAAACTCAACAGTAAAAAGGAACAGCAAAGAGCTCGGTTAGGAAATGAGCAAAAGACATGAACAGAAGTTTCACAGAAGAGAATTACAGATGGCAAATAAACATGTAAAAAGAACATCATTAGCCATTAGGGAAATGAAAATTGAAACCACAATGAAATATTACCACACACCTATCCAAATGGCTTAAGTAAGAAATAATGACACCAGCCAGGTGCAGTGGCACACACTTCAAGTCGCTTCTCCTCTAGTGGCTGAGGTAGGAGGATGGAATGAGGCCAGGAATTTGAGGCTGCAGATTGTTAAGATGGTGCCTATGAATAGCCACTGCACTCCAGCCTGGGTAACATAGTGAGACCCCATCTATTAAATAACAGTAATAAAAATGACACCACCAAATGCTGGTGAGGGTGTGAAAAACCTGGATTTCTCATACATTGCATCTGGGAATATATGATGGTATAGCTACTCTGGAAAACAGATTGGCAGTTTCTTATAAAACCGAACATTCACTTACCATATGACTCAGCAGTTGCACACTTAGGCATTTATCCCAGATAAATGAAAACTTTTCTACAAAAACTTTCCCATGAATGTTCATAGCAGCTGTATTCCTAATAGCCAAAAACGGAAAACAACTCAGATGTCCTTCAGTGAGTAAATAAACCATGGTACATCCATACCATGGAATACTACTCAGCAATAAAAAGGAATAAACTGTTGGTACTTGCAGCCACTTCGATGAATCTCAGTGAAATTATCCTAAGTGAAAAAGGCCAGTCCTAAAAGTTACATACTCTATGATTCCAACTTTATAATAGTTTGAAAAGCAAACATTTTAGAAATGGAGAACAGATTAGTGGCTTCTAGGAGTTAGGAATGAATGTGGCAGGAGATGGGAGGGGATAGGGTAGATGTTGTTATAAAACAGTTAACACGAGGGCTCCTTGAGGTGATGGAACGGTGCTGTTTCTTAACTGTGATGATGGATACATGAACTTACAAATGTGACAAAATTGTGTAGAACTAAGTACATACAAATGAATACTAATAAAATGGGAAATCTGAAGATCTGCTTATTGTATCAATGTTGATATCCTGCTGGTGATATGGTACTATAGTTTTGCAAGATGTTACCATTGGGGGAAACTAGATAAAGGGTACATGAGATCTTCTTTATCTCCATCTTTTTTTTTCTTTTTTTCTTTTTTTTTTTTTTTTTGAGACGGAGTCTTCCTCTGTCACCCAGGCTGGAGTGCAGTGGCCTGATCTCGGTTCACTGCAACCTCGGCCTCCTGGGTTCACGCCATTCTCCTGCTTCAGCTTCCTGAGTAGCTCAGACTACAGGCACATGCCACCACGCCCGGCTAACTTTTTCTATTTTTAGTAGAGACGGGGTTTCACCGTGTCAGCCAGGATGGTCTTGATCGCCTGACCACATGATCCGCTCTCCTCGGCCTCCCAGAGTGCTGGGATTACAGGCGTGAGCCACCGTGCCCGGCCTATCTCCATCTTTGAAATATTTTATAATAAGAACAATCTCTTCAGTGTGCACAGTAAAATTCTCTGTGACCATTTGAGACAAATCAGAAAAAATAGTGGAAACATAAAAATGAAAATTTTCTGCTTATTAATATTTACTTCAAAGTTTTTAGATTTTAAAAAGATAAACTAGAACTTATGAAAGTATTTTTTTAAGAATGTATTTTCGGCTGGGCCCAGTGGCTCACACCTGTAGTCTCAGCACTTTGGGAGGCTGAGGCGGGTGGATCACCTGAGGTCGGGAGTTCGAGACCAGCTTCACCAACACAGAGAAACCCTGTCTCTACTAAAAATACAAAATTAGCTAGGCGTGGTGGCGCATGCCTGTAATCCTAGCTACTCGGGAGGCTGAGGCAGGAGAATTGCTTGAACCCAGGAGGCGGAGGTTGCGGTGAGCCGAGATCGCGCCATTGCACTCCAGCCTGGGCAACAAGAGCAAAACTCCACCTAAAAAAAAAATAAGTATTTTCAGCAGGGCGCAGTGGCTCATGCCTGTAACCCCAGCACTTTGGGAGGCCGAGGCAGGTGGATCACCTGAGGTCAGGAGTTCAAGACCAGCCTGGACAACATGGTGAAACCCCCGTCTCTACTAAAAATACAAAAAATTAGCCGGGCGTGATGGCAGGTGCCTGTAATCCCAGCTACTCAGGAGGCTGAGGCAGGAGAATCGCTTGAACCTGGGAGGCGGAGGTAGCAGTGAGACAAGATCGTGCCATTGCACTCCAGCCTGGGCAACAAGAGTGAGACTCCGTCTCAAAAAAAAAAAAAAAAAAAAAAAGAAAGTATTTTCATTTCTACTTAGGATTTTAAAACCAAAACAGCTTTTTGTTTGAGACAGAATCTCGCTTTGTCGCCAGGTCTAGGGTGCAATGGCATGATCTCAGCTCACTGCAACCTCTGCCTCCCAGGTTCAAGTGATTCTCCTGCCTCAGCCTCCCAACCAGCTGGGATTACAGGCACGCACCTGCCACCAGCCCAGCTAATTTTTTGTGTTTTTAGTAGAGATGGGGTCTCACCATGTTAGTCAGGCTGGTTTCAAACTCCTAACCTCAAGTGATCTGCCTGCTTTGGCCTCCCAAAATGCTGGGATTACAGGTGTGAGCCACTGCACCCAGCCTTCAAAACAGTTTTTTAAACTTACTTTTTATGTGTTAAATACTAGGACTGTTGTCTCCTTCATTATAAATACTGATAACTTTTCATAAGTAACATAACCATCTTATGATCTTTTAGACTATTACTACTTTAAACTTTTAAGTTACATTATATAACTATAGGCTTCACTTTCATCATTTTTGAGAATTAGAGGTTTTCCAACCTAGCTAACAATTTAGATTTTTCTGTTCTCTGATGTGATGGAAGAACAAAGAACAAATATAAAGGGCCTTGTACATTGCCTTGTGAAGACCAGGTACTCCTATATATGTTAATTTATTTTGTTCACCCTCTTCATTCCCCTATCCTCTGTCTGCCTCTCAGGATCCTCTTAAGTCTTTGCTGCAAATCCAGGTTTTGGTTTAATGTTGTCAGAAACTTTACAAGCATGAATGTAGAGCTATTTCATTTGGCATTCTTGTTTCTTATAGGAGTCCAACAGCAAGTTTAAAGTTGGACATTTTTCTTTTTCTGCTCTAGTTGTTTGACACAACTACTCTCTTCCTTAAACTTTCTTTTTTTTTTTTTTTTTTTTTTTTTTGAGACAGGGTCTCGTTCTGTCACCCAGGCTGGAGTGAAGTGACCTGATCTCAGTTCACTGCAACCTCTGCCTCCCAGGTTCAAGTGATTCTCATGCCTCAGCCACCTGAGTAGCTGGGATTACAGGCATGCACCACCACACCCGGCAATTTTTGTATTTTTAGTAGAGACAAGCTTTTGCCATGCTGGCCAGGCTGATCTCGAACTCCCAGCCTCAAATGATCTGCCATCCTTGGCCTCCCAAAGTGTTAGGATTACAGGCGTGAGCCACTGTGTCCAGCCTCTGCCTTCTTATATACTGCTTTTCATCCTCACATTTCAGTAAAGAGAAAATTCACCCAAAGGCAAAAGCTGAAGCCAGGAAATAATCCTTTTCTCTGACCCCAAATCTAAGTCACCAACTCCTATCAATTCTATTTTCTTCCTCTGAATGTAAAAGAGAAAATATGCACATGGTGGCTCGCATCTGTAGTTCCAGCTACTCAGGAGGCCGAGGCATGAGAGTCGCTTGAACCCGGGGGCCCAGGCTTCAGTGAGCCATGATTGCACCACTGTACTCCAGACTGGATGACAGAGTGAGACTCAAAAAAGGGGGAAAAAAAAAGAGGCAGGGCGCGTCTCTTTGCAGTGAGCTGAGATTGTGCCATTGCACTCCAGCCTGGGCAACAGAGCAAAAACTCCATCTCAAAACAAAAAAAAAGGCAGAGAAAATGAGTTCATGTAAACATCCAATTATGTATTTTTGTTATATGCACATCTTTCTATTGGAATGAAATTCTGGAAAACAGTAATCTAGTCGTTTTCCAAAAATCTTTACTCCTAATGTCTGACTTTGACACATAGTGTATGATTAATATTTGTGGGGTGGATGGATGGATAGATGTGCAGATACATGAATACACAGTACTTGCTTCTTAAGATGTCTGGCTCTGAGAAGGGTGTTGTACTGTGTAATAGATTTTGGAAATGAGCTAGACCTGTGTTGTAATTCCAGATTTACTTTCTAAAGCTTTGCAGTTGGGATACATCTCTTCCCACCTGTGAAGTAGAAACAATACTACCTACTTAGTAGCTTGTTGAAAAGATTTAAGTAAGTTTCTTCTCCAACTGGAATGGAGAAAAAAAATATATAAGTAAGAATACGTGATAAAGTGTCCAATAGCATGTTTGGATTTAAGTGGGTGGTTAAGAAATAGTATTTGTTATTATTAGGATCACAGAAGAAACAAAAAAAGATTGGTTAGGCATTAAAAGGCAATATGCAACATTCATTTTACAAAATTTTCTTTTTTTTGCAGAGGAATATTTATGTGATAAGTTTTCAGTGAATATTATTTTTACAGTTTTATAATAGGGGACATAATTTAACTGTAGAATTTTTTTTTAGTATATTTACAAAGTTGTGCAACCATCACAACAGTCTGTTTTAGAAGAACATTTCCGATCACCCTAAAAAGATCACGTGTACCCTTCCGTAATCAGTTATGTTGGATTTTGTTTTTGCAATTTTGTTGTGGTAAAATATATGTAACATGAAATTTACCATCTTAACCATTTGTAAGTATATAATTCAGTGGATTTAAGTACATTCACATTGTTTTGCAACCATCACCACTATCTACTTGCAGAACTTTTTCTTCATCCCAGAGACTCTGTTCCCATTAAACAATCACCCCTCACTCCCCACCCCTACCTTAGCTGGAAACCTCTATTCTACTGTGTTTTTTTTTTTGTTTGTTTTGTTTTTGGGGTTTTTTGTTTGTTTTTGTTGTTGTTGTTTTTGAGATAAGGGCATCTTACTCTGTTGCCTAGGCTAGTCTTCAACTCCTGACACTCAAGCATTCCTCCCACACCAGCCTCCCAAGTAGCTAGAATTATAGGCACTTGCCACCATGCTCAGCCCTCTATTATACTTTCTATCTCTAGGTACCTCATATATGTGGAACCATACAATATTTATCCTTTTGTGTCTGGTTTATTTTACTCGCATAATGTTTTCAAAGTTCGTCCATTTTACATTGGATTTTGAGGGAGGCATGGTTGTGAGTGCATAAAGTTGAGGTTTATAGATTAGTAAAGACAAAGAGTAGCCGTGGATAGATTGGTCAGAATTCTCAAGCTATCTATTAGGAAAGACTTACCTCAGACATTCAGGTATCTGGGTTCTGGTTTCTCACAACCTCTGATGGGTCAGTTTCTTTCTTGAATCATTAATGTATAGTAAGGGGAAATTATTTGACTTACTTTCAGCTGTTTGTATAATTGTCAATTCAAGGAGCCAAGGTAATGATGGCACCCCAAACTCTAGCTCTAGGTTATTGAATTTTGTTGTTTTGTCATATACTATCAGTGCACGTGAATATATCTCAAAACTTAGAATACTGTAGTATATCAACTTAAATGTGTATATCTTGCTATGTGTACTTAAGAGACAGGGTCTTGCTCTGTCACCCAGGCTGGAGTAGAGTGGCGCAATCATAGCTCACTGCAGCCTCAAACTCCTGGGCTCAAATGATCTTCCCACTTCAGTCACCATGCCTTTTTTTTTTAACTTTTTTAGGCTGGGTGCAGTGGCTCACGCCTGTAATCCCAGCACTTTGGGAGGCCAAGGTGGGCGGATCACTTGAGGTCAGGAGTTCAAGACTAGCCTGGCCAACATGGAGAAACCTCGTCTCTACTAAAAATACAAAAATTAGCCGAGTATGGTGGCGAACACCTGTAATCTCAGCTACTTGGAAGGCTGAGGCATGAGAATCACTTGAACCTGGGAGGCTTGCAGTGAGCCGAGGCTGTGCCACTGCACTCCAGCCTGGGTGACAGACTGTCTAAAAAAAAAAAAAAAAAAACAAATTTTTTTTTAGAGATGAGTCTCCCAGGATGGTCTCAAACTCTCAGCCTCCAATGATCCTCTTGTGTCACTGGGATTACACACACAAGCCACTGCCTTACTGTGTACTTTTCTAAAGTATAGACATACCTCAGAGATTTTGTATGTTCCATTCCAGACCACCACAATAAAGCAAATATTGCAATAAAGCAAGTCACACAAATTTTTTGGTTTCCCAGTGTATATAAAAGTTATGTTTAGGCCAGACGCAGTGGCTCACGCCTGTAATCCAAGCACTCTGGAAGGCTGAGGCGGGAGGATTGCTTGAAGTCAGGAGTTTGAGACCAGCCTGGTCAACATGGTGAAACCTTGTCTCTACTAAAAATACAAAAAGTAGCTGGGCATGGTGGTACGCGCCTGTAATCCCAGCTACTCAGGAGGCTGAGGCAGTAGAATCGCTTGAACTCAGGAGGCAGAGGTTGTAATGAACCGAGATCACGCCACTCCACTCCAGCCTGGACGACAGAGCAAGAGTCTGTCTCAAAAAAATAATAATAATAATAAAATAAAAGTTATGTTTACATTATGCTGTAGTCTATTAAGTGCAATAGGATTATGTCTAAGAAAACAATGAATACATCTTAAATAAAAAACACTTTCTTGCTAAAAAGTACTAACAATCATCTGAGCCTTCAGCAAGTCATTATCTTTTAGCTGGTAGAGTGTCTTGCCTCCATGTGGATGACTGCTCACCCATTAGTGTGGTGGTTGCTGAAGGTTGGGGTAACCTGGCAATTTTTTTTTTTTTTTGAGATTACAGGCATGAGCCACTGCGCCTGCCCAACCTGGCAGTTTCTTAAAATAAGATGATGAAGTTTGCCACATGGATTGACTCTCCTTTCATGAAAGATTTTCATATAGCATGCGGTACTGTTTAATACCATTTTATCCACAGTAGAACTGCTTTCAACATTGGTGTCATTTCTTTCAAACCCTGCTGCTTTGTCAACTCAAGTTTATGGAATATTCTAAATCTTCTGGTGTCATTTCAACAGTGTTCACAGCATCTTACCAGGAGTAGATTCCATCTCAAGAAACCACTTTCTTTGCTCATCCATAAGAAGCAACTCCTTATCCATTCAAATTTTTGTTTTTTGTTTGTTTTTTAAAGAGACTCAGTTGTGGTCTGTCACCCAAGCTGGAGTGCAGTGGCATGATCGTAGCTCATTGTAGCCTCAAACTCCTGGGCTCATGCGATCCCCTCACCTCACTCTCCTGAGTGAGGTGCATGCCACCGTGCCCAACTAATTTTTTTTTTTATTTTCTGTAGAGATAGGGTCTCACTTTGTTGTCCAGGTTGGTCTCGAACTCCTGGGCTCAAGTGATCCTCCTGTCTCAGCCTCCCAAAGTGCTGGGATTACAGTGCTGGGATCCCAGCTGTGCCTTGCCCAGGCTCCCTTCTAATTGTAGTTTTCTTGCTGTTTCTACCACTTTTGCAGTCATTTCCTCCATTGAAACCTTGAACCTGTCAAAGGTCATGTATGAAAGTTATAATCAACTTCTTTCAAATTCCTGTTAGTGTTGATAGTTTTAGGCCGGGCGTGGTGGCTCATGCCTGTAATCCCAGCAATTTGGGAAGCCGAGGCAGGCAGATCACCTGAGGTCGGGAGTGCGAGACCAGCCTGACCAACATGGAGAAACCCTTTCTCTACTAAAAATACAAAATTAGCTGGGCCTGGGGTGGCACATGCCTGTAATCCCAGCTACTCGGGAGACTGAGGCAGGAGAATTGCTTGAACCTGGAAGGTGGAGGTGAGCTGAGATCGCACCATTGCACTCCAGCCTGGGCAACAAGAGCAAAACTCCGTCTTAAAAAAAAGAAAAAGAAAAGAAAAATGTTAATAGTTTTACTTCCTCCTGCAATGGTAAATAATTTCCAGGAGGTTTTTTAAATTTTTATTTTTATAGAGACAGGGTCTTGGCTGGGCGTGGTGGTCATGCCTGTAATCCCAGCACTTTGGGAGGCTGAGGTGGGCGGATCACGAGGTCAGGAGTTCGAGACCATCCTGGCTGACACGGTGAAACCCCATCTCTATAGCAAAAATACAAAAAATTAGCTGGGCGTGGTGGTGGGCGTTTGTAATCCCAGCTGCACGGAAGGCTGAGGCAGGAGAATGGCATGAACCCAGGAGGTGGAGGTTGCAGTGAACTGAGGTTGTGCCACTGCACTCCAGACTGGGCAACAGAGTGAGACTCTGTCTCAAAAACAAACAAAAAACAACCAAAAAAAAACATAAAAAAAAAGAGAGAGAGACAGGGTCTTACTGTGTTGCCCAGGCCAGTCTCAAACTCCTGGGCTCAAGTGATCCTCCCACGTTGGCCTCGAAAGCACTGGAATTACTTTTGTGAGCCACCATGCTTGGCCTGAAATATATTAATATTTCTTTTTTCTTTTTTTTTTTTTTTTTTTTGGAGACTGAGTTTTGCTCTCGTTGCCCAGGCTGGAGCGCAGTGGCATGATCTTGGCTCACTGCCACCTCCCCCTCCCAGGTTCAGGCTATTCTCCTGCCTCACCCTCCCATGTAGCTGGGATTACGGGCATGTGCTGCCAAGCCTAATTTTGTATTTTTAGTAGAGACGGGGTTTCACCATGTTGGTCAGACTGGTCTCGAACTCTTGACCTTAGGTGATCCACCTGCCTCGGCTTCCCAAAGTGCTGGGATTACAGGCGTGAGCCCCCATGCCCAGCAATATTTCTTACATAGTAAGACTTGAAAGTTAAAATTACTCCTTGATTCATGGTCTGTAGAGTGGATGTGTTAGCCACATGAAAACAACATTAATCTCCTTGTTCATCTCCATCAGAGCTCTTGGTGACTGGGTGCATTGTCAATGAGCAGTAATATTTTGAAAGGGATCTTTTTTCTGAGCAGTAGATCTCAGCCATGAGCTTAAAATATTCAGTAAACCATACTGTAAACAGATGTGCTGTCATCCAGACGTCGTTGTTCCATTGAGAGAGTGCAGGCAGAGTAGATTTAGCCTAATTCTTACCTTTTTTCTAAGTGATGGAGTCTTGCTATGTTGTCCAGGCTGGAGTGCAGTGGCTATTCACAGGTGCAATCATAGTGCTCTACAGCCTCAAAATCCTGAGCTCAGGCAACTCTGCTGCCTTAGCCTCCCACATAGCCGAGACTACTGGTGTGCACTACTATGCCCAGTTTATTTAACATAATTCTTAAGGGCCTTAGAATTGTTGGAATGGTAAATGATCACTGACTTCAATTTAAAGTCACCAGCCATATTAGCCTCTAACAAGAGAGTCAGCCTGTCTTTTGAAGCTTTGGAGCCTGGTATTGACATCTCTCTATGAAAGTCTTCTAGTAGAAGGCTATTTTATCTACATTGAAAATGTGCTGTTCACATGGGCTTATAGATGAAAACAGTAGACACTGAGTACTCCAAAAAGGGGAGGAATGGAGTGGGAGATAAGGGTTGAAAAACTACCCATTGGGTACTATGTTAGCTATTTGGGTGATGAGTTCAATAGAAGCCCAAACCCCAGCATTATGCAGTATATCCATTTAATAAATCTACACATGTATCCCTTAAATCTAAAATAAAAATTAGAAAATTTTAAAAAGGGAAAAAAATGTACTGTTAATGTGTCACTTTTGTGGGTTATCTCAGCTAGATCTTATGGATAACTTGCGTTAGCTTCTACATCAGGACTTGGCTACTGCTGTACCTTGTACTTTGGTGTTATGGCGTGACTTCTTAAACCTCATGAACCAGCCTCTGCTAGTTTCCAGCTTTTCTTTTGCAGCTTCCTCATTTCTCCCAGCCTTCACAGAATTGAAGAGAGTTAGGGCCTGATTCTGAATTACGCTTTGGCTTAAAGGAATGCTGTGGCTGGTTTGATCTTGCCAGTGCACTAAAACTTTCTCCATATTGCCAGTAAGGCCTTTGCACTTTGCCATTATTTGTGTGTGCATTGGAATAGCACTTTTAATTTCCTTCAGGAACTTTTCCTTTGCATTCACAACTTGGCTAACTTTTTTTTTTTTGAGATGGAGTCTTGCTCTTGTCGCCTAGGCTGGAGTGCAGTGGTGCGATCTTGGCTCACTGAAACCTCTGCCTCCCGGGTTCAAGTGATCCTCCTGCCTCAGCCTCCCAAATAGCTGGGATTACAGGCATGTGCCACAACACCCGACTAATTTTTGTATTTTTAGTAGAGACGGGGTTTCACCATGTTGGCCAGGCTGGTCTCGAACTCCTGACCTCAAGTGATCAGCCCGCCTTGGCTTCCCAAAGTGCTGAGATTACAGGCGTGAGCCACTGTGCCTGGCCTTGTTTTCCTTTAACAAAGTATCTGCAAAGCACAATAAAGTGAAATGCAATAAAATGAGGCATGGCTGTACTTTTTGCGTCTAGGCGTATAATCAGTTGAGTGGCAGACTTTTCCTACTCTGCCCAACTTACCATGGTATGTCCAGTTACTGCTCTCACTTATATAGTGTTGATTGAACTACTAAAGACATTGTTAACTATAGAGTTAGGGTAGTGGTCTATAGCACTCCACTTTCTAGTCCCTCCATCTGAAGATATTTTTCAGAGGTAAATTGGGAGGTGAAGTGTGATAAAAATGTTCTAAAGTTGATTATAATGATAGTTGCACAGCTCTGAATATACTAAACATCATTGAATTGTACACTTTACATAGGTGAATTGTATGATATGTGAATTATATCTCAGTAAAGCTATTCTTTTTTTTTTATTATTTTACTTTAAGTTCTGGGATACATGCACAGAACCTGAAGGTTTATTACATAGGTATACATGTGCCATGGTGGTTTGCAGCAGCTATCAACCCGTCATCTAGGTTTTAAGCCCCACATGTATTAGATATTTGTCCTAATGCTCTCCTTCCTTTTGCCTCCTACCCCCCAACAGACCCAGGTGTGTGATGTTCCCCCTTCCTGTGTCCATGTGTTCTCATTGTTCAACTCCCACTTACGAGTGAAAACAGGCAGTGTTTGGTTTTCTGTTCCTTTGTTAGTTTGCTGAGATTGATGGGTTCCAGCTTCATCCATTTAAACTGCAAAGGACATGAACTCATTCTTTTTTTATGGCTGCTAAAGCTATTCTTTAAAAAGGGAGGGAATTAAGAAGCATTAACCCAAAATTCAGAAGTTTGGGTTGTGACTTTTATCTCTAAAAGGTGTATTTCTGCCTATAATCCCAAGTGCTTTGAGAGGCTGACGCAGGAGGATCATTTGAGCCCAGGAGTTCCAGACCAGCCTGGGCAACATAGTGAGACCTTGTCCTACAAAAAACTAAAAAATTAGCCCAGTGTGGTGGCACGCGTCTCTAGCTACTCAGGAGGCTGAGGTGTGGAGGATTGTTGGAGCCCTAGAGTTTGAAGCTGCAATAAGCTATGATTGTGCCACTTGCACCCTAGCCTGGGTGATAGAGTGAGACCCTGTCTCTCAAAAATAAAAATAAAAAGGCCGGGCGCGGTGGCTCACGCCTGTAATCCCAGCACTTTGGGAGGCCGAGGCGGGCGGATCACGAGGTCAGGAGATCGAGACCATCCCGGCTAAAACAGTGAAACCCCGTCTCTACTAAAAATACAAAAAATTAGCCGGGCGTAGTGGCGGGCGCCTGTAGTCCCAGCTACTTGGGAGGCTGAGGCAGGAGAATGGCGTGAACCCGGGAGGCGGAGCTTGCAGTGAGCCGAGATCCCGCCACTGCACTCCAGCCTGGGCGACAGAGCGAGACTCTGTCTCAAAAAAAAAAATAAATAAATAAAATAAAATAAAATAAAAATAAAAACAGGCCGGGCACAGTGGCTAATGCCTGTGATCCCAGCACTTCAGGAGGCCGAGGCAGACAGATCACAAGGTCAAGAGATTGAGACCATCCTGGCCAACATGGTGAAACCCTGTCTCTACTAAAAATACAAAAATTAGCTGGACGTGGTGGCACACACCCATAGTCCCAGCTACTTGGGAGGCTGAGGCAGGAGAATTGCTTTGAACCTGGGAGGCAGAGGTTGCAGTGAGCTGAGATCTCACCACTCCACTCCAGCCTGGCAACAGAACAAGAGTCCATCTCAAATAAATACATAAATACAAATATAATAAAGGGTGTGTGTTTCATTTTTTGGTCTTGTTTTGTTTTTGTTTTGAGACAGTTTCACTCTGTCACCCAGGCTGGAATGCAGTGGTGTGATCTTGGCACACTGCAACCTCCACCTTGCAGGTTCAAGTGATTCTCATGCCTCAGCCTCTCAGGTAGCTGGGACTACATGAAAGCTCCACCATGCCTAATTTTAGTATTTTTAGTGCAGACAGGGTTTCACCATGTTGGCCAGGCTGGTCTCGAACTCCTGATCTCAAGTGATCTACCCACCTCAGCCTCCCAAAGTGCTGGGATTACAAGCGTGAGCCACTGCACCCGGCCCCTGTTTCGTTTTATTTATTTTTCATTGCAACTGGAAAAGAATCTTTTTAATTTAATTCATTCATTCATTCGTTGATTCTTTGAGATGGAGTCTCACTCTGTCGCCCAGGCTGGAGTGCAGTGGCGAGATCTCAGCTCACTGCAGCCTCTGCCTTCTGGGTTCAAGCAATTCTTTGCCTCAGCTTCCCAAGTAGCAGGGATTACAGGCGCCCGCCACCACGCCCAGCTAAGTTTTTATATTTTTAGTAGAGATGGGGTTTCACCATCTTAGCCAGGCTGGTCTTGAACTCCTGACCTCGTGATCCACCCTCCTCGGCCTCCCAAAATGCTGGGATTATAGGTGTGAGCCACCACGCCCAGCCCTGGAATAGAAAAAAATTTTAAGTACTCCATTTTTACAAATGAAATTGAAACTTGGGAAGGTAAAATAACTTACTAAATATTTGACCTGGTTAACATAAGTAGCAATTTTAAACTGTGTTTCTTTGACTTAAAAGATTTTCTTACTATTTTATCTTTGCTGTTTCCTACCAGGACAACAAACCTGGATTTGAAAGTGTTGGAGAAAATCTAAATCTGAATTTGCATTTAGATTTTTTTTTTGTTGTTTCCTGGAGAGAGAGCCTCGCTGTATCGCCCTAGCTGGAGTTCAGTGGTACGATCAGGCTCAGTGCAGCCTCAACCTCCTGGGCTCAAGCAATCCTCCCACCTTAGCCTCCCAAGTAGCTGGGACTACAGGCATGTGCCACCATGCCTGACAAATTTTTAATTTTTTTGTAGAGATGGGGTCTCACCATTTTGCCCAGGCTGGTCTTGAACTCCTGGGCTCAAGCCATCCTCCCACCTCAGCCTCTGGAGGAGCTGACAATACAAGTTGAGCCACCATGTCCGGCCTACATTTAGATTTTGTTAGTGTAAAAAAAATCAAAGTGAAAAGGGAAGATAATGATTAATTAGCTTGTCGTTAACACTTTTTCTTCATGAGTAAAGAAAAAAATAGTGCTTCTTATCAGGCTAAGCACCTGAGTTCTTCATTTTAAAAAGCATCTTAAATGTCTTCAGATTTTGAATCTGCTAACCCTGGTGACATGCAGTTTACCTATATAACAAACCTGCACATGTACCCTTGAACATAAAATAAAAGCCAAAAAAAAAAAAAGATTTTCAATCTGTATCCATGTAGAATTAAGGGCACGTGTCAACAGGCCTTGCTTATGTAGATTTAAGTTTACTTAAATTGCTGGGTTGAATGCCCAGAAATCTCCTTTAATATAAATGTTCTAGGACAATATCAGGTAGGACATAGCTTAGTTAACTTTGAACTTTGTGTGTGTGTGTGTGTGTGTGTGTGTGTGTGTGTGTATGTGTGAGAGAGAGATTCTTGTTAATAACTTCACCATTCCACCTTTTTAAAAATGGACTATTTAAGGGACTTTATTCTGATCTTACTTGTATTTTTCTTTCCATAGGATGGATAGAATGACAGAAGATGCTCTTCGCTTGAATCTGTTGAAGCGGAGCTTGGACCCAGCAGATGAGCGAGATGATGTCCTGGCAAAGCGACTCAAAATGGAGGGGCATGAGGCCATGGAACGTCTGAAAATGTTGGCATTGCTCAAAAGGAAGGATTTGGCAAATCTTGAGGTGCCACATGAGTTACCCACCAAACAGGATGGCAGTGGTGTCAAGGGCTATGAAGAAAAACTTAACGGGAATCTCAGGCCTCATGGAGACAACAGGACTGCTGGAAGGCCAGGCAAAGAAAACATCAATGATGAGCCTGTGGATATGAGTGCTAGACGGAGGTATGGCTCAGTTCAGCTGCCTCCAGGGATAGGGTCGTCTCATAAAGCCTGTGAAAATGGAATGAATTCCAATGAGAGGAGGGTGTTTTTCATCCTAAAGATTCTTAAAAGAAGATATATCATCGAGTTTGACCATAAATTCATTTTATTTCCAAATGAAACCAGGTGCCTCAAAAACTGCTTAGCCTACAGAGAATCGTAGTTCTTACTCTTAAGAGAAAAAATGGTCATTTCTAGATAAAGGGGGCACTAGAGAGCTGATAGGCCAAATGGAAGTGAGTTAATATATACCTTCATTCTAATCTTCATGGCCGTCTTAGGAGGAGAAAAATAGTCTTTTTGTCAGATAATTCCAGGAGTTTTAGGATGTATTTATTGTGGAGTCCCAGCTTTTATTACATCCAAAAACATGGGCCTAGCTTTTCTTGTGTCAGAAAGCAAATTATCTTCATGTGGTAAGTCTCTGCATTCTTGCTGTATCTGTACCACTTCCCCCAGCTCCCCCATATACATATACATTCACTTGTACATGTATGTTACTCTCTCTTTCACTCACACATGCAACATGTTTTCCCAGGCCTTTTTTTCTGGTGTCTTTCAAGGTTGAGTACTTGAAACTGTAGAGCACACAGTAAGGAGAGGTACCTGGAACTGGCCAATGGTTGAGTCTCCCTGTGCAGTGAATCATAGTATAGATAACCCTAGTTGGGGTTTTTTTTTTCTTTTTGTTTTTTATGAGTTTTTTTGGTGCTTTTTTTTTTTTTTTTGAGGCAAGGTCTCGCTCTGTTGCCTAGGCTGGCGTGTAGTGAGTGGCCTGATACCCTGGATTCAAGCGATCTTCCCCCCTCAACCCCAACCCACACCCCACCCCCCTTGAGTAGCTGGGACTACAGGCACATCCCACCATGCCTGTCTAATTTTTGTATTTTTATAGAAACAGGTTTTTGCCATATTACCCAGGCTGGTCTCGAATTCCTGAGCTCAAGTGGTCCTCCCTCCTCAGCCTCCTAAAGTGCCGGATTATGGACATGCACCACAGCATCCAGCCAGTTTTTTTTTTTTTTTTTTTTTTAAGATAGGGTCTCACTTTGTCACACAGTCTTGAGTGCAGTAGCATGATCATAGCTCATTGTAACCACCAACTCCTGGGCTCAAGTTATCTTCGCGCCCTAGCCTCCCAAGTAGCTGGGACTACAGGTGTGCATCATCACACCCAGCTAATTTTTGAATACTTTTGTAGAGACAGAGTCTCACTATGTTGCCCAGGCTGGTCTCAAACTCTCAGCCTCAAGTGATCTTCCCACATTGGCCTCCCAAAGTGCTGGGACTACTGTTGTGAGCCACCACACCCAGCTTATAACCCAAGTTGTGTGTGTGTGTGTGTGATGGAGTTTCACTCTTTTTGCCCAGGCTGAGTGCAATGGTACGATCTAGGCTCACTGCACCCTCCACCTCCTGGGTTCAAGTGATTCTCTTGCCTCTCTACTCCCCTAAGTAGCTGAGATTACAGGCGCGTGCCTGCACACCCAGCTAGTTTTGTATTTTTAGTAGAGATGGGGTTTCACCATGGTAGCCCGGCTGGTCTCGAACTCCTGACCTCAGGTGATCTGCCCACCTCTGCCTCCCAAAGTGCTGGGATTATAGGCATGAGCCATCACACCCAGCCAACCCTAGCTTTTAAAACATTCAGTTTAGGCTGGGTGCGGTGGCTCACGCCTGTAATCCCAGCACTTTGAGAGGCCGAGGCGGGTGGATCATGAGGCGGGTGGATCACGAGGTCAGGAGATCGAGACCATCCTGGCTAACACCGTGAAACCCCGTCTCTACTAAAAATACAAAAAATTTGCCAGGCATGGTGGCAGGTGCCTGTAGTCCCCGCTACTTGGGAGGCTGAGGCAGGAGAATGGTGTGAACCCGGGAGGTGGAGGTTGCAGTGAGCCGCGATTGCTCCACTGCACTCCAGCCTGGGCGACAGAGCGAGACTTCGTCTGAAAAAAAAAAAAAAAGTCAGTTTATAAATAGTTCAGAAACAGCTGATAGCTGTGAGAATTAGTCTTCAGTGTTGAGTTGCCCTCCAAATGACCTTGCTGAGTTTGTTGTAGGACTCATCCAAAGCAGAATCTCTAAGAAGCTGGACTGGTGGAGAATGAAGAAGAAAGAAATGGTTATAACTTTACACATGTTACTTTCTCTACCTTTTGATGTCTACTTACTGGTCTTGTCCCAGGATTATTTTTTAAAACCATGCTCCATAAGCAAACATTATTCTTGGTAGTAACATTAAAAACTCTTAGTAAGCGGTGGCTCACACCTGTAATCCCAGCACTTTGAGGCCGAGGCGGGTGGATCACCTGAGGTCAGGAGTTTGAGACCAGCCTGGCCAACATGGTGAAACCTTGTCTCTACTAAAAATATGAAAAAATTAGCCAGGTGTGGTGGCACACACCTGTGTTCCTAGCTACTTGAGAGGCTGAAGCGTGAGAATTGCTTGAACCCAGATGGTAGAGGTTGCAGTGAGCTGAGATCGTGCCACTGCACTCCAACCTGGGCAACAGAGTGAGACTCTTGTCTCCATTTTAAAAAAAAGCAAAAACAACCACAAAAAAACCTCTTAGGAAACCTCAGGCAGATTCCCTAGAGGTCCTGGAAGAGGAGAAAAATACTTGTAAGTTATAGGTAGTGCCAGCAGAATATTATATAAGTAGGTTCATTTTTAGATTGTTTGCAAGAAAAGGATATGGGTGAATGAGATCATGAACCTGAGCAACCTACTTGGCTTTTATAATCTCTCTTACCCTTCTGGAGCAAGTAACTTATCCCACTTCATTGGGGAGAAAGAGTTAAAGAAATGTTAGGTGGATTCTTCACATTCCAAATTGGAACTTTTAAATGCATTTTTCTTTCCTTTCCTTCTCTTTCCCTTTCCTGACAAGGTCTCACTCTGTTGCCCTGGCTGGAGTGCAGTGTGGCATGATGTCCGTTCACTGCAACCTCCACCTCCCAGGCTCAAGCAATCCTCGCTCCTTAGCCACCCAAGTAGCTGGGACTATAGGCGTGTGCCCCTGTACCCAGCTAATTGTTTTGTATTTTTAGTAGAGACGAGGTTTCGCTGTGTCACCCAGGCTGGTCTCTAACTCCTGGACTCAAGTGATCTGCCCGCCTTTGCCTCCTAAAGTGCTGGGAATACAGGCATGAGCCACCATGCCGGGCCCAACATTTTTCATAGAAACTTTGTTAACACTCTTTTTTTTTTTCCTGTTTTCAGTCCTGCTCCTGTAGACATTTTGATAAGATCTTATTAATGGTATTGGAATTGTATTATATTGCAGATAGATACAGTATATGTTAAAAAGTCAGACTTCCTGAAAACCCAACTTTTTTTTTTTTTTTTTTTTTTTTTAAAGGCAGAGTCTCGCTCTGTTGCCCAGGCTGGAGTAAAGTGGCGCAATCTTGGCTCGCTGCAACCTCCGTCTCCTGGGTTCAAGCGATTCTCCTGCCTCAGCCTCCTGAGTAGCTGGGACTACATGCTGGCTAATTTTTGTATTTTTAGTAGAGATGGGGTTTCGCCATGTTGGCCAGATGGTCTCGATCTGCTGACCTTGTGATTCACCCGCCTTGGCCTCCCAAAGTGCCGGGATTATGGGCGTGAGCCACCACACCTAGCCAAACCCAACAATTTTTTTAAAAATGTTATTTTGGGGTGATTTTTAAAAATCATTTAAAGAGATGAGGTGTTGCTGTGTTGCCCAGGCTGACGTACATTGGCTGTTCACAAGCACTGTCATAGTGCACTATTTCCTCAAATTCCTGGGCTCAAGCAGTCCTCCCCACTTGGCTTCCTGAGTAGCTGGGACTATTAGGCATGGGCCGCTGTACCCAACATGGGGTGATCTTTTGAAACACAATCCTCTGGAAGCTTGGGACTCCAGATATACTGACAGCTATTTCCACTTAGCCCCGAGATGTATAAGAATGAACAAAACTGCTGGGCACAGTGGCTCACGCCTGTAATCCCAGCACTTTGGGAGGCCGAGGCGGGAGGATCATCTGAGGTCAGGAGTTCGAGACCAGCCTGGCCAACATGGTGAAACCCTGTCTCTACTAAAAATACAAAAATTAGCCAGGCGTGGTGGCGGGTGCCTGTAATCCTAGCTACTTGGAAGGCTGAGGCAGGAGAATCGCTTGAACCCAGGAGGTAGAGTTGTAGTGAGCAGAGATTGCACCACTGCACTCCAGCCTGGGTGACAGACCAAGACCTTGTCTCAAAAAAAAAACAAACAAAAAAACAAAAAAAAAAAGCAAAACCGATAGATTCCCAGCAAGGAGAACCATAGTTTCTTTGATAGTGATAAAAAGAGGAAAGGGCTGGGTGCAGTGGTGCATGCCTGTATTCCCAGCACTTTGGGAGGCCAAAGTGGGAGAATTGCTTGAGGGCAAGAATTTGAGCTCTGTCTGGGCAACATAGTGGTACCTCATCTCTACCAAGAAAAAATGAAAGAATTTGAAAGCAGAAGGCAAGAGAAGTTCTTAACATAATAGCCATGTCATAATAGCCTAAATATCTTATTTTGCCATCAGTTGGGCAAGTTACGATACCTGTGAAATAAGGTATGTATGAAACCAACACTACTAATGTTTTAGAATTCTAGAGAGACACAGCAGTTGTCTGCTTAGTTGTTTTTACTACTGGGATAAGGATTAGGAGCTTTATAGCTTCTGAGAATATGCCAGACTAAGTCACAAGTGATGTCACACCAAGTGGGTCTTTTAATAATATCTCTCTAATAGGTAGGAGTTCATACTTAACTACCCCAAATATTGTAAATTATATATATGTTTAGGAAAAGAGCAAAATAATTTCTCTCTTGGAATGTTTAACAAATGAGGCCAGAATCCTAGTTCATTAGTTTTTTAAAATTAAGAAATGAGGCAGGGCATGGTGGCTCACGCCTGTAATCTCAGCACTTTGGGAGGCCAAGGCAGGAGAATCACTTGAGCCTAGAAGTTTAAGACCAGCCTTAGTAACATAAGGAGACCCCTTCTCTACAAAAAATTTAAAAACTAGCTACTCAGGAGGCTGAGGTGGGAGGATCGCTTGGGCCTAGGAGATTGAGACTGCAGTGAGCCACAAATGATTGCACCACTGCACTCCTTCCTGGGTGACAGAGTGAGACCCTGTCTCAAAAAACAAAAGAAAAAATAAATACAAGAAAAGAGGCTGGACGCGGTGGCTCATGCCTGTAATCCCAGCTCTTTGGGAGGCTGAGGCGGGCGGATCACGAGGTCAGGAGTTTGAGACCAGTCTGGCCAACATAGTGAAACCCCGTCTCTAAATACAAAAATTAGCCGGGTGTGGTGGCGGGCACATGTAATCCCAGCAACTCAGGAGGCAGGAGAATCACTTAAACCTGAGAGGAGGTTGCAGTGCGCCGAGATTGCACCATTGCCCTCCAGCCCCGGTGACAGTGCAAGACTCCGACTCAAAAGAAAAACAGAGAGGCTTTGGCTTTGCCTTATCTGTGCTATCTACCTAATACCGGTGTGTTTATATCTGGGAATAAAATAATCATTTAAAGTTGTTCTCAGATATAACTTCCTGATAAATGGCATACAGTTCCCAAATCTCCATCCAGTAATATCTCTGTCTTGGTACTGGGCAGTTCCTAAGCAGTTAAGTGGCACTCATTTGAGCAAGGAAGAATTCCTTACCTTAGAAATAATCTGTAATGTATATATCCAGCCAGGACCAGAATAGAAAGAGCTTCTAAATGAAAAATCTTCCAGATTCCAAAATTACCGGTGTTTTATTTTTTATTTATTTTTAATTTTTTTGAGACAGAGTTTTGCTCTGTCACCCAGGCTGGAGTGTAGTGGTGCAATCTCGGCTCATTGCAACCTCCACCTCCCAGGTTCATGTGATTCTTGTGCTTCAGCCTCCTGAGTAGCTGGGATTACAGGCGTATACTACCATGCCCGGCTAATTTTTGTATTTTTAGTAGAGACAGGGTTTCTCCACGTTGGCCAGGCTGGTCTCAAACTTTTGGCCTCAAGTGATCTGCCCACCCAAAATGACCCATGTTAATCATAGAGGGGGAGTATAAAGGAATATAGAAATGAGAAGTAAATCACGCTTTAAAAATGAATTCAGGCCGGGCACAGTCGCTCATGCCTGTAATCTCAACACTTTGGGAGGCCAAGGCAGGCAGATCACGAGGTCAGGAGTTTGAGACCAGCCTGGCCAAAACGGTGAAACCCCGTCTCTACTAAAAATACAAAAAAAAATTAGCCAGGCGCGGTGCCGGGTACCTGTAATCCCAGCTACTGAGGCTGAGGCAGGAGAATCACTTGAACCCAGGAGACGGAGGTTCCAGTGAGCCGAGATCGCGCCATTGCACTCCAGCCTGGGCGACAGAGCCAGAATCCATCTCAAAAAAAAGAATGCAGACACTTTATTCAGGCCTGTTACTCCTCATATTTGGGGTTAGAGAATGAAAGGCTCTTTTCTCCCTCTAGTGGCTTTTTCTGTATTTCTACCTTCTCAGCTTGCTGTGTCTGTGGCCAGCAATCTAGACAAATTTAATAGTTCACAAGATAGTCATTCTTACCTTTCTATCCTCCTATTCTATTTCCTTACCTAAGTTTGGTTGATTTTAGCAACTCAGATTTACCCTGTTAGGAAATTGCTTATTCCAGTGATCGGGGTTCCCTGTTCAAAAGTATCCATGTCCTGGCTGGGCATGGTGGCTCACACCTGTAATTCCAACACTTTGGGTGGCTGAGGCAGCAGGATCACTTGAACCCAGGAATTCAAGACTAGCCTGGGCAGCATAGCAAGACCCCCACCCCTTACAAAAAAATAAAAAATTAGCCAGGCACAGTGGTGTGCACCTGTAGTCCCAGCTACTCAGGAGGCTGAGGCGGGGGGAATCTCTTGGGGCCAGGAGTTTGAGAATGTAGCAAGCACCACTACACTCCAGCCTGGGCAATAGAGTGAGACCCTGTCTCAAAAAAAAAAAAAAAAAAAAAAAAAAAAAAAAATTCCATGTGCCAACAGCAACTAGGACAAGAAACCCTGAGAAGTGGACAGCTAGCGATCTGTGATCATTAAGGGTTTAAGTTGATTGTTTAAGGCCAAAGGGGAGGCCAAGGCGGGAGGGTCGCTTAAGACCAGCTTGGGCAACATAGTAAGACCCTGTCTCTACAAAAAGTACAAAAATTAGCCGGGCGTAGCGGCACATGCCTGTAGTCCCAGTTACTCAGGAGGCTGAGGTGGGAGGATCGCTTGAGCTCAGGAGGTCAAGGCTGCAGTGAGCTGTGATCGGGCCACTGGACTCCAGCCTGGGTGACAGAGTGAGACCCTGTCTCAAGAGGGAAAAAAAAAAGGACCAAAGAACAATTGCCCTCGACCTATATACTACCAACTACGCTGACAATCTCAAGGAAAGTAGGATCTGGGAATGTATCTTTGAAATTAGAGGAGAATTAGAAGATACAGTCACGGATTTGGGAACCTGAGGCAGTTAGAGTTTCCGGAATTCTTGTTACCTAGGTCTTAAGCAGTATGTGCCATTTTTTATCATCTTACACAAATAAGCATGATGCTTTTAAGGCTAACCCCAGAATGACCTAAATGAGAGTTATCTAGTAAATAGGATTAGGAGTAAGAGGAGTCAGTGCAGGAGATTTAGATTTCAAAGTAATTTCTAGACTCTTTTTGAGGTAAGATGCTGGATAAAACTCTGGTAAGTAGATGCAAGTTCAATATATTTGGTTCTGGAGGTTTAATCCTTTTCTGTAAGGCTGTAGACAATATTCTTGGCACTATTCCCTCAAATTATTAATACTTCCTTCTTTTGTGTACTCTTCAGTACCTACTCTTGACAGGATAGACTATTCTTTTTTTTTTTTTTTTTTGAGACGGGAACCTCGCTCTGTTGCCCAGGCTGGAGTGCAGTGGTGCAATCTTGGCTCACTGCAACCTCTGCCTCCCAGGTTCAAGAGATTCTCCTGCCTCAGCTTCCTGAGTAGCTGGGACTACAGGTGCGCGCCGCCATGCGCAGCTAATTTTTTATTTTTAGTAGAGACGGGGTTTCACCATGTCGGTCAGGCTGGTCTCGAACTCCTGACCCCAGGTGTTCCACCCGCCTCGGTCTCCCAAAGTGCTAGGATTACAGGAGTGAGCCACCGCACCCGGCCCCCCTTGGATTTTTTTAATTCAGCATAGAAGTTTTCTTAACTTTTGTTGGAAATAGCTTATTTTTTCCCTTTCTTGTCTAGTGAGCCAGAGCGAGGAAGGCTAACTCCCTCACCAGACATCATTGTTTTGTCTGACAATGAGGCTTCCAGTCCCCGTTCCAGTTCCAGAATGGAAGAAAGACTCAAAGCAGCCAACTTAGAGATGTTTAAGGTAAAAAGAAAGAAAAATTTCTTTCTTCTTGTTATGCTCCTTCTATTTTATTTAATTCCTCAAGAGATTTAGTTCTGTTTTTTGACTATTTACTCTTTGGATATAAATACCCATTGATGAAAACTTTATAGTAACTCTTGACTTCAAGGGCTTTCAAAAGGAACTATTAGAAGCAAGTGGAGACGACAGTTTGAAAAGCATATATGTAGGCCATTATACTCAGTGTTATTTATCTTTGGAAAATGAAAACAAAAGTTCATAATTAAGTCATATAAAGTAAACTCTTGGCTGTAAGGATACTTTCTGCACTCTAACCTAAGTAACTGAATATGAAGGGATTCCTAAGTTTTTATGTATATCTAGAGGAAATGTGGCTTTAAGAGATTTAGGAACATTATTTTAAAAGAAGACAATGTTTCTCTTTAGTCATTCTTCTTTTTGCCAGGAATCTGGCTGATTAGCATTTATACGTGGTCTGTCCTTTAATTCTGTAAGCATTTCTTTGAGTACCTACTGAATGCCAGGCACTGTGCCAGACTCCAGTGATACAAAGATAATCCTATTGCCACTTCTGCTTCTTGTGGAAGATGAAGGTTTCAGAGCTAAGAAGTAAAGATTGTCTCTTGCAGGAAGGAATTCTGGGTACCTTGCTGCCATAGCTGAAAGTCTTCTTGTTTCCTTAGGGGAAAGGCATTGAGGAGCGGCAGCAGCTTATCAAGCAGCTGAGGGATGAGCTACGATTGGAAGAAGCCCGACTGGTCCTGTTAAAGAAACTGAGACAGAGTCAGCTACAGAAAGAGAATGTGGTCCAGAAGGTAATGTGCCCTAGAAATAAGGGACTAAGGGAAAGGAAAGAAAAACTGGTTTGAGAGTAGGTTCCCCCAGGTAGGTTCAGTTGGGTGGCTCATTTCTTCTCTGGGTCCGTAGTTTTTTAGTCTGTAGTAGTAGTGATTTTTTTTTTAATCTTAGGCCTTAAGAAAACCTTGACTCCCAGCCAGGTGCGGTGGCTCACGCCTGTAACTCCAGCACTTTGGGAGGCCGAGGCGGGTGGATCACGAGGTCAGGAGATCGAGAGCATCCTGGCTAACATGGTGAAACCCCATCTCTACTAAAAATACAAAAAATTAGCCGGTCATGGTGGCGGGCGCCTGTAGTCCCAGCTACTCGGGAGGCTGAGGCAGGAGAATGGCGTGAACCCGGGAGGTGGAGCTTGCAGTGAGCCGAGATCAGGCCACTGCACTCCAGCCTGGGCGACAGAGCAAGACTCTGTCTCAAAAAAAAAAAAAAAAAAGAAAACCTTGACTCCCTTTTTCTGGTTTTTCCTCCTGATTGACAAGAACCTCACACTGACCAGGAATTTTTAAAGTCTAGAAATGTACCAAATTTCCACCTGTGATTATTGGCCACAGTCTTATTTTCTCTTCCCTCTCCCAGACTCCAGTTGTACAGAATGCAGCATCTATTGTTCAGCCATCTCCTGCCCATGTGGGACAGCAGGGCCTATCTAAGCTTCCCTCTCGGCCTGGGGCCCAAGGGGTTGAACCTCAAAATTTGAGAACATTACAGGTATGTGACCCATAGTGGGATCTTAGTGTTGGAGGGCCGTGTCTAATCCTGTCTCTGTTTTTGGGCTTTTGTGAAGATTATAGAAGAACCTGGCCATGATAGAGGTGTTATTACTACTGATTGTTCTGTTGGCCCATTATGGCATGATTTAGTCTTCAGTAGAAGGATGAGTAACTTTCATGTTTCCACTGTAGTTTTTCTTGTCTAGAGAATGCTTCCAGCTTCTCTAGAGAAGGGGTAGATAGTTTTCTATCTAACCCTATAGGATTAGATAGTTTATACCAAAAAAAGCCAAGGACTTCCCAGCCACTAATCAGGGTTTACAATGATGGTAGATTTATCCCATAGACCATTAAATGAAATTACCAAGTCTGGCTGTGTTCCTGTGTTTCTACTTAGCTATGTATTATAGGCAGTGTTTTCCCTTTTGCATTTTGTGCTGTATTATACACAGCGTACAACCTGTGATTAGTTCTTTTCCTCTTCTTCCCCTCCAGGGTCACAGTGTCATCCGTTCAGCTACCAATACCACCCTTCCACACATGTTGATGTCTCAACGTGTTATTGCACCAAACCCAGCCCAGCTACAGGGTCAGCGGGGCCCGCCTAAGCCTGGCCTTGTACGCACCACAACACCCAACATGAATCCCGCCATCAATTATCAACCGGTAAGAGAGAGCTGAGCCCTAATGTGGAAACAGAGAAATCCCTTTGTTTGCTTTGCTTGTCGAAAGGGCCATAGGTTTTAAGTTTTTATACATAGATAAACTCTAGGACAAAAATGGTTATTTTGGTAGGGATTTAATTGAGAGCAGTCCCAAAAGTAGAAGCTTTGAGGAATTATATTAAAATAGTAGTGGAGGAGAGAGGTTATACAGCAGAGCAGCAGTAAGCTAAAAATCTGCCTAGAAGAGAGTGATCTAGGGAATAAGAAGCACAAGGATGTGTGACAGAAAGCAAAATCTTATTTCTGTCTCTTTTTTGTTTGTTTGTTTGTTTGTTTTTTGAGCTGGAATCTCACTGTGTTGCCCAGGCTAGAGTGCAGTGGCATGATCTTGGCTCACTGCAACCTCTGCCTCCTGGGTTCAAGGAATTTCCAGCTAATTTTGTGTATTTTTCGTAGAGACAGAGTTTGACCATGTTGGCCAGGCTGGTCTCAAACTCCTCACCTCAAGTGATCTGCCTACCTCGGCCTCCCAAAGTGCTGAGATTATAGGCGTGAGCCACCACGCGTGGCCTTTATTTCTCTCTTAGCAATGTTAGCTCATGGTCATCATCATTCTCCTTTCCTATGTGTCAGAGTTCTTTTTCAATAAATAAGTTGACCACCTCCTATTTTTGGAGAAGCTAAGTAGTCCAAACCAGGATCAGACAGTGTCCTCTGCCAAGAACGTAAGAATTGGCCCTTTCTCCTGCATACCATGATTGACCGCATTCTCAATCTATTTCAGCAGTCAAGTTCTTCTGTTCCATGTCAGCGTACAACATCCTCTGCCATCTATATGAACCTTGCTTCTCATATCCAGCCAGGGACGGTGAACAGAGTGTCCTCGCCACTTCCTAGCCCCAGCGCCATGACTGATGCTGCCAACTCACAGGCTGCAGCCAAATTGGCTCTTCGCAAACAGCTGGAAAAGACACTCCTGGAGATCCCACCCCCTAAACCTCCTGCTCCCTTACTTCATTTCTTGCCTAGTGCAGCCAATAGCGAGTTCATCTACATGGTAGGCTTGGAAGAAGTCGTACAGAGTGTCATTGACAGCCAAGGTAAGGCTGTTTCTTCTAATCAATCTATTTAAGCAAGTGGTTGCCAAGCCTGATTGACATAGGCAGAGTATCAGAGGGTACTGTACAATATTAAATAACTTCTCCTTCCTGTTACCAAACCACCTCCCTCCCTTCTTTACAGCTGTTTGGGAGCAACATGTTAGAAGCGGAGTGTGTGTGTGTGTGTGTGTGTGTGTGTGTGTGTGTGTGTGTTTTGTTTGAGATGCAGTCTCGCTCTGTTGCCCAGGCTGGAGTGCAGTGGCACAATCTCAGTTCACTGCAACCTCTGCCTCCTGAGTTCAAGCAATTCTCCTGCCTCAGCCTCCCACGTAGCTGGGACTACAGGCACGTGGCACCACACCCGGTTAATTTTTGTATTTTTAGTAGAGACGGGGTTTCATCATGTTGGCCAGGCTGGTCTCGAACTCCTGACATCAGGTGATCTGCCCACCTCGGCTTCCTAAAGTGCTAGGATTACAGGCATGAGCCACTGTACCCCGTCAGCCGGCCGGGGCCAGCCTGCCTATGTATCTATCTATCTATCTAATCTATCATCTATCTAATCTATCTATTCTATTCTATCTAATCTATCATCTATCTTTCGGCTTGTTTTTTTTTCCCTTCAGCAGGTCAGCTATCATTGAGGCTTGATATTTTTATTTGGATTTTATCTATCTTGTGTGTTTTTTGTAGGACAGTAAGTTCTCACTTAACATCATCAATAGTTTCTTAGAAACTGTGACTTTAAGTGAAACAACTACGGTGAAGGGGGTCCTCAAATAACATCATTTTATTATAACATTAGTAAAAAAAAAAAGA
Source organism: Homo sapiens (assembly GCF_000001405.40). Taxonomy (NCBI): domain Eukaryota; kingdom Metazoa; phylum Chordata; class Mammalia; order Primates; family Hominidae; genus Homo; species Homo sapiens. The sequence continues at coordinate 153,815,453 of NC_000001.11, read as the reverse complement.
TTGTTTTTGTTGTATGTTGTTTCACTTAAATCATAGTCTCTGAGAACCTGTCAACAACATTGAGGACTGACTGTATTTTGTTTAGTTCTTTTAAATGGTGGCTAGCATGATGCTTGCATAATTTGATAAATAGAACTTCTCTTTTCTTTTTTTTTTTTTTGTTTTTTTTTTTTGTTTTTTTGAGACAGGGTCTGACCCTGTTGTCCAGGCTTGAGTGCAGTGGTGTGATCTCAGCTCTCTGCAGCCTTGACCTCCCAGGCTCAAGCCATCCTCCCATTTCAGCCTCCTGAGTAACTGGGACCACTGGTATGCACCACCATGCCAGTTTTTTTCTTTGTTGGTTTTTTTTTTTTTTTTTTTTTTTTTTTTTTTGAGACAGAGTCTTACTCTGTCACCCAGGCTGGAGTACAGTGGCATGATCTTAGCTGGCTGACTACCTCTGCCTCTTGGTTTCAAGCAATTCTTTTTTTTTTTTTGAGATGGAATCTTGCTCTGTTGCCCAGGCTAGAGAGTGCAATGGCATGATCTCAGCTCACTGCAACCTCCACCTCCTGGGTTCAAGCAATATTCCTGCCTCAGCCTCCTGAGTAGCTGGGATTACAGGTGCCTGCCACCACACCTGGCCAATTTTTGTGTTTTTCTTAGAGACGGGGTTTCACAATGTTGGTCAGGCTGGTCTCGAACTCCTGACCTCAGGTGATCCACCTGCCTCGGCTTCCCAAAGTGCTGTGGTTACAGGCATGAGCCACTGTGCCCGGCGCAAGCAATTCTTTTGTCTCAGCTTCCAAAGTAGCTGGAATTACAGATGTGTGCCATCACACCTAGCTAATTATTTCTGTTTTTAGTAGAGATAGGGTTTTGCTATGTGGGCCAGGCTGGTCTCAAACTCCTGGCCTCAAGTGATCTGCCTGCCTCAGCCTCCCAAAGTGTTGGGATCACAGGTGTGAGCCACCATGCCTGGCCTGGAACTTCTGTTTTTAATGTGAGTGTTTTTGCAACATTGTACTGAATTACTGTGTTTAGTCTTCTGTGAATGCTTACAGTTGAGAAACACACACTTACATAGATAACTAAGAAAGACCTTATAAAAAGCTGTAAACCAATACTAAACCATACTATAGAGTATTAACAACATACAGTCTAGACTAACTGAAGTTATTAAACTTGAATTTCTAAACAGGTAGACTTCTGGGAAAGCCTGCCAGTAAAGTGCCCAGAGGAGTCAGTATTAGCTATAAATAGATCACAAAGTGAATAATTCAGACACTGATAACTATTTAAAACTATAAATGTATATGACAGGGATAAGTACAGTCTTTGGTAAGGAGATATTAAGAAGCAAAAGTATTGGTTGAGTTAGAGTCCTTTGACTTTGAATTGACACAGTATTTTCTTCTCAGTGTGATACAGTAGAAAATCAGGAAACATCCCAGCTTTATCAGTTAGAAGCTACCTTTGTTGTTGTTGTTGTTGTTTGAGACTGAGTCTTGTTCTGTTACCCAGGCTGGAGTGCACTGGCACAATTTCGGCTCACTGCAACCTCTACTTCCCAGGTTCAAGCGATTCTCCTGCCTCAGCCTCCTGAGTAGCTGGGATTACAGGCGCGTGCCACCACGCCCGCCTAATTTTTTTGTATTTTTAGTAAAGACGGGTTTTCACTATGTTGGTCAGGCTGTTCTTGAACTCCTGACCTCGTTAGCCGTCCACCTCAGCCTCCCAAAGTGCTGGGACTGTAGGGGTGAGCCACCGCACCCAGCCAGAAGCTACATTTCTTCGACTTCTGTCCTCATTTGTAAATGAGGATGGTACTGTCTGAATTCCCTAAAGTGATACTGTTATAATCAGATGAAATAAAAGTATTTTGTAAATTATAGAATATCCTTTTTGTAAAGTCTCTTTCTTTAATTCAACAGAATAAACTCCTGGAAAAGATCTATTTGATTAAGAGAAACAGAGGAGATAGGAAATGTAAAGCCACTGACTATTTTTGTTGGTATCTAGGCAAAAGCTGTGCCTCACTTCTGCGGGTTGAACCCTTTGTATGTGCCCAGTGCCGCACAGATTTCACCCCTCACTGGAAGCAAGAAAAGAATGGTAAGATTCTATGTGAGCAGTGTATGACCTCCAACCAGAAAAAGGCTCTAAAAGCTGAACACACCAACCGGCTGAAAAATGCATTTGTGAAAGCCCTACAGCAGGAACAGGTAAGAATTCTGACTGCTCACTGGCCACCTGTCCCAGTTTGTTTTTTCCAAAGGGTCGCGCCTTCTAGTTTGCAGGAGTGGTTCATGTGATCCCTACAGGTCCACAGGTTCCCTTTTTGTCTCCTTATCATTGTGTCCTATTTCCATTTGAGCGAGTATTCTGATTAAGAACATGGTAAAATATAATGGCTGAGGTTAACAGAAAGGGACAGAAAGCTTGGGACTCTTGGCTTTTCCATAGCACTCTATTCTCATCTTCATTTTTTCCTAAAACAAATAATAGATTTTGGTGGGAGGAATTTATATTTGTGCTATAAATCTCTTTGAAACAGTTATTTGCAGTGCGTGTTTGATAAGAAATGACGAAAGAAAGAGTGAATTATGAAGTAGCCCAGTGAAGAGTAGTGGTTCTAGAGTATGTGAACATCTCATGTAGCAGTTATAGGATGAGAATATCTTAGAGAAGGAAAAATGTGTTGGGAAACTCAGATCCTTTTCTTCCTATTTCCCACTCCACCCATCAGAGTCCCTTGTTTGAGTAGCATCATGGACTTTTTGGAAGATCGGGTAGGCAGGAGTCAAAAATAAAACCCCATTTATGCTCTAGGACTGGTGGTAAAAAATAAATAAATAAAAATTTTTAAAAAGAGAAAAGAAAAAGTGATAAAATAAAACCCCAGTAATTCATCAGCCTTAATTATATCAGTTGGTTCATCACCTCCAGCCAACTTCTTAGAGCCAGCTTTCCTGGAGAAAGAGAGGAGGATCCCTTGATCATTGAAGCAAGTTAGCTGCTTATACCCAGAAATCTCAGTGTACCACCCCCACCAAACTCTTTTGCCTTTTCCATATTCCACCAACTAGCCAACAACATTAGAGGTAAGAACACCTCCAGGTTTTCTGGTTAGGAAATTGGGTGGGCCAGGTGCAGTGATTCATGCCTGTAATCCCAGCACTTTGGGGAGGCTAAGGTGAGAGGATTGCTTGAGCCCAGGAGTGCCAGACCAGCCTGGGCAACAAAGTCAGATTGTGTCTCTGTTTAAAAAAAAAAAAAAAAAAGGAAATTGGGTATTGGGTGCTGTCCTGCTCAATCACCTGATGTGATGACTCCCAACAGGAAATTGAACAGCGATTACAGCAGCAGGCAGCCCTCTCCCCCACTACGGCTCCAGCTGTGTCCAGTGTCAGTAAACAAGAGACCATCATGAGACATCATACGCTTCGGCAGGTAAGGAACTTTTTGCCTGATCCTGATTTCTTTAGAAGATTTATCAGCCATTTATCACAATTTGTCCTTTCTATTGTGGGAAATCATAGTCTTCTTCTGTACTCCCTTATCTTTGCCCCCGCTTAACATTCTATCATATCAAAGTTGTATCCACTGTCTCCTCATCATTGCAGGCTCCACAGCCCCAGAGCAGCCTCCAGCGTGGCATACCCACATCTGCCCGCTCCATGCTTTCAAACTTTGCACAGGCACCCCAGTTGTCTGTGCCAGGTGGCCTCCTTGGTATGCCAGGTAAGAAGGATTAATCTGAAAATGTTTCTCATGGGTCAGCTGTTAGTTAGTATACAGTTCTGTAGCAGCCCCTTTAAGGGAATTGTTCCTTTACTTTCTGTTCTTTCTTTAGGGCATACACTCTCACTCTTCTGTTACTCAGCAAATGTTTGCTAAATTCATATTAAGTGCCACCCACAATGCACTAGGGTTTTGGTGGTGAAAATGACCCAGATCCTACCATTATCAATTTAACTTTTAATATCCCTTCAGTAGACATGTGGTTATTGATCTCTTTTGGCCGGGACAGCAGGGTTAACTGTTCTGTTTGAATGATCCAGGGATGCTTCTGCACAATCTGCAGCCTCAAAATCAAAGCTGATTTAATGATTCTATCTCTCTGTCTTATTCATCTTCCTCTCACCACTGTTTCACTTGTCTCTCCCATACCATCAGAAGCATGTTCATTATTCTTGGTAGGACCGAAATTTCAGGAAGTCCCCTTTTCCTAAAGCTTAGGAATATGAGTGGGGATTGAAATAAAGTTGCTGTGCAGGGCGCGGTGGCTCACACCTGTAATCCCAGCACTTTGAGAGGCCGAGGCAGGCGAATCACTTGAGATCAGGAGTTCAAGACCAGGCTGACCAACATGGTGAAACCCTGTCTCTACTAAAAATACAAAAAATTGGCTGGGCGTGGTGGCTCATGCCTATAATCCCAGCACTTTGGGAGGCCAAAGCGAGTGGATTACCTGAGGTCAGGAGTTCAAGACCACCCTGGCCAACATGATGAAACCCCATCTCTACTGAAAATACAAAAAATTAGCCCGGCGTGGTGGCTGGTGCCTGTAATCCCAGCTACTCGGGAGGCTGAGGCAGGAGAATCGCTTGAACTTGGGAGGTGGGGCTTGCAGTGAGCTGAGATTGTGCCACTGCACCTCCAGCCTGGGCAACGAGCGAAATTCTGTCTCAGATAAATAAGCAAACAAAATTAATTGGCTGGGTGCAGTGGGTCATGCCTGTAATCCCAGCACTTTGGGAGGCTGAGGCCGTTGGATCATTTGAGGTCAGGAGTTCAAGACTAGCCTGGCCAACATGGTGAAACCCCATCTCTACTAAAAATACAAAAAATAGCCGGGCAGTAGTGGCACGCGCCTATAATTCCAGCTACTCTGGAGGCTGAGGCAGGAGAATTGCTTGAGTCTGGGAGGCAGAGGTGAGCGGAGATCACACCACTGCACTCCAGCCTGGGTGACAGAATGAGACTGCATCTCAAAAAAGAAAAAGAAAGTTGCTGTTGAAATAAAGCTAACCAAGTGTGACCAGATACTGGTAAATTCTGCTTCCTTTCCATCTCCAACTCTGCAGCCCGAGGGTAGAGTGGAAGGGAATGTTATTTCCTCTTTTAATACCTGCCCTCCACTTTTGTCTCCTGGGTCCAGGTGTCAACATTGCATACTTGAATACTGGCATCGGAGGACACAAAGGCCCCAGTTTGGCAGACCGACAGCGTGAATACCTTTTAGACATGATCCCTCCCCGGTCTATATCGCAGTCCATCAGTGGACAGAAATAACGCCTGTTCCACTTGTACTGCCCCATCCTTGAATCCTTTATCCCTTTCCTCTTTCATTCCCCCAACTTCTGTCGCATGCAGTGCCTGTACTGGTGCCTACCATACACGGAAAGCAAAACAGAAAAACAGAAGACAAAAAATAGAGATCAGCAAGAAAACACACGCCCTGCCCTGCCACCTCCCCTTTATTTCACACTGCTGCGATCTGTTCTTCTGCCGCTCTGTCTTCTCTCTTCAGTTTTCTTTAACAGTGAGGTGGATCTTTACCTCTGATAGAGGTCAGAATGAGGTCCTGGGGAGAATCTAAGCCCTCCGATGTGTGTTTCTAAAGTTGTTTTATGCTATAATTATTACCATTTTTAATGATGTTGTGTGTCCTCCCTTTGTTCAGTGGACGGTTAAACCTTCCCCCACTCAACCAATCTTTTTCTTTTTCCTTTTCTTCCTTTTTTTTTTTTTTTTTTGTAAACACAAATGACATTCAGTTCAATGATACGAGCATTGCAGATTGCAGTAGGGGTCCCAGCTGCCAAGTAGGACATGACTAGGAGTGTTAGGGGCAGAAGTTTTGAATGCACTTAACCGGAGGAGGGCGCAGGGTGGGGGGTATCAAAGAAGGACGAATAGCACCCTACCTGTGGGTGTTTGGGGGCTGGACAATTTGGGTGGCAGTGTTTGGTACTGAAGTTGGGCTCTAAGAATGAGGGGAAAGAGCCTGGGGAGGAGCTTAAAACTCAACCACTCTGGAATTTACCCATAGAAGACGGGAAGAAAGAGGTATGAAGATGGGCTCAATTATGAGCCAGGGAGGATTGAAACTAGGTCCTGCCTTTCTGTATCTTGGGGAAATAAGACCGATCTCCTGACCCCATTGGGAACACGGAAGTCTATTCCAGGCCAACCAGCCCAAAATTATTTCATCTTGTATTCTTTGTAAAATTCTCCCTCACCCCACCCTGCTTTTAAAAATTCTAATCTATCCCCTCTAACCATAGCCCCATCTATAATACAGAGGAACGGCTGTTCCAAGGCTGTTTGCTGGGTGTCCCACAAGTTGGGTGGACATAAATGAGTCAAGTGACAACAGGAGGAAATAGACTTAGACGAAAGAAAGGATTTCTCTTCCAACAGTTGAGATTCGCATATTTGCCTATTCTTTCACCCTCTGAGTGCCAGGAGATGAGAGGCTGGGGGTACACAATCAGGTTGGAGTCCTGTCCTTACTCTGCTGCACCAGCTGCAGAACCAACTGCTCAAAGCCAAACAGCTCATGGCAAAACCAGCTTAGGACCTCTGCTGTACAAATAGTTGCTTCCCACTGCCCCCCGCCCGCCCCCAGAATGATATTAATTTTGCCTTTTTTTTTTTTTTTTTTTTAAGCGCTACTAATGTAGAGAATGAATTGAATTGTGCAATGTTGCTGTTCTGGGGACTGGGGAGATTAGCATCCCATTTGCCCACACTGTGGGAAGACGGAGTGGACCAGGCTGTTTTTGAAGTAAGGGAAGCCCCTTAAAGGTACGGGTTTCTGCTCTTCTCATAGTGTACACCCACCTGCCTCTCTGGCTCCAGAAGCTGCCAGAGTGCACTGGGGGGAATGTTCTCAGCAGAGAAGAATGAGGAGAAGTTTAATATTTTGCCCTTGAAAGTCACCTGAGGAAGTTTCCCCACTTTTATTTTTTAAAATTAAGTAATTTTTTAAAGAAGGCACTTTTAAAATTAACACACACATGAACTGCACACCTTCCCCATAAAATTTGGAGGTGGGGTGGGAGAAAGAGCTAAAATCAGGCTCAGTTCCCCTACTCTGGCCTCTACTCCCCACACCCCAGTGCCACTGTGGGTGACTATACTGGCCCTACGGGCCTTCCTGGCTTTTTTCTTTCCTCCCTTACCCCAAATTCATTGAGCACTTAAAGGAGCAGAGATGCAGCCAGTGTCTGGGCTCCCCCAGTGGTGAAATGATCTGGAAGCTAGATGCTAGTAACAGGTAGTGATTGGGTTTTTTGAGTATTTTTCCGGGGAATGTGGTACCCCTGACTGTAAGTGGTGGGAGAGGGAGGGGGGTTAATGGAACTGGGTCTGGGATTATTTTAAAATTATATATATATATATAAAGATATATTCTTACATCTTTTCTTTGCCCTCTGTGCTTTGAAAGCACTGGATAAATTGTTTGGTTTTGCTTTTCTCTCTTCCACAAAATTGGAAGCTTTTTTTAAAAATGTTTTCCCCACAAGTCATCTTGCCTTGTGGCATGTCTGTCTAGCCTCTTCCTCCCTCCCTCATGATGAAGTGCCATTTCTGTTACGTCTCCCTCTCCCCAAGCTCAGAGGTGCTCAGAGGTACGAGATGCCCAAGTTTGTCAGTTGAGATTAAAAGTAAGGAACAGAGAATGTGCAATACCGTCTGGCTGGGGGCTGTCCCTGCCCTGCCCTGAGCTGAGTCCTTTCCCTGGGAGCCAGGCCACCTTAGAATGGGGTTTGGAAGTAAGATGTATAGAGTTGGGGAATCATGGAGAAGGAAAGCCTATAGTCGAGTGCCTGCTTAGGTGCTGAGGTCACAGGGGAGATGGTGGAATCTTCCCTGTTTTTATCCCCTCAGGGTCAGTTACATAGAAGCTGCTTCTTGACTAGTATAGCTCGGTGACCCTTTGTTCAACCGCTGAGGTTTGATTTCTTACCCTTTCTTCTCCCCATTTTCATACTCTTCCCAGGGATTAGTGATGGAGGTGAGGTCTCCCTAATCATGGTAAAGTGTTAACCTTCCACCTCCTCCCTTCCCTCCTCCTTCCTCATCCTTCTGTCTTCCTCAATTCTCCGTCTCTTTTTTTTCATCACTGATTGCCTTGTGTCCCTCCAAGTCTACTTGTTACTATCCATCTCCAGGCTCTGGGCCGTGTAGACACTAAACCTCATGCCCTAAGGACAGGAGGAAAGACCCTCTGTTTGGAGCATTATTAGTAGAGTGAGGATCCCACCAGTTCTGCCTGGCTTCCTCCATCCCCAGAGGCACTAAAAGCAGTATTTTAAGGTTGGTGTCTTACTCCCTGGAAGCCTGAAATGGGTGGAATAGCGGTAAGGCTTGAGTAAAACTAGGGGACAGAGGTTCTTATTTGTCGATTTTATTTTATAATTTGACCACAGCATCTGAACTCCCTCTCTCCCTGGAATAAGTATTTTTCCCACATTTTTGGATATATGTATGGTAGACAATTTTTTTTTAAGACACAGAGATAAATGTTTTCCTGCTTTGGTTACCTTTCCTTTCCCCTTTAAAAGGAATTAGCTATAGAACTGCTTTGTAAAGATGCTTCTTGATATTTTACTTTTGTTCCTTTTCCCTAATCATTCCCTTTTCTCCCCACTCCTCCAGAAGGCATAACCCTTCTCTCCACACCCCCTACCCCCACCCCCGTCCTAGGCTCCCATCCTTTCCATCAAGACCTTCATTAGCTTATGATATTTGCTGCCGAGATGTTATAACAAGGACTCGTTCATGTATATAAGCTATTTCTTGATCCATTTAAAAGGAATTGTACATTGTGTAGAAAAAAAAAAAAACCTGAAAAAGAGAAAAAAAAGCCCTAGCCATGGATATTGTGAAACTGTGTTATGTCATTTTGTAATGTGCCCGTTTGTGTATGATCCGTGCAAAAGGGTTTCTGGGGAAGGGGAGGGGGTAGGGAGGCAGGGCTGTGGAGGGTGGGTAGGGGAGTGGGCCGGGCCCAGCACACTGAGACTGGCAGCTGCTCCAACCCCATCCCTCCTTAGAGATGCCACCTCCCCCACCACCCACCCCTAATTTGTGCCTTGCCTCCCCACCCTGGAGTAGTCCCTCCGGGTCACCAGCACTGCCTTGGCAGAGCCCACTCCCTACCCTAACCTGCCCACCCTCCCTATCCCCCAGCATTAGGTTGATACTGTGGGGAAGTGCTGGGGGCTGGGAGGTAGCCGAGGAATGGGGCAGTTCCCGGGGGCATCGAAACCAAGTATTATTATGAATTGTAATTGTATTTGCACTGTTTTTTTCCTCTGATTGCATCAGCATATATACAATATACCTATATAACAAAATTCAGTGTCAAGCTTTCTTATGCAAGGGATTTCCCCCACCCCACCTCCTCAAAAAAGAAAGAACCTAGTCTTATGGGCCTTTGAGGGTGGATTGTCAGGGGATGATAGAAAGGATTTTAATAAGTCATCCTGAGGAAATTTCACCTAGTGAGAGCCACATCCATCTGCACAGCCTTAGGCTGCGTGAACCGAGGTGAGGCTGAGCTCCTGTGAAAGCCAAGACCTCCTGGTCCAGGACTTTGTAGAGTAAAAAGAACCACCAACACAAAAGGGGTTGAGGGGGCTACAATCTGGAGACCTGGGGTCTCCTACTAACTTGCTATATGATCTTTGGTAGAGTTAATTTTCTGAGTATCAATTTTCTTATCTGTGAAGTGAAGAGGGGGATCATCTGGCCACCAAGTTTAAAATTCTATACTTCTCACCTGCCAAAACCAAAAAACAACTTGAGGTGAGGAAAGTGTTGGGCCCAGAAACCAGGGAGGAACTGAAAGTGACTCGCGTTGAAGTGGTTATGTGTATGACAATGCTCTTGGAGAACTGCCAGTCCTCTATGGTTACCCTTGATTTGGGAGAGGCAGCAGAGTCATGTCCAGGGCATCAGACCAGTGACATCTTTGCCTTTATGCCTCTAGTCATCTGAGGGCGGGGACTAGGCCTCAAGCCCCATCTCACAGCCAACCACAGAGCCCTTAAGGGTGGTTGACAATTGAATGCCCCAGGTTGGTGCTTTAGTTATTTACTCCCTTTGTGAGCTACAGGATGTGTAACTTTTCCCCCATCTTGGTGATAAAATAGGAGAGCGCAGACACAGCCCACATTTTGTCTCCTTTCCTCAGATTTCATCTGAACCCCGCTAAAGGCAGCTGTTTCACAGTCTGTCTCCTTCAGGGGCCCAATTTCCCCACAGCCTGGGCTGAGTACTCCTACTCTCTTCTTTAGGTTCTGGGCTGATAAAGCCTGGAGAGGGTACAGGGTGATGGGTGAAGCCCTGGTGAAGGTGAAAGGATAGATTGGGGTTGGGGGGTGGGGAGCAGGGAGGTGGGATGGGGAATGGCCTTCCCTGAATAGGGTGGGTGGGAGGGGAACAAGACCCTTTTGCACAACTCTCTTTAAGTTTCCTTTATTTCTTTTTTAACTCATTCTGATTTTCTGCATTGTGTTTGGGAAATAAAATGAAAAAACTAAGACCAATAGAAACTGGTTTTCAAAAAGGCAAATACACTCCCATCTGTTTCAGATGCTGCTGAGCATTTCAGCAGTGACAGATTCAAATAATAAGCTAATTTTTGGAGAAAGGATTAAAAGAAAAAAAAACTTTGTAATATTTATCACTTGCAAGCTATGTTTAATAAAGAAAGGAATGGTTTCTAAAACTTTCCTGTGGCTTGTGCTTTAGTTATGGGGCTGGGGGTGGCAGTTTGGCGGGAGAATTTTCAGGGTAATTGGGAGATGAGCTATGGCTGTCTTCCCTAGTCAGTCCAGCCACGGACTGAGTACCTTTGGTTTGTATCCTTCTCTTTGATTGTGATGATTGTTTAAAGCCCTGACCTACTTCTGTGTTCTTGTTCCCCTCCAGCTCTAGCTGGAGCCAGTATTCTGGAAGCCACCAACCCCACTTTAGTTATCTGATGACTTTAGGTCTAATGGTATCATGGGGAGGGGGCTGGGTCTCCATTCTCTCCTAGGGAAAGGTGTCCCCTAGCAGTGCTTGGCCCTTCCCACCACACTGCTCTGGTCTCTAGTGACAGAATCCTTTAGCCAGGCACAGTGCTGCATGCCTATAGCTACTCAGGAGGCTAAGGTGGGAGGATCACTTGAGCCAGGAGATCAGCCTGGGCAATGTAGTGAGACCCCATCTCTATAAAAGAAAATAAATAATCTTTTGTAACATGCTTGTTCCTCTAGACGGTTGCCTTATTTACCAGCAGGGGTTCACATTGCTGTTTTCTAGTAAACTACCGAATATAGTTCTTTAACAATCTGAATGCAGCATCCCCTGAAAGATCTGGAACTACACTTTCTCACCATCTCATCACTCCCCTCCCCCAAGTTTTCCTTTCAGCCCAAAGCATTAACCAGATCCTAATTTATTTTTTCCGTTTTGGTTATTTATTTCCAACAAAGCAGTTAGACCAGGCCCAACCAGAGAAGAGGATGTCATTTCCTCAAGGACTTGATGTTTGGGGCTATTCTTAGCCCTCTTGCTCCTCAGCCACGTTTTTTAGTTACAGCTGCTGCTGTGCCTTGTGCAGAGGGCACTATTGTGGAGGGCCAGAGCCCAGCCTTTCTGGAGTCTTGTCATTGGTACTAGCATTACTCTATAAGAGCACAGGAGACAGTTTTGGGGTCCTCTAAGCCATGGGCTTTCCTTCCCCCAAGACCCTTCCCTTTTTGGCACAATACTGGGCAGCCTTGGAGAGAGAGTGATTGAGGAAGTGGCTGGGGCTTTGGCTTTAGAGCATGGCAGAGCTGGATAAGGAGGGACTGTGGTGCTCTGGATGCCAATAGGCTGGTAGAGGGAGAAGTGGGAAAGAGGTGCTCTTCAGACCCCAAGAGTTGAGGGAGGGGAGATGGGGAGTGCTCCCCAGCCTCTGTGCTCATTCTACAGGCGATTCAAGACTGCCAAAACCCTGACTCAAACTAATCTCTTTCAAAAATAAAAATCAAATGGGTAAGGAGGACCCCCTGCGGAGGAGCCAGTGCTTTGGATCTGGGAAGGGGGAAATGGGTATTTGGTTGCTCAGAGAAGCTCATATGAGCTCAGATATTTAAGAGTCATGTTGTAGGGAGAAGGGGGGCAAGAAACTCTGCACCCCCTTTGCCCACCTGCTCACTCGGACCACAAGGAATGCAGGTCGCCTGTCCCTGGGCAGAGCTCAGCTTGGGCACGAGGAGACAGAGACAGATTTTAGACTGGAGGGCTTCAGGTTGTGAGATGGAGGTGATGACAGAGCCTCTTCCCCTGCCGCCATTTTGTGGGGAACCCTTAAAGCTAGGTGTCTTTGGGCAGGTTCATATTTGGATCAAGAAGAGGTGAATATACTGGATGGGGTTATGAGGCAGGAGTAACTGGGTTGGGGGTAACTCCCAGCTGGGCTTGGTTTAGTTTGAGGTTATTTGGTGTGTTGGGGGAAGGGATGCAGATTCTCCCATTTCTTGAGGTCTGGGAGGAACAGAGAAACCACACCCTCTTCTCTCCCACTATGGCCAGTCCTGCCCCTCCCCGGAGAGGAGCTGAGGGACTTTTGGTTCTTTCCTGACTCTGGGGTGACAGGGACAGGTGAGGTAGATTCTTTGGTGTATCTGGAGTTAGTGGCATCTCGGAGGGAGCCAACTTGGAGGGCCCTAGGCCAAGGCCAGCTGTTCCACAGTCACCTGAGGGTGAAGGAGGTCAGGCCTCTGGACCAAGGCCTCAAACACTCCAGTTTCCCCCACTCATTCCCCATCACTGAATCCGCCTCACCTGGGTGGTGAGTTCAGTCTTCTCCCCCAGCTTCCCTCCACTCTGAGTCTGGCCTTGATGGCCCCCAGTTCTGTCCGAGGCAGTCCGAGGCACTGCCCAGCATTCCTGGGACTCCTGTTTGCAGAGGAGGCTGCCCGGGTAGGAAGGGTCAGCAGTGTGGTCTGTCTGGTGCCTCCCTCTGCCTCGCATGGCTCCCAACCCCTCCTCCTGCTCCATGCTCCCCAGAGATGGAGAGGGTGGACCCCTCTTCATGCTGCTGGATGGCAGGGAACTGGCTCTAGCTCATTTCTGCTGCCCTTGTTCTTTGCTTTGGGAGCCCCAGTTCTCTCTTCCCGGCTCATGGCAGGCCTTCTCCTGCCCCTGGTACCACACAGCTCTGAAAAGAATTGGCTTCCTCTCTCTGCCTGAGTCTCCTCATTGGTAAAATTGATTGGTTGTAGATTGGGGCTTTTTTGCTCTCTTTGGCCCTGTGCCACAGTGATGCAGACTGTCTCCCTGGCAGATTTCCCACATTAGCCCTTACCTGGCCCTTAGCTATGTCTCCAGCCCAGGAAGAGGCAGAGGAGGCAAATGATGAGGGCAGCCAGGCCCACGTGGATGCCCACCACAACCCCAGGCAGTGGGCTGCTCTCACCCTGGCTGCAAGAGCACCCAGTCTTGGACTCTGTGGACACTGTGCCATCTGTCAGAGAGAGGACCAGGGTTGGAGGTGAAGCCCAGCCCTCTTCCTGAAGACTGGCAGCCATGGGTCCTATCAGAGGGGCCTGCTCTGACCCCAGCCCTACTACCCTCCTACCAGACCCCACTTACCAGGAGTGGCCAGGGGCACATCACACAATGAGACACAGCGGGCACTGCTATTTCCATCCCCATTGCCATTGAACGCCTGCAGCTTGATGTCATAGAGAGCAGCCGGTTCTGCCGGGAGCAGGGGAATGTGAAGGGGACGGGCATTTCTGGGCCAGGAAGCTCAGTACCTGGGGCAAGATCACACTGAGAAAGGCAGGCCTTGAGTGGCACAGGAAGGTTCAGAGCCTCACCCAGGTCTGTGTAGAGGAAGGAGCTGACACTGCTGGCCAGGAGCAGAGGCCCCTGAAAATGGGCAGCAGGCAGCTTGCGGTGAAAGTTTGAAGCCTTGGATGGGCCCCAGCTGGGGTGGCAGCTCCCAGGAGGCCTGCACAGAGGTGGCATTCAGCACTTTGGTGGAGAAGCCCAGGGCAGCAGGGGCTGCAGAGGAAAACAAGCAAACTAGTTGGCAGTCCCTGCCCACCTGAGGCCAGGGACTTCCCAGGGCTGGAGAGGCTGTCACTCACTGCTGCCCATGGTGGAGGCAAAGATGGGAGCAGAGTCCTGACTGGCACCCTCTGCTGAGTAGGCCCGCAAATGGATGGTGTAGGCTGTGGCAGGCTCCAGGTTGGAGAAGACGTGCTCAGAAGTGCCTTTGCTTATGGCCTCTTGGAGCTCCGGGCCAGATGGCTCTGAGGAGCAAAGCAGCATCTTCTCACTAGCCACGTCCCCACACCTTCACAAACTGGGGACGAAGCCCCTCTTGGTGCCTGGCTGGGCCAGCCAAGCCTCCAAGGAGAGCAGGGAAGGGAGCTACAGAAGTTGGAGCTAAGCTGAGAAAGGATGAGGATGAGGATGAGGAAAGGGCCTAGAGTCAAGCTGAAAAGCAGTAAGGAAGCACCAAAAGACCATGTACAGAGGCAGCCAGCCCAGAGAACCACAGGCCCAGAGGCCTGGGAAGAATCCAGAAGGGTCTGGGGTCATGGAGGAGACTGGGGCTCAGAGAGTGAGAGGGACTCACCCAGGACATCAGCAGTCAGGAGCAGAGATGGGCTGGTGCCAGGGACTCCTGGCCCCTGGCCCTGCTCTGAGGTCAAAGCCCTCTCCACCCACCCACACCCACCTCCCACAGGCCGGAGGTGCAGCACGTAGCCAATGATGTCCCTGCTGGAGGGGGGGGTGGCTCCCAGGACACTCGAATGGCAGAAGTAGAGAGAGCCATGGCATGCAGGCCCCTGGGGACGGGGTGGCTCTGGGCCCCCTGTCACAACCAGGCGGGCACTGGCCTGGTTGGAGCCCGTGCTGTTCTCTGCCACGCATTGATAGATGGCCTCATCCTCAACTGAAACCCCTGCCAGCATCAGCGTACTAGAGAAAGACAAACTCAGCTACTGGGAGCCCTTTCCCACCAAGACTTAGTGGAGTGGCCCTAGAGGAGGAGGCTGTGTGGGGACATTACCTGTAATGGAGCAGTCAGGGCAGAGCCTCCTGGGGGAGGGGGGAATTGCTGGAAGTAGAAGGTAACTTGCTGGGGGTTTGTGGATGGGTGTGGATTTTTGAGATTTAGGTAGTGAGTGTTGCATGTAGGTGGGGGTGGACGCCCAGGGTGGGTAGGGGGACCTACCATTGCCAGTGGGCAGTGGGGAGTGGTGAGACACGAGTACCTATTGTTGTGAGTCAGCCTGATGTTATTCCCAGGACTCAACACCTTCCCATTCTTCAGCCAGACCAGACGGGACTCAGGGACGCCCTGGGCCACGCAGGTGAAGATGGCACTGCTGCCCGGAGGCTTGGACAAGGACTGTGGCCACTGGACAAACTCGGGGAGCTGGGCAGGCAATAGCATGGAGGAAGGTGCCGTGAGACCCAGCCTCTTGCCTCCTGCCCTGGACCCTCTCCAGATCCAGGCTCCTGTCAGGGAGCTGGGGTGCTCCAGCACTCTCCCCACCCAGTTGGGCCCTTGGGGCTCACCCTGCACGAGCAGGACGCCCTGCGCTGTGCGCCGGACATGGGTGCCTGGCCGATTGGCGGCGCAGACATAGACACCTGAGTGCTGGACTGAGACGTCGGAGATCATGAGATTCCCTGTGTCCAGAATGTCCAGAACTTGGATGCCCTCTACGCCGATGGAGCGGCCATCTGCAAGAAGGCGTTGGGGGGTCAGGCTGGGATAGGACGAGGGAACAGGGCTCTGAGAGACAGCAAGGGGGTGGGGGGCGGCTGCGCACCCAGGCGGCTCCAGGAGACAAGCGGCCAAGGGTGACTGGTGGCAATGCACTCCAGCACTGCCGTCTGGTGCACTGTGAGGGTCAGGTTCTGAGGCCCAGACAGGATCTCTGGCTCCTGCAGCAGCCTCAGGGGTCCCACTGTGTGGTGGAAACAAGCAAATTGGATCAGGAAAGGAGAACCTCCTTCCAATACTCAACTTCTACTCCAAGCACACTCTTCCAGCCCACAAATGTCACCAGACCTCAGAGGTGTGCTTTGCAGCTGCTATTCCATCCCCAATTTACAGATTTTAAAAATGACCTGCCCAAAGTCCCATGGAAGTAGCTATCAGGCTGAAGGTCTGGTAGACTGGGGGTGCGGAGAGAGAGGAGAGAGCATTCTCCTCCTACAAACCCTGTGGGTGGCCCCACCTTCCCTGGGCGCCTCACCCTGAGGGGCAGGTAGAGGCACCCACAAAGTTAGTAGGAGGCGCTCCCTCAGAAAGCATGACCAGCCTCCTAAGACCTCAGCCTGCTTAGCTGCTTAGGAAGGATGTGTTTTCCCAAAGTAACTCTTGTTTTGGGTCTAAATCACATCTTCATTTTATGCCATGCTCCCCCGTTTCATTAGTTTATTCAACAGGTCATCACTGGGGGCTCCCATGTGCCAGGCAGCACCCTCACACTGGGAGCACAGTTGTGAACAACATCGTGTGAAACAGAGCTCTGCCTTCCCATAGGCCATCATCCTCATTTTCTTTACCACCTTGTATCATGTGAGAACTTAACGTGTCTTTCCTTTCATAAATGCCCTTTATTAAGAATGTCTCAGATAAAATGTTTCTAAAATGAAAGTTTCTCAAGGGCTGGTCTAAAGTCTTACACATCTTTATCCCTCAAGGTGTAGGATTGTGTTTTGTTCATTCACTTATTCAGCAACTATAGATTGAAGGCCTACTTTGGGCCCAGCCCTTCTCCATTTGCCTCTTGCAAGCTGCAGTACAGGCTGTGGGCTGCCCTGGAATCTCCTGGCCTCATTCAAAGAGGCTGTGTCCTGCCTGGCCAGACAGTTCAGTGAGGGGAGGCTGGGCCACCCGGGCCGACCCCTTCCCCATGCCAGACATTGGCTGCGAGCCCCACAGATTGTCCCATTTTGCCCTCACCACAGCCTGTGTGCGGAGTACTGTTATTTCCCCCATTTACATGAGAAGATCAAGGATCAGAGAGGTTAAGTAACTTGCCCAATGACAGAGGCACTGGCAGAACTGGGGGACTTCCTGGATCTTGGTAGCACTGAACAGCTGACAAAGAGGATCCCCTCTTTAGCCGCTGTGAGCTCCTTGAAGTCTGGGAAATTCTGTCTCACCCTGGTGCACGCCCAGGGTAAGTGCCTGTCCAGGTGTGTGCAGTTGAGTGCATTAGGGGTGAATGGCTTGGGGCCTTGGTCCCCAGCTCCTGCCCCTGGGGAAGACTACTCTTGACACCAGCTCCTTTAGGCAACCCTTGAGCCTTCGGTTTCTGATTGGTCCTCTGCCCCCAACAGGCGCCTGCTCCTCCTGCTAACCTCCTGTCGCTCTCTGGCCATTCGTCTCCCTGCTCCGCGGGCAGCAGAATCCTATGTCTGCTCGATAGCCTTGAGAGACATAGCCTCCTGCCCTGCCCTCCTGCCCCAGACTGTGGATAGGAACGGAACACCACAGGCCAGAGGGACCTCATTGGGCTCCTCTGCTCCTGCAGAGGAGCCGCTGACCCCCACCCTCGCTTTGAGTTTCTAAGTCAGTTACAGATCAGAAACACAACCGTTCCCCCTTCCCCTGCCAGTCTTAAGTTTAAAAATTATATACCGGCCGGGCGCAGTGGCTCACGCCTGTAATCTCAGCACTTTGGGAGGCTGAGGCGGGCAGATCACGAGGTCGAAAGATGGAGACCATCCTAGCCAACATGGTGAAACCCCATCTCTACTAAAAATACAAAAATTAGCCGGGTGCGGTGGCGGGCGCCTGTAGTCCCAGCTACGCGGGAGGCTGAGGCAAGAGAATCGCTTGAACCCGGGAGGCGGAGGTTGCAGTGAGCCGAGATGGCGCCACCGCACTCCAGCCTGGCGACAGAGCGAGACCCCGTCTAAAAACAAAAAAATAGATATAGCCTTCGGTGAGATTTTGTCAGAGATGTTTTGAAAGTTCGCCCAGGTGCAGCAGTGGTGTCCCGTGGTACACTTGCTTATTTATACCCTGGAGCCCCCTAGTGGCTGATTCAGGCATGACTTTCCCTCACAAACACCTGCGGCATCTCTGGTTTAGGCAGGGTCTAACCTGCCTCTCCTGCTAGGCACCAGCTCCTCATAGGCTCTGCTGTGGCCTTCACTTTGGGCACAAAACTCTCCCACCCCATTTGGCCTGCAAGTGGGGTCATCCTGGGTGTTTCATCTCAGGTACAAAGCTATTTTCATCCTCACCCCAAGAAGGAGACGTGCAAGTGTCCATGCACACATGCACATGTACATGCAAGCACAGACACATACACGAACACATGCACATCTACACGCCATGTGTATGGGGGCCACGTGTTCAA
This sequence comes from Homo sapiens, assembly GCF_000001405.40. Lineage (NCBI taxonomy): Eukaryota > Metazoa > Chordata > Mammalia > Primates > Hominidae > Homo > Homo sapiens. The sequence continues at coordinate 153,797,070 of NC_000001.11, read as the reverse complement.
AACACAGGCTGACTCAGCCCCAACGCTAGACCCTCCAGAGCTCCCACTACCCTCTGGATCAAGTCCAAACTCCTTTCATGGTATGTGCCTTGCCTACTCGCCAACATTAACTTTGCTACCCTGAATTCTGCCCATTCTGTGGTCCAGCAACACAGAACTGCCTGTGTGAACTTTGTTGTCCTCACCCTTGTGCATTTGTCCAAGGAAATGCCCCCGCCCTTACCTCCTGACCTTGGCTTGCCTCTCTCCACTCACCCTTCAACACCCGGCTTGGGGTAGCTTACTCCAGAAGCCCCTGACAATCCTTGCCCACAGCCCAACCCTGGGTTCCCGCAGCACCACCTTCTCTCTCAGGTTGTGAGCTCCAGGAAGCCAGGGATGGCTCAAGCCTGCTGCCCTCCCACACCTGGCACAGTCATAGGTGCTCAAAATGCCTGCCTGTCCCATGTACAACCACAGCAACCATACCCTCCCCTCTGCCCAGTGCCCACACTGGGCCTGGCTTACCACTCAGGGTCAGCTGGGCATCCTGGCTGTGGCGGGTACTGGCCACATTCCATGCCACGCAGCGGTAGGTTCCCATGTCAGTCTGGCTCACACTGGTGATGTGGAGGATGCCACTAGGCAGCAGTGTGACCCTGAGGATGCAGAGGTCAGGGCTCCATGGCCTGTGCCCTGGCCCACAGCCCACCGTCCCATTGCACTCCTGGCAGGTGCTCACCGGTGGTTGGCAGTATTCAGGGCTGTGCCATTGTGCTCCCAGGAAATGGATGGCTCAGGCACCCCCTGGATCAGGCACTGGAAGCGAGCAACTCCACCCCGCTCCACCTCAATGGATTCTGGATGTTGGTGGAAGCGGGACAGACCTAGAGGATGGGGGGGCCACTTGGGCACCTGCAGAGCTGGCCCTGGGCTATCCCCCCACAACCAAGTCCCAGGGCTGGGCCCCACCTCTGTGCCCACATCTGCCACATCCTCTTCAGTATAGAGCCCTGCAGCCTCATGTCTAGGACTTCTGTGGGCTATAAGCACTTTGCCTTCCTCCATTACAAAAATTTTAAATCATAGTTTACAATGGCATTGGAATATAGACAAGTATAATCCAGTCTGGACTCATTTTTACATATTTATTATTGTATTCATTTTTTTCTTCTGGTTTTGAAGAAGTTAAAACATTTTTGTGGGCCCCTAAAAGAATCAGAGGCTCTACCAGTGTGTACACTGTGTCTAATGGCTGGGCTGGCCCTGCTCAGGCCCACTCTCAGCGAGTCTGGGCCCCATGGGTGCCTTCTGTGGGTGCCCCACCAACTCTCATCCCCCAATCCCAGGAGCAGCCCTGTCACTTACTTGCCAGCTGTACCCGGGCCTGTCGGCTCACCAGCCGCCCGTAGCGGTTCTGGGCCACGCAGTGGTACTCGTGGGCACGGGAAGGGAGGCTCCGGCGGGAAGGCAGGGCGGCCAGGTGCAGGGAGCCATCTGGCATCAGGGTGACACCACTCTCATTGGCTAAGGCCAGCCTATCCCGCTGCCAGGAAATGGACACAGGCGGCTCACCCTCCACCTGGCAGGGCAGCACCAGTGGGTGCTCCCACACAGCCACTGTGTCCCCCAGCTCCTGCACGAAGGCCAGCTCGGAGCCTGCAGCACAGCCTGTAGGGACAGCCAGCACAGCCTGAACACGGCGGCCCCCTGAGGCCCACCCTTTGTCCACCACCTCCCCCATGGCTTTGATTCCCTCCCAGCCTTGGCGAGGGGCAAGGGACAGGACTTGACTTTAGGGAGACTTTGGGTCAGCAAAGGAGGAACAGGGAAGAGAGGGCAGGGCCTGGCCATCTGAGGAGCAGGGCGGGCCACTGTCCGGCTGGCGGGTGCGGTGTGGGCCTGGCGGGCCGGCTGTGATTGATGGCCTCTTTCAGCTGGGCCCTGGCAACGGGGAGGGGGCGGGGTGGGCACAATGGTGAGGTCAGGGGCTGAGGCGTGAGCATTGTGCTCCCCAGGGGACAATGGGATCGCCCCCTCCCTCCCCCACCGGCCCATCTGCCTGTCTGCCTGCAGGGTCAGCTTCCCAGGACTCCTGGCTCTCCCCCTTCCCCCTCCCGCCACCAGGACCCTGGCCTCTGAATAGGGAAGGAACACACTTACACTCACACACACTCATTCACGGACACACACACACTTGGATTAAAAATCACAACCTCACTGGCCACCAGGTCTTCTAGACACAGACAGATTCCATCCCAGATGCACACTCAAGGAGGCCCCAAACACAGGTCACACATAGATGTCCCTACAGACTCAAAGTCACAAATACATAAGCACAGGGCCACAGACACTAACAGCACAGGCCCAGAAATGCATGAGCAGAGCTGTGAACCCACAGCCTCCCTTCCCACACACCCCCATAAATACAATAACTCAGCCTGTAAGGCTGAGCCAGGACCCCCAGCAGATGGGGTGGATAGGCGGGCAGACAGAGCCTCCGAGGGGCACATGGGCAGGGGGCTCAGCCAGCCTTGGTTGGCTCAGGGACATCTGTGGGTAAGCCTCTGGGGCCCTGCCTCTGCATGCCCCGCAGTCTGCTCAGCCACTTGCCTCACGTGGCCCCCAGGTCCCCTTCTAGCCACTGTGCCCCAAAGCCTGGGCTCCTAGAGCACCCCCCACAGCTCTCCCGCAGCCCTGCCTGCCCCTCCTGCTCACCCCTCTCCTCTGCTGTCCTCAGGGTTTCTCCATCTCCACTCCGGCCACCTCCATCCCTCTGCTTCCCCAACCTTGCCCCGCAACTCTCCCACCCCTATGCCTGCCTCTTTTTCTTCCCCGTCCCTCTGCCCTGGCTTTCCCTATGGCCCCCATGGCTCAGCCTCTTACCCCAGCCTGGGAGCAGCAGCAGCAGCAGCCCCATGTCCCTGCCAGGCACGGCCCCTCAGCCTGGGCAACTTCTCCAGCAGCCCCAGTCTCCTGCCTTCAGCCTGGGGGCCCTTGGGCTGTGGGCATTCTCCACCCCGCACTTTGGCGCACAATGTGGGGGCCCTGGTCTTGCTTTGGGGAGCCCAGGTTCTGGGGTGCCAAGCTCTGGGGTCGAGACTGAAGGCTACTGTCCTTGCCTTCGTGTTCCTGGAGCTGGGTCTCTCTCTGCTTTCAGCCTGAGCCCCCTCCCCACTCCTATCCCCACTGTCCCCTCCTCCCAGGGCCAGGACCCAGACACCGAGACAATTGGGGCGGGGAAAGGGGGCGAGGGCCAATGAGAGCGGGGCAAAGTTGGGGGGTCAGACCCGCCCCTTTCTCAGCTTCCAGAAATCTCTCCCAGCCCATTACCCACCCCTTACTCCCTCTCAAACTTTGACTGAATGAGAGTGAAGTTCTAGGAGGAGTTGGGGCATCTGGTCCCCCAAGCCCATCCCTGGGGATCCATGTCCTGGACAGGGGTGGCTTGAAGTCTAATTTGGGGGTCCTGGGGAGGGGTGCAGAGCCCCCACTCTCCTAGTAGAGTCACCGTCCCAGGTGCTGAGCCTGGGCCTGAAGTGGGGGACCTCATCCCATTAGTTCAGTCCCAGCCCAGCAGCCCCAGCACCATTCATAGTGTCAATTTCCAAAGCTGTTTTCTCTATTCTTATTGGGACAATGGATTGGGGCCACCAGGGGCCGGGAGGCTGCCAGCCAGTGGGAGGTGGAGGACCAGCCCCATCCTAAAGAGAAGAAAGAAACCCAGGCCTCCCGCCCCTTGCCAGGCTGACCACTTAAAACATGCAAAAAGAGGGACTACCCTTCCACCAAAGGAGACTGGGACTCAGGCAAGAGCTGACTTTGAGACTTGCTATTTCTGGAGGATACCCTCCCCTAAACGCCACCCTCCTGAAAAAGAGCATAGCTTAGGAAAGATGACAGGGGTACCAGGGATGTATGGGAGTATCTGTGAGAGACAATAAGGGGGAAGGCTGGGCTGGGGGAGTCTCGTGTGGCAGAGAATGAGGCCCCATCACCCAGCTTCCAACCCTAGGAGCTCCAGCCTGTCTGGCCCCTGACTCAGTCTCCCCCTGAATCCCGGTCCCCTTGCCCACTCCTGTCAGCCTCTGCATCTGGCCTTGCCCTGCCCACTTGAGGCTGCCCCTTGCCTCTTCAGCACAAACTCTCACCCTCAGTCTTCGCCCCCGCTTGCTCAGCTGCCTCTCCGGCTTGTCCCACCTTGCTCACAGGCTTCAGAATCAACTCAGGCCATTGTCCCTCCCAACTCAGCCTCCTCCTCTCAGACAGCAGTCCTTGGTGTCTGTGTCCCAGGACGGGGCTACCCCTAGCAGAGACCTCCATGGGACAGGAGAGCGAGCAGCCTCCCCTCGGGGCCTCCTCGTCCCAGCCCTGCATCTCTCTGTCCCGGAGCCTCCTATGAGGGTTCCCGCTGCTTCCCCAGAGGGGCCTCCTGAGTCATGGCGGTGGCCTGGGTAGGGAAAGGCGCATAGGCCCTGGGGTCAGATGTGGAACAAATCACTAGCTGCGTGTCCTTGCATAGGCAAATTTACCTTTCTTTTTTTCTTTTTCTTTTCTTTTTTTTTTTTTTTTTTGAGACAGAGTCTCACACTGTTGCCCGGGATGGAGTGCAGTGGCGTGATCTCAGCTCACTGCAACCTCCGCCTCTGGGTGCAAGTGATTCTCCTGTCTCAGTCCCCCGAGTAGCTGGGATTACAGGTGCCCGCCACCATGCCCGGCTAATGTTTTGTATTTTTATTAGAGGCGGGATTTCTCCATGTTGGCCAGGCTGTTCTTAAACTCCTGACTTCAGGTGATCCGCCCACCTTGGCCTCCCAAAGTGCTGGGATTACAGGCATGAGCCACCACGCCCGGCTGGATTAGTGACCTTATAAGAGAAGGAGAGATCTCTCCACGTGCACATACCAAGGAAAGGCGCGTGGTGACTCCACGGGAACTCAGGCCTCTGCAAGCCAGGGAGGGGCCCAATCGCCGGGAACGGGATTGGCCAGCACCTTCAAGCTTGGACTTTCCAGCCTCCAGTACTGTGAGAAATAAAGTCCTGTTGTTTAAGCCATGTAGTGTCTGGTGTTGTGGCAGCCCGAGCTGACTCAGACGCCCCATCTCCCGGCCAGCTTCCCCTGCTGCTGTCAGAACTGCCCACTCTCCAACAGCTACTGAGAAGATGCATCACTGACTGCGCCACTTGCCTGTCACCTCCAAATCCACACTCCAGCATGGCTCGCAGGACAAAGAATGACCCATACAGGAGACCTGGTCCAAGGCCTGTCACTAAACAGCCATCCCATCTTAGCCTAGTGATCCTCGCCTCTCTGCCATCTGCTCACCTGTAAGAGGGGAGAAGGTCAAGGCCTGCCTTTCACAGTTGCAAGGACGAAGTGAAATGTGGTGCTAAGGGCCAAGCACTTCCTCTTTTTTTAGAAGAGATAAATTTATTTTTTGAGACAGGGTCTTACTCTGCTGCCCAAGCTGGAGTGCAGTGGCAAGATCACAGCTCACTGCAATCTCCACCTCCTGGGCTCAAGTGATTCTCCCACCTCAGCCTCCCGAGTAGCTGGGACTGCAGGTGTGTGTTACCATGCCAGGCTATTTTAAAAAATTTTTCGTAGGTATGTAGAGATAGGGTCTCACTATGTTGCCCAGGCTGGTCTTGAACTCCCGGACTCAAGCGATCTCCCCACTTCAGCCTCCCAAAGTGCTGGGATTATAGGCGTGAGCTGCCGTGCCTGGCCCACTTCCTCTTTTTTCTAGGAACAGCTTTACTGAGATATAATTTACATAGCAGAAATTTCACCCATCACCCATTTAAGGAATTCAGTGGCTTTCTGTATATTTTCAGAGTTGCACAACCATTACCACAATCTATTTTAAAACATTTCATCACCCCGAAAAGAAACTTAGTACCTACTAACATTCACTCCCCATCTGCCCTCTCTCAGCCCCTGCCAATCACCATTCTACTTTCTGTTTCTATGAATATGGCTACTCTGGGTACCTCATATACAGTGGAATCATATGATATTTGTCCTTTCGTGTCTGGCTTATTTCACTTAGCGTAATGTCTTCAAGTTTCATCCATCTTGTAGCCTGTCTCAGCACTTCATTCTTTTTAATCCCTGAATAAGATTCCATTGCATGGATAGACTACATTTTGTTTATCTGCTCATCAGGAGACTGACATTTGGGTTGTTTCCACTTTTTGGCTATTATGAGCAATGCTGCTACAAACATCCGTGGAAATGTTTTTGTGTGGACGGACATCTTCTGTTCTCCTGGGCATGCGCCTAGGAATGGAGTTGCTGGGTCACATGGTAACAGTATTTTGAGGAACCGCCAAACTGTCTTCCACAGTGACTGCAGCATTTTACATTCCAAGCACTTCTTTTTATAACACTCAGGATAGGAGTTAACTTTTATTGGTCCCAGGCCCCCTTGAGAATTTGATTAAAGCCTCCCTCCTGCCACCAAGGGGATAGACCCACACTCCCTGGAACGCTGGCAAACGCCGTCCTGACGCAGGCTAGGAAGCTCCATCCCAGGGATGGAGCCCGGAATAGCCTTGGAGCTCAGGAAACGCCGCCAACATGGACTTGCTGAGAGCTGCCCTCCTTCCCTCCCTCTCCAACAATTGCCTATTGGCTCAACCCCGAACAGTCCTCTGGCGTCATCTGAGTTTTCACAGCTGCCCAGGCTTTCCTGGAATAACGTCCCTGGAAAGTCTCAGCTGGCAAACAGAATCCCCCGAAAAGTCCCCAAGCACGCCCAGGACACTGTCTCCTTTCTCAGCCACCTCCTCTCTCCTGTCAGCCTGGTCCTCTGCCTCTCTCCGAGCCTTTTTCTCCCTCTTCCCTTCTCTGTCCATCTCCATTGGCCTTCCCATCTGTGGTCGGCAGAATAGGGCCCTGGAGAGATCCAAGTCGTCATCCCCGGAACCTATGAATGTGCTAAGTTACCTGGCGGGGAGGAATTAAGGTTGCTACAGCTGATCTTAAAGAGGTGCTCCGGGATTATACAGGTGGGCCCAATGTCATCATGAGGGTCCTTAAAAGCGGAAGAGGAAGGTGGAGAGGAGAGAGAGATGGAGAGCCAGAGACGCGATGTGCAGGAGGAAGGGGCCACAGCCAAGGATGCCCGGCCTCTAGAAACCGGAAAAGGTGAGGAAGCGCGTGCTCCCCTAGAGCCTCCAGAAGGAAACGTAGCCTTCCAACGCTAATTTTAGGCCAGAAAGCCCTGTCAGGCGTCTGACTGTAAAGCTATCAGATCAGACATTCATGTTTGAAGCCCTTATGTCTATGGTAATCTGTTACAGCCCCCGCAGGAAACGCACGACTCCTGTGGGCTCCGTCTCTGATGTTCAATCCAGGGCGCTGCATTTCACACCGGCTTTCATGCGTGTCTACCCCAGAGCGAGCTCCAGGAGGGCGGGGACTTTGTGGTGCTCCCAGCTGTGTGCCCAGAGCAGAGTCTGGCACAGGATGGGCTCTCAGTTAATGTTTGTTAAGGGGAGGAGGTGCCGGGCTTGGTGGCTCGCGCCTGTAATCCCAGCACCTGATCACTTGAGGTCAGCCTGGGCAACAGGGCAAAACCCCATCTCTACAAAAAATTAGCCGGGCACCTGTAGTTCCAGCTACTCGGGAGGCTGCGACAGGAGGTTCATTTGAGCCTGGGACGCAGAGGTTGCAGTGAGCCAAGAAAGCGCCCTGCACTCCAGCCTGGGTGACAGAGTGAGGACCTTGTCTCAATAAAGAAAAAAAAAAATTACAAACGTTTTCTTCATAACCACAATGCCATTATCATATATGACAAAATTCTTTAATTATTCCTTAATATCATCTAATACCTAGTCCTTAACCAAATATCCCTGATTGTCTGAAAAATGTCTTTCTACTGTTTTTCTGTTTTGAATCAAGAACAAGGTTTATACGCTGCATTTGATTATTGTGTCTCTTAATGATCTTATCAAAGGCAAACACCCCCAACCCTCACCCTTATATGTCATTGAATTGTTGAAGAGACTGGGTAAATTTTCCAGTAAAATTTTGCATGTTCTGGATCTGTCTGATTTTTGTGTGTGTGTGTGCTATTGAATACGTTCCTCTATAAATGGATGTTGGCTCAGAGGCTTGGTTTATTCAGGTTCCACTTTTAGGCAAGAAGACTTTATTGTTGGTATTTTATGCTGCACACTGCATTCAGGAGATGCACAATATCTGGTTGTCTTACTGTTAGTGATTCTAAAATTGATTAGGGGCTACAGGTGCTGATAACCTGATCTCTCCAAGATTCCTTGTCAATCTTTTCTTTTTTTAATTTTTTTCTTCGAGATGGAGTTTCACTCTTCTTGCCGAGGCTGGAGTGCAATGGTGCGATCTCAACTCACTGCAACCCCGGCCTCCTGGGTTCAAGTGATTCTCCTGCCTCAGCCTCCTGATTACAGGCGCATACCACCACGCCCAGCTAATTTTGTATTTTTAGTAGAGACGGGGTTTCACCGTGTTGGCCAGGCTGGTCTCAAACTCCTGACCTCAGGTGATCCGCCTGCCTTGGCCTTCCAAAGTGCTGGGATCACAGGCGTGAGCCACCATGTCTGGCCCCTCATCAACCTTTTCTTTCTTTCTTTCTTTCCTTTTTTTTTAAGAGATGAGGTCTCCCTGTGTTGCCCAGGCTGGAGTGCAGTGGCTATTCACAGGCACAATCATAGTTCTCTGCAGCTTCAAACCCCTGGGCTCAAATGTTCTCCCTCTGTAGCCTTCCAAGTGGCTGGGACTACAGGCATGTGCTACCACACCCAGCCTCATCAACCTTTTATCCAATAGTCATAGCTATTGGTAATAATTGCCTGACAGTTATTTCATTAGGGGTTGCAAAATGCTGATTTTCCAGTTCTGTCATTCCTTTCTCATTTATTAACTGAAATTCTTCTGTAAAGAAAGTCCCCTCATCAACTAGGACAATTTGGTAACCCTGAAATTCAGTTCACATGGGAAAGAAGGGAGAGTGCTTAGTTTTTTCCTTTGTTTGCCAATTATCAGAGTAAAGAGTTGGTACTCTGTCCAATGTGTTTCTTTTTCTCTCTCCCTTTATCCATCTTCCCTTTAGTAGAAGTCCCTTTAGTGGGAGTTTGCACTGATACTTTTTTTTTTAATTCAATGTTTCTGCTGCAATCTCTCTGAGGTTCAATTTGTCTCTATCTCAGGCCAGTGGGAGTTCAGTGTCCATTTGCTATTCCCCCGTTCTTTGGTATCTTTGCTTTCTGGAACCATCTGCCCCAGGCTCATTCAGAGTATTTTCTCCCCCAGACCTGAGATCAACCATTCCTCTAAGGGTGCCAGGATTTTTATTCAATTAGTTTTATTTATACTAAAATACTTTTTCTCTGGAAATATTGACCCCTAATATGTGCACTGTTATACAATATGCCATTAAATAGTTTCAAGTAATAACACCCATATTACCTTTAACAAGTACATTACCAAATGAAGTATAAGATATCTTTATTCTTCCTTGGGGAAAAACTAAGTATTACAAAATTCTCACTGTACAAAACAAACAAACAAACAAACAAAAAACAAAGATAAACTGTTCTTCATCAAAATGTAAAGCCTGGGCCAGGCGTGATGGCTCACGCCTATAATCCCAGCACTTTGGGTGGCCAAGGCGGGCAGATCATCTGAGCCCTAGAGTTCCAGACCAGCCTAGCCAACATGGTAAAGCCCTGTCTCTACTAAATATACAAAATCGGCCAGGCGCAGTGGCTCACGCTTGTAATCCTAGCACTTTAGATGGCTGAGGCAGGTGGACTGCCTGAGCTCCGGAGTTTGAGACCAGCCTGGGTAACAACAACAACAACAAAATTAGCCGGGCATGGCAGCGTGCGCCTGTAGTCCCAGCTACTCGGGAGGCTGAGGCAGGAGAATTGGTAAAGCCCGGGAGATGGAGGTTGCAGTGAGCTGAGATCGCTCCACTGCACTCCAGCCTCGGTGACAGAGGGAGGCTCCATCTCAAAAAAAAAAAAAAAAATTTAGCTGGGCATGGTGGTACACACCTATAATCCCAGCTACTTGGGAGGCTGAGACAGGAGGATCGCTTGAACCTTGGAGGTGGCGGTTGCAGTGAGCCAAGATTGTGCTACTGCATTTCAGCCTGGGTGACAGAGTGAGACCCTGTCTCAAAAAAAGAAAAAAAAATTAAAACCTTTGTGCTTCAAAGGATGCTTTTGACAAGAAAGTGAAAAGACAACAGAATCAAATATTTGCAAACTATATATCTGATAGGAAACTTATGTCCAGATTAAAAGAAAAACTTGTACAACTCAATAATTAAAAGGCAAATAACCCAGTTACAAAGTGAGCAAAAAATATGAATAAACATCTCTCCAAAGAAGATATGCAAATGGCCAGTAAACACATGAAAAGAAACTCAACCTCATTGGCCATGGGAAAATGCAAATCAAAGCCACAATGAGATACCACATCGCACCCAGTAGGATGGCTATAGTAAAAAAAGACAGATAATAACAAGTAGTGGGGATGTGGAAAAACTGGAACCCCTCATATACTGCTGGTGGGAATGTAGAATGGTGCAGCTACTGTGGAAAACAGTTTGGCAGTTCCTTCAAAAAGTTAAACATAGAGTTACTGTTTGACCTAGCAATTCCATTCCTAGATATCTACCCAAGAATATTGAATGTATATGTTCACACAAAAATTTGTACATGAATGTTGATAGCCATATTATTTAAATAACCAGAAGGCATAAATAGCCCCAGTGTCCATCAACAGATGAATGGATTAACAAAATGTGATAGATCCATACACCGGAATATTATACAGCCATAAAAAAGGAATGAAGCCAGGTGTGGTAGCTCACACCTGTAATCCTAGCACTTTGGGAGGCTAAGGCTGGTGAATCACTTGAGCTCAGGAGTTTCTGATCAGCCTGAACAACATGGCGAACCTCCATCTCTACAAAAAATTAAAAAGAAAATTAGCTGGGCATGGTGGCAGCTACTGGGGAGGCTGAGGTGGAAGGATTGCTTGAACCTGGGAGGCGCAGGTTGCAGTGAGCTGATATTGTGTCACTGCACTCCAGCCTGGGTGACAGAGTGAGACCCTGTCTTAAAAAAAAAAAAAAAAAAAGAAAGAAAAAGAAAACATTCTGCTAAGTGAAAGAAGACAGACACAAAATGCAACTGAATATGGCTCTGGATGCTTGCTGCTTGCAGAGTCCAATAAACAAGAGGAAGGTCTGGTAGAAAGAAAGTGATTTTAGGCTGGTCTGAGTGCAGTGGTGTTTACAACTCATTGATCACAACCAGTTACAGATTTCTTTGTTCCTTCTCCACTCCCACTGCTTCATTTGACTAGTCTTAAAAAAAAATTTTTTTTAAAGAAAATGATTTTATTAACCAAAACTAGTAAAGGGGAAGTGGCCGGATTCCCATCCAAAGCAACCACTTTGATTTTTGCGGGGAAGGCAGGGATTAAAAAAAAAAAGAAAGAAAGAAAAAAGAAAAAAAAATTGATAAGGCATGCAAGAATTGAGCTGTGTCTTGTTCTGGTGGCTAGCTCGGGTCCCAGTCCACCTGGATCTCAGGCTGGTGTCATCTCAACAATGGCTGGGTTGTTAACTAGCAACCTTGAAGTAATCTCTGGAATTTTGCAGCTGGGTCTCCAGACTTGGTTCATCTATCTCAAGATTAGCCCCTGGAACCTCTAAGAAGGCACATAATTAGACACTAGCATATAGTTAGATAAATGTGAAGGGAATATATACTGTAGGAAAGGGAGGGATGCGGAGTCTATTTTAAGGCTAAGACAGAAGGCTTCTGCAGTTCTCCTCAAGATTATACCTTAAAACCCAAGAGAAAAAGAAAAGTTTACAGGAGGCTGAGGCAGAAGAATCGCTTGAATGCGGGAGGCAGAGGTTGCTGTGAGCTGAGATCGTACCATTGCACTCCAGTCTGGGCAACAAGAGTGAAACTCTGTCTCAAAAAAAAAAAATAATAATAATAATAATAAATTAACTTAAAAAAAAAAGGCCGGGCGCGGTGGCTCACGCCTGTAATCCCACCACTTTGGGAGACCAACAAGGCAGGTAGATCACCTGAGGTCAGGAGTTCAAGACCAGCCTGGCCAAAATGGTGAAACCCATCTTTACTAAAAATATAAAAATTAGCCGGGCGTGGTAGCGGGTGCCTGTAATCCCAGCTACTTGGGAGGCTGAGGGAGGATAACTGTTTGAACCCAGGGGGCAGAGGTTGCAGTGAGCCGAGATCGTGCCATTGCACTCCATCCTGGGTGACAAGAGCGAGACTCTTGTCTCAAAAAAAAAAAAAAAAAAAGTTCAAGGCCAGGCGCGGTTGCTCACACCTTAATCCCAGCACTTTGGAAGGCTGAGAAGTTGGCGGATCACTCAAGTCCAGGAGTTTGAGACCAGCCTGGGCAACATGGTGAAACCCCATCTGTACAAAAAATACAAAAATTAGCCGGGTGTGGTGGTGCCCATCTTTGGTCCCTGCTACTGGGGAGGCTGAGGTGGGAGGATCACTTGAACCCAGGAGGTAGAAAAAAAATTTTAAATGCATTTTAAAGTTAAGGTGCCCGGTTACAAAAAGGGAACATATGGCCGGGCGCGGTGGCTCACGCCTGTAATCCCAGCACTTTGGGAGGCCGAGGCGGGCGGATGACGAGGTCAGGAGGTTGAGACCATCCTGGCTAACAAGTGAAACCCCGTCTCTACTAAAAATACAAAAAATTAGCCAGGCATGGTGGCATGTGCCTGTAGTCCCAGCTACTCGGGAGCCTGAGGCAGGAGAATCGCTTGAACCCAGGAGGCGGAGGTTGTAGTAAACCGAGATCAGGCCACTGCACTCCAGCCTGGGCGACAGAGTGAGATTCCGTCTCAAAAAAAAAAAAAAAGAACATATTCTATACTTCCACTTACATGAAATGTCTAGGATTAGTGGTTGCCAGGGCCTAGGGTGAGGGGTGAGTGGACAGTGACTGCTAATGAGTAGGGATTTCCTTGTGAGGTGACAAAAATGTTCTAAATTAGGTGGTGGCCATGGATGCACAACTTTGCGAATATACCAAAAACACTAAATTTTACACTTTAAACGGGTGAGTTTTAAAGAGGCTCTGGGAGGAAAACTCCAGGTACTCCGGCCTCGCCCCTCCGTTTGTCTTTTTGGCTGGAAGTCAGGAGCTTCTGTACCACCATAAGAATGGCTCCGCCCGCCTCCCCAGCCTGCCCCGCCCCTCTCGCGCGCCGGGCGGGCACCGATTTGCGCTTGCGCAGCGAGGTCGGGTTTACGTAGGCGCGAAGCACCGCCCTGCAGGGGCCCGCCGGGCGGAGGCTGCCAGGGAGTATGTTGGCTCCATGCGCCTGACGCCTTTCCGCCCCCAGCAGCGCCCGAGATGGGTTTTTTTTTTTTTGCCAAGCCCCACGGGGGTCTCCGGGCGAGGGGTGCCTCCCGACTCTCCCTGCCAAGCCATCTCCCCGCTTGTGGGTTCGCGCGCGGCCGCCCCGGGTGCCTCGCAGCTCGCGGGCTTCCTTCCACTTCCCCTCCCCTTCCCGGGGCTCACGGAAGCAGCCGCAGCCCAGCGGCGCAGGAGGGATGGGGCAGATAGAGGCGTCGGCAAACTCTTTCAGTCCAGGGCCGCACGAGAAGTAGTTTCTGCTTTGCAGGCCATCGGGTCTCATAAACACTCGGCCCTGCTGTTGTGGCAGGAGAGCGGACATAGACAATCATAACGAACGAGCGCGGCTGTGTGCCAGCAGAACTATTTATGGACACTGAAATTTGAACCCGTGTAATTTTTACATGTTATGAAATAGTCTTTTTTTTTTCAACCACCTAAAAATATAAAAACCATTTTTTAGTGTGCTGTATGTAACAAAAACAGGCAGCATAGTTTGCTGACTCCTGCCTTTGAGGCAGGTTTGGGAAGGGGGCCCCTTTACCCCCAGGGAAGGTTCCGCAGACACAACGAGGCTGAGAGTATTGCTACGATTTGTGGACTAGGTTCTCTGCATCCATCATCCTCCTCTATCCAACCTGATGAGAAAGGGCACTCACCACCTGAGGACCACCCTAGTTCATCTGTTTTTTTTTGTTTTGTTTTTGTTTTTGAGACAGGGTCTCACTCTGTTGCCTAGGCTGGATTGCAGTGGTGCAATCTCGGCCTCCTGGGCACAAGCGATCCTCCCACCTCAGCCTCCCAAGTAGCTGGGACTACAGGTGTGCACCACCACGCCCGGCTAATTTTTGTTTTTTGTAGAGATGGGGTTTCGCCATGTTGCCCAGGCTGGTCTTGAACTCCTGGGCTCAAGTGATCCTCCCACCTCAGCCTCCCAAAGTGCTGGAATTACAGACGTGAGCCACCGCGCCTGGCCCCTGGTTCATCTTTGCAAACTATCTCATGATCTCATTTAATTTTATTTCAATTAACTTTTTGTGGGGCAACCTAATTTTTTTTTTCTTTTGAGACAGGGTCTCACTCTGTCGCCCAGGCTGTAGTGCAGTTAGCACCATCACTGCTCACTGCAGCCCCGACCTCCCAGACTCAAGGGATCTTCCCACCTCAGCATCACCCCTCTGCCCTGGTAGCTGGGATTGCAGATGCGCACTACCATGCCTGGCCATGTTGCCCAGGCTGGTGTCAAACCTAATTCTTTTAAAATTTATTTTATTTTTATTATAGCAAACAGAAAACCTGATGCTTTTGAATCAAAAGTTGGCCTTCTTGCAGCTTTCCATTTCTATCACTAATTACAGCCTCTGTGACAAAGCTGGTTCAAAGAGCCGAGCCGTGAGCCCAACATAGGAGTAGAAGACAGAATGCTGTCCCAGCGTCCCAGCGACTGGCTCAGCCCACTTTACCAGAATTCCCCTCCTCCCAGCTTACCTTGCTAAAGTGCAGATACTCAAGAGAGGGGTGGCACAGGTGCAACTGACATGTTACACTTGGCATTTGTGGGTTTGCAGAGTGAAGTGTGGGGTCAGGATTTAGGCCAGCACTATTCAGTAGAAATATAACCTGAGCCGGCCGGGCGCGGTGGCTCACGCCTGTAATCCCAGCACTTTGGGAAGCCGAGGCGGGAAGATAACGAGGTCAGGAGATTGAGACCATCCTGGCTAACACGATGAAACCCCGTCTATACTAAAAATACAAAAAATTAGCCGGGCGTTGTGGCGGGCGCCTGTAGTCCCAGCTACTCAGGAGGCTGAGGCAGGAGAATGGCGTGAACCCGGGAGGTGGAGCTTGCAGTGAGCAGAGATCGCACCACTGCACTCCAGCCTGGGCGACACAGCGAGACTCCATCTCCAAAAAAAAAAAAAAAAAAAAAAAAAAAAGAAATATAACCTGAGCCACATGTAATTCTAAATATTCTAGTAGCTACACTTTAAAAAGCAAAAATAGGCCGGGCACCTGTAATCCCAGTACTTTGAGAGGCTGAGGCGGGCAGATCACGAGGTCAGGAGTTCGAGACCAGCCTGGCCAACATGGTGAAACCCGGTCTCTACTAAAGATAGAAAAAAAAATTAGCCGGATGTGGTGGCGTGTGCCTGCAATCCCAGCTACTCGGGAGGCTGAGGCAGGAGAATTGCTTGAACCTGGGAGGTAGAGGTTGCAGTGAGCCGAGATTGCACCATTGCACTCCAGCCTGGGCTACAGGGCGAGACTCCGTCTCCAGAAAAAAAAAAAGCTTGGTGTGAGGTTCTACGATGGGGGAGGTGGCCACTCAGCTCGCAGGTCTGGGAAATCTGGGCTGAGTTAAGGTGTGGGAGAGCAGCTGCAGGAGGTGCCCCACTGCCAGCCAACACAGGCTGCCTACCCGCCCTACCCCCAGGCACACCCAAACTATTGTACTCCTCCTGGGGCAGATTGGAGAGGTGCACAGAATGAGTTAAGTTCCACATTTATTGGTCTACGCATGAAGTTTTCCCCTGCACCTTAGCGTGTGCCTTACCTAGTCTGTCAGTGAGGCTGCACCGGGCTTGCTGGTGGAAGGGGGCAAGTTGTAAAGTTTTGGAACAGGAGGGCCCGCAATAGAGACCCAAGTGTGCCAGTAGGGCATGTCCCCTGACCTCTCATGTTGGGGAGAGGGGCTAGAAGGGGAAAGGCAAAGTAGCATAAAATTTCAAGGACCCACAGCTCAAAACAGAGGGGGACTGTAGTTCCTAGGAGAAGCAGGAGCTTCATCATTTCAAGCTTTTAGATGATGAACTTTCTGGACACCTCATTTGGGGATCGAGAGGCCTTTGTCCTTTTGATTCCCACCATCCCTCCTGCCACCACATGCACTCTGAGCCTCACTCCATGGAGGGGCTTCCGTCAAACTCTCCTGCAGTACCGGAGGGTCCCCCCTGGGGACTGCTCCTTCTGGGAATGTCTGACAGTCACCAGGTAGGAGTAGGAACATCTGGAGGCAGGGGCACCCCACTCTTCCCCCTCAAAGATTGGCTTCTCAGAGACAGCTGCGAGGCAGAGGGATATCTTGAGCATCCTTTCCCCCACAGTCAAACACTTGTTTGGGCTGGTTAAGACTCTTCCCCAGGCCCGGCCACACCTGATTCTGGGGGAGCAGTTTGGGCTGGCTGCCGGAGGTGGCATTTCTGTGTGCTTCTGTCCACCTCTGCCCTTTGAGCCGACCCCTCGGGTCCTCCAGTTCCCAAGACAGAGCAGTGGGAGCCTGGCACTCGGAGAGTAAAACTGGGGCGAGCTACACAGGAGCACAGACAAACATCAGTCACCAGAGGTTCTCCAAGGACGAAGGTCACACAGGGTCTCCTGAGAGGAAAACACCAAGGTCCAGATACGGGGCTCTGGCCCACAGCCAGTCAGGGCAGGAATGTGGGGCCTGTGGCTCCACGCCAGGAGAAAACTCTCAAGGAAAAAG
Source organism: Homo sapiens (assembly GCF_000001405.40). Classification (NCBI taxonomy): domain Eukaryota; kingdom Metazoa; phylum Chordata; class Mammalia; order Primates; family Hominidae; genus Homo; species Homo sapiens. Next base: position 153,780,186 of record NC_000001.11, on the reverse strand, counting down.
CAGTTCCACAGAGAGATAATGACAGATACTGTAGGTCAGAGACAGCTGGATCAGCTCCAGCCACATTTATTACAAAATAGTGACCGCAGTTCTGGTATAGAAAAGATCCCTGACAGCCCAGTACACCTGCAACGGCCCCCACCCCACAGAGTTCCTCTCTCAGGTGCCTCAGGTGTGGAAGTTCTCAGATTCGAAGGTTTCCTGCCAGGAGGGCGCTGTACCGGGCAGTTGTGAGGGGCAGGTAGGCACCTACAGCCTGGTCCAGAACGTACAGTGGGTCAGACAGGGTGCTGGGGTCGAAGCCCTCATTTGCCATCCGAACTTTCTGCTGTTTGAAGGTCTCTGTGGTGGCCAAAGACTCCTGGGGACAGGAGGGTCAGGGATTTGGAGGGAAGGGGACTCTGCCCACGTGGTTCAGGGGAGTTGCCTGAATTTTGTTAAGGAGCAAGTCTTGGGAAAGGGAGTGTGAGGTCAAGGTTTAGGGGAGGAGGTGACAGGGAGGAGAAAGAGCCAGGCCAGAAGAAGGCAGGGATAAGGAAAGAAGTGGGGTGAAGAGCTTGTGTCTCCGTGTTTTTTCTCTTCACGGAGTGTATTACGTTGGGGGTCCCTTTGTGGAGTTTGGGAGCCATCAAACTCCTAAGTTGATACACGGGGTGGATATGTGGGGTGAGGATATATGGGGTGAGGGGCCGGCGGGGGAAGTGGCCGGTTACCTGGAGCCTGAGGAATCGGGGCCGGGCATAAGGTGGCAAGTTCTCAGACACGTGGGTGTAGAGCTGCATAAGGTCCAAAGCGTGGGGGGGACGCAGAACTAGGGCTGCCATTCCAGCCCTGCCTTCATGCCCTGGTGGGTGTGGGAGACAGAGTAAGCCCCTCCATGGCTGACCACCACGAAGGCCTCGTGCTCCCTGCGCCCAAGTACTACCAATTCGGGGTGGTGGCTGGGTGCCTCCCCCACCTTCCATGCCTAGGCACCTGGCACAGTGACTCCATAGACGTTCACCTCCTGAAGAAAATCTAGGGCCTCGAAGACCTCTGCCACCTCGGTTGTGGCCACATTCTCCCCCTTCCACCTGTCAGAGAGCAGAGATCTGAAACTGGGAGTCAGGGGTCAGGGCCTTATGGGCTTGGTGGGGAGATGAGGTCAGAGGTCAGTGTCACAGGGATGAAATGGTGAGATCTGAGAATGAGAGATTAGCTTAGGACCCAGGTTGAGGTGGCAGATTAGAGAGTTGAGGTTCAGAAGCTTTGGATCACAGAGATCAGATGTCCAGGATGAAAAACCAGTTATGGACAGATACCTGAAGGTGTCTCCAGTACGATCATGGAAGCGGAGAAAACCTTGGTCATCGCAGACCAGCAGGTCCCCAGTGTTGAAGAAAACATCCCCAGGCCGGAAGACATCCTTTAGCAACTTCCCCTGGGCCAGCTCTGGCCCGCCAGCATAGCCCAGGAATGGGGACTGCTGGCTTACCGGGGCCACCAGCAGCCCTGGCTCACCTGGCAGAGTCACCAGGGTCAGGAGTGGTGTCACCTTTCCCAGAGCCTTCTGCCCCCATCCACCCCAGTCTCCAATTCCAGTCCTCCTGTGCCAGCTTCAGCACCCCGCCCACCCCACCAGAACACCACCAACCTGGAGATGTGGCCATACAGTGCCCCTGGGGGTCCCGAATTGGCTCTCCTGTGGTGACATCATAGCGAATCAAGGAGAAGGGGAAGATATGCTGGGGAAAGGGAGACCTGGGTACTGGATCATTGCAGTCACATGAGCCCCCTCTCCTGCCAGCCCTCTGCTGTTCCACGGGTTTTCAGTTTCCTCTCTGCCCCTCACCTTGTAAAGCCAGGAAGCACGCCCCACAGCGCCCCGCTGTCCTGTGTAGTTGATGGTGGCCACGTTGCCCTCTGTCAGTCCATATGTCTCCAGCACCTGCAGGGGCCCGAAGCGCCGCACAAAACGCTCCCAGGTATCTGGGCGCAGCCCGCTGCCCACTGCCAGCCGGACCTTATGGCCACGTTCTGCCTTGCTCTGAGATGAGTGGGAGAGGGGCCGGAGCTTCAGCATCAAGATGCCCGCTCCCGGAAGTGAATTCCTGTTCCCCATTCCCCAGAACCCCCTCCTACTGTGACCTCCTTCAGAGGCCGTAAGCATCAGATGGCCTAGGCCATCTCTGGCTCCTTATCTTACACTGCCATTTTCTTCTTGCTGCTTCTCCCTCCAACTCCCTGTCTCCTGTCAACTGTCCTGCTCCCCGTGAGCTAGCCCTGTGTCAGCAGCTCTGCCCAGGATCTGTGCCCACGCACCGGGGGCTGGTTGACAAGGTATCGGCACAGCTCCCCAATGTACTGGAACACCGTCACCCTGTGCTGCTGGCAATCTTCCCAGAACTGACCAGCCGAGAACTTGGATTTCAGCACCACTGTGGCCCCTGCCAGAAGTGGGCAGGGGGGAAGAAGGGAGGTAAGATTAGGAGCAGAGTGGGGAGCCCAAGCCCCTCTTTCCAGACCCCAGCCATCACTGTAGTCTTTCCCTGGGAAGGGCCCACTGTGGGAGTCACACCGTCAGGAAGCCGTGCTGGCCCTCTTTCCCCTCCCCCGGCCCCTGTCCCCAGCCTTAGAAGAGGTGAATGCCCTTTCCCTACTTCCCAGCCCCAAAGATCTCATCCTCCACACTCTCACTTCCTTGTCTCTCTCTCCCTCTTCTCTTACTTGCCTGTTCCTGGACTGACACAGTCCTTCCCTGCCTTTGACCCTGCAGCCTGGAGTTATGTGGCTGTATGGCCCCCCTCACCGTTCCTCAGTCTGTAGGTCTAGGCAGGTGACATTGCCCTATTGTACAGAGCTCCTGGTGAGTAGGGCTCTGCCCCATCCGTCCTCTAGATTATCTACCCTGGAGGACTCACACCATAGTACGTGCTTAATAAATGTCTACTGGATGAATTAATGAAGGTGGGGTTGGGGAGACTGACCAATGCCCATGCAGCCCACGATGCCCAGCAGGGAACCGGACATGTGGTAGAGTGGGAGGGCGAGGTAGATCACATCTTCCTGGTGGACACCACACAGCTGATAGAAGCCCTGGCATTGCAGGATCTTCAGATGACTGATCCGAGCAGCCTTGGGGAGGCCTGTGGGGTGGCAGTTATGGGACGATCAGGGGAAGGGCAAACTCCAAGCTCTACCTATCTGTTTGCACCCCCGCTGGGTTTCCCACAGAAAGAGGCGGAGGCAGGACAGAAGCTGAGGACCGAGACCAGGCTGTCCTGGAAATATGGGTGGTCTGGGGGAGGTGGAGAAATGAGTAGGAGGTGAGGAGACTGGGGAGTGAAATGATGGGGAGAAAAAGGATGTGCCAATGAAATCAGCATCCTCTCTGGGGGCTTTGAAGGAGTGGTCTGGGAGCAGACCCCTGCCTTCCTCTGCCTTGGTTTCGGGGAGCTAAGTATGGTGCCCGGCCCTCACCCGTGGTGCCAGAGGTGAAGATGTACAGGCACGTGTCTGTTATGCTCTGGGGGGAAGAGAGGTATCCTGGCACTGGCCCATCCACTTCAGCGGACACTTCAGCCAGCAAATCGCTAATTCCAGCAGGGTGGGTTCCTGGGCCTGCAGCCCACAGGTGGAGCCCCATGGCTCTCAGGGCGGGCAGGTCCGGCTCCAGGGACTCCAGAAACTCTAGAAGGGTGGGAAAGCACAACGCCGGGGCCCTGGCTCTACCTAGAAGAGCCTATGACCCATGTCCCCTCCCTATCCCAGCCCACACTGCTCTTGGATGAGGGTGAAGGGTATGGACATTCCATCTTGGGTCTGAGGCCTGGAACTCGACTCCTTGGGGATCCTTGGGGCACCAAAGATTCAGCCTCATCCCTTCTCAAACCCGGAGACTCCTATCTCCACCCACTTTCGAACCCCAAGGGATAGTCGGCTTCTTCCCAGGCCCAGGGATGAGACCAAGCCTTTCTGTGGTCTCCGACACGCCCCCTTCTGTGGCTGGCCCCGCCTTAGTCAGTTCGGAGCTCCAGCCTTACCTGGCGCCAGCACCAGCGCGCGCGCGCCGCAGCTGCGGAGGCAGTGCAGCAGGGGGCCCCGGCGCAGGGCGGTGGGCACAAAGGCAGTGCGCAGGCCGGCCTTGGCCAGCCCGAACCAGAGCCACAGAAACTCTGGGCCAGCGGGGAGGAGCAGCGCCACAGTTGCTCCAGGTGACAGAGGGGCGGCGGCTCCTCCACCTCTGGCGGCACCGTCCCCTCCGGCAAACTCCGCGCCGCTTCCGGCCGCTGCATCTCCGGCTCCCGGCGCTGCCCGCTCGCCTTCTCCAGCGCTCCCCTCGCCGCTGTCGCCGCCGTCGGGTCCCCAGTCCCAGCCTAGCGCACGTAGGAAGGCGCGTGCAGCCCTGTTACTCTCGCGCTCCGCCTCTGAGTAGCTAAAGCGCCGCGAGCCGTGAATGAGAAAGGTGTGCGCGGCGCGCTGCTGGGCCAGTTCCGCGAGGCGCCAGGCCAGGCTGCAGCCCCCCTCGGGACCTTCCGGGTCGGCGGCAGCCGCGGCCAGGGCGCGAGCTCGAAGAGCCCTTTTGCAGCACAGAGCTCGCACCGCAAAGGCCAAGTCCGCCGGAAGCCAGCGCAACTGCGGCCAGAGGTGTAGCTTCAGCAGCAGCAGCGGTAGCAACAGCAGCAGGGGCAGCAGCAGGAGGGCAGCCATGGAGCCCGCTTCCTCTATCGGCACCGTCTGGTTCCAGCCGCTCGCAAACATCCCTGATCCTCCCTTCCGAAAACCTAGGGCCGCTCGTTCTAGCTGAGACTTCTCCTTCCAGGGAGCGCGCGTGCGCTGGCACACGCCCATTCCCACCCAGGCCCCCACCACTCCACACGGGCGGAGAGCAGAAACCCGGGAGGAGTGCGGGTGTGGGGCGGCCCCGGACTCCCAGCCCTCCCCCCACAGCCTACGCTCCGCCCTAGGCGCGCTCCCTCCCGGACTGCTCGCGGCTCGCACCCTACCAGGTCCTGGGCGGTGCTCGCGCCTTCCCTGAATCCCAGGGTTATGTCTGTCTTCTAAGTTGTTTCTCGGCTTGGGCGGTTTAGGCATCTGGCTAAGCCCTAGAGTCCAGGCCTGAGAGCCAGGGCGTTTGGATCGCAGTCCATCTTCCCCTCAATATTTCTCGTTTTCCCGTTAAGGGAAGGTACCATTGCTCTCTCCCAAAAGAATGAACTTGGCCCCTGGCCCATTTGGTTCTGCAAGTCCCGGCCTGCCAGCCGCAACCCCAGGGGATGGGTGGGGGCTGAGAGTTAAATAGGGGAAAGGTGGAAACCCAGACTGCCAGATTTCTGAGGGGTCACGACAGAGGCCCCTCCCTTTGGGCAAGGGTACAATAATTGGGGCCAGCCAGCAAATGCTCTCCATCCTGGTTTTAATTGGGACAGAGGAAACTGGGGAAGGAGAGAGGAAGGAAAAAGAAGCCTCCAGTGGTTTAGACTTTCAAAGGAAGCAACAGCAGTGATGAGGGAGGGGAGAACCTGGATTCTGTAAAAAGACAAATTTTCGGGGTGAAGAGGAGCAGCTCTGTGCAGTTCGCCCAAACTTCACTCCTCAGTCCACCTCCATTCTCCCTGGACAGCGGGGGAACAACAGCATAGCCAAGGAACTCTCCTCTGCTGGTTCACATGGCCCAGCAAGTGGCCACACTGTGGAAGGAAGAGCATCTCTGTCCCTCCCTGGTATCCAGACTTTATCTCCAGGTACAGTTGTCCCTGGAGACCAAGCTGGAGCATCCCTCCCGTCAAGCAGCGAGTCCTCCGGCCATTCTTGGTAGGCACACAGACTTCAACTGGAGGATGACAGACCTTTTGGAAGCATCTTGTTTCTTGAGAAATGAGTAAGGACAGGCCTCATCCTACGGGGGATGGTTCTGCATAGACAGATCAGTGCCTGGCTCCCACCTCCAGTGGCAGCAGGAAGGATGGGTAGTGGCCAAAGCCAAGTCCCTTCTGCTCTAGACAAAAGTGGGGGCAGAACAGGAAGGGAAAGGGGGATGTTCTGCGGTTACAAGTAGGGGTGCCAATCAAATCAAGACCAAGCTATACATGCACGGGGCAAATGCCAGCAGACACTCCAGCACAAAAGACATTCTGGCTTGTTTTATTGTCATTTAAAAACAACTTTTAAGACACGATTATCTCTGCCAAAAAAAAAACAAAAAAAAACAAAAAAAAAAACAGACTCAAGGAAATGGGATCATTTGACAATTCTGTGAAACTTGCCTCTGGGACTCCCTGGGCTCTGGTGTAGATTGAGGTGCCAACCTCAGACCAACCTAAGCCTCCAGGGCACACCACGTGGGGCTGTGGCCACCCTTTCAGACTCCTTTCTGAATGCTTGTGGCATCTGCCCCATGATTAGGAATGGACACCCTGACCACGTCATAGATGCCCATTTCACACTGGCATGTGGATAGTGACTATAAAACGTCCCTTCAGAACAAACCAAGACCTGAAGGGGAAGCAGGAAGGGACACCCACACACTGAGTCTCTGCTCTCATCCTAGCTTATCTGGCCAGCTGCCCCTTTGTCATTTCCCTTCTCTGTTGAAATGGCTCTTTGGGAGACTGGGGGAGGAGATTGCGGAAGGGGCCAGGGGGCTGAGGACTTCCACTATGGTCTGATTTTACAGAGCCTCTGGCTTCAGTCAGATCCCAAATATCACTGGGAACAGCAGTGTGAGGGGCTGGAGGCCCCAGGAGGAGGGAAGGGGCTAGGGGCTGCATGGCAGCTTCTCAAACTCAGCCAGAGGAGAAAGCTCCTCCTTCCACCGGGGGAGCTTGGGGATGCAGCAAGGGTGTTTCCCCTGCAATCTCCTCAGCCTCTATTAACCTTTGAATCACCAAGAAGGAGAGGGCAGTCCAGCCGGGGGTGGGATGGGGAATGCAGGGCCTCAGTCACTGTCAGAGCCCACTGCAGAGGACCCTTTTCGTTTCCGCTTGGTAGGCTTCGGTTTCGTGTCTTCCTCTTCCTGGAAGAGATGGGAGGGGAAATGGGAAGTTAACAGCCTGGGCAGCTGCTGGCGCCGACTCCACCTGCACCCAGTGCTCCTTTTCCCCCTGTGCACTGGCTGGGTTCTCACTGAAGCACTGCTGGAGCCCGACTCTTCTTCGGCATTGGGGGGCTGTGTGGCATTCTTTCGACTTCGAGGGCTGGACAGAGCTGCTTTTCGCCGGCTCTTGGGTGGCTTGGTGGAAGAGTCCTCATATTCCTCCGCCAGGGAGAAGAGATCACTGAATCTAAGGAAAAGGAGCGGTAGCTCTTTGAGTGGGAGCCTGCTGCTCCTACGGCACCTCCCATCCTCTTCTCTGCCCCCAGGCCTAGGCCTTCTTTTTCTTCAACCCTGGACCCTAAGGTCTTGCTGGCCATTACGTTTATGTCCCTAGCAGGCTTCCTCTCCCTTAGGCTTTTCCCCTACTACTTTCCAAGGCCCAAAGTGGCAGGAGCCTCACTTCATCTTGTGGGCTTCGTCACAGCTCGCTTGGACATGCTGCAGCGCCTGGAGAATTGGCGTCTGGCTAAAAACTAGAGGAAGAAAAGGGAGAGCAGGGAAGGAAAAACAATCAGATGTCTGGGAGCTTATTAAACAGCACGCACAGGTTGTTTTATCCCGAGTGTGGGTTGTGGCCCCGGGTGTCCTGCCCCTGCCCCCAGCCTGGCTCCAGGCATAGTCTGGGCCAGGGCAGCACCGTCTACACTGGACGCCGAGGGTGGAAGGCATACAGTTCTGCTTGGTGTTGGTCAGGTTGAGCCGCAGATTGTCCAAGTGCTCCAGGATCTGCTCCAGAGTCAGCTGGGCCAGCTTGCTGCTAGAGCTCCTCAGGCTGTGCAGGAATCACCAGAGCCAGAGTCTGAGTGTGGGAGGGTTCCAGAGTGCGAGACACCCTCCACCCGCCAGGGCCCCCTTAAGACAGAGGCAGCCTACATGGGGAACAGGATAGGCAGCCTGGGAGGGCTGGGGTTGGGTGAGAAAGGTGTGCCTAGAACAGGGGATCCTGGCCACAGGGGCACTGGAAGATGGGGAGAAAGGGCCACGGTGGTCTCGCATGCCATGTGGCTTCGGACCACTAGATGTCGCCCACAAACCAGGCTGGGACAGCACTGACCCCCATCACCACCACCACCACCACCACCACCACCACCGACAGCAATCACTGCAGACCGCCATGGCCTGGAGGGTAGACAGGGACCGTGTCCCACCTCTGTCTCTTGCGAGGCAGGCTGTTGTTCTTGATGAGCAGGGACTTGATGTGCTCGGCCAGCAGCTCGTCATGTTTCATGCACCAGTGCCGCAGGATGCTGGTGGTGAACTGGTCGTCAGGATGGCAGGGCCGGCTCAGCACCATCTTCACCATCTCCTCGCTGGGCCTGGGGGAGGAAGGGGGCACTGGGTGCTGCTTGCACAGTGGCCGCAGGGCATGCTGGGTCTCTCCCACTTATTTCCCAAGCCCTGGCCTCCCCACCCACCCACTACTCTCACATCCCTCTCCCTCTTCTCCTTAGGCCAAGGAATGCCTGGTTTCATCCTCTGTGGAAGCCAGGAGAGAAGAAGTGAGATTCTTCACTTGCTGTGGTAGGAGAAGGCGTGTGCGTGTGTGTGTTGGGAAGGAGGACCCTCAGTTCTCCTCCTCCTCCCCTAGAACAGTCAGGGAGTGGGCCTGGGAGGCAGAAGCACAAGCATGTGGCATGCAGATGCTCCCCTACCCCTACCCTGCTAAAGCTGTGGGCCAACCTGGCTTCCAGCTGGAGGAAGGGGGCAGGAGAGGGTTGTGAAGTCACAGCCCCATACAGCCTCCAAGCTTCCCACTTCCTCTAGGACACTCTGTACCATTTATAGTCTCTCAGGCAAGAGAGCAGAAAGGGTGGAAGGAAGGCAGAAAGGTAGGAAGGATAAGATACACAGCTGCTGCCCCATTTATCGGGGGATGTTGCTAAAGGGCTTTGCGGGAAGAGGGGGCTGCCACCCTCTCCCTCTCTGCCCCACCCTGTCAAGGCACAGTAGGTCCAGCTGGCTCTGCTCTGCACAGGGTGAGGGAGAGGATGGTGCGTGACCCCTCTACCCTGACCCTCCCTCCTCTTGGATTAGCTGTGCGGTGGCCAGCAGGAGCATGGGGCGGTGGGGGGGGCGCGGCGGGGAGCAGGAGCCACCAGGGATTAGAACTGCTGTGGCAGCAGGAAACAGGGATGTCCGGTCCCCACCTCCCCACCTCCGAGGGCAGCTCCTGGTGGGCAGGGGGGTAAAGTCGAGAGGAAGCCCAGATCCCAGGGGAGCTGCTCATTTGTAAGTCACGTTGGGGGAAGGGCAGAATAAGCAGATGTTAACGACAGGAAAAAATATGGCAATAAGGAGGAGGACAGAAGCCCTTTAGACCACAGCAGCTCTTGGGATGTTAAAATTGAGGGCTAAAGAGCCCCAGAAGTGGAACTCACTTTTCTCTTCGGAGTTGAAGCAGTAGGCAGGACAGGGCCTCTGGGTGCTCTGTGAGGGAAGGGCAGAGGCTGTTCAGGGGGAAGGTATGATTCCAGGATGGAATCTGGGGACCTCTCTCATCCCCCAACAGCCACTGGAGGGAATAAGGACAGTCTTTGATGAGGAGCCAGGAAGAATCCCCTACCCCACTCCTATCAGTCCCTGAGCCACCTGAGCCCCAGCCCAGAGCCTGGCTCATGGTGGGCCCACAGGACTCACCTAAAGAACAAAAGTGGCTGACAGAGAGCCTGCCCTTGTGCACTTTGGTGGGAAGGAGGACAATGGATCTGGGCTCATCCTAGAAGCCTAGAGGCCTCAGCCTTGCCCTAACTGTATAGGAAGTGTCATATCTGATGTGCTCCCTACCCAAAAGCCTACTCACCCTTGTATTTGAGGTGCTGCAGGATGGGGATTATGGTCTCCAGGGGAATATTGTGGGCCAGAAAGAGCTGCCAGGCACAATACTGCTCAAAGGTCTCCCAGTCTAGGCTCTGAACTGGAAGAGACAAAAGAAACATCTCTCTCAAGAATGAACAAACGAACACACACACACACACACCCCCCCCACCCCCCCATCCACTGACTACCAGCACACACACACACACACACACACACACACACACACACACACACACCCCAATCCACTGACTACCAGCACCCCAAGCAGGGATGTTACAGAGGTAGGACAGATCCAGAAAGATACTGCCCCAGACCGCACCAGGGTGGAGTACAATTCTCTCCCCTTAACTTCCCAGCCCCAGAACCAGCTTTCCTGATAGTGTAAAATACACAGGACTGACACCCTGCCCTCCTCTCCTCTCCCAGGCACCTAAAGATTTGATCACTTACTGAGTATGTTGAGAACTGAGTCTTTTCGAAACATAACCAGGTTACCCATCATCACGTGGCAGACCAGCTCCTGGAGCTAAGGAGGTGGAGGAAGGAGGCAGAACCCATCAGCTCTGAAAGGGGCCAGGAAGCTAGTATGGAGGGGGACGCAGGAGGGCTCGTAAGGGAAAAAAAAAAATTAGAGGAAGTGAAGGCCCAGTTTAAAGGAATGGGAAGGAGATGGCACACAACGAATGCTGCCATCTCTGAAGGATGAAGGGGCTGATAAAGTAAGGCCTGAGTGGGAACCTTAGGACTATTTTGGGCAAAAATAGTTACAGCCTTGGTCTAAGCCTGAGGAGGAAAGGACCCTGAGAGGCTGGGCTCTGGATGTAGGTTGGGCAGGGTAAAGACAAAGGAAGGAGGATTCTTGGGTGCTAAGCTTCCTCTTTTATGAATGAGAACTAAGTGGAGAGGAGGAGAAATGGGATCCCAGTGCAGGCCTCAGAAGGACCCGAGCAAAGCTACAGCCTCTTGGGGACCTTATGCATGGTAAAAAGGTCAAGTAGAAATGGTCTGACCATTTTCATTCCGAGCCAAAGGAAAGGCCAGTTGAGAGCTAAAATCACAACCCCCTCAGCTTTTGCTGTGGAACAGGAGTGCCCAAAGAATATGGAGAATAAGGGGAACTCCAGGCAGGATTGGCCTAACCTCAGCCTGCCTTGCTTGTGTTCCACTTTTCCTTCCCAGGCCCCATGGCTGAAAGCGCACACCACTGTAGCCAGGAGGGAGGGTGCCTGGGAGGCATGGGCTCCCTGTCTGCAGGCCTGGAGGGAGAGCAGAGGCCCTATGTCCCTAATGCTGCCTCCCAGATCTTCTGGGGAGGTCAGAGCTCAATGTTCACCTGTGCAGAGTCAATAACAGCCACGATCATGTTCAGCAGCTCTCCGCTCCTCAAGGTTTCATCTGGAAACTAAATGGAAAAAGAGAGGGGAAGAGTCCTGGATGGGCTCCTCAGCTTTTATCCCATAGCCCACTCTCCTTCCTTATTACATCTCAAGGTTTGACTGGGTCAGCCAGACACAGGCCCTAAAATAAACCCCTAAACAGAGATCCAACAGCTATGATGCTGGAAGACTTCAAGAACTTGAAGCCCCCAAGTTTTGTTATTTATGTGTGCACACCATCAGGGGTGTGGGTTTTCTCTGATACTTCCCAAAGCATGTGTGTACAGAAAGGAATGGGGAACTACTAGAGATAAAGCCAGAGCTGAGAGGACTGGCCATGGTGGCTGATTCTGTGTGGGAGCAGTGGTAGAATAAATATTTGCATCCCTGGCAGCAAAGAAGTCCAACCTGTGCTGACCTTTGGCCAAAGAGGTGGTGTAGAGAGTTTATGTCTGGAGGTGTGTGGGGTAGGCAGGGCCTCATCTAGAGAAGGGGGAGGAAAGTACCCTGTGTCCAGGATCTGCACCCCTCCTCCCTCCAGTACTCGGCTGAGATCACAGTTCCTCCTGTCATGCCCTGGGTCCTTATTTCCCTCTTCCTGGGAACTTCTACCAAGAGGAGAAAGGGCCGATACCTGTTATGTCCCAGTTCCTAGAGTGTGAGTGAACCAGGGGAAATGAAAGTGAGTCTCCACTACAGAAGCCCTGGTCATCAGGAACTATCAGAGAGAATCCAAGCAAGGGTGAGCCATCAGAGGACAAGAGGGCCTGGGACATATGAACATGGATCTGGTTTGTGGGATCTGTCCTGGGTCCAGATGATGGGGCCCAATCTGAGAAGCCAAGTATATAGGCTCAGACCCCAACGCACATCAGTTACACCAAAGTATAGGAATTCAGGGAGTTTTAGAAATGTTTCAACCACTAATAAAGAGAAGTGGAAGGAGGGGACAGCTGTGAGTGTGGGAAGCAATGGCCCACCTAGGTTAGTGGGGATGAACAAAAGAGGGTTCAGGGTTGTGTGTACTCAGAGTGTTCACTGAGGTGTGTTCCTGTGAGCCCCCCGGCACAGATACGGATGCAGGCACTGACCTCTGTGTAGATGGAGGGCGTGAGGTGGCACAGGAGCCGCACATCGTCCTCCTGGCAGGCCTTCATGTCCATCATCAGGCAGGTGTGCAGATCGCCCAGCTGGGTAGCCTGGGCAAATGACTCGTACAGGTTCATCTTCCCTGCGGCGGCTTTGCTGCAAGACCAGCTGGGCCTGAGCCAGCAGCCTGACCCCAGTGCCCACCTTCAAGCATCCCCGAAGCAGGCTCCCGCTCTAAAACTGCTTTGCTGGCTCCAGATGCCCTGTGCTAATCTGCCTCATGTCCCTCCCAACTGCCTCCCACAGGGGCTTGATAACTCAGGGGAACCAGGGGATACTCTTCTTTCTGTCCATCCTTCCCCAGAGCTCAAAAGGGCTCCAACCACGATCAGTGAGTGAAGCTACTGCCGGATGAGAGTCAGGAACAGAAGAGGGAGGGCTCAGGTCAGGCTGGAGAAGGCTTTCTCTCTTGCTTTCTGGGCTCTAACCATGAGGGCAGTGACACCTCACAGCATATACAAACTTAGCTCAAAATGGCTTGTAGGCCTAAATGTAAGAATTAAAGCCACACAACTTGTAGAAGAGAAAACAGGAGTAAATCTTCATGACAACAAAAACACAAGTGGTAAAAGAAAAAAATAGACAAATTTAGCTTCATAAAAAGTTAGCACTTTTTGTTCAAAAGATGCTATCAAAAAAGTTAAAACTCGCAGAATGGAAGAAAAAATATTTGCAAATCATTATGTCTGAGACTTGCATCCAGAATATATAAAGAACACTTTTGGTATGCAACAAAATCTTAAAAACATTCTTGAAAGTTGGCCGGGTATGGTGGCTCATGCCTGTAATCCCAGCGCTTTGGGAGGCAGAGAAGGGCGGATCACCTGAGGTCAGAAGTTCAAGACCAGCCTGGCCAACCAGCCTGGCCAACATGGTGAAACCCTGTCTCTACTAAAAATACACACACAAAAAGTTAGCCGGGCGTGGTGGTGTGCGCCTGTAATTTCAGCTACTCAGCAGGCTGAGGCAGGAGAATTGCTGGAACCTAGCATGCGGAGGTTGCAGTGAGTGGAGCTCGCGCCACTGCACTCCAGTCTGGGCAGCAGAGCGAGACTCTGCCTCAAAAAAAAAAAAAAAAAAAATCTTAAAAGTCAATAATAAAAAGACAAATAACTCAATTAAAAATAGGAACATTTTTGAATAGATATTTCTCCAAAGAAAATATACAAATGGCTGGGCCCGGTGGCTCACGTCTATAATCCTAGTACTTTGAGAGGCCGAGGTGGGCAGATCACCTGAGGTCAGGAGTTCGAGACCAGCCTGGCCAACACAGTGAAACCCCATCTCTACAAAAAAATACAAAAATTAACTGGATGTGGTGGCGTGCACCTGTAGTCCCAGCTACTCGGGAGGCTAAGGCAGGAGAATTGCTTGAACCCAGGAGGCGGAGGTTGCAATGAGCTGCGATCATACCACTGTACTCCAGCCTGGGTGACAGAGCAAGAATCCATCTCAAAACAAACAAATAAACAAAACAAAAATTAGCTGGGCGTGAAGATCTGTGCCTGTAATCCCAGCTACTCGGGAGGCTGAGGCAGGAGAATCGCTTGAACCTGGGAAGCGGAGGTTGCAGTGAGCCAAGATCGCACCACTGTACTCCAGCCTGGGCGACACAGCGAGACTCTGTCTCAAAAAAAAAAAAAAAAAAAAAAAAGAGAAAGAAAAAAGCAAGTCACAAAAGATCACATACAGTTTGATTCCATTTATCTGAAAATGTCCAAAATAATCTATAGAGGCAGAAAGCAGATCAGTGGTTGCCAAGAGCTGGGTGAAGGGGAGAAAATGGCAAAGTGATTGCTAATGAGTATGAGATTTCTTTTTGGGGTGATAAAAATGTTCTTTCTAAATCAGATAGTAGTGATAGTTGTATAACTTTGTGAATATACTAAAAAATTATTGAGGCCGGGCACAGTGGCTCACACCTGTAATCCCAGCACTTTGGGAGGCCAAGGTGGGTGGATCACCTGAGGTCGGGAGTTCGAGACCAGCCTGACCAACACAGAGAAACCCTGTCTCTACTAAAAATACAAAACTTAGCTGGGCGTGGTGGTGGGTGCCTGTAGTCCTAGCTACTTGGGAGGCTGAGGTGGGAGAATTGCTTGAACCCGGGAGGTGGAAGTTGCAGTGAGCTGAGATTGTACCACTGCACTCCAGCCTGGGTGACTGAGTGAGACCCTGTCTCAAAAAATAAATAAATAAAAATTTAAATTAAAAAAAAGCCTTAGGAGTACACAAGGCTTACTCAGAGTAGGGGAAAAAAAAACCCAAAACCAATAACTGGGCGTGATGGCGCATGCCTGTATGTAATCCTAGCTACTCAGGAGGCTGAAGCAGGACCATCACTTGAGCCCAGGAGTTTGAGACCATCCTGGGCAACAAAGTAAGACCCTGTCTCTACAAAAAAATTTTAAAAAATTATCTGGGCATGGTAGTGCATGCCTGTGTAGTCCCAGCTACTCAGGATGCTGAGGGGGGAGGATGGCTTGAGCCCAGGAGTCTGAAGCTGCAGTGAGTGACATGCACTGAGCCGCAGTGTCATCAGGTGACAGAGTGAGATGCTGTCTCTTAAAAACAAACCAACTCAACCAAACAGACCCACAAAGAAGGCCCTGGTGATGACAGTCCAGGGTTGGGGAGTCAGCGTGTGGAAGAGAGGCTCTCCAGGATGTGTCCTGACACCATTTGAAACATGGGGACCATACCCACCTGGCCCTCAGGTAGTAGAGCAGGTGGTAGCCAATCTTGGGCTGCTTCTGATATAGCTCGGAGAGAAGGTCTAGAAGTAGAGAGAAGCTGCTGTTGTCTTCCTGCATCTGACATAGGTTCCTGGAGGTGGGGCATGGGAGGAGAGGAACAGAACTTTACCCAGGGCAGACTCTCCCATGGAGTTTCTCAGGTGGCATGGGCTGTCTGTGCCCACAGCATATGTCCTCCTCCCTGGAAAGCGAGTCCCATTACCCCAGGACAGGAGCACATGTGTGTGCTGTCAGGGAGGATGGAGGGTAGAACAGTATCTCCTATAGCTGCGTGCTTACCTAAATATTAGGTACAGAGGCTTTCCTACAGACTCCTCCAGGGACCTACAAGAAGAGGGTTATATTTGAGAATCCATGTGAGGGGGGCTGCTGGCACATACGGAGGACCAGCTGGAGGCTAGACACCAGCCTGCTCCTTCCCTACCCAAAAGGCAAACTTCCTGCTGCTCCGCAGGCTTGGTAACAGAGAAAACAGGTTCCTAACATGGGACCACGCTCTTGCCCTTTGGAGACAGGCTCCAGGCCAAGGTCCAATCACACCTAATTCAGCAGATTAGAGTTACTGGGCCCAGCAGCAAGGGCTGGAAGCATGAGGAGGTGTCAACCTCCCCAGTACGCACGGTGTTCAGCAGGTAGAAATAAGCTCTTGTTTAAATGAGTTGGTACATGTGAGAATAAAAACACCAAGTGAACAGATTTTTCTCAAGTCTACAGTAAGGGGTCTCTTGGACTCAGGCTGTAAGAGCACCCTCTGGCTCCTGAGGCTCTGGAGTGAGGGAAAATCAGCCTTACTCCTCAGTAATCTCCTCAGGCAGGACCTCCCCTCGAAAGTGGGCCTTGAAGAGCTCCTGTAGGCAGGAAGCAAGGACAGACAGCTGCTCCGAGTCAAAGTCTTCCTGGGTGATGAGACAAGGGAGGGAGAGTCACTACCTACACCCAAGCCCTCCTGCCCCCACGATCCCAGTCTTGGAACTCATCTGCTTCCACCTCCAGGATCAGCAAGCTCCCCTCCCCACTATAAGAGGGACTCATCTAGGGGAGGGAAAAAGTGAGTTGTCTTCCCTGGGAGACGTGTAAGCTAAGCAGGCTAGGCTGCTTCCTCCCTAAGGGATTGGGTTCCTCCTCACCTCCAGGACCTGGTCCACAATTTCCTGCATGACCTCACACTGGGCCTCCGTATCACTGCAGGACAGAAATGAGAGGAAATCCCAGGGACATAAATGATAGCAGAGGGCAGGACACACACCCAGAACAGTGCACAAGCACACTCACATGCACAGAGACAAAACAAAGGAGCTCTGTGTAAAATCCCAGCTTGGATGGGGAGGCTTTAGGGCAGAATTGGCTGCTCTCTGGGCAGAGGCCCAAAGAAAAGGAAAATCCCCACCAATCCTGCCTTGGTTCTCAGAGGTTCTTCTCCCAAGAATCTGCAGAGTGGGAACTCAAGGTGTTACGGAATGAGGCTGCCCCACTCCCAGCTCATACTCCCTAACGTAAAGTGCAGAAGAACTCCCTCATGAAGCTTCAGCTACCTCTCCACACACTCCTATCATGTTTGCCTCCAACCCCCATCTCCTGCTATACCCATTAAGCACCAGGTAGAGAGCCTGGGGCTGAACCTCCTGAAGTTGAGAACAAGGTCTGTACCCACCTCCCCTTCTGTAGCTGGAGTACTTTGTCCCTCAGGGACTCATCCAACTGGTCAAGGTAAGGGGTGATATCAACTGGCTCCTCCACAACTGTCTCCTTGATAGGGTGGAAGCGAAACTCCCTCTTCTTTCCTAAAGGGAGTGATTTGGGAAAGAAGTCAGTTTGCCCAGATGCCAGCAACAGAGACAGTCCCCTCAATGACTTATCCCCTTCCTCACATGCCCTAAGTGTGCACCTGTTTCCTCAATGCTGTGTGAGTGCCTGAAGCATCTCCCTGACTGTGCACATGTACTAGCTCTTACAAGCAAACAAGGGCAGGAACCACTTCTTTTTTCCTTCCTGCCTTGAGTGTTAAGTACAGGGCTCTGCATTCTGGAGTCTCATCCAGATACCCTGTGAACAAAACTTTAACTCACAGGAATAAGGGTGACAGGAAGAGTGCAGAGAGGCTGCTTCTGGGAACTGGTCCTCTCAGGGCTGACACAACCCTGAACTAGCCCTTGCTGATGGCCTCACCTTTGCTGTTGAGATCCTCTTCATCGTCACTGAAGGCTGCCTCTGCATTGTCATAGCAACTCTCATCCTTATCCGACATATGGTTGTCCATCTCCATGGAAACTGGCTCCTCAATTTTGACTTGGGAGTAAAAAAAGATAAGGCATTTAATGGCCTCCTGGGTCCTCTAACATGCCCCATGCTTCTAGGAAGGGAGAATGGAGGGCAAGTGAGAGAATAAGGAGTTTATCATCTAAATGGAATACTGACCCTGGGAGGACAAACCTCTTGACAAACCTCTTGTCCTCACAACCCTCCATGACCTGCAGAGGGATGTTGCCAGGAATAAGAGCAACACTGGACATGACTCCTCTATGCTCAGCTCATTAGGATTGGTAACTAGAGTAAGATCAGGGACAGTCCGAAGTGCTAGTCTCACTCTTGTCGCCTGGGCTGGAGTGCAGTGGCGCCATCTCGGCTCACTGCAACCTCCCCGTCCCAGGTTCACGTAATTCTCATGTCTCAGCCTTCTGAGTAGCTGGGACTACAGGTGCCCGCCAAATACAAATTTTTTTGTATTTTAGTAGAGACGGAGTTTCATGATGTTGGCCAGGCTGGTCTTGAACTCCTGACCTCAAGTGATCCACCCGCCTCAGCCTCCCAAAGTACTGGGATTACAGGCATGAGCCACCATGCCCAGCCTCCAAGTGCTCTTTAATTTAAAACCAAGTTGGAAAATACTACTTGACTTAGACCCTTATCCCAAAACAAAGTGTGTATGTGTGGTAAGGAGATGGCAGTTGTATTGAGAGTAAGGTTTGAGGCCCAACATGACAAACTGTCATCAGAGGCCAGGGCCTAGAGCTGGGAAGAGAGATGGGCAAGTTAAAGTGAGATAAATATTGTAAATATTACATGAAAGCCTTCTAACTACTGAGCAGGAGTTACTAGGAGAAAAGAGTTAAGAGAACAAGAAAGATGAGCAAGTCAAATAAGATTAGATAAAGCAAGAGAATCAAGACAGACAACACAAAAATGAATAAAAAAGATAAACTGAGGAAGGAAAAACTGTGATGGACAGTGTCACGGAAGTGGAGAACTGTGTGGGACATCCTGAAAGGGGCTCTGGCCTGAAGGCCTGGTTGTCTTGCCCCTCTTTTGACACAGGTGATGGAATGGGCGGGCCTCATACCTTCCACAGGTGGGGAGGGTGAGCTGCAGAACTCAGGAAACTTCTCTCTCAGCATTGCCCGCAGCTCCTTATCCAACTTAGGGTTGTCAAACAGGGGAGCTAGGTGTCTAAATGGGGAACATGATGAAGGTCAATATCAGAGCTTCTCTTATTTTTATTTTTTTTTGAGACAGAGTGTCACTCTCATCACCTAGGCTGGAGTGCAGTGGCACAATCTCGGCTCACTGCAACCTCCACCTCCCGGATTCAAGCGATTCTTGTGCCTCAGCCTCTCAAGTAGCTAGGATTACAGGTGTGCACCATCACACCTGGCTAATTTTTGTATTTTTAGTAGACACGGGTTTTGCCATGTTGGCCAGGCAGGTCTCAAATTCCTAACCTCAGGTGATCTGCCCACCTTGGCCTCCCAAAGTGCTGGGATTACAGGCATGAGCCACTGTGTCTGGCCAGAGCTTCTCATTTCTAACTCAACATGGAGTTGAGATAGGTCTAAGCACAATCAGTCTAACTGGACCATACTCAGATCCCTGAAGGGGGTCAACAGGGAACATGAAGGCATTTGAAGACCTTTGTAATACGATGGCAGGAGAGAAATTCCTCTAAGAGCCAAGAAGACATATGCCCAGCAGTCTGAGGTAGAGCCAATACTTTTTACACCTGTCAGAGAAAAGGGCCAGCAGTGCTATGGCAACATTTGGATACACCTGGACCTAATGAAAAATGGGAAAACAACCTCCTTCCCCCACCAAATTCCTTACGCCAAGACCCGTTTCTCCACAATGTGGTTGAGGGAGGAAAAGACACCCTGCCGCACGTGGCCCTCCAATGGTGGATAGAAGTTGGGAATGATCTGGAAGCGAAGAAGGAGGGGAAAAATGAGCACAGGACTCCATCCAGAGGCTTCCGCTGAATTAGATCTGAAAAGCTGCTTTGGTTTTGATCAGGGGACACTGGGGAGTATGGCTGCAGAGAGAACTGGACTTCCTGACCACTCCAGGCCACTCAAATGAGAAATTCTTACTGGACCTGGCTGCTCCCCAAGGAAACCAGATTCTACCTTGAGTCACCATCCTTGTGATTGAGAAACCCCACAGAAAATGGGAAGATCCAAGTGCAGACAGTGGAATATGGAAGGGAAGCATTTATTAACTTGGGGGATAGGACCCATGACCATTTCTGCTCTCAGTCAAGGCATACCGAGAAGACCCGTTCACTGGGAGATTAGGGGAGATACACTGAATTCTGCTCATCCAGGCATGGGGAGAAAAGAGAGCTCTAACACTTACGCGGCACATGAAGTCCAGGAGTGTGGCAGTGATGGCTGGGTGGGGCTTCATGGAGTGGTGCATGACCAGGATGGCTGGTTCTGGAGGATGTGAAATTAAAGAGCCCCTCACATCAGTCAGTCTCTCTCTCTCTTTTTTTTTTTTTTTTTTTTTTTTTTGAAACAGAGTCTTGCTCTGTCACCCAGGCTGGAGTGCAAATGGTACGATCTCAGCTCACTGAAGCCTCTGCCTCCCAGGTTCAAGCGAATCTCATGCCTCAACCTCCCCAGCAGCTGGAATTACAGGTGTGCGCCACCACGCCAGGCTAAAGTCAGTCTGTTTCTATCTCCATAAAATGGGATGTCAATATACATGAATGGCTCTGGGAAGTGCTATGTCTATTCCCCCCATTTCCACTGAGCAGACCCAAGAGCAGACAGGCCCCGAAACAGCTTGTAGCCCTCATTTCCCTTCTTGTTCCCAGCATTCAGCTTTGAGAAGGGAAGTAATAGGTGAGGAGAAGCAGGACATGGTACAGCCTTTTCCTTTGCCCATGCCCTCCCCTCCTGAAGACCATGCATCCTGAAGACTGTGGGGAGGAGGTACAGTGATGGCTTAGCCTTATCAAAGCAATTCTCTTTCTAGGTCAAGGGAAAACTGATGAGGAACAACAGAGCTGCTCCCAGATAAACTGCCTCCACTCCACGGTGCCCTGAGATTTATGACTGCTATCACTAAGGAAGGCAGTGGGGGCTTAGGGGGATGGGGAAGTGGAGCCGCCTGGTCTTGGTCACATACCTATGTTCATAATGCTATCCTTGTCTGGACTAAAGAACAGCCAGTCATAAAACAAAGCCAGCTTGGCATTGGAGGCAGCGACATTTGACTGGAAAAGAGAGGGGAGAAACAGAGGGCTAGTTTCATCAATCACCCCCCTCCATTTCAGAGTCCCAAGACAGATTCCAGGCCCCACTTGGCTGTTTCATCTATGAAATTCAGTTCCTAGTGAAACACGGTGAAATGCTAACCCCCCTTGTGTTGTGTATGAGTGAATACTCTGTGGTCTTATGGTCTTAACCAAGAGGACAGAGGACAGGGATTGGGCCAGGTACCCCCCGAACCTTTTTTTTTTTTTTTCCAGACAGGGTCTTGCTCTGTTGCCCAGGCTGTAGTGCAGTGGCATGATCTCAGCTCACTGCAACCTCCACCGCCCAGGCTCGAGAGAGCCTCTCACCTCAGCCTGGGACTACAGGCACGCACCACCTCACCTGGCTCATTTTTCTATTTTTTTGTAGAGATGAGGGTCTTGCCATGTCACCCAGGCTGGAGCGCAGTGGCATGATCACGGCTTACTCCAGCCTTGACCTCTTAGGCTCGGGTGATCCTCCCAGCCTCAGCCTCCTTGGTAGCTGGGACTACAGGAGCACACCACCATGCGTGGCTTTATGTTTTGTTTTGTTTTGTTTTGGTAGAGATGGGTTTTGCCATGTTGCCCAGGCTGGTCTTGAACTCCTGGGCTCAAGTGATCCTCCCACCTCAGCCTCCCAAAGTATTGGGATTATAGGTGAGAGCCACCATGCCTGGCCAGGCCTGGGTTCTTTTCTTTTTGTTGTTGAGACAGGGTCTGACTCTGTCACCCAGGCTGGAGTGCAGTGGCAGGATCTCAGCTCACTGCAACCTCTACCTCCCAGGCTCAAGCGGTCCTCTCACCTCAGCCTGGGACTACAGCCGCACACCAACACACTTGGCTAATTTTTGTATTTTTTTGTAGAGATGGGGTCTTGCCATGTTGCCCAGGCTGGTCTCAAACTCCTGAGCTCAAGCAATCTGCCCACCTCAACCTCCCAAAGTGCTGGGATTACAGGCGTGAGCCACCGTGCTCGGCAGGCCTGGGTTCTTGATACATCCAGCAGTTCATATCTCTGATTCCCATAGGGGACAATGCTTGGACTCAGAAGTCCACTCATCACCCCTGAGCTGAGGCAACAGTCAGACTAGCACCCCTTGGCTGCCCTTTCTGGGCTCTCCAGGCACATTCCTGAAGAAGAGACCCCCACCCCTCCAGGAATAGCCTGTTGTCATATCTGAATCAGCACATTCCAAGGACCCAGTCAAATGGGGGAGGAGGAACCCTGTTGGAAGAGGTCAGGGGGCAGCCAGATGCCAGAGAATGGATAGTTTCCCACCCTAGGCACAGAGAGGAAAACATTTGAAAGGAAATGCCTCCACTGCAGATTCGCTGCATTTACAGAAGGGAAGTAGACAAAGCTGATGCCAAAAAGGCATGGTGGTGAGGGTCTAAAGAATGCAAGCTCTGAATCTGAGAAAGAAACAGTTAAGAGGAATAGCTGTATATGGTTTCTGGAAGCAAAAATGAAAAAGGCAGGGACGCTCCAGAAACCCAGGCTTTTGGGGGTTGGCAGTAATGGGGGAGATGAACCTGTTCAATCTCAAACCCAGATGGAAAATAATGAGTGTAAGTAAATTTCTAGAGACACAAAGGGAAGTGAAGGCTGAGACACTCTGGAAGACCAGAGTGAAAGAAGGGCCCTTAGGGGTCAAGTGGCCCTGGAGTCAGGAAGAAGAATGGAAACATGGGAACACCATGGAAGAGGCACCCTTCACCACCCAGTATCTTTTGCCCTCACCGTGCACGTTGTCAGGAGCCAACCAATGATGGCCCACCGGGGCAAGATATCTGAACTCAGTACTTCATTAGAAGGGTGGACTACCCCACAGATGTAGCGAATGAGGTCACAGCGCAGAGACTGACTATCTGGAGTTGACAGGTACTGGCGCTGGAACCAATCTTGGTATCGCTTTTGTTGACCAAATCGCACCTGGGGAAAGGGGAAGCAAGAAAAAGACCTTAGAAGACAGTGTGGGGTCCTTGGCCAGAGGAAAACGAGCACCACTTAACTCTAGGTTTGCCCTAGACCTCTATTTCTCCACAATTCATTCATTAGCTCATACTGTCTCGTAAGTCTCCCCTCCTTTAGGAGAACTTCTTGATTAAAAAAAAAATGCTGAAAATTTCTAGCTTGCCCTGCATTCTGATGTTACAGTCATTCTTGCCACTGACCTCAGGCTACATTTACCCCCAACTGCAACTTCAGTCCAGTTTTTGGCTCTTTACTCCTTGCACTGGTCACTGACTCTCCAGTCAGAAGTATAACCTTTTCTCATTTTCTTGAGCCACTGGTGAACAGCAAGAAATGTTCTTCAAGAGTAAGAGCTGGGTCTGTTCACCACTCAACATCAACTGAGAATTTCCTGGTGCTGACCTAGCAGGACCATTATCCAAAGCCTAGACTCTCCAAACCTTCTTGTGGAAAGTTTTTCCTCAAACAGACCCTAAGTGATCACAAATAGTAACACTAAATAAGGAAAAGGATCTGGTTTCCCTCTTCTTATATTCCCCCAACTGTCAGAAGAAATCAACCAAGATAAAGCAAAAAGGTAAAAAAACAAACAAAAAGATACTTCCAGACCAACACCATCCAACAGAACTTTCGGCAATGATGGTTGCTATTATGCATGTGAAATGCAGCTATTGTAACTGAGATATCGAATTATTATTTATTTTATTTTTTTTGAGGCAGAGTTTCACTCTTGTTGCCCAGGCTGGAGTGCAATGGTGCAATCTCAGTTCACTACGACCTCTGTCTCCCAGGTTCAAGCGATTCTCCTGCCTCAGCCTCCCAAGTAGTTGGGATTACAGGCACATGCCACCATGCCTGGCTGATTTTTGTATTTTTAGTAGAGACGGGGTTTCACCATGTTGGTCAGGCTGGTCTCGAACTCCTGCTCTCAAGTGATCCACCCGCCTTGGCCTCCCAAAGTACTGAGATTACAGGCGTGAGCCACCGCACTTGGCCCCAATTATTATTTTTTAAGAGACAGGGTCTCATTGATGGGAGGATTGCTTGAGCCCAGGCTGGTCTCTAACTCCTGGGTTCAAGCAATCCTCCCACCACAGCCTCCTGAGAAGCTGGGATTACAGGCACATGCCACTGCACCAGGCTCTGAATTTTTTTGTTGTTGTTTGAGATGGAATCTCATTCTGTTGCCCAGGCTGGAGTGCAGTGGCACGATCTCAGCTCACTGTAACCTCTGCCTCCTGCGTCTGGGTTCAAGTGATTCTCCTGCCTCAGCCTCCTGAGTAGCTACCACCACACCCAGCTAATTTTTGTATTTTTTGTAGAGACACGGTTTCATCATGTTGCCCGGCTAGTCTTGAACTCCTGACCTCAAGTGTTCCCACCAGCCTCAGCCTCCCAAAGTGCTGGGATTGTAGATGTGAGCCACAGCGCCCAGCTGTGAATTTTTAATTTTAACTCATTTTAACTAACTTAATATATATATATTTTTTGAGACAGCGTTTCACTCTGTTGCCCAGGCTGGAGTGCAGTGGCGCAATCTTGGCTTATCGCAACCTCTGCCTCCTGGGTTCAAGTGATTCTCCTGCCTCAGCCTCCCAAGTAGCTGGGATTACAGGCGTGTGCCACCACGCCCAGCGAAATGTTTGTATTTTTAGTAGAGACGGGGTTTCACCACGTTGGCCAGGGTGGTCCCAAACTCCTGATCTCAAGTGATCTGCCCACCTTGGCCTCCCAAAGTGCTGGGTTTACAGGCATAAGCCACTGCGTCCGGCCAAGAATTTTTATCATACCTAGTCCTGCAGACTAACTTACATTTAAATGGCAACACATGGCTGGTGGCTACCACACAGTAGAACACAGACCTGGACAATTATTCTGGGTGACTTGGGAAAGCTGATTAGGAAAGCAGTTCTCGACAGCCAGACTGGCCGCAGAGGAATGGCCTGGGAAGTCTGCTAAAAACAGATTCTGGCTGGGTGCAGTGGCTCACGCCTGTAATCCCAGCACTTTGGGAGGCTGAGGCAGGTGGATCACCTGAGGTCGGAAGTTCGAGACCAGCCTGACCAACATGGAAAAATCCCGTCTCTATTAAAAATACAAAATTTGCCAGGTGTGGTGCATGCCTGTAATCCTAGCTACTTGGGAGATTGAGGCAGGAGAATCACTTGAACCCAACAGGCGGAGGCTGCGGAGAGCCGAGATCGCGCCACTGCACTCTAGCCTGGGCAACAAGAACGAAACTCCATCTCAAAATACAAACAAACAAAACCAAAAAAAAAACCCCACAAATTCCTCAATCAAATTATCTAGGAGAGTGGGATCCAGGAAGCTGCATCTTTAACATGCTCAAGTAATTCTGCCATTATTCAGTCAAGTCTGGAAACATACATAGCTTTCTTCCTGAGACCTCATGGTTCTCCTGGAGCAATCGTGGGTTTCTTAGCGTGAACACTTTCACTCTCCCCTTTATAGAATATTTCACACTTGTAAATGATACTAGTATTTCTATATAATTATTGGTTTAGTGACTACTTTAGATAAACTAAAAGCTTCACAACAGCTGGAACTGTATCTCTCTTATTCGACAGTGTACCCCCAATCCTTAGCACCATGCTCAATATGTAGGCACAGAATGAATAAAGGACAAAGAAGCCAGTAGCCAGGTAGATCAGGTACGATCATTTAGCCACCATTCTACTGGTTAGTAAACAATGGTAACAGCTCCACAGACCGAAGCAAGAAGCCCAGCCAGCGTGTGACCTCTTCTCTTGCTGCAACACCTTAGCTTACCCGGGATGTCATGAAGAGGAGTTTAGTCTCCATGTCCGGGGTTAGACGACATGCTAGGAATTTTCGGGATGTTCTTGACTGAAGAAGCTGTAGGATACCTGAATCAAATGTGGAAGGGAAGAGAAAAGAGGAAGCCTAAGGACCAGAAAGAATGAAAGGCATGTTGGGAACCTGGGCCAGGTACTGATGGCCAGTAGTCTTGCTCACGGAGAAATTCCAAGACAAGACCAAGGGAGGTCAAGCACAGGTGGGGATTCCAACCAGCACTTACGTGTTCTGCTCCAAACAACCACTATCCCCAGGACCCAGCTATATTACTTCCTGTCTTCTGCTGGTCTTCCAGAGTCTCCTACCCACATGATTCCCACTGGTAACAGATGGGAAAGTTAAGGGAAAAATATGGGAAACCCTGGCTGCTCTTCCTGCTCCTGATGATCCCATCCTTGGGTCCTGGAATCAATGTTATTTGTGGCATGAGCATGAGCCCTGGAGTCAGAAACATGTGGATCCAGATCCTATTGTAGCTCATAAGCATGATTATTGGTTTTTCACACTCATGCGTGAGATGTGCCTCCCTCAAACCTTGTTACCATGTCCCCACATTACCTGCCTGACATGAGAGAACAAAAATAATTTAAAAGACCAGCATGGTGGCTCACACCTGTAATCCTAGCACCTTGGGAGGCCGAGGCAGGTGGCTCCCTTGAGCCTACGAGTTCAAGACCAGCCTTGGCAACATGGTGACACCCCATCTTAAAAAACAGAAAAAAAAAAAAAAAAAAAGAGGCCAGGTGCGGTGGCTCATGCCTGTAATCTCAGCACTTTGGGAGGCCAAGGCAGGTGGATTGCTTGAGGTCAGGAGTTCAAGACCAGCCTGGCCAACATGGTGAAACTCCATCTCTACAAAAATACAACATTTACCTGGGCATGATGGCAGGTGCCTGTAATCCTAGCTACCTGGGAGGCTGAGGCGGGAGAATCGCTTGAACCCAGGAGGCGGAGGTTGCAGTGAGCTGAGATCACGCCATTGCACACCAGCCTGAGGGACAGAGCAAGACTCCGTCTCAAAAAAAAAAAAAAAAAAGAGACCTGCCTCTGTCACCTAACCTACCAGCTGTACAGCCTTGGGCAAATTACTTCATCTCCTTAAACCTCAGTTTCTTTTCTTTTCTTTTCTTTTTTTTGGGACAGAGTCTCACTCTGTCGCCAGGCTGGAGTGCAGTGGCGCGATCTCGGCTTACTGCAAACTCCACCTCCTGGGTTCAAGCGATTCTCTTGCCTCAGCCTCCCGAGTAGCTGGGAATACAGGCATGTGCCACCATGCCCAGCTAATTTTTGCATTTTTAGTATAGACAGGGTTTCATCATGTTGCCCAGGATGGTCTTGAACTCTTGACCCCGTGATCCGCCCGCCTCGGCCTCCCAAAGTGCTGGGATTACAGGTGTGAGCCACCGCGCCCGGCCTCAAACCTCAGTTTCTTTATGTATAAATGTAGAAACTAAAATACTCACAGGGCTGTCCAGAAGATTAAATGAGGTAACACATGTTTGTCTAACACAGTGGAGGCACTTAAAGCAATGAAATAGATGTTCAATATAAGAGTACTACAATTTCCAGCACTTTCTTCTTTCCTGACTTCCCAGGTCCTGGACAACTGCCTTCAGAGTGAGTGTGTGTGTGTGTGTGTGTGTGTGTGTAGGAGGGGAGCGGGTGCATGCACGATCACAAGCACGTGTGTGTTGAGGTGGGGTGGGGAGCAAAGCTGTACAGTTATTGTTCAGAACATAGCAGGACCCTGGGAAAGGGAAAGGGATATAAAAAGGACCTTGTCGGGAGGAGGCACACGGAGACTCCCTCCTCCAAAGTGGATTTTGCCCAAGCTGGATCCTTGGAATTCGAGGCAAGACTGTTCCCAGGGAGGGGCCTTCTCTTACAGGACTAATTCCAGCCCTCTACTGACTCAGTCTCACGAGTTGACCTCTGACTCCCCTGCTAGACTCCGTGAAGCTGAACACTGGCCACTGGCTCACCTCCTGAGCCAAGGAGCTGCCAGGAAGAGGGGAGGAGGACTACAGTTATCTGTCTCACTTTTTTCTTAGTAGTAATGTGGCAGCTGGAGTCTGCCAAGTAGGGGCTGTCTAGGAACTACATGAATTGTTCTGTACCTCTGCCATTCGCAGTTGTACTTGGCAAAGCTTGCCCTGTCCCAGGCTTCCTAAATCTGACCACCAAAGACTCTCCTACCCACCAACCTCTACCTTCTTGATTCAAGCAAGACATACACATTGAACTCCCAGCTCTCAAGGACAGGATGCCTAAGACCCTACTTACCTGTGAACTGAGGACTCAAGGC
The DNA here is from genome assembly GCF_000001405.40 of Homo sapiens. NCBI lineage: Eukaryota > Metazoa > Chordata > Mammalia > Primates > Hominidae > Homo > Homo sapiens. The sequence continues at coordinate 153,752,386 of NC_000001.11, read as the reverse complement.
CTGAGGATTATGGATAATATCTTTCCAAAGCAGTTCAAATTCTGGTATCCTAGCAACATTCTGAAGTAGTCTTACGAGATCCCGACCAATCATCAGACATTCCATGAACTTGATAGGGAAGAGGAAGTGGGGGACAGGAAAGAGAATAAAAACATGGATTGTTTACCTGCTGGAGGGAGGACAAAGGAACAACATGTTCTAGGGAGGGAAGGAAAGAGGGTTGAAGAAACTATGATTTCTTCTGGAACCAAAGGATTGGCTCCTAGCTGTTCAGGGGAAGAGAGCTGGAAGCTGGGGACTGATATCAAGGATGAGAGGTTAGTGGGAAGTGCTGAAGCCCTGCTGGCTTTCACATTAATCTACCTCCCTCTCCACTCAGAACTGTTTCAATCCAGTTCAAGGAAGATTAAAGTTTCAAAAGGATGGGACTGGCAAGTTGAGCCCCAGAAACCCTAACCTCAAACTTATTTTGTCTAACAAAATTCTGCAGTATCTAATTCTGTGGGTCCGATTCTGTGGTAGAAATGTCTATATCTGTGTAGTCTAAATGAAACCCATTAGCAACGTGTAGCTAATGCAACTAGAGAAGTGAATTTTAACTTTTTATCTAACATTAATTTTAGGCTGGGCAGAGTGGCTCACGCCTATAATCCCAACACTTTGGGAGACTGAGGTGGGAGGATCACTTGAGGCCAGGAGTTTGAGATCAGCCTGGGCAACAAAGCAAGGCCCAGTATCTACAAAAATAAAAAGTAAAAAAAATTTTTAATTGCCACATGGGAGGTCTGATAGAGGACAATTCATAATCCCACTAGACCATGGGAATTACCCAGGAGAGTAGGTGGGGGACTGTGTCATGGTAGGCACACAAGGACAGCTTATGTCTGTGGTATACAACAGTATCCTTGAAGCTGACCAGGGAAATCCCAAAGATGCCAGCTTAACAGGTAGCATTTCTAGGAATTAGGGCTATTTTACACTAACTCCCCCTCCTTTCTACCCTCATCTGTTGATGAATGATGGAAAACACCAGATCTTGATGCACCTTCATCTCTAACAAGGTATTTCTGACTCCACTGCATAAACCTCCAGAGGTATCTTAGCCTGAGTCTCACTTCCCCACATTATTTTTGTCCTGTTCCCTCACCCGTTCCCGAAGCAGTGAGATGCAGAAGTCTACTTCCTTCTGTCGCAGGGCCTGGAGCTGGGCAGTCCCATGGTGGTCCACGATGAGGCGGAGGTACGTGTAAACAGCCATGGCAATGAGGATGCTGCTCTTCAGGACCCACTCCCTGCAGGGAGGAAACACACTGGCTCCTATGCTCTGTCTAGAACTATTCACCCTCCCAATTCACGCTTCTTGGGCTTGGCTACAGTGCCTCAGAAATAATTGATGATTTGACACTGGGAGTAGATGCTTTGATTTTTTGCTTGCTCACTCATGCTAGTATCTATCTTGGACTATCAACTGGCTAAGCTACGGACAACTTCCTAATTTTCTCTTCCAAGTGCCTATAAAGATAAGTGCCAAATGAAAGCAATCTCTTTTTACCACCTAACTACTTAGCTTCCAAGAAAATAACTCTCTTTGTTGACTCATTCATTCAAACATTTACTGAGTGCCTATCATGTGCCAAGCAACATGTGAGGTACTAGGGACAGAATTAACCACAGTATCTACCCAGGTCAGACTATGGGGAAAAGCTGGGTAAGTGTCCCTAAGTCAGTGGTTCTTAAGTGTGGTGCAAGAACATGTGGGGACTGCCAAGACCCTTTCAGGACCTGGAGTTTTGAGAACATACTGTGCTAGCTCAGTCTGCTTATCATTAGCAGCTCACCATGCCACAAACCTTTCCCTGGCTCTATCTAGTCACTGATACACAACGAGTCCCCACTCCCACACAATGAGTCACCTGTCCTAAATCACAACCTGAAAAAAAGAACCCGATTTTGGGTGGCAAACTCCTTTTCCCATGAGTTTCAGAATATCCCTGAGGGAAAAGGGGGTAATGAAAGATTTGTTCCCAGTTGCTTTAAAAGGAGTAGAGAGAAAGACACAGTGGGGATATTCCTAAAACTCTAATCCTGTCTCTAAGTGACAAAATTGAGACGCTGTCTCCTCCCAGCAAACAATTTGTAATGGCTTTGGCCCCCCTGTTGGAAGGCAGGGAACTGCAGGAAGATGAGATGGTGTTTAATTAGTCCAAGCAGGCCACATCCTGATTCCGGAAAACTACTCAAGCCACCTAATTAAAAGACTCTGTGGCCTTTTCTTTTCACAGAATGGATACACTAGCCAAGGTTACTGGGGAACGTTTCCTCCCCTACCTGCTACCTTTTAACTCCACAGCCCTAGAAACATTTGGAAGGGAGTGAGAAGGAGGGTGTAGGAGAGGACACAGTTTTAAATTTCTAGGTATTGACTTTCACCAAAAGATGTAAGTTTTTTGGAGGGTAGAAAACAGGGCAGTTATCTGGCTGTTATCTGATGCCTGTACAGGAAATTCAGCTTTAAGGTATGGGGACAGGACGTATTTGGTACCACGAATAAAATAAGAAAAATCACTTTTTAGAAAGATTGCTAGCAAAGGTAACGAAATTACCTGAATCCTGGAATGGCATAATAAAGAGAAAGAAAGAGTTGAAAGGCCCCCTGACCCAGGACAGTAAAAAGGAACAAAGACCTATCTGGTAAGAAGAGACTGTTAGGATCTCACGTGCTAGTGCAATGACACCAATAACAGAAGTGGCTCCAGGCCCAGATGTGGCTGCACATCCGTGCCCAGAGCACTAGGTGGCACTGCACAGCAGACAGGGCAGGGCTCTCAGACCTGGGCAGAGCACAGCACACAGCCATCTCTTTCACAAGTGTGAACGTTGGGAGGAGGTCCATTCTTCTGAACTACAGATAGTATGGACACTATTAGCCCTCTCAATCATTTGACTACTATGGTGTCCTCAATCAGAAAAGAGACTTAGAAGTCAAGCAAGAGGAAGACTGAAACCAAGGGGAAAGCCTCACCTCCAAACAAGTTCAGATGTGGAATAGCCCTCATAAAATTTCTGGCCCTTTATTTTGATGGATAAGGGAAAGAATCAGCCAGAAAGCCCAATATGTACCCCCTGATGCACCCTCTACCACTGGAACCTCCAAACCCTATATGCAAACTCCAGCAGGATTCACTAATCTCTATTACCTGCTCCACCCCAACTGCCCCCTGTGCCACTTCAAAAAGAGCAGGGGTTGGATGGAGAAGCTTGCAGGGGAGAAAAGGATACCTGCCAGGCGTGGGTGTTTGGCTGGCCCAATTCTACTGAGCTCATTCCTCCCCAACTTCCCCCTAAGATAAACATTCCAAGGAGGTCTGGATCAAAAATAAACCCTTATCAGATGAAGCCAGTTTTTCTGGGCTATGCGATATTTTGGCAAAGACCTCTTTCCCATTCCTTCATTCCTTGGGCATTAATTTCTTCACTTGCCAACAATACACTTGTCTCTCCCTCTCCTTGCCTCCCCCTCTCTAACTTAAGGTGTTCTTGGGCCACACAATCCTTTCATCCCCATTTCCCACACCCACACTCCTAATGGCCATTATCTGGCCTGTACCCCACCCTTCGTGGTGGATGCTACCTTTGCTCTGTCAGGATATCCAGAACACTTTCTGCCAACCAGATATTTTTGGCTGTAACATCTCCACCTGATTTCAAAAGGGGAAAAAAAGAATAGCTCCGATTAGCAAGTCAGCCAATCCAATACATCTCTTCACCCATTCTGCTGGTCCACCCTGACTGCCATCCCATTACTGCCATCCCTTCACTGCTGAGATAAACTGCCTTCTGTTCTGTCAGGCTTTAAAGTTTCACCCTTTGCCTCCAGAAAGAAGGAAAGGGAAGGTTCTGAATTTTTCTAGAAACCAGAGCTGCTACTTTCCCACAGATTGTGAGTTGGAGTGGGAACATTTTGGCCCTTGAAAATGAACGTCTGAGAAGTAGATATAAGAAGCCCACAGTTGGAAAGAAAGGATGATATCTCAGATAGAGCCTGAGAAGTACAGGTGGCTGACAACAGCTGCAGTCTAGCAACTGGATGTCCTGAGTCCTGCACTGAGGCCCCCAACAGGCCAAGAGTTTCTTATTTCCAGGTAACAGTCTTTAGTGCTTGCTATGAAACTCTGTGGGGCAGAATTAACACACAGCAATGCCATACCAGTCTTGGGATAAGAAGCAGGGGCTGGAAGTGCCAAACAGGGAAGAAGTGCCAGGAAAGAGGATAAAAATAGCTACAACTATGCCTTGCCCCAGGTCTCAATTAAAAAATTCAATGTTCACAAAGTCACATATCACATAGATTAAGGTTCATACACATCAAAACAGGAGCATCAGTGTTACATAAAATTTTAAAGAGGAAGCAAGTCCCAGTGGGCTAATGGTGAGGTAGTAGCAGGTCACTTTTAAACAAACACATGCAATCTTGGGAGTAGCCGCTTGAATATGCGATAGCTCAGACAGATGTCACCGATGCCAAGATGAGAATAAAACCTAAATGTCAGGGTCTGTTCTGTGACATAGTTTGTCCCTCATTCTGGCCCCAGTAAAGGGCTTAATTATTAGGGAGCAAGCGTTCAGATAATGGGGGTGGAGCCAGGGAAGATGTCTAGGTTTCTGAAAGCACAGGGACTTGAGAACAAATTAATTGCCCTCACTTCTCTCCCCATTTCTTCCTGCTCTGAAATGCTATAAAATCTCAGAGTGAAGACTGGCTAAAATAGGCCAAATATTCTGTCAAGCCCTGGGTTTAGCAGGAAAGAAAATGAGGCAAGACTTACTGCTTTAAAAGGCCCCCCATGATTTTTCAATCAATTTATTTCTACAACATATGTGGCCAGAAGATGTCTGTATCAGAAGGAAACAGTCTAAGCAATCCAAGAATTCCATCCCTTTGGCACTTAATCATTCTCCATTGTCTCTATGTAGTCTCTGGGCTCTCCTCCTTTCTTCTTTATGCTCCTGCCATCAAACTCACCTGCAATCTGCTTCATAAACGTCATACAAACACCATCGGCTCCCAGAACCCCACTCTTCACCAGTTCCCGTACCAACCACACCAACTAAAGGAAAGAGGGAAAAACAGATGAAGAGCAGGAACTGTGAGTTTGAGAAGGGAGCTAATTCAATTACAACTGAAAGGAGCACATTACAATTTAGACACACAATGATAGGGGTGTGTTAGCCCTGATTCCTCTTTCCCGTTCCTGACAGAGAGAAGATCCATCCTCTCTCTTTGAGCTGGATCTTGTCTTTTCTTTCTGGCCTTACCTGAGTACGGCAGGTATCCTGCAGCTTCAGGTACTTCTCCATAAGTATCTGGTTGATTTTATTCAGGACAATATTCATGCCATCACGACTCACCAGAGCTAAGTCCCGGTAACACTGTGAGAAGTAAAGTTTGTGATCAGCCAGCAAGCTGAGGATAAGGTCCTCACCCCACCCACAGTGGACCCCTTGCCCTCTAATCCCTTAAACTTAAATAACACCAATAAGACACCGAGTAGCAATGAAATACTTTTCATTCTGGACACTTTCTTTCCACAGGGGTCCTGCATTCCCAACCTATCCCTTGTTCTGTCACACAGAGTGGGGAAAAGGTACTGGTTATCCTTTAATGAGGCAGAAAAGCCTGCTGGGCAGCCAGGTGCAGTGGCTCACGCCTGTAATCCCAGCACTTTGGGAGGCCAAGGCGGGTGGATCACGAGGTCAGGAGATCGAGACCATCCTGGCTAACACGGTGAAACCCCGTCTCTACTAAAAATACAAAAAAATTAGCCGGGCACGGTGGCGGGCACCTGTAGTCCCTGCTGCTCGGGAGGCTGAGGCAGGAGAATGGTGTGAGCCCGGGAGGCGGAGTTTGCAGTGAGCGGAGATCGCGCCACTGCACTCTAGCCTGGGTCTAGCCTGGGCGACGGAGCGAAACTCTGTCTCGGGGGCAGGGGAGAGAAAAGCCTGCTGGGCAAGGCTCCTAGTACTATCCCTGTCCCCCCCACTTCCCATCTTAGGAAGTGTCATACTGTTTGATGCCACAGGCTGAGCAAAACCAGGTGGAGGCCATCTGCTTTTCACCTGCCAGTCAGTAAAAGGTCACTGCAAAATGGGTTTGGTTGAACAAGCCAAAAAGGATCCCAAAGAGGTTTTTAGACCAGTACTGACCCAGTCAGATACAGCAAAGGGAGTAGTAAGGGAAGAAGATCCAGGGCAGGGCCCTAGACAGTTAAGGACAGAACCAAAACTGATATTTTTTTGAATTTTTAGTTTTTTTATACTTGGGGTCTTACTTTGTTGCCTGGGCTGGAGTGCAGTGGCATGATCATAGCTCATTGCAGCTTCGAACTTCTGCGTAGCTGGTACTACAGGCATGCACCACCACGCCCAGATAATTTTTAAAACAGTTTTTTCTAGAGACAAGGTCTCACTATGTTCCCTAGGCTGAAACTCTTGGCCTCAAGTGATTCTCCCACCTCGGCCTCCTCAGTAGCTGGAATTACAGGCATGAGCAACCATACCCAGCTGAACTAAATATCTTTATTCTTTTCTCTGTGATGCCCTTTCCTTCTGCCACTTATTGAAAAAGGAAAGGTGCTTTAGCATACCAAATCCTGGGGGAGGTAAGGGAGGGCATGCTAATTTCTTCTGTGAGATTATTGCTTCCCTTCCCCCCTTAGTTTTTTTTTTTTTTTCACTCTGTCTCTATTGTGAGACCAGACTCCTGGAGGAATACCTTAGGGGGCCTCATTAGCAACTTCCTTAGCCTGCTGAGTTCTATCCCGTCAGGATCTCATCAGAAAGAGTAGAAACTAGGCAGGTAGCTTCCCACAACCTCTGAAGACCAGTAGCAAGGATGGCATCAAAAATAATAATCATATAGTATAGCAAGGGCCGGGTATGGTGGCTCATGCTTGTAATCCCAGCACTATTTGGGAGGCCGAGGCGTGTGGATCATCTGAGGTCAGGAGTTCGAGACCACCCTGGCCAACATGGTGAAACTCCATCTCTACTAAAAATACAAAAATTAGCTACGTGTGGTGGCACGTGCCTGTAGTCCCAACTACAAGGGAGGCTGAGGCGGGAGGATCACTTGAACCCAGGAGGTGGAGGTTGCAGTTAGCCAAGATCGTACCACTGCACTCCAGCCTGGGTGACAGAGACACCCTGTCTCAAAAAAAAAAAAAAAGTACAGCAAGGATGTTGTTATACTATAGCAAGCAATAATACAGCAAGGATGGCATCAACAACAATAATATATATATATGTATATATTACTGCATTTGATATACATAACAACCTTTTAAAATAGTACTACTTATTATAATTATTTTTACAGATGAGGAAATAGGCATGGAGAGCTTAAAAGTTATTTGCCCCAGATGACATAAGAGATTAGAGGAAGAACCAGGATTCAAATCCAGGCACTCCAATTCTATAACATGCTTAACCACCTCTTGTATCAACGTTAGAAATAACCAGAAGAGGCTGCTGGGAATAGCGGTATGAGTTTGTAATAGTTTTGAGACTCTACCTTTCTCCTGTCTTGGCCTCCCAAAACACTGGGATTACAGGCATGAGCCACTCCGTGCAGCAACATTTCTAAACTCTTTCATCCTATGCATTCAAAAGAAATGTACCCCTCAGTACCATCTGCTCTCTAGCCTTGAGAGACTCCTAACAGATTAGCTATTGCCACTTCCTTCTGCCTCTATTGTCGTTAAGTCAAACCAACTGATGATGAAAATACCCACAGTGAGAGATCCTCCATGTGCCATAAACTTCATCCCCAAAAGAGAATGACTCCCTCTGGGGGATGGTTGATGGTTGGGAGACCAAAAAAACAAATAAGGAAACAAGAAAGAGATGAAGGGTCCCAGTGAATTACTGTCAAATATTGATAGTTAAGTCCTGGACCCTCCCCTGGAGGTAAGTCACAGAATGGGCAGAGGACAAAGGAAGTAGAGGCAGAGGGAAAATCTGTGTCAGGCCAAAGACAGACATTACTAACTAGAGAAGAACCTTGTTGTTCAAATGAATGCAGAACAGACTCAGGACAGGGAAGCAGGACAAGTTCTCTCAGGAGATACAGGGTCAGATGAAGACAGCAGATACTGTCTGCCTAGTTCCATGTTCCATCTGGGATCTTTACTAACCACAACTGCTGGTAACAAATGAGAACCGAGAGTTTCATACACCTAAGGCTGCCAGTTGTGTTACCGACCTCTGTGTCGGTTTGCTGACCAGCTTGGAAAAGCAGCAGATGAAACACACACACACACACACACACACACACACACACACACACACACGCACATGCACACCCTCAGTGAGGAAAAGAGAAGTGGAGAGTCTCAAAGAAAAGTAAAAGTGACTGGTGACTGGATGGCATCTATCCTGAATGTGTCAAGAGCAGTGATGTGTCAGCCTAGGCCCCAGAGCCCCCAAGCTTCTTTCTAGAGCTGCCTGCTGGGAGAAATACCTAGACCAAGAGCTGCCTGGGCCTGAGTCCTTGACCCTTTGATGAAGACAGACCTTGACATTAGACCCTTTCCCATTACCTTTATCTATTGACTGCCAGCACCTGCACAGCTTAGGACTCTACCTTAGCCTCCCTCCTTGCCACAGTTCCCCAGCCAGGCCTGCTCCCAGCTGTTTAGTTCAGACACCAAATAGAAAATAAATAAACTCAAAGGATATAAACATTCCTAAGGGCTGCCAAGAGGGCTGATGCAAATCAAGAAGGTACAAGTGAGACAAAATCCACCCCATGCATCCTCTACTCTTTCCCAATACTGACCTGCTTTCTCCTTAACTGAATTCTCTTGTTCACCTGTTCAATCCATCCTAATCCCACCCACTAAGTCCCAGAGAGTTGGCCCTAACTCCTTGAACCTGCCTGCCAGTACTAACAGAGGCTCCTCAGCTCAACCTTCCTTATAGCAGTATTCTATTTGTTCAAGACTCAGTTTCCACACTTCTCCACCATATCCACTTCCCATCTCAGCCCATGAAGATTCAAGAACAACTAAATCTCAAATACATCCTGAGGTTTCTGTTCCAAAGGCAGAATTAACCCCAAATACAAATCCTTAGAAAACAGTCCCATTGCTTTAAGCTGAAGCCTAAAATGATGCATTACAATCAGTCCTCATCAGTAACTCCCACCTAAAACTTCTGTAGGACAGAAGTATTTTTACAAAATAATCACCCTTTTAGGGAGAAGGAGCAAAGCTCTAGGGAGATACGTCACTAATTCTTCCATCATGCTCTGACCTGGCTCAAGGTCTCTGAATGAGTCACTACTTGATAGTTCCTCACCCGCCTAAAACTGTGTCCTCCTAATTCTGTCTTTACTGCCTTTGTCTGAAGAGGCCTGACCTGGAGGCTTGGCCCAGGAAGGCTCACAGGTAGGGGATTTACTTGGAAACTTTTAGCATGTGAACATGAATGCTAGCAAAGGTGTCAACCAGCTATGAGACCCGAGGCAAATGCTTCACTTCCCCAGAGGGCCTGGGCCTCCCACATGGGGCTGTTATAGGGCAAAAAGAAGAGGAGATACTCTAGTCTCTTGCTGTGTCTGGATGGCCAAATTCATGACATAATAAGCATTTACACTGCAGAACCCAGTGGCCTCTTACTGATAGGCCAGGCAAAGAGCTAGAAATACCACACATACTCTGCCCCCTTCACTTAGGTTTACTGATTTACCCAGGTTGGTTCAGATCACCTGAAACAAACAAACAAAACTTTCCAGCAGGCAAGACTAATTTGCACTGAGATGACTAAATGGAATTTGAATGGTATTTATAAAAACCCACACACAGCCAATGATGCGCACGCACACACACACACACACACACACACACACAGAGATTAAAAAACCCACACAAGAGGAAGTTAAACTTTAACTCCATCCCATCTACTCTCATCTTTGCCAACAATTTCTTTAAAATGGATGTGCTGGACTGGATCATATCACTCTTTAAAACCACCCAACTGGAAACATTCATTTGTCTTCAAGGATCTTGATGATAAATTCAGTATAAAAATGAAACAGCAATTTAACTCGACAAGGTCCCAGCCCAGAATGGGCTTGGCTTTCCTGGGAAACCAAGAATTTGTGAATACTTGCTGCCTCACTGCCCACCCTCACCCCAGACCCTATTCCAGCTGGCATCAGAAGTACAAACAGATCAGTTTCCCATGCCCATAAATCCTTCCCTTGAGGTTAATTCAAGCAGCTATGCCAAGGAACCATGAGCATCCTGTTCTTATCCCCGGAAATGATTTTCCTTTGGTTCCCCTTGAACAAATGACACCATCTCTGACATCCAAGTTATCTCACAGAATTCAAAGAGATCACCCTGCCTAGTCCCTCACCTCAAGGAGGGAACCTACTTGAACCGTTCCACATAAAGGGGACTCTTCAGTTTGTGAAGAACCCCAGACAAGTTTTCATACAATATTCCTCAGGAAGTCTGACTCCAGTATACTCCAGTGTTCTCCTAATCACTACATTATTTACTGCATCAATCATGTAACATTAAGCTGTCTCATCTAAATCCTACCTACTAAAATTTTAAGCCTGCTTTCTATTCACCTGCCAATGGCAGAATCTGCAAACTACAGGCCATGCTCTTCTGGATAAGAACTCTCATGGACTTGGTTACAATTGTTCTCTTCTATTCCCTGGATTTAATCCCAACCCTTTTAGCCTTGCCTCATAAATTTAAAATTTAAAACTCTGTTTTTTCACTTTCATGACTGCCATTTAGCTTCAGAATCTGGAGATAGAGAAAGGACTTTAGTCAGAGGATGACCAATTCACTGAGTAAAAAGGGACTTGTAACTATATTTGGAGAACAAGGTGATCCAGCTCTGGTCGAAGAGTTTCATACTACCCCAGTTAAACTGTAAGTTCCACCATATCCCAGATCATATATGAGGAGGGTTTATGGGTCCAGAGCAGGGTGCCTTACCTTCTGGGCTTGGGCAGGTTCAGTGAGGATGAGAGTAAACAGGCCCAGGCAGATTTCTTCATGCTGGGGGAGGCCTTTGCACACCTGGAATGTGAGAAAGGAAAACAAACTAGTTGTCACTCACAGGCAGTAAGTTCTCAAACTCAGTTTCTCCCAGAAAACATGGGACTCCTAAGGAAGATGCAAAGGAGAATAATCAACTTTTAAATCTGATGATTTCCTTCTCTTAAAAGAGATTTTTAAAAAAAGAAGAGAGATAAGGACGACAGGTGTGGTGGTGCACACCTGTAGTCCCAACTACTCCAGAGGCTGAAGCAGAAGGATCGCTTGAGCCCAGAAGTTCAAGGCTATAGTGCACTATAATCATGCCTGTGAACAATCACTGCATTCCAGCCTGGGCAACATAGCGAGACCACATTGCTATAAAAATAAAAAGCTGTACTGAAAGATGCCCAAGGCTCCAAGAGATAGGCTCCCACAGTAAAAGAGAAGAATTGAGAAATTTGATTCAGGGAGCCAAGACTTGATGAATTTCAGTCCCCTACCCCCAACCACTTAGTCTTTCCATCTTTTTGACCATGTTTCAAGACCTTCACAGCAGCAGCAGTGGCTGCAGGGACAGCATTCTACTTACATACGCATTGAGGGCATCATTGGCTTCTCTCTCCGAGACACCAGCAGTCATCGATGTCACAATGCTCATACACCTTTCCAATCTCTGGGAAGGGGTGAGAAAAAATGAACAGTGTGTCATAACACCACTTAGGAAGTACTTCTGGGCCCCTAAAAGTTTAACAATTCAAACCTGATCATGCCCATTGATCTAGCTGCCAGTTTACTTATAAAGTCACCATGAGGATAAAACCAGCAAAATCTAAAATGTGGAAACCATAAACAGGTGACCTGATTTCTTTAACACATAAATCGCAAGAAAAAAAGTGAGGGAAACCCATATATTAAGAGACTTAGGGCCAGGCGTGGTGGCTCATGCCTCTAATCCTAGCACTTTAGGAGGCCGAGGTGGGCAGATCACCTGAGGTCAGGAGTTCAAGACCAGCCTGGCCAACACGGTGAAACCCCGTCTCTACTGAAAATGCAAAAATTAGCCAGGCGCAGTGGCACATACCTGTAATCCCAGCTACCTGGGAGGCTGAGGCAGGAGAATCTCTGGAACCCGGGAGGCAGAGGCAGCAGTGAGCAGAGATCGCGCCATTGCACTCCAGCCTGGGTGACAGAGCGAGACCCTGTCTCAAAAAAATAAAATAAAATAGGGCGGGCACGGTGGCTCACACCTGTAATCCCAGCACTTTGGGAGGCCGAGGCAGGTGGATCACAAGGTCAGGAGTTTAAGACCAGCCTGACCAACATGTGAAACTCCGTCTCTACTAAAAATACAAAAAATTAGCCGGGCATGGTGGTGTGCGCCTGTAATCCCAGCTACTCAGGAGGAGGAGACTGAGGCAGGAGAATTGCTTGAACCCGGGAGGCAGAGGTTGCAGTGAGCAGACATCATGCCACTGCACTCCAGCCTGGGCGACAGAGCGAGACTCTGTCTCAAAAAAATATATTTTAATAAAGAAAATAAAATAAAAGGGACTTAGGCCAGATGCAGTGGCTCACGCCTGTAATCCCAGCACTTTGGGAGGCTGAGGTGGGCAGATCACCCGAGGTCAGGAGTTCGAGACCAGCCTGGCCAATATGGTGAAACCCTGTCTCTACTAAAAATACAAAAATTAGCTGGGTGCGGTGGTTCACACCTGTAATCCCAGCACTTTGGGAGGCCGAGGGGGTTGGATCACCAGAGGTGGGGAGTTCGAGACCAGCCTGACGAACATGGAGAAACCCCGTCTCTACAAAAATTAGCCTGGCATGGTGGCACATGTCTGTAATTCCAGCTACTCGGGAGGCTGAGGCAGGAGAATTGCTTAAACCCAGGAGGCAGAGGTCGAGGTGAGCCGAGATTGCATCATTGCACTCCAGCCTGGGCAACAAGAGTGAAACTCCGGCCGGGCGCGGTGGCTCACGCCTGTAATCCCAGCACTTTGGGAGGCCGAGGCGGGTGGATCACGAGGTCAAGAGATCAAGACTATCCTAGCCAACATGGTGAAAAAACCCTGTCTCTACTAAAAATACAAAAATTAGCTGGGCATTGTGGCACACGCCTGTAGTCCCAGCTACTCGAGAGCCTGAGGCAGGAGAATCACTTGAACCCGGCAGGTGGCAGTTGCCGTGAACCGAGATCATGCCACTTCACTCCAGCCTGGGCGACAGAGTGAGACTCCGTCTCAAAAAAAACAAGAAAAAAAAATTAGCCAGGCGTGGTGGCAGGCGCCTATAATCCCAGCTTCTCAGGAGGCTGAGGCAGGAGAATCGCTTGAACCTGGGAGGCAGAGTTTGCAGTGAGCTGAGTTGGCATCATTGCACTCCAGTCTGGATGACAAGAGCGAGACACTGTCTCAAAAAAAAAAAAAAAAAGACACTTAATATTATCATCTATCGAATAAAATGAGAATCCATCAGTCCATTTTGATAGATACATACATAATAAACAAGAAAGGAAAGCTCTTCCTTACAGTACAATGCCAACTAATAAATGTAGATGAAATGGTGAAAGTAATAACTGATTCAGGCAAATATCATCATCAATGGATGGTAAAACTAGTAGGTGAAACTTTTCAGAGAAAGAAGATAATTACATAGATTCAAAATACTTATTAATTACAAAAGGAATATAATAATCACTGTAGGAGAGCCTGGAGGACACTACCTTAACCAAGTGATCAAAGTTAATATCACTAAATAATGAGACATGTTAACACTATGTGCCTCTAACAGGATGCACTGAAAGGATATAACATCACTTTTATGGTTTTCTTGCCAAAAATGCATAAACTCAGTCCAATTATGAAGAAATTTCAGACAACCCAAACTGAAGGATATTCTACAAAACAAATGGCCTGTCAAAAATGCTTAAGGGCTGGGCACGGTAGCTCACACCTGTAATCCCAGCACTTTGGGAGGCAGGAGGACTGCTTGAGCCCAGGAGCTCGAGACCAGCCTGGGCAATATAGGGAGACCCCCATCTCTATAAATAAGAAAAAAATTAGCTGAGCATGGTTGTGCATGCCTGTGGTCCCAGTTACTCAGGAGGCTGAGGTGGGAGGATCACTTGAGCCCAGGAGGGCAAGGCTATAGTGAGCTATGATGGTACCACTACACTCCAGCCTGGGCAACAGAACATTATTGTTAATGTTTTTAGTTATGATATAAATATTATGATTATGTTTTTTAAAAGTCCTTTTCTTATAGACTTTATATAAAATGTTTACAGATAAAATTGTATATCTTGGATTTGCTTCAAAGTAATACAGAGGTAGCTGAAAGAAGATAAAACAAGATTGCTATCTACTGTTAAGTACTGAAGCAGAGTGATGGCTACATGAAGATTTTACTATTCTACTTTTTTATATTTGAAATGTCCCCCCAAAATGTTAAGAACAAACTTTAAAAACAATGAGAGTGTGAGGAAAGAAAAATAGAGCACCAAAAGCCAAATGAAAACCTACCAGGGGTCGGGCACAGTGGCTCACGTCTGTAATCCCAGCACTTTTGGAGGCTGAGGCGGGAGGATCACTTGAGGTCAGGAGTTTGAGACCAGCCTGGCCAACATGGCAAAACCCCGTCTCTACTAAAAATACAAAAACTAGCCAGGTGTGGTGGCGCGCACCTGTAGTCCTAGCCTCTTGGAAGGCTGAGGCAGAGGAATCGCCTGAACCTGGGAGTCAGAGGTTGCAGTGAGCCAAGATTGCACCTCTGCACTCCAGCCTGGGCTACAGAATGAGACTCTGTCCAAAAAAAAAGTACCAGGGTCTCCAGTTAAACAAGGATGAAAATAGCTGCATTAAAGCCTACCCAACAGTCATTCTGGTTTCAACTCCACCATGTCATGTGTTCAACATTCTAAGGGAACCTTAGTCACTGGTCCCTGTTCAGAAGAAGCAATATTGGTAAGATACTGACAAAATGCGACTCGTAAGTCAATGAACCTCTCCATTATCACCACCTAAACTATTTCCTGAGTCCTTTTAAAACTTTATCTTGAGGATTAACCCAAAAACTGTTTAAGAAAAACCAATTTCCAGTGATAATGATTCTGGCAAAAGAAGGACAAAGGAAGGCTGGTTTACTTCTACCTGATCTTAGAGGTCATCACCACACATCTTATTGAGAAGTGGTTCTATCACAGCATTTTGAAGAACTGACAAATATGGATAATAGGATAGAGGTTTAAGAATGAAAGACGGCCAGGTGCAGTGGCTCACGCCTGCAATCCCAGCACTTTGGGAGGCTGAGGTAGGAGGATTATGAGGTCAGGAGATAGAGACCATCCTGGCTAACAAGGTCAAACCCCGCCTCTACTTAAAAAAAATACAAAAAATTAGCCGGGCATGGTGGCAGGCGCCTGTAGTCCCAGCTACTCAGGAAGCTGAGGCAGGAGAATGGTGTGAACCCGGTCGGCGAAGCTTGCAGTGAGCCGAGATTGTGCCACTGCACTCCAGCCTGGGCGACAGAGGGAGACCCCGTCTCAAAAAAAAAAAAAAAAAAAAGAATGAAAGACAATTGGACTGGGCGCGGTGGCTCACGCCTGTAATCTCAGCACTTTGGGAGGCAGAGGGAGGGTGGATTATGAGGTTAGGAGTTCGAGACCAGCCTGACCAACATGGTGAAACCCCGTCTCTACTAAAAATACAAAACTTAGCTGGGTGTGGTGGCATGCGCCTGTAATCCCAGCTACTCGGGAGGCTGAGGCAGGAGAATTGCTTGAATCTGGGAGGCAGAGGTTGCAGTGAGCCAAGATTGCGCCACTGCACTCCAGCCTGGGTGACAGAGCAAGACTCCATCTCAAAAAAAAAAAAAGGATAAAAGACAATCATGCTTCTCCTTTACCATTATCCTCAGGTTGCCTATGTCTATCCTGTGTAAGAGCATAAGGTGGCACAGAGTAGAACTGAGTGTTAAGGCAAGGCAAGTGTTTGTAGCTCCCATAGCTATAAAACTTCAAGCTAAAATAAGCCCCAAGCCACTTATTACAACTTAATATCAGGTCTAACTATGCTCCAAATTAGGTCAGATTGGCAGCTCAGCCTGAATAAAAAGCACCTGTGTACTTGTGAAAAGGAGCTGTGAGGTCACATGAAGGCTGAGCTATGATTCTCACAGCCCACCTCTCCCACAAGCTCTGAGATCCAGTATTACCTAGTCCACCTCCTATATGATAAGGGGAGGGAAGGAAAACCCTCCAGCTGGGCTTCCTCTGTTTTTAAATCTTATCCCACTTGCCAGGCACAGTGGCTCACGCCTGTAATCCCAGTACTTTGGGAGGTCGAGGCAGGTAGATCACCTGAGGCCAGGAGTTCAAGACTAGCCTGGGGAACAGAAAGAGACCCCCCCAACCCCATCTCTACAAAAACTAAATAAATCAGCCAGGCATGGTCGTGTGCACCTGTAGTCCCAGGTACTTGGGAGGCTGAGGCAGGAGGATCACTTGAGCCCAAGAGCTGTAGGCTGCAATAAACCGTGATTGCACCACTGTACTCCAGCCTGGGTGACAAAGCAAGGCCCTGTCTCAAAAATCATCCCTCTCTACCCAAGACAATTATCACGGACTGGGGAATCAATTACATCCAGCTGCTAGGTTCAGATTGCTCTTACTAGGAGATCTGGGGGAAGCCCTGTACACAGCCTAGGTTAACGGTTTCAGAGGAGAAGGAGATGGTGAACAAGGAGTGGCACAGCATTCTAAAATTCTAGATATTCCTTCCTACCAAAGGGAAAAATCTCTGCTGAATCAATGGAGAGGAAAGGCAAGCAAAATCAAACAGCAGCTAGCTAATAAGCAAACTGACAGGAAGCATAACATAGAAAGAACCCTCCACACTTGCCAGCCTTAGGCTAATCTTGGGTAATTTAGCCACTCAAAACCCCTCAAAACAGAGATAATGCCTCTATCACAAGGTTGCTGTAAGGATTAAACAAAATGACATATGTGAAAGCACCTAGCATACAGCCTCACTTAAATTAGACCTATTCAATCTGTGGCCAGGCATGGTGGCTCATGCCTATAATCTCAGCGCTTTGGGAGGCCAAGGTGGGGAGGAATCACTTGAGGACAGGAGTTCAAAACCAGCCTAGGCAACATAGTGAAGCCGCTGTCTCTACAAAAAAAATGTTAAAAATTAGCTGGGTGTGGTGGCGTGCCTATAGTCCCAGCTACTTGGGAGGCTGAAGTGGGTGCATCATTTGAGCCCAGGAGGTTGAGGATGCAGTGAGCCATGATCACGCCACTGCACTCCAGCCTGAGTGACAGAGCAAGACCTTGTCTCAAACAAAACAAAACAAAAACTATTCAATTTGCGGGAAGCTCAGCAATTGCACAACTAAATTTAGAGAACTAAAACCTCTCCACTCCCAGACACTACTTCTATTCTAATGGGATGGCCTTAAAGATTCCTGAAAACTCCTACCACAGGACATGAATAAATTCCTGACCAGGCTAAAAAGCTTTCTCTCCTATCTACTCTCTGTAAACTTTTGCCTTCTAGGAGACAAGAGGAAAAGGTAGGGGAGAGGGAGGGGCCTGAATGATGTACCCTCTACCAGATCCTGCAAAGCTGGCTACACAAAGGGCTAGCTGAGCCTCCAGCAATGATCTATTGCTGAGAGACCTTGGGTTGAACAGTTTCTCTAGGCCCCTTCCCTAGCTCCCGTGAGCTCTGCTCAGAGGCCTGAGTCAATTCTATGGGTCACTGCTCAGTGAAGGAGCAAAGTGGCCTCTTGGAACAGAGAGGCTCAGCTAAGGTTGTAGAAAGTGAGAGTCCAGAATTTGGATGGGTGGATAACTGCAATGAGGAAAAAATGAGAGGCCCAGTCCTTTCTGTTCACAGGCAACAAGAAGTATAAAGGATACTTTACTCTTCCTGGACTACAGAAATTACTTTTCCAAACAGGGATGGGAAAATTGATTACAAATCATTCAGGGTGACAAAGGACCATGTCCCTTCAAAGAAAGCCACAGGAAGCCAGATCCCTACAATCAAGTAATAGCAACGCTTTTCCCCTAGTCTCCAGAGTCTCTTAGTAAAGATAGAATCATAGGTTCAGATGCCAACAACTGCTGGCAGAATGGCTCTGTTCAGAGTAAGCCCTCCATGACAGTACCTTAGAGAGCTGAGTAAATATTTACAATCTCTAGGAGCTCCTGAACTAATTTTTCTAATACTAAGACTACCTGACCATGGTTTCCATGAGAGCAGCAGCAGATGAAATGGGGGAGAAAGGGGGGGAAGGCCTTTCTCTTTCCCAGTATATACCCAAAGCTGGAGACTCAAGCTGGAGGAACCCCTCTAACCTTTCCATTTCCCCTCCCTCAGCCAGGTGGATATAGAGTCTGGTAAAAAGCATACAGTGGCTGGGTGTGGTGGCTCACGCCTGTAGTCCCAACACTCTGGGAGGCTGAGGGGGGCGAATCACGAGGTTAGGAGATCGAGAGCAGCCTGGCCAACATGGTGAAACCCCATCTCTACTAAAAATACAAGAATCAGCCGGGTGTGGTGGCGCACACTTGTAGTCCCAGCTACTCGGGAGGCTGAGGCAGGAGAATCGCTTGAACCCGGGAGGCGAAGGTTGCAGGGAGCTGTCGCGCCACTGCACTCCAGCCTGGGTGACGGAGCGAGAATCCATCTCCCCACAAAAAAAAGCATACAGTAAATACTGCTCCCTATGGGAAGTGGCCTTAAACACCAAATTCCCCATCTTCAGAAAAGGAAGATACAATCTAACTCATAAAATCCCCAAGGACAGCTGGGTGCGGTGGCTCACGCCTGTAATCCCAGCACTTTGGGAAGCTGAGGCAGGAAGATCACGAGGTCACGACTTCGAGAGCAGCCTGGACAACATGGTGAAACCCCATCTCTACTAAAAATACAAAAATTAGCTGGGCGTGGTGGTGCACACCTGCAGTCCCAGCTACTTGGGAGGCTGAGGCAGGAGAATCGCTTGAACCCAGGGGGCGGAGGTTGCAGTGAGCCGAGATCGCACCACTACACTCCAGCCTGGGAGACAGAGCAAGACTGCATCTGCAAAAAAAAAAAAAAAAAAAAAAAAAAAAAAAAGCATTCGGTAAATACTGCTCCCTATGGGAAGTCAGTGGCCTTAAAAGACTAAATTCTGGCCCGGCACGGTGGCTCATTCCTGTAATCCCAGCACTTTAGGAGGCCGAGGTAGGTGGATCATGAGGTCAGGAGTTCGAGACCAGCCTAACATGGTGTACGAGGTCAGGAGTTCAAGACCAGCCTGACCAACATGGTGAAACCCTGTCTCTACTAAAAATACAAAAAAATTAGCCGGGCATGGTGGTGCGTGCCTTTACTCCTAGCTACTCAGGAGGCTGAGGCAGGAAAATCGCTTGAATCTGGGAAGTGCAGGTTGCAGTGAGCCGAGATGATGCCACTGCACTCCAGTCTGGGCAACACAGTGAGACTCCATCTCAAAAAAAAAAAAAGACTAAATTCCTCATTTTCAGAAAAGGAATATACAATCTAACTCATAAAATCCCCAAGGATGGCCAGGCACAGTGACTCACGCCTGTAATCCCAGCACTTTCGGAGGCCGAGGCAGGTGGATCACCTGAGTTCAGGA
Source organism: Homo sapiens (assembly GCF_000001405.40). Classification (NCBI taxonomy): domain Eukaryota; kingdom Metazoa; phylum Chordata; class Mammalia; order Primates; family Hominidae; genus Homo; species Homo sapiens. The sequence goes on along the minus strand of NC_000001.11, from coordinate 153,732,671 downwards.
ATTTGAGACCAGCCTAGCCAATGTGGTGAAACCCCGTCTCTACTAAAAATGCAAAAAAAGTAGCTGGGTGTGGTGGTGGGCTTCCGTAATCCCAGCTACTTGGGAGGCTGACGCAGGAGAATCGCTTGAACACAGGAGGCAGAGGTTTCAGTTAGCTGAGATCACGCCATTGCACTACAGCCTGGGTAACAAGAGGGAAACTCCGTTTAAAAAAAAAAAAAAAATCCCCAAGGACTCACGTAGGTGAGGAGTTATTGAACAAGCTGCGTTCAAAGTATTCCACAACCATGAGTCACTGGTATATGAAATTATGATTTGTAAGGGGACAAAAACTAGAAGTGACTCAAAGCCCAGTCCCTGGAGACTCCTCACATATGTATATGAATTATTCCTTGGGGAAAACCAGGTAGAGACATACCTCTAACCAAATGCAACCCTGAGACCTATCCAGCGCTTAAGAGGAAGCTCTGGCCAGGCTCGGTGGCTCATGCCTGTAATCCCAGCAATTTGGAAGGCCAAGGCAGGTGGATCACCTGAGGTCAGGAGTTCGAGACCAGCCTGGCCAACATGGTGAAACCCATCTCTACTAAAAATACAAAAATTAGCCAGGAGTGGTAGTGCCTGTAATCCCAGCTACTCTGGAGGCTGAGGCAGGAGAATCGCTTGAACCCGGGAGGCAGAGGTTGCAGTGAGCCAAGATCGCGCCACTGCACTCCAGCCTGGGCGACAGAGGGAGACTCTGTCTCAAAAAAAAAAAAAAAAAAAAAAAAGTTAAAAAAAGACGCGGGGCCAGGTGCGGTGGCTCAAGTCTGTAATCCCAGCACTTTGGGAGGCCGAGGTGGGCGGATCATGAGGTCAGGAGATAGAGACCATCCTGGCTAACATGGTGAAACCCTGTCTCTACTAAAAATGCAAAAAATTAGCCGGGCGTGGTGGCAGGCGCCTGTAGTCTCAGCTACTCGGGAGGCTGAGGCAGGAGAATGGTGTGAACCCGGGAGGCAGAGCTTGCAGTGAGCCAAGATCCCACCACTGCACCACTCCAGCCTGGGCGACAGAGTGAGACTCCATCTCAAAAAAAAAAAAAAAAAAAAAGAGGACGCTCTTGGGCCTCCCACTTTCAGCCTGATTTAAAAGTGATTGGTCCCTCTTTGGCAGAAGAAAAACCAGGAGCTACCAAGGCTCATGAGATTAGGAACTACATGTTCTAAACTCCTTCAATCTCTGGCACTATTTTTATCTCATTCCCTCCCCAAATTGGGATGGGAATGGGCAAGAAGACTTCCGCCTTCAAAGGGAAAAACAGGGCCAAAGAGAAGAAAGGATATACCAAATGTTCCCTAGGGTAGTAGAGTTAAGAGTTCCTGCCTGGGATGCTCTTGACCAGTGCTTCCTACTCCAAATCTCTAAAGGTCTTTCCTAATCACACCCAATTATAATGACCTGTCTCTTCACTACTCTAACTAGTTTCTTTTGTTTATTGTTTTTGTTTTTTTACCTTCTTGTGGGCGTGTTAAATGAAGCCATTAGATGATAAGCTTCGAAAGGCAGACCTTGGATGTCCTCCAACCTGTTTTCCTATCAGACCCAGCACACAGTAAGCATATATGGTCAGGAAACTACCTCTGTGTTCCTGGGCAATAGGTAGGTCTGTGATGGGAAAATAACCAAGCCAGAACAAGCAGAGGTCAGTCGATCAACACCAAGTTTTCATAACTTCTGTGTGCAGAGATCTGTGGGGAGACCCAGAGGAAGAAGCCAGTAAGTCTTGCCCTTAGAGACCCTCTGGTCTAGTGGGGATAACCGAACCACACACATTGGGAAAAAAATAGTGTGGCAAGTCTTGCTAGAAAATTCAAATGCAAAGGACAAAGGGCAAAGAAGGGGGAGCTTGAGACATACTGGGAAACATCCACATTATGGAGATCAGAAAAAAAGAAAGACCCTCCCTCCCCCTTTTCCCTGGAAACAGTTGGAAGTTCACTCTCAGTATAAAAAAAGCCAGAAAATGCATGCTTCCCCTCTTCGATGGTCCCCTCCTGCTGCATCATTTCATTTAGTAGCAAACACGTCACTGCTCAGAAGAACAGGATGCTGTACTATTCAGTGAATTGAATTAAAGCAGAGACACAATGACGCCTCTAAGAATCAGGGTGGGGATTTCAACCCCTGGGTCTTTTGCCCTCCACTCAAACTGATGGAGGGATCAAAGGCAGTCCATTATTGACTTTCTATACTTCTAGAGCTCCAGTGTTAGTACACAGGGATCAAGAAATGTTTTGACAATGACAGTGGCCATTTCTTAAAAAGTAAATAATTCCAATTGCCAGGCAGTCCTAAAGTCATTCTCACCTGTTTTGGGAATACATTGTTCACATTCATAATTATATCTACCTTAGCTGATAACTACAGACAGCAGAAAACAAACTGATTTACCTGAATGCCCACAGAATTATGAGGGAAAAGCATGACGGGAAGGCAGACTGCAAGTAGACATTTGCTGGTGGAAAATCCACAAAGTTACTATCCAGCCACTTCTTGATTCACAAAGTTCATTTTGGCATGTATGTTCTACCATCTTGTATCTGACCCATTTTTTCAAATCTAAATTCTGAATTTCACCTGTCTGCCTGCCCACCCTCTAATAGCTGATAAAGTTAGAAGCTGGGAAACAGCCAGTGAAGAGCTAAGGCCTGTTAATGTACTCATCCTGTCCCTGGATAACCACCGAGTTGAATATTAGGCCTTACAAACAGTTAAGCAATCACGTCTCAGCTCTGGATCTCATATTCTTTTTTTTTTTTTTTTTGAGACGGGGTCTCTCGCTCTGTCGTCAGGCTGGAGTGCAGTGGCGCAATCTTGGCTCGCTGCAACTTCTGCCCACGGGTTCAAGCGATTCTCCTGCCTCAGCCTCCCAAACAGCTGGGATTACAGGCACAAGCCACCATGCCCAGCTAATTTTTGCATTTTTAGTAGAGACGGGGTTTCACCATGTTGGCCAGGATGGTCTCGATCTCTTGACCTTGTGATCCGCCTGCCTCGGTCTCTCAAAGTGCTGGGATTACAGGCGTGAGCCACCGCACCCAGCCTAGATCTCATATTCTTAAGTACATATTCTCGTTTGTAGGAGTGGAAAGGTATACGTGATCAACTCTGAGATGGCAGAATGAGAAAGCTGGGTAAGAGGACAGGAGGGGCAACTATCAGGTCCCCTGAAGTCCTCATTCAGGTCCATTCCATTTCTTCGCTCCACCTTCTTTTTCAGAAGCGATGTGTTCTCTCCTGTGTGTGTGCTATCTGGTTCTGAAGGAGAATCCCCTAGGTACCATTCACCCCACTACAGTGGCTGATGCCACCAAACTAAACACTACTCACTTTTCTTAAGTCTTCACTCATTCTAGATGCCCAGTTAACATCACTGGCAATTGGTTGTGTCTACACGAAGTCAATGATAGCATCTAACAGGAGGGTCCAAGGTCTACTGCCAGCTCTTACCAGCCCCCAAACATCTACACAGACATACATTACATCTCAACTCAATATATTGACCTAAGTCTGAAACAGGGTTGATAGTAAAAATAGCTGGGGTGTGTATGTCGAAAGGAATGTCAAAAATAAATTCGGTAAACCTGGATGTTGTATCCCTTCCTTCACCAACACCCCCCACCCATTTTCATACTAGTGGCTGCTGTTACTATGACAACCTGTCCAGGAAGTTGGCCCACATTTCTTCCCTCAGGAGCAGGAAGCTGGAGCAGTGTTTGTGTTACTTCACAAAAAACTTGAAAGCCTCCACCCCCGCCCCCACCCCCCGTCCTCCCACCCGGTATCCGCTCCAGTATCCCTCCAAAACCCAATTTCTTAACTCCCTTCCCTCCCCCCACACCTACCTCCTCTAACTCATCCTTGGCATCCAAACTGGTTGAAAGTAGCAGCCTCCCCCCTCCTGGGGCTCCTGCTCCCGCTCCTCCTCCTCCACCTCCCGCTGCTCCCGAAGCAGCTGCTGCTGCTGCCGCCCCTTTTCCCTTCTGCAACTCCATGGCTGCAGCCAGGAGCCGGGAAAAGGTCAGGGAGTGGATGGATGGACAGTCCTAGATATCGGGATCTCTGGATTGCCAGGGACTGGGGGGCAAGAGGAACAAGTTGGGGAGGGGAGAGCAAGGGCCCCTGTCCTCTCCACTCCTCCCTCCTCTCCAAAAGGCCGCGCCTGCGTTGGGGGCGAAGGCACAGTCCTCTGGGTCCTGACTCTGGGGTGGCAGTGCTGAGGGAAAGGCGTTGGCTCCGAAGTACAGTGGGGTAAAGGCCTGTGTCCCTATGGGAAGGGTAGGAGAGGCTTCCGCCCCTGAAGAAGTGGACCCTAAGAGCGTCTGACCCTAAGAAAGGAGGGAAACCCCTAAGTTTCTGCCTCTTTTCCCCGTGGGGGGAAAAGAGGAGTCCTGCCCCTGAATTAGGAGGTAGGAAACCTTCCTGGCTGATGCCCCAAGGCTTGGGGAGTGCAGCGCCTTTGGATCCGGCCCCTAGGGGGTGAGGGTGAGGCAATAAGCGCTATGGGAGGACGGGGAGGACCAGCGTCTCCCCACACCACACAGAAGCGGCCATAGTGGAAGGGCGGGGGGTGGGAAGGCGGAGGGCGGGGGAGGGGGAGAAATCGTCTAGGCCCGCGCCGGAAGTGAGCAGTCGCGGCCCCTGGCCTCCGCCAATAGCTGCTTCCGCGGTGGCGCTGAGTCTCCAAGGGGTAGGAAGACCTCGGCGGACTGGCCTTTTCTCCGTCTGCCAATGGTGTTGAGGGAGAAGAGAGCCTGGTCTGATGGACAACTAGCGTGCCCAATCGCTTCCCTCCTTTGCTCTCGGGGTGGGGTGGGAGCGCGAGGCGATGAGGAAGGAGAGAGGCTGCGCCGGCGTGCGCTGAGGCGCATGCGCGATGTCAGCCTCCGCCCTGTTCCTCCTAGAATTTGGGTGGGTGCAGGAACCTGGGCAATGTCCCTGCGTGGCTTTGAGAGACACGAAGCCTGCCACGAAGTGGCAGGGCGGGGGAGGGAACGTACCCCAACCCGTAGGCAGTCACAGAGCAAATGCCGTCGGGTGGTATGAAGCCAGCTTCCAGAGCTAAGAGTGCATCACACAGGCACGTGTATGCACTCACATAAGTGCAATTATCAGACTTTGCAAAAAAAGTGCATTGCCCCTTAGGCCGAGTCCGATGGCTGACGCCTGTAATCCCAGCACTTTGGGAGGCCGAGGCAGGCGGATCACGAGGTCAGGAGATTGAGACGATCCTGGCCAACGTGGTGAAACCCCGTCTCTACTAAAAATACAAAAATTAGCCAGGCGTGGTGGCGGGCGCCTGTAGTCCCAGCTACATGGGAGGCTGAGGCAGGAGAATCGCTTGCACCCGGGAGGCGGAGGTTGCAGTGAGCCGAGATCGCGCCACTGCACTCCAGCCTGGGCGACAAGAGCAAAAACTCCGTCTCAAAAAAAAAAAAAAAAAAATGTGCATTGACCCACTTGTGCAAAACAAGTCGTTCGAATCGTGCCAGCACTACCTCCAGCAAAAATGTTCCAAATGATAGAACCAACTTCATTTTTGTTTTGAGTATCTGGGACTGACCCATGTCACTTTCACCCAATGCAGTGTTGTGATGCGTTGCGAATGCAATGTGGCCTTGATTGTTTTGTAAGTCCATTTGTATTTCTTGGTTTTCCATCTGTGTGTCTCAGTGGCATTTTTTTTTCAAGAGCACTTTAGGATTATCTTTCACAGGCCCAAAGACAGATCAAATTTCGCTTTTTTTTTTTTTATTTTTCCTGAGACGGAGTCTCAACTGTTTTCGCCCAGGCTGGAGTGCAATGGCGTGATCTCGGCTCACTGCAACCTCCACCTCCCGGGTTCAAGCGATTCTCCTGCCTCAGCCTCCTGAGTAGCTGGGATTACAGACACCCACCACCACGCCCGGTTAATTTTGTTTTGTTTTGTTTTGTTTTTCCTTTTGAGACGGAGTCTCGCTCTGTCGACCATGCTGGAGTGCAGTGGCGCGATCTCAGCTCACTGCAAGCTCAGCCGCCTGGGATCATGCTATTCTCCTGCCTCAGCCTCCCGAATAGCTGGGACTACAGGCACCTGCCACCACGCCTGGCTAATTTTTTTCTATTTTTAGTAGAGACGAGGTTTCACCGTGTTAGCCAGGGTGGTCTCGATCTCTTGACCTCGTGATACGCCCGTCCGGGGATTCCCAAAGTGCTGGGATTACAGGCGTAAGCCACTGCGCCCGGCCAAATTTCGCTATGTTTAAAGCCTGCTTTAAAAAAAAAAAAAAATCCACAGGCTTGTCCTAGTGCAGTAGTGTTTACAACTCATTGATCACAACCAGTTACAGATTTCTTTGTTCCTTCTCCACTCCCACTGCTTCACTTGGGTAGCCTTTAAAAAAAAATCCACATTCCTGCTTGTTTTACTTCCAGTAAAATGGAGACAAAGGTTGCCTGTGAGCTTTGGGAACATTATGTGACCTAATGGATGTGAGATCACATTTTAAACTGGAATACACTGTACAGATACTAGTTACCACTACAGGCAATCCTATTTACTTTTACACTTGTAATGGCTTAACATTTTAACTCTATATGTGAATGTTCCTTTAAGTTGGCTCACTCATTCCTTTCTTTATTAGTAGGTGTAAGACCTTAGGGAAGTCATTTTGACTTTCTGTACATTAATTATCTGTAAAATAAGAGGTGGACTTGCTGATCTCTAAATATCTTTCTAGCACTGAAAGTCTATAGTTCTATTGAGAATACCTTGGATTTCTTCTAGGTGCAAAACATTGCATAGCCGCTGAAGAATGCAAACTCTTTGGGTGCAGTGGCTCACGCCTGTAATCCCAGCACTTTGGGAGGACAAGGCAGGGGGATCACTTGAGCCCAGGAGTTGGAGACCAGCTTGGGCAACATAGCAAGACCCTGTCTCTACAAAAAAAAAATTTTTTTAAAAGAATGCAAACTCAAGTTATTACAATAACATTACTGTGTGTCATTGGAAATACATATATATGTAATTGGAAATACATAGGTGAAAAAAGAAGAGTAAAGGGTAGAACACTGTACTTTATGCTTCCATTTGTTTGTGGGTTTTTTAAAGTAGGAGCTGGGAGCCTGGTGCAGTGGCTCAAGACTGTAATCCCGCACTTTGAGAGGCAGAGGCAGGAAGATCACTTGAAGCCAGAAGTTTCAGACTAGCCTGGGCAACAAAGTGAGACCTTGTCTCTACAAAAAATAAAAACATTGGCAGGGTGAGGTGTCGTGCACCTGTAGTCCCAGCTACTCAGGAGGCTGAGTCAGGAGGATCACTTCAGCTTAGGAGTTCAAAGCTGTGGTGAGCTATGATCACACCACTGCACACCAGCCTAGGTGACAGAGTGAGGCCCTGTCTCTGATACACACACACACGTGTATATATATATATACACACATACATCTATATACATACATATATATATATATATATATAGAGAGAGAGAGAGAGAGAGAGAAGCTTAATTACCCTTCTTTAGTAGGATATACATTTGTCAGGGCATAAACTATAGTTCTTCTTATATACGTATTAATAAAATGACAGTTGGGCCAGGTGCAGTGGCTCACGCCTGTAATCCCAGCACGTTGGGAGGCTGAGGCAGGCAGATCACTTGAGGTCAGGAGTTCGAGAACAGCCTGAGCAACATGGAGAAACTCCGACTCTACTAAAAATACAAAATTAGCCGGGGGTGGTGGGGCATGCCTGTCATCCCAGCTACTCAGGAGGCTGAGCACCAGAATTACTTGAACCCAGGAGATGGAGGCTGCAGTGAGCTGAGATTGCATCACTGCTCTCCAGCCTGGGCAACAGAGCAAGACCCTATCTCAAAAAAAAAAATCACTTAAAATCATAAAGTCAAAAGTTAAAATCAAAAGTCAAAATTGGCAAGAAAATTTGGTTATTTCTGTGTTCTACAATAATTTAACATAATAACCATAAATATAACTAATAACATACCAAGATATATCAGAATTTTAGGAATCTCATACAGTTTTGGAATACATATTAATAACATATCCATAAAAATATAACTTGGTTAAACAACAATTCTTTTTCCTTTTTTTTTTTTTTTTGAGATGAAGTCTCGCTCTGTTGCCCAGGCTGGAGTGCAGTGGTGTGATCTCGGCTCACTGCAAGCTCTGCCTCCCGGGTTCATGCCATTCTCCTGCCTCAGCCTCCCGAGTAGCTGGGACTACAGGCGCCCGCCACCGCACCCAGCTATATTTTTCTATTTTTAGTAGAGACGGGGTTTCACCGTGTTAGCCAGGATGGTCTCGATCTCCTGACCTTAAGATCCGCCTGCCTCGGCCTCTCAAAGTGCTGGGATTACAGGCGTGAGCCACTGCGCCCGGCCTAAACATCATTTCTTACTCAGTAATTTCTTTTTTGACAATACCTGATATGTAATTTAACATATCAAAAAACTTGTTTATTATCTCTCTTTTGGATGCCACAGGGGCCCTCTATAACATCCCAAAGTAAGTTGTTTTGTTTGTTTGTTTTTTGAGACAGGGTCTCACTCTGTCACCCAGGCTGGAGTGTAGTGGCATGATCTCAGCTCATTGCAGCCTCCACCTCCTGGGCTCGGTTGATCCTCCCACCTCAGCCTACAGAATAGCTGGAACTACAGGTACATACCACCACACCTGGCTGATTTTTCTATTTTGCAGTAGAAACAGGGTCTTGCTGTGTTGCCCAGTCTGGAATACAGTGACATGATCTCCACTCACTGCAACCTCGGCCTCCTGGGTTCAAACGATTCTCATACTTCAGCCTCCCAAGTACCTGGGACCACAGGTGTGCACCACCACACCCAGCTAATTTTTGTGTTTTTTGTAAAGATGGGGTTTTGCCATGTTGACCAAGCTGGTCTCAAACACCTGGCCTAAAGTGATCTGTTGACCTCAGCCTCTCAAAGTGCAGGGATTACAGGCATGACCCACTGTGCCCAGCTGTTCATCATGCAGTTTCTACGCAGGCTGCTTCACCAATAAATGACACTCAACTTGTTTTAAATGCATGTGATTACAAAAAACTGTTCATACTGTTCATCAAAAAGTGGGTGGGATTTTCCATTGATATTTCAAACATCTAATCAATGCAATCTATATTCTGAGTATCAATTTGAGTTGCACAGGTTAAGATGAGAACCCTTCACATAGTATTAAGGATGTGATGCAATCTGTACCTGAATTGACATTGTGTTTCCTCATAGTTAGGCTGCCTTTTTGAGAAATATCTTCCATCCCTGAGAGATCAGCTACATCAAGATAGCTCATCAGCTAAATCACGTTGGTCAAAATACCTGCTAACCAAGCAGATAAATAAATTCAGGCCAGGCATGGTGGCTCACACCTGTAATCCCAACACTTTGGGAGGCTGAGGCAGGTGGATCACCTGAGGTCAGGAGTTCAAGACCAGCCTGACCAACATGGAGAAATCCTGTCTCTACTAAAAATACAAAAATTAGCTGAGTGTGGTGGTGGGCGCCTGTAGTCCTAGCTATTTGAGAGGCTGAGGTGGGAGAATCGCTTGAACCCGGGAGGTGGAGGTTGCAGTGAGCTGAGATCATGCCAATGCACTTCAGCCTGAGTGAGAGAGTGAGACTTTGTCTCAAAATAGTAATAATAATAATAATCTGTCCTACTGTCAGTTGATTTTCAGTGTGCCTTCAGAGGGGGAAGGGAAAGTATCCCCTTGACCTCTACAGTACTTAGCCAAATTTTCACTAGGTCCAGCAAAACCTGAGCGTTCCAGTCACTACACGTACTCGCCAACACTTAGTCAGTCTTTTGAATTGTAGCTATTCTGGAAAGTGTTTACTGATATTTCATAGGTTGCTTTTTGAAATTTTTTGTTTGTTTGTTTGAGACGGAGTTTCACTCTTGTTGCCCAGGCTGGAGTGCAATGGCGTGATCTCAGCTCACAGCAACCTCTGCCTCCCGGGTTCAAGCCATTCTCCTGCCTCAGCCTCCAGAGTAGCTGGGATTACAGGCATGCGCCACCATGCCCGGCTAATTTTGTATTTTTAGTAGAGACGGGGTTTCTCCATGTTGGTCAGGCTGGTCTCGAACTCCTGACCTCAGGTGATCCACCTGGCTCAGCCGCTTTTTTAAATTTTAAACGTGTGGGCCAGGCATGGTGGCTCATGCCTGTAATCCCAGCAATTTGAGAGGCCAAGGAGGGCACATCACCTGAGGCCAGGAGTTCGAGATCAGCCTGGCCAAATTTTTTTTGTTTAAGAGTTGGGGTGGCCAGGTGCAGTGGCTCACGCCTATAATCCCAACACTTCGGGAGGCCGAGGTGGGCAGATCACAAGGTCAGGAGTTTGAGACCAGCCTGGCCAACATGGTGAAACCCCATCTCTACTAAAAGTACAAAAATTAGCTGGGCGTGGTGGCGAGTGCCTGTAATCCCAGCTACCAGGAAGCTGAGGCAGGAGAATCGCTTGAACCCGGGAGGTGGAGGTTGCAGTGAGCCGAGATCACACCACTGCACTCCAGCCTGGGTAACAGATAGACTCCATCTCAAAAAAAAAAAAAAGAAAGAAAGATTTGGGGTGGCCGAGCATGGTGGCTCACGCCTGTAATCCCAGCACTTTGGGAGGCCAAGGTGGGTGGATCACCTAAGGTCAGGAGTTTGAGACCAGCCTGGTCAACATGGTGAAACCCCATCTCTATTAAAAATTCAAAAATTAACCAGGGGTGGTGGTACTTGCCTATAATCCCAGCTACTCGGGAGGCTGAGGCAGGAGAATCGCTTGAACCCAGGAGGCAGAGGTTGCAGTGAGCAGAGATCGTGCCACTGTACTGCAGCCTGGGCAACAAGAGTGAAACTCGGTCTCAAAAAAAAAAAAAAAAAAAAGTTGGGGTTTGGCTGGGTGCAGTGGCTCATATCATAATCCTAGCACTTTGAGAGGCCGAGGTGGGTGGATCACTTGAGGTCAGGAGTTCAAGACCAGCCTGGCGACATGACAAAATCCCATCTCTACTAAAAACACAAAAATTAGCCAGGCCTGGTGGCGGGCACCTATAATCCTAGCTACTCCCAGCTACTCTGGAGTCTGAGACAGGAGAATCATTTGAACTTAGGGGACAGAGGTTGCAGTAAGCCAAGATCATGCCACTTCCCACCAGCCTGGATCAAAGAGCGAAATTCTGTCTCAGAAAAAAAAAGGCGGGGGGGGTTGGGGTTGGCCAGGTGTGGTGGGTCACACCTGTAATCCCAGCACTTCGGGAGGCCAAGTTGCGCAGATCACTTGAGCCCAGGAGTCGGCACCATTGTGAAACCCCATCTCTACAAAAAATACAAAAATTAGCCTGGCATGGTGGTACATGCCTTTAGTCCCAGCTACTTGGGAGGCTGAGGTGGGAGAATGTGATGTCGAGGCTGCAGTGAGCCATGATCATACCACTGCACTCCAGCCTGGGTGACAGAACAAGACCGTGTCTCAGAAAAAAAAAACAAAAAACAAAACAGTTGGTGTTGTGCAGGATCTGGATTTTATGGAAAACTGAAGAGTTGGAGTCTCACTCTGTTGCCCAGGCTGGTGTTTAGTGCTGCAATCATAGATCACTGCAGCCTTGAACTCTTGGGCTGAAGTGATCCTGCCTTAGCCTCCCAAGTAGCTAGAACTATAGGCGAAAAAAAAGAAAAAAGAAAAGAATTACATAACAAGTTATAACTTTGTTTAAGGTGCTTTTCCTTGGCATCATGTCTTTTTTTTTCTTTTGAGACAGAGTTTCATTCTGTTGCCAAGGTTGGCATCTTGTCTTAACTGGGCTTTTACCCACTCTTCCTCGGTTTGGGCAAATGATGGTACAATATGTGGGCCTGGTTTAAGCTCTGTGCCTTTGAGATCTAAATTTTCTACCTTGTTTTACCTAAGATTCATCCCTTTAGACATGCAAATTTAGGACTGCCTAGCTAACTGTTGCTTAGGGTAATAAAACAGGTAATTAGAAGATTGATAGTCTGAATGGCAAGAAGAAAAACTATTTATTTATTTATTTTATTTTTGTTATTTTTTGAGATGGAGTCTTGCTCTGTCGCCCAGGCTGGAGTGCAATGGCGTAATCTTGGCTCACTGCAATCTCCGCCTCCTGGGTTCAGGCGAACTCCGCCTCCTGCTTCAGCCACCTGAGTAGCTAGGACTATAGGTTTGCACCATCATGCCCGGCTAATTTTTGTATTTTTAGTAGAGATGGGGTTTCACTGTGGTGGCCAGGCTGGTCTTGAACTCCTGACCTCAAATGATCCGCCTGCCTCAGCCTCCCAAAGTGCTGGGATTACAGGCATGAGCCACTGTCCCCAGTCTATTTTTGTTTTTTGTTTTATGTTTTTTGTTGTTGAGGCAGTACCTCACTATGTTGTCCAGAATGGTCTCAAAGTCCTGGGCTTAAATGCTATCACCTCAGTCTCCTGTGTAGCTGGGATTACAGGCATGCACCATCACACATGGCAAAAAAAACTATTTGAAAGCCAGCTAATTATAGTTTTTTATGAAAGCTATAAGATGTACTTCTGTTTGTGTGTCTATATACCTATATGTGCTATGTGTATGTGACAATTTTTGATAAATAAAACTAGCTTTAAATTTGTTAGTAAAATAAAGGCCGTGTGTGGTGTCTCATGCCTGTAATCCTGTAATCCCAGTACTTTTGGAAGCTGAGGCAGGAGGATCACTTGAGTCCGGGTGTTTAAGACCAGCCTGGGCAACATAGTGAGATTTCTTTTTTTTTGAGATGGAGTTTCACTCTTGTTGCCCAGGCTGGAGTGCAATGGTGTGATCTCGGCTCACCGCAACCTCTGCCTCATGGGTTCAAGCAATTCTCCTGCCTCAGCCTCCCGAGTAGCTGGGATTACAGGCATGCACCACCACACTCGGCTAATTTTGTATTTTTAGTAGAGACAGGGTTTCTCTATGTTGTTCAGGCTGGTCTTGAACTCCCGACCTCAAGTGATCCGCTTGCCTCAGCCTCCCAAAGTGGTGGGATTATAGGCGTGAGCCATTGTGCCCGGCCAAAATAAAATAAAATAAAATAAAATAAAATAAATTCTTATGTCATATTATGTTAAATTAAGTAACAGATAATCACGAAATGTCTGAGTCATTTCTAAATAAGTTAAAATACTGAAACATTAATTATTAAACATAAGTTTTATACTGTGGCATCTTATTTATATACAATATAGAAAACCTAAATATATTTAGATAGATCTTTTAATAAACAAAAATTGGGCTGATTGTGGTGACTCACGCCTGTAATTTTGCGAGGCTAACGCAAGTGAATAACTGGAGCCCAGGAGTTCAACCAGCCTGGGCAACATGGTGCAACCTTTATCACTACAATAAAACTAAAAAAAATTAGCCAGGCATGGTGGTGCATGTCTCTAGTCCCAGCTACTCTGGAGGCTGAGGTGGGAGAGTCATTTGAGCCTGGGAGGTCGAGGCTGCAGTGAGCTATGATTGTGCCACTGCACTCCAGCTTGGGTGACAGAGCAAAACCCTATCTCTTAAAAAAAAATTACTTACTTCCTAGGTTTTCACTAGAAATTAGGATTACTAAGAATTAAAATTATAGTTAGTAGAGGCTGGGCACGATAGCTCACGCCTGTAATCCCAGCACTTTGAGAGGCCGAGGTGGGCAGATCACAAGGTCAGGAGATCGAGACCATCCTGGCCAACAAAGGTGAAACCTCATCTCTACTAAAAATACAAAAATTAGCTGGGCGTGGTGGTGCATGCCTGCAATCCCAGCTACTCGGGAGGCTGAGGCAGGAGAACCGCTTGAACCTGGGAGGTGGTGGTTGCAGTGAGCCAAGATTGCTCCACTGAACTTCAGCCTGGTGACAGAGCTAGACTCCATCTTAAAAAAAAAAAATTATAGTTAGTATATGTAATTAAAACTACTAGATATGGCCAGGTGTGGTGGCTCATGCCTGTAATCCCAGCACTTTGGCAGGCCGAGGTTGCAGTGAGCCGAGATGGCGCCACTGCACTCCAGCCTGGGTGACAGAGACTCCATCTCAAAATAGACAAACAAACAAACAAAAAACCTACTAGATATAAAAGAAACAATTCTGTATACAAAGTGTATAAATAAAAGCAAGATATATTTTTGGCAAGGAAAGTTGTAAAAGTATTGAGAAAAAATAATTGTGTCTATTTTACAAGTTACTTAAAGTTTGTTTCAATTGGAAGGAATAAAAATATAGATAAAACTAAATGGATACAGAAGTTGGGAAGAGAAAGGGAATAGAAAAAGATTCTGTGGGGAACTGGCTGGGTTGAAAATCATGGCATGGGTACCAGCAGAGTCTGCAGTGGAAGAGGAGTTGATGCCTGGCCCTCTGCCACCAGACAGAAGGTTTCAATCCCTCGTTATCCCAGAGGATGCCTCAGGAATACCTGAGGAAGGTCCATACCAAAGCAGCTCAATGTCCAGATGCTGTGGTACCTCAAACTGACCCAAATAAGTTGAAAAGGAAGGACGGGCACGGTGGCTCACGCCTGTAATCCCAACACTTTGGGAGGCTGAAGCAGGTGGATCACCTGAGGTGAGGAGTTCAAAACCAGCCTAGGCAACATAGTGAAACCCCATATCTACTAAGAATACAATAATTAGCTGGGCGTGGTGGCAGGAGCCTGTGATCCCAGCTACTCGGGAGGCTGAGGCAGGAGAATCACTTGAACCCAGGAGGCGGAGGTTGCAGTGAGCTGAGATCACACCACTGCACTCCAGCCTGGGCGACAAGAGCAAAACTCCATCTCAAAAAAAAATGAAGTTGAAAAGGAAGCAAGGTGTGAAGGTTTCTCTTTTAGGATGCCAACCTGCCCCTGAAGGTTATTCCCCAATACTTCAGTGGCAATAGAAAGTGGCACCGTTTTCAACGTAAGACAGAATGTGCACAAACATAGAAGTCACTGCAAATCACGACAGTTGGATAGTAATGTGACTATGCCAAAATCTAAAGATGAAGAAGGCTAGAAGAAATTTTGTCTGAGTGAAAGTTTATATGCTGGTGTGGTCACTGACAGCTACAAATGAAAGTCCTAGAATTAATTATGTTCAAATTGGTTTTCCTCCCTTGGTTAGTATTGCTAGCAGAATGAATCAGACAACAGTAGCTACTGTCTTGGAATATCTGAGTAATTGGTTTGGAGAAAGAGACTTTACTTTGGATTTGAGAAGATGGCTTTATGTCTTATTGGCTTGCCTTGAAAAACCTTTATTACATGAGGTTCATTCACTGATTCAGCAGCTTGCAAGAAGGTGCTCTGAAGTGTGAGGCTCTTAGTGGATAGCAAAGATGATGAGAGGGTTCCTGCTTTGAATTTATGTATGTATTTATTTATTTATTTTATTTTTTTGAGACGGAGTTTCGCTCTTGTTGCCCAGGCTGGAGTGCAATGGCGCAATCTTGGCACACCACAATCTCCGCCTTCTGGGTTCAAGTGATTCTCTTGCCTCAGCCTCCCGAGTAGCTGGGATTATAGGCAAGTACCACCACCCCTGGTTAATTTTTGAATTTTTAATAGAGATGGGGTTTCACCATGTTGACCAGGCTGGTCTCAAACTCCTGACCTTAGGTGATCCACCCACCTCGGCCTCCCAAAGTGCTGGGATTACAGGCGTGAGCCACCATGCCCAGCCACCCCAACTCTTTCTTTTTTTTTTTTTGAGACGGAGTCTCTCTCTGTTACCCAGGCTGGAGTGCAGTGGTGTGATCTCGGCTCACTGCAACCTCCACCTCCCGGGTTCAAGCGATTCTCCTGCCTCAGCTTCCCGGTAGCTGGGATTACAAGCACTTGCCACCACGCCCAGCTAATTTTTGTACTTTTAGTAGAGATGGGGTTTCACCATGTTGGCCAGGCTGGTCTCAAACTCCTGACCTTGTGATCTGCCCACCTCGGCCTCCCGAAGTGTTGGGATTATAGGCGTGAGCCACTGCACCTGGCCACCCCAACTCTTAAACAAAAAAAATTTGGCCAGGCTGATCTCGAACTCCTGGCCTCAGGTGATGTGCCCTCCTTGGCCTCTCAAATTGCTGGGATTACAGGCATGAGCCACCATGTCTGGCCCACACTTTTAAAATTTCAAAAAGCAACCTATGAGATATCACTAAACACTTTCTAGAAGAGCTACAATTGAAAAGACTGACAGTACTAAGTGTTGGCGAGTATGTGTATGAGTCACTGAGCCTGGACTTTTTTTTTTTTTTTTAGATAGAGTCTCCCTCTGTCGTCCAGGCTGGAGTGCAGTGGCATGATCTCAGCTCACGGCAACCCCCGCCTCCCAGGTAAAAGTGACTCTCCTACCACAGCCTCCTGAGTAGCTGGGACTACAGGTGTGTGCCACCACACCCAGCTAATTTTGTATTTTTAGTAGAGATAGGGTTTGACCATGTTGGCCAGGCTGGCCTCTAACTCCTGACCTTGTGATCCACCTGCAGAGGATCAAAGCACGTTTAAGGCCACAGCATGTCAAAGCACCAGTCTTTGGGGTATTACTTTTTGAACCCCAACAGTACGTTGGTAAATTGTTGAGCAGTATCTACCAAAGCCAAACAATTGCCTATCCCATGATACAGCATTTATAAGTATATAGCTGAGAGAAATGAGTACCTGTGGCTACTAAAAAGCATGTATAAGAATGGCTGGGTGTGGTGGTTCCTACCTGTAATCCCAGCACTTTGGGAGGCTGAGGCGGGAGGATTGCTTGAGGCCAGGAGTTTGAGACCAGTCTGGACAACATAGTTTAACTGCCTTTGCAAAGATTATGCCCGTTTAGAGAAATCTAGCATGGCTGACTCTATCTTGCTTCTAGCCTCACAGGCTAGCTATCTTCTCTTATTCCTAGGCATAGGCCAAGCTACCCATAGGAGGAATTTAGTGCATAGCTTAATTTAAAAGCAAGGATGATAATAGTGCCTTCCTAAAACTAACCCGCTTCTTGCTCAGGGAGTGAAAACTGCCTTATAAGACTAATGAAAGTCCACAGGATTAGGATTATGGGAGGGACGTGAATTCTACTAAAATATAGACATAGTTTCTATAATCCCTTACTGCTCAGGAGTCATGTGGCCGGTGGTCTCAAGATTTGTGACTTCCCCAATTGCTCCTATAGATAACATCAGTATTGTAGAACCTAAGATTGGTCTTTTAAAATGTTTTTCAGGGTGGGTGAGGTGGCTCACGCCTGTAATTCCAACACTTTAGGAGGCTTAGGTGGGCAGATCACCTGAGGTCGGGAGTTCGAGACCAGCCTGGCCTACATGGTGAAACCCCATCTCTACTAAAAATACAAAAATTAGCTGAGTGTGGTGGTGCATGCCTGTAATCCCAGCTCCTCAGGAGGCTGAAACAGAAGAATCATTTGAACCTGGGAGGCGGAGGTTGTAGTGAGCTGAGATCGCACCACTGTACTTCAGCCTGGGCCACAAGAGCAAGACTCTGTCTCAAAAAAAAAAAGAAAAAAGAAAAAGAAAAAAGTCAGACTTCTATCAGGGTGGTGCAAAAGAAATGGTCAAAACTGCAATTACTCTTGCACCAACCTAATACATTCTGGCAACTTACTGACCTTACCCAGACTTGTGCTCATGATATAACCAAATGGTCTTGTGCCCGCCCCCCGCCACCCAGAGGCCGACTCAGCACACAAGGACATTTTTCCACACCCCTATCATTATATCCCCAACAAAACAGCAGCACGCATTCCCTAGTTCTCTGCCCACCAAACTATCTTTGAAAAACCCTAACTTTGATGATCACTTGAGGCCAGGAGTTTGAGACCAGCCTAACCAACATGGCAAAACCCCATCTTTACTAAAAACACAAAAAATTAATCGGGCGTAGTGGCATGAGCTTCTAGTCCCAGTTACTCAGTATGCTGAGGCATGAGAATTGCTTAAACCGGGGAGGTGGAGGTTGCAGTGAGCCGAGATTGCTTCGCTGCAGTCCAGCCTGAGTGACATAAAGAGTCTCAAAAAGAAAAAAAGAAAGAGAGAGAAAGAAAGAAAGAAGAAAGAAAGAAAAGAAAAGAAAGAAAGAGAAAAAGAGAGACAGAAAAAAGGAAGGGAAGGGAGAAAGAAAAAAGGAAGGGAAGGGAGAAAGAAAGAAAGAGAGAAAGAGAAAGGAAGGAAAGGAGGGAGGGAGGGAGGGAGCCGGGCATGGTGGCTCACGCCTGTAATCCCAGCACTTTGGGAGGCTGAGGCAGGCGGATCACCTGAAGTCCAGAGTTCAAGACCAGCCTGACAAACATGGTGAAACCCCATCTCTGCTAAAAGTACAAAAATTAGCCAGGCGTGGTGGCTAACACCTGTAATCCCAGCTACTCAGGAGGCTGAGGCAGGAGAATCACTTGAACCTGGGAGGCGGAGGTTGCACTGAGTTGAGATTGCGCTATTGCACTCCAGCCTGGGCGACAAGAGTGAAACTCCATCAAAAAAAAAAAAAAAAAAAAAAAGAAGAGAAAGAAAGAAAGGCCCTAACCTTCTAGCCTTCAGAGAGGCTGATTTGAGTGATAACTCTAGTTGTACTACACAGCTGGCCTTGCATTGATTGAACTCTTTATTGCAATAACAGGGTCTCAGTGGATTGGTTTCGTGTGTTCAGTGGCCAGAAGAACCAATTGGGGAATGACAATAGCCAGACACCATCTCTCTAAAAAACAAACAAACAAACAAACAAGTTATCTATGTCAATAAAAGTAAGAATAAGCCAGGCGCAGTGGCTCACCCCGTAATCCCAGCACTTTGGGAGGCCAAGGCGGGCAGATCACAAAGTCAAGAGATCGAGACAATCCTGGCCAACATGGTGAAACCCCATCTCTACTAAAAATACAAAAATTAGCTGGGCGTGGTGGCACACGCCTGTAGTCCCACCTACTCGGGAGGCAGAGGCAGGAGAATCACTTGAACCTGGAAGGCGGAGGTTGCAGTGAGCCGCGATCATGCCACTGCACTCCAGCCCGGTGGCAGAGCGAGACTCCATCGAAAAAAAAAAAGTAAGAATAATGATTACATCTAAGGGGTTGAAGGTCAGGGGAGGTATTGATTAGGAGGGACAGGAAAGAACCTCTGAGTTGTTGGGAACAATCCTATCTTTTTCTGGGTGATGGTTATATGAATGTATACACATGTAAAACTTTATTGAGCTGTACACTTTACTATATGTATTTTGTGTGTGTGTGTGTGTGTGTGTTTTGAGTTGGAGTCTCGCTCTGTTGCCCAGACTGGATTGCAGTGGCGTGATCTCGGCTAACTGCAACCTCTGCATCCCAGGTTCAAGCTATTCTCCTGCCTCAGCCTCACGAGTAGCTGAGATTACAGGTGTCCACCACTATGCCCAGCTAATTTTTTGTATTTTTAGTAGAGACGGGGTTCACCATGTTGGCCAGGCTGGTCTCGAACTCCTGACCTTGTAATTCGCCTGCCTCAGCCTCCCAAAGTGCTGGGATTACAGGCGTGAGCCACCGTGCCTAGCTTGTTGCTTTTTTTTTGTTTTTGTTTTTGTTTTTTTGAGGTGGAGTTTCACTCTTGTTGCCTAGGCTGGAGTGCAATGGTGTGATTTCGGCTCACTGTAACCTCTGCCTCCCAGGTACAAGTGATTTTCCTGTCTCAGCCTCCCAAGTAGCTCGGATTACAGGTATGTGCCATCACACCCAGCTAATTTTTGTATTTTTAGTAGAGATGGGGTTTCACCATGTTGGCCAGGCTAGTCTCGAACTCCTGACCTCAGATGATCCACCCACCTCAGCCTCCCAAAGTGCTGGGATTACAGGCGTGAGCCACTGCACCAGACTACCTCATTTTTTAAATGGAGCAAATAAAGCTAAACTGAGGTACCACTTTTTATCTGTCAGGTTGACAAGAATCCCAGTTTTGATATAGGAGTTAAGAAGATGGCAGGGCGCAGTGACTCACGCCTGTAATCCCAGCACTTTGGGAGACCAAGGTGGGTGGATCATCTGAGGTCAGGAGTTTGAGACTAGCCTGGCCAACATGGTGAAACCCCATCTCTATTAAAAATACAAAAATTAGCCGGGCCTGGTGGCACGTGCCTGTAATCCCAGCTACCCGGGAGGTTGAGGCAGGAGAATCGCTGGAACCTGGGAGGCGGAGGCTGCAGTGAGCTGAGATTGTGCTACTGCACTCCAGCCTTGGCAACAGAGCAAGATTCTGTCTTAAAATTAAACAAACAAACAAAAAAAGAATCTACTTAGGCAGATAGGATATGGGAGTCCTTGGTAAGGTTCTCCTTTTATTTTTATTGATTGATTGATTGATTATTATTTTCAGATGGAGTTTCACTCTTGTTGCCCAGGCTGGAGTGCAATGGTGCGATCTCAGCTCACTGCAACCTCCGCCTCCTGGGTTCAAGCAATTTTCCTGTCTTAGCCTCCCGAGTAGCTGGGATTACAGGTGAATGCCACCACGCTCAGCTAATTTTTATATTTTTTTAATATGGACAGGGTTTCATCATATTGGTCAGGCTGGTCTCAAACTCCTGACCTCAGGTGATCTGCCCTCCTTGGCCTCCCAAAGTGCTGAGATTACAGGCATGAGTCACTGCACCTGGCCATTATTATTATTATTGAGATGGAATCTCTCTCTGTTGCCCAGGCTGGAGTGCAGTGGACAATCTGGGCTCACTGCAACCTCTGCCTCCGGATTCTCCTGCCTCAGCCTCCCGAGTAGCTGGGGTTACAGGCGTGCCCCACCAAGCCCAGCTAAGTTTTGTATTTTTAGTAGAGACGGGGTTTCACCATTTTGGTCAGGCTGGTCTTGAACTCCTGACCTCAAGTGATCCACCTGCCTTGGCCTCCCAAAGTGCTGGGATTACAGGCATGAGCCACCGCACCCGGCCTATTTATTTATTTATTTTCGAGACGGAGTCTTGCTCTGTCACCCAGGCTGGAGTGCAGTGGCAGGATCTCGGCTCACTGCAACCTCCGCCTCCTGGGTTCAAGTGATTCTCCTGCCTCAGCCTCCAGAGTAGCTGGGGTTACAGGCACGTGCCATCACACCCAGCTAATTTTTGTATTCTTAGTAGAGACGGGGTTTCACCATGTTGGCCAGGCTGGTCTCGAACTCTTGACCTCATGATGCACCTGCCTCGGCCTCCCAAAGTGCTGGGATTACCGGCATGAGCCACCAGGAGGTTCTCCTTTTAATGAAAAGCAACCCCAGATCATTTTCCTTTCTAACAAAGAGCAGCCTGTGAAATCGAGCTGCAGACATAGATGCCAACAGTTGTGCCAATCATGTTCAAAATGGCAGTTCCATCTTTCCTTCTCTTTGTCAGCCACAGTGTACAGTAAGGAGCAGATAATATGGCACCTGGCAAGGGGAGAGTTCATTTGCATAATAAGATTAGGGTGGGGTGGCCAGCCTTCCCCTCAAGCTATATAAACGTCACACCTGATTGAACCAATTTGATTTACCTACGTAAATCAGACATCGCCTTTCAAGCCTGCCTATAAAATCCGGCGAACTCTGCTGCCGGCCAGTCTTTTCCTTTGGGAAGCCCCTCTTTCTTGCCAGAGAGAAAGCTGTTCTCCTTTTTCTTTCTGCAACCTCCGCCTCCCGGGTTGCAAGTCCAAATAAAGCTAAACTGAGGTACCACGAAACTCCTCCTGTGTGTTTGTGTCCTAAATTTTCTTGGTACCAGACGACGAACCTCGGATATTTACCCCAGCCAACGAAGCCACTTTAGTTTGATACTGTTGTCAAAGTTTTGGGGAATTCGTCACTATCATGCATTGCTGGCGGGTGTGCAAGTTGTTAAACCCTATATAGGGTCAATTTGGAATAGATATAAAAGTTGCAAATGCATATTATATCTTTTGACTCACTAATCCCATTTCTAGGAGTTTATCTTACAGATATATTGAATGAAACATAGATATGAGATAACACATTAGGTATAGGTATGGGATTAGACATAGCATTTATAATAGTGAAAGATTAAAAATATATAAATGGGCTAGGCACAGTGGCTCACGCCTGTAATCCCAGCACTTTGGGAAGCCAAGGCAGGAGGATTGATTGAGGCCAGGAGTTCAAGACCAGCCTGGGCAAAATAATGAGACAGTGCCTCTACAAAAAAATTAAAAAATTAGCCAGGCGTGGTGGTACATGCCTGTAGTCCCAGCTACTTGGGAGTCTGAGGCAGGAGGAC
This sequence comes from Homo sapiens, assembly GCF_000001405.40. Lineage (NCBI taxonomy): Eukaryota > Metazoa > Chordata > Mammalia > Primates > Hominidae > Homo > Homo sapiens. The sequence goes on along the minus strand of NC_000001.11, from coordinate 153,710,421 downwards.
CTCTTGAGCCCAGAAGTTCAAGGCTGTAGTGTGCTGTAATCATGCCACTGCACTTCAGCCTGGGTGACAGAGTGAGACCTGTCTCAAAAGAAAAAGAAATAAAATAAATAAAAATAAACTTCTTTTGGGCCAGGCACGGTGGCTCACACCTGTAATCCCAGCACTTTGGGAGGCCAACGTAGGCGGATCACGAGGTCAGGAGATGGAGACCATCCTGGCTAACACAGTGAAACCCTGTCTCTACTAAAAATACAAAAAAATTAGCTGGGTGTGGTGGTGGGCGCCTGTAGTCCCTGCTACTAGGGAGGCTGAGACAGAAGAATGGCATGAACCCGGGAGGCTGAGCTTGCAGTGAGCCGAGATCGCGTCACTGCACTCCAGCCTGGGCAATAGAGCAAGACTCCGTCTCAAAATAAATAAATAAATAAAAATCAATCAATCAATCAATCAATCAATAAACAAACTTCATTTGATTTTGCTAGAGAAAAGATTGAACTATCTTTCTTTTTCCTCCATAAAAAAATGATATCATGGGCTGGGCACAGTGGCTTATGCCTGTAATCCCAGAACTTTGGGAGGCTGAGGCGGGCAGATCACTTGAGCCCAGGAGTTTGAGACCAGCCTGGGCAACATGAAAAAACCCCATCTCTACTAAAAATACAAAAAAATTAGCTGGGCGTGGTGGTGGGCGCCTGTAATCCCAGCTACTCTGGAGGCTGAGGCAGAAGAATCGCTTGAATCCGGGAGATAGAGGTTGCAGTGAACCGAGAGCGCGCCACCGCACTCCAACCCGGGTGACAGAGTGAGACTCCGTCTCAAAAAAAAAAAAAAAAAAAAAAAAAAAAAAATTCTAAAAATTAGACAGAGTGTGTGCCTGCAGTCCCAGCTACTCAGGAGGCTGAGGTGGGAAGATTGCTTGAGCCTGAGTGATTGAGGCTGCAGCGAGCTATGATTATGCCACTGGACTCCAGCCTGGGTGACACAGCAAGATCGTGTCTGAAAAAGAAAGAAGTATTACAAAATCATTGTTATATGAAATAACAATCAGAGTACGCAGTGCGAAAAGTAGGAGTTTGAGCTGTAGAGTGTCTGACAGAAAATAAAAAAACTTTAGGCCGGGCGCGGTGGCTCACGCCTGTAATCCAGCATTTTGGGAGGCCGAGACAGGCGGATCACGAGGTCAGGAGATCGAGACCATCCTGCTTAACACGGTGAAATCCCGTCTCTACTAAAAATACAAAAAAATTAGCCGGGCGTGGTGGCAGGCGCCTGTAGTCCCAGCTACTCGGGAGGTGGAGTCAGGAGAATGGCGTGAACCCGGGAGGCGGAGCTTGCAGTGAGCTGAGATCACGCCACTGCACTCCAGCCTGGGCGACAGAGCGAGACTCCGTCTCAAAAAAAAAAAAAAAAAAAGAAAATAAAAAAACTTTAAAAAATTTTTTTAAAAAGGAAAAAAGAGAAAAGTAGTAGTTAATATTATAGAAGTGAGATGGGTAGTTACTAATAAAGATATCCTTCTAGATTGTGAGATGTTTGGATTTCTGTCAGGTTTTTGAAATTTGTAATTTCTTTTCACTTTCTAATTAAATATTTATTTCGTAACCATTTTTTTTTTTTTTGAGATAGACTCTTGCTCTGTCACCAGGCTGGAATGCAGTGACGCGATCTCCTGTGTTCAAGCGATTCTCGTGTCTCAGCCTCCCGAGTAGCTAGGGTCACAGGCACACATCACCACACCCAGATAATTTATGTATTTTTAGTAGAGACGGGGTTTCACCATGATGGTCAGGATGGTCTCAATCTCCTGACCTCGTGATCCGCCTGCCTCGGCCTCACAAAGTGCTGGGATTGCAGGCATGAGCCACTGCACCTGGCCTGTATTCTTTTTTTTAAAGGGGACCCACCAAACTGTGTAAACTCCAAGTCCCACAAAACCTGGATCCACCCTGGCTTGGGCCAGCTGCAGAGGGACTTTGAGGAGACAGCAAAACTGTCCACTGGAGTTTTTAAATAAAACAAAACAAAAACAAAAACTGGTCTCTAGGTGACATATCCCTCCTTTCCCCCAAATCCTGTATGAAATCTTTAGCAAAATAGCTATTTTTTAACTTTAAAATTTAACAGAGAACCAGGTGGAAGAGACTTGGATTAACAGGAGCAATGTGAGAAATTCTGTGGGGGTAGAGGGAGGAGTGTATGTGTGGCCACAAGTTCCATAATAGGTATGGAGGTGACAATTGCCTTCTGTCTGCACTCCTCGGGCTGCACCTGGAAGATTCTGCCCCAGATAAGGAGGCAGGTTGTCAAAGGGACAGGGAAAGACTAGGGCAAACCCACAGGCACTCATCCAGAGTGACAGAGTTTGGAGTCAGAGCCCGGAGATTTCTTTCTCTCTCTCTTTCTTTCTTTCTTTCTTTCTTTCTTTCTTTCTTTCTTTCTTTCTTTCTTTCTTTCTTTCTTTCTTTCTCTTTCTTTCTTTTCTTTCTTTCTTTTTCTTTCCTTCTTTCTTTTTCTTCCTTCCTTCCTTCTTTCCTTCCTTCCTTTTCTTTTCTTTCCCTCCCTCCCTTTCTCTTTCTTTCTCTTTCTTTCTTCTTTTTCTTTTTCTTTCTTTCTCTTTTCTTTTGCCTCCCTCCCTCCCGCCCTCCCTTCCTCCCCTTTCCTTCCTCCCTTCCTCCCTTCTTTCCTTCCTTCCTCCCTTCCTTCCTCTTTCTGTCTCTTTTTTTTTTTTTTTTTTTGATAGAGTCTCTATATTTCCCAGGCTGATCTTGAACTATTGGCTTCAAGGAATCCTCCTGCCTTGGCTTCCCAAAGTGCTGGGATTACAGGTTTGAACCACATGCCTAGCCAAGATCTTGGAGAAGTGTCTCAAGAAACTACAGATGGTCTTTGACTTACTATTTTTCTTTTTCTTTTTTTTTTTTTGAGATGGAGTTTCACTCTTGTTGCCCAGGCTGGAGTGCAATGGCACGATCTCAGCTCACCGCAACCTCTGCCTCCCCGGTTCAAGTGATTCTCCTGCCTCAGCCTCCCGAGTAGCTGGGATTACAGGCATGCACTACCACGCCTAGCTAATTTTGTATTTTTAGTAGAGACGGGGTTTCTCCATGTTGGTCAGGCTGGTCTTGAATTCCCGACCTCATGTGATCTGCCCACCTCAGCCTCCCAAAGTGCTGTGATTACAGGTGTGAGCAACTGTGCCTGGCTAATATTTAATTTTTAATTATTATAGATACTTGCTAGTTGTATTAAATATATTTTCAATTTATAATACTTTCAATTTAGGACGGACATATTGGGATGTAACTCCATCCCCCATAAGTCAAAGAGCATCTGTAGTGATGTTGTACTGCTGAGACTCCAAATGGAGGGGTAGGAGGGGGTGGGCACTGTTGTTAGAAGAGACAGCGGACCTCTGCCTACTTAGAAAAGACAATGCTGGGCCTGGCTCAGTGGCTCATGCCTGTAATCCCAGGACTTTGGATGGTCAAGGTGAGCAAATCGCTTGAGCCCAGTAGTTGGAGACCAGCCTGGCCAACATGGCAAAACCCTATCTCTACAAAAAACACAAAAATTAGCCAGGTGTGGTGGTGTGGGCCTGTAGTTTCAACTACTTGGGAGGCTGAGGTGGGAGGATCACTTGAGCCCAGGAAGTGGAGGTTGCAGTGAGCCAAGAAGTCATCCCTGCACTCCAGCCACTGCACTCCCACCTGAGTGACAGAAGGAAACCCTGTCTCAAAAAAAAAAAAAAAAAAAAAAAAAAAAAGCCAGTGCTATGCAGGGCAGGTGGGCCCCACTTAGCCTGGGAGGGTTCTTGGTCTCCCCCAGGAAAGAATTCAATAGTGAGCCAGCGGTGTTAAACTGCAACTTTTAATTGAAGCAGCAGGGTACAGCAGCAGCACAGGTGCTGCTCCCTGGGGAGCACAGCTACCCCATCGGCAGTGTACCCAGAGTAGCAGCTCAAAGGCCATTTGCAGTCATTTTTATTTTATTTTATTTTATTTTTTCGAGACAGAGTCTCGCTGTCTCTCCAGGCTGGAGTGCAGTGGCGCGATCTCAGCTCACTGCAAGCTCCGCCTCCCGGGTTCATGCCATTCTCCTGCCTCAGCCTCACGAGTAGCTGGGACTATAGCCACCCGCCACCATGCCTGGCTAATTTTTTGTATTTTTAGTAGAGACGGGGCTTCACCATGTTAGTCAGGATGGTCTCGATCTCCTGACCTCATGATCCACCCACCTTGGCCTCCCAAAGTGCTGGGATTACAGGCGTCAGCCACCACGCCCAGCCTGCAGTCATATTTATAACTCACTTTTTTTGTTGTTGTTGTTGTTTTTGTTTTTTGAGATGGAGTCTTGCTCTGTCACCTAGGCTGGAGTGCAGTGATGAGATCTCAGCTCACTGCCTCCTGGGTTCAAGCGATTCTCCTGACTCAGCCTCTGGAGTAGCTGGGATTACAGGCGTGCAGCACCACTCCTGGGTAATTTTTATATTTTTCGTAGAGATGGGGTTTTACCATGTTGGCCAGGCTGGTCTGGAACTCCTGACCTCAAGTGATCCGCCCGTCTCGGCCTCCCAAAGTGCCGGGATTACAGGCGTGAGCCAACTCGCCCAGCCTATAACTCACTTTTAATTACATGCAAATTAAGAAGCGGGCTATGCAGAAATTTCTAGGAAAAGGTTGGTAATTTCCAGGTCATCAGGTTGTTGCAATGGAAAGGGGCGGAAACATCCCAGTGTTGCCATGGCAATGGTGAACTGACAGGGCACACTGTTGGGCATGTCATGGAAAGCTGCTTCTCTTCAGTCCCTGTTTTAGCTAGTCGTCAACTTGGTCCTATTTCTGAGCCCCACCTCCTGAGTTGAGTCTTGCCCCCTACCTCTCTAGGACCATTGGAAGAGGTGGGGAGCTGGAATGGCTTTTCTATAAATATGAAAGGCATTTATATTAAATACCTAACATAGGCCAGGCGTGGTGGCTCACACCTGTAATCCCAGCACTTTGGGAGGCCAAGGCGGGTGGATCACTTGAGGTCAGGAGTTTGAGACCAGCCAGACCAGCCTGACCAACATGGAGAAACCACGTCTCTACTAAAAGTACAAAATTAGCTGGGCGTGGTGGCGCATGCCTGTAATCCCAGCTACTCAGGAGGCCGAGGCAGGAGAATCGCTTGAACACGGGAGGTGGAGGTTGTGGTGAGCCGACATCGCGCCATTGCACTCTAGCCTGGGCAACGAGTGAAACTCCATCTCAAAAAAAACAAATAAATAAATAAAAATAAAAAATAAAATAAATAAATAAATAAATACCTAACATCAAACAATTTATAATTCACATTGGAATGATGTTCATCAGATTTTTTTACATTTTATTTTTATTTTTTATTTTTTTGAGACAGTGTCTCACTCTGTAGCCCAGGCTGGAGTGTGGTGGCAGGATCTCAGCTCACTGCAACCTCTGCTTCCCGGGCTCAAGCAATCCTCCAACCCCAAACTCCCTGGTAGCTGGGACTACAGGCACGTGCCACCACGCCAGGCTAAATTTTTTTTTTTTTTTTGAGATGGAGCTTCACTCTTGTTGCCCAGGCTGGAGTGCAATGGCGCGATCTTGGCTCACTGAAACCTCCAGTTCCTGGGTTCAAGCAATTCTCCTGTCTCAGCCTCCCGAGTAGCTGGGATTACAGGTGCCCGCCACCACGCCTGGCTAATTTTTGTATTTTTATTAGAGACAGGGTTTTGCCATGTTGGCCATGCTGGTCTCGAACTTTTGACCTCAGGTGATCTGCCCACCTTGGCCTCCCAAAGTGCTGGGATTACAAGGGTGAGCCACCGTGCCTGGCCTTATTTTTATTTTTTTAATTTTTAAAAAATGTGGGTACGGCCAGGTGTGGTGGCGCCCACCTGTAATCCCAGCTACTTGGGAGGCTGAAGCAGAAGAATTGCTTGAATCCCGGAGGTGGAGGTTGTAGTGATCTGAGATCACACCATTGCACTCCATCCTGGGCCACAGAGCAAGACTGTCTCAAAAAAAAAAAGAAAAAAAATTCAGGGTCTTGCTGTATTGCCCGAGCTGGAGTGCAGTGGTTATTCATAGGCTGGATCCCATTACTGATTAGCATGGAAATGTTGACCTACTCTGTTTTCGATGTGGGCCAGTTTACCCCTTATAAGGCAACCTGGTGGTCTCCTGCTCCCAGGAAATCACCAGATTTATGCCCAATGTGGTGGGGACACCTGATTGCATAGTGCACTACAGCCCAGAACTTCGGCCCTCAAGTGATCCTCCTGCCTCCTCTCCCCAAGTAGCTGGGCCTACAGGCATGTACTACCACGCCTGGCCAAATATTAACAAATACTATATTTATAATTGTAGAGATAGGGTCTTGCTATGTTGCTTAGGCTCGTCTCAAACTCCTGGGCTTCAAGTGATCCTCCTGCCTTGGCCTCCCAACAAGCTGGGATTATAGATGTAAGCCACCATGCACTGCCAATAATGACTATTTTGATGTCAGAATCTTAGGTGATTTTTTTTTTTTGTAAGTCTGCGTCTCACTCTGTACTCAGGCTGGAGTGCAGTGGCACCATCATGGCTCACTGTAACCTTGAACTCCTGGGTTCAAGGGATCCTCCTGCCTCAGCCTATTGAATAGCTAGGACTACAGGCATGTGCCACCACACCTGGCTAATTTTTTTTTTCTTTTGTAGAGATGAGGTCTTGTTATATTGCCCAGGTTGGTCTTGAACTCCTGTCCTCAATTGATCCTCTTGCCTGGGCCTTCAAAGTGTTGAGATTATGGGTGTGAGCCACTATGCCTGGCCTCTTAGGTGATTTTTTATTTCTTCTCTGTAATTCTTTTTCTAAGTGTATGTTATTTCTAGAAATAATAAGGTCATTAATCTTTTTTTTTTTTTTTTTTTGCGACAGGGTCTTGCTCTGTTGCATAGGCTGGAGTGCACTGGCACAATCTAGGCTCACTGGAACCTCTGCCTCCAGGGTTCAAGTGATTCTCCTGCCTCAGCCTCCCGAGTAGCTGGGACTACAGGCTCGTGCCACCATGCCTGGCTAATTTTTGTATTCTTAGTAGAGACGGGGTTTTGCCATGTTGGCCAGGCTGGTCTCGAGCTCTTGATCTCGTGATCCACTGACCTCGGCCTCCCAAAGTGCTAGGATTACAGGTGAGAGCCACCTCACCCTGCCCAAGGTCATTAATCTTAAAAAAAAAAAAAAAAAAAAAAAAGGCTGGGCCTGGTGGCTCACGCCTGTAATCCCAGCACTTTGGGAGGCCACGGCAGGCAGATCACGAGGTCAAGAGTTTGAGACCAGCCTGGCCATCATGACGAAACCCCGTCTCTACTAAGAATACAAAAATTAGCCAGGTGTGGTGACATGAGCCTATAGCCCCAGCTACTCAGGAGGCTGAGGCAGGAGAATTGCTTACCGGGAGGCGGAGGTTGCAGTAAGCCGAGACAGTGCCACTGCACTCCAGCCTGGGCAACAGAGCGAGACTCCATCTCAAACAAACAAAAAAACAAAAAAAAACTCGACCAGGCGCAGTGGCTCACACCTGTAATCCCAGCACTTTCGGAGGCTGAGGTGGGCAGATTACCTGAGGTCAGGAGTTTAAGACCACCCTGACCAACGTGGCAAAACCCCGTCTCTACTAAAAATACAAAAAATTTAGCCAGGCGCGGTGGTGTGCCTGTAATCCAAGCTGCTCAGGAACCTGAGGCAAGAGAATCGCTTGAACTCGGGAGTCGGAGGTTGCAGTGAGCTGAGATCATGCCACTGCACTCCAGCCTGGGTGACAGAGTGAGACTCTTGTCTCAAAAAAACAAAGAAACAGGCCGGGCTCAGTGGCTTATGCCTGTAATCCCAGCACTTTGGGAGGCCGAGGTGGGTGGATCACCTGAGGTCAGAAGTTCAAGGTCAGCCTGACCAACATAGTGAAACCCCGTCTCTACTAAAAATACAAAATTAGCTGGGTGCGTTGGTGAGTGCCTGTAGTCCCAGCTACTCGAGGGGCTGAGGCAGGAGAATTGCTTGAACTTGGGAGGCGGAGGTCACAGTGAGCCAAGATCTTACCACTGCACTCCAGCCTGGGTGACAGAGCAAAACCCTGTCTCAAACAAACAGACAAATGAAACCCAAAGAAACAAACAAAAAGCAAAAAAAGATGCACCTTCCTTAGATGGCAGTTTCAGGGTCAAGCCCCCTTTTCCATAAATAAAATGAGTTTCTGTTCCCTCAAAAGGAATTGTGATGATTGAAACATTTCCATCTTCTTCTTCTTCTTTTTTTTTCTTTGTTTTTTTAGATGGAGTCTCACTCTGTCACCCAGCCCAGAGTGCAGTGGCACCATCTTGGCTCACTGCAACCTCTGCCTCCCGGTTTCAAGCAATCCTTGTGCCTCAGCCTCCTGAGTAGCTGCGATTACAGGCGCCAGCCATCATGCCCGGCTAATCTTCCTGTACTTTTAGTAGAGACAGGGTTTCACCATGTTGGTCAGGCTGGTCTCGAACTCCTGACCTTGTAATCTGCCCACCCTGGCCTCCCAAAGTGTTGGGATTACAGTCGTGAGCCACCGCGCCTAACCATTTTTTTTTTTTTGAGACAGAGTCTCACTCCGTCGCCCAGGCTGGAGTGCACTGGCGCAGTCTCAGCTCACTACAACCTCCACCTCCTGGGTTCACGCCATTCTCCTGCCTCAGCCTCCCGAGTAGCTGGGACTACAGGCACCCGCCACCATGCCCGGCTAGTTTTTTGTATTTTTAGTAGAGACAGGGTTTCACCGTGTTAGCCAGGATGGTCTCAATCTCCTGACCTCATGATCTGCCCGCCTCGGCCTCCCAAAGTGCTGGGATTACAGGCGTGAGCCACCGCGCCCGGCCTTTTTTTTTTTTTTTTGAGGAGTTTCGCTCTTGTTGCCCGGGCTGTAGTGCAATGATGCAATCTTGGCTCACCGCAACCTCTGCCTCCCGAGTTCAAGTGATTCTCCTGCCTCAGCCTCCTGAGTTGCTGGGATTACAGGCATGCGCCACCATGCCCAGCTAATTTTTGTATTTTTAGTAGAGACGGGGTTTCACCATGTTGGTCAGGCTGGTCTTGAACTCCTAACCTCAAGAGATCCACCCGCCTCGGCCTTCCAAAGTGCTGGGATTACAGGTGTGAGCCACCGTGCCCAGCTGAAGATCACAGATATTTTTAAAAGGATTTCAGACCTGGATAAGCAGTTAGATTGCATAATCTGTACTTTTTCTTTTTCTTTCTTTTTTTTTTTGAGACAGAGTTGCCCTCTTGTTGCCCAGGCTGGAGTGCAATGGTGCCATCTCGGCTCATCGGAACCTCCGCTTCCTGGGTTCAAATGATTCTCCTGCCTCAGCCTCCCCAGTAGCTGGGATTACAGGCATGTGCCACCACGCCTGGCTAATTTTTTTTTTTTTTTTTGTATTTTTAGTAGAGATGGGGTTTCTCCATGTTGGTCAGGCTGGTCTCGAATTCCCGACCTCAGGTGATCTGCCTACCTCAGCCTCCTAATGTGCTGGGATTACAGGCATGAGCCATCGCGCCCGGCCTAATCTGCACTTTTTCTAATACAAAGATTTTTAGATCTTACTAGTATCTCTCATTAAGGAGTTCAATCAGGTGCTGCATTTCACTTCCCACTATTCTTCAGATGTAAGCAACTCCTTAAATCTAGCATTATGGGCCAGGTGCGTTGGCTCACACCTGTAATCCCAGTACTTTGGGAGGCCAAGGCAAGAAGATCACTTGAGGCCAGGAGTTTGAGTCCACCCTTGGCATCATAGTGAAACTTTGTCCCTACTAAAAATTTTTAAAAATTAGCTGGGGGCCAGGCATGGTGGCTCATGCCTGTAATTCTAGCACTTTGGGAGGCCAAGGCAGGTGGATCACCTGAGGTCAGACCAGCCTAGCCAACATGGCAAAACCCCATCTCTACTAAAAATATAAAAATTAGGCCAGGCATGGCAGCTCACGCCTGTAATCCCAGCACTCTGGGAGGCTGAGGTGGGCAGATCACGAGGTCAGGAGCTCGAGACCAGCCTGACCAACATGGTGAATCCCTGTCTCTACTAAAAATACAAAAATTAGCCAGTCATGGTATCACACACCTGTAATCCCAGCTACTCAGGAGGCTGAGACAGGAGAATCGCTTGAACCCGGGAGGCAGAGGTTGCAGTGAGCAGAGGTAACGCCACTGCACTCCAGCCTGGGCGACAGAGCGAGACTCCATCTCAATAATAATAATAATAATAATAAACTAATTAATTAAAAATACAAAAAGTAGCCAGGCTTGGTGGCAGGCACCTGTAATCCCAGCGAGGCTGAGGCAGGAGAATCACTTGAACTTGGAAGGTGGAGGCTGCAGTGAGCTGAGATAATGCCATTGCACTCCAGCGTGGGCGACGGAGTGAGACTTCATCTCCAAAACAGAAAAAAAAGAATTAGCTGGTGGGGGTGGTGTGCTCCTGTAGGCCTAGCTGCTCGGGAGGCTGAGGTAGGTGGATCACTTCACCCCAGGAGTTCCAGGTTGCAGTGAGCTATAATTGCTCCACTGCACTCTTGCTCAGCCTAGGAGACAAAGTGAAACTCTGTCTCAATTAAAAAAAAAAAATCTAGCGTTATGATTTGTATACTGTTGACTCTTAATCATACCAACAAACACTTACCTAATTGTTATTACCTGCCAGTGTTCTGAGCATGTAACAGGAATTATTAAGTCATGTAATTCTCAAAACAAACCTATGAAGTAGGTTTTAAGATCATTCCTGAGTTACAGAATAGAAAACTCAGGGCAGAGAGAAGCTGAGTAGTTTGCATAAGGTTACATTGATTATGAGTGACAGAGCTGGGATCTAAATCCAGGCAGGCTATCTCCAGAGTCCAGCCTCTTACCCAACTTTGCACTGCCTCTCATTTGATAGAGGAGTGTAATTGTGCCAGTTTTGAACACTGAGATCTGCATGGTATTTTGGCCTAGTTTTTCCCTGCCTGAAGTTTAGTGGGCTGACCTGATCATTGGACATGCAATAGCCAAGGCATACCATATGTAGTCCACATTTGGAAGCCAAAGACAGATAGTCATACTGGGATGATTGCATCAAGTTCAGACAGGGTGCCACTGTCATGAGCAGATATGCCTGATTATGGAATCTTCCCTTTGGAAAGGTTCTTAAAGGGCAACCAGCCTATCCTCTGACTCACTGGTGCCAGTGTATGTGGTATGGAAGTGGATGGCTGGGGTCTTTTCCTATCTGGACTCTCTCACTGCTTCTCTAACCATGGTTTGAGGTACAGTCAAGCAGGTTTTTGCCACCACCTCCCCTGTTCCTGGTAGAATGCAGTCTGGGAGCAGGCATGGGACGTGGTCTCATCTTCCTCCAGAGCGTCCTCTCCTGTCTTTGTGCAACACCAAATTCATCCGCATCCCGACCCTTCATCTTGGTGGTAAACACCTCGCCTGGAATCTTACTTGCGTTCCAACCCAAAGAGATTAAATCTTCCTGGACCGCATTCTTTTTTTTTTTTTAAATGGTTAATTTATTTATTTTTATAGCTCCTGCAATTTAATTAAAAAATTGACTTTCAGTCTGCAAAACTGGGCTCTGCTTAATTAGATTCCACGGATCTGTCCTGAAAGGTATAAATCTTTTTTAAAAATAATTATTACTAAATATACTGCTGTGATAAATGACTCAAACCCTTTGACGTAGAGAAAAGAGCGGGTGAGGGAGGAGGTTATTTGTCTGTTTCTGTCAGCTCCATTTTTGTTCCAGGCCGTGGCCTTGTTCGGGGCTGGCTGGGCGGGGGTTCCCTCTGCACAGCCTCCAGCTGGCCCTTCCACCCGCCTGCTGAGCTGCCTTCTCAGCCCGCCCCACTCTTCCAGGGGCGTTACGTGGGCTGATGAGATAATGTATGTGAAAGCCTTTGTCAACTGCAAGGCACAATCGAATGCCAATTATTATTGTTATTCTTACCATACTCTGGGGAAACCCTGTGGCCCTCACCCCTCCCAAACGTACTAGGCGGGACAGCCCGGGAAACTGAGAGGCTAGACTGCCCCTCCCATGTGGGCGGAGGTTCCTGGCACAAGACGGTCTCCCCGGCCTGTGGGGAGGGCTTTATTGCTACCCTCCTGGTGCCCCCTTAGGAATGGCTTTCCCAGTTCTTCCTGGCTTCAGGGGCCTTCCTCCGGAAGGAAATCTCCTTAGTTCCAGTGAAAGTTCTCGGGCCGCTGAAATCATCGACTCCTTAGGCCCCTCCTCACCTCCGCCGCACAGCCCCTTCCCCTCCCGGTGCCCGCAGTGGAGCCAGGCTGCCTCGGAAGGATCTGACCGGCAATTTCCTAGAATTGTGCTTCTGGAGCTCCTCAGTCGTCCACTCCCTGCCCCTCTTCCCCACCTCATTTAAGGCTCCTCTCCCCAGAGCCCAAGTCCCCGTAGCTGTCCCAGCTCCACCCTGATCTAACTTCCTAGGCCTCACAGCTCTCTTTATCATAGCCAGTCTCTTCAGGGGCTGTCTGCTCCCCTTGTGGGGAGGAACTGGGGCATGGGAGGCTACAGGGCCACCGGGGCCCATCAGGAAGTTCAGTAGCTGTGGTTGACAGGACAACCACTCTTGGTTAGGCCTTCCCAGTGCTGTTCATCCCCGGCTTGGCTGGTGAGAGGACTGGACCATGTCTGCTCCCTCTCCCGATAAATTGAGCCTGACTGGTGCCAAAAAGGGTGGGCGGGAAGCACAAAACAAGAGTCACTGGACAGGAGGGGAGCAATTTATCCTTTCTTTATCCCAAACTGCCAGCCGTGTACCAGGGAGCAGTGCCACGCCAGACCTCCAAGCTCCCAGTGGCCACCCTACGTCCAGGTCCCACAGGGTGGACTCCAGGAAGAGGCCTGGGAGGTCAGGGGAGAGGCCTGCCTGCACTTGATGGATGGTCCTGAAGAAATGTCTGGCACTTTCCTCCCCCATGAGGGCGGTGGAGCTGCAGCCACCTCTCCCCCGCATTCCTGCCTGCCTGCCTGCCTGGGAAGGAGGGGTGAGGGGTGGGTCCAGCAGGGAAACCAGGGCTCCTGGCCCAGCTGAGAGGCATTTTGCAAACTATGACTCAACATTTGTCTACACTGACATGGGGAATGGAGGAGCACGTGGACAATCCCCAAATTTCACCTGGGTTGAAAGGCATCCATATGTTCCCACCCGACCCCCACTTCCTCCCCAGCTCCCAGGCCTCTCCATTCAGTCCATACTAATTATCTGATTCCTACTGTATGCCAGCCATTGAGTAACATAACAGTTCTCAAGGTGTGGTCCGCAAATCCTGGGAGTCCCAAATATTTTTTCAGGGCATAGATGAGGTCAAACGATTTTCATAATAATTCTAATACGTTATTTGCCTTTTTGACAGAGTTGACACATTGCATCGAAGTGCAAAAGCAATGGGGGTAAAACTGCTGTGGCTTTACATAAATCAAGGCAGTGGCACCCAATTAGTATTGCATGCATTCTTCACCACTGCACACTGAAAAGGCTGGTTTCACATAAGAATGTTCTTGATAAAGCAGTCAACAATTATTAACATGTAATAGGCTTATTATTGTTATCTTACATGAGTTAATAAATAAGGATTTGTCGGGCCGGGCACGGTGGCTCACGCCTATAATCCCAGCACTTTGGGAGGCCGAGGCGGGTGGATCATGAGGTCAGGAGATCGAGACCATCCTGGCTAACAAGGTGAAACCCCGTCTCTACTAAAAATACAAAAAATTAGCCGGGCGCGGTGGCGGGCGCCTGTAGTCCCAGCTACTCAGGAGGCTGAGGCAGGAGAATGGCGTGAACCCGGGAAGCGGAGCTTGCAGTGAGCCGAGATTGCGCCACTGCAGTCCGCAGTCCGGCCTGGGCGACAGAGCGAGACTCCGTCTCAAAAAAAAAAAAAAAAAAAAAAAATAAATAAATAAATAAATAAATAAGGATTTGTGGCTGGGCGCGGTGGCTCACGCCTGTAATCCCAGCACTTTGGGAGGCTGAGATGGGCGGATCACGAGATCAGGAGATCGAGACCATCCTAGCTAACATGGTGAAACCCCGTCTCAACTAAAAATACAAAAAAATTAGCCGGGCACGGTGGCGGGCGCCTGTAGTCCCAGCTACTCGGGAGGCTGAGGCAGGAGAATGGGGTGAACCCAGGAGGTGGAGCTTGCAGTGAGCGGAGATCGCGCCACTGCTCTCCAGCCTGGGTGACAGAGCAAGACTCTGACTCAAAAAAAAAAAAATTAAAAAATAAATAAATAAGGATTTGTTTTAATATCTACTATGGTAAATATCAATAGATATCCACATAAACAAAAGCTCTTTAGGTCCCTAATACTTTTTTGTGTGTGTGATTGAGTTTCGCTCTTGTTGCCCAGACTGGAGTGCAATGGCACAATCTCGGCTCACTGCAACTTCTGCCTCTCGGGTTCAAGCAATTCTCCTGCCTCAGCCTCCTGGGTAGCTGGGATTATAGGCACCCACCACCACGCCCAGCTAATTATTGTACCTTTTTTTTTTTTTTTGAGATGGAGTTTCACTCTTGTTGCCCAGGCTGGAGTGCAATGGCGCGATCTCGGCTCACCGCAACCTCTGCCTCCCAGGTTCAAGTGATTCTCCTGCCTCAGCCTCCCTAGTAGCTAGGATTACAGGCATGTACCACCACACCTGGCTAATTTTGTATTTTTAGTAGAGATGGGGTTTCTCCATGTTGGTCAGGCTGGTCTCGAACTTCTGACCTCAGGTGATCCACCCGCCTTAGCCTCCCAAAGTGCTGGGATTACAGACATGAGCCACCGTGCCTGGCTAATTATTGTATTTTTAGTAGAGATGGGGTTTCACCATGTAGGCCACGCTGATCTCAAACTCCTGACCTTGTGATCCACCCACCTTGGCCTCCCAAGCTGCTGGGATTACAGGGTTGAGCCACTATACCTAGCCTTTTTTTTTTTTTTTTAAGATAGTCTCGCTCTGTGGCCCAGGCTGGAGTGCAGTGGTGAGATCTTGGCTCACTGAAGCCTCCACCTCCTGGGTTCAAGCAATTCTCCTGCCTCAGTCACCTGAGTACCTGGGATTACAGGCATGCATCGCTATGCCCGGCTAATTCTGTATTTTTTTTTTTTTTTTTTGAGACAGAGTCTCGCTCTGTTGCCCAGGCTGGAGTACAGTGGTGCAATCTCAGCTCACCACAACCTCTGCCTCCCAGGTTCAAGCGATTCTCCTCCCTCAGCCTCCTGAGTAGCTGGGACTACAGGCATGTGCCACCATATCTGGCTAATTTTTCTATTTTTAGTAAAGACGGGGTTTCCCTATATTGGCCAGGATGGTCTCGAACTCCTGACCTCATGATCCACCTGCCTCAGCCTCTCAAAGTGCTGGGATTACAGGTGTGAGCCACCGCGTCTGGCAACTAATTTTGTATTTTTAGTAGAGACTGGGTTTCTCCATGTTGGTCAGGCTGGTCTCGAACTCCTCATCTCATGTGATTTGCCCACCTCAGCCTCCCAAAGTACTGAGATTACAAGAGTGTGCCTGGTTTTTTTTTTTTTTTTTTTTTTTTTTTTTTTGAGACAGTCTCCCTCTGTTGCCCAGGCTGGAGTGCAGTGGCGCCATCTCGGCTCACTGCAACCTCCGCCTCCTGGGTTCAAGAGATTCTCGGCCGGGTGTGGTGGTTTACGCCTGTAATCCCAGCACTTTGGGAGGCCGAGGCGGGCGGATCATGAGGTTGGGAGATCGAGACCATCCTGGCTAACATGGTGAAACCCCGTCTCTACTAAAAATACAAAAAATTAGCCGGGCGAGGTGGTGGGCGCCTGTCCCAGCTACTCGGGAGGCTGAGGCAGGAGAATGGGGTGAACCTGGGAGGCAGAGCTTGCAGTAAGCCGAGATGGCACCACTGCACTCCAGCCTGGGCGAAGGAGCGAGACTCCGTCTCAAAAAAAAAAAAAAAAAAAGAGATTCTCCTGCCTCAGTCTCCTGAGTAGCTGGGATTACAGGCGCGTGCCACCATACCCAGCTAATTTTTGTATTTTTAGTAGAGACTGGGTTTCACCATGTTGGCCAGGCTGGTTTTGAACTCTTGACCTCAGGTGATCCATCCACCTCAGCCTCCCAAAGTGCTGGGATTACAGGCATGAGCCCCTGTGCCCGGCCAATAATAATAATTCTTAAGGATGTAAATGGGTCCTTAAACCAGTTTCAGCACTGCTGGGCAATTCATAGGCTGTTACTACTCTCAGAGCCTGCATTCCCAGCTTAAGAATCGAGAGTCTTTTTTTTTTACTTTTCCTTCTAGACCCTTGTAGAACAAGAAGTGAGTCTTATTTGAAGTAGAGAGTGGAGAACTGACTGTTTTCTGGCAACCCTCTCTCCCTCAAGAAGAGACACTGTCACTGGAATAAAGATTTTAATTGTCTCTGCTCATGGTAGAAGCAAGGCATACAGGCCCCCAACCCTTCTGCGCCACCCCTCTTCTCCCCTGTGCACTGTGTCTACTGCTGGGTGGAGGGGGTCGGGGGAGCAGGTATTGTGGGCCAGCCCCAGATGTGGGCTCCCCTGCCCTCTCTTCACCTAGTCTCTTTTCATGTTCCCCTTCAGGTGACTCTTTCTCCTCCCAGTAAGTCACAGGGTAGCAAGGCTGAGGGAGGAGAGCATGGGGAGGGGAGGGGATCAGGAATCCACAGCCCAGCCCGGCCTGAGTCCAGGTGGAGAGCAGGTGCGTGTGCCTGTGTGAGTGTCCCTGTGCATGGCCGTGGGCTTGGCTCAGCCTGTAAGCTCTGAGATCCCCCCATGCCAGTCCCCTCTCAGAGGTCCTATCTGGTGTCTTCACTGGGGTCAGCACACCTGAGCTATTCAAATTACTTCCATCCTTTGGCGATGGGGCTGCTGTGGGTGAGGCTGAGGCCTGGCACCTCTGTTGCTTCTGGCACAGGGTAGGGAGGTGTGGAGGGATAGGAGAGGAGGCAGGTCAGCCTCGGGTGCTACTCCCCCTCTCCCCAAGGAGCCAGTAGGTCCGAACCTTGCCTTTGCCCTGGAGGGAAAAAAGAGGATGGGCTGGGGAGTGGCACATGCCCTTTCCCCAGTCAGATGAGAGCCTTAGGGATGGGAGTGGCATTGGCTGCTTGAGAAGGGTAACTCCCTCTAGGACCCCAAAAGGTGGGGAGGGCAGAGGCTTCTCCCTCTACCTTCATTTCTACATCCCCTCGAAGCTCCAGCTCGAAACCACCAAACTCCTCCAGGACAGCCTTGGTCTCAGAAGACAAGTGGATCTTCAGGGCTGGGTAGGACAGGGGAGAAGGGAAGGTGAGCAATGTGAGAGAGGAGAGCAGGAAAGTAGAGGCAAAAGAGACCAGGGACTGTGGGGGTGGACAGGTGGACAGGTACCCTCTCTCCCTCTTTTGGGCCAGGAAGCCCTCTAGCTCAGAGGGGCCCCACCCCCTGAATGTAGTGCGTGACCACATTAGCCTCTCATTTAGAACTCTGGAGCTGTGTAATCCAATACAGTAGCCACTAATCACATGTGCCTGTTTCAACTTAAATTAATTTAAACTAAATACAGTTAAAAATTCAGGCTGGGTGCTGTGGCTCACACCTGTAATCCCAGCACTTTGGGAGGCTGAGGCAGGAGGATCACTTGAGGCCAGGAGTTCGAGACCATCCTGGCCAATATGGCGAAACCCCGTCTCTACTAAAAATACAAAAATTAGCTGTGTGTGGTGGCACTCACCTGTAATTCCAGCTACTTGGGAGGCTGAGGCAGGAGAATCGCTTGAACCTGGGAGGCGGAGGTTGCAGTGAGCCGAGATTGCACCACTGCACTCCATCCAGGCTGGGCGACAGAGCGAAACTCTGTCTCCAAAAAAAAAAAAAAAAATCAGGGCCTCAGTTGCACCCGTCACATTTCCAGTGATAAGTAGCCATATGTGCCTAGAGGCTACTGTATTGGACAGCACAGAATACAGAACATTTTCATGACTATGGAACATCCTGTTGGACAGCACTCTCTGGAGTGTCACCCGGCTCTACACAGCATGGTGGTTAGGAGCTGGCACTTTGGATCCTGCACTGCCTCAGTATGAACCTCAGCTTGGATACTTGCTTAGGTATGTAAAATAAATTCTCTCTGCTTCATTTTCCTAATCTGTAAAATGCTGATAGTGTCAGTACCCATCTCAAAACCTTGTTGTGAGGATTAAATTTAACATCCATAAAGTATTCAAACGGAATGTGCTACCTAGGAAGCACTATGTAAATTGTTGCTTTCATGATTTCATGCTATACCCTCATTTTGTGGCCGAGGAACTGAGGCCCAGGGTGATCTGCCCAAGTGGCTGAGGAGGTCAGTGATGGAGTGGGGCCCAATATTGCCACACCCTCTCTTTGACCACTGTCTGAACTCATGTCCCTACTTCTGGGGTTTGCATCAATCACAGTGGCCTTGTTGTGTTTAACAGTTTCTTTCTTTTCTTTTCTTTCTTTCTCTCTTTTTTTTTTTTGAGACAGAGTCTCGCTCTGTTGCCCAGGGGTGCAGTCTCGGCTCACTGCAACATCCACCTCCTGGGTTCAAGTGATTTTCATGTCTCAGCCTCCTGAGTAGCTGGGATTACGGGCACGTGCCACCACGCCCAGCTAATTTTTTGTATTTTTAGTAGAGACAGGAGGTTCACCATGTTGGCCAGGCTAGTCTCCAACTCCTGGCCTCAAGTGATCTGCCCACCTCGGCCTCCCAAAGTGCTGGGATTACAAGCACCCCCAGCGCCCAGAATGTTGAACAATTTCTGGGAATGTGCTCCTTGAGGACTGGACCCTCAACAAGGGGCTGTACTCTGACAGCCCCCAAAATAGTGCCCAGGGAATATTTGCCGAACTAGATCCCTCTGGGCTCCCAGGACTGGCTCCCAAGCAGCCTTTCTTTCACCATAAGGTTTAGATGGGGTCCACATGAATTTCTCAGCTAACTCTGGATCTGGGCCATGTTACTATCCCAGGGCCTGGCACTCAGTAGTCACTCAATAAATGTTTACTGCATTGAATTGTGTCGAATACAGCAGAAGGATAGAAGATAAACAGGAGGCAAGAGCAAGGGGCGGGTAGGAGTAAGAATTTATTAGGTGCCTGCTGGGTACCAGGGTTTGTGCTAGGCTTCTTGCAATCCTGAGATAGACATCATTTTACAGATAATCCGCTAAGGCTTGGAAAAGTTAAATGACAATTATGTGGTAGACATTTTTAATGGGTTTCTCACATAATTCCTGTGAGATAGATTTTTTCCCTCTTTTTACAGATGAGGAAAACCATGGCTCAGAGAGGTATAGCAAACTGACACACAGCCAGCTGTGGAGCTGAGATTCACAGCCTCACTTATGCTGGCTCTGAAGCCATCTTTACCACATCAAAGGTGGAGCAGAGGGTCTTTTTTTTTTTTTTTTTTTTTTTTTTTGAGACAGAGTTTAACTCTTATTGCCCAAGCTGGGGTGCGTGGTGTAATCTTGGCTCATCGCAACCTCTGCCTCCCGGGTTCAAGCAATTCTTCTGCCTCAGCCTCCCAAGTAGCTGGGATTACAGGAGCCTGCCATCACACCTGGCTAGTTTTTTGTATTTTTAGTAGAGACGGGATTTCATCATGTTGGTCAGGCTGGTCTCGAACCCCCGACCTCAGGTGATCCGCCTGCCTCAGCTTCCCAAAGTGCTGGGATTACAGGTGTGAGTCACCACGCCCGGCCCACAGAGGGTCTTAAAATCAGATTCCTGCTGGGAACTCTCCAGCACTGGCCCGGAAATACTTTTACATCGTTTGACAAGAGGGGCAGCAGGAACCTGAGTCTCTGGTTACAGTCAAGTTGATGAGCCCAGGTTGAACTCTTAATATTATGAGAAGGGGAACTTGGGAGGCGAAAGGGCTAGGAGCTGAAACGGGCTGTGCAGGCACAGGCTGCCCCAGGATGGCATTTCCCTCAGCCACCCTGCCCTCCCCATTCCCTCTAGGAGGGGGCACTGTACCTTCCCCATTAGACTCCATTCTTGAGGCTGTGTTGACTGTATCCCCAAAGAGACAGTAACGGGGCATCTTCAGTCCCACCACTCCAGCACACACAGGTCCTGGGAGGAGCAAGGGAAGGAGCAGAGCCCATCAGCGAGTGAGGGAGGGAGGGGTGTTAAGGGAGGTAGGTGGACAATCCAAGACAGGCAGGAGGCAGGATCTGAGGTCCCAGCTCTGTGTGTGTGTGTGTGTGTGTGTGTGAGAGAGAGAGAGAGAGAGAGAGAGAGAGAGAGACAGAGAGAGAGAGAGAGAGAGAGAGAGAGAGAGAGAGAGATGAAAGGGCGAGGGGCTGGGCCAGGGGACAAGTTTCCCTTGCGAAGCCTTGGCCTCTGGATGCCCGCCTGCACCTTCAGTGGCCTTACCTGTGTGGATGCCAATGCGCAAGCGCAGCTGCTCCTGGGGCCGGTGGCGGATTCGGAAGGAGCGCACAGCATCCAGCAGTGCCAGGGCCATGCGGGCTACCTCGCAGGCGTGTAGCCGCCCGTTCCGCACAGGGAGCCCTGACACCACCATGTAGGCATCGCCAATTGTCTCCACCTGTGGGAGTGGCGAGGGGGTGCAGGACTTGACGGCTGCAACTGTGCGGCCGGCCACACCGTCACACCGGGTGCAGCGTCTGTCATTCTGTACCCTCATCTGTCTTTGCTCATCCCCCATCCCACATGGGTTCTCTGCCTGTTCCCGGGTCTCCCTGTGTCACTGTCTCTGCCCGTGTCCCCGATCTCCTCTCTTAAGACTCCACATCATTCTGCCTACCCCTCATCTTTTTCTGACCTTGTCCATGTCTGTCTGTCCCTTCCCATCCCCACTCCCACCCTCACCTTGTACACATCAAAGTTGTCTATGACAGCATCAAAGCAAGTGTACAGGTCATTGAGCAGGGTCACCACCTGGAAGGGAAGAGAAGCTAAGAGAGACAGGAAGTAGGGGACCCCACCTGGGGTCAGGTGGGTAAAGCAGAACCAGAAGGCAGGTCTGGTGGGATCCAGATGCTGAGCTTGCCTGGCACCTGTGGCTGAACCCTGGCCTACCTGCATGGGTGTGCTCTCCGCCGACAGCGCTGTGAAACCCACAATGTCACTGAAGTAGATGGTAACACTGTCAAAGGCTTCGGCCTGCACCGTCTCCCCACGCTTCAGCTGCTCAGCCACTGAGCTAAGGGGTCAGGGCAGGTGCAGGATCAGAGTTGGGGGTCGGGACAGGGGCTTTGTGTTGGGGGGGGTCCCCAGACTCAGGCACTCACTGAGGCAGGATCTGGTAGAGCAGGGCCTCAGCCTTGCGCTTCTCCTCCAGGTATGCCTGGGTCCGCTCCTCCACCAGTTCCTCCAGATTGTTCGCGTACTGCTCCATGCGGGACAGCAGGTTGTCCAGGATGTTGCTGCTGTTCTCCCTGGGGGCAGAGGGTGGCGGTGGGGGTGGTAAGAGAGGAGCAGCACAGCCTACCGTGAGCGCCCGCCCCTAGGCACTTCCCCCTCCAGACTGCAGTGAGGTCTCTAGAGACGCTCAGGGTTGAGGGCATAGCAGGATACCGGGGAGCAGGGGAAAACAGAAGGAAGAAAGTTCAATTCTTTTCTGAGACCCCAAGGTCAAGTATGAAGCTTCAGACATATGGACATTTTGTTCATCTTTGTTGAACCCAGTGAGTTAGAAGGAGGTAAAGGAGGTGGAGAATGACAAGGGTCAATTGCGGACAAAGTGATGTCCACAGAAGGGTGTGTCTGGAGGAACTGGGCCTGGTGGGCACGCTGGGGAAGGGAAATCAAGGGGTGGGGCAGGAGCTCCCGTGGAGGGCCAAGAGCCTACAGGGCAGGAGGCGGGAGGCCCATCTATCCTACACACTGCTGAGAAGTCTAGAGGCCAGCAAGGCGAGTGGGCAGGAAGGGTGTGGGGTGTCGATGGTGGAGGGAAGGGGCATGAATGGCAGGGGACTGTGGGGACAGCTGAGTCATGCTGTACTTGCGAAGAGGGTCATGAGGCTGTGCTGAGCTGGAGCTGACTATGTACAGGGAGGAGGTGAGTGGTCTCCCTCTGCCACTGCTGGGATAAGCCAGAGCCAGAAGCATTAGGTAAATGGTGGCTGTGGAGGAAGGGCCTGGGGGATCCATGACAAACACCAGGGACCTGTTAAATTTGCGCAACGTCAGGCGGATCTGCTGGAATGGTGGCCTCTCCTGTGGGTCCTCAGCCCAGCACCGCTGCATGAGCAGCCCCAACTCCTCCAGGTGACTCTGCAGGGCCAGGGAGGGCCGGAAGGGGGGCTGCTCACCCCGAGTCACCCGCTCGATGATCTCTGTATTGGGGGGGTAGAGGAGCTGAGGGGTGGGGCTGGCCAAGGGCCTAGTGAGAGACTGGGGCAACCAGCTGAGATGGCAGGGGAAGTCCAAGACCAAGGCATGGGGGCGGGGGACTGGTCACTGGCAGCAATGGGTCAAAGGGTGGTGACTGAACCCCATTACAGAAGGAAGGTGTGGTGGTGCTGCCAGGGGACCCTCTCCCTGGGGCTGGGGTTCGTTGAGACTGTGGCTGGGTTTAAGGAAGGTGTGCTCCTCTCACCTTTGGGGCTCAGGTCCAAACCTTCCACGTGGAAGACCCCACTCCTCAGGGCAATCTCCTGAAGGATGATCCCAAAGCTGTATACGTCACCAGCCTGGGAGCCCCGCACAGGGGGTGAAGCCATTCGCAGGAGCTCAGGGGCCGTCCACAGCTTTTCTGTGGGTCAGAGGTCGGTAGTCACCGAGTGAGGGAGCCCAAAGCTAAGGGGTGAGGGGGAAACAAGGGTGTGGCCGAAACTGATCTGGATGCATCACAGAGTGTTAGAGCTAGAGGAGGCCTTAGAAACCACTTCGTCTGGCCTTCCCTTTTTCATGGGTGAATGAATTGAGGCTGGAGTCAGGACAAGCATGCCCAAGCCCATCAGAGGCCTTGCATCAGTCTCCCTACTGGGTGGTGCTGGGGGCAGGTGTTAGGTTCAAGAGTCAAGGCTCACTGGCATAAACGGTGTGTCCTTGCTCTGGGTCCAGGTCCCTGAAGCTCTCCAGCCCATAGTCGGTGATCTTGAGCACAAAGCGCCCATCTACCACGCAGTTGGATGACTTGAGGTTCCCATGGGAACAGATAGCCCCATTGTGTAGAAACAGCATGCCCTGGAAATGTGAGTGGGCAGAGGTATTGGCCAGGAGTGGGACCTACACCCGTGGCCAGGAGAAGCATGCCTGGCCCCTGCTCTACACATCCAATAGGTGCTTAGGGGCATACCTTGACGATGTCATTGGTGAGTGAGTACCGGAACATCCAGTCCAGGGTGATGCTCTCATTCTCCAGAATGTCCTGCTGGGGCAATAAGAGTCAGACCAATCCCCTGCAGATCCCCCTGGGAGTTGGAGGAGGGTGCAGGGTCCTACTGATGTGAACTGGTAGAACAGGACAAAACTTTGGATTGACTCTAGTGCCACTGCCCTTCCCCAACTCCCATTTTTACAGATGGGGCCAGAAAGGTCAGAAAGAGGGCGAGGCATGCCTGGGGTCTTATGGCCAGTCAGGGGCAGAGCCAGGGCTAGAACCCAGGTTTCTTGACACCCCTTGTCCCCCTCACCTGCAGGCTCCCACGGGGACAGTACTCTGTGAGGATGCAGATATTGGGGGGGTCGGTGCAGGCTCCCACAAACCTGGTCAGGTGTTCATTCTGCACATCCCGCATCTGCAAGTGGGACCAGCATCAGGAGCTTGACAGAGACCTCGCTCCTCACCAAGCTGCTCACTAGCTTCAGGGACCCTCACTCTTCTTAACTCCTTATTCACTTTCTGCAACCATCACTAAGATCTTCCCTGGTGATTCCCACCCATGTCCTTTAGCCCACCCTCCCCAGAATCTGCTCCTACTCCCTCTGCATCCTAAGCCCTCTCTCCCCCAGGGACATCACATATGGCCCCTCAAGATTCCTCCAGGTTATCTCCAGTGGTCTCTTCTCCTAGCTTAGGATACCCCCACTCCCACCCACAAGATGAAGGTCCATCCCAGGGCTCCAGTCCCTGCCCCTTTCTTGGGGTACCCTGAGGTCCCTCCATAACTAGTTCTGTTGGCCAGTCTCCCTTGCGTCCCCGAGGGCCCCTTCTCCATGCCACTGCCTCACTCCCCACATTACATGCTTCAGTTCAAACAGGACTTTTCGTGTCAGCTCAATGCGTTTACGGTTCACACGTTTCACAGCCACGAGGTTGCCCTGGGCATGGAATGGAGACTGTCACTGTGAAGAGCATGGTCCCATGTCCTGGGAATTCCAGCTGCTCCCGACAGCCCATCCCTGCCCTCAGGACCCTCACTTGTTCCCAATAGCCCACCCCCAGGGCCCCCATCTGCTGCTCCCCACCAGCTTACTCCTTCCCTCAGAACCCCCCACCAGTCCTCCATCAGAGTACACTCCTGCCCCAGTCCCAAGGCCCAGTGATCTTTCCCCAGGCCCACCTTATAATATGCTGTCTTGGCAAAGACTTGGAACTGGCCCTCTGTGGTTAGCAGGGAGCCGTAATTGGAGCCTCTCTGAAAGGAGGGAGAGCAGGAGGAATGGTCAGCCGGTGGGCCCAGTCTGCATCCTGATTGCTTGTGCTCTGGTCTTTATTTCCCTGCCTTATCCTGCCTTATCTTTGTGTCACCCTTCCTTTTTGTTGTTGGGTTTTTTTTTGAGATGTAGTATCATTGTGTCATCCAGGCTGGAGTGCAGTGGTGCTATCCTAGGTCACTGCCGCCTCAGACTCCTGGGCTCAGATGATCCTTTCACCTCAGCCTCCAGAGTAGCTGGGACTACAGGTATGCGCCACCATGCCCTGCTAATCTTTGTATTCTTTGTAGAGACGATGTCTTGCTCTGTTGCCCAGGCTGGTCTTGAACTCCCAGGCACAAGCAATCCTCCTGCCTCGGTCTCCCAAAGTGCTGGGATTGCAGATGTGAGCCACTGTGCCTGGCCCACCCTGCTTTATGTTCCACATCATAAAATTTCCTCCTCATTTACTTTTTTTTTTTTTAAAGTGTTTTCACAGGTACTATCTCCTCTGACCTTTAAAAGAGCCCTGTGAGGGAGGCTCTGCTGCTGTAATCATCATCTGAGACAGTCTCGGAGAGGGACTATGAGTCGCTCAAGGTCACACAGCAAGTGAAAGCAGAGCTGGGACTAGAATCCTGCTCCCTTACCTATCCCTCAGGCACTGCCCCTTGTACCCACCTCTCCTTTATTGCCCCCCAACACAAACACCAGCGTTCTTACCCCGCTCAGGGTCAGCCGGCTGCCTGCACTCCGCAGGTGCCTCTCAAGGCTACTGGGCTCAACGTCCTCCCAGCGCACCCGCCACAGCTCCGAGGCCAGTTCCTTCTCCAGCTGCATCTTCCTGGGATACGAAGGCTGCATCTGAGCCTGTGGCTGAGCCGCTGACCCAGGGCAGGGTGCTCAGCAGCCCCTCCTCAGAGCCGTGGGACCACACCATGCACTCAGAGATGGAGGGGGAATTCTATCCTCTGGACTGAGAATCAGGATGGCTGGGGGAAATTCTGCCTTACTGGGGACCTTGGGGGAATCACCTCAATGTCCTTACTTGGGAATGAGGCCGCAATATCTATTTCATTCTTAACTATTATAAGAATGAAAAGAAATAGTGAACATGAGGCCAGGCACAGTGGCTCATGCCTGTAATCCCAGCACTTTGGGAGGCCAAGGTGGGTGGATCATGAGGTCAAGAGATCGAGACCATCCTGGCCAACATGGTGAAACCCTGTCTCTACTAAAAATACAAAAATTAGCTGAGCGTGGTGGCATGTGCCTGTAGTCCCAGCTACATGGGAGGCTGAGGCAGGAGAATTGCTTGAAACTGGGAGGCGGAGGTTGCAGTGAGCCTAGATCATGCCACTGCACTCCAGTCTGGCAACAGAGCGAGACTCCGTCTCAAAAAAAAAAAAAAAAAAAAAAAAGAAAGAAAGAAATAGTGTACGTGGAAGTGCCTGGCACACATTATATGCTCAACCAGCAGTGATTTTTCTCCCCTCCCTCCTTGCTTTTGTATATCATTAACTCCTCCTGTACTTCATTTTAGCCTCCACTGGACGGCAGGAACAAGGCTCATTCAGCTCCCTTCTCCATTCTAGGTTGGGCACCTGGCACACACCAGGGCTCACCCTCCTCAGCTAACATGGGCATGATTGCAAAGGTTCAGAAAGTTGCTTCCTATCTGGCCTGCAAGAGTAGCAAGGAAAACCAGTCCACGCCCCTATGATGTCACCCATCAACTTCTCTGCTTCTTGGATCTTTCTGACTCTCCTTGGCCATTCCTATCCTTGTCTCCTCCCCTCGCCCTGCCATTCCCTTCTCTTTCTTTCTCCTCTGGCTTTTAAGCCTCCTTTCTTCCTCATCTCCCTTGGTTTTCCCCTGGTGCCCCTTCACCCCTGCCCTCTTCCCTCTGGGTCCCCACCGCCTCCTCTGCTATTGGTTCTCCGGGTCCCCCAGCCTCACTCAACCCCCCACATCACAGCTCACCTGTATATGAAGAAGGAGACAATCAGAATGCCGAGCAAGGAGAGGCTGCCCACCAAAGCCAGCACCTCCAGGGTGGAAAGGTGATCTGCAGGAGAGAGTCCATATTGCAGCAAGAGAGATTTGGGTTAGACAGCAGGAGGAAGAACTTTCTAATAGTCCATCAGTGAACTGGGATGATGGATGAAGGGAAGAAAAAGGCAGGAGTCATTCTCCAGAAAGCCCTCAGCATGGGACAGGAGCACCTACTCGACTGTGCTTAGGGGAAGGATGCAGCATCTCTGGGATGGAGGCCTGGAAGGCAAGGGGCAGTCACCTTGGTTGCATGCTGGGTCTTCGTTGTCAAAGCCACATTTGGGGATGTCAGGAGGAGGGTACCCCAGGGGCCAGTTCAGTTTGCGCCCCGACACAGCCACCAGCTCTTGGGAAGTCCCATTGTAGTTCAGTACAACCTAAGGGAGAGCAGGAGTGGTGGCTAGGCCAGGGCCTGCGGGGAAGGCATGCTGTGAGTGCAGCAGTCTCACCTCCCACCTACCCCAGCTCTGCTTCTAGAGCCTACATATATATCTGGGTTGTCACCTGCTTACCAAGTCCCCACTGCAACTGGACACAGGACCTCATACCACACACATAGTACTCAAGTGGAAACACCTGAAAACTATCAAGGGGTTTATAAAGAAAACTCCATTTAGAACCCGATCTCTACACTCAGGGAGTTTATAATCTTGGTTGAAGTACCAACCAAGCATTGATTTTTCTCTACTTATTTTCTTGGTAGAAAACAGGAGAAGGTAATGTTCACCTTAGCCTACATTCGCAGGCCCAGTCCATGTGCCCGTCTTCCAGGAGGCCTTCTCTGGATGACCTGTCCCTTGTGGCCATTGGCCTCAGCGCCTTCCTGTCCCTGCTCGCTTGCAGAGCTGTGTAATGTGCATCTTTCACAGCCCTGTCTCTGCTGGGAGGCGGTCCTGCCTGCCTCCCTTCGGAGCTCCCCGAGGGCAGGCTTGTGCTCCCTCCTCAGGCATGGGGCTCCCCAAGTGTGATGCCTGTGAGTCCCTATCATTCTGGTGGCTTCCCCAGACTGGAGCTGGGTCTGTTTTATCCAGGGCTCTTGTAAGTGTCCAGGCATGGTGGAATGGCTACAGGATAAACAGGTGCCCTGGCAGGGCTGTGGGGGGGAAGTAGGAGGGTGAGATGTCATTTGGAATTGGCACTGTCTTCTGGGTGCACAAACTTACCCTGAAGGCACCATTCTCGGGATCCATATCCCAGAGGGAGAAGTCTGTTTCCCGATCGCCACTGCTATCAATTTTCAGGTATCCTGTCACACCTGAGGACATGGGGGAAGATGACTATGTTTGAGAGAATAGAAGTTCAGGGGTGCCCCACTTCATCTCTTCATCCTCTAATCTTTTTTGCCTTGCCTTCCAAACATACATGTATACAGAATGATAGTAAATGGTAAAACGGCCGGGCACTGTGGCTCATGCTTGTAATCCCAGCACTTTGGGAGGCTGAGGCGGGCAGATCACCTGACGTCAGGAGTTCAAGACCAGCCTGACCAACGTGGTGAAACCCTGTCTCTACTAAAAAAAATACAAAAAATTAGCCAAGTGTTGGTGGAGGGCACCTGTAATCCCAGCTACTCAGGAGGCTGAGGCAGGAGAATTGCTTGAACCTGGGAGGCGGAGGTTGAAGTGAGCCGAGATTGCACCACCACACTCCAGTCTTGGGGACAGAGCGAGACTCCATCTCAAAAAAAAAAGAAAAAAGAAAAAGAAAGGTAAAAGAACTCAGTGCCCAGCAGGGATGATTGAGATTGGACACTTTGTAGGACTTCTGAGGGATGGGCCTGAAAAAAGCTGTGGAGGAAAAGGCTGGTGTGCATAGGTAACTGCTGCAGGACAATAGGCTTCTCATGGCTTGACACTGGGCACCTGGGATTCATCCCCCAAGGCAGCCCATTCCAGCCACCTCCAGGCCCTGACCTTGAAAGCTTCGGTTCCACATCCGCTGAGTGATGTTCTCCCCATCAGTAACAGTTCCCCCATGTGCCAGAGTCTCCGTCACTGCCTGGATATAGAGCAGGAGCCCGTCGTGGAAGGATGCTGGGATGGTGTTCACCTGTAGGGGCAAACAGAGGTCGGCTGGGGTGGGCATATGAAGGGCATGGAGGTGGGAGCTGTGGGGAAGGGAACAAGAGGCACTGGGATTTTGGAAGAGGATGGGAGAAAATAACACCCCTATATCACAGGGAGATTTTACTATTTAAACGATGCCTTTGGATTAGCATCACTTCCTGAATCCTACTAGGTAGACAGGGCAGGATGTATCGTCTCCATATTACTGATGATGACCTGAGTTTCAGAGGCTGAACTTGCCAGTGTCCTCCTCCATCATCACGAGAAACATGGAACAATGGGAAGGGAGGGAAGGAAGGGGAGAACTGGGAATAGGGAAGGATGGAGGCTGGCAGAGGGTCATGGAGTGGGGGCTGGAGGTCCACGCTGGAGGGTCCCGGGACCCCTTCTTACCAGGCCATCCTCCATGGTGAAGTTGAACTGCTCATAGGCCAGGTGTTTTAACTGCTTCAGGAATTCCAAGTACTCGGGATTATCTGGGTCTTTATATGTAATGATTTTGGCAGCCTGAGAAAGGGGTCAGTGGAGAGCAGAGAGTTGGGAGCTGACTATTCCCTAGTACTGTGGGGCCCCAACAGTTGGGAGCCCACCTCCCAGAGCTGCGTCTCTGCTTAGCTCAAGGTCAAACTGGACCCTATGCCCTGCATGAAGTGATGCCCATTCCAAAGCAGGGGATCCAATGGGATGCCTTCTCCAAGTCCTGTCCAGGCTGTGGGACTTTATCCTCCTCCCGCCTCAAGCCCATTTTCTTATCTTTTTAGCCTGCTGGTGGCGAAGCGCCCCTGGGCAGTCCCCTGCCCTTCATTGCCTAATTCCCAGTGAGCATCACCAACCTCTTTTCTGTTCTGTGAGTTACCAGGAGTGCATAAAGAAACAAACAGACAAAAACCTCTTTTCTGGAATTCTTTCAGACGCTGAGGGACACAGTGCCCAGAAATGATGTGCCACAAGCTGAGACAGCCTGGGCTTCAAACCTAGGTACTCACCTGAAAGGCCTGGCGGGCACTGACATCCTGCCCATCCCCTCTCTCCCAGGGCCTGCGGGGAGCAGGGCCCTGTCCACCTTGCAGGCTTTGCCCAAAGATATCCAGGTGGAAGAAAACGTAGTCCTCCCCACACAAGCCAGCTTCCAGGGCCAGGAGCATGAGGGTTCTGAAGGCATCAGGGGAGCTGCAGATGTAGATAACTGGAGAAAGACGGAGAGTCAGAGAGAGAAGCCTAGGTACTGCGGGAGAGACAGGAGTAGGAAAGCTGGGGCACCCAAGGGAGGAAGTTTAGAGATAGGGTGCAGGAGAGACCCAGTGAGAGTTAAGTGGTAACTCCCGGCTCAGCCTAGGCCACAGCAGGAGAAAGTCGAAGGGTGGAACGGGCGGGTGCGGGGCGGTGGGCGGGAGGAGGAAGGGGGAGGCGGAAGGGAGGAAGGAACGGGTAGGGAGAGGGGGATAGTGGAGCTGAAGGTGGAGAAGGATGGGGCCAGGAGGGAGAGAGGAGGGAGAGGGAGGGGGAGAAGAGAGGGGATGAGGCGCAATGAGAGGAGAGGATGAAAGAAGGGAGAAGGCTATAGGGAAGAGAGAAAATGTGGGAGGGAAAAAGGGACCGGAACCGAGCTGTGCTAGGGTGGGAGGGAATGAGTGGGGGTCGGGGAGATGAGAGGATAGAGACGTGGTGGGGGTGGCGGAAGAAGAGAGGGAAATAGAAACTCAGCTGTAGAAAGGGCCAGGGAGCTGAAAGTAGAATGAAGAACGGCGAGGAGAAAGAAGAGTGCCCCCAGATGAGAGAGAAAGTCCCGATGCCTCCGGCAGGTCAGAGGGGAGGCCCTGCGGCTAAGCGGCGGGACGGGGTGTGCCAGCGTCTCACCTCGGCCTTTGCGCGGCATGGTCCGCAGCAGCCTGGTGTAGTGGCTGAGGTCGTCCTCGGCGAACTCCAGGTGGTCCACCGTAATATTGAGGCGGTCGCGGACCCGCATGAACAGCCCCTCCACGAGGAAGAAGCAGTGCTCTTCGTCACCCGGCCGGTAGGCGTAGAGCATGAGCGCTTGGCGCTCCCAGCCCAGCCGTCGGTGCAGCGCCGCCACGAAGTCCCCCAGCTTGGCGTAGCTGGGCCCCGCGCGGGTGGTCAGCGCATACTCGTCCTTGACACCGAAGCCCAGCGCCGGGGCGCCGGCGGTCAGCAGCGGGACCCGCCAGTGCGCGGTGAAGCGCCCCACTGGGGCGGCGGCGTACACGCAGCCGGGGCCCAGGAACACAGCGGGGTTGTGCTCCCACTTGAGGTCCACCGCGGCCAGGGGCGCTGCGGTGTCGGAGCAGACGCCCAGCGCGTTTTCGCTGCTGCCCAGCACCGTGCGGACCGTCCAGCCCGGCAGCAAGTCGGGGCGCGCCTTCACCTGGGCCAGGGCCAGCTCCACGGCGGGTCCCACGCGCGCCCACGACCAGGGGTACGAGGTATTGGCCAGCGGCAGTACCACGGCTACCGTCAGGTTGCCCGCGTGGCTGCCCCGGAGCAGCAGCAGCAGCGGCGGCAGCAGCAGGAGCAGGAGCAGGCGCAGGCGGGAGCCAGCGGGGCGCCGGGGCCCCGGCATGGCCTCAGCGGGCACCGCAGCAGGCGAGCGCTCCTACCATGGCCTCCTCGGTCCCCTTGGGCTCAGCGGCCGGTCCCAGGCATCAGGCGCGTCCCTATGGGAAGGAGCAGGAGCGGGACGGGGACGCTCACCCCGGGGCTCGAGGCCCCCTGTAGCTGCGACGGTCTGGGCCGAGAGCGCAAGGGGCGCGACCGAGGGGGGCGCGCAGGGCGCCGCGGAGCAGGTGGGTGCCAGGAGAACGTCGGGCTGGAGAGGACCCGAGTGTGAACAACTGGGAGTGTGCGTGCGTGTTAGAGAGAGAGAGAGAGAGAGAGAAAGGGTGCGAGTGAGCGCTTCGTGAAGAAGGATGAGAGAGGGCGCGCGAGGGAGGAAAGAGGAGTGTGTGTTTGTAGCGTGCGTGAGCGCCTGCCCCAGGGAGTGTGCCAGAAGGGGCGTCCGGCCGGCCCAAGTCTCCGGCTATCCGGAGGGAACCGTGGAGGACCCGAGCCAAGCTCCGAACCCTCCCTCCCAGCCGCTTCCCCTCCCAGACTCAGTGACAGAAGAGCCAATCCAGGATCTTTAACTCCTTCCTCCCCGCCGCCCAGCCCGCGCGCTTCCCCGTGGACCATCTTCCCCGGTCTCGGCCGCCCCACGCCTACCTCTTTGGAGGACAGGACCCTCTGAAGGTGCGCCCTCGCCGGGATGGAAAGGACGGCTGAACGGAGGGTGTGTGTGGAAGCAACCGGGGCCCACTTGCGCCCCACCTTTTCCCTCGCCTCCTACCTGGTCTCCTCGGGGGAAGAGGGAAAGGTGTGCTGGTTTGGGATCCTGGCAGGAAACTGAGTGAGTGCGTGGATGTGTGTGTTTGGGTGTGGGGTGGAAGGTGACGGGTTTCTGGAAAGTCCGTTAAAGTTGAAGGTGAGCCCAGAGTGCTTGTTACCCATTCCTTCTATGATCTCCCTCTCTTTCCCTCCCTGCCACCTTCCAGACTGTGCAGATTAGCTGTGAAAAAATGATCTGGTGTCAGAGAGGAATTAAATCTTTAGCGCCCAAATTGTAGGAAGATGGGGAGAGTGGGTGGGTGTCTGGGAGGGAGGAGGTTCACACCTCAGGGACGCCCCAAGAAAATGACTGTTTTGTGTTGAGGGTTGTTAAAATGAAGGCTGTGGGAGATGACCACTGGAGGCGTAAATTGGGGAGTGGGTTTTGGAGCACTTGACAGCTGGGCCCCCGGTGCAGACTGCTGTGGAATCAGTGTGCCCTCTAATGGTCATCGGGGGTTATTGACGGCATTGCAGCGCCAACCTCTCCAACGCTGCGCCTAAGCAGGACATAAGATCACCAAACTTCAGGTCAGCAAACATTTCCAGAGAACCTTCGGTGCATTAAGCACCCACTAGGTGCCGAGGGCATAAAGATGAATATATATAGTCCGTGCCTTTGAGGAGCTCCATTTGGGACAAATAACCGTAATGCAACATGCATTAAGCACTACAGGGGAGACATGGATAAATTGCTAAAGGACTCAGATGAGGGCTATTCATTCTGCTTGGATTGGGGCCAGAAAATCTCCAAAAAAGAAATAATTCAAGAGGATGGAAGGATGAGAAAGGTATTCTGTGTAGACAGAGCAGAATGTTGAAGTACATTTCCTATATATGGAATTTTAGGAGACTTGAATATTCTTATTATCTAGAGCAAATTGTGGTCGATAGGCCAACTTGAGATGGCAGGCATGCTTTGGCTTGCATTCTCTTTATGTATATTGTATTTAATTCCCCACACTTAAATATCATAAGATGGGGCCGGGCAAGGTGGCTCAAGCCTCTAATCCCAGCACTTTGGGAGGTCAGGGTGGGTGGATCATGAGGTCAGGAGTTCAAGATCAGCCTGGCCAAGATGGTGAAACCCCGTCTCTACTAAAAATACAAAAATTAGCCAGACATGGTGGCGGCCGCCTGTAATCCCAGCTACTTGGGAGGCTGAGGTAGAGAATTGCTTGAATCCGGGAGACAGAGGTTGCAACGAGCCGAGATTGCGCCACTGCACTCCAGCCTGGGCAACAGAGCAAGACTCCGTCTCAAAAAAAAAAAAAAAAAAAAGATGGTACATGAATATTTGGATTTCTGACTTTTTTTTTTTTTTCCTTCAAAGATGGAGGTCTCCCTATGTTGCCCAGGCTGGTCTTGAACTCCTAGGCTCAAGCGATCCTCTTGCATTGGCCTCCCAAAATTCCTGGATAACATGTGTGAGCCACCAGGCCCAACCTGGATTTCTGACTTTCCTTAAAATATTGGAAGAGCTGGCAATATATTGTCCTGCATCCCTCCATGAGCAATTAACCAGAGCAAGTATCCATTATCTCCTTGAAATGAGTCTAGTTCATTATGGTTCCTAGGCACCCTGCTTCACTCAGGTGCATTACCTGCCTGGCTGTAGTAGGAGTTTGTGTTTTCAGCCCTGATCTAGGATGTAAGGTGTGTGCATGTAGGATGACTGAGGAAGAGAGGCAGGGAAGAGGGCAGTGGAGGGAAGATTATGAAAGCTTTTGTGTGACAGGCATAATGTTCTTGTCCTGTAATGGAGATGGCGGATTCCAGAGATTGTAGAGGTAGACAGCAGATGCAGATGGGGAGATGTTTTGTAAGTAGAATCAGTTGAACTTTGGGAAGTGAGGACATTATACAAATAACAGATCTAGGTGATGTTGATCCCATTAGCTGAGAAGCTGAAGAAGGTTTTGGAAGGATGATACTTTTAGTTTATTGGATGTGAGGTGCCTATAGATAATCAAGTGGAAGTGTCTGATAGGCCTCGGACTAGTGGAGCTGGAGCTCAGAAGAAATGACTGGACTAGAAATATAGTTTAGTAATTGAGCTCCTTTCAATAATGGTGAACTAGCCCTAAAGCTACAGACAACTAAAAGTGTTGGATGAAATACTTTTTTAAAAATCAAAGAACTGGCTGGGCATGGTGTCTCATACCTGTAGTCCCAGCACTTTGGGAGGCGGAAGTGGGCTGATCACTTGAGGCCAGGAGTTCAAGACCAGTCTGGCCTTCATGATGAAACCCCGTCTCTACTAAAAATACAAAAATTAGCTGGGTGTAGGCCAGGTGCGGTGGCTCATGCCTGTAATCCTAGCACTTTGGGAGGCCGAGGCGGGTGGATCACCTTAGGTTGAGAATTCGAGACTAGCTTGACCAACACGGAGAAACCCTGTCTCTACTAAAAATACAAAAATTAGCCGGACATGGTGGCGCATGCCTGTAATCCCAGCTACTCAGGAGGCTGAGGCAGGAGAATCGCTTGAACCTGGGAGGCAGAGGTTGCGGTGAGCCAAGATCATGCCATTGCACTCCAGCCTGGGCAACAAGAGTGAAACTCTGTCTCAAAGAAAAAAAAAAAATTGGCCGGGCTTGGTGGTGCATGCCTGTAATCCCAGGTACTAGGGAGGCTGAGGCACAAGAATCACTTGAACCCAGGAGGCAGAGGTTTCAGTGAGCCAAGATTGCGCACCTGCATTCCAGCCTGGACAGCAGAGCAAGACCCTGTTTCAAAAAACAATAAATAAATAAAAATAAAAATAAAAGAACTGGGCCGGGCGCAGTGGCTCAAGCCTGTAATCCCAGCATTTTGGGAGGCCGAGATGGGCGGATCACAAGGTCAGGAGATTGAGACCATCCTGGCTAACATGGTGAAACCCTGTCTCTACTAAAAATACAAAAAATTAGCTGGGCACAGTGGCGGGCGCCTGTAGCCCCAGCTATTCAGGAGGCTGAGGCAGGAGAATGGCTCGAACCTGGGAGGCGGAGCTTGCAGTGAGCCGAGATCGCGCCACTGCACTCCAGCCTGGGTGACAGAGCAAGACTCCGTCTCTTCAAAAAAAAAAAAAAATTAGCCAAGCGTGGTGGCAGGTGCCTGTAATCCCAGCTACTCGGGAGGCTGAGGCAGAATTGCTTGAACCCAGGGGGTTGAGGTTGCAGTGAGCCGAGATCCCACCACTGCACTCCAGCCTGGGCAGCAAGAGTGAAACTCTGTCTCAAAAAAAAAAAAAAAAAAATAGCCGGGCTTGGTGGTGCACACCTGTAATCCCAGCTACTCGGGAGGCTGAGGCACAAGAATCACTTGAACCCAGAAGCAGAGATTGCAGTGAGCCGAGATCACACCACTGCACTCCAGCCTGGGCAACAGAGCAAGACCCTGTCTCAAAAAAAACAATAAATAAATAAATAAATAAATAATAATAAAAGAACTAATAAGATAGTGAGGCCAGGCACAGTGGCTTACGCCTATAGTCCTAGCACGTTGGGAGGCCAAGGCAGGTGGATCACCTAAGGTCAGGAGTTCGAGACCAGCCTGGCCAACGTGGCAAAACCCCGTCTCTACTAAAAATACAAAAATTAGCCGGGCGTGGTGGCAGGTGCCTGTAATCCCAGCTACTTGGGAGGCGGAGGCAGAATTGCTTGAACACAGGAGGCGGAGGTTGCAATGAGCTGAGATCGTACCATTTCACTCCATTTCGAGCAAAACTTCATCTCAAAAAATAATAATAATTAAAAAAATAAGATAGTGAGAAATTATTGGTGTGACAGCATGAAAGTACAGGAAAGTAGAGAAGTAAGCCCAGCAGTAGGGCTGATTTTACCCTGGGGTCATTTGCTGATTTGGAATTAGTGGCAGAAAATAGGTTGTGTGGGGCCGGTGAAGTCCAGGCCGGGTGTGGTGGCTCACACCTGTAATCCCAGCACTTTAGGAGGCCAAGGCGGGAGGATGGCTTGAGCTTAGGAGTTTCAGACCAGCCTGGGCAACAGAGCGAGACCCCATTTCAATTTTTTTAAATTAAAAAAAAGAAAAAGGGCCAGGCACGGTCGCTCATGCCTGTAACCCCAGCACTTTGGGAGGCTGAGATGGATGGATCATGAGATCAGGAGTTCAAGTCCAGCCTGCACAAGATGGTGAGACCCCCCATCTCTACTAAAAATACAAACATTAGCCAGGCGTGGTGGTGCATGCCTGTAAGCCCAGCTACTCGGGAGGCTGAGGCAGGAGAATCACTTGAACCCAGGAGGCAGAGGTTGTAGTGAGCCGAGATTGCGCCACTGCACTCCAGCCTGGGCAATAGGGGGAAACTCACTCTCAAAAAAAAAAAAAAAAAAAGGAGTCCAAATGTCCCCAAAGGTGATAACCTTGGTAAACCACCTTCGTGTTTTGGGCTAGGATCTCAAAAGGCTGCACTCCTAGGGGCAACCTGGGAGTAGAATAAATAGAAAATCTAAGGTCCTGCTTGGTGCCTCACATCTGTAATCCCAGAACTTTGGGAGGCTGAGGTGAGGATCACTAGAGCCCAGGAGTTGGAGACCAGCTTAGGCAACATAGTGAGACCTTATCTCTACCAAAAATTAAAAAATTAGTTGGGTGTGGTGACATATGCCTATAGTCCGAGCTACTCTGGAGGTTGACACAGGAGGATCGCTTGAGCCCAAGAGGTTGAGGCTTCAGTGAGCTGTGTTTATGCCACTGAACTCCAGCCTGGGCAACAGGAGTGAGACCCTGTCTCAAAAATAATAATAATACAGACCCAAAATATTAAAAGACCAAAATTAAGAACCAAATGATAGATTTAATACTATGTTAGACTAAACTGAGGAGCAAGTAATAAATTGGAAGAAAGGACAGCAGAAACTACCTAAAATGAAGAATGGATAAAAAGGAATGAAAAGCATAAAAAGAGAGGGTAAAAGGCCTTTGCAGTGGCTCATGCCTGTAATCCCAGCACTTTGGGAGGCCGAGGTGGGTGGATCACCTGAGGTTGGGAGTTCGAAACTAGCTTGAGCAACATGGAGAAACCCTGTCTCTACTAAAAATACAAAATTATCCAGGCATGGTGGTGCATGCCTGTAATCCCAGCTACTCGGGAGGCTGAGGCAGGAGAATCACTTGGACCTGGGAGGCAGAGTTTGTGAGCCAAGATCACGCATTGCACTCCAGCCTGGGCAACAAGAGCGAAACTCTGTCTCAAAAAAAACAAAAACAAAAACAAAAACAAAAACAAAAACAAAAACAAAACAAAGACTAGCCTTGACAACATATAAAGTACCCCATCTCTACAAAAATAAATAAATAAGTAAGCCCGGGGCCAAAGGAGGTGGCTCACACCTGTAATCCCAGCACTTTAGGAGACAGAGGCAGGAGGATCACCTGAGGTCAGGAGTTTGAGACCAGTCTGGCCAACATGGTGAAACCCCATGTCTACTAAAAATACAAAAATTAGCTGGGCAGGGCCGGGCATGGTGGCTCACGTCTGTAATCCCAGCACTTTGGGAGGCCGAGGCGGGCAGATCACTAGATCAAGAGATGGTGACCATCCTCGCTAACACCGCGAAACCCCGTCTCTACTAAAAATACAAAAA
Source organism: Homo sapiens (assembly GCF_000001405.40). Classification (NCBI taxonomy): domain Eukaryota; kingdom Metazoa; phylum Chordata; class Mammalia; order Primates; family Hominidae; genus Homo; species Homo sapiens. The sequence goes on along the minus strand of NC_000001.11, from coordinate 153,672,717 downwards.
AAAAAAAATTAGCTGGGCGTGGTGGCGGGCGCCTGTAGTCCCAGCTACTCGGGAGGCTGAGGCAGGAGAATCGCTTGAACCGGGGAGGCGGAGGTTGCAGTGAGCTGAAATAGCGCCACTGCACTGCAGCCTGGGAGACTCCATCTCAAAAAAAAAAATAAAATTAGCTCGGAGTGGTGTGGCCTGTGCCTTTGAGTAGTCCCAACTACTAGGGAGGCCGAAATGGGAGAGTCTCTTGAGGCCAGGAGGTTGAGGCTGCAGTGAGCTATGATGGTGCACCACTGCACTCCAGCCTGGGCAACAGAGTGAGACCCTGTGTCTAAATAAAATGAAATAATAGAAGAGAGGGTAAGAGACAAAGAGATTACTGGGGGAAAAGTCTAACCCGTCTTTATTTGGAGTTCAGGAACGAGGGAAATAATAGGTAAAACTAATACTTGAAGAGATAATAGCTGATAAATTTAATAAATGGACGACAAACCTGAAGCCATTGATTCAAGAAGCTCAACAAACCTCAAGTAAGATTTTTTTTTTTTTAAACGGAGTCTCCCTCTATCGCCCAGGCTGGGGTGCAGTGGCGCCATCTCAGCTCACTGCAACCTCCGCCTCCCGGATTCAAGAGATTCTCCTGCCTCAGCCTCCTGAGTAACTGGAATTACAGGCGCCCGCCAGCACGCCGGCTAATTTTTGTATTTTTAGTAGAGACGGAGTTTCACCATGTTGGCCAGGCTGATCTCGAACTCCTGACCTCGGGTGATCCACCCGTCTCGGCCTCCCACAGTGCTGGGTGGCCACAAGCCACCGCACTCGGTCCGCTTTTTGTTTGCTTGTTTTTTAAAAATTAATAATATTTATTTTAATCTGGATGGTGGTTACGTGGCCAGAATACGTTTAGACTTAAGATGTTTACGTTCTGCTGTAGTAAATTAAATATCGAAAAAGTACTTATGGAAGGGAGGTAGGTGAGGGATAAAAGTCTACAAGTTGGGTTCAGTGTATACTGCTCGGGTGATGAGTGCACCAAAATCTCACAAATCACCACTAAAGAATTTATGTAACCAAGCTGGGCGCTGTGGCTCACGCCGGTAATCCCAGCACTTTCGGAAGCTGAGGCGGGTGGATCACCTGTTTCCATGGACATGGAAAACCATGTTTTCCACACTAATTCAATCAATATACTCCTCTCCTATCTAAAACCTGTTTCTCCTGCTTCGAGTTTGTAGACGTGCAGTGTTCATAGTTGCCTAAACTCCCTTTTCCCCATCAACTTCAACTGCTAGTGGCAAAAATAGCTGATATTGGTTGCATTTTTGAGGTAGGAAAATTGGCAAGATATTTTCCTTCACTAAAGAAACGTAGATTACGTATGCCGTACAGGGCAATGAAAAAACTCCGATAGCAGAGGATGGTTTCGATCCATCGACCTCTGGGTTATGGGCCCAGCACGCTTCCGCTGCGCCACTCTGCTATCTAGAACTAAAATTTCTCATGATTGTTATAGAACACTACGTAGTCGTTGTCCTGACTTCTTTAGTGCCACCTAATGTCTGATCAAAAATTCGTCATTACTATAGAACCAGTTCTTATTGGCTAGTTCCTGACACAGTAGGCGTTTTTTATTGGTTCATAAGCCCGGTTTGACAAAGTAAGCCAATAGGCATAAGCGATGGGGTAAGGCGGGAGCCAATCGCACCGGGTTTTATTGGGACACGCCGGCAAGACGCCTCTTCAGTTGTCTGCTACTCAGAGGAAGGGGCGGTTGGTGCGGCCTCCATTGTTCGTGTTTTAAGGCGCCATGAGGTAAGTGGGTCGAAGCGGTCGAAAGGTTTCAGGTATTCGACGGAAAACTTTGTGAACGTGGGCCGAAAGAAGTCGGAGTATCAGAAAGGGCCATGTATCCGGGGGCTGGCCAAAAACCTGAGAACTCCTGGTCTAGGATAGTGGGAGAGATGGAGGCCGGTAGAGGCGGGGAAACTTGGGCCCGGGATGGGGTTCGGGCCCAGGAGTGGGGAGGGGGGTTCGACACCTTTGTCTCTGAAGGGTTGCGATGAGGGGGTGTCCTCAAGCCCCTGGAGGAGCTCCCCACCTTTCCCCCGCCCCCGTCATCCGGGCTGAGAATGCTGGAGCGAGCCGCATTCATCCTCAGTGCGAAGGCCTTGACATTAGGACACGCCCGATAAATGTGTACCTTAGTGAAGAAATGAGCAATCTTTAGCCTCCGAAGTATTAGGATTCGTGTGGCCCAGGATTATGGGTTATTAAGTGTAGGGCTCACTGAGCCCCATCATTACTTGATGGGGGTTGGATTAACTTAGAGGAGGTTATGGGGGTGTAACTGGGCACCATTTGGAATGGGGACAAGTGTAAGTGTGAGTGGGGTCTCTTGCCTACCGTTGGGAGGTTCCGAGGGATGAAAGTAGCCAACCTAAGATGATATGGCCGGTGGGTATTCCTTCAATGAGGTCAAAATAAAATCTGCATTTCTAGGGGTGACAGAGGCCGTGGTCGTGGTGGGCGCTTTGGTTCCAGAGGAGGCCCAGGAGGAGGGTGAGTACCAGCTTTTAGCATCTCTGCACTTGGTTGTTAGTTTCTGCTTGTCATCTAAATAGGAGTTTTAGAGTAGACTAATGTCACTTGGTTTTGCGAGAGCCAACTGTGGTCTTTTCCTGCACTCCTGTTAAATGAATTTGGCCCCACTATGCTAAGAATGATTCTTTCCCTCCCCGGAGACTTTGTCACTCATTCTGAGGACTGACATGTTTTCAAAATTGTTGGCGTGTTATTTACATCTCGCTTGATTCCTACCTAGGGAATAATTTGGCTGTTTTTCATGTTTTAGGTTCAGGCCCTTTGTACCACATATCCCATTTGACTTCTATTTGGTGAGTACCTTGGGTTAATGATACACATTTTCTGGTCACTGTTGAAATGGAGCCCAGTATCTCCCAGTTAATGAAGTTAGATGGTGGTTGAAGAGGGCAGACACAGTGCCTCACGCCTGTAATCTCAGCACTTTGGGAGGCCGAGGCAGATGGATTACCTGAAGGTCAGGAGTTTGAGACTAGCCTGGCCAATATGGTGAAACCCCGTCTCTACTAAAAATAAAAAAGTTGGCTGGGCATGTGTCTAATCCCAGCTACTTGGGAGGCTGAAGCAGGAGAATTGCTTGAACCCGGGACGCGGAGGTTGCAGTGAACCAAGATGGCACCACTACAAAAAAAAAAAGATGGTTGAAATAGGGAGGGAAAGTGATTTGTGAAAAGATTTGGGGTTTTGAGTCAACTGTGTGTTGCTTTACATACAGAAACAGTGTAAGCATGGTGGGGAGAATAATTCCTTGGCTACTGTTGGCATTAAACATGATTATAATCTTTGTTCTGAACAAGTAATTGTATTTATGGTATATCTGTTACTATAAAGATAGTGATAGCTTAAATTATGGCTATTCCAGCTTTTATCCTTGTTTGAACTTTTTATTTTTTTTGAGACAGTCTCACTCTGTCACCCAGGCTGGAGTGCAGTGGTGCAATCTTGGCTCACTGCACTGAACCTGGGAGGCAGAGGAATCAGGACCTCTGCCTCCAGGGTTCAAACGATTCTCCTGCCTCAGCCTCCTGAGTAGTTGGGATTACAGGCACCTGCCACCATGCCCAGCTAATTTTTGTATGTCTGTTTAGTAGAGACGGGGTTTCACCATGTTGCCCAGGCTGATCTTGAACTCCTGACCTCAAGTGATCTGCCCACCTCAGCCTCCCACGGTGCTGGGATTACAGGTGTGCGTGACCCACTGTGCCTGGCCTTTGAATAAATTTTTTTTTTTGAGGCAGGGTCTCACTCTGTTGCCCAGGCTGGAGTTGCAATGGCGCGATCTTGGCTCACTGCAACCTCGCTTCCTGTGTTCAAGGGATTCTCTCACCTCAGCCTCCCAAGTAGCTGGGATTACAGGTGTGAGCCACCACGCCCAGCTATCACCTCAGCCTCCCAAGTAGCTGGGATTACAGGTGTGAGCCACCACGCCCAGCTAATTGAACAAATTAAGCAGTAAAAACAAGTGTAGAATTTTCTGTTTTTAACCTTTTTCTGTCGTAGTAATAGAAAAAACAATCTCTCCTGTATATTATCTTCGGCAAATAGAATGTAGTTGTTTACTTCTGGTTTAGTGTGAAATGGCCTTTCCCCGGGTCAAGCCAGCACCTGATGAAACTTCCTTCAGTGAGGCCTTGCTGAAGAGGAATCAGGACCTGGCTCCCAATTCTGCTGAACAGGTATGTTCTTTTGGCTGTCTTCCAGAAATGTCTCTAAAGCAGTTAAAAGTATTGGTAAAGAGTAACTGTTGGTAAGGTTAAGAATGGTGTTAACAGAGCCTGAAATCCACAAAGGGTTTAATTGTTCTCCTTATTTCTCATTGTGGGTGGAGATAGCCAGGTGGATATATAAACAAATTACATATGCATTCTTATTTTTACTGGGGACAAAGAGTTGTTCTCTTCCCATATATTCAAGGCCAGAATGAAGTGTTTTTAAAGCCCTATGTCAGTATTGAGTCAGCTTGTATGGAAGGGATTAGGAGAAAATATTCAAATTCTGAGAAATTGCTTATAATTTTTCATTTTCAAGTATTGTTTCATACTGTTTTTCAGGCATCTATCCTTTCTCTGGTGACAAAAATAAACAATGTGATTGATAATCTGATTGTGGCTCCAGGGACATTTGAAGTGGTGAGTTTTTGATGATTTAGTTTTAGGAAAGGGCAGCTTTGGTAGTGTGGAAATTGCCTTGGCTCTTGACTTTTAATTTTCAGTTGTCTATTATCCAAAGCCAAGCCTAAAATGAGAAAGTACAGTGGAATTTCTTTGTAGTACTGATCTTGGGGACAAGACTTGTATCATTGTTATGCTAGCTGTGATGTATCAGGCTTTCATGTGGTGGTTTTGGGGGTGATTTCACCTCTGCTACTTCTTAATTTGGGTAACAGGTAGCTGTGTTGTAACAGTTCTGGGAGGACCTAGGCACCTTTTTTTCTTCTAAATTGTTTTTCCCCGAAATCCTTTTTCCAACAGCAAATTGAAGAAGTTCGACAGGTGGGATCCTATAAAAAGGGGACAATGACTACAGGACACAATGTGGCTGACCTGGTGGTGATACTCAAGATTCTGCCAACGTGTGAGTGTGCCTGTTTCTGGTCATGGGAACAGAACATAGCACTTGGATTAGGGGTTTAGGTATCTTTTTTTGTTTTGAGACAAATTCTCCCTCCGTTGGCCAGGCTGGAGTGCAGTGGTACCATTGTAGCTCACTGCAGCCTTGACCTCCACTACAGCAAGTGATCTTCCCGCCTTAGCCTCCCGAGTAGCTGGGACTACAGATGTGTGCTACCACACCCAGCTAATTTTTGTATTTTTTGTAGATACAGGGTTTCACCGTGTTGCTCGGGCTGGTCTCAAACTCCTGAGCTCAAGCAATCTGCCCACCTCAGCCTCCCAAAGTGCTGGGATTACAGGCGTGAGCCACTGTGCCCAGCCCTTACGGATCTTGAAAGCTCAAATTTCTTGTGAGAAAGGATGTTTGTAAGACAAATGTTTCTAGTTTTTGTTTTTGAGACGGATCTCACTCTGTTGCCCTGGCTGGAGTGTAATGGCGTGATCTCGGTTCACTGCAACCTCCACCTCCTGGGTTCTAGCTGTTTTCCTGCCTTGGCCTCCCAAGTAGCTGGGATTACAGGCAAGTGCCACCATGCCAGGCTAATTTTTCTATTTTTAGTAGAGACGGGGTTTCACCATGTTAGCTAGTCTGGTCTCAAACTCCTGACCTCAGGTGATCCGCCCGCCTTGGCCTCCCAAAGTGTTGGGATTACAGGCGTGAGCCACTGCACCCTGCCTGACAAATGTTTTTTAATGAGTGATAAGGGACAAACGCTGGAGTGTGTGTGTCTGAAAGAATGTATAGCAGGTTACTGTACGGCCATGTTTCTCAACTGGAGGTAATTTTGCCACCCAGGGGATATCTGGCAGTATCTGGCGGTACTTTTGATTGTTAAAACAAGGGGGTGCTACTGGCATCAAAAAAGGGTAGAAGCCAGGTGTGGTGGCTGTATTCCCAGCACTTTGGGAGGCTGAGGCAAGAGGATCACTTGACCCCAGGAGTTTGACCAGCCTGTATAACATAGAGAGATCCTGTACCTACAAAAAGAAAAAAATTAGCTGGGCATGGTGGTGCATGCTTTGGTCCCAGCTACTCAGAAGCCTGAGGTGGGGCCGGGTGCAGTGGCTCACGCCTGTAATCCCAACACTTAGGGAGGCCAAGGCCTGGAGTTCAAGACCAGCCTGGCCAACGTGGCAAAACCCAGTCTCTACCAAAAATATAAAAATTAGCCAGGCGTGGTGGTGGGCGTCTGTAATCCCCACTACTTGGGAGGCTGAGGCAGGAGAGTTGCTTGAACCTGGGAGGCAGAGGTTGGAGTTAGCAGAGATCGTGCCAGTGCACTTCAGCTTGGGTGACAGAGTGAGGCCCTGTCTCAAAAATAAGAAAAAAAGAAAAAAAAAGCAGCAGCCTGAGGTGAGAGGATTGCTTGAGCCCGGGAGGCTGAGGCTGCAGTGAGCTGTGATTGTGCCACTGCACTGCAGCCTGGGTGACAAGAGTGAGACCCTTTCTCAAAAAAAGAAAAAGGATAGAGGCCGTGGATGCTGTTAAACATCCTACATCCCCATCACCCCAAAGATTTGTCTAGCCCAAAATGTTATTAACTGCCACTGACCTGAAAAACCCTGCTGTAGAAAGAGGATATGAGTACAGGAGGGGTCCTGTTCCCTGAGTCTTCCAATTTTTCTGCCCAGGCCTTGGCTTTCTCTTATAAAAGTATATATTCTATTACTTACCCTTGCTTCAGCCTTGGATATGGGACAGAAATGAGAGTGCAAAGTAGCTTAGAGATACATAGAAAGTCTAGGCAAATAAATTATTATAACATTATGTCATTTTCTGTCAATTAGTGGAAGCTGTTGCTGCCCTGGGGAACAAAGTCGTGGAAAGCCTAAGAGCACAGGATCCTTCTGAAGGTTTGCATTTGTTGCTGATTCTGTATTTAGTAGCCATAGGAACCAGGTCTTGTAATTGTAAGTACACTTTCAACAAAATCAGATCAGACCAGATGGAAGAGTAAATGCAGAGTTTTATGTTGTGGGAGTTTTTGGCAGGGGCTTCAGGTGTTCAAGGTGTTCAAGGGAGATCTGTTTGATCTCCCTTCTAAAGCTCTGTATTCTAAATTCTCATTCTGGACTTTGTGCTGTTTTAAAAAATCCACCTGTTCCCCCCCACCCTGGATTTAACTTTGATCATCTAATGGAAATGTGAGTTATAGTTTTTGTTTATTCTGTTTTTTCAGTTTTAACCATGCTGACCAACGAAACTGGCTTTGAAATCAGTTCTTCTGATGCTACAGTGAAGATTCTCATTACAACAGTGCCACCCAATCTTCGAAAACTGGATCCAGAACTCCATTGTTAGTTCTTTTTTTTCCATTGCTGGAAAATTTAGGGGATATTCAAAACATGGTATTGTTGCTGTTTAGTTTACTTAGCTTGTTGCTATTCCACATGCAGCTTCCTGGGAATTGAAGAACTTAGGTTTATTCTGAACTTTGCTCTCTCCCTCTGTAATTTGGAAATAGTTTATCAGCTTGCTAGTGGAATTTTCAGATGGGGTGACCAAGAAAGCATTTGGAGGACTTAAAAAGGACTGAGAAAATATTTATGGAGGGGGATAGGCTTTTGAAGAAAACAGATCTTGCATGTTTCTAGTGATTTTTAGACAAGTGATTTGCTGATATGAGAAACACAGGGTGGCTTAAAGAATTGCAGAGTTGGTCGGGTGCGGTGGCTCACGCCTGTAATCCCAGCACTTTGGGAGGCTGAGGCAGGCAGATCACCTGAGGTCAGGAGTTGGAGACCATCCTGGCCAACATGATGAAACCCCGTCTCTACTAAAATAAAAAATTAGTGGGGCATGATGGCGGTTACCTGTAATCCCAGCTACTCAGGAGGCTGAGGCAGGAGAATTGCTCGAACCCGGGAGGCGGAGGTTGCAGTGAGCTGAGATCACGCCACTGTACGCAATCCAGCCTGGACAACAGAGCGAGACTCCGTCTATCCTGCCCTCCTTCCAAGTTTTTAAGACTGTAGCAGTGGTAATGAGTAGCTTGTTTAATGAAAATGTTTCATCCTGGCATATCATGCTTGTCTTTTTAGTGGATATCAAAGTATTGCAGAGTGCCTTAGCAGCCATCCGACATGCCCGCTGGTTCGAGGAAAATGCTTCTCAGTCCACGTGAGTCCCTCTCTAACCATTTGGATTAAGATAAACTTTTTAACTGCAGTGAATAGCAGGATACCCCCATACTTCCTCTGACAGAACTATTTTGCCTGTGACCTCGTGTCTGGATTTTTATTTTTACCTTAAGGAAGCAAATTAAGATTTAGAGAAAGCAGAGAATGTATAGTTCTGGAAATAGCATAGTCAGCTTCAATTCTACCTTAGGCATGGAAATACATGATCGTATTGATTTTAATGTTTGGGTCACTATTACTTTCAGAGTTAAAGTTCTCATCAGACTACTGAAGGACTTGAGGATTCGTTTTCCTGGCTTTGAGCCCCTCACACCCTGGATCCTTGACCTACTAGTAAGTAAAGATGGGCAATTGGAGTTCCTCATCATCCTTATTTACTAGTAGTAGTAGTAGTAGTAGTAGTAGTAGTAGTAGTAGTAACTCTGAAATTCACCAGAGTCTGAAATTTGGTGAAGCTTAAAAGAAATTTTATTGGTAGACAAGTAATCCAATAAAAATTCAACATTTACATGACTCAGAGACATTTGTTTAAAAAAAAAGAAAAAATTCAAAGTTTTTTTTTTTTTTTGTATATTCAATGAAATGAGTAGTTACTGAGTTATAGTGTCCCGTTTTCTTCTCATGACTGCTACCATTTAATCATGGTAGTAGAGAGAAATGAGTGAGCAGCCATTTCAGAATTGCTTCTGAACATGAAAATTTTGGCTAGACTTAGACCTTAATGACCAGTTTTCCTCGTGATCATTTAAGGTTTTAGTTTGATGCCTGTAATCCCAGCACTTTGGGAGGCTGAGGCCAGAGGATCACTTGAAGCCAGGAGTTTGAGACCAGCCTGGGCAAAATAGCGAGACTCTGTCTCTACAAGAGAAAAAAAAAAAAATTAGCCAGTTGTAGTGGCTTGAACTTATAGTCCTAGCTTCTCAGGAGGCTGAGTCAGGAGGGTTGCTTGAGCCCAGGAGTTCGCGGTTACAGTGAACTATGATTGCGCCACTGCACTCCAGCCTGGATGACAAAGTGAGGCCCTGTCTCTAAAAAATAAAGTTCTAGTTATCAGAAGTGCCATTTTGATGGCACACCTACTGGATTTATTATTTTTCAGGGCCATTATGCTGTGATGAACAACCCCACCAGACAGCCTTTGGCCCTAAACGTTGCATACAGGTACAGCATGCTTTGGGTTTAGGGTTGGTTGTAAACTATTTTGTGCATTCCTTTAATACCTCATACCTCCCTGTGTTCTAGGCGCTGCTTGCAGATTCTGGCTGCAGGACTGTTCCTGCCAGGTTCAGTGGGTATCACTGACCCCTGTGAGAGTGGCAACTTTAGAGTACACACAGTCATGACCCTAGAACAGCAGGTATTGGGACAGATATGAACTGAGTTGTTTTGCCCCACTCTTTTGAATACTGCTGCTCAGCAGGCAAAGCGGAATATGGTCTTTACGGGTCAGGAATTTGGGGATTCTGAAAGACTTTGGTCCTGAGATTTAAAAAGCTGTCTTAATCTCTGTTTTCAGAAGGGTATTACTCAAATAAGGTCCTTTGATTTTCCTTGCTTACTCTCACTTTGCTTTCCTTCAGGACATGGTCTGCTATACAGCTCAGACTCTCGTCCGAATCCTCTCACATGGTGGCTTTAGGAAGATCCTTGGCCAGGAGGGTGATGCCAGCTGTGAGTGACCACTGTGGGTCAGGGGTTTTGTATTGTAATCTGGTACAGAGAAGCTGTACACTACTTAAATGTCTTTAATATTTCCACAGTGTAAGTAATGACTTTTATGCTGGGCTACTCGTCTAAATCACCTTTTTCTCTTTCCTAGATCTTGCTTCTGAAATATCTACCTGGGATGGAGTGATAGTAACACCTTCAGAAAAGGCTTATGAGAAGCCACCAGAGAAGAAGGAAGGAGAGGAAGAAGAGGAGAATACAGAAGAACCACCTCAAGGAGAGGAAGAAGAAAGCATGGAAACTCAGGAGTGACATTCCCTTCACTCCTTTTCCTACCCAAGGGGGAAGACTGGAGCCTAAGCTGCCTGCTACTGGGCTTTACATGGTGACAGACATTTCCGTGGGATAGGGAAGATAGCAGGAAGAAAAGTAAACTCCATAGAAGTGTCATTCCACTGGGTTTTGATATTGGCTTAGCTGCCAGTCTCCCATTTGTGACCTATGCCATCCATCTATAATGGAGGATACCAACATTTCTTCCTAATATTCTATAATCTCCAACTCCTGAAAACCCCTCTCTCAACTAATACTTTGCTGTTGAAATGTTGTGAAATGTTAAGTGTCTGGAAATTTTTTTTTCTAAGAAAAACTATTAAAGTACTTCCTAGTAGGGCTCTTGGTCTTTCTGGTTGGTGTTTTTTGTTTGTTTGTTTTTTTGCATGTGGCAACCTTTTTTGCTTTTGGCTTTGTGTACTCTTTTGTTGAAAATGATAATTGAGTCATTTAATTATAAATACTCAGATCACAATTTGAAGCTGTCTTTGAATTAAAGGACAAACTCCTGGAACCTTTCCATATACCAGAGTAAACTAGAATATCATTTTAAGTATTTATTGAATAAAATGATTCTATCAACACTGCTACTGTATTCAAGCCAGTGCAATAAAAAAGTGGGTGGACAGAGGTCATTCACTTTGACTTTGCCTGCCCCCTCCAAATCCCCAGTGTAAACAGGAAAATGAGAAGTCACAGGTAGAGGACATGCTGTCCAGGCCCATGTAACCAGGCATGTAACATACAAAGGAAGCCCCTCTGGTTAACTAGTCCTGAAGAAGGTAAGCCTCACGTATGCAGCTTAAAAAAAAAAGTAGAGGCCTCAGCTCATTTGTGAAAGGAAGCAAGAGCCATAATTAATGTAAGTCCTTTGGGAACCTCATTCTGGCTGTGTGTAGGTTTCCTGGGGCCCCTACATAAATGGGTAAGACGAAGTGCTTCAAACAAACTGTACGGCTCCCTTTTTAATGTCTGAAGGTCTATGGGGACTGTCTCCTAGGATCTTTGCATGTCTGTTGAAACAAGGCAGCTGGGGAACAGTACTTGTGCTACTGAGTCCATAGGCTCATCTGTTATTTGCCTGGGGAGCCAGGGGGGTAAATTCCCGAATCCAGCATTGCTCTCCTGCGGGCTGTTTCCTTGGCAACACTGTGGTTTAGCCGTCTCAGTCGTTCCTACAAGACAAGGAAGGTTTGGAATCTTAACCACTGTGAAAGGCTTGAGAGTGTAAGTGAACTAGGTGCTGAAAAATACCGGGCGTGATCTACCTCAAAGTCAGTCTTCAAAAGTATATATAAGAATGTAGGCCGGGCATGGTGGCTCACACTTGTAATCCCAGCACTTTGGGAGGCTGAGGCGGGTGGATTACCTGAGGTCAGGAGTTCAAGACCAGCCTGACCAACATGGTAAAACCCGTCTCTACTAAAAAATACAAAAAAATTAGCTGGGCATGGTGGCGGGTGCTTGTAATCTGAGGCAGGAGAATCGCTTGAAACCGGGAGGTGGAGGTTGCAATGAAATGAGATCGTGCCACTGCACTCTAGCCTGGGTGACAGAGGGAGAACTCCATCTCAAAAAAAAAAAAAAATGTAGGCCAGGCATGGTGCTCATGCCTATCCCAGCACCATTTAGGAGGAAGTGGCAGGAAGATCACTTGAGCCCAGTTTGAGAACAGCCTGGGCACCATAGTGATAGCCTGTCTTTTTTTTTTTTTTTTTTTTTTCCCGAGACGGAGTTTCGCTCTTGTTGCCCAGGCTGAAGTGCAATGGTGCGATCTCAGCTCACCGCAACCTCCGTCCCCCGGGCTCAAGTGATTCTTCTGTCTCAGCCTCCCAAGTAGCTGGGATTACAGGCATGCGCTACCACGCCCAGCTAATTTTGTATTTTTAGTAGAGACGGGGTTTCTCTATGTTGGTCAGGCTGGTCTCCAACTCCCAACCTCAGGTGACCTGTCCACCTCGGCCTCCCAAACTGCTGGGATTACAGGCAAGAGCCACCGCGCCCAGCCGATCCTGTCTTTTTATTTAAAAAAAAAAAAAAAAAGGCCAGGCAGGCCGGGTGCAGTGGCTCACGCCTGTAATCCCAGCGTTTTGGGAGGCCCAGGCAGGTGGATCACTCGCATGCAGGAGTTTGGGACCAGCCTGGGTAACATGGTGAAACCCTGTCTCTAGAAAAAATACAAAAATTAGCTGGACATGGTGGTGCATGCCTGTAGTCCCAGCTACTTGGGAGGCTGAGGTGGATGGATCGCTTGAGCCTGGGAGGTAGAGGCTGCAGTGAGCCTTTATCATGCCACTGCACTCCATCCTGGGTGATAGACCTTGTATCATAAAAATAAATAGCCAGGTGTGGTGGTTCACTCCTGTAGTCTCAGCACTTCGGGTGGCCAAGGTGGGAAGCTCACTTGAGCCCAGGAGTTCCAGACCAGCCTGGGCAACATGGAGAAACCCTACTTCTACAAAAAAATACAAAAATTAGCTGGGCGTTGTGCACGCTTGTAGTCCTAGTTACTCGGGAGGCGGAGGCAGAATTGCTTGAGCCCAGGGGGCGGAGGTTGCAGCGAGCTGAGATTGAGCCACCGCACTCCAGCCTGGGTGACAGAGGGAGACTGTCACACACACACACACAAGAATGTAAATGGCAGCAACTGAATAGTGAGAATGAGACGAATTTTCCTAGGTATTTTTCAAGTACTGGGAGAAGTGAATTTCCCTTTCCCCAAAGAATTTTAAAATTACAGTGGCTTTCACTGTGTTGAGGACTTACAAAAAAGGGCAAAGAATCACTGTTGGTAAGATATTCTTTTACCTGAGCATTCTGTAGAATGTTGTTAACCAAGACAACGCGTCGCCGGGCATTAAGTAGCTTCTTAACATAGGGGTCAAGATCCAGGGCCACCTTCTGATCCTCATTTATGCGGCACAGTTCTGGGGATGGAAGTAAGGTGCAGCTAAGATCTAACGGCTTATCTCTTGTTCTGAGGGAAAGCAGGCTGGTAATGGGATGGAAAACACTTGCACCCAAACGGGCCACAGCCATTAGAGATTTAAGACATCCCTGAAAGGAGGAGTCCTTTGGCAGCCCTGATGCCCTGGAAGCAAGTGACAGAAACTCAGCCCAGGGGTTGGCAAAAACCTAAGGTCCTGAAAGTGGGCTGAAGAATTCCGGGTACACAGGGATGCTCACTCACCTGTGGCTAGGTTGTCAATTTGTTCCCGGAGCTCTACCTGGCTCTCTCTGCAAAGAGGTACAAGGCCTACAAGGTCAGGCAGTTACCGGAGCTCAGGAAACGAACTCCCCTACGTATTTACCAAGTACTGAGAGAAGCCGGCCTCCGCTGAACCCTCCACCTGCGGCCTTCCCGCCTGTCCTCCCCGCCTCGAATCAGTTTCCTAAATTTATGCCCACTCCCAGCCAGAACACTTTCTTGGCCCCGCCCCTACAAAGCCAGAGAGACAGGCCCCGCCCCCAACTTCCCTCCCGGGCACCTGACGGCGTGTACGTGAGAGTCGAGCTGCTGCACAGCGGGTCGCAGGAACTCCAGCAGCCCTTCGGCGAAAAGGTCGCGGCCTGTGGGCCCCGCCACCGGGGTCCCTGCCCCCGATACAGCGGCGGAACCAGCCCCCGCCATCACGAATTGTCCTGAAGCCCGAAACCTGCCGCGAGGGCCGCCGGGAACCGGAGCCGCGCCGCACTGCCCCGCCCCGTGAGGGGGCGCCCGGGAAATGCTGTCTCCACCAAGACACCGGGGTTTCTGGGAAATGGAGTCTAGCGCGAACCGGGCGGGGAGGAGGGCCAGGCCGTAGGAGTAGAGGCCTTGTGGCTGGTCTTGAAAATCTCCAAAGTTCAGGTTGTAGAAAGGAACCAGTTTTTGGAGTGGATACTTTTCGTTTTCTTTAAAGGTGAAAATAAACGCGAATACCTGCAGTTGTCCATAGCCTTCCCATGTTAACTTTATGAGATAGCCGGGCATGGTGGCGGGCACCCAGCTACTTGGGAGACTGAGGCAGGAGAACCGCTTGAACCCGGGAGGCGGAGATTGCAGTGAGCCGAGATCGCGCCACTGCACTCCAGTCTGGGCAACAGAGAGACTCCGCCTCAAAAAAAAAAAAAAAAAAAAAAAAAGCAACCCAAACCAAACAAAAACAAACCAAAAACAAAAACACTTTATGAGAAAGCCACATTATATTCATAGTATCGTTTTCTATTTCTAAAGAGTTTATTGTGGTTGGTTGTTTTTAAGACAAGGTCTCTCTCTGTCGCCTAGGCTGGAGTGCAGTGCCACCGTCTTGGCTCACTGTAGCCTTCACCTCCTGGGGTCAAGAGGTCCTCCTGCTTCAGTCTCCCAAGTAGCAGGGACCACAGGTGTTAGCCACCATGCCTGACTAATTTTTCATTTTCTGTAGAGAAGAGGTCTCACTATGTTTGTTGCCCAGACTGGTCTCGAACTCCTGGGCTCAGGTGATCCTCCCAACTCAGCCTCCTAAAGTGCTGGGATTACAGACGTGAGCCACCACGCCTGGTCTATTTCTAAAGAGTATATTTTTAATGGCATTAAATATGTAAAAAACTGCATGTATCCGAATTTCATTCCTTTTTAAGGCTGAATAATATAAACATGCAGGCAGGGCATGGTGGCTCACTCCTGTAATCCCAGCACTTTGGGAGGCTGAGGCGGGAGGATCACCTGAGCCCAGGAGTTCGAGATCAGTCTGGGCAACAAACCTAGTGAGACTCTGTCTCTACAGGAAATAAAAAATTAGCCAGGCGGCCAGGCGCAGTGGCTCACGCCTGTAATCCCAGCACTTTGGGAGGCCGAGGCGGGTGGATCACGAGGTCAGGACATCGAGACCACGGTGAAACCCCATCTCTACTAAAAATACAAACAATTAGCCGGGCGCAGTGGCGGACTCCTGTAGTCCCAGCTACTCGGGAGGCTGAGGCAGGAGAATGGCGTGAACCCGGGAGGCAGAGCTTGCAGTGAGCCCTGATCGCGCCACTGCACTCCAGCCTGGGCGACAGAGCGAGACTCCATCTCAAAAAAAAAAAAAAAAAAAAAAATTAGCCAGGCATGGTGGCTCACAGCTGTGGTCCCCGCTACTTGGGAGGCTGAAGTAGGAGGACCTTGAGCCTAGGAAGTTGAGGCTACAGTGAGCCAAGATCGTGGCACTGCATGCACTTCAGCCTGGGTGACAGGGTGAGACCCTGTCTCAAAAAATAAAAATTAAAAAAAATTTTTTTTTGAGACCGAGTCTTGCTCTGTCACCCAGGCTGGAGTGCAGTGGTGCAATCTCGCTCACTGCAAGCTCCGCCTCCCGGGTTCATGCCATTCTCCTGCTTCAGCCTCCCGAGTAGCTGGGACTACAGGCGCCCACCACCACGCCCGGCTAATTTTTTGTATTTTTAGTAGAGATGGGGTTTCACCACGTTAGCCGGGATGGTCTCGATCTCCTGACCTCGTGATCCACCCGCCTCGGCCTTCCAAAGTGCTAGGATTACAGGCATGAGCCACCGCGCCCGGCCATAAAAATAAATTTTAAAGTTTCCTTAGTTCACTTATTTTTCCTTTCATTTTTAGAGACAAGGTCTCACTCTGTTGCTGAGGCTGGAGTGCAGTGATGTTATCATAGCTCACTGTAACCTCAAACTTCTGGGCTCGAGCCATCCTCCTGCCTCAGCCTCCTAAGTAACTGGGACTACAGTCACCTGCCCCCATGCCTGGCTAATTTTTTAAATTTTTTTGGTACAGGCAGGGTCTCCCTATGTTGCCCAGGCTGTTCTCGAACTCCTGGCCTCAAGACACCCTTCCATGGTTTTCTTTTTCCCTGAGAATTATGAAGACAATGATTCCTTCCTTAGTTTAGTTCGGTTTGGTTTTTCATGGCTTTCCAGATAATTTACATCTGTCTCCTAGGCTCTAATGTGTTCCCGTGGCTCCCAATTCCCTAGGCCATGGGGAAGGATGTATGAGCAGAAATGCTCCTGGAGGACAGGCAAAGGCATCCATAGTGATAAATGGGCACCAGAACGTTCAGCTTTGAGCTTCATCTTCAGTAATAAAGGAAGATAAGGCATTTGAATCACTGTGAGATTTGGTGGTCAGCAGCTCTAAACCTAAGACCCCAACTGTGATAACTTTTTTTTTATTATTATTTTTTGTAGAGACGAGGCCTCCCTATGTTGCCCAGGCTGGTCTTGAACTCCTGCATCAAGCAGTCCTCCCACCTCGGCCTCCCAAAGTGCTGGGATTACAGGCGTGAGCCACCAAGCCCAGCCCCAACTGTGATAACTTTTAAAACCTTATACACTTACACTGGGTGGGGTGGCTCATGCCTGTAATCCCACCACTTTGGGAGGCTGAGGCGGGAGGATTGCTTGAAGCCAGGAGTTCAAGACCGGCCTGTGCAACATAGGGAGACTCCCATCTCTACAAAAAAATTAATAAAAAAAATAACTGGGCATGGTGGCACACACCTGTAGTTCCTGCTACTCGAGAGGCTGAGGTGGGAGGATCACTTGAGCCTGGGAGGTAGAGGTTGCAGTGAGCTGTGATCATGCCACTGCACTCCAGCCTGGGTGAAAGAGCAAGACTCTGTCTCACACACACACACACCAAAAACCACCTTATACACTTTTTGTCGTTGATTACGTTTGTATCCCTGTATCTTCCTCTCTGGTGATTAGAGGTAAAGCTCTTGCGAGAGGCTAGGAGCTTATTTTGGGAGTAAGTGGCAAGGCAACTGCAACCTGCTTCACAGTCAGGCCTTGGGAAAAGGAAGCCCAGGGGAGAAAGTAGTGACAGTGTTGAAGAGGAATGGAAAAGTGTTGAAATCTCTGAGGCTTGTACTGCAAAGAGAGAACAGGTGTTGACCTGGGCTGGGAGAGGGCCTTGGAGGTTGATGGCCCACTGTTTGCACAAGAAGCCCTTGTGTGTTAGGCCACTGTCCTTTCAGGTGCCTCTTCAATTCTTTAGATTAAATACTCCCTATTGCCGGATTTAGCAAACAGAATAAACAAAACACTTGGGACACCAGGTAAATTTGAATTTCAGATAAACAACAGTTTTTTTTTTTTTTTTTTTTTGAGATAGAGTCTTGCTTTGTTGCCTGGGCTGAAGTGCAGGGGTATGATCTCAGCTCACTGCAACCTCCACCTCCGGGTTCAAGCAATTCTCCAGCCTCAACTTCCCGAGTAGTTGGGATTACATGCGCCCGCCCCCATGCCTGGCTCTTTTTTTTTTTTTTTTAGATGGAGTTTCACTCTTGTTTCCCAGGCTGGAGTGCAGTCGCGCGATCTCGGCTCACTGCAACCTCTGCCTCCCGAGTTCAAGCAATTCTCCTGCCTCAGCCTCCTGAGTAGCTGGGCTTACAGGTGCCTGCCACCACGCCTGGCTAATTTTTGTATTTTTAGTAGAGACGGAGTTTTACCATGTTGGCCAGGCTGGTCTCAAACTCCTGACCTCAGGTGATCCACCCGCCTTGGCCTCCCAAAGTGATGGGATTACAGGCGTATGCCACCGTGCCCAGCAACAACAAATAATTTTTTAGTATGGTTATCTAGTAATCTGACTTCAAAGGCTGGTTCTCTGAGGAAAAGCATGTGTTTTGTTTTTATGCTTTCCTTTTTCTTGAACTTTATTTCTCATGGGGTCTATTGCAAAGGCCTCCTGACTGATCTTGCCTGTAGTCTCTATATTCCAGGTCAGTCTGCATTCTGAAATACCAGTCAGATTTCATAATACCCCTGCTTAGAGAAAAGTAGTGCTGAAAGGAATTTTAGACTCTGTCCTTTGTTCCTGGGACACTTGTGAGGAAAACTGGACAAGGGTCTTGAAGAATCCCTGAAATTTGATAAGAGGTTGAAGGCCAGTGCTAGTGTAATTTTTCATTCTCTAAACATTTATCACACTTTAGGCCCAAGGTATTCAGCACAAAAGCCCCTTCCTGCCTGCCTTCACCTGTATCGTATAGCTGTGGCCCTCCTCCAGGCCTTGGCTTTTCCAGAGAGACTGAAGATGCAGGTCCTAAGAATGCCCCTTCCCATCCAACTACTGCACATACAACCACCATGCTGTTTGTATGTCAGGGTCCAATGAAGAGAGACAAATGACACAATATCAACAGGGATAGTTTACTGTAAAGAGTTATCAACTCTATTTGGTGATGGGGGATTGGAGTAATGAGGAATTGGCTAATAAGCAGAGAGAACTCTAAAGCACATAGGAAGAGCAGATGTTAGGAGCGGCTGTTACTCCTAGAGTTAGAGCACACAGGGAAGAGCTCTAGCCACCAGGTCTGAGATCCAGACATTGTTGAAAAGGGCATGGCTTGGCCGGGTGCAGTGGCTCATGCTTGTAATCCCAGCACTTTGGGAGGCTGAGGCAGGTGGATCACTTGAGGTCAGGAGTTCGAGACCAGCCTGGCCAACATGGCAAAACCCTGTCTCTACTAAAAATACGGGTGTGGTGGCACATGCCTGTAATCCCAGCTACTCAGGAGGCTAAGGCAGGAGAATCGCTTGAACCCAGGAGGTGGAAGTTGCACTGAGCCAAGATGGCACCACTGCACTTCAGCCTGAGTGACAGAGCGAGACTCTGCTTCACACACACACAAAAAGGCCGGGTGTGGTGGCTCATGCCTGTAATCCCAGCACTTTAGGAGGCTAAAGTGGGTGTATCACTTGAGGTGAGGAGTTCGAGACCAGCCTGGCCAACTTGGTGAAACCCTGTCTCTACTAAAAATACAAAAATTAGCCAAGTGTGGTGGTGAGCACCTGTAAGCCCAGCTACTTGGGAGGCTGAGGCAGGAGAATCTCTTGAACCTGGGAGGTGGAGGTTGCAGTGAGCCGAGATCAAGCCATGGCACTCCAGTCTAGGTAACAGAGTGAGACCCCATCTCAAAAAAAAGAAAAAAAGAAAAGGGCATGGCTGTGGCTCACTGAATGACTCAGAAGTTGCTCTGATGGCATGTTGGTGGAATGTGCCAGAAATCTGCCTTCCAGAACTTACCTCTAGAATTCTACACTCTAGAGTGCCTGGGAAAGCTGTGTATGGGAGGTGGCTCACAGGAGGCATTCCCTTATGAAACAGCCTGAAGCTGCTGCCCACTGGGTACTACTGGCTGCCATGCACTGCCGGAGATGAGTCCTGAAGTCATGTTCCGGGACCCACCAGAACAAGGAAGTAATGGTTCCTCCTGAAATGTTCCTCCAGTGTCCTCTATTGACAAACATTGTGCCAGCTGTCAAAGGAAAAATATTTAAAGGATTCAGAATCATTTTCACAGAGCTGGCAAAAAAGATTAATTTAGAGCTACAAGGTTCTTCCTGGTTGTGCAACAGCTGGAAAATTCACTTGTCTGCTCTACAGGAAGCTCTAGATCTAAAGTACGATTTTATTCACTTGGGCACAAGTCACAGGGAAATGGTGTTCCCACCTCCAAGGCCTGATCACCACCCAGAAGGCTTCTCTAATGAGTCTTGTTTTCCAACCTCCCCATTTCTGTTCCAAGTATTTGGTTTTCTTAGGAGGAATTGTATCATAAAGGAAAAGTATGAGCAATAAAAGGGCAGAGGGTACCTACCGAGATATGAGGAGAAAGGGAGGAGGAGAGGACAGGGAGGGGCAGATTTAGTGAGACGTTGTGCAGGAAAATTCAGAGACCATGATCCTCCTGTATTCCAGCAGCCTCCTATGGTTCTCCACAAGCAAAGCCCACTTTCTGCAGACTGCCTCAGAGAGCCTGTTGGGTTTCTATCTTCCCCACAATTGTCCAGCATAGGGGATTTACAGCTATTTATATGGGACTTATATACATATATGTGTGTGTGTGTATATATATATATGTCTATGTATTATATATATAAAATTATATATATATAATTATGTATGTAAAAAATTATATATATATATAATTTTTTTTTGAGACAGAATTTCTCTCTGTTACCCAGGCTGGAGTGCAGCGTGTAGTTGCATGATCTCAGCTCACTGCAACCTCTTGCCTCCCAGGTTCAAGTGATTCTCCTGCCTCAGCCTCCCAGGTAGCTGGGACTGCAGGCGCACGCCACCACACCTGGCTAATTTTTGTATTTTTAGTAGAGATGGGGTTTCACCATGTTGGCTAGGCTGGTTTTGAACTCCTGACCTCAAGTGATCCATCTGCCTTGGCCTCCCAAAATGCTGGGATTATGGGCATGAGCCACCATGCCCAGCTGATAGTGGACTTATATTTTACAAGCATTTTTATGTCTAAACTCTCACCTGATGCTTACAGTTGAGCAGACTGATGCTTGGTGGGGCACCCTGACCTGCAGCCACACAGCCTGGTCAGCTAGGGCTGGGGACCCAGCTGAGCTTGGGTATGGTGTATAGCACCTGGGTTCAGCAGCTGTGGTGCCTGGTGCAGCTGCATCTCCATTCAGCAGGAGGTGTGGATGATGATCTGGTGCAGTTAATCTGGCTGCCAGCCATTACAAAACTTAGGCAGCAGATGCATAGGTATTTACTGCCTGGCATCCATCACGATGCCTGCAACCTCTGCAAGCCCTGGGTGGGCAGAGAAAATGGAGCTCAGGTTGAGTTTGATGTATTATACAGCTTTCCACCATCTCTCTAAACATCTCGCTTTCTACTGGTTAGTTTGTTTTGGGGTGTTTTTGTTTCTTTTTTTTTTTTTTTTTTTTTGAGACGGAGTCTTGCTCTGTCGCCCAGGCTGGAGTGCAGTGGTGCAATCTCAAATCACTGCAACCTCTGCCTCCCTGTTTCAAGAGATTCTCCTGCCTCAGCCTACTGAGTAGCTGGGATTACAGGCCCCCTGCCCCCATGCCCGGCTAATTTTTGTATTTTTAGTAGAGACAGGGTTTCACCATGTTGGCCACGCTGGTCTCAAACTCCTGGCCTCAAGTGATCCACCTGCCTCGGCCTCCCAAAGTGCTGGGATTACAAGAATGAGCCACCGCGCCCAGCTTGTTGTTGTTGTTGTTGTTGTTGTTTGAGACAGAGTCTCACTCTGTCACCCAGGTCGGACTGCAGTGGTGTGATCACAGCTCAATGTAGCCTTGTAGCCTTGACCTCTTGGGCTCCAGTGACCCTCCCACTTCAGCCTCTCAAGTAGCTGGGACTACAGGCACATGCCACCACACCCAGCTTCTATATATATCTATATATCTATCTATATATCTATATATCTATATCTATCTATATATCTATATATATATCTGTTTTGAGATGTAGTTTTGCCCTTGTTGCCCAGGCTGGAGTGCAATGGTGTGATCTCGGCTCACTGCAACCTCTGCCTCCTGGGTTCAAGCAATTCTCCTGCCTCAGCCTCCCGAGTAGCTGGGATTACAGGCCCCCTGCCCCCATGCCCCGCTAATTTTTGTATTTTTAGTAGAAACAGGGTTTCACCATGTTGGCCAGGCTGGTCTCGAATTCCTGGCCGCAAGTGATCCACTCGCCTTGGCCTCCCAAAATGCTGGAATTACAGGCGTGAGCCACCGCGCCTGGCCAAAATCTCTTTTTTTTGAGATGGAGTCTCGCTCTGTTGCCCTGCTGGAGTGCAGTGGTGCAATCTTCGCTCACTGCAACCTCCACCTCCCGGGTTCAAGCAGTTCTCCTGTTCCTCAGCCTCCCCAATAGCTGGGATTATAGGCGCCCTCCACTGCTCCCGGCTAATTTTTCTATTTTTTAAATAGAGATGAAGTTTCACCATGTTGACCAGGCTGGTCTTGAACTCCTGACTGCAGGTGATCCTCCTGCCTTGGCCTCCCAAAGTGCTGGGATTATAGGTGTGAGCCACAGCAACTGACCTTTTTTTTTTTTTTTGTATTTTTTATAGAGATGGGGTTTCACCATGTTGACCAGGTTGGTCTCAAACTCCTG
Source organism: Homo sapiens (assembly GCF_000001405.40). NCBI lineage: Eukaryota > Metazoa > Chordata > Mammalia > Primates > Hominidae > Homo > Homo sapiens. Next base: position 153,650,496 of record NC_000001.11, on the reverse strand, counting down.
GGCTCAAGTGATCCTCCCACCTTAGCCTCCCAAAGTGGTAGGATTACAGGTGTGAGCCACTGTGTCTGGCCACTACTGGTTAGTAATGGCTAGGAAATAACAACTCACTTTCTCCCTGTCTTCAACTCAAGAATCACACCTAGGTCAGACTTCCTACCTAGGCCACTTCCAGTCTGTCTCCCTGCTCCCTCCCATATCTCCACTAGGAAAAACTTCATAATACTCACGTCCTGTACCCCTCTAGTTTTATGGGCTGCATGGGATCGGGTGCCCCTATGTTCCCCCAATAATCTTAGTCTATTGACTTCCTCCCCACTCACCCATGGCAGGGCTAATGTCCCCCAAAGAGTCAGACCTAGGGATCTCACTCCCCATGGCCACTGCGCATGTGCTGGGGCCACCTGCTGCTGTGTCTGCCACAGGCTGACTGGCACAAACACACACTTGGCAGGAAGCTGGTGGTCAGGATACACTGCCAACCCAGCTGTGTCCACACTGCCAATCCTCATCCCTGCCAGAATCCTGGAGCAGCTTGTTTTCTTGGGGTGATGAGTTGGGTGCTTTTGGGATTTCAGTGCCTGCAAGCCTTTCTGTTCTAGACTTTAGGTCTCTTCTCATCTCCTGGAAGCACTGGCTCTTCCCTGCCTCTCAGACTCTTCTGACTCTGTTCTCCCCATGCTTAGGTTGAACTGCCTTCTCCTTGCTGGCTACCTCAAGGTGGGTTCTGGGGTAGGCCCAGGTGGAAGCTCTGCCGGAACATGCTATATTCTCTCAGGCAGCACACATAGTGCACTCTGCCTGGAGGGCACCTGCAACCTGCACCCTCTGTAGAGCCTGGGTGGGGCTTAGAAGAAGGCCTTTCTTGTGGGAGAGAGGGTTCACAGAATGGTGTCTGGTAATGCCTTTAACTGGGGAGGAAGACCTGAGAGTCAGACTTCTTTGGGCCTCTGTGAGCTCCAAAGGATAGGGATGAGGATATTCCTGGTACATCCTGCTTTCTGGGAGGCCAAACCTCTGTTTGGGGAGCCTTACGAAGCTTCAGTGGAGGAACTGGAGGGGCAGCAGTAGAGGTGGGAGCTGGGAGGGGTTAGGGCAGGTAGTCAGGTCTGTGGTTCAAGCTATCTTAACTGGTGCTTCTGGAGAGCTGCCATCTGCCCACATCCCCCATGGGTGAATTATCTGGCCAGGCCCCAGGACTCCTGCTTATCACAAAGGGGTCAGAGGCTGAGGGTGAGGTCCTGCCTTGGCAGTGCTGAGGAAAACATTAGGGGCCTTTCTTCTTTTATCTTTCCCGTCTACCTTTCCCCCACCTCCTTTCTCTTCTCTGTTGTCTGAACTGGCTTTCCTCTTGAAATTAAACTCCTGAGAGTATGTGCTTTGAATTAAAATCCAAAGGGGATGCTGGGTGCGGTGGCTCATGCCTGTAATCCCAGCACTTTGGGAGGCCGAGGCGAGCAGATCACCTGAGGTCAGGAGTTCGAGACGAGCCTGACCAACATGGAGAAACCCTATCACTACTAAAAATACAAAATTAGCCGGGCGTGGTGGTGCATGCCTGTAATCCCAGCTACTCGGGAGGCTGAGGCAGAAGAATCCCTTGAACCTGGGAGGTGGAGGTTGTGGTGAGCCCAGATCGTGCCATTGCACTCCAGCCTGGGGAATAAGAGTGAAACTCTGTTCCAAAAAAAAAAAAAAAATTCCAGAGGAAAGCTTTAGGACTTTCTGAAGGAACCCCTTCCCCCATCTCCTCATGGATGTGTTTAAATCTTCAGCTGATAATCACCTTACACTAAAGGGTAAGAAACAAAATCGCCAGGCGTGGTGGCTCACGCCTGTAATCCCGGCACTTTGGGAGGCCGAAGCAGATGGATCACGAGGTCAGGAGATCGATACCATCCTAGCCAACATGGTGAAACCTCGTCTCTACTAAAAATACAAAAATTAGCTGGGTGTGGTGGCGCATGCCTGTAATCCCAGCTACTCAGGAGGCTGAGGCAGAATTGCTTGAACCAGGGAGTTGGAGTTTTCAGTGAGCCAAGATTGCACCACTGCATTCCAGCCAGGCAACAGAGCGAGACTCCATCTCAAAAAACAAAACAAAACAAAAAAACAAACCAAGACTAAATGGAGCATTTAGTGAATCCTTTAAAGAGACCTCATGGGGATCTTAGCTGTCCCAGGCTGCCCACACAATGAGGCCTATGACTGGGGGCTGCTGCCACCATTAAGGGTCCCAGAGCTGTCCAGGGCCTGTCTCCACCTTCAAGAGTCATCCTGCCCTGCTTCACAATGCTCCCCTCTCCTTCCTTCCTTGCCCCTGGTACAGGTGGTCAGCCAGGGTCCCCAGCACGTCTGACTGGGTCACTAGCCAGGGTGTGACGCAGGTGGGAGAGCCCACCGAGGCATAAGTGGGAGCCTCTACCCTAACCCCTGCTGGGTCCATGGAGCTATCTATTCATAGCAGCAGGACCACCTTTTTTTTTTCGAGATGGAGTTTCACTCTTGTTGCCCAGGCTGGAGTGCAATGGCGCCATCTCGGCTCACTGCAACCTCCGCCTCCCGGGTTCAAGTGATTCTTCTGTCTCAGCCTCCCGAGTAGCTGGGATTACAGGCATGTGCCACCACGCCCAGCTTATTTCATATTTTTAGTAGATACGGGGTTTCTCCATGTTGGTCAGGCTGGTCTCAAACTCCCGACCTCAGGTGATCTACCCGCCTCGGCCTCCCAAAGTGCTGGGATTACAGGCGTAAGCCACTGTGCCCAGCCTCAGGTGTTCTTTTAGCACTGTACCTTTACACTTGGTTCCCTCTGCTTGGTGTATTTTCTCTACTTTCCCTTGTCTTAAAAGATCCAGCTCATCAACCTCTTCCCTATGCTCCTAATGTTACCCTTACAAAGGATGCCTTGTGTTGGTATGGCAAGCCCTCAGCACATGGCAGCTGAATGAAAGGCTGACCCAGAGGAGGTCAGGTTTACTCACCTTGTCCCACACGACCAGTGACTGAGGATGACAGGGACACAGGCCTCAGGAGACCCTGGGAACTGTAGTGAGCAGTAGGTGGGGCTGGAGGACCCTTGGCTGATAGGAGAGTTCCCTGTGCCCCACATAAGCGATTTGGGGATAAATTCTTTCAATGAAGTAGGAAGGACATGGAGGTAGAAGGAAGGAAGCCTAGGCTACGGCAGTCACCTCCTTTATAGAGAACTCTTAAGCATCAGTCTCCTCTGGGGTAGGAGGGAGCCTGGCATTTTGCACTTGTTTGGGTTGTTGGGGAGGTTGGCTGGGAGGGGAAGTCCTCATGCTTTAGCACTGGAAAAGGCAGAAGGAGCTGAACTGGGGATTCAGTTCTGCAGTCACCGTCCAACCTGTAGCCTTCTGCTAGACCCCCACTGCCCATCTCCCTTGGGACCTACAGACACCCCACATCACAGGATTCAAGTTTGGGTTGTCCTGACCAAAATTTCCTTCCCAGCCCCCAGTAAGTACAACCTCCTGGCAGTTTAGGGTGAAAGGCAGCCCAATGACAACTGGCTTGGCTGGGCGCTACTAGGTTCTTTTCTCTTCAGCTCTCAACATAGGGAAAAAGGGAAATATGTGCCAGGGCCCAAGGGCCCAGAATGTTGCCCAAGACAATCTTCCTTGAGTTTTTGTGGGCGTGGTGTTATTTCTGCAGAGCTCAGAGGAAGTCAAATTCTTCACTTTCTGCTCAAAGCCACAGGCTCTCCAGAATTTTAACACAAGTAAGAAGAAAGAAACTCTCAACCATACAAGGGGTATATCAAGACATCATTAAAGTGGCTGGGTGCAGTGGGTCACGCCTGTAATCCCTGCACTTTGGGAGGCTGAAAGTGGGTCACGCCTGTAATCCCTGCATTTTGGGAGGCTGAAGCGGGTGGATCACCAAGTCAAGAGATCAAGACCATCCTGGCCAACATGGTGAAACCCCATCTCTACTAAAAATACAAAAATTAGCTGGGTGTGGTGGCACATGTCTGTAGTCACAGCCACCCGGGAGGCTGAGGCAGGAGAATCGCTTGAACCAGAGAGTTGGAGGTTGCAGAGCCAAGATCGCGCCACTGCACTCCAGCCTGGTGACAGGAGCGAGACTCGGTCACAAGAAAAAAAAAAAAAAACATCATTAAAGTAGCCATGGCATTTTGAGGCACCTCAAATAAAGAGAGTCCTGGGTGGATTTAAGCGAACAGTTTGTTATAATGAACCAGAAATACAAGATTCCACTGAAACTGAACAGTTGACAGAATATGGTTGAACTTAAACCTTCAAGGGAAACAAGGGCAAAACAAAGCTAATGAGTGGAAAAGTCCAAGATTAGTTTGGGATAAACATGAGGATATAATTGCATTTTAGCATGGCTATCTTCTGACCTCTTCCAGCAGTTCGTCTGCCATCATTCTCCCTTCTGACACACCTACCAAATCAAATGGCTTCTGATCCTCTATATTGCAGTATAAACCAACCCTATAGTACCCCTCTGGTCATGATACAAACCCAGAAGGAAAGTCTGTAAATCTCATACAAAGGTAGAAAGTGCAATTCAACCCAACACGCTGGTTATGGTATATGTGCTGTCAATGTACATGGTAGCAACTTGAATCAAACCAGAGCTGCTACCACATGTAAGCAACCTCTTATGCTGCCCTGTAGTGATGTCAATGTTCTCAGTTTACTAAATTATCAATGTGGAAGAACGCATTTTTGAGCTCCAGACCTTCTAAACATTTTAAACAGGCTATCGAAGAGGATGTAACAGAACCCTATTTCAGAAACCTAAGGATCAGGGAGGAAGGAACACTGACCGGTTTTTCTGGGATGTTTCTGTGGGGGCAACAGGGATGAACAAAAGAAATGTTAGCATGTCAGAGCATATGACAAGTGAGGGGAGACAGAGGTAGGAAGAGGGTGTTCTAGCCACAAGGCTAATGCATTTGTGTTCAAAGAGAAGTCTGGGCAAAGGAGGGGAAACCCCCCCTCCCCCCTAAAAAAACAAAAACAAAAAACCAAATCAAAGGACAAAAGGGTTTCATACAACACAGTATCAAAAAGTAAAAGGAACACACTAAATGCACAAGCTGGTGGCAAGTAAGTCCACAGCCTATTGTGATAGGTCCATCCAGCATCAATCAGATTTCTTCTCATCTGTTATCTCAAGGTTATTTACAGATGTGTTGACTAACAAGAGTCTCTCATGGGAGGATGGGCAGGCTTCAATCATTGGTTTCGGGATCTGTCTGCGCCATGTAGGCATCCAACTCAGCATCCAGGTGTCCTTTTGTTTTCGACATATATGCATCCAATTGGTTGTCCAGCTGCTCCTTGGTCAATACAGGGCGAGCAAGGGCACCTCTCCCTCGTCCACGGCCTCGGCCTCGGCCTCCAAAGCCCCCTCTTCCCCGACCTATCATACCCCGACCTGGCCCAAAGGGGAAAAAAAAAAAAAAAGAGACAGTTACAAGTAAGTTTAATAGGTGCTGTAGTAAATGCCCCTTAGAGCAGTGGGGCCTAGCTGAGAAAAGCTGAAGGGCAGGGCAAAGAGGAGAAATCTGGAAAAAAAGGAAACACAATGGGTAGAAAGCAACACATGGAAAGCACACATAATGAATCCTCTATCACATGATCATCTCTAAATGCTATTTTAACAAATTTTATTCTATCAATAAAGGAAAATAATTAACTGGCAACTATAATTTTAAAAAACCTTAATCAATCCTAAGATAAAATTACCTAACATTTGAGATTCACTAAGTTCATAATTAAAATACATGACAGATAACCCCATTTGGTAAGATAGGGAGGTGGTAACAAGAGCACAGAGCATCAGGGGTGTGAAGACAAGACAGTTTTCAAATTAAGTTTATTGGAGACCCTTCTGGAAAGTCATCTCACCTGTCCTTAAACTTATCAAGTCTAATGAGCTAGCTGACCTCATGTGTCAGGAGACTGAGTTTTTCTGACACAGGAACAATGTAGGGGAGATTTGAAAAAATATTTTGAGTTGTCCTAGCTATTTCTACCTTTAATTCTAGTTACCTTATGACAACTGACAATTGTGGTTATCTGAGAAGCAGTGTGAATTCAGTTAACAAAACAAACTCAGCTTTTTGAAAAGCTATTTTAGTCTCTCCCACCCTCGTGATGTCTCTCAGGATCCAAGTCAAGATAATTTGGAAACATGTTATTTCATCCTGAAACCCAAACTAGCTTGCACTTCACTCAGTAAGTATCATATAATGGGAGAGAAGAAAACAAGCCCTTGGTTATCAACTTTTCTTTCCTAACAGTTATTATTCCTTGGCAACTTCAAGGTCATAAGTTATGGAAGACCCAAGACACCTTTTAAGAGAACCAAAGCAAATATACACAGGGGCTTCAATAGTGTTTTTTTTCTGGACAGGTGTTGGGAGTTTTCCACTAAGCTCTAAACCAGAAGGCTCCCATGAGATTTAGTATTAACAGCAGCAACATCATTAAACTCTTTCCCAATCTGGGTCATGAGGTCACAAGACAAACATCAATAAATTTCAAAGGCAAGATTATCAATAAGAGCCAGTTAGTTAACTGATAATAATTCCATCTTGCTCTCTACCTTAAGCAAAAAAAGTCATCTCTGGTTCTCCACAGGCACCAAATGTGACATTGAATTTATTTGGTTTCAGAGCCAATGCCCAGCTCCAAGTCTCACCACCCTCTTAACTCTACTTCATCTTTGTATCTCTCTCTCTCTTCTATATTCTCATGTGACTCAAACCAGGATTTGGAGCTACAGGGTGGTATGTGGTGGTGATGGTGGTGGGACAGGGGCAGAGAAAGGCAAAACCCTAAACTGACCATTTTGGGGGGTATTTTCAACTATACAATTTAAATTTGCAAGAGCTTGGAGGAAGATGGCATATAATCTGGCTCTATAATATGCACTTGATTGATTCTTGGAAAAATCATGAGACTTTTGCACTACCAGCATGGTAATTTGAAAAATAAGCCAGTTTCAAATAACAAAACAAGACAAACAAAGAAGCCTGCCTATGACTTGAAGCTGTGCAGAAAGGTGGCTCTGAGTTTTTAAGGGAGGAAAGTAAGGGGGAGCTACTCTCTGAAGTTGGTAGCTGACTAACCTCTACCACCGATTCCGCCACGACCCATAGCTCCACGCCCTAGGCCCCCTCTCCCAGGACCTCCACGACCTCGAACACCACCTCTTCTTAAGCCCATTCGGGGAGCTACGGCTCGTCCACCTCGGAGCAGGTTTTGACCTTAGAGAGGAGGCATACAATGTATATGCAGGTAAATCCAAGAGACACAAAGTAGATTCTAACCAAAGGAAGGCGGTGAGGGTTAAATGAAGGTAATTCAGTTAGTTTTTAGGTTGGCTGGGGCAAGCTGCATACTGTGAACAGATTAAGCTACTCTTTATTCAATCAATTCAACAAGTCTGACCACAAATCCATTTTTGGAAGTTGGGAGTTAATTCAATTAGTAAGTACATACATTTAATAAATATCTACTGAATAATCAGATAGATGCCTAGCATTATGGTAAATTTAAAAATAAATGCTATGGTTCCTGATCTCAACAGATTCTTCTAGGGAACAAGAACTATACAGGGAACAGAGTAATAGTGCCCCAAATGAACATATATAGGTAAGTGCTGTGGGTCAACTTGTCCTCTTTTTCCAGCTGTATCAGTGTTTTACTAGCACCAGGAACAAAGAGATATAGGCCAAAAGACCTATAAATTTCTTATGTTTGACTTGTTTCTAGAACTTGAATGTGCTTTGATTCAAGCAACAGCAGGGTGTTTTAAAATGGAATGGAGATGACATGAATTACCTGTTGTTACGCAGGTCATAGCCTCTCACCATTGCACATTATCAGAAAAGGAATGGTATTGATAAAAGACATGCAGCACTATTAAAAATATGTGATTTCAGAAGTTATTATATTAATACAAATTCAGGCTTAAAGATGTTAAACAAACGTGTCCATAAGCAGCCCAAGAGAAAAGGGAAGGGAGTAGGGCCCGACAATTATCAGGGTACACAGCACTGACCTCGGAGTGACATCCCGCCCCTAAGTAGGGTTCTGGTGGCACGTCCCCCACGTAGTCCTCCTCTGGGCAAGCCTCTCTGGATTATGGGTAGGCCTCGTCCTCCGATTGCTCCCCTGGCCAGGGCCCCTATGGGTCGGCCTAACCGTGCCTGGATGTTACTCTTACCCAGGCGCTGCTTTAAGCTCTTCTGGAAGAAAAGGTGTTAGGGGATTGAGATCAAAAAAGCAATCCAACAGGATTTGGCAACTCAAAGTGCAGAGAAAAAGAAGCAAGTGAGATGCTGGTGTGAAGGGAGATAAACCTGTTGTGGGTGTCAAAAGGATCCCAAACCAGAAGCAAGCCTTTGCCTCAGAACATGTTATACAAGCAGCAGAATTTTGATCCAGAGCAGAAACTCCAAGAAGCTCAAGTGTGGTCCCATGAAATGGGCATCTCCACAAATTACCTCACTAGTTTGGCTACAGAAGTCATACACTGCCAGTTGAAACTTAAGTTTTCGTAAGAACATTCTATAGTTCAATCCTGGATTGTACTGCTTTTGAACTACAGGTTGACAATTATATGACTTGATTCATACCTGCCCATGGACTACCACTGTCTTCAAAGGCTTACTCAAACACCATAGGAAGTTCATCACACTCTGGGCAAAACTTAAATTACAAGTTCACTTGAGTTCTTGTGACTTAAGAACAAGATTGATTTCTCAAAAAGGCCCGTGTGCTCCATTTTTCCTCTGAGAATCTATTTCCAGACGGTCCACTTTTTACCTTAAGATGTAAATAAACACAAGAAAGTCAAATCTCCTTTCCTTACATTTCTTAAAAATCCCTAATTCCATGCCTGCACTTGCAAACAGCTCCTTTAAAACAATGATGACCTTAAATTAAAAATAAACATGTAACTCAAATGTATCTCCACAGTCAGCCAGCCAAACGTATGTTAGAATTATTCAGGTGATCACAAAACTCAGGGCCATATATAAGAACAAGGACACACTACAGAGATAGGGTATTTTTAAGAATCTGTTCTCAAAAGAAAACCATTAAGACTACATCTCAGAGAATTAAATTCCTTCAAAGGAAAAAGGGACAGCAATAGCCCTGAACACAACCAAGCTCCTAGTAAGCCTGGCTGTCCATAAAGCCATCAGTCAATCTGAAAGAAAATAAATTGTATAGCCCCTTCAGGCTTCACCCACAAGTGACTACCAACGTGTATGTGTGTGTTTTCTAATCAACCTCTCAAAAAGATGCTGTGAAGCATTATTAACTTTCTAGCACAAGATCATAAATTGCTTCTCATCAGTGGGGAAGGCTCCAAACATTATGCATCTAGCATAAGTAGGTGTAACCAACCGTAACGGCCTGTCCTGTTACTCCCGATTAACACACAATTATCAGGTTAGAACTGCATTCCACAAGTCTCTTGCGTTCAGTTATCCTGCATATATTAATTCTCCCAAGCTTTGTGCTTTAAAAGAACTGTACAGTGCTGGGAAGTTCTTTACCCATTCCAATCCTTAAGTGCCACCAATACCGGCCTTTAATATTAACAGGGAAGTTAAGGATGTCAACTATACCACTTAGTTTCCCTTCTAGAGGTGTGCTGTGTAAGGCAGCCTCTATAGCTACATGTGGCTATTTCAATTATTTTTATTTTGAGATACAGTCTCGCTCTGTTGCCCAGGCTGAAGTGCAGTGACACGATCTTGGCTCACTGCAACCTTCGTCTCCCAGGTTCAAACAATTCTCCTGCCTCAGCCTCCCGAGTAGCTGGGATTACAGGAGCTGTCATCACGCCTGGCTTATTTTTGGTGGAGACGGGGTCTTGTCATGTTGGCCAGGCTGGTCTTGAACTCCTGACCTCAGGTGATCCACCTGCCCAGGCCTCCCAAAGTGCTGGGATTACAAGTGTGAGCCACCATACCCAGCCTAAATTAAAAGCAAATTTTACTTATTTTCTTGAGACAGAGTCTCACTGTCACCCAAGCTGGAATGCAGTGGTGCCAACTCCACTCACCGCAACCTCCACTTCCTGGGTTCAAGAGATTCTCCTTAGCCTCTTGAGTAGCTGGGATTACAGGTATGCGCCACCATGCCCGGCTTTTTTTTTTTTTTAGTAGAGATGGGGTTTTGCCACATTGGCCAGGCTAGTCTCAAACTCCTGACCTCAAGTGATCCGCCTGCCTTGGCCTCCCAGAGTGCTGGGATTACAGGCCTGGCCTAAAATTAAATTAAAAAAAATTAAGCTCCTTAATTGCACTAGTCACATTTAAAGTTTTCAATAGCCACATGTGACTAGTGGCTACTGTACCGGAGAGCAAATACAGAACATTTCCATCATTGTAGAAAGTTCTGGCTGGGCACGGTAGCTCATGCCTGTAATCTGAACACTTTGGGATACTGAGGCAGGCAGATCACTTGAGGTCAGGAGTTCAAGACCAGTCTGGCCAACATGACAAAACTCCGTCTCTACTAAAAATACAAAAATTAGCCGGGTGTGGTGGCGGGCGCCTGTAGCTGAGACAGGAGAATCGCTTGAACCCGGGAGGCGGAGGCTGCAGTGAGTTGAGATTGCACCACTGCACTACAGCCTGGGTGACAGAGCAAGACTCCGTCTCAAAACAAACCAAACCAAACCAAACCAAAAACATAAAAAAATTCTATTTAATAGTACTACTCTGGATAGGGACTACTTCCTGCAGAGCCTATACTTAAAGCTTCTTGTTGAAAGGTCCTTTGGAATGATCTGTCAGAGATTCATCTTCAGCAACTTCCATTTACTCTTGGAAAATGGTGCCTTTTGCTGCTTTCCTGAGTCAGGGAGGAATCCAGTCACTCCAAGGCTTAAGGTAGCCGAAGCAGACACCCTTGTTTATTTTTGGTCAGTGAGCCCAATGGTTCAGGGTGGGGGTGTAAGGGTGTTATATTTAACTGCTGAATTTATGCATAGCCATGCAATGCTACCAAAGCCCTTACAGTTGCATGGCACTGCCCTCCAGACGCCCAGCCACAGCTTGGACATATCCTTCCACAGCCACTGTCCGGACTTGCATATAAATTCTATGAATAATAAAGAGCAGGTTTTATTTCAGGTCTGAATAGGATTATCTCTCACTGTAAATTTGAAAAAGAGAACCCCTAACTCAAATTACTCAGTATTCTTGCTCCACTTTACTGGTAAAACTTTAGGTGCTGTGGAAATGAGGGTCACTCTACTCTGTATATTTTAGCATTGAAAACCTTTGACTGCTGGGCGCGGTGGCTCAAGCCTGTAATCCCAGCACTTTGGGAGGCCGAGGCGGGTGGATCACGAGGTCAGGAGATCGAGACCATCCTGGCTAGTATGGTGAAACCCTGTCTCTATTAAATATACAAAAAAATTAGCTGGGTGTGGTGGCGGGCACCTTTAGTCCCAGCTGTTCGGGAGGCTGAGGCAGGAGAATGGTATGGACCCGGGAGGCGGAGCTTGCAGTGAGCCGAGATCGTGCCACTGCACTCCAGCCTGGGCGACAGAGCAAGACTCCGTCTAAAAAAAAAAAAAAAAAGAAAACCTTTGACTAAGGCCATGCAAACTCCCTGCACTATGGGAAAAAGAATAAAATTATTTCCCTGTTGGGTAAATCATTTAACAGAGAGTAAAGGATGCTGTGAGATTATCTAAAGCTGAAATAAAGTTTCTTTGTGGAATAAGCCATTAATCTATGTTAAGGGTTAAGGATCAGAAAACAAAAGATTAATACTCATTGGTAACAGAAACAGGCCACATAGATGGCAAACTCCCTAAAAGAGAAAGACAGTAAAAAGTTACTTATTGGTACCTGCCAAAATTGGAATTCTCTGAACTTCTCTTTCTTCCAGAGAAGTTTCAGCTTTTTGCCCTGAGCCACTTTGCAATCATCCATCACGTCCTGACAGCCTCAGTGGACTCCCTCACAGAGATCACCAGCTGCTTCTGGAGCATTAAGACCCATTCTCTCACCTGCTTAAGTTTTAATGCTGCCTGGACAGAGGGTCTATTCTCCATCTGCTGGGCCAGTCTTCTGTTTCTGGCACTGGCTAGCTGCTGTTGTTGCTGCATCGAAGCCCGAATATTCACTGGCGTCGGCTGTTTGTTCTTCAGCATATTAGTAAAGCTTCAAGGTCGAACAAAATGGATGTTTAAATAAAAGCTTTATTACAAACATTTATTGGCATTTTCATGGCTTGCTAGACCAGGAGCTCCAGATCCCACGAACTTTTAAGTAAAGTGGTACACTTAGATCAAGGCTGATGTGGGTTAAAGACTCCTCTGTTTCCACAAACTTGCAAGAATCAGAAACTTAGAAATGCAGCTAAGTGCAGCACATTCAACCAAAAGTGATAACGAGGGCTCAGGTAACGGCTTTTAGAGAGGTGGAAGGTATGAAAAACACGCAATAAGCAGATATGACAAGAGACAGAAGATATAGTTTCAAAGACAAATGAAGAAAGCCTAAACCTTGGGGGATCCGAGGTGCATTCTAAGGCCAAATATGAGGAAGGATTAGAGCACCTTCAAAGCTCACAGCAATGAACATACTCTCATAAATTACAGGAGTGTATCACATTTTAAAATATATGTCACTAACATGCAAACATAAATATTATGCAAACATAAATAATTAGCTTATCATAGCCAAAGAGATAAGGAGAGAAGCACATATGCCTCAGAAGAGGCAAAAATAGACATTAAGTAAATTTCAGTGGTCGAAAGTCAACTTAATGAAATCACTGATCAAAGGCATTCTTTTTTTTGAAACGGAGCCTCACTCTGTCCTCTGTTGCCCTGGCTGGAGTGCAGTGGCAGGATCTTGGCTCACTGCAACCTTCGCCTCACGGGTTCAAGTGATTCTCCTACCTCAGCCTCCTGAGTAGCTGGGATTATAGGCACACGCCACCACGCCCAGCTAATTTTTCTATTTTTAGTAGAGACAGGGTTTCACCATGTTGGGCAGGCTGATCTCAAACTCCTGACCTCGTGATCCGCCCGCCTCAGCCTGCCAAAGTGCTGGGATTACAGGCATGAGCCACCGCGCCTAAACAAAGGCACTCTTAATGAACAAAGTTGTCAGAGATAGAAACTGCCTTTGAATATCTTTACTTTTCTTAGTCTCCAATCATCACTTTTTCTGACTCCAAGTAGTTACTTTTCAAAGTTACATCAGTTTGATCATTTATGAGCCTGTGAAGAGACTCATTATTTCTGTCAAGGAAGTATAATGGAATGGAAGAGAAGAACACTTAACTGTAGAAGAATCCAAAACAAAACCAAACTAAAAGCAGAATGGAAAGAAAGTGAAATGGAGCAAAGCGAGTGCCTCTTACAAGGCCCAAGAATGACATTCAAGGGCCTTTGGACATATTCATGGCTTGCTACCTGCCTCTTACAGGCCAGACACAACACTGCTGGCCTTGGACTGGGCAGCAAGCCTACTGTAGCCAGGGTACCATGCTACCGTGCTGCACGACCCCAGTATCAACGTAAAAAAATGTGAAAAGGAAGAGTGTTAGGAGTCTTTTAAAATACATCCCACCAAATAAATACTTCAGACAGCTTAACATAAAAGTCTACTGATAAGGGGTTTTGAAACAACCGCCCAATTTGTTTTGTGTACCACATGAGATGCAACTAAGAACAGAGGTCTGTAGCCTTCTGTTGGTATTTAGCTTAAAATTGGCTTTGTGCATTGGACCCCAGGGCCAAGTTAAGTAATGTTTTCTTAGGAAGGAGTTGAAGTTGCTGTTGGCTGCCTCACCGCTCATTTAGAGACATCTTGGTGGTGCTTTTTAGCACAACTTTCGGCGCTGACTGTGCAGCCATCTTCGAATCCCGAGAATCTACAAAGAACAATACGTAAAATGAGCAAATCACAATAGTGACATCATTTCTATAAGTGGCAAGGCCCAAGCCAAAAATAAATAAAAAGGCCTTATCACTGATGACTAAAGAGCACACGAGGGCACATTTCAAGTGCTTAAATTTCTTTTTTTTTTTTTTTTGAGACAGGGTCTCGCTCTGTCACTCAGGCTGGAATGCAGTGGCCACTGCAGCCGTAATCTCCTGGCCTCAAAGGATTTTCCCACCTTGGCCTCCCAGTGTTGGGATCACTGGGACCCAACGCCCAGCAAAAGTTCTTAAGTTTCTATGGCAATTACCTCAGATTATTATAACTTCAAGGTGGCTGGGTATGGTGGTTCACCGCCTGTAACCCTAACACTTTGGGAGGGCAAGGGCACAGGATGGTTTGAAGCCAGGAGTTAGAGACCAGCCTGGGTAACAAAGCGAGACCCAGTCTCTACTAAGAAAAAAAAAAAAAAAAATTAGCGGTGCATGGTGGCCAGCACCTGTTGTCCTAGCTACTCAGGGGAGCTGAGGTGGGAGAATCGCTAGAGCCCAGGGGTTGGAGGCTGCAAAGAGCCGTGATCATGCCACTGCACTCTGGCCTGAGACCCCATCTCTTTAAAACAAACAAATAACCCCAAACAAACAAACAAACTTCAAGGCCCACAAAATACCCGGGAATTTCTCAAAAACGGCAGAAGCCAATCTAGCAATCAAAGTATGGAGTCTGGCTTTTTTTTTTTTTTGAGACAGAGTCTGGCTCTGTCGCCCAGGCTGGAGTGCAGAGGCGTGATCTCAGTTCACTGCAACCTCTGCCTCCCCGTTCAAGCCATTCTCCTGCCTCAGCCTCCTGAGTAGCTGGGACTACAGGCACGTGCCACCATGCCCGGCTAATTTTTTTTTATTTTTAGTAGAGACGGGGTTTCTCCACGTTGGCCAGGGTGGTCTTGAACTCCTGACCTCACCTGATCCACCCACCTGGGCCTCCCAAAGTGCTGGGATTACAGGCGTGAGCCACCGCACCGGGCCGAGTTTGGCTTTTACTCTAGAGCAGTCATTTTCAACCTTGACTACATATGACTTATCCAAGGAGCTTTTAAAACATAGGGCCGGACAGGGCGGGCGCGGTGCTTCACGCCTGTAATCTCAGCACTTTGGGAGGCCAAGGCGGGAGGAATGCTTGAGCCCTGGAGCTCGAGACCAGCCTGGGCAACATGGTAAGACCCCGTTTCTATAAAAATATAAATTAATTAAAAAAATAGAAAATACAGACATCTGGGCCTAGATCAATTAAACCACAATCTCTGGTAATGAGGTTTGGAAATGAACCAATTGTGGGGTCGGGGGAAAGCTACCTAGGTGCTTCTAATGTGCAGCTAAAGTTGAGAACCACTGATCTACAGTGAAAATACAGGCAGGGCCGGGCGCGGTGGCTCACGCCTGTTTTCCCAGCACTTTGGGAGGCCGAGGCGGGCGGATCACCTGAGGTTGGGAGTTCGAGACCAGCTTGACCATCATGGAGAAATGTCTCTACTAAAAATACAAAATTAGCCGGGCGTGGTGGCGCATGGCTGTAATCCCAGCTACTCCGGAGGCTGAGGCAGGAGAATCGCTTGAACCCGGGAGGCGGAAGTTGTAGTGAGCTGAGATCGTGCCATTGCACTCCAGCCTGGGCAACAAGAGCGAAACTCCGTCCCCCCCCAAAAAAAAATATATATATATATGTATGTATATATATACATATATATATGCATGCCTAGTTTCAAAAGTGGCTTTCAACTCCAGAATCAAGTAGGGACTTTAACAAGAAACTGACGATCTGGGGGAGTAGGAAAGGTTTTCTAAATTCACCTGGGAATTAGCTCGCAAAGAGCCCTCCACAAAACTTAACCCTAAAGCCGCCATTAATTTCCAACATTCCTCAAAGTCTTGTACTTCTTAATCTCCCTACCATCCTCAAAGCCCTGTCAAGACTTCCACTTCTGCTCTACCCGCCAAGTTTCCTTTTTATCCTATCAAACCCCAACCTCCATCAATCCCGCCACCAGGTTCCAGTTCAGCCCCTCCCCCGCCCCTTCGCAGGGGCTCCGCCTCCTCCCCGGGGCCTCCACGCTCCAACACCGTAGCTATGTCCACATGCCACCACCCCCTTTCCGCGTCCGCCGGCCCCTTCCGCTCCTCAAGACCGCACCTCCCCCGGCTCCTTCTCACTACCGAAACTCACCGAAGGAAACAGACGCCAGTGCTCCTCCCGGGGCTGCCACCACGGCTCCGGCAGGCGGGCCGGGGACCGGCCGAACCTGAGTTGACGGTGGAGGGGCTCGGGTTAGCTAGATGGGCGGTTGGTTAGATGCGTAAGCGGTAGTATGCGAGCTCAGTTCGTTGTTGCTGGTTGGCTGTCTAGTCGGCCGATCCGTCTGCTCACCCGGCCTGCCCTTTCCTGCCTTTCGTCTGCAGCGGCCGCCAGCTCCTGCTCGGTGTCCAAAACAAAATGGCCGCCACGTCCAGTGCTTGTCTGACCGGCTAAAATGGCGTCTACGCAATTACGTCAGGCGTCAGATCCGCGCACGACTAGAGGGCGGGAAAGATTTGAGCTACGCCTGCGCAGAGGTCAGAGGCGGAGCCTTAGGGCGAAGGCGGGGCTTTCCATGCAGTGCCCCGCCCCTAGGGGCGTGGCCAATGGTCCTGTTGTTGGGGCGTGCCGGGGACTTCACGTTCCAGTAGTGGTTGCGCTGCAACCTCTTGGGGGTAGTTATTAATGTGGGCCTTAGAGGGGATTTGGGTCCCGAATTCCCTCGCCCCTCCGTTCCCTAGCCAAGGTACACCGTCTAAAAATCTTTACGCGGACTTGCCTCGTCTTCTTCCGGACAATTGGGCCTGGGGAATTTGCACTGGTTTTCCCCTCATGGCCACTCGCCCAGTCTGAGAGTTGTGAAGTGCCGTAAATGCTCCAGCCAAGGCCCAGGAGGCCAGTATTAGGAGCAAATTCCTCTCCCATCCTGCACCGGCCAACACCACCGCCCGTCCATGTTTTCCTCCTCACTTCCTCCCCTCCCCAACTTGGCCTAGATACTGTTTACTCCTTCTTGGGGTGGGGCACCTTTGCGTCCTCGATTGCGTTTCCATGTCCTCCCCCCACACCTGCCATCCGTGTTTATTTTGTTGCAGACCTACATAGGGATTTCTCTTTTCTCTCTCTGATTTGTTGTTGTTATTTTGAGACGGGGTCTGGCTCTGTTGTCCAGGCTGGAGTCAGTGGCGCAATGAATCACGGATCACTGCAGCCTTGACCTACTGGGCTCAGGTGATCCTCTCACCTCAGCCTCCCGACTCCTAGGATTATGGGCATAAGCTATGTTTCCTGCTCAATAAGGGATTTTTCTCTCTTTCTTTTTTTTTTCTTTTTGCAGATGGAGTCTCGCTGTGTCACCCAGACTGGAGTGCAGTGGTACCATCTCGGCTCACTGCAACCTCCGCCTCCCAGGTTCAAGCGATTCTCCTGCCTCAGCCTCCTGAGTAGCTGGAATTACAGGCGCGTACCACCATGCCCCGCTAATTTTTGTATTTTTAGTAGAGATGGGGTTTCACCAGGCTGGTCTCCAACTCCTGACCTCAAGTGATCTGCCCGCCTCTGTCTCCCAAAGTGCTGGGACTACAGTCGTGAGCCACTGTGCCCGGCCTCAATAAGGGATTTTTCTAATGACTATGTGCACAATACAGTGTACATATGTTTGAGGAATGAGAGAATGACACATCTGCAACCCTTCCTCTGCTCCACTGGCACGTCAAGACCCTTTCATTTTCCTTCCTGGCACTTGGGCGTGTGCGTGTGTGTATGTGTTTGTGTGTGTCTGTGTGTAAGTAATGGCCCAGCATCCTTACCCATGTGAGGGTAAGGATCGTGGTTATTTTGCTTAATGCTGGAGCCTCAGTTCCTACAGTGTTTACACATAGTACCACTTAAGTAAATGTTCGTTGATTGAAAGAAGATTCTTTCGGCCTAGCGCGGTGGCTCATGCCTGTAATCTCAGCACTTTGGGAGGCCGAGGCGGGGGGATCACGAGGTCAGGAGATCGAGACCATCCTGGCCAACATGGTGAAACCCCGTCTGTACTAAAAATACAAAAAATTAGCCGGGCGTGGTGGCAGGCGCCTGTAGTCCCAGCTGCTCGGGAGGCTGAGGCAGGTGAATCGCTTGAACCTGGGAGGCGGAGGTTGCAGTGAGCCGAGATCGTGCCACTGCCCTCCAGCCTGGGTGACAGAGCCAGACTGTGTCTCCAAAAAAAAAAAAAAAAAAAAAAGATTATTTCTTCCTCTGGTTTTATAGTTGAGAAGCTGATGTCTCCTCGACTTCCAACTGGAACCTTGAACCCCCACATTTCTGGACCTTGAGCATTCCTCAAGTAGGAAGATGTAATGCACCTTGACCTCTTTCTAAATAAGACACTTCCCCAAATAAGGGGAGTTGAGAGTGAACAGTCTTCACGTCTCCACCCACTTCCAGATCCCAGAGGAGACAGACATCGGATGGCTGGTGAGAGAGAAGCCTTTAATGAAAGATGAGTTGCAGGCTTGGACCGCTACTCTTGCGCCCTTGGTGGGGGTGGGGGTGGGGTGGGCAAGGGTGGGGTTATGGAGAGGGATAAGTGGGGTGAGGTGGAAGCAGGGGGAAGAGGCAGGTCTGGGAGGGTGGAGAGGAAGGGCGCTGCCCAATGTGGCTGTCTGCTCAACTGTTCTCCCAGAAGAAATTGTTACAGGCCACTGTGAGAGCAGCCACAAGCACCACATACTCCTGGAAGTCCACCTCCCCGTCTCCATTCTCGTCTAGCTCCTTCATCACCTTGTCCACAGCATCCACATCCTTCTGGGCCTGTGGTGGGAGGAGAGGAAGAGGGAGGTGTATAGGGAAGGGTACAGCACTGAGTCAGAGGCAAGGGGGTGGTTGAGGAGCAGGAGGCAAAGATGAGCGAGAGGAACTGCATTGAATTATGGGACTCTTCTAGGCCTCCTCAAAGGTCTTGAGGGCTTCTGTTGCCTACAGCATAAGCTCTTTCACCTGGCAGAATGAATAATAATGACACCAGTTACCGTATGTTCAGTGCCTATAATAAAGCAAGCACTACACTAGGAGCTTTACAAGCACTGTCTAATTTAATTCTAATACAAATAATGTGAGGTATGTTTCATTATTTCCATTCTAGAGAAGAAACAAATTGGTAATCGGTGGTTAAATAAATATGCCCAAAGTCCCACAGCTAGAAAGTAGCAGGGCTGGAATTTGAACCCAGTCCAATAAAACCTCAAAACCGGTGCACTTTCTACCGTATCCTGAGGCTTCTTTACTTTGGGGCCCTGGTTAGCCTTAGCAGCCTAGTTTTCTACATCCTTCATGCCAGTTGAATGAAACTACTGACATGCTCCACATTCTTCTTTCTCCCATGCTTTTGTTCATTCAGTTACCTCCTCCTAAAATGTCTGCATTTACCCAGATAATCTTCCAATGGAAATCCATGGTTCAAGTGCCACCTCTTCAGGAAAGCCATCTGACTTCAATCAGGTTAATAATCTCTCATAACCCTTTCTGGTACATCTGTTAAGGCTCTGTGTATTTCCTGGAGTTCATGGTTTACTTTTAAGTGTCAATCTTTCCCTTCTAAGTCTGTGTGTCTTATTATTGATGAATCTACACAGGGCCTAACACTTAACAGGTGATCAATAAACCAGGGCATTTTGACTTGACCCAGGAGGAGTAGGGGAGCCTGGAAAAACCCAGGAGAGAAGCCTGGGAAAGGAAAGAAAGAGGCTAGGCTGAGCTGGAGGTGGGGTGGGGAGATAGCAAGGGGGTGTCCACCCCATTCCCCCAACCTTCACCCACTCCACTCCCACTCCACCACTCTATGCTCACATCCAGGAAGCCAGAGAGCTCCGTCTGCAGCAGCTCTTTCAGCTCCTTCTTGCTCAGCTTGTACTTGTCCCCCTCTTTGCCCGAGTGGGCGTGGAACACGTTGATGAGGGTCTCCATCGCCGTCTCCAGCTCAGAGCCCATTGCAGCAGTGCACCTACCCACCCCCATCATGGAAGTGAGCTGAGGACCAGGCCCGGAGTACCTGGGGTCTAGGTGAGGGGAACCCTCAGGACTGGCCCTGGCTGACAGCTCAAATAGCTGTGGGATTAGAGCCCTACTGCAATTGATCTTTCCCTGAGATTTTACAATGTGAGGGAAACCCCAAGAGACCTAAGTGCAGGCCTGTTCTCTGTGTCCCTCAGTCTGTACCCCAGCCAGAGGGAATCAGGGTTGGGGCATGGAGAGAGAGCAGTTGGAGCTGGGCTGGCTCCAGAGGCCTGTGGTAGATGTCTGCAGTGGCTGCCCAGGCAGGGATTGAGGAGGGTGGGGCAGGCAGGGGTGGTCACAGGACTGGGCCATGCTTCCTCTGGCTCTATTTTTACCCTGGACCTTGCCTGTCTAGCATAGCCAAGCTCTGCTGTTGAGGGTGGTGGGCTGGGGTGTCCACTACAGCCTTCCTTCTGCTGCCCACCCCTAGCAAGGAGTCAGTCTGGTACCCTCGGTCAGCCTGGTAGAGGGGATGGCAGCCCCAGTGGGTGGCGTACGCCTTCTGGGGGAGGGAGGTCTCACTGACTCTGAGTTTCCTGTCAGCAGCTGGGGGCCCCTTTTGGTCCTTCAACTCTGTTCTCTCCTGAACATGTCATTTTGGCTTCTTTGGGATATGCTCCCATTGCCTCTGCAAAATTATCCCTTCCATCTGGTGGGTGGCAGAAGGGGAGAGAGGAATGTCTGAGCCTTTTCCTTGGAGCCAGAGTTCCCAGGGAGTGGGAGAGGAGACCTGCAGGCGTTGTCCCTGCAACTGCTCACTCCTGGTTGATTCGGGGATAGTGGGAGCAAGGGGAATGGGGCTGCTGTGTGTTGGGGGAGAGAAAGGGCTGAAAGCATGCGGTCCTTTGAGTTCAAGGGGCTGGGAGAGAGTAGGAGAAGAAAGGAGAAAGGAGTGGTCTGTTGAGAGAGAAGACTGCCAAGCCGGGGGGCCTCTTTCCCTTGGCCCTGGGACAGTCTGGCCTTCCACAACCCCAGAGGGGGCAGCTCAGGTGTCTCGGATCAGATGTCCCCATCCTTCCCCAGGCCTAGGGGGCTGGACAATGGCCCCTGATCGAATGACATCCCAGTTCTTCAATGGGGCCCTTGTGAGTGTCATCTGAACTCCGGACCTGAGAAGCAGTTGTCACAGAGACATGGGGGAGATGGAACCCAAGCTGTGGCTGATGAGGGGATAAGGGGTGCTTGAGGGAGGGGTGCTGGTAGCTTGATTACCTGCTCCATGCCAGAGGGGCAGCTGGAGGTCACCTGGAGCCCTAAAGCAGCCTGGGATTTTACGTGGTGGCAGTTCTGAGAGGACTTGGGGGCAGGGGAGATGGGGAAACAAAGAGGTAAGAATGGGGGGAAAGAGGAGTCAAGAGGTCTGGGCCAAAAATGGGAGGAGGAGAAAGGGGAGGTCCTGTGGAGGTCGAGTTGGGAAGGGGCACAGCACCCTACATCTCTGCTTCCCCATATCATGGGAGCTTTGCCCTGCCACCCCCAGACTCCCCCGGGACCTGAGCTCTTGGCAAGGCAGGGTGGGGGTGGCAGAGACTAAGGCTGGCAGGAGAGGTGGGGGCAGAAACAGCTGTTGTATCTGCTCTCTTCTTACCCCACAGGAGGCGAGGCAGGGGAGGGCTGGGACCCTTCCCAACACCTGGGAGACAGAGGGGGCCTTGGCAGGGACTTGAGGGCTCCCTGTGGGAGGGCCAGGCGGTCAGGAAGCTCATGGTGGGTTCCCCACTGGCTTCCTCCTTTGCTGAGCTGCCAGCTCTCTCTCCGACCTTCAGTTCATTTGTCTCTCATCACCACCTTCCAAACCCTGTCTCCCCCAAATCCCAAACTGCCCTCACCCTGACTGACTCCTCCCAGATCCTCAGTGCTCCACAGTGCTATGGTCCCCAGCCTCTTGGAGCCCTTCTGAAGACCCCTCTCCCTGAAGCTGGCAGGCCAGGGACTAGCCCAGTGGGGCAGGGTACTCACGGTTGGCCTGGGCCTGAGGTGGGAGCAGGTTCTGGACAGATGGCCAAGGTTGCAAATGTGGCTGCTGGAGCTGTGTGTGGAGACCTGTCTTCAACAGTCCCTCCCCCGCTGACCCCCCCACCGACTCCACCCCTTCACAGACGAACACCCTGTGGGGCAAGGGGCCAGGAGCAGACAGAGGCGCCCTCTGTCTCCTGGGCTGGAACAGGCGGCCCTTGTCTCTTTCCCAGCCTTGCTTGCCCCGTTCCTTTCTCTCCAGGCAGCAGTGGATGGTGCAGGGGAAAGAGGTGGGAAGGAGGTCCTGGGAGGGACACTGGATGTCTTACCCCAAGCTGGGCCTTGCAGTACCTGTGGCTGGCTGTGCTGGTTGAGCCCGGTAAGGGGGGAATTCTGCTGAGGGGGTCTTAGTCTGTGGCTCCTCCATGGGGCCTCACTGAGAGGACCCTCAGTGAGAAACTTAGTCTTGGGAGTCTGAGAACCCACAGAGGGATTTCAATCCAGGACTCTTCTCTGGGGGTCTCAACCTGGATCCCCCTCTGTGTGTGGGGCCTCAGCCTGGGGTTCTCTGAGGGATCTTGGTCTGTAGCATCCTTTGTGGGATCTCATTCCAAGGGGCCTCTGTGTGTGTCTCAGATTGGGCCTCTCAGTGTTGAGCTCCCTTGATTGGTTGCCTCCCTCTTCCCCCCTCAGCATACACACTCCTGATTAGACATGGGTATGGTGGCAGCAGCCCCCAGTATTGAGAGGACTAGGACCCTGGGACCCCTGCCGAACGAGATCTGTCCAGGCAGCTCCTCTCCCTGACCAAGTGGGGGCGCTCGTGTGGCTGGCAGGGAGCCCGGGTCCAGACCTGAGGGCTCAGGGCAAGCGGCCTGATTGGGCTGTCTCTGGTCTTCAGAATCGACCACGGAAATTTGACACCTCCGGGCTTGGAAGCAGCTCTCTCCTCCTTCCCCGCTGCTTATAAACCTCAGCCCTGAGGCTCCAGCTCACTCTACCCCATCTCCTTGCCGGGTGAGTCTCATGGCTGACCCTGGAGGGAGGCTGGAGATCATTTTTTCTTCCTGGGCTCCCAGGTCCCTCCCCCAGAGCCAGCTCAGACAGGAATTCAGGAAGGAGCTTTGGATGATCGAGCAACAGCGCGTGCAGGAGTGTGTGACGGGGTGGACAGAAAAGAGAATGCCTCTTCCAGCCCCACCCGCCGCACCCCAGGGGGTTGTGAGTGCCTGTACTAAACCCGTCCTGGAGCAGGGAGTCAGAGACGCCCCGTTCCAGGACCCTTGTCACCGGGAGACAGGAGCGGGGAGGATCTGTGGGGTCCTGGGTTCAGCACTCTGCCCTGCTGCCGCTGAGGAGAGGTAAGGGTGGAGCGGGGCAGAGAAAATGGGTCTGTTCAGACGGAGCCAGCTCTGACCACAGGGGACATTTGCCAGACCCTGTGCTTCTCTGCTGGGAGGAGCGGTTAGAGTGTGTGTGGGCGGATGCGAGTGGCCGGAGACCAGGGCCCAACATAAACAAGCTTTGGAGACAAACAACCTTATGACCTGTGAGTCTGGGTGAGACAAGAAGGGATTCTTGAGACAGACACGCCACAGAGGGGCCACCAGACTTGAAGGACTCCAAGAAGGACCTTCAACTGAAGACCTCCTCTCAAGTAGAGGGGTCTCCAGATCGAGGGATCACCACAGAGGGGTCCCTAAGCCACAGACATTTAAAAAGGATCCCGGATTGTGAGACCTACAGAAGAGGGGGTTTCTGGAGCTGAATCTCCTGCCCCCACCAAAACTGAGATGCCGTTGCCTGGTCTGCTGCCCCAAGCTCAACCCCTGTCCTCTCCCTCTTTCCCCATATGCCCCCTCCAGGCTGAGACTGATGTGATAACACCAAGGCAGGGACCTTCTGAACCATTCCTGCATCTTGGGGCTCCCTGACTCTCCCTCTCTGCTCCTTCTCTCTTCCACAGGTCAGCCCTGACAAAGGTCAGCTAGCCCCTTGAGGACATCAGCTTTGGCCTCAGGGTCCTAATGGCAGCAGAACCACTGACAGAGCTAGAGGAGTCCATTGAGACCGTGGTCACCACCTTCTTCACCTTTGCAAGGCAGGAGGGCCGGAAGGATAGCCTCAGCGTCAACGAGTTCAAAGAGCTGGTTACCCAGCAGTTGCCCCATCTGCTCAAGGTAGGCAGAAGTCTGGGACTGAGATTTTGTGAGATGATGATTATGGGACACTGTGTTTAGGACGTGATGGTGCCGAGTACGGTGAGGTGACCACAAGAAAGGGTGTGGGTGGCTGCATGTGTCAATGGTTGCAGGTTTTCTTTTGTTTTTTCGAGACAAAGTCTCACTCTGTTGCCCAGGCCGGAGTGCAGTGGTGTGATCTTGGCTCACTGCAACCTCCATCTCCGGGGTTCAAGTGATTCTCCTGCCTCAGCCTCCTGAGTAGCTGGGATTACAGGTGTGTGCCACCACGCCGAGCCTATTTCTGTATTTTTAGTAGAGACAGGGTTTCACCAGGTTGGCCAGGCTGGTCTCGAACTCCTGACCTCAGGTGATCCACCCGCCTCGGCCTCCCAAAGTGCTGTGGTTACAGGCGCAAGCCACTGCGCCTGACCCGGTTGTGAGTTTTCTTGCCTGGTGTGTACATGTGTGTGTTTGTGTGTCCATGCATATAATTAGGTAAGCAAAGATACTATGTGCCAGTGGGAGTATGGTCTTGTGTCAGAAGATGCTGTTGGGTTCTTGTGTATGCTCTGTGCCTTTCTGGTCTAATTTCCCCAAGACAGGACTGGACCCAGAGCTGGCTTCCAGGAGATTCACAGACTGTCAGAGCTGGAAGGAGGCCAAGAGAAAACACAGTCCGCATTCCTCACTTCACATATATGGAAACTGAGGCCTAGCAGTGGAAAGGGGCTTATCAAAAATGAAAACACAGCCAAATTCATGGAGTCATAGACCTCAGTGTAGGGGGTCTGTGGGTGCATCTGTGAAGACTCCCTACCCGCTATGGGCATCCCCTTACTAGGGTGTAAGAGTCATTCCTTCTCTCGCACTCACAGGCTGGAGTCAGGTCTTAAATTTCATCGACTCTGGCCTCGAAGAGGCCTGGTCATTCTGGCTGTTGACAGTTTGTTTTACATCCTTTCTGAAAATCCACAGGCACGTTGAAGTGTGTGAATATGGACTCCTTGAACACAGTGAGTCTCTGAAACTCATGGTCTTTCATCTGCAAAATCCCCTACAACTTCCAACTTCTCAGACTTTTTTTTGAGACAGGGTTTCTCACTCTGTTGCCCAGGCCACTGTGCGATCACAGCTCATTGCATCCTTGACCTTCCGGGCTCAGGCAATCCTCCTGCCCCAGCCTCACAAGTAGCTGGGACCACAGGCGCATGCCACACTGCCTGGCTAATTTTTTCTTTTTTTGTGACAGAGTCTCACTCTGTCACCGAGGCTGGAGTGCAATGGTGCGATCTTGGCTCACTGCAACCTCTGCCTCCTGGGTTCAAGTGGTTCTCTTACCTCAGCCTCATGAGTAGCTGGGATTACAGGCAACCGCCACCATGCCTGGATAATTTTTGTATTTTTAGTAGAGACGGGGTTTCACTATGTTGGCCAGGCTGGTTTCGAACTCCTGATCTCAGGTGATCCACCTGCCTCGGCCTCTCAAAGTGCTGGAATTACAGGCGTGAGCCACCGCGCCTGGCCTAATTTTTAAGTTACTTGTAGAGATGTGGTCTCTCTGTGTTTCCCAAGCTGGTCTCAAACTCTAGGCCTCAAGTGATCCTCCTGCATTGGCCTTCCAAAGTGTTGGGATTACAGTCATGAGCCACTGTGCCCAGCCAGACGTTTCCTTTTTCATCTTTTTTACTGGAAACTTCAGGTTCTCTCCTGAAGGGACAGCATTCCTTATATCCTTGTCAAGCAGTGATTGTGGTTTTTTTTTTTTTTTTCCTAAATTCAACTTCCTCTGGGCCTGGAAATGGAGGAAGTGACCTCTCTGCTTTCCATTATCTCTAGATTTTAGTTTCTTCTTCTTTCTAAGACTTCCCAGCGCCTTGGAAGATCATCTGCCACCTGCCATTCTTCTTATTGCGCTCCTTACAGCTCTTCAGCTCCTGGCTCACTGTTTTCTTCTCATCACTGCTTCTGTTGTTATTCTCAGTGGCTTCAGCATCCGCACAGACAATTCATCCAACATCTGGGCCTTTCAATTTTCTCAACTCCTCATTTCCAAAAAGATTTGTCTTCTTACATCTCAGCATCCCACTCCTCTGTTCATGCTTTAGACTGTGTCATTAACAAAATAACGCACAACTTCCAAAATCTTGATTTCAAGTTTCCCTTTATCTGCTGACCTCCTCCTGTCATTCCAGTTCTGTTCCCCTCTCTAGCTTCTCCACTTCAGCACTTCCCTGACTCCTCAGGTACCTTCAGTCTCTCGACCCTCTCACTTTTGCATCTTCCATCAACATCCCTCGGGTCCTCATTGCCCTTCCTCCTCACCTCAGGTTCTAAGGCTTCTAATTGTAATCACTGCCTTAACCCCGTTGATTCTGTCTCTCTCTGTTCTCAACCCAGTTAATCCACCATTTCACCTATAGTAACTTGCCAGTTAAATCCACTGTTCTGCACCTGCACTTGGATAGCTGAATCTGGCTGGAGAAAAATGCATAGCTTTGTTGACTTGTCTCACTTTAAATCTATAACCACAGACCCCAAAAGGGACCCTTGGCAATACCTGGCGGTTCTGTGTTTCCCTGGTTGATTCATTTACCAGTTCTTTCAGATAATTATTTCACAATTTGTCTTCTCTCCTCAAAGCTCAGTACATCTTTCCACGTTCTCCCTTTTCCTGAGAAGTTTACTCACTGAGAAGTTCAGGACTTCGAGACCAGCCTGGCCAACATAGTGAAACCCCATCTCTACTAAAAATATATTTAAAAAATTAGCTGGGCATGGTTGTGTGCGCCTGTAATCCCAGCTACTTGGGAGGCTGAAGCAGGAAAATTGCTTGAACCCAGGAGGCAGAGGTTGCAGGGAGCTGAGATTGCACCACTGCACTCCAGCCTGGGCAACAGAGGGAGACTGTCTCAAAGGAAAAAAAAAAAAAAGGAAACGAAAATAGGAGCAATCAGGAAACTTGTATGTGCTCCCTCCCCGAAATCAGCAGTCTTCTGTTATGCAAATGATACGTCACTGCCCCTAAGGCCAACCCTTCACTGGTGCCCTGGATCCCATCCCCTCTCACCCACTGCACTCCAGTCTGGGTGACCGACAGAGCGAGACTCCGTCTCAAAAAAAAAGACTTTCCTCTTGAAATTACTCCTCTCTTTCTTGTGTCCTCAAATTTTCCTTCTCCACTGTATCGTTCTTACCAGCTTACAACTGATACCTCTTTTTTTTTTTTTGAGACAGAGTCTCACTTTGTTGCCCAGGCTAGAGTGCAATGGCGTGATTACAGTTCACTGCAGCCTCTACCTCCTACGCTCAAGTGATCCTTCCACCTCAGCCTTCTGAGTAGCTGGGACTACAGGCATGTGCCACCATGTCTGGCTAATTTTTTAATTTTTTTGTAGAGACAGGGCCTCTGTACGTGTGCGTGCATGTAATTAGGTAAGCAAAGATACTGTGTGCCAGTGGGAGTATGGGCTTGTATCAGATGATGCTGTTGGGTTCTTGTGTATGTTCTGTGCTTTTCTGGTCTAATTTCCCCAAGACAGGACTGGACCCAGAGCTGGCTTCCAGGAGATTCACAGACCATCACAGCTGGAAGGAGGCCAAGAGAAAACACAGTCCCCATTCCTCACTTCACATATATGGAAACTGAGGCCTAATTTTTAAATGTTTTTGTAGAGGCAGGGCCTCATTATATTGCCCATGCTGGTCTTGAACTCCTAGGCTTAAGTGATCCTCCTGCCCTGGCCTCCCAAAGTGTTGGGATTACAGGCATGAGCCACTATGCCCAGCCCAATCCTTTATTGATGGAAATTTTTCTTATGTCCATTTCTTCCTTCTTGCAAATATCTGTTTGTATACCTACATACTGGTGGAAAAATAACAACATAAGGTAAATGTTTGGCAGTAGAAATATTAGGTTAAGTGGCATGTTCATTTTTAATTTGTTTTTGAGAAAGGATCTTGCTCTTTCACCCAGGCTGGAGTGCAGTGGCATGATCTCGGGTCACTGCAACCTCTGCCTCCCAGGTTCAAGCGATTTTCCTGGCTCAGCCTCCCTGAGTAGCTGGGACTACAGGCTTGTGCCACCACGCCTGGCTAATTTTTGTATTTTTAGTAGAGACGAGGTTTCGCCATGTTGGCCAGGCTGGTCTCGCACTCCTGACTTCAGATGATCTGCCTGCCTCGGCCTCCCAAAGTGCTGGGATTACAGGGGTGAGCCACCGAGACCAGCTTTCATTTTTAATTTTTGTGATTACCAATTTGCCTCCTAAAAAAGTTGTACCAGTTTATATGGCTACCCACACTTCATGCGATGCCTGTGTACTTGTCCAAACTGGGTGTTATTGAGCTTTTACTTTTTGCTAATCTATGATGTGAAAATGATATCTTTTTCTGATTTACGCTTATATAATTCTGAGTGAAATGGAACTTCAATTTTTTTTTTTTTTAATTTTTTTGAGACGAGGTCTCACTCTGTCACCCAGGCTGGGCTGGAGTGCAGTGGTGTGATCTCGGCTCACTGCAACCTCCACCTCTTGGGTTCGAGCGATTCTTGAACCGTGCATCACCATGCCTGGC
Source organism: Homo sapiens (assembly GCF_000001405.40). Taxonomy (NCBI): domain Eukaryota; kingdom Metazoa; phylum Chordata; class Mammalia; order Primates; family Hominidae; genus Homo; species Homo sapiens. The sequence goes on along the minus strand of NC_000001.11, from coordinate 153,621,741 downwards.
TGATTTTTGCATTTTTAGTAGAGATGGGGTTTCTTTCTTTCTTTCTTTCTTTTTTTTTTTGAGCAGCAGCAAGATTTATTGCAAAGAGCGAAAGAACAAAGCTTCCACAGTGTGAGAGACCCGAGCGGGTTGCCCGAGATGGGGTTTCATCACGTTGGCCAGGCTGGTCTTGAACGCCTGACCTCGAGTTATCCACCCGCCTTGGCCTCCCAAAGTTCTGGGATTACAGGCATGAGCCACCATGCCCAGCCAGTAACATTTTATAATGTTAAAAAGAATCCTGTAGGCCGGGCGTGGTGGCTCATGCCTGTAATCCCAGACCTTTTGGAGGCTGAGGTGGGTGGATCACCTGAGGTCAGGAGTTTGAGACTAGCCTGGCAAACATGGTGAAACCCCATCTCTACTAAAAATAGAAAAATTAGCAAGGCGTGGTGGTGGGTGCCTATAATCCCAGCTCCTCGGGAGGCTGAGGCAGGAGAATTGCTTGAACCCAGAAGGTGGGGGTTGCAGTGAGCTGAGATCATACTACTGCACGCCAGCCTGGGCGACAGAGTAAGACTCCATCTCAAAAAAAAAAAAAAATCCTGTAGATAGTTTAATTGGGATCATATAAAAGATATATTTTAGGGAAAATCAACATTTTTAGCTGATTGAGCCTTTCTCTTTAAGAAAAATATATGTTTATTCCATTTTCTATTTATTCAAGGTTTTTTTTAATATCCCTGTGGTATAATATGAAATATATAGTTGTCATTTTGTATCCATGGGAATTGTTCCCAGAACCCCCTTGGATGCCAAAATCCTTGGATGCTCAATTACCTTTTTTTGTCCTTTTCTTGTAGAGATGGGTGTCTCACAATGTTGCCCTGGCTGGTCTTGAACTCCTGGGCTCAAGCGATCCTCTCACCTTGGCCTCCCCAAAGTGCTGAGATTGCAGGTGTGAGCCACCATGCCTGGCCTCAAATCCCTTATATAAAATCAGATAGTACTTGCATATAACCTATGCACATCCTCCTGTATACTTTAAATTACAAGTAACTCTAGGTTACTTGTAATACATAATGCAGTGCCTACTCATCACTTCATTCACATGGATTCAACTTAGTACTTAGCATGGGGCAAAATTTAAGTTTTGCTTTTTGGAACTTTGTGGATTTTTTTCTTCAAATATTTTTGGTTCTAGGTTGGTTGAATCCAGGGCTGTGGAACCCACTGATACTGGTATGGTATTTGGTATTTGGCCTTTGTTTTGTTTCTGTCACAGCTCTTTTTTTTTTTTTTTTTAGATAGTCTCACTCTGTCACCCAGGCTGGAGGGCAGTGGCTTGATCTCGGCTCACTACAGCCTCTGCCTCCCACACTCAAGCGATTCTTCTGATTCAGCCTCCCAAGTAGTTGGGACTACGGGTGTGCACTATCACACCGAGCTAATTTTTGTATTTTTTTTTCTTTTTTTGAGACAGAGTCCCACTCTGTAGCCCAGACTGGAGTGCAATGGCGCGATCTCTGCTCACCACAACCTCCGCCTCCCAGGTTCAAGCAATTCTCCTGTCTCAGCCTACCGAGTAGCTGGGATTACAGGCTCCCACCACCATATCTGGCTAATTTTTGTATTTTTAGTAGAGGCAGGGTTTCACCATGTTGGCCAGGCTGGTCTCAAACTCCTGACCTCAAGTGATCCGCCCACCTCAGCCTCCCAAAGCGTTGAGATTACAGGCGTGAGCCACCGCACCCTTCCTGCTTCTTCTTTCTTAATACTTATTTATTTCTCTTTACTGATTGAATGCACCCCCAATATAATGTTACAGTAGCCATCCTTGCCTTCCACTGGCAGTGCTTATAGTATTTTATAATTAAACGTGGTTGTAACTTAAAAAAAAGTCTTTTTTAGTTCTTCTGTGAATCAGCTTTGTTCCCTTTAGAGATTCAGTGAGTCTTCTCTGTCTGCATCCAAATGTTGGTTCAAACCTTGAGCCTCACACCCTGCCTGAGGCACCCTTCTCTGGTTTGATGTTGAACTATTGTTCAACAGTCAACTTTTTGGTTGTGCTTGTTTATCTGGCAACAGGTCCTTCGATCAGGACATCCAGTTTACTGTTGCCATTGATTTCACAGGCCTATGAGAGATACCCTGTCAAGGGCCCCTAAAAACCCAGATACTCCATGCCCTTGCCATTCCCCTGATCTAGTGACCCAGCTGGATAAATGAAAAGACACAAGGGTTGTGCAAATGAGCAGCTAAGTACTGGGAGCTTCTCCAGCTTTCTGAGAAAGAGGAGGGTGGCCCCAGAAGGCTCTGACTGGGTCCAACCCTGCAGCATCTCCCTGAGATGCTGGCATTCCTTGGGCCGATCCCACAGCAGCTGCAGTGGTGTGCTGGTGAGAGAAGATTGTGTGGATTTCTTTCCAGCTTTGTATTCAGCGACAACCTGTTTGTGGTTTGTAAGCAGCCATCGTGGAAGTATTTACACAACGGCAAGCACTAGGACTCAGGCCCCCCCACCTTTCTCTGCTGGTGCTCCTTGGAGAGGCACCCCGTGGCGGTGCAGTTTTGGGGCTGCAGCCTCCTTCTTTAGAGAAGGGGCAGGTGCCACTGCTCTCTGAGGGAAGGGCCTTGAGAGAATAGCAGCTGACAGTTCTTCCCTCCCTACTTTCTCAAGAACCCCAGTTTCTAACTCTACCCTTCCCTTTGGTGTCTCCTCAGGATGTGGGCTCTCTTGATGAGAAGATGAAGAGCTTGGATGTGAATCAGGACTCGGAGCTCAAGTTCAATGAGTACTGGAGATTGATTGGGGAGCTGGCCAAGGAAATCAGGAAGAAGAAAGACCTGAAGATCAGGAAGAAGTAAAGCCGCCTGGCTGAGATGGGGTGGGCAGGGCAGAGCTGATCAGGGCCGAGCAGAACCGCACTCTTCCCAAATAAAGCTTCCTCCTTGAAACACAAATGTTTCTTACTTACACCCCATCCTGATTTCTTTTCTTGAGACCAGAGAGTGGGAAAGCTCTCTCTTGACCTGAGGATGGATCTGAAAATTATGAGCCCCTTGAGGACAGGGAATGTTATTCATCTTTGAATTCCGCAGCATCTAGCACCAGGTCTTGTACAGAGCAGGTGCCCAATAAATGGTTGAATGAATATATGAAAAGTAGAGGCAGAGGGCTGGGCACAGTGGCTCACGCCTGTAATCCTAGCACTTTGGGAGGCTGAGGTGGGTGGATCACTTGAGGTCAGGAGTTCGAGACCAGCTTGGCCAACATGGCTAAACCTCATCTCTATTAAAAATACAAAAATTAGCTGGGCTGGTGCCTGTAATCCCAGCTACTCAGGAGGCTGAGGCAGGAGAATCACTTGAACCCAGGAGGAGGAGTTTGCAGTGAGCCGAGATCGCACCATTGCACTCCAGCCTGGGCGATAGGAGCAAAACTCCATCTCAAAAACAAAAAACAAAACAAAACAAAAAGAAAAAAGAAAAGTAGGGGCAGAGATGTGGGGCAGGAGAGGTGACTCGGGCTCAGCTGCATGGTCCTGCTCTGCTTCTTTTTTCTTGGAGTTTGTCCGTTGGATGACAATGATAGTGGTGAACAGGTATGGAGGGCTTACTAAGTACCAGGTGCAGTGCTAAACATTTTGCCTGTATTGTCTTAGTTAATTCTCACAGTCCTTTGAGGAAGGCACTATTTTTAACTCCTGTATTAAAGATCAGGACACAGATCTTAGTTAAAGTCATAAAGACAAGAATAGGTGGATTTCAGAGCTCTGATTAACCAGGATCCTCTCTGGCTGGGTGCTCAGGAACACTAGGGCCTCCTCCCCTTACCCTCTGGAGCAGTGGGGAAGCCAGAAGGAGGGGCCCGATGTTCTGCTCAAGGACCGTGGGGTGAGGGTGTGGTGGTGCCACCGGAGGCAGAACTTGCCTTGCCTTCCTGGCTTGAGGGGCATATGGTGTACACGGCCACCACCAGAGGGAGCAGGGGCGGGCATCTCGGTGACCAGCCTCCCAGGGCTGTCACTGCCTCACTGGCAGGCATCCATGCAGGGCAGCTATGAGTCCAGAGGAACCTTTAGGCTGAGGGAGCTCCCTGACCCTCCGTTAGAGAGCCCCAGACTGAGACCTCAGAGAGACTCCCAGACTGGGAATCCAAAGGGCCATTGGCAGAGACATTCAAGAGGGGCTCCTGCACTGAAGGGCTCCCTTACCGTGAGAAGCCCTGTGAGGAACCCCCTAGCCTGAGCCTCCTCCTGAGGAACCCAGGCTAAGTCACTCTCAGAGGAACCCACAGGCTGAGAGACCCTCAGAGGGACCTGCAGGTTGAAGCCCTTCAGAGGAACTCTCAGAATGAGACATTGTTGGAAGGTCCTCTCCATTGAGACACACAGGGCCCCAGGTTGAGAAGGTGACATGAGGAGGGATGTAGTGGGGTGTGCTCTGATCTCAGCGTTTAGGAAAGGATCCTGGGAACTTTGGCTCTGGGCCGCACCCCATCCTTGCCCTGACTCATGCCTACTGCTCTGCCCTTCTTCCTACCCCCTCCCAGTGACTTCAGGTTCTAGGTGTCTGGGCCTGGGCAGGTGAGGAGGGCCACTGGGGTTGGGCTCTCTGGGATGTCATTCTGGGTCCTGGATGGGGGGCTGTTGCTCTGCAGCTGGGTTAGGGAAGGCATGGGGCTCTGAGGGAGGGAGAGAGAAACACGTGGCCCGACCAGTTTGGAGTTGGTGTTAGCTGCCAAGCAGCTCAAGTGGGCCTTGCATTTGTGCACTCTGGGCCGCTGAGGGGAGCTGAAGGGAGGTCAGGCAAACACTCACTCAATCTGCCTCCCTCCATCAGGCTGCCCTTCTCTGGCTTCCTCCTGATCCAAGTTCTCTACATTCATCTCTCTGCCTCCAGGACTGGTAAAGGCTGGGCTCTGGGATCCAGGCAGGCTTGAGTGTCAGTATCCAAGCTGGGCCTGACTGGGAGAAGTGTGCGTGTGCGTGTGTGTGTGTGTGTGTGTGCACGTGAGAGAGAGAGAGAGACAGACAGACACACATGGAGGGTACAGAGGCTCCTGCTTCTCCTTCCTGGTCACAGATTCAGACCCCCTCTCCTTCCCTGCCCTGCAGTTCGCCAGGGCCCTTCCACTTCCTAGGGTGACCCCATGAGGTCTCGAAGTCCTCTCTGTCTCCCCAGCCTTCTCGCTTCTCTTTCTCTGTGACTCTGCATGCTGATCGGAGGCCAGGGGTTTCCCAGCCCCAGCCCTCTGTGGCTCCCTCCTCGTGGCAGGGTCATGGTAGGCTCTGGAACTCTGGCCAGCGGAGGGTGGGGCCCATAAAGCTGGCTCATAGCCCAGGCTGCTGCAATAGCAGGGGTGGCTTAGGCCCAGCCCCCTGCCTCCCCTCCCTTCCCCCAGGTATAAGAGCTGAGCTCAGGTGAGCTGGCTCCTCCTGTCTTGTCTCAGCGGCTGCCAACAGGTAAGGAAACCCAAGGCTTTTCACCCAAATATACTGCCTGCTGTCCAGAGGGCACACTTAGGGTAAGAGCTGGGGGATCAGATCCTGGAGGTTGGTGTGTGTGTTTCAAGCAGAGGTGGGTGGTTGGAGGAGGTGGAAAGAATTAAGCTAAGGTGAGTTCCAAGGGATTCCCCCTAGATGCGTTGGCCTGGGGGATATGACCTTGGCTCCTGAAGCCCAGGCGGGGCCTGGGCCTATGTGGTGTTGGTTTTGAACCCCTGGTGAGGCACAGAATATCTGAGATGGAGCCAAAGGGGGCAGCTGAGAAAGAAATGCTAGACTCTCTCCTCAGCTCAGGCCTACCCCCTCCTCTAAGCAGATCATGAGCCATCAGCTCCTCTGGGGCCAGCTATAGGACAACAGAACTCTCACCAAAGGACCAGACACAGTGGGCACCATGGGACAGTGTCGGTCAGCCAACGCAGAGGTGGGCTCATTCACTCCTGGCCTTTCTGCTCCCACACTCCTCTCCTTCACCCTGAGGGTCTATGTCCCCCCACTGACTTCTGCCCTTCACCTTGGCCTTGCCCTGCACCCCAGACCCTGTGAGTGAGATGTGAACCCTCTTCTGAGGCCCACACAGGGTGATGCAGATGGAGTCCTCCTGGGAAGAGGATGCCTGGGTGCATGCTGGGACCTGCTCTGCCTGCGGTGGGGGGTGTGGGGAGGGAAGCCTTCCCCAACCTGTAGCTGCTGTGGCCTGGAGGCCGAGCAGGGGGTGGGGGAGAGGGGCTAGATTCTGGGCTCTGGAGTGGGTGGGAGCTGTGTGCCTTCCAGCTGCCTTCTGCCCTGGGGGCTTTGCTAGGCTCCTGGAGAAGCAGGGTTTTGGGGTGCATGGAGCTTCACTGATGTTTGTGATGTCCCCTGCCCTCAGGATGCTCAGGAATTCAGTGATGTGGAGAGGGCCATTGAGACCCTCATCAAGAACTTTCACCAGTACTCCGTGGAGGGTGGGAAGGAGACGCTGACCCCTTCTGAGCTACGGGACCTGGTCACCCAGCAGCTGCCCCATCTCATGCCGGTATGGACGGAGCACACCCCACCTCAGCCAGTACCCTGACTTCCCAAGCAAGTGCTCCGGGACCCCACCCACACTGGCACTTGCAACCCCCAGCTCTTCCCCCTTGCCAGTGCTAGGTAGCCTCTGCTCCTGCTGTCTGCCCGTGGGCAGGGTGGGGTGGGAAGATTGGAAGGTGCTGCATCCCTGAGCCATGGTTTCTTCACTCCCCTCAGAGCAACTGTGGCCTGGAAGAGAAAATTGCCAACCTGGGCAGCTGCAATGACTCTAAACTGGAGTTCAGGAGTTTCTGGGAGCTGATTGGAGAAGCGGCCAAGAGTGTGAAGCTGGAGAGGCCTGTCCGGGGGCACTGAGAACTCCCTCTGGAATTCTTGGGGGGTGTTGGGGAGAGACTGTGGGCCTGGAGATAAAACTTGTCTCCTCTACCACCACCCTGTACCCTAGCCTGCACCTGTCCTCATCTCTGCAAAGTTCAGCTTCCTTCCCCAGGTCTCTGTGCACTCTGTCTTGGATGCTCTGGGGAGCTCATGGGTGGAGGAGTCTCCACCAGAGGGAGGCTCAGGGGACTGGTTGGGCCAGGGATGAATATTTGAGGGATAAAAATTGTGTAAGAGCCAAAGAATTGGTAGTAGGGGGAGAACAGAGAGGAGCTGGGCTATGGGAAATGATTTGAATAATGGAGCTGGGAATATGGCTGGATATCTGGTACTAAAAAAGGGTCTTTAAGAACCTACTTCCTAATCTCTTCCCCAATCCAAACCATAGCTGTCTGTCCAGTGCTCTCTTCCTGCCTCCAGCTCTGCCCCAGGCTCCTCCTAGACTCTGTCCCTGGGCTAGGGCAGGGGAGGAGGGAGAGCAGGGTTGGGGGAGAGGCTGAGGAGAGTGTGACATGTGGGGAGAGGACCAGCTGGGTGCTTGGGCATTGACAGAATGATGGTTGTTTTGTATCATTTGATTAATAAAAAAAAATGAAAAAAGTGAAACATGTTGTCTTGACTGGACACCCCCTCCCTGAGGGTCCACGGGTGAGAGGAGCTTGGGGGTGAAAGGCAAAGTCATTGGTAGGGTGGGGCACGTGGGGCTGGAGTGGTTGGCTGTGGAAGTGAATGGGGACTCACTTTTCCCTATGGGTTTGGGTTGAGGGTGGTACCAGGTCCAAAAGGGCAACATGGTCCTCTCTGAGGGACAGGCTCCTCTTTGCCAATGGGCGGGCCCTCTTATAGGAGAGGAGGGTATGTGTGCACACTTGGGGAAAAGGATATTAGTCCAGGTGTTCTGAGCCCTGGCTGGCACAACCAGGGAAATGGGGTGGGTGGGGGTGGGGGGCGGTTAGAAACAGGCTGACTGGCCTGAGTTTGAATCTCAGATCTGCCACTTATCATTGGAATTTTGGGCATGCTCTTAGTATCAGTTTCCTCATCTGTAAAATGGGGGATATGAATATTACTTCCACAGGATTGCCAGGAGGACAATGCCACACATCATGTAAAGCACTTACAGAGAGCCTGACACATGGTGAGTGCCCAGTGACCCAATATCATTCCCGCTGGAGTGGGCAAGTGGGCCCCTCTTTGGTTTCAGCTGCTGCCCTAGTGTAGGGAGGTCGAGCTGGCCAGTTTCCTTGGGTATCTTAGGGAAACGGTGGGGTGTGGGGAGTTTCCAGAGGAGTCTTCTGGTGTACATGAGGGATCTTAGGGCTGGGTCTCAGTAGAGCTGATGGGTCAGACTAGAGACAGAAGACCAGGGAGCCAGACAGGTCCCTGGCATCTGCCTTCTGATTTGAGCACAGAAGTCGGGCGTTACTCCTGAAACCCCAGTGGCAAGGAGGTTTCTGTGGCCAGTTAGGCTGGCCTGGAATGTTAACTGAACTTGTCTGTTGGGAGCCCCTGAAACTGGGATCCCAGTGACCCAGGTGAGAAAGGCAGGTGATAGTCCTTCCCTTCCTTTCTCTACCCTGTCAGGTTCTGCTCAGCCCCTGCGGGGCTGGGAGGGTGGGGTTGGGGGAGTGCCAGTTTTCACCACTCCCTCTGGGATGGGGGTAGAGGGGTGTGAAAAAAGGTGTGTATCCCTTTAACAAGGGCCCAACCCCAGGGCCAAGTCAAGAAGGAGCTCAGCCACTATCTCCCCACCGAGCCAGCTCAGCGGGCAGGGCTGGGAGGGAGTGGGACAGATTCTGGGAGTGCAGCGGGGAGGAGTCCCGGCTGGGCTGAGCGCAGGGAGCTGCTTGGCAGTGCCAGAGCCCAGGCCCCAGAGCCCTGCTGGAGAGGAGGCAGACTGAGGCAGCAGGTGAGCACCCTGGGCCCGGCCTGGGAGGTCTTCGGCTGCCGGAGGGCCCCACAGTATTGGGAGGCCAGGAGAAGGGGCAGTGAAGGGGGCCTGGGGAGAGGGGCCTGCCAGAGAGCAGGCAGGAAGATTTTGGTAATTATTAACTTTCTCCCACAGGCCAGTTTAGGAATGGGGAGTCCTGGGGGGTTGGGGGCTGGGTGAGGCCTTTAGAGGGATGGATGGGATGGTGAGACCCCCTCCCTGCCGCAGCAGCTGACGGAGCTCCTCTCCAGGGGCAGAGTATTTGGAAGCTTTGACCACAGCTACTCGATCCTCCCCAAAAGGAGAGGACAAATGCGTGTTGGTCTGGGTTGGGGGTGGTCAGAGCTTGGACACAGGCCTTGCTGGGCTCTGGGAGCTGTGTCCTAGGGGAGGTGATGGGGTCCAGAAGGAACCAGGCAGTTTCCAGGGAGCCTGAGATTCCGAGAAGAGGAGGCGGGGGCTGAGGTGGCGTCCCCTCTACCTCACGACCCAAGCAGACCCCACTGTGTTCCAGGAGCTGTTCCTTGAGAGGGATGATGAGATCTGGGAGGAACCCGAGTGAGGCTGTGGGGAGCCTGCAAGCTCCCTGGGAGAGGGAAAGATAGAGAGAGGGGGGCTGAACCTCGGCAGCTCCTCCACCTCAGGACCCAGGCAGGCCCCGGCTTGAGCTGCTTTTCTTGGCAGAGCCACCTGCACTATGGGAGCCTTCCCCTGCCCAGCCCAGTGGGGATGGTGGTGAGGGCAGGGGTGCTGGGGAGCTGGCTCTGCCTTTCCCCACATTCTAGTAAGTGTTGTTGAGGCTGGGGTAGCTGTGTGTGTGTTGGGGGAGGCGGGGGCAAGATCCACACTGAACTCCTCCAACTTCACTTGCCTGGAAAAATTTCAGAGGCTGGCTTCTTGCTCCAAGAACTGAAGTGAGTGGAAGGGTGATGGGTCACCCAAGCAGAGGGGATCAGGAATGGCCGAGGTCCTTGCTCGGTGTGTGTGTGTGTGTGTGTGTGTGTGTGTGTGTGAGAGAGAGACAAAGAGAGTTAGACGCAGAATCCTGTGAGGATGGTAAGGGGTGAGGCAGGGCCAAGCAGGCCCCACTATGCTCCGGGAGCTGTTCCTGGAGAGGGCCTTGTGGAATTGGAGAAAGAACACAGGAAGGAGCAGAGAATGGAACAGCTGAGGCTGGAGAAATTTCATTTGAAACAGCCTTGCTGATAGAGGTGGCATTGTCAGCCCAGTTCGGATGGCACCTTCCCTATATATTGAAGTTAGAGAGGACAAATGAGTAAATGAAAAAGGGAATGAATGAATGAATGTGCAAGAGAGTGAATGCATTATTGAATGAGCAAGTGAATGAATGAGAGTGAATGAATGAGCCAATAAATGAATGAGTAAGCAAACTCATGGTGCCTAAGTGAGCAAATGAATTCCAGGTAGATGGAAGGGACACAGAGAATCCATACTTAGGCTTGACAGTGGGCTAGGCTCTGGAGAGAACAGTGACCAGGAGGGACAGGAGTCTAGGGACACATCCCAACACTTGGAAAAAACTTAAGACTCCAGAGGTGTCTGTGGGGTGAGAAGAGAAGGTGGACTTAGGACGGTGTGGTGGATGTTTGGAGCTCCAGACGGAAGGAGCCTGGGGATGCTAGGGGTGGTTAGGAGGCATTTGGAGGGCGTGGAGCCCAGAACCTGGGGGTGGGAGGGTGGGGCTGGAGTGGCTGGGATCCAGGGGCATGGAGTCAGGGCAATTTGGGCTTTTGGAGAAGTCAGCAAGCTGGGCTGAGGTGGGTGGGGTGGGGGTGGGAGACTGCTTGTTGCTCAATGATGAATCAGCCAAGGGGAAGACAATGAGAACATTGGGGTAGGGCTGGAGGCCTGAGGTGAGAGGGCCCATTGGAGGACACGTGGTCCTCCCATTCCCACATTTCTGGAAGGCTCCTGTGTACACTGTCCACTCAGGCCAGGATCTACCTGTGGCAGGGCCAATGCAGGAACGACCTCCTGCTTGACCTTTCTAGGAAGCGGCTGATGGGATAGAACATCTGCCCGACCCCTGAACCAGGAGACCCGGGGCCTGGCTGGTGGGGGAATGGGGCAGGCGGGAGGAGCAGGTGGCTTGTGGGGTGGGTGGGGTGGCAGATCCTGTCTCCTGGCCTCCAGGGGAGGGAGGCAGAGGAGGATAACGATCCCTGCCTGCCTGCTACCCTATCCTTCCTTCAGAAAAAGCTCCAGAAAAGCACTTGTCAGATGGTTATCTCCAGCACTGTCCATTTTACCGAAGGTGGGGAGCGGGTGGATTCCTGGGAGGAGGGGCTGGGAGCTGAAGCCCTGAGGCACTGGAGCTCCCGCTCTGGGTCTCCCAGTACTCCTGGGAGCAGGTGGCAGAGTCATCTCTGGGGCTCATCTGTGTCTTGGCCACTTGGCTGCTGCCAGAGGCCAAGCAGGGGTTGAGTCATGGTATTGAGGAAGGCCAGGAGGAGACAGCTCAGAGAAATGACTCCAAGGAGGCAGGTGGTGGGAGAGGTGGGCTAGCTTGTGGGGAGAGTGGCAGAGGGAGGTGCACCACCCATTTCCTTCCCTCTTCCTCTCCCTGACCGTTTCCCACAAGATCCCTCATTTAGGGAACAAGGATTGGGATGGTTAAGTGTGGGGAGTTTCTCTGAATTATCTTCCCACTTCCAAGTCTTGGTTGGGAGTGGACTTGGCACAGTCCTTCCAGAAATGGGCACGGTTTTCAGAATCACCTGGAACACTGGTCATGAACCTGAGCCACCTCCAACCCAAGGGCAGCACAGCAGACAGACCACAGGTTGAACAATGGTCTTCCTCTTCAACTGTAAATGTTAAAGTGTTTGTATGAAAGTCTTGCAGCGGTATAGACAGGGAACCACGCAGTTACACACTTAAATAAAAGAATATGGAAAAGCGTGTGGCTTCCTGCCATCCTGGTACTCTGCTCCATCCTCCCAGCCAAGGACCAGAGGGTTTGGGCAGGCGGAGGAGGGAAGACAAGGGCAGGATTTCCCTTCAGAGAAGCCGCAGCCTGACTCTTCCTCTCAACTCTCCTTCCTTCTTGCTTCCTGGCCTGTTCCCTCCTGGTCCCACCCTTCCTTCAGAAGAGGCTTCATGAAAGAAAAAGCTTAAAAGGTGGTCAAGGACGTGCAATACCCGTTATCAGGGCTGGAAGGAGGTGGAATATTTATAGAACGTGTACCTTGAGCAAGGCACTGGACCAGGCAATGTGGGCTGGAGAGATGCAGAGATTAAAAGCAGGGGGTGGTGTATATCCAGGATTGAAAAAACTGTCCTAAAGTCTGAGTCCCGCCGCTTGGTTCAGAAAATACATTGGCCATGTGTAAGAAAAACTATGCTTGTCTCAAGGAACAAGACAGGACCCAGAAAGACACCGTGGCCTCACCAGTTAGTGGGCCCCAGCCAGTGCTAGCTGAGTGGTGATGACAGACACGTCTGTGGGAGTCAGGGAGGATGGCACCCAGTGCAGGGGTCAAGGCAGGCTTCCTTCGGAGGCGTGGCTTGGGCGGGGCGAGAGTGATTGGCAGGCTGGCTGGAGAGGGCAGGGCAGCCGGCATGGGAGTAGGAATGGCCACAAGTGGCCAACGGAAAGCAGGTGGCAGGACAGGAGGCTGTGGTGGGGCCTGACCGAGCAGCCTTTCCTTCCAAATCTGACTGTGGCTTGCTCAGGCCCCTATGGTGGCTGTGACCCTGTTTTGTCCATCTCCTTTCACCAGGACCCGCCGGGTGAGGGTGACTGGAGCACATTCCTGGGCTTGGGGGTGGGAAGGGAGTCTGATTTGCCTGGGGTTGATGTGGGGGGGTTTTGGGCATGGGCCGTGACTCACAGAGTAGATCCAGATCCGCCTGCTCCCCTCATATCCTGTTATTCAGAAGGCTGTATCCGCTTAGAAAGTGTCTTTTGTCCTGGGGTGAGAGGGTGACGCATGTGCCCTCTGGCAGTCTGCTGCTGTGTCCAGAGTCCGACTCCAGCTGGGCTGTAACTGGGCTTGGCCCCCGCCTTAGGTAACGATGTGTGGGTGGGGGTGTTCTTGGGTCCTGCTGTGTATTTAGGGATGGGAATAAGGGAGGAGAGGCTAGCAGGGTGTGGCGGGGTGTGTTGGGAGAGCTGCACAAAATCTGATCCAATTGATCTGGACCTTGTCCTTTCCCATAAGGGGCAGCCAGGTTCTGAGACCCGGGACTCACTGTCCTGGAGCCCGGCAAGGGATTGGGGAAGGCCTACATCTTCCTTTCTGCTTTGTTGCCTGGGGCTGGGGTCTCAGCCAGTCCTGGGAGTGGGAGGCAGTAGCCTCTGCCCCTAACCTCCATGGCTCATCCCAGCTGTCCCAGCCATGCTTGGCCCCGGGAGAGGTGGGCCAGCTGTGGAGCAGGGTGGGAGAACAGGTGGACTCTTCTCTTCCCATGAGAGCCTCTTGCCCCGTAGGGCTCTGACACTAGGGATCTTGCTCCCTAGGGCTGGAACCTGGTGCCTGGGGCTGGGGCAGGGCCTGGAGAACCTGTTGAGGCGGTTGAGCTGGGGAGCACCTGGATTAGAGGAGCCGCATAGTTCTCATTCCAGGGCTCACTCTCCCCCACCCACTCTGTTCCCCTTTTCCTGCCACCTTCTTCTCCAGGGACCAGAAACAAGGCAGGAGGAGGGACCCAGGGCCTAGGGTGGGTGTGGAGGAGGAGGAGGTATGGCCTGTGGGTGTCTCTTCTCATCTCCCCTCCTCCTGGTGTCCAGGCCCCGCCAGCAGGCGAAGCAGGGAGATGTCAGACTGCTACACGGAGCTGGAGAAGGCAGTCATTGTCCTGGTGGAAAACTTCTACAAATATGTGTCTAAGTACAGCCTGGTCAAGAACAAGATCAGCAAGAGCAGCTTCCGCGAGATGCTCCAGAAAGAGCTGAACCACATGCTGTCGGTAAGGCCTCTCACCCAAGGGCCTTGCCTCCCTCTCCCCTTCCCTCCCCTGCAAGCCTCTGGCCTCTGAGGGTGTCTTTCCCTGCTGAGGCCTCTATCCTTCCAGTGTCCCCGCTAACTCCAGGGTCTTCTACACCCCCAGGCCTCTGTCTTCTCAGGATGCTTAGGCCTAGCCAGTGAGGGCTATATTTGCATTTCCCAAGGGAAGCAGCTGTGCAGGCCAGATCCTGGGTCTCTGCCTAGGGTCCTGCCTGGAGTCTCTCTGGGGCTTCCACCATCAGCATTGCTGACCCTGCTTCCTCCCCAGGACACAGGGAACCGGAAGGCTGCGGATAAGCTCATCCAGAACCTGGATGCCAATCATGATGGGCGCATCAGCTTCGATGAGTACTGGACCTTGATAGGCGGCATCACCGGCCCCATCGCCAAACTCATCCATGAGCAGGAGCAGCAGAGCAGCAGCTAGAGACCCCTTTGGCCACACCTTCCAGGCACTGGCCTGATGCCCCGCCCTGGTGCTCTCCCCAGGCTCCCTCCTCAGCCTCCTGCCCACCCAGGGCCCTTTACTCTCTTCTCCCTCCAGACCTTCCTCTGACCCTTGCTGAACTGGGGTCCCTTTGTGAGTGTCTCAGTCTAGAGGTACCTCCCTCCCTGGGGGGTCTCAGCTCCTGGAGTCGCAGGCCCTTGGGGCCCCTCTGTGAGATCTCAATGCTGTCTGGGGACCCTAAGAGTTTTCTCACCTGTTCAGTCTCATCTAACCTTCCAATGTCTGATGTTCCTGCCAAATTCCTGCCTGATTCTGGGTCCGTCCTGACCTCCAAAGGTCAGCTTGGTGCTTGAGGTCTCCCTGCTCTTGGTGGCAGTGGTAGCAGCAACAGCAGCAGCAGCAGCAGCAGCAGCAGCAGAGACCTCTCCACTTTCCCTTAGCCCCTCTGCTGGGTAGAGAGGCACTTTCAGGGACTTCCCTCCAGCTGCCTCTTCATCTGGGAATGAGCTAAGCAAGGCTGAGCCTCCTCCTGTTGCTTGAAATAATGATGATATAAAGGCTGGATTTGGAGTTTGTATCCCCTGGTCCCTCTGGGATGCTCATTAAAACCTTCCCACTCCTTGGAAACGTTTTATGCTTTGGTGGTCTTAGCCCTTGGGCCCTGTGATAAGAGAGAATCTCACAGAAGAACCTCAAAGGCAGAGCAAGAAAGGAGCCAGAACTCCTAAATTCCAACAGGCACTGTCAGCTGTGGGCCAGCAGCTCCCTCCATCCTCCTCCATAAAGGGCCAAAGGCCTTAGGTCACCATCTCTGGGCCCTTTTAGCCCAGACTCAGACTCAAATTCAACTTCCAGGCACACTGTAAGTCCCGTTTAGTCCTCACTGCAATTCCACGAGAGAGGGACCATGACCCTTAGTCTTTTTTTTTTTTTTTTTTTGGAGCGGAGAGTTTAATAGGCAAGAAGGGGCAAGACGGAAGGGAGAAGGAAGAAGCTCCCCTGTACAGAGACAGAGGGACGGAGGCCCCAAAGCTGAGAGAGGGAACCCCACCTGCCACAGATACCATCTAGGTATATATACAGAGGCTGGAGGAGGAGGAGTCTGATTTGTATAGGGCTCAGGGGATTGGTTTGACTATGCGTGTCATTCACGTAGCCCTCGGAAAAAGCTGGCCCTCACACCCTAGCCTTTTTTTTTTTTTTTTTTTTTTTTGAGATGGAGTTTCACTCTTGTTGCCCAGGCTGGAGTGCAATGGCGTGCAATCTCGGCTCACCGCAAGCTCCGCCTCCCGGGTACAAGCAATTCTCCTGCCTCAGCCTCCCGAGTAGTTGAGAATACAGGTATGTGCCACAATACCCCGCTATTTTTGTTGTATTTTTAGTAGAGACGGGATTTCTCCATGTTGGTCAGGCTGGTCTGGAACTCCTGACCTCAGGTGATCCGCCCGCCTCGGCCTCCCAAAGTGTTGGGATTACAGGCGTGAGCCACCGCACCTTGCCCCACCCTAGCCTTTTAATATGCAAATGCAGGTCTACACACCTGGGGATATGTGAGGGCAGCCACATTGCCAGGAACATGTGGGGAAAGGGCAAGAAGGCCGGGGGAATCACCATGTTTGGGTGGACCCAGTTTCTAAGGGCTTGCATTTGCATATCAAAGGTTGCCAACCTGGCTCTAAGAGCCGGGGCTTTACAAGAAACTTTTCTGGAGATGCTTCAAAAAAATGAAAACTCCAGCCTGACCAACATGTAGAAACCCCGTCTCTACTAAAAATACAAAATTAGCCGGGCGTGGTGGCGCATGCCTGTAATCCCAGCTACTCGGGAGGCTGAGGCCAGAGAATCGCTTGAACCCAGGAGGCGGAGGTTGTGGTGAGCCAAGATCGCACCATTGCACTCCAGCCTGGGCGACAAGAGCAAAACTCCGTCTCAAAAAAAAAGAAAAAGAAACAAAACAAAAAACTTCCCAAGGACCCAAGGACCCATTTTCCTCTCTATCTGCCTAAAATAATTTCTTAATAACTCCTACAACATTCCCCCCTGTGGAGATGCCACACTAACTGCTGTTAGGGAGTTTTGGGCGACGACTCCTTCTGGCTACTTCTTGTTGCAAAAGGGCGTCGAATGGGGAAGAGCAGCTAGGGCTCCTCCTGGGGTCAATCTAAGGGTCCTCAGAAGAATGATGTGTCTATGTGTGGTTCTGTTTACAGCACCATTTGGAGTTTGATTGCTTCTAGATGAGAAGAAACAATTTGAGTTATAGTATTGTGTATACAGGGTCCAAATATCAATACAAGACACATAAGCAAGAGAGGGCTTAATAAAGGGGTTAACCAATTCCATAAAGAAGACTGGAATTTATTAAAGAGGCATTGTAGCCACTCGGGGATCAATAATTTTGATTTGATTTTTAAGTACTTGTAGATTTTCTTTTAACTAGAGGCATTAATCCGAAAGCAGCATGTTTCATTGAAAACTGCATCACTAAACCCAATAAAAAGTCCTAGCAGATTCAGTGGTAGTAAAACTTTTATGCTTCCTTTTCATTAGTAGCTATTATCCCTGCTATAAGGATAATGATTAAGCAAAATATGACAGCAATGGAAACTCTCTGTTTAATATTTCAGTTAGAAGGTGCTACCATGTATAATCCTATTGCAAATAATAGAGTGAGTATAGCTATTTCCATAAGTGTGGTGTGGTAGATAATTTCCATCTAAACTTTTACCTGTCAAGATATAGAATTCCCCTTTGGGGGTCTATGAAGTTCCTTGGTTTTATTTTCCTAAACGAAGAAACCTCTGGGTTATGGGCACCCTACTCACTTTTATTACCTGGTAGAATTTGCAGAATAATTGCCCAGAACTAATATATTGATTCAGATTTTATATTACCCATCCCTTAATTTTTCTTCCAAGCTGCAGGAGATCACTGCTTGATTCACAGGAATAAGCAGGGTTAGTCTAAAATGTAGGCGAAAAGCTTGAAAACAAAAACAAAAAACAAAAAAATGTATGATAAGCTTTGGAGCACAATTTTTCTCTCTAGTCCTCGTTCTTGGTAAAAACAAGTTATGAATAAACTGTAGTCTTATACTTGCCCTGATTATTTGCATAAAGTGCAGCAAGAATGGTTATTTGTACACAGGCCTTTTGATTGGCTTTGATGAAACTCTGTTTCACAAGGAATTTCAGATAAGACTATTAAAGCCTAAAGTTTGTATTTGAGGATACAAACCTCAAATACCTGTTAGTTGGGTGATCCTCTCCTCTTGAGGTCCCAAGATAAACTCGGAGCTCCCAGACGTGTTAAAAAATGACATTCTTTACTGACTACAGATTAGGAACCCTGTCCAGAGACTGTGTAGACAAGGTATGAGGCCAGTTCTCCCAAAGCGGCTTTTATTGGCTCTGCTTGTCAAGCTTGATTCAGATAGTTTCCAAATTCTAGAGGAACCAGGCAGAGAAATAAACATGCTCCAAATTTTGTTCATAGGAGTACACCTTACTCAATTATTAAAGGCCACAAATAGCTTAAAATAAGTTTCCTTGACTCAGTCTGATGAACGAATTTCCTTTCCTGGCCAACGCACTAAAATGATACGGCTCTGATGAGTGGAGGAACACCAGGGTTCTTGGTGCTCATGCCAGTTTAGATAAAACGACATGGACACACGTGGAGTGGTTTTAAGGAGCGGAGAGTTTAATAGGCAAGAGGGACAAGAAGGAAGGGAGAAGGAAGAAGCTCCCCTATACAGAGACAGAGGGAGGGGGGCTCCAAAGCCAAGAGAGG
Source organism: Homo sapiens (assembly GCF_000001405.40). Lineage (NCBI taxonomy): Eukaryota > Metazoa > Chordata > Mammalia > Primates > Hominidae > Homo > Homo sapiens. Next base: position 153,603,720 of record NC_000001.11, on the reverse strand, counting down.
GAACCCCCATGACCCTTAGTCTTGAGCCATGAGTGGCACTGAGGCTCTGAATTCTCATTAGTAGACTATCCCGATACAGACAGAAGTTGTGGGATGGAGAAGTAGAGGTGCAAGGAAGAAGGAGTGTGGGAGGCCAGGTGGAATGGAAGCCATGACTTGCAGCTGCTGGAGGGGACATTGCCAGTTCCTTGGTTTCTCCCCTGCTCTTGCACTGAGGGAGATCCCAGTAGGAAACCCACCCTGCAGAACTGGGCATCAGCAGTTTTTAAATGGGAACAGCTTAAGACTTTCCAAAAAGATGCACAGGCACAATAGTTTTATTGGCATCCACTTACAGATCCTCAGCCTTCTAAAATTGATCTGCCCTGGAACAGGGTGGCACTCAAGGTGTTGTACTGTTCCTCCTTTCCCACCCCCAGTAGCTGGGATTACAGGCTGGCGCCACCACACTCAGCTAATTTTTGTATTTTTAGTAGAGAAGGGGTTTCACTATGTTGGCCAGGCTGGTCTCAAACTCCTGGCCTCAAGAGATCCACCTGCCTCAGCCTCCCAAAGTGCTGGGATTACAGGCATGAGCTGCCGTGCCCGGCCTACTATGCTACCTTGACTGAATGATAAAGAATGAGTTAACATGTCTTGTTGGTGGCGGGGGGAGGGGGGTGGTTCTATCTATCTATCCATCCATCCATCTATGTATCTATCAATCTATCATCTATTTATCTACTTACCTATCTACCTATCTGCTATCTATCTATCATCTATCTATCTATCTATCTATCTATCTATCTATCTATCTATCGCTATCTGTCAACTGGTAAAAAAGACACAAATTTACCTCTTTTTTTAGTGTGCATTACAGTATTGTTAACCGTATATACATTGTACAAAAGATCTCCAGAACTTTTTCATCTTGCACGACTGTAACCCTATACCCTTTGAACAACAACTGTTTCTCCCTCCCCACAGTGAATACAATTTTACTTTCTGTTTCTTTTCTTTTCTTTCTTTTTTCTTTTCTTTTTTTTTTTTTTGAGACAGATCTTGCTCTGTCACCCAGGCTGGAGTGCAGTGGCACAATCTTGGCTCACTGCAATCTTGACCTCCCTTGTTCAGGTGATTCTCCTGCCTTAGCCTCGCGAGTAGCTGGGACTATAGGTGTATGCCACCACGCCCAGCTAATTTTTGTATTTTTAGTAGGGATAGGGTTTTACCATGTTGGCCAGCCTGGTCTGGAACTCCTGACCTCAAGTGATCCATCTGTCTTGGCCTCCCAAAGTGTTGGGATTACAGGTGTGAGCCACCGTGCCCAGCTATTCTCTTTTACTTATTTCTGCTCTAAACTTTATTATTTCCTTTCTTCTGCTAACTTTGAGATTAGTTTATTCTTCTTTTTCTAGTTCCTCAAAGTGTAAAGTTAGGTTGTCAATTTGAGATCTTTCTTCTTTTTCTTTTTCTTTTGTTTTGTTTTTTGAGATGGAGTCTTGCTCTGTCGCCTAGGTTGGACAACAGTGGCACGATCTCAGCTCACTGCAACCTCCGCCTCCCAGGTTCAAGCAATTCTCGTGCCTCAGCCTCCCGAGTAGCTGGGATTACAGGCACATGCCACAAGGCCCCGCTAAGTTTTTGTATTTTTAGTAGAGACAAGGTTTTTACCATGTTGCCAGTCTGGTCTCCTGACTTCAGGTGATCCGCCCACTCAGCCTCCCAGAGTGCTGGGATTATAGGTGTGAGCCACCGTACCCGGCCATCTTTCTTTTATTTAAATTTAGCATTTACCACTATAAACTTCCCTCTTTATACTACTTTTGCTGCATCTCATAAGTGTTGGTATGTTGTGTTTTTGCTTTTATTTTCTCAATTTTTTTTTTTTTTTGAGATGGAGTCTTGCTCTGTCTCCTAGGCTGGAGTGCAGTGGCGCGATCTCAGCTCACTGCGAGCTCTGCCTTCCGGGTTCACACCATTCTCCTGCCTCAGCCTCCCGAGTAGCTGGGACTACAGGCGCCTGCCACCAAGCCCGGCTAATTTTTTTGTATTTTTTTTTTTTAGTAGAGACGGGGTTTCACCGTGTTAGCCAGGATGGTCTCGATCTCCTGACCTCGTGATCCATCTGCCTCGGCCTCCAAAAGCGCCGGGATTACAGGCATGAGCCACCATGCCAGGCCTTTCTCAAGATACTTTATAATTTCCCTTGTGGTTTCTTCTTTGACCCACTGGTTGTTCAAAAGTGTGTTGTGCAATTTCCACATATTTGTGAGTTTTCTAGTTTTCCTACTGCTATTGATTTCTAGTGTGATTTCATTGTGATCATAAAAAATATTTGGCATGATTTCAATCTTCTCAAATTTGTTAAGGTTTTCTGTGTGACCTAACATGTGCTCTCTCCTGGAAAATATTCAGTGTGTGTTTAGGAAGAATGTGTATTCGGATGCTATCAGGTGGAGTATTCTTTTTTTTTCTTTTTTTCTTTTTTTTGAGATGGAGACTCGCTCTGTTACCCAGGCTTGGAGTGCAGTGGTGCGATCTCGGCTCACTGCAACCTCCGCCTCCTGGGTTCACGCCATTTTCCTGCCTCAGCCTCCTGAGTAGCACCCGCCACCATGCCCGGCTAATTTTTTTGTATTTTTCTTAGTAGAGATAGGGTTTCACCATGTTAGCCAGGATGGTCTTGATCTCCTGAGCTCATGATCCACCCGCCTCGGCCTCCCAGAGTGTTGGCATTACAGGCGTGAACCATCACGCCCGGCCATCAGGTGGAGTATTCTATATATACTCTTAGGGACAATTGGTCTATAATGTTGTTTAGGTTCTCTGTTTCCTTATTGATCTCCTGTATGGTTGTTCTATCATACATACATATTTTAAATGGATGATGGAGGCCGGGTGCAGTGGCTCATGCTTGTAATCCCAGCACTTTGGGAAGTTGAGGTGGGCAGATCACCTGAGGTCAGGAGTTCGAGACCAGACTGGCCAGCATGTTGAAACCCCGTCTCTGCTAAAAAATACAAATATTAGCTGGATGTGGTGGCACATGCCTGTAATTCCAGCTACTCAGGAGGCTGAGACATGAGAATCACTTGAACCTGGAAGGCAGAGGTTGTAGTGAGCCGAGATCATGCCACTGCACTCCAGCCTGGGCAAAAGAGTGAGACTGTGTCTCAAAAAATAAATGAATAATTAAATAAATAAATGGATGGTGGAGGGTATCAAGTCATTGTAATATTTAGATTTATTTATTTATTTATTTATTTATTTTTTGAGGCAGAGTCTCACTCTGTCGCCAGGCTGGAGTGCAGTGGCACGGTCTCGGCTCACTGCATCCTCCGCCTCCTGGGTTCAAGCAGTTCTCTGCCCCAGCCTCCCAAGTAGCTGGGATTACAGGCATCCGCCACCACACCCAGCTAATTTTTTGTATTTTTAGTAGAGATGGGGTTTCACCGTATTAGCCAGGATGGTCTCGATCTCCTGACCTCGTGATCTGCCCACCTCGGCCTCGCAAAGTGCTGGGATTACAGGTGTGAGCCACCGCGTCCGGCCTGATATTTAGATTTAATTGAACATATATTTAGAACAGAATCTTAGCAGTTATATTCTAAAACGTTGCAATATGTAAAACACTTCAGAAACTGCACACTTGGCAATGATTTAAGCATGATGAAAAATCTTAGCTGTCAACCTGAAAAATGTGCAAGCCAGTACATAGTTTACGAAATTCCTTTAGGGCTCAAGAAAAGAACAATTCCTTTAGGGAGCACAGAAACAAACCTTGTGAAGACAGACTACTGCTTTAGGGAACAGCAGGGTCACCAGCAATGCAGAGTAGGTGCTACCTAGGAAGGCTTCCTAGAGGAGGCATGAGCTGGGCTGGAACAGAAGGCAGGAGAGGGGCAGGCCTGGAGGGGGTGAGGAGGAAAAAGGCAAAGAGCCTTCTAGAAGACAGAGCAAAGATGATGGTGCCAAGGCCTTGTGGTGGTGAAGGAGGTGGCTCCTCGAAGCCCAGGGGATGGGGGATCTCCTGGAAAATCCTGGAGGCAATTCAGGATAGAGCTGCCCTTCCTGCCTCCTCTCTCATTTTCCAGTCCTCAATACTGTGCCTGTTCCCTCTCACCCCACTCAGCATTCCCATCTTTCCTTCCAAAGGGAGAAGGGGCCAGATGTGGTTGCTCACGCCTGTAATTCCAGCACTTTGGGAGGCCGACGCAGGCAGATTGCAGGCAGATTGTCAGGAGTTCAAGATCAGTCTGGCCAAGATGTTGAAACCCCGTCTCTAATAAAAATACAAAAAATTAGCTGGGCGTGGTGGTGCACACCTGTAGTCCTAGCTACTCAGGAGGCCAAGACAGGAGAATCGCTTGAACCTGGGAGTTGGAGGTTGCAGTGAACCAAGATTGCACCACTGCACTCCAGCCTGGGTGACAGAGCGAGACTCTGTCTCAAAATAAATAAATAAATAAATAATAAATAAATAAAAGGAGTTGGAAACTGGTGAGAGAGGGCAATATTATCTCTGCATCAGAGACAAGAGAGAGACTCTCTTAGGAGGGGTGAGGGAACAGCTGCAGGCTGTTTGGGCCAGCCCCATCTCTGTCCCCAGGACCACTTCTGCTTTCTTGAGAGAAGATGGGCTTTGCTCCCCTCACTGCCCGCAGTACTTGGATGAAACCAGCCCTTCCACCCTACCAAGACTGTAGGACAGCTGGCAGGAAATGAGTATGTGTGTGATGCTAATTAGAAGCCTGTTGCTAGGGGGTTTAAGGGCTCTGGGGAGGAAGCCGAACTTCAGAGGAGGTCAGAGGACTGTAACAGCAGGCAGAGCTTTGGCTTCAGAGCCTGGAGCCACAGAGATCCCAAAGGAGAAAAAGCAGCCACTGGAGGGTCAGTGGGCTCAGCCTGTGGCCTCCCTCAGGACTGCTGGGGCAAGAGAAGGGCATGCCTCCCTTACCCAGGAGCTGTGAACCAGGTGCCTCCCTGAGCATATCAGGAGAGAGAAGAACCAGAAGCAGGTCTCTGTGGGGCCTCACAGTGGAGCAGAGAAGGCCTTTCCTCCGTCTGGGGTCCAGCGCTGGCCTGGCCCAGTGTCTGACCCTCTTGGGACTGAAGTGGTGGGTGCCCAATAAGTTGTGCCTGTCAAACCCATCTATAGCAGACCTGTCATTGTTTTTTATTTTTGAGACAGAGTCTTGCTCTGTTGCCCAGGCTGGAGTAGGGGTGTGATTACGGCTCACTGCAGCCTCGACCTCCCCAGTTCAAGCAATCCTCCTACCTCAGCCTCCTGAATGGCTAGGACTACAGGTGCAGGGTCACCATGCCTGGCTAATTTTCAAAAGTTTTCTGTAGAGATGATGTCTCTTTATGTTGGCCAGGCTGGTCTTGAACTCCTGGGCTCAAGTGATCTTCCCACCTTGGCCTCCCGAAGTGCTGGGATTATAGGTGTGAGCTACCGCACCTGGCCTCAGATCTATCATTCTTTAGGGTGAGAGCCTAGCTCATTTTGTCACATAGGGTAAGAAACCTGAAACTATCTGTGTCAACTTTTGTATTTTCTGTAAATTTGGTTTTATTTTACATTTAGATTCCTAGTAAAGTCCCTTTTGAAAAACTAAACATACTTTCTTTGTCCAGTGTTAAAAGTGTTGTTTTTCGCTCGGCATGGTGGCTCACACTTGTGAGCTCCCATCCCAGCACTTTGGGAGGCTGAGGAGGGAGGTTTGTTTGAGCCCAGGAGTTCCAGACCAGCCTGAAAAACACAGTGAGACTACACACACACACACACACACACACACACACAAACACACACACACACAAAAGTGGATTTCTTTCTTTTCTTTTTTTTTAGAGACAAGGTCTCACTCTGTCACCCAGGCTGCAGTGCAGTGGCATGATCCTAGCTCACCGCAGCTTCAAACTCCCTGGTTCAAACGATCCTCCTGCTTCAGCCTCCCAAAGTGCTGGGATTACAGGTGTGAGCCACTGCACCTGGCAAAAGTTTTTTTGAGACAGAGTCTCTCTCTATGGCTCAGGCTGGAGTGCAGTGGTGCAATCTTGGCTCACTGCCATCTACGCCTCCTGGGTTCAAGCAATTCTCCTGCCTCAGCCTCCAGAGTAGCTGGGATTACAGGCACCTGCCACCATGCCCGGCTGATTTTTTTGTATTTTTAGTAGAGATGGGATTTTACCATTATTGGTCAGGCTGGTCTCAAACTCCTGACTTTGTGAGCTGCCCGCCTCGGCCTCCCAAAGTGCTAGGATTACAGATGTGAGCCACCACGCCCGCCTGGCAAAAGTTTTAATGAGCACTTTCACATTCAAGGTTTTTTTGTTCCTCTTAACAACTGCAGTGAGATAAGTATCATGACCCACATTTTACACATGAAGATGTCAAGGTTCAGAGAGGTGATGTGACTCAGCCAAGGACTCACTGTTGATGATCAGGAGACTTGTGACTCAGACCCCATCTTTTACTAACTCTGTGTGGACTGCCCAAAGGGCAGAGGTTCTTGTCCGGTTTTGGCCCCAATAATTATGGAGGACTAAGAGTGTCCCTCAGAGGCCCTGTATAGTGGCTGTGTTGTTTCTGCTGCAGACTCATTTATTCATTCAGTAAGAATAAAGTACCTTAAGGCCAGGCGTGGTGGCTCACACTTGTAATCCCAGCACTTTGGGAGGCAGAGGTGGGCAAACCATGAGGGCAGGAGTTTGAGACCAGCCTGGCCAATGTGAAGAAATGCCGTCTCTACTAAAAAAAACCAAAAAACAAAAAAAACCCCCAAAAATTAGCCGGGCGTGGTGGTGCACGCCTGTAATCCCAGCTACTTGGGAGGCTGAGGTGGGAGAATCATTTGAACCCAGGAGGCGGAGGCTGCAGTGAGCCAAGATCGCCCCACCGCACTCCAGCCTGGGCGACAGAGCGAGACTCCATCTCAAAAAAACAAAAAAACGAAACAAAAAGAATAACGTACCTTGTACATGCCAGACACAGTAGATGCTATAGCAAAAAGAGTAGAAACAGACATGCTTTCTGATTTTATGGGGCTTACAAGTTGGAGGAAGAGTCAGCAGACAGCCACATGGTCACATAAACAAGTGGATAATTACAAATTGAGATAACTTCTAAAGGATCACATTTGTAGGAATTTTTAACAAAGAAACTTGACTTAGCGTTTGTGTGGGAAGATCCTTGTGGAAGGGACACTTGAGCTGAGATCTGAAAGATAAGCGTAAGTTATCCATGCAAAGGGAGCAGGTGAGAGTGGAGTTGAGGAGGAAAAGGACTTTCCAGATAGAGGGTCCATCATGGGCAAAGGCCCTATGGCAGGAGGGAGCATGATGAGTTTGTAACTGAGAGAGAGCAGGCATGGCTGAAGCTCAAGAGCAAGGAGGAGAGAGGTACCAGGCAAGGATGGAGAAGTAGGCAAGGCTGGAGAAGTAGGCAAGGCCTTGGGGGACACAAAAACCAAGGAATGGTTTTTCTAGTGATGTGAGAATGTGTGTGTGTGTGTGTGTGTGCTTGTGCATGTGACATAGATTTGCCTTTTGGAAAATTACACTCAGTCTGCAATACGGAAAAGATCAAGAGGGGCAGAACAGATTCAGGAGGATCAGCTAGGAGGCAAAAAATAACACCTAATATTTGTTGAGTACTTACTTTATACCAAGTGCTATTCTGAGTATTTTGCATGTATTAACTCCCTAATCCTTATGAGCTTATGAAGTAAGGACTTCCATTATTTTCATTTTACAGATGAGGAAACCAAGGTGCAGAAAAGTTACATAAGTTGCTGCAGATCATAGAACTGATAAGTGGTGGAACCCGGACGCTCTGATTTCAGAGCTTCTGTTCTTAACTGTGATTGTCTCCTGAGCACTAGGGTGGTGACAGTGAGGACTCATGTATCATGCATTCAATCAACATATACTTATGCAGTGGTCACTATGTGCCAGGCACTGTTCTATTTTTTATTTTTTGTTTTATGAGGCAGATTCTCACTCTGTTGCCCAGGCTGGAGTGCAGTGGCGTGATCTTGGCTCACTGCAACCTCTGCCTCCTGGGTTCAAGCGATTCTCCTGCCTCAGCCTCCGGAGTAGCTGAGATTACAGGCACCTGCCACCATGCTCGGCTAATTTTTACATTTTTAGTAGAGACGGTGTTTCGCCGTGTTGACCGGGCTGGTCTTGAACATCTGATCTCAGATGATCCACCCACCTTGGCCTCCCAAAGTGCTGGGATTACAGTTGTGAGCCACCATGCCCAGCTTTTTTTTTTTTTTTTTTTAAGACAGAGTCTTTCTTTGTAAACCAGGCTGTAGTACAGTGGCCCAATTACAGCTCACTGAGGTCTCAACTTCTCAGATTCAGGTGATCCTCCCACCTCAGCCTCCTGAGTAGCTGGGACTACAGGCGTGCTGCCACCACACCCGGCTAATTTTTATTTTTTACTATTTTTTTGTAGAGACAGGGTTTTGCCATGTTTCCCAGGCTGGTCTTGAACTCCTGGGCTCAAGTGATCTGCCCATCTCGGTCTCCCAAAGTGCTGGGACTACAGGCATGGGCCACCACTCCCAGCCTCAGGCACTGTTCTGTCTCTGCCGTCACAGAACTCAGTCCACTCGGGTGGAGATATACAATCAGTAAGCAGACAAGAAAATCATATGGCATATGGAGAAAAACAAAGCAAGAAAGAGGACAGTGAGTCCTGAGGAATGGGGCTGGTGGAGAGATGTAACAATGGGATGGATTTGGGAGAAATGTAAGGGGTAAAAAAGTCAGGCCTTGCTTATGAACTGAATCTGATGGACCAGAGAGAGGAAGGTGTCCAGGCAACTTCCATATATCTGGCTTGTGCAGCCAGAATGGTAGTGCCATTCATTGATACAGGCAATGCTGGGAAAGGCCCAGAACCCTTTTTCAGAGTGAGTGGGGAAGGAGGACATGTGGACACTGCAAGTTTAGTTTCAGACATCCCTTTGGGATAGTGATGTGGTGATGACAAAATGGTAGTTGGGGGGTGCACGGCAGGTGCGGTGGCTCATGCCTGTAATCCCAGCAATTTGAGAGGCTGAGGCAGGTGGATCACTTGAGGCCAGGAGTTTGAAACCAGCCTTGGCAACATGGTGAAACCACATCTCTACTAAGCATGCACCAGTAATCCCAGCTACTCGGGAGGTTGGGGTGGGAAAATTGCTTGAACCCAGGAGGCAGAGGTTGCAGTGAGCTGAGATCACGCCACTGCACTCCAGCCTGGATGACAGAGTGAGACTCCATCTCAAAAAAAAAAAAAAAGGATAGTTGGATATCCACATCTAGAGTTCATGGGGGAGGGCTGGATTGGCAATTTGGGAGTCAGAAACATTTAGATGGTAACCTAAGTACTGGGCACGGATGAGCTTGCCCATGGCAAGCATGGAGTGAGAAGAGGGTCTGTCCAAAAGGCACGTCCAAATGCAGACTCCATATGCCCCTTTTGTCCTCAACCTGCTCTTCGTGCTCTGGTTCGCTGGCAGCTCTGTTGTCAGCATGGAGCCATTCATTCTTCCTTTCTATATTTCGCATCCCACATCTTGTCTGTTTTGAAATCCTGCTAGTTCCATCTTCAAAACATATCCAGAATTAATCCCTCTTTCCACTTCTACTGCTACCATATTGATCAGAATCATGGTTGTCTCTTACTTAGACATTCCAAGCATCTCCCCTTGTTCCTTTATAGGAACATACTCACCTTATATACTCATATAGCAGCCAGAATCATTCTTTAAAAATGTGCTTCAGGCTGGGTGCAGTGGCTTACGACTGTAATCCCAGCACTTTGGGAGGCCGAGGTGGATGGATCACTTGAGGTCAGGAGTTCAAGACCAGCTTCGCCAACATGGTGAAATCCCGTCTCTACTAAAACAAAAATTAGCTGGGTGTGGTGGGCATGCCTGTAATTCCAGCTACTCTGGAGGCTGAGGCAGGAGAATTGCTTGAACCTGGGAGGCGGAGGTTGCAGTGAGCCGAGATCATGCCACTGCACTCCAGCCTGGGTGACAGAGCAAGACTCCATCCTGGAAAAAAAAAAGTTATGAAAGTAGATCATAATAAATGTTATTTATCAAAAAAGTACAATTTAAATTATTTTACTTGTAGTTAGCCAAAGGGAAAATGAACAAAATATTGAACTTCAGGTAATTTTTTTTTTCTCTTGAGATGGAGTCTGTCGCTCAGGCTGGAGTGCAGTGGCCCGATCTCGGCTCACTGCAACCTCTGCCTCCCGGGTTCAAGCAATCCTCTTGCCTCAGCCTCCTGAGTAGCTGGGATTACACGTGTCTGCTAATACATGCCCAGCTAATACATGCCCAGCTAATTTTTTTTAAAATACTTTTAGTAGAGACAGGATTTCACCATGTTGGCCAGGCTGGTCTCAAACTCCTGAGCTCAGGTGATCTGCTCACCTCGGCCTCCCAAAGTGCTGGGATTACAAGCATGAGCCACTTTGCCCGGCCCTTACTACACGTTTTCATTTTAGACGGTGACTTACGAATTCTTCCAGGGGGATGAGGAAAATAATACATTTACACTTCCATTTCCTGTACCCCAGAGTAGCACTATCTGATAGTTATATTATGTATACAGTATTTACATTCTGTCTTGTAACCGTGATTTCCATGTAAGTTTAGCTTCAGTTCTCTGAATGCGATGCTCACAGACAGAGCGTTTAGCTTGGTTTCTTAATTCCTGCATCCTTAATGTGATTTATTATTTGGTTGGTTGAATTTCAAAGGGCCCTTGTTTTATGTATTCCCTGAGTTGTTTCTTTCAACTCGAGTCTGTTGCAGCTTGGCAGGGAATACAATTCTTGGGTCACCCTTTCTCTCTGAGCCCTGTAACCTTCTCTCTACTGTTTGCTGACATTGTGTGTTTCATGGGAAAATCTCAGGGGAACTGGACTCTCCTCCCTGATACACAGCTTGCTTTCTGTTCATGGATGCTCTTCCTTTTTAAAGATTCTTTTTCTTTTCCTATTGTTCTAATGATGAAGTATTTCAAAGGTACAGAAAAGTACAGAAAATAACACAATATCTAATCATAAGCTTTGTTGAAGTTGGACATTTTTCTATATTTGAGTTAGATTGCTTTAAATAAATAACTAAAACTTACAGATCCAGTTAAAGGCCTCTGTGTACACTTCCGTATTGTACTTGCACTTTCCACAGCTGTAGTCACTATCCTGAACTGTGTATTTATGATCCCCTTGATTGAAAAATTTTTTGATCACATGTGTACAAATTTCTAAACAATATATTATTATTATTATTATTATTGAGATGGAGTCTTGTTGTGTTGCCCAGGCTGGAGTGCAGTGGCACAATCTCGGCTCACTGCAACCTCTGCCTCCCAGGTTGAAGTGATTCTCCTGCCTTAGCCTCCCAAGTAGCTGGGATTACAGGCGCCCGCCACCACGCCCAGCTAATTTTTAAACAATATTTTATTTAGTATTGCATGTTTTTGCACTTTACATAAATGGTATCATAGCATATAAATTCTTCTGCAACTTCCTCTCTTGTTTAAAATAAGATTTTACTTATTTATTTATTTATTTGAGATGGAGTTTCACTCTCGTTGCCTAGGCTGGAGCGCAATGGCTCAATCTGGGCTCACTGCAACCTCTGCCTCCTAGGTTCAAGCGATTCTCCTGCCTAAGCCTCCTGAGTAGCTGGGATTACAGGCCTGCACCACCACGCCCAGCTAATTTTGTATTTTTAGTAGAGACGGGGTTTCTCCATGTTGGTTAGGCTGGTCTTGAACTCCTGACCTCAGGTGATCCACCCACCTTGGCCTCCCAAAGTGCTGGGATTACAGGTGTCAGCCACCGTGCCCAGATAAAATAAGAGATTTATTTTAAGATTTATATTGATGGAGTTCATTCATTTTTACTACTCTATCATATTTCATTGTATGAAAATACCCTATTTATCTATAGTCCTATTGATGGACATTGGGCTGTTTTCAGTTTTTTGGGTGATTTATTTTAAAACTATTTTATTATCTATTTTTGTTTGTTTGAGACGGACTCTTGCCCTGTTGCCCAGGCTGGAGTGCAATGGCTCGATCTTGGCTCACTGCTACCTCTGCCTCCCAGGTTCAAGCGATTCTCTTGCCTCAGCCTCCTGAGTAGCTGGGATTACTGGCGCTCACCACCATGCCCAGCTAATTTTTTGTATATTTAGTAGAGACAGGGTTTCACCATGTTGGCCAGGCTGGTCTTGAACTTCTGACCTCAGGTGATCTGCCAGCCTCGGCCTATCAAAGTGCTGAGATTACAGGCGTGAGCCACCGCACTTGGCCGTTATTATCTATTAATTTAAAAATTTTGTTGCATTGCAGTCAGAAAAACATAATCTGTATAATATTGCAAACTTTTTTTTTTTTTTTTGAGATGGAGTCTCGCTCTGTCGCCTAGGCTGGAATGCAGTGGCGTGATGGCAGCTCACTGCAAGCTCCACCTCCCAGGTTTATGCCATTCTCCTGCCTCAGCCTCCTGAGTAGGTGGGACTACAGGCGCCTGCCACCACACCCGGCTAATTTTAGTAGAGACAGGGTTTCACCGTGTTAGCCAGGATGGTCTTGATCTCCTGACCTTGTGATTTGCCCTCCTTGGGCTCCCAAAGTGGTGGGATTACAGGTGGCCCTTTTTTTTTTTTTTTTTTTTTTTTTTGAGACAGCGTTTTGCTCTGTTGCCCAGGCTGGAGTGCAATGGCACAATCATAACTCACTGCAGCCTCGAATTCCTGGGCTCAAGCGATCCTCCTGCTTCAGCTTCCCAAAGTGCTGGGATTATAGGTGTGAGCCAACACATCTGGCCTTAATCTGATAATAGTGAGTCTCTGAAATTTTTCAAGGCTTTCTTTATAGCATCCAACATATTCAATATTACGTGATACATACATGCTAGAAAAGATTATGTATTTTCTCTTTGTTGGGTGTGAAATTCTATATACACCAATAGCTTAAATTTTTTGTTGTTGTTGTTGAGGTGGAGTCTCGCTCTGTTGCCCAGGCTGGAGTGTGGTGGTGTGATCTCGGCTCACTGCAACCTCTGCCTCCTGGGTTCAAGTGATCCTCCTGCCTCAGCCTCCCTAGTAGCTGGGACTACAGGTGCCCACCACCATGCCCAACTAATTTTTGTATTTTTAGTTGAGATGGGGTTTTGCCATGTTGGCCAGGCTGGTCTGGAACTCCTGACCTCAGGTGATCCACCCATCTTGGCCCTCCAAAGTTCTGGGATTACAGGAATGAGCCACCATGGCCAGCCCAATAGCTTGAATTTACCAATGATATTATACAGCTATTTTATACCTCTGCTTATTTTTGTCTCCTTGATCAACCAGTTTCAGAGAAAGGTGTGTAAAAAATCTCTAACCATAATTAATCTATTTCTTCCAAAAAACATTTTTTCTTTTTAATTTTTAATTAATTATTATTATTTTTTAATAGCGATGAGGTCCCACTATTCTGCCCAGGCTGGTCTTGGAACTCCTGGGCTCAAGCAGTCCTCCCACCCTGGCCTCTCTAAATGCTGGGATTATAGGCATGAGCCACCACACCCAGCCTCAGAAATTTTATCAGTTGTTGTTTTATATATTTTGAGGCTATATGAGTAGGTGCTTTTATGTTCCTGGTGTTTGTATTTTCTTGTATTACCTCATTCTTTGTCTTTTATATTTTTCCTCTTGTATCCTCTTTTGTCAAATATTAAAATTACTTCCCTGATTTTTTTTTGGTTTATATTTGCTTCATGTATTTTCTTCCTTTTGTTTATTCCTTCTATTTTCTTGTTTAAATATTTGAAATGGTTTTTTATTTTTTTTCAGATGGAGTTTCACTCTTGTTGCCCAGGCTGGAGTGCAATGGTGTGATCTTGGCTCACTGCAACCTCCACCTCCTAGATTCAAGCGATTCTCCTGCCTCAGCCTCCCGAGCGGCTGGGATTATAGGCATGTGCTACCACGCCTGGCTAATTTTTTTGTATTTTTAGTAGAGATGAGGTTTCTCCATGTTGGTCAGGCTGGTCTCGAACTCCTGACCTCAGGTGAACCGCCTGCCTTGGCTTCCCAAAGTGGTGGGATTATAGGCATAAGCCACTGCGCCCAGCCCGTGATAAAGTTTTTTTATTTTCAGTGTTTCTCTTGTATGCAACATATTGCTGAACCTTAAGGAAGAAACTCAACCCAGGAACGTTTGTCTTTTAAGAAGTGTGTTTACTTTACCCATCTTTATTACAATTACTATAATATTAGGACTTATTCTGCCATTTAATTTTATATTTTTCATGTACTGTGCCTTCTTTGTTGTTTCTTTCCCCACCTTTGTTACTTTCCATTACATAGAGCCAACATTCTTCTCATGTTTTGAAAACTATACATTCTATTTTCTTGTTAATGTAGTTGCTTTAATTTGACTTTATGCTACTTCATTGAATAATTTTTAATTATTTATATTCTTCCTAATAATAAAGTTCCTTTCACACCCTCCTATCCCATCAGTCTTGTCTTTTCCTTCCTCTTTTTTTTTTTTTGAGATGGGGTCTTGCACTGTCTCCCAGGCTGAAGTGCAGTGGTACGATCTTGGCTCATTGCAACCTCTGCCTCCTGGGTTCAAGCAATTCTGCCTCAGCTTCCCGAGTAGCTGGGATTACAGGTGTGCGCCACTGTGCTTGGCTAATTTTTGTATTTTTAGTAGAGACGGGGCTTCACCATGTTGGCCATGGTTGGCCAGGCTGGTCTCGAACTCCTGACCTCGGGTGATCTGTCTGCCTCGGCCTCCCAAAGTGCTGGGATTACAGGTGTGAGCCACTGCACCCGGTCCGTTCTGCTTATTTTCATCATATTCATAGTATCTATAATTCAGGTTTTTTTTCTTTTTTTTTTTTTGGTGTAAGTTCCCAACCAATGGCCTTGTCCTTCGAGTACTTTTCCTCAGGCTGATGATAAAAGTTCTGTGTGAAGGTCCTTTTGCTTCAGCTCATCTATGGGACGGAGTCCAGCTGCAAATATATGACACAGTAACTAGAGACTCTACTCTCCAACCAATCATTCCATTCTGATTATCTCTCACTCTCCTCCACCTCTTCTTTCTCAGACTCTCTCCCCCTTTTAGCTTTTGTTGATATTCAATTTTATTATGTCATTTAATCATGTTTATTTCCTATATTGCAGGCATCATCCTATCCTCTTGAACTTATTTCTCTTCTTATTTGGATACTTTGAGAACTGTAAATGTAGGTCTTTGTGTGACAAACATTCTGAGGCTTTTGTAATGCGATAATTTTTTTTTTGTTTTTGAGACAGAGTCTTGCTCTGTCACCCAGGCTGGAGTGCAGTGGCGCAATCTCAGCTCACTGCAGCCTCTGCCTCCCCGGGTTCAAGCAATTCTCCTGCCTCAGCCTTCTGAGTAGCTAGGACCACAGGCACGCGCCACCATGCCCGACTAATTTTTGTATTTTTAGTAGAGATGGGGTTTCATCATGTTGGCCAGGCTAGTCTGGCTAGTCTGTAACTCCTGACCTCAGGTGATCTGCCCGCCTCGGCTTCTGAAAGTGCTGAGATTACAGGCATGAGCCACCACGCCTGGCCGAGAATATTTTTTACTATATTTTCAAATTTGAATGACTATTTGGCTACACAGAATTTTTTTTTCTTTCTTTCTCTCTCTCTCTCTCTCTCTTTTTTTTTTTGAGATAGAATCTTGCTCTGTCTCCCAGGCTGGAGTGCAATGGCGCAATTTTGGTTCACTGCAACCTTAGGCTCCTAGGCTCAAGAAATTCTTGTGCCTCAGCCTCCTGAGTAGTTAGGGATTACAGGGGCATGTCACCACGTCCGGCTAATTTTTGTATTTTTAGTACAGATGGGGTTTCAATGTGTTGGCTAGGCTGGTCTGGACCTCAGGTGAACCTCCCACCTCAGCCTCCCAAAGTGCTGGGATTAACTGGGTGAGCCACTGCACCTAGCCTAAAATTTCTTTCAGTACTTACAAACCTTGCCACTTTCTTGTATTCAGTGTTTCTATTGAGAAGTCTGATGTCAATTTGATTCGTGTTCCTGCAGGACAGTTCTCCCCATGGCCTTGGCCTTATCCAGTTATCTCCCCTTTATCACTTGGAGCTCTCAGGAATAACTGTAGAATGGGCTGAGATACAACATCCCGAGATAAAGAGGGACTGGTGAACAGCCTGGGCCCCGTTCCAGTAACCCCTAGAAACAGGATGTCCTTCAACTCATTAGCCAAGCATGTCACATTGCCCCAGGGGTGTAAATCCAGGGCAGGCTGCTTTTTTTGTTTTGTTTTTTGAGACAGGGTCTCGCTCTGTGGTCCAGGCTGGAGTGCAGTGGCATAATCACGGCTCATGCAGCCTTGAACTCCTGGGCTCAAGAAATCTGTTCTCCTCAGTCCCCCAAGTAGCTGGGGGTACAGGTGTGTGCCACCATGCCCAGCTGATTTTTTTCTTTTTCCTTTTCTTTTTTTTTTGAGACGGAGTCTCACTCTGTTGCCCAGGCTGGAGTGCAGTGGCCCGATCTCTGCTCACTAAAACCTCTGTCTCCCGTGTTCAAGCGATTCTTGTGCCCCAGCCTCCCAAGTAGCTGGGATCACAGGTGCCCACCACCACATCGAGCTAATTTTTTTGTATTTTTAGTAGAGATGGGAGTATCACCATGTTGGCCAGGCTGGTCTCAAACTCCTGACCTCAGGTGATCCGCCTGCCTTGGCCTCCCAAAGTGTTGGATTACAGGGATTACAGGCATGAGCCACCGCGCCTGGCCTGTTTTTTATTTTCTAGAGATGGAGTCTCATTATATTCCCCAGGCTGGTCTCAAACTGCTGGCCTCAAGCAATCCTCCTGCCTCAGTTTCTTAAAGTGCTGGGATTACAGGCGTGAGCCACCATGCCCAGCCTTAGGATGCTTTTTGGAGTCCCTCAGCTGAGATGCAAGTGGGGCACATGTAACTGAGACTCCATCTGCCCTGGGCAGCTTTTCTTTTTTCTTTTTTTCCTCTTTTTCTAATCCAGTATGACTGGTAGTTCCTGGGCAGCTTTTCTGAGCCTTGGGGTACCAGCCTGCCATGAATCTGAGGCTTCTGTTGTCCCCTGCTTTCAATCTGTAAGTAATAAACCTGCTTCATGTAACTTGAGTGTGTCTGTGTGTGTCTGTTTAAC
The DNA here is from genome assembly GCF_000001405.40 of Homo sapiens. Classification (NCBI taxonomy): domain Eukaryota; kingdom Metazoa; phylum Chordata; class Mammalia; order Primates; family Hominidae; genus Homo; species Homo sapiens. Next base: position 153,586,536 of record NC_000001.11, on the reverse strand, counting down.
TTGACTCAGACAGGTTGAAACCAGTGCACAACGGACCTACTTCTCAATTCCTTTGTAGGCAATCTATTGCTTTTGGAAATGTTCAGAGTTTTAATTGAATTTGATCTTCTTCCACTTCAATATGAGTCTAAATGTGTTTTTTTCCTCAGTTACCCTATTTAGCATTCTATGAGCCCTTTCTATCTGAGATCTTTTTCTCTAATTCTCAGAAGTGTTTCAATGTTATTACTTCATTATTTCCTCCTCTCTGTTTTTTTTTTTTTTAATTCCCTGTCTGGGGAATCCTGTTATCCTGATATGAGCACTCTACTTCTATTCTCCATAGCACTTAGCTCCTTTAAAAATATTCTCTTTGTTCTCTACTTCTGCCTTCTGGGAGAGTTTCTCAGTCTGATCATTTAGCTCATCCATTTATTCTCCAGTTGTAGCCATCTTTTATTTTTCCCAATGATTATGCTCTTTATTTTATTTTATTATTATTTTATTGACACTCTGTCACCCAGGCTGGAGTGCAGTGGCACGATCTTGGTGCATTGCAACCTCTGCCTCCTGGGTTCAAGCAATTCTCCTGCCTCAGCCTCCTGAGTAGCTGGGATTACAGGCTCACACCACCACACCCGGCTAATTTTTGCATTTTTAGTAGAGACGGGGTTTCACCATGTTGGCTAGAATGGTCTTGATCTCTTGACCTTGTGATCTGCCCGCCTCTGCCTCCCAAAGTGCGGGGATTACAGGCGTGAGCCACTGCGCCTGGACAGTTATTTTTTTATGACTTCTTGTTTTTATTTCTATCACTAATCTCTCCTTTATCTTTTTGAGGATTTTATTACCTTAATTTAACTTTTTGGTCTACCAGTTTCAATAACTATGCTTCAAATGGTTCATGTTGGTCTTTTTGGGGGGTATTTTGTTACAATTTCTGTACATCTCAGGTTCTGGTGATTTTGGCTTGTGAGCCTGTGTTTCCTGGGCTGGAGTGGGGGTTGTTCTCAGCTACTGCATCTGGAGGTATTGGGGGAAATCCTCAGTGTGGACAGCCAAAGGCACTGCAGAACTAGTGTCACCATTTTGTTTGCGGTCATTCCGCTGGGCAACATCCTGGATGGGAATTTGCCTTTAAGCTTTATGTTGTGCACATGTACCCTGGAACTTAAAGTATAATAAAAATCTATCTATATATATACAAAATAAAAAAATAAAATATTCACTCATACATGTGGAAAAAAAATAAAAAAATAAAAAAATAAAAAGCAGCTCTGGGAAAAGGCAGTCTCCCTGGATTTAAACCTCCAGCTCTGTGGATTTGCAGTGGGAGGAAGCTTGTTGCCTCAGATCAGCCCCCGACTTACTTGCATCAGCTTTTTATCCTGATAGGCCTTGTGTTTTGCCCTGCTTGTTTCTTCTCTGGAGGCAATTGTATCATATCCTTGTTTTTTTCCAATCCTTAGACCTTGAAAAAATGTTTTCCTTAGTGTAATGGTCAGAACCTTCAAATTAATGTTGAATAAAGTGATAATAGCAAGAATCCTTTCCTTGTGTTTGACTTTAACAGGAACAATTTTAAAGCATTTACTGTTCATTCATTTACTGTTAAGAATAATTTAATGTTAAGAATAAGATTGCAGGCTGGGTGTGGTGGCTCATGCCTGTAATTCCAGCACTTTGGGAGGCCGAGGTAGGTGGATCCTTTGAGCTCAGGAGTTTGAGACCAGTGAGGGCAACGTGGTGAAACCCCACTAAAAAAAAAAAAATAAGATTGCAGTAGGTTTTTGCTTGTTGGTCAAGATGTTCCTTTCTATTCCTAGATTATTAAGCGTTATTATTATAAATGGGTATTGAATTTATTCTGGCATCATCATATGGTTTTAATTTTTAATCTCTTAATGTGGAGACTTACATTAATGTATTTTCTAATGTTAAAGTCATCCCTGCAATCATGACATAAACCCAACTTAGTCATAATTTTTCTTAAGTATAATACTTGATTCCATTTGCTAACAGTTTATTTAGGATTTTGCATCTATAATCATAAGTGAGATTGGGTCTCAATTTTCCTTTCTCATACGATACATTTCTGGTGTTGGTATGTAGGATGATCTGCTTGGTACATGGGTTTGGCTGTATGTAACGGATACCAAAAATAGTGGTGACGTGAATGAGAGGGAAGTTTTTTTTTTCTGTCCTGTATTATCTGGAGGTTGGTGGTCCAGGGCTGGTTTGGTGGTTCTGCTTAACCACCCCTAGTTCGTATGGTCCAAATAGCTCATGTACTTTCTAAGTGGCAGGGTGAAGAAACGGCATGTCTCTGACTTTTGAGCATGAATCAAAACTTGCATACCCCATTTCTACTTCTCTTGGCCAGAACTTAGTCATATGGCTACACTCAGCTGCAAGGAAGGCTGGGAAGTGTGGCCTTTATTTGAACTTAAAAGCAAAGATTCTTTTGCTGTGAAAGACAAGGGGAGAATAGGTAATAGGACAATTAGCAGTCTCTACCATAAAGGTTATTTTATATATGCCACATATGGGCAGTATTTCCTTTTTCTATTTTCTGGAAATTTAAGTTTGTATGATTTTTTTTTCTTTTTTTTTTTGGCTGACTTTTGTTTTTTTTTTTTTTAAATTTATTTATTTATTTATTTTTTAATTGATCATTCTTGGGTGTTTCTCGCAGAGGGGGATTTGGCAGGGCCATAGGACAATAGTGGAGGTAAGGTCAGCAGATAAACAAGTGAACAAAGGTCTCTGGTTTTCCTAGGCAGAGGACCCTGCGGCCTTCTGCAGTGTTTGTGTCCCTGGGTACTTAAGATTAGGGAGTGGTGTTGACTCTTAATGAGCATGCTGCCTTCAAGCATCTGTTTAACAAAGCACATCTTGCACCGCCCTTAATCCATTTAACCCTGAGTGGACACAGCACATGTTTCAGAGAGCACAGGGTTGGGGGTAAGGTCACAGATCAACAGGATCCCAAGGCAGAAGAATTTTTCTTAGTACAGAACAAAATGAAAAGTCTCCCATGTCTACTTTCTACACAGACACGGCAACCATCCGATTTCTCAATCTTTTCCCCACCTTTCCGCCCTTTCTATTCCACAAAACCGCCATTGTCATCATGGCCGGTTCTCAATGAGCTGTTGGGTAGACCTCCCAGACAGGGTGGTGGCCGGGCAGAGGGGCTCCTCACTTCCCAGTAGAGGCGGCCGGGCAGAGGCACCCCTCACCTCCCGGACGGGGCGGCTGGCCGGGCGGGGGGCTGACCCCCCCCACCTCCCTCCCGGACGGGGCAGCTGGCCGGGCAGAGGGGCTCCTCACTTCCCAGTAGGGGCGGTTGGGCAGAGGCGCCCCGCACCTCCCGGACGGGGCGGCTGGCCGGGCGGAGGGCTGACCCCCCCACCTCCCTCCCGGACGGGGGTGGCTGCCGGGTGGAGACGCTCCTCACTTCCCAGACGGGGTGGCTGACGGAGGGAGGGGCTCCTCACTTCTCAGACGGGGTGGCTGCCGGGCGGAGGGACTCCTCACTTCTCAGACGGGGCGGTTGCCAGGCAGAGGGTCTCCTCACTTCTCAGACGGGGTCGCGGCCGGGCAGAGGCGCTTATCACATCCCAGACGGGGCGGCGGGGCAGAGGCGCTTCCCACATCTCAGACGATGGGCGGCCGGGCAGAGACGCTCCTCATTTCCTAGATGGGATGGCGGCCGGGCAGAGACGCTCCTCACTTTCCAGACTGGGCAGCCAGGCAGAGGGGCTCCTCACATCCCAGACGATGGGCAGCCAGGCAGAGACGCTCCTCACTTCCCAGACGGGGTGGCGGCCGGGCAGAGGCTGCAATCTCGGCTCTTTGGGAGGCCAAGGCAGGCGGCTGGGAGGTGGTTGTAGCGAGCCGAGATCACGCCACTGCATTCCAGCCTGGGCACCATTGAGCACTGAGTGAACGAGACTCCGTCTGCAATCCCGGCGCCTCGGGAGGCCGAGGCTGGCGGATCACTCGCGGTTAGGAGCTGGAGACCAGCCCGGCCAACACAGCGAAACCCCGTCTCCACCAAAAAAATACAAAAACCAGTCAGGCGTGGCGGCGCGCGCCTGCAATCGCAGGCACTCGGCAGGCTGAGGCAGGAGAATCAGGCAGGGAGGTTGCAGTGAGCCGAGATGGCAGCAGTACAGTCCAGCTTCGGCTTGGCATCAGAGGGAGACCGTGGAAAAGGATTTTTTTTCTTATTTGGTAAACTTGTCTATGAAAACCATCAATTTTATCTTTGTTAGGTAGATTTATACTGCTAATCAATTTCTTTAATGATTATAGGTCTTCAGATTTTCTCCTTCTTAGTCAATGTTGGTCAGCTTTACATATAAATAATTTACATATATATAAAATTTACATATATATAATTTTTTTTCCTGCAAAGCTGCCTATTTCATCTAATTTAAAAAATGTCAACCTCAGCTTTAGCTGGGGGAATCCTGGTTAATCTGGTTTAAGAGTATAAGTCTTCAAAGTAATTTTGTTTTGCTTTTCCCAAGTGCCCCAAGGCCAAAACCAGTTTAGTATTACTTTTTATGTTGACTTCTTGGCTTTGGGGTTTTCTGAACCATTCCAGCCATGTAAACTAAAATCCCAAATCTGCATGAAGACAGGCCCAAGGTTAAAATTTCTCTAAGAAAACTTTCTCCATCCAGAGCCCAGGCGAAGACGTACAAGCTTCCTCGAAATCTCATTTTGCTCATGAGAGGTTTTTTCTTTCAGCCCATTCTTTCACCAAGAAAGTGGTACTTGGGGCACCTTGCTTCATGTAAGGTGGCTTTCGGATTCCCAGATACTTGCAGTTATAAGGACCCATCTCTTCACGATTGGTCCTTGAAAACTGAAGCCCCTTGTTTTCTGAGATTAGAAACCGTCCCTTCCCAAGAACAGCTGTAGCATTAACTCACGCCTAATTGGTTTTTAGTTTCCCCTTCGCTTTGGGCCTAGAAGGGTTTTCTTTACTTTAATGTGAACTTAGCTGTGAAATAAAAAAAGTATCACTGTCATGTTTTAACCAGATAGATTCTATTGCAGAAGCCCCTGTTGAAAATAAAAAAAAAAACCAAACAAACAAAAGAAAAAAAGAAAGAAAAGAAAAATAATCGATAGAAATGGAAGTCTAGCTATTTTTCCTTAACGCAATAACTTTATCAGAATATGTCCTGGCTTTGATAAGTCTGGATCATTTTCTTTTCTTAGAACATGATGTGCCTGGCTGGGAACAGTGGCTCACACCTGTAATCCCAGCACTTTGAGAGGCCAAGGTCAGTGGCGCACTTGAGCCTGGAGTTCGAGACCAGTCTGGGCAACATGAGGAAACCCTGTCTCTACAAAAAAATATTAGCTGGGCGTGGTGGCTTAATCCTGTAATCCCAGCACTTTGGGAGGCCGAGGCGGGCGGATTACCTGAGGTCAGGAGTTTGAGACCAGCCTGGCCAACGTGGTGAAACCCCATCTCTACTAAAAATAAAAAATTAGCTGGACGTGGTGGCTTGTGCCTATAATCCCAGCTACTTGGGAAGCTGAGGCAGGAGAATCGCTTGAACCCAGCAGGCGGAGGTTGCAGTGAGCCGATATGGCGCCACTGCACTCCAATTAGGGCAACAGAGTGAGACTCGGTCTTAAAAAAAATAAATAAATAAAATAAAAATTAGCCAGGCATGGTAGTGCACACCTGTAGTCCCAGCTACTTGGAGGCTGAGGTGAGAGGATCACCTGAGCCCAGGGAGGTCAATGCTGCAGTGAACCATGATTGTGCCACTGCACTCCAGCCTGCGCAACAGAGTGAGGCCATCTCAAAAAAAAAAAAAAAAAAAAAAAAAAAAAAAAAAAAAAAAGGTGGGTGTGTCCATTAGATCTGGAGTCAAGTATTTATTTTATTTTATTTATTTTATGTTTGAAAGTATTTATTTTAGATTATTTTATTCATTATCGTATGCTTTGTTCTCTTTTTCAAAAATATCAATTATAAATCATTTGGATTTTTCTGTTTTCCACATTTCTCATTCTTCCTATAATGCTATTTTCATTGTTGTGTTCTTCCATTTCATTTTTATGATTTTCAGAAATTTATCCATTATAGTCTTTTTTTTTTCCATTGCATTTATTCTATTTTAAAATATGGCCTTCTTGGACAGGCACGGTGGCTCACGCCTGTAATCCTAGCACTTTGGGAGGCTGACGCCGGTAGATCACCTGATGTCAGGAGTTCGAGACCAGCCTGGCCAACATGGTGAAACCCCGACTCTACTAAAAATACAAAAATTAGGTGGGTGTGGTGGTGCATGCCTGTAGTCCCAGCTACGCGGGAAGCTGAGGCAGGAGAATTGCTTGAACTGGGCAGGTGGAGGTTGCCGTTGAGCCGAGATCATGCCCCTGCACTCCAGCCTGGGTGACAGAGCGAGACTCTGTCTCAAAAAAATAAAAAAGTGACCTTCTTAGTTATAGAAGCCAGAAAATAGAAAAAAGAAAAAAAAAATATGGCCTTCAACTTTGAAATGTTTTACTTTTTCCCTTTTATTTATTTTCTAAAATCTGCTAATTTTCTCTTCTTCACCTTCTTTTGCTATATAATCTTTTCTCTGAAACTTTGTATCTCATTTTAAAAATTATTTTTAAGGCTGGGTGCGGTGGCTCATGCCTGTAATCGCAGTACTTTTGGTGGCCGAGAAGGGAGGATTGCTCAAGGCTAGGAGTTTATTTTAAAAATTATTTTTTAAAGAAGAGGTCATGTTATATGAGGTTTTTTTTTCCTTTAGAAGTATTTGTCAGAATTCTTCCTGAGTTTATTTGGATATATTGATAATTATACTTCATTTTTTGCTGCTTATGTTTCTTTCCTCCATTTATCTCTCTCTTATTTTTTTTAAGACAGGGTCTTGCTCTGTGGCCCAGGCTGGAATGCGGTGGTACAGTCATGGCTCCCTGCATCCTCGACCTCTTGGGCTCCAGCCATCCTCCTGCCTTGGCCTCCCAAAGTGCTGGGATTACAGGCGTGAGCCACTGCACCTGCCCCATTTCTCTCATTTTTAAAAGAGCATTTAAAAGCAAAGTTCCCAAGTTAATTCCTTTCTGATTATTATTTACTTGGAGTGGGGCTAGTTATCTGCTGAAGGGTGCTGTGGTAGAGTGGAGTGAAGTGTAGTGGGCTTTCATGGTACTTGGCGGTAGAGGGTGGGGAATACATCTTTTCTTCATTTTCAGTTTTTGGCAGACAGGGTTGCTTCACAGCAAAACTTTTCTTTCTTTTTTTTCCAATCAGCTTCCCCAGGTTGAATCACAGCAATGCTTGGTGGAATGTGGTCTGACACTCTCTGTCTCCTCTCCTGCTTTATCCCAGTTCATCTCTGGTGGTGTCCCTGACAAGGCAATAGGAATGTCATGCCAGCATTGTTTCTTCTTAAGCTCCCCCTTCCCTGCTGTCTTGGGGTGTCAAAGTCGGTCTCCTCAGGGAGACCTCTCCCTTAGCCTCTTCTCAACCTCAAATAGGTAGGTTCCTTTTACGGGGCGCTCCACCAAGGGCTTGGGTGGCATGTTCTGCTCTCATTGAATGTCCTTGCTTAGCTTCCTGCAGAGATACATTCGGCAGATGCCTTTTGTGATTTGTAGCTTGGGGTTTTATCAGTTTCATTAACCATGGCTTTTTACCCTTTCTCTATTTGTTTTGTTTGATTATTCTTAGTGATGTCCCAAGGTTGAAGAAAGAATCTAATCTTCCATCCTTTGTTGGGAGTTCCCTAGAGTCATCTTTAAGTCCTAAATCAGATAATGTCATTCCATCATTTGAATGGAATGACATTCCACTGGCCTGTTGTTGGAGTTAGGAAAAAAACTAAATTCCTTACATCAGCCTACAAGGCTCTGCATGATTTGACCCCTGCTCATCTCTCCAATTCCACCCTGTGCCATTCTCTATCTCTTTCCATCCATGCTCCAGCCACACTGGCCTTCTTTTACTTTCTTTATGTCCCAAACTCTTTACCATCCCAGGGCCACTGCCTGGAATGCTCATGGGCTCTGCTCCCTGAGTGAGTAACTCTCATCCTTCAGTCTCAGATGAAAGCCCTCCTCCTTAGCAAGCCCCTTTCCTGACTGTACCCAGGTGGGTGTGTGGGGCCCCCCATGGTTCTCCATCATCACACCTATTTGTATTAATAGCACTTACTACTACTTGTAATTATATATTTTCCCCCTTTCTTCTCCCAGTTGATTATATGCTCCGCCAGGGCAGGAAATATGTCTGTTTTATTCACCAATCTCTCTGCAGGCTCTATCTAGTCCAATGTCAGCTCTTAATAACCATTTGTCAAGTACATTAATAGAGAATGAATTACAGAGTTTTATCCTTGAGAGCGGTGTTGAAGAGTTTAAACGATGTGGTGGTCTGTGGAGAGACCCAAAAGGTTTTTGAGCAAGTGAGTGACAGAACAAAGAGCTATAATCACAATGGATGAAGAAGGGAGAGACTGGAGTCCAAGGAGAAGCTAGCCAGGAGGTTGCCAGGAGGTTGCTGTCCCAGGACAGGCTGGCTGGCGTGAGGCAGTAGCTCTGGGGACAGAGAGAACGGGTCAGCCAGGCGAGCTTCCAAGGAAAACCCAGCAGCACTTGGTGTGTGCTCAGTGGCTGCTTGGCTGGATCTGGGTTTCTACAGAGCAAGACAGAGATGATACATGTTGGGGCTTGGATGATGGGATGGAGCTGGGGTACGGGGGAGCAGTGAGCTCACAGGCAGAGCCTGGGGTTGGAAGGGCGGAGCTGGTGGAGTGGAGATTCAAACGCCTTTTAGGAGCTGTGTAAACCGAGGGGTGTGGCCGGGCGTGGTGGTGAGTGCCTATAGTCTTAGCTATTGTGGGTGGGTGGAGGACTGGGGGGAGTTGGGGTGGGAGGATCACTTGAGCCCAGGAATTCAAGACCAGCCTGCGCAACATAGCAAGAACCATCTCTATTAAAATAAATAAATAAACTGAGGGGTGGTGATGCTGTGAGAAAGAGGAAGAAAGAGAAAGGAGACAGAGGGAAGCAAGCAAGAGAGAAAAGCTTAGAGGACCAACGTTAGCTCCACCAGCTGGGGTAGAGAGAGGAAGAGGACCTGGGGAAGGGGCTGGAGAAGAAACTCTGGGTGAAGGAGTGGCAGAGCCAGGGTGATTGCGGAGCGGTACTCTGCAGTCATGCCAATCCGAGTTCAAATCCCAGCTCTACACTTAATCCCCTGAGCTTCTGTTTCCTGGTCTATTAATCACAGACATTGCCCACATTATAGAATGGTTGAGAGGAGTAAATTAGATAATAAATGTACAGTACTTAGTGTAATGCCTACACAGTATAAGCACTCAGCAAATTTTAGTTTCTTCCTGCCTACCTGCCTGTTTGCCTTCTCTTTTTCCCTTCTTCTTTTCTTTTTTATTTTTTTTTTGAGATAGGGTCTCCCTGTGTCACCCAGGCTGGAGTGCAGTGGTGTGATCTTGGCTCACTGCAACCTCTGCTCCCTGGGCTCAAGCGATCCTCCACCTCAGCCTCCTGAGTAGCTGGAACCACAGGTGCATACTACCATGCCTGGGTAAACGGTGTTTTTTATGGAGATAGGGTTTCACTTTGTTGCCCAGGATGGTATTGAACTCCTGGGCTCAAGCAATCTGCCTGCATTAGCCTCCCAAAATGTTTGGATTATAGGCATGAGCCACCGCACCTGCCCGCCTGCCTTTCTTTCTTTCTTTCTTTCTTTCTTTCTTTCTTTCTTTCTTTCTTTCTTTCTTTCTTTCTTTCTTTCCTTCCTTCCTTCCTTCCTTCCTCCCTTCCTTTCCTTCTTTCCTTCTTTCTCTCTCTTTCTCCCTCCTTCCCTCCCACCCTCTTTCCTGTCTTTTCTTTTTTTTTTTGACAGGGTCTTTTTCTGTTGCCTAGGCTGGGGAGCGTTGGTGCAATTATGGCTCACTGCAGCCTTGATTTCTTGGGCTCAAGTGATCCTCCTGATGCAGCCTCCTGAGTAGCTGGGACTATGGACATGAGCCACCATGCCCAGCTAATTTTTATATATAGATATAGTTTACAAAATTTTAATTTTCATTTTTATACATAGAGATGGGCTCTCGCTATGTTGTCCAGGCTGGTCTGGAATTCCTAGCTTCAAGCAATCCTCCTGCTTCGACCTCCCAAAGTGCTAAGATTACAGGTGTGCACCTCTGCTCCTGGCCTCTTCTTTCGTTCTTAGGAACAGGTGTTTATCTAGCCAGAAGCTGGGCAGGTTCAGAAGGTCATTCTTTATCACTTCACTGAGGGATGCTTTTGTTCTGAGAGACTAATTATTGTGCATCTTTATGACCACAACATAAACACAAACATTCCAGGAATTAGCTCAATTTCTTCCCAGAAGTAAAGTCCCTTTGAGAATCCAAATGCAAACCAGAGGCTAGTTGGTGAATGGAGAGCCTGAAGGTGGATGAGCTTAAAGGATTGCTTGAGTAAGCCTGGTTGATGATGTGTGTGTCTATCATCCTGTAGGGAGCCAGTTTCTTATTTTGTTTTTCGTTTTTTTTAATTTTTATTTATTTTTTTATTTTTTATTGATCATTCTTGGGTGTTTCTCGCAGAGGGGGATTTGGCAGGGTCATAGGACAATAGTGGAGGGAAGGTCAGCAGATAAACAAGTGAACAAAGGTCTCTGGTTTTCCTAGGCAGAGGACCCTGCGGCCTTCCGCAGTGTTTGTGTCCCTCGGTACTTGAGATTAGGGAGTGGTGATGACTCTTAACGAGCATGCTGCCTTCAAGCATCTGTTTAACAAAGCACATCTTGCGCCGCCCTTAATCCATTTAATCCTGAGCTGACACAGCACATGTTTCAGAGAGCACCGGGTTGGGGTGTAAGGTCATAGATCAACAGCATCCCAAGGCAGAAGAATTTTTCTTAGTACAGAACAAAATGGAGTCTCCTATGTCTACTTCTTTCTACACAGACACAGCAACAATCTGATTTCTCTATCTTTTCCCCACATTTCCCCCTTTTCTATTCGACAAAACCGTCATCGTCATCATGGCCCGTTCTCAATGAGCTGTTGGGAACACCTCCCAGACGGGGTGGCGGCCGGGGAGAGGGACTCCTCACTTCCCAGAAGGGGCGGCCGGGCAGAGGCGCCCCCCACCTCCCGGACGGGACGGCTGGCCGGCCGGGGGCTGACCCCCCACCTCCCTCCCAGACGGGGCGGCTTGACGGGCGGGGGCTGCCCCCTCACCTCCTGGACGGGACGGCTGCCGGGCGGAGACGCTCCTCACTTCCCAGACGGGGCGGCTGCCGGGTGGAGGGGCTCCTCACTTCTCAGACGGGGCGGCTGCTGGGCGGAGGGGCTCCTCACTTCTCAGATAGGGTGGCCGGGCAGAGACGCTCCTCACCTCCCAGACGGGGTCGCGGCCGGGCAGAGGTGCTCCTCACATCCCAAACGGGGCGGTGGGGCAGTGGCGCTCCCCACATCTCAGATGATGGGCGGCCGGGCAGAGACGCTCCTCACTTCCTAGACGGGATGGCGGCCGGGAAGAGGCGCTCCTCACTTCCCAGACTGGGCAGCCAGGCAGAGGGGCTCCTCACGTCCCAGATGATGAGCAGCCAGGCAGAGACGCTCCTCACTTCCCAGACAGGGTGGCGGCCGGGCAGAGGCTGCAATCTCGGCACTTTGGGAGGCCAAGGCAGGCGGCTGGGAGGTGGAGGTTGTAGCGAGCCGAGATCATGCCACTGCACTCCAGCCTGGGCAACATTGAGCACTGAGTGAATGAGACTCCATCTGCAATCCCAGCACCTTGGGAGGCCGAGGCTGGCAGATCACTTCTGGTTAGGAGCTGGAGACCAGCCCGGCCAACACAGCGAAACCCCGTCTCCACCAAAAAAATACGAAAACCAGTCAGGCGTGGCGGCGCGCGCCTGCAATCGCAGGCACTGGGCAGGTTGAGGCAGGAGAATCAGGCAGGGAGGTTGCAGTGAGCAGAGATGGCGGCAGTACAGTCCAGCTTCGGCTGGGCATCAGAGGGAGACTGTGGAAAGGGGAGAGGGAGAGGGAGGGGGAGGGGGAGGGGGAGAGCCAGTTTCTTATTTTGAAATGGGGGGAAGCATTGAACTGGATCAAGCAAGCTGTCATCAAAGTCCATTACTTTTGAAGCTAGACTTAGATGTTTTACCAATTATAATGAGAAAAATATGGGCATTTCCAAACTAGGAGAAATAATGTAGCAAATTAACAGATTATTCTCAATTTTAAGGTTTTCTTTACTATTTTTCTTAAACTAACACCTGATACTTTCAGATGACAAAAAGTGGGCTCAAAGGATAAATAAATATTGACAGGAAAACCAGGAGTAGATCATGATCCCTGTATTTTAGTGGATGTGGGGTTTGGTCATGGTTCTATGTTGCTGATACATCAGATGGCCCCATCTTGGCCATGACACTGGCTCTAAGTATATGTTAGTTTCTTTTTCTTTTCTTTTCTTTTTTTTTTTTTTCCGAGACAGAGTCTTGCTCTGTCATCCAGGCTGGAGTGCAGTGGCATGATCTCTGCTCACTGCAACCTCCGTCTCCTGGGTTCAAGTGATTCTTCTGCCTCAGCCTCCTGAGTAGCTGGGATTACAGGCGTGTGCTACCATGCCGGCTAATTTTTGTATTTTTAGTAGAGTTGGGGTTTCACCATGTTGGCCAGACTAGTCTCAAACTCCTGACCTTGTGATCCACCCGCCTCGGCCTCCCAAAGTGCTGGGATTACAGGCGTGAGCCACCACGCCCGGCCCACAGTTTCTTCTTCTATTGATACATGTAATAACACTCACTGAGTCCTCCCTATACTTTACATACATACAAATGTGTTATCTCATTTGATAGGTGAAGTGGGCAATAGTATTCCCATGTTACAGAAGAGGAAACTGATGCTCAGGAAAAGGTTAAGTAACGTTTGTAAGGTTACATGGTGAGTGTAGTAACTGTGGTAACTTGCTTCCTATTTTTAGTAAGAGACCCTTGACCACACTGGCAAATCATAGCACTCCGTCTCCCTGGCAACAGAAATTGGCCCATGGCTAAGTATATGAGACAAGCAGGGCCAATCAGCGCTCTTCTCTGGATTAATATATAGATAATGGGTTTACAAAGCTGGAGCAGTCTGTGGCCACATTCCTCATTATTTGGAGAGGCTCTGCTATGCTATACTAAGGGTGATGCCCACATGCAAAAAGACACAAACAGCATGAGAGAAGAATGGATGGATGGATGGTGTTGAGTTCCTCATTCTGGTCCCCATGGCTGTGGTTTATTGATCCTGTGAATTATCACAGTGACCTTAATGCGATGTAACACAATACACCACATTTTTACTTTGGTGAGCTTGAATTAAACTTCTGTCTCTTTTAGCTGAAAGATCTTGATTGACAGAATTAGAATATGGTGGAGTCAAGATTCAAATCCAGAATCCAAAGTCTTAATTCCTTTGCAATAACCATTTCCTAGTATTACATATTGATCTCCAAAAATGTCTTTCTTTAAACCACTTCCTCATGAGCAACACACTATAATATTACAAATCACCACCCACTCTCCTGAGTCACTTTTCTTTTTCTGAAGCTGCCCTTAGTCCCTTTCTAAGATTTAGAAAGTAACTTGGATTTATCAGAACACAGAATGCATCTCTCAAGTTGGGTGTTTCTGGGAAGACTGTGAATCACCCTGATTTATGTTGATCCCTGTTAGCACCAGTTTCAGTTTTACCAAGTGACATTGTTCCTTCTTGGTCCTCTATGCTGGCAAATAGTGGAGCCTGGCTTCAGACTCAAGCCTGCCTTATACCCAGGCCTATGCCCTTGCCAGGACAGCAGCGGCCTCTAGCTGTGGGAAACCATGAGGAGCTGGCAGGCCAGGGTGGAAATATCCTGTGTTCTCGAGCCAGGTGTCAGGCGTGAGAACTCAGGAACTATGATACACTGACATTATTATCATTATTATTTTGTTTAGCTCACTCTGTTGACCAGGCTGGTCTCACACTTGGCCTCAAGCAATTCTCCTGCTTCAGCTTTCTAGTGCTGGGATTACAGGCATGCGCCACCACACCTGGCTAATTTTGTATTTTTAATAGAGATGGGGTTTCTCCATATTGGTCAGGCTGGTCTCGAACTCCCAACCTCAGGTGATCCACCTACCTTGGCCTCCCAAAATGCTGGGATTACAGGTGTGAGCCACAATGCCCGGCCACATCCTTCTTTCTTTTGAGTTCTGGGAAAAAGTACTCAAGCAGGGCTCCAAGTCTTAGCTGTGGACCAGCGAATGTAATTTGGAGCTGAGGCCAGAAAGATCTTTCTATTCCTCTCCTGCTGCTTCTTGAACGGACCTTCCTTGTAGCTCATTCTAGATAGCAACTGCCCAGCTGCCGACCCTTGCGGCGGTGGGGTCATCAGTGCAGGTGGGGAGCACAGGATGCAGGGCACGTCTTTCCGGGGGGCAGACTGACTGGGAAGAGGAAGCTGCAGTGAGAAGGGGCAGAGCTGAGCCTGCTCAGAGCCTATCCCTCAGTCGCACCTCTTCCTTTGGGAGAAGGAGAGAGTGGTGGAGAGAGAAGTGGGTGGCTCCTCCCTGCTGAAGAACTCTTTTGAGAGTAGGGTGTTAGATTGCTTCCTCCCCAAAACACTGGCATTGGCAAGAAGAGTTTCTGGTGACGTAGGAGAAAGCTGGTTCCGTAGAATGGTAGCAAGTCAGTTTTCAGGAGGTTCTGGGGGTGGAGGTGGAGGATTTAGAGCATATCTGGAAAAGTGGTGTTGAAGGGAGGAGAGAGGATGGTGGTTACGACGGACAGCACTTGTGCCTCTGTGTCAGGCACTGGGGATATGGAGCATTGACAATACTCAGTGCCTGTTTCTTAGGAGCCCAGTCTAGTGGGAGGGACACATATATAGTCACAATTAAACATAAGAAATAATGGGGGCTGGGTGTGGTGGCTCACGCCTGTAATCCCAGGACTTTGGGAGGCCGAGGTGGGCGGATCACCTGAGGTTCGGGAGTTCGAGACCAGCCTGACCAACATGGAGAAACCCCACCTCTACTAAAAATACAAAATTAGCTGGGCGTGGTGGTGCCTGCCTGTAATCCTAGCTACTCGGGAGGCTGAGGCAGGAGAATCACTTGAACCCGGGAGGCGGAGGTTGCAGTGAGCCGAGATCACGACACTGCACTCCAGCCTGGGTGACAGAGCAAGACTCTGTCTCAAAAAAAAAAAAAAAAAAAAAAAAAAAGAAAAAAGAAAAAAAGGGATAGAGCGATGGGCAAGGGGCTGCAGGAGGAACACTAGCTGTGTGTGTGCATGTGTGTGTGCATATTCTTCTGCTCTAGCAGGTGCGAGGCTGGGAAGTAGATACCGGGATGCTGCATGGAGGCAATGACCTTTGAGCTGAGTTTAAAGGGTGATTAGGATTGACAGGTGGACCTCCTGAGGAAAGGCTTTTCAAGAGAATGTGAGGCATAGGCAGGTGCTTGGAAGCACAGAAGGGCGCGGCATGCACATCAGTGTAGTTGCTGTGCCAGCAAAGGCATGCCATCTCTTCTGAAAGTTATGGGGGTTCACTAAGCATTTGAATCTGGGCTGACATGCTCAGATTTGAATTTTAGAAAGGTTATTCTGGTGGGAGAGCTGAGAAGGGGTTAGAGTTGGGGGGCGAGGATGGAGGTGGGAGGGGAGTTGGGATGTGTTTGCAGTAGTCCAGGAGCAAGATGATGCTGAGGGACCTAAGGCAGTGTGGACAAAGCTGGGTGGTATTTAGAAGGTGGAAACAATAGGTTGACTGGCCAACATCTGGAGGGCAGAGCGGGGGAAGCAGGAGGCTAGAGGACAGGAGGACAGCCACATTTCTGGTTTGGGTGATTGGGTGGATGGTGTTGTTATGTGTGGCAAAGGGGAAGCCAAGAGGAGGTGGGACAATGAGAAATGGTTCTTTTAAGCTTATTTGATTGTATTATTATTTTTTTGAGACAGGGTCTCACTCTGTCACTCAGCTCACTGCAACCTCCACCTCCCGGGTTCAAGCGATTCTCGTGCTTCAGCCTCCTGAGTAGGTGGGATTACAGGTGCACGCCACCACACGCAACTAATTTTTGTATTTTTAGTAGAGATGGGGTTTTGCCATGTTAGGCAGGCTGGTCTTGAACTCTTGGCTTCAGGTGATCTGCCTGCCTCAGCCTCCCAAAATGCTGGGATTACAGGTGTGAGCCACCATGCCCAGTCTCTTTTATATTTATATTTAATCCGGGCTAGGCTGGGCATGGTGGCTCACGTTGGTATCCCAGCACTTTGGGAGGCCGAGGCAGGAGGATTGCTTGAGCTCAAGAGTTCAAGACCCGTCTGGGCAAGATGGCAAAACTCCATCACCACAAAAGATGCAAAAAGATGCGCACAGTGGCGCACACCTATAGCCCCAGTTACTGAGGAGGTTAATGTGGGAGGATCACATGAGGCTGCAGTGAGCTGTGATGGTGCCACTGTACTCCAGCCTTGGCGACAGTGAGTCTATGTCTCAAATAAGTAAGTAAACAAAAATTAAAAAGAATCCAGTCCACAGGGCATTTGAAGGCAAGAGGAAAAGATGCCAGAATCAGAGATGGGGAGAAGATGGGCTTCTGGCGCCTGCTGAGGTTGAGAAATGAGACAGATAGGCTGAGTGTGGGGTGGAGAGAGGATGGGCAGAGAGACTGAGGCTGGTCTGAATGGAAATGAAATGTTAGGGCTCTCAGGGTTATCGGGGAATAATTGGAGCTTCTAGGAAAGGTTTAACGTTGTGACCACCTGTGTTCGTCATGCCTCCCCACCCCTTACTAATTGTGTGAATTTGGCAGACTTTGAGTCTCAGTGTTCTCCTCTGTGAAGTGGGGTCATCTTATTCCAACTCCTGGGATTGTTGTGTGAATTAAATGGGGTAATGTACGGAGAGCACCTGACGCACAGCGAGTGCTTCAAAATTTCAGTCTGCACCCCCCAGCAAAGGATATGCACACGCCCATTGTGAGTGACAAATCCAGGATGACCTGAACCCAATGTGATAACGTGGGTCCTCGCATGCTGGTCATGCTGCCGGGAGACACTTATGGATCCAATTAGTACAACAGGGGAAATAAATTATTTAATGCATTTTGCTAAGACAGAATACCTCAGAACTTATTTTGTGGGGCGGGGCATAATAAAGGGGGTCCTTCTGCTGAAAACGTTTAAGCTCAGGTTCGTGGCACCACTCAACCAAGGTCGACAGTCACACAGTAAGCCAGAGGCAATGTCAGGACTTAAACTAAACCTGTGGCCCCCACAATGAGGCCATTTCTCTTTCCCCTGAACGGCCTGGGGAAAGGGGGTGGGTGGGCAGAACTTGGCAGTGGCCAATCCCTCACTTCTGTCCCCTGGTTTTCTCCTGCCCTTATCTCTAGGCTTGCATTGATTGATTGATTGAGACAGGGTCTTGCTCTGTCGTCCAGGCTGGAGTGCAGTGGCACGATCATGGCTCACTGCAGCCTCAAACTCCTAGGCTCAAGTGGTCTTTCCGCCTCCTATCTCCCGAGTACCCATATCCCTAGGCTTTTAAAATGGCTTCCAGGTATCTGGCTGCCGTCTCAGACATCCACCTGGGCTTCTGGGCAGGGACTGTCCGGGAAACCTCATCTATGTGAAGCAGGTGTGGGTGTAGGAAGGCCGCTTGGAAATGAATCAGCACTGTCTCCTGTTTGAGTCGTAAGCAGGGCGCCAGAGGGTCTGGCGGACAAGAAAGGGAGGATGACAGGAGGCCGGCACTGCAATGACACGCCTTAGCCACCAGAGGGCACGAAGCAGCTGGGCAAAATCCCGCGGGGCCGCTGGTGGAAAATTTCTGGCACCTGGAGCCCGGAGATGGGGTGGACGGAATGTGAGGACCCAGCTTCCTGAGGCTGGGCCGGGGCAGAGTCACTGCTTTGGATGTCCGCAGGGCCTGCTTGTGTCTTGACTACTCTGCCTTTGTAGACAGCTGGAGAATGTGAGAGTGGGATTGGGATCGGACTCTAGGGGCCATTCCGTACAACTCTCCTGCCCTGCCGTGGGGGAGGGAGTTGCCCAAGGTTACGCAGCAAGTTAGTGGCAAATGAATACGATTATCACCAGTCTCAGGTATATGGCCATTTGATGGGCGCAGTCGCAGCCTCAGTTCCTGAGACAGAGACACCTGATTAAGGACAGGCCTTCAGGAGCTGACCCTAGTGACCCGCGGCTCTGCTGCTGTCTCTGTTTTTCTCCCTGGCTTTTCCATCTGACTGACTCTTTGTCTTCTTCGTCTGCCTGCCTGTCTCCGTCTCTGCCCGCTGGGGGGTTTGCTCAACTCCCTCACTGGGTCCTGGGAGCCGCAGTTTCCTGCTGTCACTCCTCAGGGATTTGTAGCTCTCTGAAGCTCTTTTCCGACCCGTTGTCTCGGTTCCACTCTTGGGATCCAGAGGAGAGGTGATTATTTCGTAGCATAGTCAGTGGTGTGATTTCACGGGGTGAGAAGGACTCCCTTGCTCCTAAGCACTCCTCCAGTGACCCCTGTTGCCATGTGGTAGCCGTAAGCACTGGTTGGCACCTGGTGTGGGCGAGACCCTTACCTCATGCAGAAATGAGTAAGACCGGTGAGCTCACCATGTGGGGGTGAGGCTGAGAGAAAACAAGTACACAGGTGATTCAGTCAAAATCAGAATTCTCTAAGTACACACGAAAAGGGCAAAAGGGGCGCTTTGTACAGGACAGAACAGGTAGACACTGAATCCGGTTGGGCCCTGGGAAGGCTCCCTGCAGTGGCCTTTGAAGGGGGGGTTGGATTTCAGCAGGATAGAGGGCATGGGCATGTGTGGGCACGTTCTGAACAGAGGGGTCAGCGCAAGCCGAGGGTCTTGGCCACACTAGTTGCATGTGCCGGTGTGTTTAAGGGACACGCAGCAGCAGGCCGAGTCTGGAGCGCCTCACTGCCAGGCTTTTTAAAAATTTTTAATTTTAATTTAATTTTATTTTATTTTTACTTTAAGTTCTGGCATACATGTGCAGAATGTGGTTTGTTACATAGGTATACATGTGCCATGGTGGTTTGCTGCACCTATCAACCCATCATCTAGGTTTTAAGCCCCGCATGCATCAGGTATTAGTCCTAATGCTCTCCCTCCCCTTGCCCCCATCCTTCTCCCCGCAACTGCCCACAGGCCCTGGTATGTGGTGTTCCCTTCCCTGTGTCCATATGTTCTCATTGTTCAACTCCCACTTATGAGTGAGAACATACCGCCTGGCTTTAAGGGACAGCCATGGGGATGCACTGCAGTTTCTGAGCAGGGAAGGCCCTGTGGAGGCCCTTAGTTAAAAGGAAAGAATGGCTGTGAAAATCGATGCATTGCGCTCCCTTGTCCCTCACCCTCAGTGTGAAGGGTTTTTATTCCGAGTTCTACTTGAAGTAGGCCTCGATGGGAAGACAAGTAGCATGAGGGGTTCAAGTACTGAGGGGAGCAAGGGACACTCGGTGGCTGTGCCAAGGTGTAGAAGAGGACACTGGGGGCCCCAAGGCCTGACTTCATGTACACTGCTCAGGCTGGCCCCCAAGTCACACGGTGACCGCTAGGAAGGGACCAGCCTGTTCTCAGTCTGATCCTCCTGCCATGTCATTATCCAAAGCTCCTCCTGGCAGGGCCTGTTTGGGGTCTCTGTGCCAGTGCTTTCCCTGCCAGGCTGGGCTGGGGCTTCCACCTACTGCTCTGGGACTGCTGCTGCCCTGGCCCTGGGGGAGGAGGGTGTGCCGCTGAGTCACTGCCTGGGCATCTGGGCCTGGAACCTCGGGTGAGTCACTTAGGGCTGAGGTAGAGGGGCTGGGGGAGGGGAAGAAGCTACTCGACAGCTGGAGCAGGGAGGGGAGCTGGGGCCACAGGAAGGGCGGTGCCCTGATGCCCAGACGGGCCGGGATAGACAAAGGGCCAAGGAGGAAGGGGCCCTGGGAGGGGGCAGCCCTCCCTTGGGCTGGGCTCTGAATGGCCACAGTGTTTGCCTTTCTCCGGGTCTGGGGAGGACATGTGTGTGGGGGGCAGTGAGAGAGGGCTGTGGCTGAGGGCTGTGCTTCAGGCCTGGATTCTGGCTTGGGAAGCTGTCCAGCTGGTGTTTTCAGCCTTGGGTAGGGATGTACCCCTACCCACCCACCCAGCCCTCAAGCTGGAGAAGAGGAGGCCAAAGTTTTCCTGTTCAGCCTTTAACTACTCGGGACTTCCTTATGCTCCCCACAGACTGTGGCCCAGCCCAACTGCGGCTGTGTGTAGAGCAACCCCATTTCTCACTGCTTCCCCATCCTTCCAGACACCTTCCTACACAGAGGGACCTTCCCAGGTATTTCTAAGCACACTTAGTTACCTCATTACCTCATTAAGAGGTATTCTGGTGCTGGCCATTAAAAGTCACTCCACTTCATCCATGCCCTGAAGTCAGTCCTGTCCTTCTCCTCCTGATGTCCCCCAGCTGCCTCCTCTGGCCCCCAGCTTCCTAAGGGTGGCCCCAGGTTGCTTCTCTCTCACACACACGGGCGCATGTATGTACACGAGCACTGGACCATGAAGTCTCAGCGTGTGCTCACAGCCTCTCACACAGGAGTGGGCTGTGACTCACAGGCATGTCATGAGAATGAGGCCTGGCACCAGTCTCCAGGCCCCAGAGCAGGGGTTGCCTCCCCTCACCCCGGTCCAGGATGCCCAGTCCCCACGACACCTCCCACTTCCCACTGTGGCCTGGGTGGGCTCAGGGGCTGCCCTTGACCTGGCCTAGAGCCCTCCCCCAGCTGGTGGTGGAGCTGGCACTCTCTGGGAGGGAGGGGGCTGGGAGGGAATGAGTGGGAATGGCAAGAGGCCAGGGTTTGGTGGGATCAGGTTGAGGCAGGTTTGGTTTCCTTAAAATGCCAAGTTGGGGGCCAGTGGGGCCCACATATAAATCCTCACCCTGGGAGCCTGGCTGCCTTGCTCTCCTTCCTGGGTCTGTCTCTGCCACCTGGTCTGGTGAGTACCTCTGTCCTGCTGAGGGCAGGGTGGGGAGGATCCCCGTGGGTCTCTGTCTTTGTCTCCACAGTTCTCTCATTCCAGCTTCCCTGGTGGGATCAACCTGGGCCTCTCTGGGCCTTCCCCCTTGGAAGAACTCTCTGTGAAGTGCTGAAGTGTTGACTGAAGGGTTTTTTTTTTTTTTTTTTTTTTTTGAGATGGAGTCTCGCTCTGTCGCCCAGGCTGGAGTACAGTGGTGTGATCTCAGCTCACTGCAAACTCCCCCTCCCAGGTTCACGCCATTCTCCTGCCTCAGCCTCCCGAGTAGCTGGGACTGCAGGCGCCCACCACCATGCCCGGCTAATTTTTTTGTATTTTTAGTAGAGATGGGGTTTCACCATGTTAGCCAGGATGGTCTCGATCTCCTGATCTCGTGATCCACCCATCTCGGCCTCCCAAAGTGCTGGGATTACAGGAGTAAGCCACCGCGCCCGGCCGACTGAAGGGTTTTTCTCCAGGTTCCTCTGTGAGGTCTCAGTGCAGGGGTTGCTCTGAGGCCCTCCCCTGGATATCTCAGTCTAGGGGCCCTTCTTTGGGGGTCTAGGCCTAGGAGCAGGAGGTGTGCATGTGGGCGTTGCTGCAAAAAGAATCCTGAGATTTTTTTTTTTTTTTGCAAAGTCCTGGATTCTAGCAGGACTAAGGTGCAAGAGGCAGGGGTCTCAAGACTCTGCCTGGGTCATGGCCCCAAGCAGCAAAGCTCTGCCCCCTGCCTCGGTGAAGGCAGGGCTGGCATGATGGGCCCAGGGCATGCCCTGCCTCTGGCATAGCTCCTCTGGCCTCACCCTGAAACCTGCCTAACCTTTCCAGGCTGGTCTGAGTATTCTCAGAGGCCTTGCCGCTGAGGTCTGTCCCATCCTGATCCCAAGGCAATGAACATTTCATATCTTTAATTCTAATTCCAACAGGATCCTTCCTGGTGGAGAGAATGTTAAGTTGCCCCCACCCTATCCATGCCCCTGTCTGCCTAGAGGCTCAGGGGCCTTCAGGGTGAGGGGAGACACATTCCCCACCCTCTGGGAGCTCCTAGTCTGAGAGAGGAAACACTCCTGCCCAAGGGAGCTTCCAGTTAGATGGCAGAGAGAGATGCCTCTGGCTTCAGGAGTCCCGAGTCTAAGGAGGGAAACGACTCCTTCAGGGAGCTTCCTGCTCCTAGGCTGTAGCCATGGCTCCTGCCAGACTGCACAGGAGCCCCCATCTGCCAGCCGGTGCATGTGGCCCTGCTCCCCAGAGCCTGCGCAGATGCCATCAAAATGGGACTCTGGTCACCCTGTCATTTCCCTTCTGGCAGACACTAAAATGGGGAGCCCTGCCCTCAGGGGGGTGTCCCAAGTGCCATCAGAGGAGGCTTGGTGACTCCCAGACACAAGGGAAGCTTTAGCGTCTGCCCTCAGGGTGAGATGGAGGTATCGCCTCCGGCCTCAGGGAACCACAGTCTGAGGGGGAGATGCAGCCCCTGCCTTCCCATTCAGAGAGGGGTTTTGTGAGGTGGCTTGGGGGCATAGGGCAGAAGTGGATCCTACAGGCTGAGCTAAGGCCCCAAGAGCCTCAGCAGTGTACCCATCACCTGGCACCTCTGCAGCCACAGATCCATGATGTGCAGTTCTCTGGAGCAGGCGCTGGCTGTGCTGGTCACTACCTTCCACAAGTACTCCTGCCAAGAGGGCGACAAGTTCAAGCTGAGTAAGGGGGAAATGAAGGAACTTCTGCACAAGGAGCTGCCCAGCTTTGTGGGGGTGAGTGGCACAGGCCTGTGGGGGAGGTCCTGGTGTGAGTGTGGGGGTGCAGGTTAAATCTCTCCCCCAGTTCCGGGTGCCTGTCGATGCAGGTGCCAGGGTGGGGCCCAGCCCCCTCCCCACTTTAGCTTCATGGCTCCACTGGAGTGGAAATGAGGCCCGAGTGGGAGTGCTTAATTAATGGCTGTTTCCTGCAGCATTCCAGAGAACCATGTGCTGTGAGGGCCTTCCGAGTCCATCTGTTTAATCCTGTCATTGGAGACTTGAGAAACCAGAGCCCAGAAGGGAAAAGTGATTGTCCCAAGATCACACAGCACTGGCACGTTCTCTCTCTCTCTTTTCTTTTCTTTTTTTTTTTTTTGAGATGGAGTTTCCCTCTTGTTGCCCAGGCTGGAGTGCAATGGCACGATCTCGGCTCACTGCAACCTCTGCCTCCAGGGGTCAAGCAATTCTCCTGTCTCAGCCTCCTGAGTAGCTGGGACTACAGGCGCATCCCACTACGCCCAGCTAATTTTTGTATTTTTAGTAGAGACAGGGTTTCACCATATTGGCCAGGCTGGTCTCGAACTCCTGACCTCGTGATCTACCTGCCTCGGCTTCCCAAAGTGATTTTTGTATTTTTAGTAGAGACGGGGTTTCATCATATTGGTCAGGCTGGTCTCGAACTCCTGACCTCAGGTGATCTGCCCTCCTCGGCCTCTGAAAGTGCTGGGCTTACAGGCGTGAGCCACCGTGCCCGGACTCCTTTTTTTTTTTTTTTTTTTGTGGTGGGGGGACAAGATCTCACTCTGTCACCCAGGCTGGATCATAGCTCACTGTAATCTCGAACTCCTGGGCTCAAGCAATCCTCCCAAGTAGTTGGAACTACAGGAGTATTGTCACCATGCCTGGCCAATTTTTATTTTTGTAGAGATGGAGTCTTGCTATGTTGTCCAGGCTGGGCTTGAACTCCTGGGTTCAAGCAATCCTCCCACCTCGGCCTCCCAAAGTATTGGAATTACAGATGTGAGGCACTGTGCTTGACCTCTTTCCATTTTTATATGCCAAACTAAGAAAGTATGTAGGGATAGAAAAGCCCAGCTAAGATATATAGTCTGGGACATTTTGTGGAGAAATGCATCGACCTTCAATTTGTCCCTCACCCTCCCTATACTGACTCATTGGTGATTCCCAAAGTTAGGTGTCAGGCTTTGAACACATGAGGCAGGTCCTTCTTTCCTTTTTTTAATTTTGTTTTTGTGGCTGGTTAAATTTTTCTAATTATTTCGGCTAGTATTAAAAAAGTGTTTTTCAGCTGGGTGCAGTGGCCTATGCCTGTAATCCCCACAGTGTGGGAGGCTAAGGCAGGAGGATCTCTTAAGCCCAGGAGTTCGACCAGCCTGGGCAACATAGCAAGACTCCATCTCTACAAAAATAAAAATAAAAATTGGCCAGGCATGGTGGCATACGCTTGTAGTCCCAGCTACTTGGGTGGATTGCTTGAGCCCAGGAGTTCAAGGTTACAGTGAGCTATAATACAGCCTGGGTGACAAAGTGAGATCACTCTGGTTGCCAAGACCAGCCTAGGCAACATAGCGAGGCCTTGTCTCTACTAAAAATAAACAATTAGCTGGGTGTGGTGGCATGAGCCTGTGGTCCCAGCTACTTGGGAGGCTGAGGTGGGAGGATTGCTGGAGCCCAGGAGGTTGAGGCTGCAGTGAGTTGTGATTGTGCCACTGCACTCCAGCCTGGGCAACAGAGCAAGACCTTGTCTTAAAAAATAAAAAGTGTTCTTTTCTGAATCTACCTGGCTGGTGTTGGGGAGCAGCAACCTTCGGTTTCCTCATCAGCAGAATGGGGTGATGATACCTACCTCGCTGGGCTCCTGTGGGATTCGAGCTGATGCATGCTCAGAGGAGCATCCAGTGTCCTCCCTGTGTCCAGGAGGAGGGCACACTGGAGATGCTCACCAATGAGTATCTGTCTCTCTCCTTACTCACTGGGCCCTCTTGGTAGCTCCCAGGGCCTCCTGCCCACCTTATACCCAGCTGCCCAGTGGGGAGGGAGAGCTGGGAACCAACCTGAATGTGTGAGGGTCTGGGTGTTTGGTGGAGCTGGGGTTGGGGCTGGCTTGGTGATGAGTGTATTTCCTGTCACTTTCAGGAGAAAGTGGATGAGGAGGGGCTGAAGAAGCTGATGGGCAGCCTGGATGAGAACAGTGACCAGCAGGTGGACTTCCAGGAGTATGCTGTTTTCCTGGCACTCATCACTGTCATGTGCAATGACTTCTTCCAGGGCTGCCCAGACCGACCCTGAAGCAGAACTCTTGACTTCCTGCCATGGATCTCTTGGGCCCAGGACTGTTGATGCCTTTGAGTTTTGTATTCAATAAACTTTTTTTGTCTGTTGATAATATTTTAATTGCTCAGTGATGTTCCATAACCCGGCTGGCTCAGCTGGAGTGCTGGGAGATGAGGGCCTCCTGGATCCTGCTCCCTTCTGGGCTCTGACTCTCCTGGAAATCTCTCCAAGGCCAGAGCTATGCTTTAGGTCTCAATTTTGGAATTTCAAACACCAGCAAAAAATTGGAAATCGAGATAGGTTGCTGACTTTTATTTTGTCAAATAAAGATATTAAAAAAGGCAAATACCATCCACCATCACTATCATTTCATAAAAAGATAAAATTTCAATTCCAATAAAGGAGGAAAGGTATAATTTCAGAATAAAGGACAGACCTTAACATTCAATACTGCAAGTAATGAGTTGTACCAGGATCTACTCAAGAGATATGAATTAGTCTAATCGACCCCGCAAAGCTTTATTTAAAAGATTCCTTGTTAGACCGAGCACGGTGGCTCACACCTGTAATTCCAGCACGTTGGGAGGCCAAGGCAGGCAGATCCCTTGAGGCCAGGAGTTCGAGACCAGCCTGGTCAACATGGTGAAACCCCGTCTCTACCAAAAAATACAAAAAATTTAGCTGGGTGTGGTGGTACATGCCTGTATTCCCAGCTACTCGGGAGGCTGACGCTGGAGAATTGCTTGAACCTGGGAGATGGAGGTTATAGTGAGCTGAGATTGGGCCACTGGACTCCAGCCTGGGCAACAGAGCAAGACTGTGTCTCAAAAAAAAAAAAAAAAAAAAAAAAAAAAGAATACAGGCCATAGGCAGTGCTGTGGTTTGAATGTGTTCCCCAAAGTTCATGTGTTGGAAACTTTATCTCCAAAGCAATAGTAATTAACAGGTGATTAGGCCATGAGGGCTCTGCTGTAATGAATGGATTCGTGCTGTTATCACAGGAGCGGGTTCCTTATAGAAGGATGAATTTGTCCCCCCACCTTTTATTTCTCTCCCTCTCTTTGCTCTTCCACCAGGAGATGATGCAGCAAGAAGGCCTTCTCCAGGTGTTACCCCCTCCAGCTTAGACTTCCTGGCCTCCAGAATGGTGAGCCAATAAATATCTGTTTTGTTTTGAATACCAGTCTGTGGTATTCTGTTGTAGCAATACAAAATGGACCAAGACAGGCAGTACACCTGTTTTCAGAAAACAAGTGTATTGTATTCTATACAACACATTCTATATTATATTGTACATTCTTTTTTTTTTGAGACAGGGTCTCGCTCTGTTGCCCAGGCTGGAGTGAAGTGGCATCATAATCTCTGCTCACTGCAACTTCCGCCTCCCGGGTTCAAGTGATTCTCCTATCTCAGCCTCCTGAGTAGCTGGGATTACAGGCATGTGCCACTACGCCCAGCTAATTTTGTATTTTTAGTAGAGACGGGTTTCTCCATGCTGGTCAGGCTGGTCTTGAACTCCTAACCTCAGGTGATCTGCCCGCCTCGGGTTCTAAAGTGCTGGGATTACAGATGTGAGCCATCATGCCCGGCCGAGAGCAAAAATTTATTATCTCTTATGGTTCTGCAGGTAGACTGGGTTTAGTTGATGGTTCTCACGTGGGGTCTTCCATGTAGGTGGAAATCGGAGCTAGAGTAATCTGAATGTTTGAACAAACTCAACTTCTACGGTAGCTTGCTTAACATGCGTGGCAACTGATATCGAATGTGAGCTGGGACCTCAGCTAGAACTGCCAGCCGGAGTGCTTACCATGGCCTCTCGATGTGGCTTGAGCTTCTTAGAGCATGGCAGTAGGGTCCTGAGAGGACAAATCCCAAAGTGAGCATTGCATGAGGCCTACGTGGAAGCTGGTAGGCTTAAGATTTATTAATTTTAATTTTAATTAAATTAATTAATTTATTTTTGAGACAGGGTTTCATTCTGTCACCCAGGCCCGGGTGCAGTGGTGCAATAATGGCTCACTGCAGCCTCCACCTCCCAGGGTCAAGCAATTCTCCTGCCTCAGCCTCCCAAGTGGCTGGGACTACAGGTACACGCCACCATACCTGGTTAATTTTTGCATTTTTTGTAGAGACAGTGTTTCACCATGTTGCCCAGGCTGGTCTCAAATTCCTGGACTCAAGGGTCCCACCTGCCTTGGTCTCCCAAAGTGCTGGGAATACAGATATGAGACACTGTGCCTGGTATTTCTTAAGATTTATTTCAGAAATCCCAGGACATCATTTCTGCTATATTCTAATGATAAAAAAAAATCATTAAGTCTGGCTCAGATTAAGGGGAGGAGGAGAATTAGACATCTCTCTCTTTTTTTTTTTTTGAGATGGAGTCTTGCTCTGTCGCCCAGGCTGGAGTGCAGAGGTGTGATCTTGGCTTACTGCAACCTCCACTTCCTGGGTTCAAGTGATTCTCTTGCCTGAGTAGCTGGGATTACAGGCATGCGCCACCACGCCCGGGTAATTTTTGTATTTTCAATAGAGACAGGGTTTCACCATGTTGGTCAGGCTGGTCTTCAACCCCTGACCTCGTGATCTGCCTGCCTCGGCCTCCCAAAGTGCTGGGATGACAGGCGTGAGCCACCGCGCCTGGCTAGACATCTTTTAATGTAAAGAGCAGCGTGCATAAAATTGACAGTGACCATCTTTGGAGACTAAATACCATAGTCTGTCTTCTAGCAACCGCAATTCACATCCCTCCCATATGCAAAATACATTAATCTCCTTCCCAAGACCCACAAAGTCTCATCTCTTTAAGGCATCAATTTGATGTCTCTGATCTTATTATCTGAGACAGGCCCAGAGATATGAACAAGGCTTCTCATGTGCAGTTCCTCCAGGACGGCTCCTCAAAAGTGGTTCCTCTTGACCTGAAGTCCTGTGAAGAACATAGTCGATGTTCACAGGTGAGATAAAGATACATAACTGCCATCCAGGCTTGTTGGCTCACGCCTGTAATCTCAGCACTTTGGGAGGCTGAGGTGGGTAGATCACTTGAGCTCAGGAATTTGAGACCAGCCTGGCCAAAGTGGCAAAACCCCGTCTCTGCTAAAAATACAAAGATTAGCCTGGTATGGTGGCATGCGCCTGTAATCCCAGCTACTCGGGAGGCTGAGGCAGGAACATCGCTTGAACCTGGGAGGTGGAGATTGCACTGAGCTGAGATCATACCACTGCACTCCAGCCTGGGTGACAGAGTAAGACTCTGTTTTTTTTTTTTTTCTTTTTTTTTTTAAAAAGATAACTGCCACAAACACGCCTATTCTTAAGGGTGTGGTGGTGTACTGGAGGCACAAATTGGTGCATTGGTCCATAGCAATTCCGAAATTGAGTCAGACATATGTCACCAGATTCTTGACTAGGGCCCAGTTCTGCTCTCTATAAGTGGTTCTTCTTGGCTCTTGGCCTCTAGGTTCTTGACTCCATTTTCTGAGTTAACTCTCTATTTTCCAAAAGAAGTAACTGTGTTGATAGCTAAGTAGCTTTCTCAGCCTAGTTCTTGCCCATTTGAAGTTGAAGACTCAAAAACTTCTTTTGGTTTTAAGCCATCTCGGTCTCTTTTAGTCCAAAATGATATAATTCCTGTAAAAATGTGGCCTCACTGTGCATCAATTTATAATTCACTTAATAGACAAAGCCATACCTACAAATCTTTTTAAGATTGGTCTCTCTCCAGCTTGGACTGAGAGTCAGGGTGCTGGGAGTAAATGCCCTTGAGATTCCTAAAAGCCTTCTAGTCTGAAAGAGCCTAAGAGG
Source organism: Homo sapiens (assembly GCF_000001405.40). Classification (NCBI taxonomy): domain Eukaryota; kingdom Metazoa; phylum Chordata; class Mammalia; order Primates; family Hominidae; genus Homo; species Homo sapiens. The sequence continues at coordinate 153,557,646 of NC_000001.11, read as the reverse complement.
TACACTTCTAGAATTATTAGACGTTGTATTATTTATCTGAGAAGATCTAGGAAGCTTGCCCTTAAATCTTTTTGAGGTCTCATTACAAGGTCTTACCTTTGACTTACTTCATCTTTATCCTGAGTTCCTTTTTACTGTTAGGGATCTGGATTTGGTGTTTGCCCCACGGCCATTTATTAGTTTGAGAGTCATTTGCTGGTGGAAAGACTGTGCTGGGCCCTCTATAATTCTTTAAGAAGCTGAATAGTTCGTTCCTTCTGGTTTTTTTTTTTTTTTTTTTTTTTTAATGGAGTCTCACTCTGTCGCCCAGGCTGTGCAGTGGTACGATCTTGGCCCACTGCAACCTCTGCCTCCCCGGTGAGTAGTTCCTTCTTTAGTTCAACATTTTTTTTTTGAGACGGAGTCTCGCTCTGTTGCCAGGCTGGAGTGCAGTGGCACGATCTTGGCTCACTGCAACCGCTGCCTCTGGGGTTCAAGTGGTTCTCCTGCCTCAGCCTTCCTAGTAGCTAGGACTACAGGCATGCACCACAATGCTCAGCTAATTTTTTGTATTTTCAGTAGAGGCGGAGTTTCACCATGTTGGCCAGGATGGTCTCGATCTCCTGACCTCGTGGTCTGCACACCTTGGCCTCCCAAAGTGCTGGAATTACAGACATGAGCTACCGCGCCCAGCCTAGTTCAACTTTCTAGTCTCATATTTTATCATAGGCAGCCAGAAGAAGCCAATTGGTACTTTCGTATTCTGCATAAAAATCTCCTTACCCATATCCATAAACTGATTAGGTACCTTTCTGTTTTCCATGTAACTACAGACAACAGTGTTGCCAGACATCCTGGAATTACCTAATAGGATCTCTCTTTTCTAGACTCCAGTAACAATTTCCTCACTGTCCTTCAAATCATTACTAATAATCTTCTAGAGACCCTTCTAGCTTTCACCCATTGCCTGCTCCCAAAGCCAATGACACCTGTTTCAGTTTTTTTGTAATAGCAGCATCCTACTCTTGTAGGTCTTTGATGAAAGATGCAAGGAACAAGCTCATGCTAACTTTCTAAACTTTTTCTGCCACTTCCTCTATTACTACACCTAGGTTTCTTTTTGGTCCATGTTCCCAGATATGCCAGGGTCTGACCAAATGTTTTGTCATTTCACAACAAAGGTCCTGACTTTCCAGCCTGACATATTGGGTCATCATATCTCACTACCTTCCTCCCTCTACTTAGCCAAGTTCACATTTTAGATTCTTTTTTTTTTTTTTTTGAGACAGTGTCTCACTGTGTCGCCCAGGCTGGAGTGCAGGGGCGCGATCTTGGCTCACTGCAACCTCCACCTCCTGGGTTCAAGTGATTCTCGTGCCTCAGCCTCCTGAGTAGCTGGGATTACAGGCACCCGCCACCACGCCCGGCTAATTTTTGTATTTTTAGTAGAGATGGGGTTTCACCATGTTGGTCAGGCTGGTCTCAAACTCCTGACCTTGTGATCCACCCACCTCGGCCTCCCAAGGTACTGGGATGACAGGTATGAGCCACCGCGCCTGGCCCCCACATTTTAGATTCTTTTACTTGAGGATTCCACTTTAAGATATCAAATTCTCTACTAGTTAGGGTTTTTTTTTCAACTATAAGTTACAGAAAATCTGACTAATGCTAGCGGCTTCAATTGTCTTATACAAGAAGTCTGGAGTAGGATGTTCAGGTTTGATTCAGGGTTCCGGAGATGCCATCTGAGATCCAGTGTCTTTTCATTTTTTGGCCCTTTAATATATAGGACATCTACTGTTTTCCTCATGGCTTGTTGTTTCGTGATCACACTGTGGCTGCTATACCTCCAGGCCTCACTGTCCATGTTCCAGGCTGGAAGACAGAATAAGGATGAGGTGCAAAATGCCTTTTCCACAGGAGCCTTTGCCTTTTTATTATGATAGAAGTGCCCTCCCCCAGAGACTTCCACTTACATCTTTGGCCTTAACTGTGTAATTTGGCTAGTCTTAGCTGTAACCAAGGGTTTTTAGCTGACCACATTGACATCTTAGAAGAAAAAAAATGGGTCTTAATAATGAAGAAAGAGGGGATGGATAGTGGAAGAGTAATGCAGAGTGTTTTCCTGAATTTTTTTTTTTTTTCTGAGATGGAGTCTCATTCTGTCGCCCAGGCTGGAGTGCAGTGGTGCGATCTCGGCGCACTGCAAGCTCTGCCTCCAGGGTTCACGCCATTCTCCTGCCTCAGCCTCCCGAGTAGCTGGGACTACAGGCGCCCGCCACCATGCCCGGCTAATTTTTTTGTATTTTTAGTAGAGACGGGGCTTCACCGTGTTAGCCAGGATGGTCTCGATCTCCTGACCTCGTGATCCGCCCGCCTCGGCCTCCCAAAGTGCTAGGATTACAGGCGTGAGCCCCCATGCCTGGCCTGAACTGTTTTTTTACTTACTTGGGAAATCGATCTTTGAGAACCACTTCCAGAGTAGCTCAGATAGGGTCCCCAGAGACAGAAAAGGCCAAGTGAGAAGGCGCTGGGACAATTGCTTGTTCTCACTTATGATTCTGCCTTGACTGCACATCTGGGGCTGGCGAGGCAAGGCGGAGCAGGCCTTCAATGATACATGGTCTCTTTTCATAGCAATAAAAAGAGAGAAGCCCACCTTCCTAATATCCTGTAGGAAAGGGAGCCAGTAACTATAGGTCAGGGAATCATGATGATGGTAATTAACATTTCTGTAGCAGTTCTCAGAGTTCCTTTCATGCACACTGTAATTTCAGCCTCATGGTAACCCCGAGAGGAGCTATCATTAGGCCGTTTTTACAGATGAGGAAACTGAGAGGGAGCAGCATCTGTCATTTGTGGAGCACTCCCTCCAGCTAGGCACTCTGCTGGTCTATTCAAGTGTCATCTCATTTAATCCTCGGGGCAACTGGGTGAGAGCAGAGCTATGCTATTAGTTTCTGCACGTCACAGACAAGGAAACAGAGGCTGGGAGAGGTTAAATAAGGAGTAGCGTCAGGACTTGACCCATGTCTTAAGAAAGGTCCTCATCCCTGTGGACACTAGGGTGGCAGTCCGGGCCTTCCTCCCCTTCCCACAGCCATCTCCAAAGCCTGGGGCTTTGTGTAAGGTGAAAGGGACCTGGATGAGCAGCATCCAGACTCTCAGTGTCCCTATCCTGAGTCACTGGGGGAAGCAGGCCCACTTGCTCCTGGTGGATTAGTGCAGTCTGGTTTCTTTTGGGCCTTAGGCTCACAACAATTCCTGGCTTCTCTTGGCTCAGGTTCTGGGGCTGTTTTGGCTGGTGGAGACTAGCCTCAGCTGGCTGCCCTTGGAGCTGGGCAGGTTCTGAAAGAGGCTGATTTCCTTTCCTTCTGGGCATTTGACAAACTAACAAACACCACTTTCCCAGATGGTTCCGGCAATCTTCCCTTATCCCCTTTCCTCTCCCCAAATCTCTGTGCAGAGGCACAGAGGAGGAGAGTCTAGAAATAGCTCTGTTCAAAAGTTTGTTGGGCCAGTTGTCTCCCACTTCCTCCTAGAGCTGCTGCTGGAGGAGAGCCTCAGGAACACATACCTCACCCTGCATCCTGCCCTACTGTCACTTTGGCATTTGCTGTTTCGCATTAATCCCTGGCAGCCTATTAACCCTCCAGGAAAGGACAGAATGAAGGCAAAGCTGGGCTCTGAGACAAGGGACTGGCTGAAATAGGGCCCCCATGCCCTTGTCTTTAGGTCACTTGATCTCTCCACTGACTCACTGCTCTCATCTATGAATTGGTCACAATCAGTCAATGACTTGGCAGTCAAAAGAAGTAGTAGGTCTAAGTAATAGGTCCACAGGCCTCTTTGATCTCAGTTCAGATCCTCTTCCCATCTCCCCAGGCCCAGTCCCCAATTCTGTAGCAAAGGCCTTCCTGGCTCTACACCAGTCCCAGTCATCAAATACCCCTTCCTACACCTTCCCTATATTTGGCTCAGATGATGAGAAAGGAAGCTAATCATTTTGACAAGGTTCGTTGGTCCCATGGGGCTATGGGATTGGGGTGGGTTCACCCTGTCTCTGGGGCCCAGGCCCTTTTGGCACAAGCATGTGGGATATCCAGATGCTCAGGACAATTTATCTTGTTCTTCCCCGAGGTTCAGAACCAGACACTGACCTTCAGGGAGGCGGTGCAGTTTCCAAGGGCGTATGGTGATAGTGGTGATATTGGGGCGACAGAGCCAGGGAGAATGGGTGCAGGGGAGAGAGAGTCAGTGCTATAATAAGTCCTGCCAGATCAGATAGTGTCAGCTCTCACCCTTCATGCACCCACACGCGTTGCCCCTACGGGGAGAGAGCTCCTTGCCCTCCAAATATGGTGCATTTCTCAGTGGTCAGCTCCACATCTGCAGTGGGGGCGGGGGAGGCGGCTCTGGAAGGTGAGCAGCAAGGGTCCTGGGCTCAGCCCGAGCATGAACAATTGAGTGTGTGGACACTGGACGGGGTGTGGGAGGAGGACGGTCCCTCTCCAGGCCTTGGAGGGGCGGTTCATGTGGGATGCATTCGGAACCACTGCAGAAAGGGAGATTCAGGGGAGATGCTGGGGAAGAACTTCCAGCAGGGCAGAGAGTCCAATCATCCCAAGAAGAGTTTGTGAAAGCAAGGGAAGGGAAGTTACAGCTCTCCCCTCCACCTGCATGGAGGAGGCAGGACCAAGTGAACTGTTGGGGAGAGGCTGGTTCTTTCCCTCCCCTCCCGCCCTCCCTGAAGCCCCACTGAGGTGACTCAGTGCATGTTTGTTGAATTGGACTCAGAGGCCTCTGCCCTGACATTGTCCACAGTGACAGCGAGTGATAGAAAGCGCTTTCATGTCGGATTCTTAAAGTAGGAATCTTCCAAACCCATTTTGGAGGTAAGGAAATTAAGGCTCTAACAAGGTAAAGAATGTAACATGCTTGAGGGCAGGTGGCAAGAGGAAGGTAGAGCCTAGAGGTTCTTTCCATGACAGTCTGCCAACCCCAAAGTCCTGTACCTTGACAACTCTGTCCCCCCACCCCACCCCTCAGGCCTCACCTCCCAGAATGAGCTCCCGCCCTCCCCGCAGTCTCAGTCTGAGTCTCTCCCAGTCCTCTCCCAGTGGACAAACCAAGGTGCTGCAACCCAGAGAGGTCTGCCAAGCTGAGAAACGCCAGGGGCTGGCGGATGAGGACAAGGGCAAGGAGCCGGGCTGCTGGGCTCTTCCCTGACCACCCATATATTAATAAAGTACGTCGCTCCCTACGATCATCTTCTTTCTCCCAGCTCTGCTTTATTTTTCTTCATAGCATTTATATCAGCAATCTGTTAAGCACCTATTTTGTTATTGTCTGTTTTCCCCAAGAGACTGTCATCTCCACAGAGCAGGGACTTTTGTTTTGTTTATGGCTATACCCCCAATGCGTCTAAATATTTATACGAAAAATGAATGCCTGCTAGGCCTGCCACTCACTATTACGTGACCCTGGGCAAGTTACCCATCTCTCTCTCTCTTTTTTTTTTTTTGAGACAGTGTCTTGCTCTGTTGCCCAGGCTGGAGTGCAGTGGCACGATCTCAGCTCACTGCAACCTTCGTCTCCTGGGTTCAAGCGATTCTCCTGCCTCAGCCTCCCGAGTAGCTGGGATTACAGGTACGTGCCAATATGCCCAGCTAATTTTTGTATTTTTAGTAGAGATGGGGTTTCACCATGTTGCCAGGCTGGTCTCGAACTCCTGACCTCAGGTGATCTGCTCGCCTTGGCCTCCCAAATTGCTGGTATTATAGGCGTGAGCCACTGCGCCCGGCCTCACCCATCTCTTGATTAACATTTATCAAGCCCTTGCCATGTGCTGGGCACTATTTACTCTATGAACTTTATATGTATTAGCTTATTTAAACCCCGCACAAACCTATGAGGTAGTTACTATTATCACCCTCCATCACTGACAGGTGAGTAAAATGAAGCCCCGAGAGCAGAGGTAGGCTGCTTAAGGGAGGTGGCTGGGGGCAGAGCTGGGATATCATAGGTGGGAATAATTAAGCTCGACCTAGAGCTGAATTAATTGCTGGTGCACTCTGGCCCCCCCTTCTGCTGCGTGACTGTCTCTTGTTCTCTGCCCCCTGCTCCCCATACTTCCATTAAAAAGCCCATATAAAACAGGGCTATGTAGCCCATTATAAAACAGGGCTAATCACAGCTCCTCTTTTCCTTCCCTCCTCTATTGCTCACTCCCCTCCTCAACAGGGCTGAGTCTCCAAGGAGAGGACGGCACAGGCAAGGCTTGGGTGCTGGGGGCCGAGGGCGAGGTCGAAGGTGTCACTGGCGCTCTGGCTGCCTGCACGGGCAGGAAGGCTTCTTTGCCGGCCTGGGAGTCAATCTCCTTCCTCTTTTCCCTCTCACGCTCTTCTAGGTTTTGGGTTCTCTTCCTATAAAACAGGGAGGAGTTTCTCAGGCTCTGGTGTGAGGGAGAGAATAGAGAAGTTACATGAAAGTATGTCTGTTTCTGGTAATATGGTGGTCTGTGCCCACTTCAGCTTAAAAACAACAACAAATGCTGCATAGAATTAAATCTTTTCAAAGCATTGAAGAGACCACAAGGCAGTAAGAAATGAGTAGGCCAAAATCTAAGTCAAAGCAGAATCTGTACTGGGGCCCCCCGTGCCCTGAGGTCATTGGCCAAGCCAAGCCGAACCTGAGCTTTGATCCTGATGGTTTGGGGAGTGAGGAAGACAGAAGTGGAAGCCCAGTTCTCACCCCAAGAGGGGACACAAATGGATGACCCTCCCATGATGCTGAGACCCCAAAAGGCTACACACTCAAGCTAAAAGCCAGAGGAAATCCCATCCTGCCACCCACAAGACTTCAAGGAAAGTTGTTTTGGTGCTGAGCAGAGCAGGGGAAGAAGGAAAACAGCCCTTAAGGAGCTCCAGCCACTGGCCAGCCTTCATGTGACTCTAGCCCAAATTCATTCCCATCACCTGGGGTGGAAGGGCCAGAAATCTCAAGCTTAGACTCTGGAAGTGCCCCTGGGAGGAACACACCTCCTTCCTGTGCCTCAAAGACATCCCACCTGATGATTTCCCCCCTGGGAAGCAAGCAGTTCACAGCCAAAAGCTGGGATCTGGTCAGGCAAGTTCAGACTTCTCGTCTGTAAAGGGGAGGCTTAGCCACGTGCTCTCCAAGTTCTACCCGGAATAGAGATTTGTAGGGGTGCAACCTGAGCGAGGCAGAAGTGTGTCCCCACTTGGTATTCTGGGGGCCTCTGCAGAGTGAAGAGATGGGGCTGTGATGTGATGGATAAGCCAGACTGTCTCCTCCAACTGAGCTGGAAGGACTTGGCAGGAGACTGTCCCCTGTTCCCAACTCTGGGGGAGGGCAGATGGGGAATGAAAGGGGAGTGGTGTCTGAGCCCAGACTGGCCTTTGATGTGTGCGTGGATAGGTGGGCAGGTGGGGCCTGTAATGGGTCTGCTGAGGGATCCCTGAGGGCATCCTCAGTGTTGACCTACTTGTGTCCCCCATAATTGCTTCCTTCCTTTCTTGGGAGGCTACAAATAGTGACGCCCTGTCTCTAAGCTCCTACAGCTGAAACGCCAGCACCAGTGGTGAGTGCCAGCTGCTTGGGTCCTGCCCTGGGTTGAGTGTCAGGGCAGTTTGGGGACCCCCAGTAGCCAGCCTGACTCCTGACCCAGGGTCTGGCATTGGAAGCAGAGAGATGACCACAGGCGGGCCTGACACGGGGAGGGAAGTCAGATATAGTGGACGCAGAGGTTTCCTTACACAGTGAGGGGCTGTTGGGGAAGTTTGGGCAGGGAGGTGTGTAGAGCTAAGGTCTGCCTTGGGGTGGGAGCACTGGGCTCAAGGCTCTGGTCTTCCCCTTGATCAGGCCCCTCACCTGCTCCTTGCCTCCTTGCTTCACCTCTGAGTCTCCTCATTTCTGAGGATCATGGCCCTTTCCTCTCCTGGGAACCTGGACACCTTGCTCTAATCCTGGGGTGTTTACAATGAATTAAATCCTGGCAGTGCTTGGCACTCCCCACTCCCCTTCCCCTACTTTCCTGCCAGCCACAACCATGCCAGCCATTTGCTCCCAGCAGGGGGCCCAGCAGTGGGCAAATCTTCAGGGAGAGTCTTGGCCCTGGCCGCCCTGTGCTGCAGGACTCTTGTCCCGTGGGGGAATCAGGAGTGAGTCACTGGGCTAGCATGGAAAAAACTCTTGCCTTCCTGGCTGCCTTCGGGTTTTCCCAGGCTGGAGGCATCATCCCAGAAGGGCGGTGGAAGGGGACAGTGGAAGTGGGGGGAGGTGAGCAATTCCAGGAAGGGCTTCCCCTCCAATAGAACAGAGTATCCCTATACAGAACCTCCCTGCTCAAAACCCCCAGGGGTCGGGAGGGTAACCTCAGGGGAGGCCAGTCTCAGATTGGTAAACACCCGAACTGGTCAACTCTCAAGAGACCATCTGGTTCAGGTTCCTGACTGGGCCAGCGAGGTGAGATGAACCCCAACTTACAGATCAGGCCCCGCCCCTGAGACCCAGAGAGACAAATGGCTCACCAAGGTTGCACAGCTGGCGACAGGCAGAGAGGATCCCACAAGTTTTTCTTCTGGGTGCAGCTTCCTCGAGTTCAGGGCAGGAGGCAGGGTGAGGGCAGTGGTGGTGAGGCTGTGGGGGCGCCTCTCAGACCTGCCCCTCCCTGCTAAGGCCTAGCTTCTCCAAGGGCTGAGGGCAGAGAAGCACAGGGCCAGGCTCTCCTTGTGCAAGTTCCTGCAGGGAGGGAGGCTTCTAGGGCATCTCATGGGCTGGGGCAGACTGGGACCGAGCCATCCCTGGGTGTTGGGGATAAGAAGAGGTGGCAGATAATCTGAGAGTGCTTAAGGAGCCCCACGGTGGGGTGTGTGGGTGGTGGGGTAGGATGCTGTCTCTCTGAGGAGTTTACAGCGATGTTGGGGCAATGAGACCTCTACATGGGGAAATAACAACAGGACAGCAGGGGGATAAATTAGGAGGGGCTGGTGTGGTCTGGGAGGGCTACTCAGAGGAGGGGGAGACTGCGGGGCCTGAAGCCTGATGGAGGTTAAGATGGGTCTGGGAACAGTCTCTGAGAAACACAGAGGGCAGAGGTGAGCTGGGGGGCTGGCCTGGAACTCTGCTGTGAGCCACACCCTTGTTCTGTGACAGTGAGGATGGCCAGGCCTCTGGAGCAGGCGGTAGCTGCCATCGTGTGCACCTTCCAGGAATACGCAGGGCGCTGTGGGGACAAATACAAGCTCTGCCAGGCGGAGCTCAAGGAGCTGCTGCAGAAGGAGCTGGCCACCTGGACCCCGGTGAGCAGTCAGAGTGTCCGTCCCCTCCTCCTCCGGGGGGAGGCACTGCCTAGACTCTGCAAAGAGAGACCTGGGGACAACAAGCATGAGCACAGGACAGCAAGGGAGGGGGCTGGATTGTGAGGAGGGAGTGGGAGGGGGAGAACTGACACAGCAGAAACCTCAGCTTCCTCATCTGTAAAATGGGATGACAATCATCCCTGCTGCCTTGCAGAGCTGTTGAGAGGACTGAGTGAGAGCACCATGAAGAATGCCTAACACTTGGTAGGCACTCAGTAGCAAATAGTAGGTGCTCGATTAATAATCTGAGAGGACAGATTTGGGAGGGGATTGCAACGAGTGCATTATCAGAGCAGGGAGGTTGAAGTCGGCCCTCAGAAGGGTGTAGTTTGGGGTGGGGTGGGTCCACTTGGGAGAGGAAGGAGGGAGGTGGCGTGTGAGGCTGTTCTGCCCTCCTCATCCTACTCCCTTACCTCTCCCAACCCTTCCCTTGCACAGACTGAGTTTCGGGAATGTGACTACAACAAATTCATGAGTGTTCTGGACACCAACAAGGACTGCGAGGTGGACTTTGTGGAGTATGTGCGCTCACTTGCCTGCCTCTGTCTCTACTGCCACGAGTACTTCAAGGACTGCCCCTCAGAGCCCCCCTGCTCCCAGTAGCCTCTGCTCCAGGGGGTGCGCTGGCTGTCGGGGGCTGGGCATGTCTCCCACACCCCCTCCTACCCTCTCTCCTGTACCCCTTTCAATCTGGACTTGCCCAGGTCTTCTGCGATCAGTTAACCCATTTTACCTAGGAGGCCCAGAGATGTGAGGGCTCCTTCCTCAGGATGCCCAGCGAATGAGGGGTAGAGCCACTCTGGGGCCCAGCCTGCCTGCCGCACCCCTGTGGCCTCCCTTGTGGATGGGAGGAGGCGGGATCTGCTCTGAGGCCCTCGAGGCTCAGCAGAGCGTGCACCAATGAGACCACGATGGGAAAGGGCCTATTTAACTCCTAATAAAAAACTGGCATCAGCTTGGTTTTGTTTGGTTCTTCTCTGAGGACGCGTCTCCTGAGCTCTTTGCTCCTCTCTGGCCTTTTCCACTGCGGGAAGGCAGCTGAGGGCAGGGGCAGGGTGCTCCCTGAGGGAAGTTGCAGACCCTGCAGAAATGCAGTGGCCTCCAGGGTCCAGCAGGAGGGCGTGGGGACAAAACAAGGACCCCTGTCCTCCCTTCCTCTCTCTCTTTCTTTGGGATCTTTGAGAGAGGACTGCCTGAGTTTCCCCTGGGACTCAGTGCTCATGGTTGGAGGAGGGTGGGGCCGTGGGTGCAGTGGGGGTGTTTGTTCCCTGCCTCGGGCTGTGGGAGCCCAGAGAGCAGCACTAATGGGATTAGGGTGTCTGAGGTGTTTCTCCCAGCCAGGAAGGGGTGCTCTGTATGGAGGGGTAAGGGAATAACTTGAGCTAGCCCCTATCCCTGAAGCCGCAGCCCCCTGAGGGCCTTAACCCCCTACTTCTAACCCTCACTGGGTTTGTAGCCCACCCTGAGAGGTTGACCCGAATTATAACTCCCCTATTTCATGCCATTTCACCTCTAACTCTCCACCCCAACCTGGATTCTTCATTCCTGACACTCATCCCAACTTTAAATGGCCCCTCCTGATACCCTCTCCGAACCTGAGATCTATCCGTGAGCCCCCACGCCTCACTGCCACTCCACTCCATCACTACCTCACCCAGGACCTTTCCCACTGACGTTCCTGAGGTGGTCCCAGAGCCTCCTTTGGGTGTGAGCCTGTTCCCCTCCAGATCCCCCCGCCCCGACCCTGAGCCTTACTTGGCATGGCAGACAGTACCGGGCATGGGGATCCCCACCCCAGTTTTTGTTTCTGAATCTTTATTTTTTTAAGAGACAAGGTCCTCTGTGTTGCTCAGGCTGGAGAGCAGTGGCTTGAGCATAGCCAACTGCAGTCTCGAACTCCTGGGCTCAAATGATCCTCCTGTCTCAGCTTCCTGACTAGCTGGGACTACAGGCTACAGCCATGCTGCCCAGCTAATTAAAAAAAAAAATTGTTTTTCCTTTTTATAGAGACAGAAGTCTCTCTATGTTGCCTAGGCTGGTCTTGAACTCCTGGCCTCAGGCGATCCTCCCATCTCCCCCCTAGCTTTTGTGTCACCACATTTCCAGGGCAATCTCCCACCTGTCACCCACCACCCCCTGCATCTCCTTTCCTAGGTCCCCATGGGACTACTCCCTGTCCCCCATGCTCCAGGCACAGGCTGCCCCTTCCTCCACCTCTCTAAAACTCAGGCTGAGCTATGTACACTGGGTGGTGCCCATCTCATCCAGTCCCCTGCTAGTAACCGCTAGGGCTTACCCGTTACCCACGGGTGCCCACCTGGGAACAGGAGGCTTGGTTCCACGGCTGGGCTGGTGGAGGGTGCTGTGGCACTTACCGCATCAGCCCACAGCAGGAAGGCAGTATCCGCTCTCCCCTGTCCCCTGCTATGGGCAGGGCCTGGCTGGGGTATAAATAGGTCAGACCTCTGGGCCGTCCCCATTCTTCCCCTCTCTACAACCCTCTCTCCTCAGCGCTTCTTCTTTCTTGGTTTGGTGAGTTGTGTTGGCCTGACTGGCATGCAAGGGGTGTCAGAGGCCAGGGCTGGGGAAGGAGAAGGGGAGGCTGGTGGGGGCCAGATGTGCTAAAGAGATCCAGATGTGAGATTCTGATGTGGAACTCTGGGTGGATTGTGTGCGTGGGTGTGCATGGCACACACACACATGCACGTAAGACGGAGGAAAAAACAAACAGAAAAGTGAGCAAGTGACTGAATTTGAGCTCTCCAGGTGCTTCTGAGATGTGGGCTTGCACACGCTGTTGCTATAGTACGTGTTGGTATGTATGTGCCTGTGGGTATCTGCACTGGCTCATGTTTGCTGGGTTGCGCACTCGGGAGCAGGAAGCAAAGGAAAGGCAGAAGGCAACTGTGGGCCTTTGTCTGGTGGTGTGCCCCATGAGCCTCTGCCCTGCACGCAGCAGCCCAGCTCGAGAAGGTGCATGGCCTCTGCAGCTTCTCTTCCAACCCTTGCCTCTGCCACCTCACTTTGCCCCTCCCCATGCTGAGAGCTAAGCGGCTGTGCTGGTTTTTTCCACTGCAGGCCCCTGGGCAGGCCTCCAGCAGCCACACCCAGTTCTGGGAGGGAAAAGAATGGCAAGGGCGGGGCCTTTGTGGCTGAGCTGTGGGAGTGGATAGACTGAGTGAGGGGTGGAAAAAATGCTGTTGTTGAGGCAAGGCCTGGGAGGCCCTGGGAGTTTGCTGCCCGAATCTCCAGAGCTTGCGCAGCGGATCTTGCAAATGTTCACTGCCCAGAGCATGTGTTCCCCACTGTGCACACCCTCCCAGCCAGGTGCGGGGGCCCACTGCTCTGGGCTCCCCCAGGGAGGGAGCAGAGTCTCGCCAAGTGCTCCTGGAGGGATGGGAGTGGAGCCTGGCATTCTGAACACATCTCTGAGGGGTGGGATTAATAAGACGGTCTCTGTGCCTCCTGCTCCCAGATCCTGACTGCTGTCATGGCGTGCCCTCTGGAGAAGGCCCTGGATGTGATGGTGTCCACCTTCCACAAGTACTCGGGCAAAGAGGGTGACAAGTTCAAGCTCAACAAGTCAGAACTAAAGGAGCTGCTGACCCGGGAGCTGCCCAGCTTCTTGGGGGTGAGTGGGTAGTGCCTGAGTGAGTCCCCACGTGGGGCATTTCCCACAGAGGAGGGCAGCAGTCTTGCTCTAGAGCATTAGCTACAGAGGGCATCTATCAGTGGGGTGGCTGCCTGGGGTGGAAACACATTGAACACCACCACTCACTGCCTGGCCCCATGCTGAAAGAGGGCTGAGAATGAATGGGTCAGACACTGCCAGGTGCTTTGCACAACTTAACTGAAGGGAAGACTAAGCTCAGAGTGCTAAGTAACTTCCCAAGGTGGTCAGTGTACACAACTGCCATCCGGACCGGGACTGTCTGACTCTTGCCATCACTCCAACAGTGGACACTGTTTGAGTTTCTATTTGGCTTGTAGATGTGAAGACACAGATGTGGAGATGATCACAGGCCTGCAGACGTTCCCTTCAAACAATAACAATGTATATTTGTATCAAACATAACACAGTTTATATATTGTTTTCATGACTATTACTACCTCATGGGATTATTAGAACAACCTTGGGTGAAAATGTAGTGGTCCCGTCATTTTTCCATTGCACCAGGTACTCAGACTTCCTTATCCAAGGAGCACCTTCTCCACCCTAGCTTAGCCTTGAGGGTTGGAGTTCCAAACTGGACCTCCCAAAGGAGCCTCCCTGAACTCTGGTCTGGGAGTAGAAACTGGGTCTGGTCCTGGCTCCACCCACTGGGCTTCTGTTTTCTATCTGTAGCCTCTTCTCCCTCCAGAAAAGGACAGATGAAGCTGCTTTCCAGAAGCTGATGAGCAACTTGGACAGCAACAGGGACAACGAGGTGGACTTCCAAGAGTACTGTGTCTTCCTGTCCTGCATCGCCATGATGTGTAACGAATTCTTTGAAGGCTTCCCAGATAAGCAGCCCAGGAAGAAATGAAAACTCCTCTGATGTGGTTGGGGGGTCTGCCAGCTGGGGCCCTCCCTGTCGCCAGTGGGCACTTTTTTTTTTCCACCCTGGCTCCTTCAGACACGTGCTTGATGCTGAGCAAGTTCAATAAAGATTCTTGGAAGTTTTGAGGCTGATGGTTTGAGAGACTCTGGGGGCGTGGGTTGGGGACTGAGGGATATGTTGTGGGGTGGTGGTGGGGAGAGCTGGGAGTTGAGCTGAAGTTTTATGGACAGCAGACCAGTGAAGTTAGGGGAGGGATGCAGGGTGACTAACAGTGTGTGTGCACAGGCAATAGAGTTCACTCGGTGTGGTCAAAGCCGAGAAGGGGACCCCTCACCACCCCCCTGCCAAGGTTTGGAAGGTCCCAGCTGTGGGATCTCAGCCAGCCCACTTACCCCTCCCACCTCTCTCCAACCTTGCCTCTGGCAGGATCTTGAACCGAGGCTGGAATTGAAGGTCATATCTGTTCCTGGTTGGGGTCTGGAATGGAGTTTGGGTGTCCTGGGAGTAAGTCGGAGGGAAAAGAATAAGGCTGAGTTGCAGGGAGGAAGTATTTAGGCGAGAGTGGGATGGGGAGGAGGGCTGGCACTCAGTGCTGACGTTGACAGTCCAGGCCCTGTCCTGCCACCCACTTCCAGATCATTGGCTTCAAACCACAGGGATGGATTAATCCTTTCCTGTGCGTGGTAGGATCAGGGAGGGCAATGTGGAGGGAGACCCGCTGTTTGCAGCAGCATGAGAATATAGGCATTCTCGAATCCACCGTCTCTGCCATAAAGGTCCCTGGATGAGATCTGTTATCAGTCAGGAATCAAGCTCCTTCAGAGAAGGACAGGGGACCTCAGAAGAGATGAGTGGGGGTCAGTGGCTGGAGTGGGAGTGAGGCAAATGGTGGGAAGGTGACCATAGTTTTGGAGACAAAATTCCACATATATGATCTGACAAATGAAATTGAGATTATTTTCCCCCCAGAAAATATAAGGCATGATATTGCTTCCCCTTAGGTAGGTTCAAGGCCAGTGGCTCCAGGGTGCAGTGGTGGGTTGAGGTTAGACTTCAAGGCCATGTCTGGGTGACTCAGGGATCTTTTAGGAAGAGGTGCATGGAGGTCAGGTGCAGAGGCTGGAGGGCTTTGTCCCACTGACCTCCTCTTGAGGGTCCTCTTTCCTCTCATCACATGGGGCTTTTCTCTCAGGTTTCAGAGGAGTGGGGCAGGTGACTCAGATGTTCCCGCAGGGTTTGAATACAGAGACTTGGGAGGAATTTCAGTTCAGGAGAAAGTCTGCTGCCTTCCGCTGCCCTCTCCATCCACCCTCCCTGGGAGCGCCCTCCCTGGGGCCTCCACCCAGGTCACGCTCTCCTTCAGAGATGCCTACTGCATAGCAACCAATCCCTGCTGCCTCTCCAATCTTGCCAGCTGGGGGTGGGGTGGAGTGGGGAGCAGTGGGGAGGCCCCCCAGGCTGGGGTGGGACTGCAGCAGTGATAGGTACTACACCCTGAGCCCAGGTCTGTTCTTGGACTGGTGGTAGAAGTATGTTGTTCTACTGTGGTAGAACGATGTCTGAGTGTCTCCTGGGATACAGGAAACTCTCCCTGGCCCCTACTTCCTCCTTGACTGCAGCCTGAACCTGAACCCCCCTCCCCAATCCACAACCTCTACCCCAGTGCTGGGCCTTAGCCCTTCGCTGGACACCTTCCCTATTCCTGATTCTCAGTCCTCCATGCCAAGAGTCTCCGACGAGCCTTTCCTGTGAAGAGCAGTGAGGCCTAGAAGAAATCGTTCATTTAAAAGCCCTTTAAAAACCTCTGGGCCCATATTAGCTCATGACCTTGACCATATCCTTCGCAGAAAATATCTTCCTCCACTGATCCCCATCTCAAGGGCTGTCTTCTCTACTCCTGGAGTGGGTGGCAGGATGGGTGGGAGGGGCCCGATGTGGAGAGCTTCCTAGGACACGGGGAGATGGTGCCCTGTGTTTGTCCCACACTTCTGAGGTTTTCTTTCCAGGACAGCCTGGTTTCCCTTCTTCGGCTTATTGTTCCATCAGATTTCAGATTTTGAGTTCTGATTTTTGGTCAGAAGAGTAAAGTTTCTGGGATTGGGGACGTGTGTGCTATGGGAACTCAGTGTGTCCCCAGCCCTTGTTTGTAAACAAGGAAGGTGAGATTGGCAGAAGGGGTTTCTCCCCAGCTCCATCCCGGGAGGCTCTGACGTGGGCATCCTCAAGTCCCCAACAACTTCTCATGGGCCCTTTCTCTCCCCTGGATTCCTAGGGACAGAGATCAGGGAAATAAAGGCAGAAGGCAGTGAGAGGGAGGCTATGCCTGCTGCTTGGATTCTCTGGGCTCACTCCCACAGTGGTAAGTCCTTCCTTCCTATGTCTCTGTTCATCTGATATCTGGTGGGTCACGCTGGATGATGAGGGTGACAAGTGGTGGTGACCTCCACCAAGGAGGCCTGGCCCCACAAGCGGGCATGCGCTCAGGGAGAAGAGGGCAGAGCCTTTGGAATTTCTTGAGAAATGGCTCTGGGGTGGAGGTGGGGGTCTGGACTAGCCAGGATGCTCCTGCAGGTGCACAGAGTCCCTTGCCTTCAACTGTGGTCCCAGCTGAGTCTCCTTGAGGTGGGAGAGGCTGAGGTTTTTGTGGTGGGAGAGGAATGATGGGTCTGGTTCAAGAATGGCAGGGAGGGCTTTGGGCTGGAGGTGAAGACTCTCCACAGATTTAACCTGCAGCCTTCAAGTTCCGTGGGTGTTGCCTCCTTCCTCCCTGAGGGGGAAGTGGTTTTTGAGTCTGAGTCACTTGAGCTCCATCTGTCTCTTCCCTTGGCTGAGGGTGGCTGTGCTATTGGAATCCAGGCCCTTATTCAAGCGTAGCCTCTGGATCCAGGTTTTGGAATGATCCTGGAGATTTCAAGAGGCCCCCTGCCCTCCCTGCCCGCTGACCCGTCTCTGTGTGCACTGCTCTGGGCCAGAGTCTGGAGACCAGCTGGGCCAGCTCAGCTCACCTCCCTGCTGCTCCTTGTTGAGACCCCATCACCCAGTTCCAGCCCAGCCCCCTCTCAGCCCTGGACTCTCTCTTTGCCCTGTCCCCGACTTTAATAATGGGACACTCCTCGATATCAGGTGATTCAGGCACTGGGGGAAAGGCTGGTGAACTGCCTGTGGAAAACCAGTTCCTAAGCTGGAAGAAGCAGAGAGAAAATCGTGACCCTTGATCTGCTCCACCATCTGCCACCAGGGCCTTTTGAGGAGGTCGTCTTCTCATCTTTCTGCCTCAGGCCTACTTTTCAACAACTCCCCAGCAGGAGAGTCTGTGGTCTCCTTTGGGGTCTTGCTGTTCTCCTTGTACCAGCAGCTCCAGAGTTTGTTGTGGGTCTCATTGTAACCTGTACTGATATAGATGGGCGCTCTTGTTAGTGGATTTCAGTCTCATCCTGGGTTCCAGTCTCTTGTTCTTTGAGGGAGGGGCCTCAGAGGTAGGCTAGTGCTGCTGGTGGTGACTTCCTGAGGAATGGGATCTTCCCCTCTCCCTCTACAGAGCTGCACACTGTGATGGAGACTCCTCTGGAGAAGGCCCTGACCACTATGGTGACCACGTTTCACAAATATTCGGGGAGAGAGGGTAGCAAACTGACCCTGAGTAGGAAGGAACTCAAGGAGCTGATCAAGAAAGAGCTGTGTCTTGGGGAGGTAGGTGATTGTTCCCTCATCCTCCACCCCAAAGTCTGAGTACTCCCTCTGGGGGACACATACCTACCCTCAGGATCCTCCAGCCTAAGCCAGGGGCAGGGTGGCCAAGGGCTACAGACAGAGACAAAGGAAGATGGTGGGGATTTCGGGCCAGCAAAACTCTAGCCCTCTGTGAAGGAGAATGGGTCAGGGTCTCACTGAGAAGGAGGAAGGGCTGAGTCTGGAGGGTTTAGAGAAGGAGATTGAGGAGCCTTCGATGGTGGGGCCAGGCTCTCCCAGCAGTGGCAGAACCTGTGCTAGGGGTCATGGGTGGTGAAGGGATGCAGGGTGTCCAGGTCCAGCTGTGTACAACTCAAGTGTAGGGACTCTGCCTGATTCTTCTCTGTGTGCACAGCATGGCCAGGGCTCTCTGATGGTGCTGGCACTCAAACTGAAAGGTTAACTTGTAAACATAGGGTAGTGAGGAGACAGAACTGGTTCTCACCAGATGGAGGTGGTGGGAGGGAGGTGACTGACAGAGGGGAAGGCCCATGAGGTTATTATAATACAATATCCCCGAGGATAAATAAATAAATAAATATATATATATATATATATATATATTTTTTTTTTTTTTTTTTTTTTTTTTTGAGAGAGTCTCGCTCTGTCACCCAGGCTGGAATGCAGTGACATGATCTTGGCTCACTGCAACCTCCGCCTCTCAGGTTCAAGCGATTCTCCTGCCTCAGCCTCTTCAGTAGCTGGGATTACAGGCACGCACCATCACGCCCAGCTAATTTTTGTATTTTTAGTAGAGATGGGGGTTTCACCATGTTGGTCAGGCTGGTCTCGAACACCTGACCTCGTGATCCATCTGCCTCGGACTCCCAAAGTGTTGGGATTACAGGCGTGAGCCACTGCGCCTGGCCAAGGATAAATATTTTTGAGACAGAGTCTCACTCTGTCACCCAGGTTAGAGTGCAGTGGTGCGATCATGGCTCACTGTAGCCTTGAACTTTCAGGCTCAAGTGATCCTCTTACCTCAGCCTCCTGAGAAGCTAGGACTACAAGCAAATACCACCACGCTTAGATAATTTTTAAAATTTTTTGTAGAGATGGGGTCTCACTATTTTACCCAGGCTGTTCTTGAACTCCTGGCCTCAAATGATCCTATCGCCTCAGCCTCCCAAAGTGCTGAAATTACAGGCATGAGCCACTGTGCCTAGTCTTATTATTTTTATAGTTAAAAAAAATCAATGCTCAAATACATCAAATAACTTGCCTAAGGACAATCCGCTAGTGGGAGGCTGAGCTGGAGTTCTGGGCCAGGCCTGTGAATCATCCTCCCTGTTTCCTTTAAAATTTAGCCTGGGTGCCTCTCCATCTATCACACCTTGAGCCCTGGTAGGCCCTCCCAGAAAGAAGGTCCACAGTGTGCCACATGGGCAGGGGACAGAAGCAGGTATGGGCGTCCCCAGGCCTGATCTCTGGCCTTCTGCCAGGCTGCCTGCATCCTGGAGGTTAATGAGGGCAGAGGGAGGGGCCACAGGTCCAGCAGGGATTAATTACAGAAGGAGAGACGCCCAGAGGAGGGCCTGGCAATAACAGGAGCCCAGGCTGGGGACTAGGATCACGTGACAGACAAGCAGTTTCCGCCTTTGTAAGTCCCAATGTCTCCTGTGAAAACCTGTAGCTGACGGCAATGATGAGGAGACATCAGGATCTGCTTGTCTATATTTTCTTCCTGTTCCACCCAAAGGACCCTGACTCCATCGTCCTAATGGAGCCAGGCTGGGACATCAGGGGACTGAACAACAGTGCACAACCAGGCTCCAGGCAGGCCTCTTGCACAGCTCTCCTAGCAGGGGAGGGATGCAGTGGCTTCACAGCCCCAGTGCACTGCTCTCATTGAGAGACATTTTGTCCGGGGTTATTCTCACCTAGTCCTTAGAATGGGGAGAGAGTCACTCAGAGACTTGGATAATGCTCAATGCCACATAATCAGCAAGGTGTTCTTTTTTTTTTTTTGAGAAGGAGTTTCATTCTTGTTGCCCAGGCTGGAGTGCAATGGCATGATCTTACTTACTGCAACCTCCGCTTCTCAAGTTCAAGCGATTCTCCTGCCTCAGCCTTCCAAATAGCTGGGATTACAGGGATGTACCACCATGCCTGGCTAATTTTGTATTTTCAGTAGAGACAGGGTTTCACCATGTTGGTCAGGCTGGTCTCGAACTCCTGATGTCAGGTGATCCACCCGCCTCGGCCTCCCAAAGTGCTAGGATTACAGGTGTGAGCCACCACACCTGACCCAGCAAGCTGTTTTTATCAGGTGTTGGTATAAAACCTAGATGATTGTTTCTTTGGCTGGGGGACAGTATTGCAGGGAAGGCAGGCTAGGCTAGCATTCCTGCTGTCATTTATTTCCATTCAGGAGTCAGGTCCCTGACCCCCTACCTCATGCCAGGCCCTTCCCTAGGTGTGGGCAGTGGGCAGACTCTGGGGGTCGAGATGCTGACAGTGTCATTGACTCAGCTGGGGCTCACCCTGAAGTTTCGGGGTGGGGATGACACCATGCAGTGGTGCGAGGGCAGGGCTGGGAGCGGGGTC
The DNA here is from genome assembly GCF_000001405.40 of Homo sapiens. NCBI lineage: Eukaryota > Metazoa > Chordata > Mammalia > Primates > Hominidae > Homo > Homo sapiens. The sequence goes on along the minus strand of NC_000001.11, from coordinate 153,537,467 downwards.
TGAGCTGTCTCTCCACCTGGGTCCACAAAAGATGAAGGAGAGCAGCATCGATGACTTGATGAAGAGCCTGGACAAGAACAGCGACCAGGAGATCGACTTCAAGGAGTACTCGGTGTTCCTGACCATGCTGTGCATGGCCTACAACGACTTCTTTCTAGAGGACAACAAGTGACCAGGGCTGCCCTCCACCCTCACCCTCCACCCTTTGCTGCTGACCTCGGCTGCTCCTCTCACAGACCCTCTTTGGCCCCCTGCCCTCCTCTCCCTCCCAGATGGACCCTTCCATGGGAGGAAATAAAGTTTCCATCGCAGGTGCTGGGAGTCTGGTTTTGAAGCTGTCTTGTCTACCTTGGCCTGGGGAGAGGGGAGCACAGGAAGGGTCTCTCCTTGAGTGGGTTGAGACAGCTTCTGCCTCTGGGGGTTAGGGTCCTGGGCTCCCACTGCATTCCTCTCCTTCTTTGGTGTGGACGTCATTGGTTTTGTCATGGCTTAGTTTTGCCTGCCTGGAAAATGGGGAAGTTAGGCCAGGCGGGAACTCTGCAAGGATGCAGAGGAAGTTAAGAGGGAAAGTTGCTTTGAGAGGAGGACACTGGGAGGGGTTGGGAGTGGCTCCTGAGGGCGGTGATAGGCAGGCAGGCCTGACTTGTCCACAGCTCACCGGAGGCCACCTTGGCAGCACCTGTAGGAAGGGCATGTCTGGCCTCCACACCAGCCCCCTCCCTCTTCACCATTTCCCCTTCAATAGCACCACTCTCATCATCTATGGGGGACAGTGCTTTCTTCTCTCCCTGCCTCCTCCATCAAAATCTTTTCTCAGGGGAGGGTCTGAAAAGGCCTTCACTCCCCCGTAAATAACGAATGGTGCTTACAGGGCTGGGCTCCCACGTGCATGCACATTAACACCAAAGGTGCTGTAGTGAATGGAATTTGGGGCACTGAGGGGAAGGAGTGGAGGTGTTGGTAGGAACTTGTTGCTGGTGGGGGATGGGCGCCGTAGATATCCTTTACACCACTGGCTACTCCCCCTATCTCCTCTGGGGTGACCCTGAGTATCCTCTGTGGGACACCGGCATCCTGTGAGGCGCCCTCCTTGCCCACATTGACGCTGCGCTGGCTCGAGGGTCACATTCACGGTCTGGCAGAGGAAGCAGGGGTGACCGCCGCAGTCCTCCTCCTGCTCCCCTTGCCGAGTCACGTGTCACGAAGAGCAAACTGAGCAAACTGAGCTGCGCAGATGAGGGGAGACTCGTCACCAGGCGTGCAGTGGGCACTGCTGGGCTCCCCCATCCCGTCCTAACCCGGAACAGCCCCGGGCAGGAGGCGTGGAAAGTCGAGGGGGTAAACCGCGAATGTGCGTTGTGTAAGCCACGGCGCAGGGTGGGGCGCGGGCGGGACTTGGGCGGGCGGGGTGGGCTTGGCCGAGCTGGCCTCCGGGGCACCGACCGCTATAAGGCCAGTCGGACTGCGACACAGCCCATCCCCTCGACCGCTCGCGTCGCATTTGGCCGCCTCCCTACCGGTGAGTTCTCTCCAGGAGCCCTGGGTACTTTCCAGGGCCAGCTGCCCTCACGCTGGGGGTCCAGCCATCCCCTGCCCAGTTCAGCCGCTGGATCCAGACTGGGGCCATCTGTGGCGCTCCCCCGCTGGAGGGATAGTCAGGAGCAGCAGTGCTGTGCCAGGCAGGCCTTGGGCTAAGGGATCGCAATGGGGTGTGCTCTTTTGGGGTGCGGAAGGGAGTGCCCTGGGTGTGTCATTGCCACCATGTGTGGCCCTGTGAAGCTGTGTTTAAGCTGCCTTTGCAGCCTCCATTCCCCTCCCCTGCCCAGCCATACTCCTCAACTTCTGGATCCCCTGAAGGACAGTTCTCAGCTGTGCCCAAAGCTACTGTTCCTATATGCTTCTTAGAATCCTTAAGCCACCTCTCTTGCCTTGGCCCTAGTGTGCTCTCTCCTTCCCCTTCAAGCCCTGGGCTGTCTCCTGATGCCATTGTGTGTGGCCTGAGACTGGGTGGTTCCAAAGGAGGCGGGGCTAGTGCAGGCAGCATTATTGGGGTGTGTGGGTGAGAAGTCCTTGCTCCCATGGCACTGACTAGGCCCTCTGCTGCCAGCTCCAAGCCCAGCCCTCAGCCATGGCATGCCCCCTGGATCAGGCCATTGGCCTCCTCGTGGCCATCTTCCACAAGTACTCCGGCAGGGAGGGTGACAAGCACACCCTGAGCAAGAAGGAGCTGAAGGAGCTGATCCAGAAGGAGCTCACCATTGGCTCGGTGAGTGGCCTCCTCCCCAGGACCCCTTTTCCCACCCTTGTCCTTTGGAAGCAGGATTAGGGGAGAGAGAGGTGCCAGGTGCATCTGACTCACATTTACCCACATTCTGAGGCCCTGGTCCACATGTAGACCCTGAGCTGTAGACCCACTCTCCCAGCGGGTAGGGGATGCTTCCAGCCGGATATCCATCTCTCCAAATGAGGACCAGTAACTGAGAAGTAGCTGAGGAGAAGCAATGCCAAAGTGACATGGGTCCTTGGTGATGAGGGAGCACAGAGCCACTTGCAGAGAGGATTGCCTGGGAGGGGGAAGGGGAAGAATCCAGGGTTGTCATCACCACTGAGTATGGATTTCACATTCTAACACATTAGAAGCTGCAGGATGCTGAAATTGCAAGGCTGATGGAAGACTTGGACCGGAACAAGGACCAGGAGGTGAACTTCCAGGAGTATGTCACCTTCCTGGGGGCCTTGGCTTTGATCTACAATGAAGCCCTCAAGGGCTGAAAATAAATAGGGAAGATGGAGACACCCTCTGGGGGTCCTCTCTGAGTCAAATCCAGTGGTGGGTAATTGTACAATAAATTTTTTTTGGTCAAATTTACCCTTGCGTCCTGGCTTCCGAATGATTTCTGTTCCTCCTTGGCTTAGTGGGACACCAGCCATTGGAAGATTTGCTCACGGTCAACCTCTGAAAATGACTCATTGACTCGCCAGGCCAGAGGACCCACCCTGACAAGGCTGCCTCTAGCACATAAGGTGCCTTTATGTGAATGAGGAGAGATGCCCCTCTTGGCAACGCCATCCTAAGGAAAGGCTCAAGTGGTTTCCAGTAGAGAGAGTCCTGGGATGAGCTTGGAGATGGAAATGGTCCCTGGGCCGGGATGTGATGGGGTTTGGGGGCCTGGAAGTGAGGCAGAGATAGTCCCAGAGGCTCCCAGATGTGTTTTGCTCTGGGTGTGGCAAGAGGGGCCCTGGGGTGGGGCAAGTCCCCTTTCTCATCACAGCGCAGGGGTTAGATAGGGCACATCTGAGATGCCTGAGGCTTGGCTCAGGGAGTTTCCTACACCAGTGAGGACGCTGTGTGACTGAGTCTACTGCGGCTGCCCAGGTCCCAGGTGGAGTGGGGGAGGCACACTCTTGGAGTGTGTCCCTGCATTCAGGGTGAGGGCTTTTTGTTGGAACGGTGGTCTGAGGAGCTGGCAGCTGCACCAACACGTGAACCACGGGGTGTTCAGTAATGGGGCGGGGTATCCCTGCAGCCTCAGCGTAATGACTCACCCGGCACTTCCACGGGATCCCAGCCTGGATCTCAGCCCCCATCAGAGAAGATGACTAATTGAATCATTGTCCATCATCTGGATTAGTGTTTTCAGGCAGAAGGGAAGAGGATAAGGAGGGTAAACGCTGTTTCCGGGTGATGCCACATCATTCAGCCTCTCTAGGCCTAGTCCGAGCTGGGCAAGTTTACCTCTAGCTTCTGGGGAAGAGATCTTGACTTTAGATGGAGACCACATCCTTCTTTCCCTCTCACCTCCCCACTTCCCTTGGGGGTCCAACTTTGTGGAATTAAGTTGTCTTCTGTCCCCACTGGGTGGGGATTGGTAAACAGCTGGGAGATGCACCTTCTTGGAGGCCCTCCTTCTCTATTGCCTCCCCTGCCCTGCAGGGAGAAGTCGCGCTGTTGGTTGCAAGAGACCGGGGGCCGAATTCCCTCTCTGCACAGCCGTGCCCAAGCCTTGGCTCTATTCAGCTCCCTCTGGAAAAGTACGCGCTCCCTAACCCCTCCCGCGCCCCTCTAGGTTCCCGCCCTACACCCCTTTCCTCCCCCTTTCTTCCAGTCCCTCTCCGCCTGCCTTCCAGTGGCTGACAACTTGGGGTTCGGAGCGAGCGCCCTCCTGTGGACAGAGAGCAGGGCGCTGCGGGGACAGTCGGGTTGGTTTTCTTGAGCCTCTGGCAGGGGCCCGCCGTGGGGCTGTGGCCTGGCAGTCAGGGGAGTCCTTAGGAAGAGGAAGACAGAATAGGGCGCCCCGGGAATGTCAGGGTAGGGGGATCCTTTAGCTCCCGGCAATCAGCCCTAGAATTAAGCAACTCAGCTTCACAATTGACACACCTACAATAAGCAAGTCCATGAGGGAAAGGCGGTCCCTTTGTAAAGACAAATGGAATCGGAACCCTGCGCCTCCCCTCCCCAACCTGCAGGGCTAGAAGACCTTCGTACAAATCAATGCTCCCTGAGGAGAGGGAAGAGGAGTTTCAGTGACAGGAAGCCCGCTGCTGCGGGGAGGGGATGCTCAGGCAAGGCCGTCTGCCGGGCGTTCCTGGGGAGCTCTGGTGGGTGGGCAGGCCACCGGTGCAGGAGAATCAACACAGGTGCACAGTCCATCTGCTCAGTAAACAGGCGTGTCCTTTCGTTTCTGCTTCTCCACAGTGGTGGAGGGGAAAGGGAACATGAATTTCAAGAATAAAACAAAAAACAAAACAAACAGCAAATCTTTAGGGGTATAATTTTTTAGGTTTTTTTTTTTTTTCTCGCAGGATAGGGGAGGGAAGCAGCATTTACAATGGAATATGGTAGGTGCAGCAGTCAAATGGTGGAATTGGGTGTGGAGAGGTGCATAGACTGGACGTTTTATTGCTCCGACCAATTTAAAGTTGGAATTGAATCCTTTCAGCTCACTGTTGAGTATGGTGTGGGCTTACAGGATGGGGAAAAGTTAGGATGTGAGCTGAGGGCTTCATGAGAGGTCACTTTGCTTCTCTGAAGGTTGAGCAGTGGGAGTGGCTCTAGTCTCTCCACTTCCTTCAGTTGAGGTCCTCCCATTACTGACATTAATCCTACAATCTAATCACCCTAACATTGGTGAAGCTGCAACAGCAGCACCACAGACCATCTCTGTAAACTGGGGCAGGCCCCAGTTAGGGGGTTTAGGACTGAGTCACAGGAAGTAGCTCTCTGTTTTTTGCCAAGCAAAAAGGAAATTGTCAAGAATAATGCCACCACCTTTGTATAGGACCACATTTTTATAGCAGCTTCATTTTTGTGAGGCACCTATCATAGCCATTGCCTCTTGTCATCTTAGAAGATTTGTGTGTAGTATGTATTATTTTATTTTAATTTTTTAGAGACTGTCTCTCTCTGTTGCCCAGGATAGAGTGCAGTGACACTATCATAGCTCACTGCAGCCTCCAACTCCTGGGCTCAAGTGATCCTCTCACCTCAGCCTCCCGAGTATCTAGGACTACAGGTGTACACCAACATGTCTGGCTAATTTATTTTTTGTAGAGATGAGGTCTTGCTGTTTTGCTCAAGCTGGGCTTGAATTCCTGACCTCAAGTGATCCTCCCCACTTGGCCTCCCAAAGTGCTGGGATTAAGGTGTGAGCCATGTGAGCCGCTGTGCTCAGCCTGTGTAGTATATATGATTAACCCCACTGGACAAGTGACAAGAGGGAGCTACAGGGAAGCCATTGCCTCTACCCAGGTCAGACTGTAAGTTAAGAGGGAGCTGCGAGCAGAGCTGAGTTCTCCTGATTCCAGGCCAGCTCATTAGTGCCTGTCTCATGACATTCTTTGACCATTTCTTCCTTATCTTTTTCTCTTAAATGTTTTAATTAGATATTGGGAATACATAAAACTGTTTATAGACTAAATCTAAGATATAAGAACAATGACACAAAATCCACCCAGTATAACAAGTGAACATTACCATCACCTTCTAATTCCCTAACTTGTCTTCCCCATCCCATTTTCTTCCCTCTCAGTGGGACCGCTGTCTGGTAATACTATTTGTCATTTCCTTTCTTAATAATTTTTACTACATGTATTTTCATCTCTAAATGATATATGGGTTTACATTATTGTGAGTTTTATGTAAATGGAATAATGCCATGTGCATTCTTCTGTTACTGGCTGTTTTTCACTCAACGTTATGTTTGAGATTTATCCAAGTTGCTCTAGTTTGCTAGTTTTCACTGCTATGTAAGAGTTCATCATATGACTATAACATTATTTATCCTGACTATTGCTAATTATCATTTTGGATTATTTCTATTTTCCCCATTACAAACAGTGCTTCTGTGACCATTCCTGTAGATATCTCCTAGGATACGTACCAGAGTTGCTGGAGGTTTGCACCTATGAGTGGAATTGCTGGTGTGTAGAGTACTCACTTTCATTTTTACTAGAAAATGCCACCTTGTTTTTCAAGGTTATTGTACTAATTTGTACTCATAACAGCTTTGCATGTTCCATTTATTCCACATCCTTATTTTTTGTTGGGCTAAGTTTTTTTGGTGCCCAGTATGAAATGTTAACTGATTTTTAAAATTTGTATTTCCAGGATTACTGATGATTCTGAGCATCTTTTCTTTTCTTTTTCTTTTTTTTTTTTTTTTAAGTATAGACGGGGTTTCACCGTCTTAGCCAGCACGGTCTCAACCTCCTGACCTCATGATCCGCCCTCCTTGGCCTCCCAAAGTGCTGGGATTACAGGCGTGAGCCACTGTGCCCGGCCAAGCACTTTTTCATATGTTTATTGGCCATAAGTTTCTCTTTCTGTGAAGTTTCTGGTCAAGATTTTTGCTCTTGTCCTTATATATGTTGCAAATGTCATCTAGTTTGTGGCTTGTTTTTGCACTCTTTTAAGGATTGAAAATTAAGAAGGTATCAATTTGCTTTTTTTCTTTTTGAGACAGAGTCTTGCTCTGTTGCCCAGGCTGGAATGCAGTAGTGCAATCTTGGCTCACTGCAACCTCCACCTCCCAGGGTCAAGCAATCCTCCCACCTCAGCCTCCTGAGTTGCTGGGACTATAGGTGTGTGTCACCATGCCTGCCTAATTTTTTTTAATTTTTTTGTAGAGATGAGGTCTCACTATGTTGCCCAGGCTGGTCTCAAAATCCTGGGCTCAAATGATCCTCACATCTCAACCTCCCAAAGTTTTGAGCTTGCAGGTGTGAGCCATCCTGCCCCACCTGGATTTTTTAAATGTCTTTAAATAACATGTTATCATTTTCACCAAGTGTATACTTAATTGTACAATTTATTGACATTGTTGCAAATGCCATATTTTTGTTTATGAAAAAGCCAACCTCTGTAACATATATGTATATATTTTTTGTATTTTATTTTTAATTATTATTATTTTTAAAAAGAGATGAGGTCTCACTGTGTTGTCCAGGCTAGTCTTGAACTCTTGGGCTCAAGCAATCCTTCCACCTCAGCCTCCCAAAGTGCTGGGATTACAGGCATGAGCCACCATGCCTGGCTTATAAAATATTTAAAGAGATTTATTCTGAGCCACATGTGAAGACCATGACCCATGACACAGCCTCAGGAGGTCCTGAGACCATGTGACCAAGGTGGTTGGGTTATAGCTTGATTTTATACATTCTAGGGTGACAGAAGTTACAGGCAAACATCAACACATTAAGGTATACATTGATTTGGTCTGGAAAGATGGGACATCTCAAAGTGAAGACTTACACGTCATAGGTGAATTAAAATAATTTCTGATTGGCAATTGATTGAAAGAGTTAAATTATTACCTGAAGACCCAGAATCAATAGAAAGGAGGGTCTGGGTTAAGATAAAGGATTGTGGAGACTAAAGTTCTTATTATGTAGATGAAGTCTCATAGGCGGCCACCCTTAGAGGCAATAGATGGCAAATATTTCCTATTCAGATGTTTAAAAGGTGCTAGACTCTCAGCTAATCTCTTCTATTTTTTTCATGTGCAACATGATTTTTTATTGATGCATAATAGCGGTACATATTTATGGGGTACGTGTGATATTTTGATACAAGCATACCATATGTAATGATCAAATCAGGGTAATTGGGTATCCATCACCTCAAACATTTACCATTTCTTTGTGTTGGGAACATTCCATATCTTTTTTTCTAGCTGTTCTGAAATTTGCTATACGTTCTTTTAACTAAAGGTCCCTTGCTGTGTTATGGAACACTGGAATTTGTTCCTTCTGTTTAACTGTATTTTTGTACCTATTAACCAACTTCTCTTTATCCTCCCCCGTCCTCTACCCTTCCCAGCCTGTGGGAATCACCATCCTACTCTCTGCCTTTATGAGATTTACTTTTTTATCTCCCATATATGAGTGAGAACATTTGATGTTTGTATTTCTGTATCGTGCTGCAAGTGAAAGGATTTCATTCTTTTTTTGTGAATGACTAGTATCCCATTGTGTATATATACTGCATTTCCTTTATTCATTCATCCATTAATGGACACTTAGGCTGATTCCATATCTCGACTATTATAAATAGTGCTGTAATAAACATGAGGATGTAAATATCCCTTTGATATACTGATTTTCTTTCCTTTTGATATATTACCAGCAGTGGGATTGCTGAATCGTATGACAGATCTATTTTCACTTTATTGAGAAACCGCCATACTGTTCTCCATTGTGACTGTACTAATTTACATTCCCACCAAGAATAGACTAGTGTTCTCTCTTCTGCACATCCTTGCCAGCATCTGTTATTTTCTGTCTTTTTGATAATAGATATTTTATTGATACCCTATTTTAACTGAGATGAGATATCTCATTATGGTTTTGATTTGCATTTTCCTGATGATTAGTGATGCTGAACATTTTTTCATATACTTCTTGGCCATTTGTATGTCTTTAAAAAAATTTTAAACAATTTTATTGAGGTATATATCTATATCTATATATCTATATATATTTTTTAGATGGATTCTCACTTTGTCACCCAGGCTGGAGTACAGTGGCCTGATCTCAGCTCACCGCAACCTCCAACCTCCTGGGTTCAAGTGATTCTCCTGCCTCAGCCTCCCAAGTAGCTGGGATTACAGGTGCCCGTCACCAAAAATTAGTCGCCTGGCTAATTTTTGTATTTTTAGTAGAGACAGGGTTTCGCCATGTTGGCCAGGCTGGTCTTAAATTCCTGATCTCAAGTGATCTGCCCGCCTTGGCCTCCCAAAATGTTGGGATTACAGGCGTGAGCCTTCTAGCCACTGCACGGAGTGGTGGCAGCACCCTACCACCCTTGTTTATTTCCCATTAGGGAGAGCCTTAGCACCCCAGACCTACACGGTTTGGGACAAATTCATCCCCTTTCACAACTCACCAGTTAAGGTGAGATCTTTTCAGCTGGAGAAGAGAGCCCCTTTAGCTCACGGCCATCAGGGGTTAGGATTCCTTCCCAGGGGCCCTTTGGTTTCCAGGGCAGTCCTGTTTCCACTGGCTGAGCTTGTGGCAGAGGTGCTAAGCCATACAGGGCTTTTTCCCATTTATTTTATCGGGGCACTTTGTCTTTTATCGGCCTGGCCTTCTGCACTGATGGCAATTACTTGGACGAGTGCTTTTAAGGAAACCTGGAGGGAGCTGAGGGCTTGTGAAGCAGCCAACAGTTGAGTCTGCCTCCTGTCTCTGCATTTTTCTTTCTCTTTTTAGTCCTGTTATCCTTATTCTGCTCTCAATGATAAAAGACTGAGGAGGTTAATTTGAGGATTTCCTGCATAGCGGCCATGCTGTATTACACAAGAAAACCCAGATGTTTCTTTTTTGAGAGTTTGGGGGTTGAATTTGCCCCAATACTTTAGGATGCAGCCTAGAGGTGAGTCTGAAGGAACAGACGGGGTTTGTCCCATGGTGGGCCTGGGAACCATGTGCTTGGGGGCGGGACTCTTTTTGGAGCATGAACCACACTTTCTCTCGAGGTGTCCCTCCAAGATGAAAAAGGGTTCCACTGTGTCTGCTGAGGGACTTGGGGGTGCACTTTCTAAAGGGGGGTCCCACCTATTAGAAAAGACCACTTGGCTGCTTCCTTGTACCTGCATTGGCCATCCCGCATAAGGCCAATCCAGGTACAAGGAAAACAGGTGAAGGGAGAGCTCTGCCTGTGCTAGCCCAGCGGAGGGGGCGGGTAGGGGAAGACTCATTGTTCCGAGGCTGTCTGAGATCACCTGATTTAGCAACATCTGGGACAGGATGCCTGGCTGACTCCACAGGAGAATTTAGAGTAAGAAAGAGAGGGTCTGAGTCACCCAAAACGTGTGTGAATTTGCTCTGAATGAGCATCCATGGCCAGTTGCATGCATAGGGATTAGGGACTTCCAACCAGAAAATACAGGAGAGAGCCTTCTTCCCTTCTGGGCAAGGTGGCCAGCCCCATTCACCCTCTGGCCTTCAGGTAACACTGGAAAGTGGCCTGGGCTAGTTGCTGTCAATTGCCAGAGGGATACTAGAAGCCAGCTGCTGGGAGACTGAAAAGATAACATAAACTTAGGCCTCTCACCCAAATGGGTGGTAGCCGTAAGACAGTTCCACATGGACACCGTTTAGTTCCACCTAAGTGTAGCTCCAGCCAGAGACCTATAGTTGTTTTTATGCTTAGATGCTGTCCACCAAGGGTCCCCAGTTGGGAAAGAGAAAGAGAGAGGTGAGAGAGTTCCCCATAAGGAGAGAGAGTTCCCCTACGGGCAACTAAAATGTCACAGGTGAGCAGCAACTCTCTGGGGCTGGTAATGTGTGGACGGTAAAATAATTTACCAAGATAGTTGTAGGTAAAGATAGGCAGATTTATTAGAGAAAGTATGAATATGTTGCAAAAGAGCAACTGGCAGAGTCAGCAAGAGAGGAGCTGACTGCAAGGAAACAAAGGCTTGCTGGGGATTTTATAGGATGGCTCTTTTCTGTGTACGGATGGTTACATCGGCACAGCAGTACCGACAATGCCAAGGTTGCAGTGAGCTAACTTCCAATTTCTATCAGCTGAGGGTCTGGTGATAGTTGTGATAGAGGCAACGGCCAGCCAAATGCCTAGGCAGATAGGGAAGTGTCCTTGGAGAACTTCCAACCCGCCCAGGTCATTGTGCACAGGGGCTTGCCTAAACATGTGCACGGTGAAAAATTCCATCCCTTAACACATGCACAGTAAGGGAAATAAATCAATGTGGAGTGGCTCAGACTAAGGGCCCCCATGCACACCGAAAGGTCGGGGTGGAGCCACCAGGAATTCATACCTTATGCAAGGGAAGGAGCCTGACTCTTCAGTGCATATGTGGGAGCCCTGGTATTCAATTGTGAGGTGGAAACCTGTTTGCAGGACCCCTCTATTTGCTGAGAGGGGACCCCTCTTTTGCTCAATAAATTTCACCCTCCTCATCCTTCAATGCATCCATATGCCTAATGTTTCCTGGTTGTAACACAAGAACCTGGATTTAGCTGAGTTAAGGAGCAAAATCCTCTATCAGTTGGGCACAGGAAGATTGTGAGTTATTTGTACATGAGTGCTATGAGTCCTGGATCATGAAGAAAGGCCCACTTATAGCTGATCTGCTTTCTCTTTTTGCTTTTCCCTGGTCCCACCAGCCTGACTCCTTTTTCCTATTAGGACTCCACACCTCTGACAGCTCCATCCTTCGACCCCTTGTGCACAATGACCTGGGCAGGTTGAAGGAGGTTTGGAACTGCTGCTTGCTGGAAAACAATGGCAGAGGTAGCTGCAGACCAGCTTATTAACCTCCTGCCCAGCAAGGAGGAATAGGATCAGAGACCTGCTTAAAAAAGCAGTCTGGCCATGTTTTTGTAGAGCAGCTGTGGTATGCTGCAGGTCCGCTCCAGCCCCCAGTTGCCTCAGACTCCTCAAAGCCCAAAGGCAAGAGTGGCTAAAGCAGCCAAACAGCACAGATGGTGGCTCATCCCTTCCTCTCTGAGCTCCATCCAGGGAGGTTTGAAACCTTTGCTGGCTGGAAAACACTGCCAGGGGTGACTAGAGGTCCATATGAATAAGCAGTCTGGTGGCCTTTCTGTAGAACTGCTGTGCTGTGCTGGGGGAAAAAAAAATCTCAGAAAACCAAGAATAGGGAGAACTAACTTTCTTTCTTTTCTTTTCTTTCTTTCTTCTTTCTTCCTTCCTTTCTTCCTTTCTCTCTCTCTCTCTTTCTTTCTTTTTCTTTTTTTTAAATAGAGACGAGGTTTTGCCATGTTGCCCAGGCTGATCTCTCTCTCTCTTTCTGTCACCCTCTCTTTTTTTTTTTTTTTTTTTTTAGGACAGTCTTACTCTGTCCCTAGGCTGGAGTGCAGTGGCACGATCTCTGCTCACTGCAGCCTCCACCTCCCAGGTTTGAGCTTCTCCTACTTCAGCCTCCTGAGTAGCTGAGAATACAGGCATGCGCCACCACACCTGGCTAATTTTTGTATTTTTAGTAGAGACCGGGTTTTGCCATGTTGGTCACACTGGTCTAGAACTCCTGACCTCAAGTGATCCTCCTGCCTCAGCCTCCCAAAGTGCTGGAATTACAGGTGTGAGCCACCACGCCTGGCCCGATTCATTTATTTTTAGACTTTTGTCTTTTCTAATATATAACTTTAAGGCTATATACTTCATCTAAGTACTATTTTAGCTACCCAATAAGTTTTATATTGTCTTATAAATGTACATAATATGTAACCAGCTGGAGTTACTAAACTCTCTCTCTCTCTCTATTTTTTTTTCTTTGAGACAGAGTCTCGCTTTGTCACCCAGGCTAGAGTGCAGTGGCATGATCTTGGCTCACTGCAACCTCCTTCTCCTGGGTTCAAGCTATTCTTTGGTCTCAGCCTCCTGAGTAGCTGGGACTACAGGCACGCGCCACTACACACAACTAATTTTTGTATTTTTAGTAGAGATGGGGTTTTGCCATGTTGGTCAGGCTGGTCTCGAACTCCTGACCTCAGGTGATCCACCTGGCTTGGCATCCCAAAGTGCTGGGATTACAGGTGTGAGCCACCACGCCCAGCCTAAACAATATATATATTGGTTAGTTCTACACATGTTATATTAACCAGCTTTTGTTTGGTTATATTTACATGTTATATATTTTTTCATTCTTCTCCTGTTAATCTTTTGTATTCTTTTGCTTTAGATTTGTTTTTATGTAAATAGCACATATGGATTTAAAAAATCTGACCAGTTGATTTCTCTTTTCTAACTGGAACAATTAATTCATTCATATGTATTGATGTTACTGATATATTTGTTCTTATTCCTACCATCTATTTTGTGTTCTTGGTTTTTTTTTTTTTTTTTTTTTGAGACAGGGTCTTGCTCTGTTGCCCAGGCTGGAGTGCAGTGGTGCGATCTCGGCTCACTGCAACCTCCACCTCTCGGGTTCTAGTGATTCTCCCACCTCAGCCTCCCCAGTAGCTGGGATTACAGGCACCTGCCACCACATCCTGCTAATTTTTGTACTTTTAGTAGAGATGGGGTTTCATTATGTTGGCCAGACTGGTCTTGAATTCTTGACCTCAAGTGATCTGCCCGCCTCGGCCTCCCAAAGTGCTGGGATTACAGGTGTGAGCCACCTCACCTGGCTGATTTTTCCACATTTTTAAGGTTTCCTTTTCTTTATTGATTGGTCAAAGTGTAGTTTTTCAAATTTTCATTATGATTTCTTATCTTCCCATGAATATTTCTTAGAAGTATATTTTTAAACTTTCATACATGTACCTTTTTTCTAGTTATCCTTTTGTTACTGATTTTTAATTACATTGTGTTTTGATAGCAGGGGATTTATTGTATAATTTTACAAAATATGTTCAGACTTGTTTTGCTCTAGCATGTAGTCAATTTTCATAAAAGTTGTGTGGGTGCTTCAGAAGAATGTGTGTTCTGTAGTCATGTTTTCTTTTTTTCTTATTGAGGTTCTCTTTTTGTCTGCTTGATCTCTCAATTACTGAAAGAAGCATGTTGAAATATCCCACTAAGACTGTGATTTTATAAATTTATTTTAGTAATTCAGTCATTTTCTTTATATTTTTTGAGGCTATACTAAAAGATACAAACAAGTTCGGAATTGTTATGTCTTCTGCAATATTTGTAGTAATACATAGTGATTATTTTTCTCTAATAATGCTCTGTATATATTATATTATATATATATTTTTTGAGACAGAGTTTCACTCTGTTGCCCAAGCTGGAGTGCAGTGGTGTGATCTCAGCTCACCGCAACCTCCACCTTTCGGATTCAAGTGACTCTCCTGCCTCAGCCTCCCCAGTACCTGGGAGTACAGGCTCCCACAACCATGCCTGGCTAATTTTTGTATTTTTAGTAGAGATGGGGTTTCATCATGTTGGCCAGGCTGATCTTGAACTCCAGACCTCAGCTGATCCACCTGCCTTGGCCTCCCAAAGTGCTGGGATTACAGACTGTGAGCCACTGCACCCAGCCTGGGAGGCTATTGTGTCTGGAATTGGTGGGTTCTTGGTCTCACTGCCTTCAAGAATGAAGCCGCAGACCCTCGCGGTGAGTGTTACAGTCCTTAAAGGCGGCATGTCTGGAGTTTGTTCCTTCTGATGTTCGGATGTGTTCTCAGAGTTTCTTCCTTTTGGTGGGGTTCGTGGTCTTGTTGCCTCAGGAGTGAAACTGCAGACCTTCGTGGTGAGTGTTACAGCTCTTAATGCGGGGCATCTGGAGTTCTGTTCCTCCTCCCTGGTGGGTTCCTGGTCTCACTGGCTTCAGGAGTGAAGCTGCAGACCTTCGCAGTGAGTGTTACAGCTCATAAAGACAGTGTGGACCCAAAGAGTGAGCAGCAGCAAGATTTATTGTAAAGAGCGAAAGAACAAAGCTTCCACGGTGTGGAAGGAGACCCGAGCAGGTTGCCACTGCTGGCTAGGGCAGCCTGCTTTTATTCTCTTATCTGGCCCCACCCACATCCTGCTGATTGGTAGACGGGAGTGGTCTGTTTTGACAGGGTGCTGATTGGTGCATTTACAATCCCTGAGCTAGACACAAAGGTTCTCCACGTCCCCACCAGATTAGCTAGATACAGAGTGTCCACACAAAGGTTCTCCAAGGCCCCACCAGAGTAGCTAGATACAGAGTGTCGATTGGTGCATTCACAAACCCTGAGCTAGACACAGGGTGCTGATTGGTGTATTTACAATCCCTGAGCTACTCATAAAGGTTCTCCACCTCCCCACCAGACTCAGGAGCCCAGCTGGCTTCACCCAGTGGATCCTGCACCAGGGCTGCAGGTGGAGCTGCCTGCCAGTCTCGCGCCTTGCGCCCGCACTCCTCAGCCCTTGGGTGGTCAATGGGACTGGGCGCCGTGGAGCAGGGGGTGGCGCTCGTCGGAGAGGCTCGGCCGCACAGGAGCCCACGGAGCGGGTGGGAGGCTCAGGCATGGCGGGCTGCAGGTCCCGAGCCCTGCCGCGCGGCGAGACACGGCGAGAAATGGAGTGCAGCGCCGGTGGGCCGGCACTGCTGGGGGACCCAGTACACCTTCCGCAGCCGCTGGCCCTGGTGCTAAGTCCCTCATTGCCCGGGGCCGGCAGGGCCTGCCGGCTGCTCCGAGTGTGGGGCCCGCCAAGCCCACACCCACCCGGAACTCCAGCTGGCCCGCAAGCGCCGCGCGCAGCCCCAGTTCCCGCTCGCGCCTCTCCCTCCATACCTCCCTGCAAGCTGAGGGAGCCGGCTCCGGCCTTGGCCAGCCCAGAAAGGGGCTCCCACAGTGCAGCGGTGGGCTGAAGGGCTCCTCAAGTGCCGCCAAAGTGGGAGCCCAGGCAGAGGAGGCGCCGAGACCGAGCCAGGGCTGTGAGGACTGCCAGCACGCTGTCACCTCTCACTATGACAATAGAAACTCAATTTACCAAGATTGGCAAATGCCCTCAAAGCAAAACCCAGCTTCAAAGCTATTCTAATTTTCCTGGATTTCTGTTTTTATTTACATTTGGCCTCTGAATATTTCTTACCAAATTGTTTCACTGATGCACTTTAAAAAGGTTTTCATATTTTATGTAGCATTTTGAGATGTTTCTGGTTGGCCAAGATACCTATCCTGTCATTATTTATTGTTTTATTCAATACATGTGTACTCAGAGTGTGCCTTCTGTGTGGCAGGAGCCATCCTTATTGCTGGGGCTGCCCTGATGGTTGAGATCCATGCTTCGCCCTGAGGGAACTGCCTGACCACAGCAATTCAGAAGTCATTTCAGTTTACTTAAGATACTTGGTTTTAATGGATTTAATAGCTGCGATAGGTATCTCACAAAAATACATAGCCCAACTGCTTTGTTCAGGAGTGAGGCTATGGAATTGAAGAAGTCTGATAAACCAGAGCTGGGTGGGATGTTAGAGACGGTCTAGTCTATAGTGTTAAGGCTGTGCTCCCTGGAGTTACCCTAGGCAGAGCTGCTGAGAACAGCCCTCCAATCTGTGTCCTGCACAAAAAGCTCATGCTAGGGGAATCAGTGAGGGCTGAAATTCAGCCTGTGCTGAGCTTTCTAAGCCACCACCTCGGTGCCTGGCTACCTCTGCCTAGAGGATGAGACACCTTTTTCTCATTTGTACAAAGGCAGCATGTAGATTTAACAGGCCCAGGGATGTTATTTAGCTAACAGAGTAAGGGGCATGCCTATGGCCAGGGCTCTGGGGCCTCTTCCTAGACTCTTTTGGCTTGGACACTCACTTTAACTATTATATGTGTGGTTTTTTCAGTGAGAGGAATATATCTTGGACCCAGATCACTAAGCTAAAAGGAAGAATCAAGCTAGGAACTGCTCAGGGCAAACCTGCCTCCCATTCTACTCAAAGTCACCCCTCTGCTCACTGAGATAAATGCATATCTGATTGCCTCCTTTGGAGAGGCTAATCAGAAACTCAAAAGAATGCAACCTTTGTCTCTCATCTACCTGTGACCTGGAAGCCCCGCCCCCTTCTTGCTTCAAGCTGTCCCACCTTTCCGGACCTAACCAATGTTCATTTTAAATATATTGATTGATGTCGCATGTCTCCCTAAAATGTTTAAAACCAAGCTGTGCCCTGACCACCTTGGGCACATGTCATCAGGACCTGTCATGAGGCTGTGTCACGGGTGCCTCCTGAGGCTGTGTCCTCAATCTTGGCAAAATAAACTTTCTTTCTTTCTTTTTCTCTCTCTCTCTCTCTTCTCTCTCTCTCTCTCTCTCCCTCCCTCCCTCCCTCTCTCTCTCTCCCCCTCCCTCCCTCCCTCCCCCTCCCTCCCTCCCTCCCTCCCTCTCTCTCTCTCTCTCTCCTCTTTCTTTCTCTTTTTCAGGCTGGAGTGCCGTGGCACGATCTCAGCTCACTGCAACCTCTGCCTCCCGGGTTCAAGCAATTCTCCTGTCTCAGCTTCCCCAGTAGCTGGGATTACAGGTGCGTGCCACCACGCCTAGCTAATTTTTGTATTTTTAGTAGAGACAGGGTTTCACCATGTTGGTCAGGCTGGTCTCAAACTGCTGACCTCGTGTTCCGCCCCCCTGAGCCTCCCAAAGTGCTGGGATTACAGGCTTGAGCCACCGCGCCTGGCACTGGCAGAATAAACTTTCTAAATTAATTGAGACCTGTCTCAAATTTTGGAGGTTCACACTTCCAAAAATTTATTTAAAAAACTAATACAAGGTTTTTGGTGCTTTAAAAAAAATCAATAATAATATGGCTTCTCCTTCCTCCATCTAGCATCAGTGCTGGAATCCCAAAGAGGGAAAGTAATTTGGTGGCTTAATTCAGTGAGGATCACAGCCAGTCAGAGGAGTCTAGCTCTGGGTTGCGGGGATGATGAGGAGAGCAGTTCAGCCTGGCAGGGAGATGGGGAGGCGTAGGTATTCTGGCTGGAGATGCAGCTCAGGGTAAAGTGGAGGAGGAGGTGAAAGGGGGGCTCCAGACATCATCCTGTAGACCAGTGGCTTCCTTCCAACTTGTCTATCGATGGTTTATTTTTTTTCTTTGAGATGGGGTCTTGCTCTGTTGCCCAGGCTGGAGTGCAATGATGCTATCATGTGTCACTGCAACTTCAAGCTCCTGGGTCAAACGATCCTCCTGCCTCAGTTTCCCAAGTACCTGGGACTACAAGTGCATGCTGCCACACCTGGTTAATTTTTAAAATTTTTTGTTGAGACAAAGTTTCACTATGTTGCCTGGGCTGGTCTCAAACTCCTGGCCTCAAACAATCTGCCTGCTTCTGCCTCCCAAAGTGTTGGGATTGCAGGTATGAGCCACCGTGTCCGGCCCGATGCTTATTTTTGTCTATTTATTTTTCTCAGTGAAAATACTTTCCTCCCTTATTATATCAATAAACTTAGTGATGGTAAAGAATTTGAAAAATATTTTAAAATATAAAGAAAAAGAAGTCATCTGAAGTCCTATCTCCATGAAATAACCGTTGGTTTGATTATATCCTTTTATGCATCTGTTTTTAAATATATGATTTTTCATATATGGGATCATATAATACATGGTGATTTATTGGTGATATTTAAAATTTTTTATTTTTATTTTTTATTGTGGTAAAGACTCATCACATAAAATGTACCATCTTAACCATCTCTAAGTATACAGTTCAGTGGTGTTAAGTACATTCACAGTGTTGTGCAATACAATCTCCAGAACTCTTTTCATGTTAAGGAACTGAAAGTCTACCCCCATGAAACAATAGCACCTCATTCCCCCTCTCTCCAGCCCCTGGCCACCACCATTCCACTTCCTGTCTCTATGAATTTGGCTGCATTAGATACCTCATATAAGTGGAATCATACAGTATTTGTCTTTTTCTCCTCAAGGCTCATCCATATTGTAGCATGTGACAGGGTTTCCTTCCTTTTGAAGGCAGTGATATTTTTAGAGGCACTGTTTGTTTTTATTTTTTCTTTTCTTTCTTTCTTTTTTTTTTTTTGAGACAGAGTCTTGCTCTGTCATCCAGGCTGGAGTGCAGTGGCATGATCTCGGCTCACTGCAAACTCTGCCTCCTGGGTGCAAGTGATTCTCCTGCCTCAGCCTTCCGAATAGCTGAGATTATAGGCGCCCGCCACCAGGCCTGGCTAATTTTTGTATTTTTGGTAGAGATGGAGTTTCACCATGTTGGCCAGGCTGGTCTCGAACTCCTGGCCTCAGACAATCAGCCTGCCTTAGCCTTCCAAAATGCTGGGATTACAGGCTTGAGCCATCCACCTGGCCCTTTTGAAGTGTAAATCCCTAGGGAGATAGTACTCTATCTAGTCTTCTAGGCACTGGTTTAACCTAGGGACTTACAGGTGGTGAGCATTTAATCTCTCTTCTGGAGATAAGAGAAGTTTTACCATCCTTTTGGATCATGCAGTTAACTACACAAATGGCTATAAATCCTAATTCTCAAGGTATGTGAAGAATTTTGGGAGGTCAGGTAGAGCTTTTACTGGAGCATTGAAAAGTTCACTGAAATGGACTGTTTTATTTCCCTACACTCAAATAACCAACGTTAATAGATTATAACACATTCTTTCATAGCTTTCTTTATGATCATGTCACTATACATAAATGTAGTTTCACATATAAGAGTTTTGTTTTTTTTGTTTTTTGTTTTTTGTTTTTTTTGAGACAAGGTCTCTCTCTGTTGCCCAGGCTGGAGTGCAGTGGCGCGATCTCAGCTCGCTGCAGCCTCCGCCTCCCGGATTCAGATGATTTCTCCTGCCTCAGCCCCCCGAGTAGCTGGGATTACAGGCACCCACCACCACACCCGGCTAGTTTTAGTGTTTTTTGTAGAGAAGGGGTTTTGCCATGTCGGCCAGGCTGGTCTTGAACTCCTGATCTCAGGTGATCTGCCCACCTCGGCCTTCCCAAAGTGCTGGGATTACAGGTGTGAGCCACAGCACCCGGCCTAAGAGGTATTTTTATATAATGTAGTTGCATTATAAAAATGGGATCATGATGTATACTTTCTGCATTTTATTTCTTCTTTGTTTATCGTGAACATTTCTTCAAGTCAACTGATAGAGATAGATCTAAATCATTCTTTTTAATGGCTATATATTATTATTCCAAAGTATGGAAGCACCACAATTGATCTGATCATTTCCTATTTCCCTAGTCATGGGCCTTTCCTGCTCTAATTTTTTTTCACTACAACTAATAATACTATTGCTGAGTAAACATCTTTATAACACATCCTTAAGGACTGATGCTTTCATTTCATTTCTTTTCTTTTTTTTTTTTTTTTAAATGGAGTCTCGTTCTGTAGCCGAGGCTGGAGTGCAGTGGCACGATCTCGGTTCGCTGCAAACTCCACCTCCCTGGTCCCAGTTCAAGCAATTCTCCTGCCTCAGCCTCCCGAGTAGCTGGGATTACAGGCATGCGCCACCATGCCCAGCTAATTTTTGTCTTTTTAGTAGAGATGGGGTTTCACCATGTTGGCCAGGCTGGTCTTGAACTCCTGACCTCGTGATCCACCCGCCGCAGCCTCCCAAAGTGCTGGGATTACAGGCGTGAGCCACTGCGCCTGGCCTGGTGCTTTTATTTCTATGGCACAGATTCCCAGGAGTGAAACTGCTGGGTTGCAGGGCATATGTATATTTAATTTAAATAGCTATTGCTACATTGTTTTCCAAAACAGCAATAGCAATTCACACTTCACATTAGTAGTAAATGAGAGCAGCCTTTCCTGGCATCCCTAACAGCCTCAGGCACTATCACTTTAGTTTTGTCCCCACTAATAATAGGATACTAATAGGAACTTCAAGAGCTCTAGTGGATCTTCAGAGGCAACTTAAGGGCTTCCTCTTGAGGGGGTAGTGGCTCACGTGGGTGAGACTCCTGGTCCCTTACCCCATTTCAGCCAGAGCCCTGTATTTTTCATATATCAGGCTTCCTCATAAGGTTTTATTTTAAAGAAAGGTTCTAGGAATAAACAGATGTTTGAAAGCCTCATCTCTAAGCCGTGAAGTAGGTGAAGGTTGAACAGAATGGTGATGTGATGAAAACCTGGACTTCAAGGAGACCTGGAGCCTGGAGAAGGGGTCCTGGAGTGGAGGCAGAGCCCCCCGCCAGGAGGCTGGTGCCCTGGGTCGGTGAGAGAATGAGGATGTGACCTGGGGTGGAGTAGGGTAGCAGGAAGAGGGCAGACGTGTGCCCAAGGATGAACATGCAGGGTTTGTTGGCTATAGGGTAACAGGGTGGGAGGAGGTAGGATGGAGCCTAGAGAGGGGGTCTAGGATACCTAGGTATGGCTCCTGGGTGGCCAGGATGCCAGTGATGATGACACACCTGGAGACAGCTCCAGCTGTCCTGACACCTAGGGACCTAGTCCAGGTGGTGAGCAGGGACAGACCCAGTGGAGCCTGAAGAGGAAGCTGGGAGAAGGGAGCTGTTTTGCCCCACCCCATTATAGGCAGTGCCTAGGGCGAGGGAGTCAGGGAGGGGCTCACTACCGGAGCTTGTCTTGCTTCATACCAGGAAGGGTGTGACAAGAGAGCAGGGAGCAGAGAAGGAGAAACCTGGCGAGCCACTTGCCATTGCTCAGTGGGCTGTCCAAGGAGATCCTTTCTCTGTCCTCTGAGCACCCAGCTTCCCTGCCTGTGTCCTCCCCAAGTCCAGGGGACAGCAGCCCAGCCCTCTGTCCAGAAGAATGAGGGAGGCTGGGGAGGGCCCCAAGGGACCCCTTTCCAGTCCTCCTCCACAGGAAGGAAGAGCCACAGCATCAGAAAGCCCCTCTCCTGCCTCCAGGCTCAGTTTAGGGTTTTCAGCTAGGAAGAATCCTACACAGATGCACCTTTCAATGAATGCCTCTTACCCCGCCTCCTGTCATGGTCTGTGTGCCTGCTCCTCTGGGAGCTCTGCACCTCGCATAGGAAGCCCCAGCCTTTAGTTCCCTGGCACTGAAGAGTGCAGATGCAGCTTTCCTGAGCCAGGCTGCGTGGCTCTGAAGGCTTCAGGTGGCGGTGCAGTCCTACACCCAGGAGAAGGGAGGGATGGGCCCTCCAATTCTGATCATTCTCTGCAGCATGCAAAGCCTGAGACTGAGTTCCTCATGGGTTACCTAGGGCCTTATGACTTCCACAGGCCCCAGCACTTTTGGCTCTGTGGGCGCTTTCCTTCATAGAAAAATATTAAAAATAACATTTCATGACTGCATTGGTATAAAGACAAATACAAGCCAAGATGAATTCACTATGATAGATTCATTATGATTATGTTCAAATTTCTCTGCTTGTAAAAGAAACAAAAATTAATCATTTTGTTGGGCCCTCAGGGCTACGCCTCCAGTGCCCAATGGGTGCCCACCCTGCCTGGAGGCCGGCACACCTCACAGGGCAGGTGGGTGCAGAGGGAAGGAGGTGGAGGTGGTTCTTTTTTTTTAGATGGAGTCTCGCTTTGTCACCAGGCTGGGGTGCAGTGGTGCAATCTCGGCTCACTGCAACTTCCGCCTCCCTGCAACTTCCGCCTCCCGGGTTCAAGCGATTCTCCTGCCTCAGCCTCCTGAGTAGCTGGGAATACAGGTGCACGCTACCACGCCCGGCTAATTTTTGTATTTTTAGTAGAGACGGGGTTTCACCTTGTTAGCCAGGATGGTCTCCATCTCTTGACCTCGTGATCTGCCCGCCTCGGCCTCCCAAAGTGCTGGGATTACAGGCGTGAGCCACCGCGCCCGGCCATGTTGTCATACTTCTACAACAGCACCTGATCATAACCACCTGTTTACCTGTCTGTCTTCACGTGAACCTGTCTGACTGCATGGGAACCTCCCCTGACACAGTGATCCACACAGGCTCAGTAGTAGGGGTGCAGTAGAGCATACTGGTTAGAGCTCAGATTTTGGAATAAGGTGGAATCAGGTTCAAATCCTCCCTGTGCCATTGCTAGAGACATGACCATGGGCAAGCTACTTAACCACTCTGATCCTTAATTTTGTCATCTTTAAGTGAAGATACACTGGCTGGGCTTGGTGACTCACACCTGTAAATCTCAGCACTTTGGGAGGCTGAGTTGGGAGGATTGCTTGAGCCCAGGAGTTCAAGATCAGCCTAGGGAACATAGTAAGATCCCGCCTCTACAAAAAATAAAAAATATTAGCTGGGTGTGGTGGCACGCAACTGTGGTCCCAGCTACTCCAGAGGCTGAGGTGGGAAGATTGCTTGGCCCACAAGTTAGGGACTGCAGTGAGTCGTGATTGCACCACTGCACTCCAGCCGGGGTGACAGAGAGACCCTGTCTCAAAACAAAAACAAAAACAAACAAACAAAACCCCCAAAACCAAAAAACCAACAAAACAACAAAGATTCCATCTAGACTGTGGACTTTGCAAGGGCAGGGCCCCGTCAGTCTTGTCACTGTGGTATCCTAAAACCTGACCTCAACAATGGAAAAAAAAGAAAAAAAATTTGCCACAGGGACTGTGGGTAGGGAGGGGTGGAACAAGAGAATGTAAAATTCAGTTTGTCACCCTGTGTGGTTATTATTTTGAAGAAAACAATAAGAAAAACAATAGAGTCGAGCCGGCTGAGCCCAGCATAGTGGAGAAATGAATCCATTGCTCCTTGGACCATCTGTTCATCTTGAACACCTGGGGACGAGGGAACAGTCAGGGGGAGAGGCTGCCTGGGACACTTCTAGGAGGATCTGGGCAGAGGGAGAAGTGATGGAGCTGGATGGGGTTTGGGAGGGCGGGCATGGAGTGAAAGGCGCCCGGTGAAGCCTGCCGCCTGGGGAGGATGTGAGTGTTCCTGGACAAGGGGCTGGTGGTTGGGGTGCAAGCAGATTTGCCCTCTATGGTGGGCAGTCAGCTTGGCCTTTCTTGAGAGAAGGGAAGTCTATTGCGTGGGGCAATAAACTTAGAAAATTTGAAAAGACGCCATGACAGATACAAAAATAAAAACACAAAAAATTCAAAATTCTACCATCCTAACAGTGATTTCCAGTTGGGTTTTCATGTTATCTTCCCTGTGTCTGGCTTTTGCATTGTTATACTCATGGAGAGTGTACCGTTTGTCATTCTACTGCTTTTGTTTGACCCAATGGCATGAATCTGCCCCTTCCACCATATGCATCAGAGGCAGGTCCTCTCCACCACCCCACTAGGTGTCCGGGGTGCCCTTTGGTTGTATAGTTATCCTAGGGATGCAATGGAAAACTTCTCCTAGTGTGCACGTGTTGTCTGTATTAGGGTGTTGACTGCCACTGGATGGCACTGCTCACTGGGCTGGCAGCTGGTGGGTGCTTGGAGCAGAGAAGGAAGTTTCTATTCACAGGAAGCCCTGAGCAGGGACCAGCTGGGACCTCAGGTCCTGATGGTGAGAAGGCTGAGGGGTCAGCCATGAGGCCTAGTTCTACCCTGTCTCCTGGGAACCCACCAAGGCCTTGGTTCCTTCTCTTGCTCTTGCCCTGTTGCCAGCACACCCGACAACAAATGCCATGCTCTGGCAATTCTCCAAGTCTGGCTTGTCCCATGTCCTCCACTGCAGACTCCCCTTTCCTTCTGTACTTTCCTGGCTCCCCCAGGATACACCCACTTCCGACCCCGCTGCTTTCATCCCTCCACTCCAGAAGCCCTGTCCTAACTGCAGCTTTGATTATAGCAACATTGGTGTATGTGTCTGTTTTTGCACAAGCACCATGCTGTTTTGGTTAAAGTTGGTTAACTTCAGTGGTTGCTCACTACCTGGGTGATAGGACAGTTAGCATACTCCAAATATCAGCATCACACAATATACCCTTGTAACAAAACTGCACATGTACCCTCTGAATCTCAAATAAAAGTGGAGAGTAAACACACAGAAAACCTTGTAGCAACAGAAAAACGTTGAGATTAGGAGGGCTCATTCTTAGCGGTTGTTTTATGGGAGCAAAATGTCAATACCTGTATCTTGGTATTTGTTTCCTGCATTAATAAAATACTGGGGTGAATACCTGTTTTATATGTAAATGTTTTCA
Source organism: Homo sapiens (assembly GCF_000001405.40). NCBI lineage: Eukaryota > Metazoa > Chordata > Mammalia > Primates > Hominidae > Homo > Homo sapiens. The sequence goes on along the minus strand of NC_000001.11, from coordinate 153,512,535 downwards.
GAATTTATTGCATTAAAAAACACTGGAACTGTGTATTTAATATATTTTGAAAAAAATTAGAAAAACACTGCAAAACATCAAATAAAACACAAAAATTTCAAATCTCCAGCCAAGCAAAAAGCCCCATGTGCCTGCTCTTAGTCTCTTAGGTGAGGGAAGAGACTTACTAATAGTCTGTCCTGAGGAAACCACTCCCAGGAATGGGTCCAAACTCCTTTTAGTGCACACCTCCCTTTCCCCCAAAAACAGGCATTACTATTTTCCTACCAAATTTTCCTATGAAGGCATAATTACCATTTTGATGACAACACACAGATCCTTCCTGCTGATGTTCAACTTTTGCTAATGTCCCTTACTTCTTGACATCCTGGGTATCCTTTCCTCCCCCTAGTTACAGATTGCTTGTGCAAATACGTTAATAAATACCGCTTTTAGCTGTGAAGTTATTAAGAGTGTGAGTTATTACAGATTGTTCTGTGGCTGGAGCTCAGCGCTGGACTATGTTTTATGTTTTGACTGGTGCCCTTTGTGTGCAGCTCAGAGCCACAGTGTTAGTTTAGGAAAATACAAATCTACCATATGCAATGAATGATCAGGAAACTGTTGAATTTGGTGAGTAACAACTCTCTCAGAGGCCAGGCACTGTGGCTCACACCTGGAATCCTAGTACTTTGGGAGGCTGAGGCGGGAGGATCACTTGGGCCCAGGAGTTTGAGACCAGCTTGGGCAATATAGTGAGACTTTGTCTCTACAAAAAATAAAAAAAAAATTAGCCTGGTGAGGTTGCTTCTGTGGTCCCAGCAACTCAGGAGGCTGAGGTGAGAGGATGACTTGAGTCCCAGAGGTCGAGGTTGCAGTGAGCCATGTTCATGAGACTGCACTCCAGCCTGGGTGACAGAGTGATACCCTGTTTCTAAAAAACAAAACAAAACAAGACAAAACAAACAAAACAAACAAGAAACAACTTTAAAATGTTTGGAAGAAAATATAGAAAAAGATCGTTATGACCTTGGGGGTGGTGAAGGTTTCCTTAAGCAAGAAGAAAAAGAACATAGCCCAGAAAACGCTTTACTGCATTTAAATGAAAAATTTGTGTTAATCAAAAAGCACCATTAAAAAAATACAAAGCTAGACTCTGCCTCAAACAACAACAAACAGACAAAAAAACTTTCCAAGAAACTGAGAACCTTAAAAAAAAAAATCTGGGAGTGTGGGTGTCAATCTCCCCAGCCTCCTGCCTCAAATTTGGGAATAAAAATGAGACTTTCCCCCCACCTTTTTTTTTGGTTCTCCCATTTGAGGTCAGGGCTTGGGCCTGGGAATGAGGGAGCCCACAGGGTCAGGCTGCCCCGGGCCCTGGACACTGGCATCTACCTTTTCCTCCACGTGGCAGGAGACCGGGCCAGCCTTGGGCTGCCACTACCGGTCCTTTGGCTCCCCCTGTTGACCACCCAGTCTCCAATCGTCGTGGTCTTGCCTGCGGAGAGGCCTGAGGGGTCTAGCAGAGTGCTGGGATTGCCAAGGGAGAAACTGATGGCCAGATGTTTGAACAACAGCTGGCTGGAGCAGAAGCCAGACCCCTCTGCTCTTCTTTAGGGTCAAATCTCAAGTCACATTGTCCCAGTGATGGGCAGCCCTGCCCTGTAAGGAAAAGACTGAGCTAGACTTCTCATTCCCAATTTGTCTTCCACATTGCTGTTACATTTGGCTCTTTGGGCTGGGTGCGGTGGTTCACATGTGTAATCCCAGCACTTTGGGAGGCTGAAGAGGGTGGATCACTTGAGGTCGGGAGTTCGAGACCAGCCTGGCCAACATGGCAAAACCCTGTCTCTTCTAAAAATACAAAAATTAGCCGGGTGTAGTGATGCATGCCGGTAATCCCAGCTACTCTGGAGGCTGAGGTGGGAGAATTGCTTGAACCTGGGAGGTGGAGGTTGCAGTGAGCCAAGATTGCACCATTGCACTCCAGCCTGGGCGACAGAGTGAGACTCACTCTCAAATAGCACCAATCAACCAAACAACAAAAACAACAAAAAGAAAACATTTGCCTTTTTTGCTAATAAAACTGATCTGTAGCTTAAAATCCTATATTGACTTCCTATAATGCCCATAGAACAAGATCTAACTCCTCAGGCTTGCACCCAAGGCCCTCCTCAATTTTGCCTCAGTCTTTTCTTCTGTTTATTTTTTCATCAATTTGCCCCCTTCCCTAGGCCTGGATCTGTGCCTTGGGCAGAGATATTTTTAGAGACAAAAGAAACCTTTGCTTCAGTTATGTGTAGAGAAGTTTGGGGTTATAACAACGTGTGAGTGCAAGGTGTTATTTGGCCTGATGGCTCAGGCAGAGGAATAACAGATTATGATGTTTGAAAGATTAAAGTGGAAACAAACAAAATGCACCATAGCATAATAAAGCCAGTATTAATATTTTACAAAGAGGATGTTGAAGTTGTATTAATAGGGGGATATGCTTCCTTTGTGTAGAAATACTGATTATTGTGGTGAGTGGTGTTTGCCAAGCACCAAAGTGGGGATAAAACATCCACTAGCCCCATTTCTATGGCGCCAAATGCACCGGCCTCCCTGCGGTTTGCTAAGGACACCCCCTGCTGGCAGAAAGAGGGAGCATGGCACACATGCCAGACACTTGCCTGGTCTCCTGATCTTGCCATGCCCTTTTGCACCTCCATGATCTGTTCATGCAATTTATTCTGTCTCTTTGTATCCTCCTCCACCCCCAGCCTTCCATACCTAGCTCAAATGGGACCTCCTTGGTGACATCTCAGGTCCCTGTTCTTCTCTCCTATTGTACCCAATATAGTCCTCTACAGTTGCCCTTAGCACACCCTAGTGAAAGGATCAGTGTACAAGCCTGTCCCCCTCCACTTCGCCTTTCTTCTACTCCCCCCACTCCTGTTATCTAGACCAAAGGCTCTTCAGTGTGAGGGACCGTGCCACCCTCGTCTTCATTTAGCACAGGACCTGCCACATGGTGGGTACTCAGTAAATCTTTGCGGGATGGATGAACATACTTTCACATTGTGGAGGGTTGTGGAATAAGGGCAGGGGAGAGAGTTCCTGTGCAAGGTGTTTTTACGTTGTATTCTGACCCACACAAATCTTGGAAGATGAGTTCAGCTCTGAGGCAAGGAGGTGGATCGAATACTTGAGATCAGGCCCAACAGACAGGTCTCAGACTGCAGGTGCTGGGCAGAGGGTGTCCACCAGTCATGATCTCAGGAAGGCAATGAGGGCTCAGTCCTGATGAGGAAGCCAGGGTGCTGATTCGCTGCTATGTCCCTCACACCCAGCTCCATGCCTGGAGGACAGCAGGTGCTTACTAATCACTACCGGCTTGTTGAGTGCCCAGGACATGGTGATGTGCAATTGGAAACAAAACTCAATTCTCTTCAAATGCATGCCAATAAACTCACATTCTTATTTTTTTTTATTCCTGGATGCAATCTTGACAGGTCCCATAGCCTTTCTAGTCAATCTTAGGCCTCAATTTTCTTTTCTTTTTCTTTTCTTTTCTTTTTTTTTGAGACAGAGTCTTACTCTGTCGCCCAGGCTGGAGTGCAGTGGCACGATCTTGGCTCACTGCAACCTCTGCCTCCCGAGTTCAAGTGATTCTCGTGCCTTAGCCTCCCGAGTAGCTGGGACTACAGGCGCGTGCCACCATACCTGGCTCATTTTTTCTTTTTTGTATTTTCAGTAGAGATGGGGTTTCACTGTGTTAGCCAGGATGGTCTCGATCTTCTGACCTCGTGATCCAACCCCCTCTGCCTCCCAAAGTGCTGGGATTACAGGCGTGAGCCACCGCGCAGGGCCAGGCCTCAATTTTCAGGCTGTGAAAAGTCCGGCCTGAAGTTCAATCTCGTCTTCTCAAAGGCCCTCTCTTGCCTGGACTGGCTTTTGCCCTGCAGCGGGGAAGGGCATGTGGGTAGCTTCTTCACTGTCTCCCCTCTGTCCTTTCAGCTCTCCTTCCCCACACCATGTGTCCTCTGGCTCTTGTAAGTGGGGGAAGCAGGAGGAGAGGCAGTGCTCACAAAGGTCTTCTCACTGGCGTGTTTACAATCTGGCCTTGGTGGCCTCCTTGGGTGGTGGATGCTTGAACGCTGACCCCTGGGGTGGGCTCCCCAGCTCATGATCTCCTGATGTAGCTGCTGCCTTCTTCAGGTGGCCTCCCGGCCCCTGCCCCTGGCTTCCAGGAGAAGTCTCCACACAGACTCCTTGCGGGGTGGCCCTGTCCTGTAGGCAGGCTCCCTTTGTGGGGATCCCTGTCTGGCCACAGGACCCCAGCATTGCTCCAACATCAATCGGCTTCAGCCTCAGGCCTCTCACAGACACCCCTCCTCATCTGCTTTGGGGCAGGCAGCCTCTTGCCTTTGGACTTTTATAGGTGTGAGTCAGGAAGAATTTCCTGTATCCCCCAATTCTACAGGACACAGCTCACGCTCTCTGAGGGGTTCTCTTACAGCTCCTCTCACTTGGTTGAAGGGGGAAGGAGGAAACTTGCCCTCCTTCGTGGAGGTGAGGACGGGCAGCACGTGGCGCCCTCACCCCGCCCTCTCTGAGCAGTCCCCAGCCTTTCCCTTCCTTGAGGTGAGGGGTAGATAAAGTCACTGAACTGTGTTTTTGGTTCACCTCCCACCTAGAAATTTCTCCATAGATGGTCAAAAGCCTCTCTTAAGAATATATAGAAACTTAATGCCCTTTGTCCCCAGCTTTGAGACCAACATAAAAAAGGAGCTGGTGACAAAGTTCTATTTTAGCATTCCATTACATGAGGGCTTGTAGAATGAATTGTGAACAACTGGACTTAGAATAACGGGGCCCGGGGGTGAGGGTTGCTTCCAGGAGGGCTTCTGGGTGGAAAATGGGGCTGTGGGAGTGGAAGGGAGGGATGGCAGGGGGCAGCAGGGGAGCCGGCTCCAGACCCCCAGGCAGACTTGCACTTGAATCTTGGCTTTCTTTTTTCTTGGTTGTGTGTTCTTGGGAAAGTTACTTGTTCTCTCACATTTGCCTCATCTCTGAAATAGGGACTATTATAGTTAGGATTAAAGAGATAATGTCTGCAGGACACGCTTCACTCTGGTAGTATCATTTTTGGTATTCCTGTTCCTTGGGTGTGTGTGTGGGGGGTCCGTGTCAGCAGGAGGGGAGTAGGTGGGGCGAAGCCTTCTTGGCTCTGCTGGAAGCACCAGGAGGAAGATGGGTGGGAGGAGGGAGACATGGGGGGAGGAATTCAGTGCAGAGGTGAAGTCAGTTTCTGGCCCCTGGGTGGAGTGGCTGTTAGGGGAGAAAGCCGTGCCCGCTGAGTGTGTCCTCACCCTGTCCTGCACTGACAGCCTTCTCATTCCATGTCTGTGTGGGAGGCCCAACTCAGCCTTGGGCCTGGCCTCTGCAGAGTGGCCCACGTGGGCAGGGTCCTGTGCTCTCTGAGCCCTCTGGGTTTCTTTCTTCCCCCTTCCCCTCTTCAGGGCCAGCTCCTGCTCTCTGGCTGACCCGCCACAGGGATCTGGGCCTTGACCCAGGCAGCTGACTCATGTGCTCTTTGGATTCTCTGGCAAAAAATGTTGCAGCCTCCCCCACCCTGGCCTTGGAAATGGAAATTCTTGTTCAAGGAGCTGGTGAAGATAGTCAGCTGCATACAGCTGGTGGGTCAACAGGGACCAGGTGGCGGGTGTGAAAGGGCTCAGCAAGTTCAGAGCATCCTGCAAAGGGCTGTGGAAGCTAGCCGGTCTTTGGTGTCATTCCTGCATTCATTTTCACCCACACAGGTCTGACCACCGTCTCTTCCCATTTCTGATAACCCCATTCCTAGCGGAACTTTCTCTCCCCATTTTTAGTGGTGCTGGTGGTGCTCCCAATCATACTGCCTCACTCCTACCTGTCACAGCACAGGCCCGGCTGATCCGATAGCCCTGTCCCTTGATGCCTGGCACCCTGACCATGCCTACCTTGCTCAGCCCCTTGTAGTCCTGTGACAGAGGAAGCAGATGAGAGGTGGTGGCTCACTGCCCATGTGGACCTGGGTGCCATGTGGCTGTGCGTACAGGGGTGATGTAGCAAGAAGGATTTTGTAGCTGAGAAGAAATTGAATTTGGAACCCAGAGGTTGGATCCAGGTGATATGGTTTCCTAAAGACAGTTTAGAGACCATGTGATATGGTTTGACTGTGCACCCACCCAAATCTCAACTTGAATTGTATCTCCCAGAATTCCCATGTGTTGTGGGAGGGACCCAGGGGGAGGTAATTGAATCGTGGGGGCCGGTCTTTCCCATGCTATTCTCATGATAGTGAATAAGTCTCACGAGATCTGATAGATTTATTAGGGGTTTCCACTTTTGTTTCTTCCTCATTTTTCTCTTGCTGCTGCCATGTAAGAAGTGCCTTTGGCCTCCTACCATGATTCTGAGGCCTCCCCAGCCATGTGGAACTGTAAGTCCAATTAAACCTCTTTTTCTTCCCAGTCTTGGGTATGTCTTTGTCAGCAGCATGAAAACGGACTAATACACCATGTCAGGTAGGTATGCTGGAATTTCAATAAGACAAAGTTGAGAACGTGAGGGGAAACTTGGGGGCCTGTTCAGCAAACAGCCCCCAGGCTGACATCCTCTGGAATGTTCTGAGGAAATGGCATTCTCTGGGTCTTTTGCAACAAGTACCAACTTTACACAAATGACCCATCAGAGGGCTCTTTTTTCCAAGCCTCAAATCTAGCTCTTGTGATGATGTCACTCTGGCCACAATGATTATTGAAGAGGTGGGCACTACACTAAATTGGGCCAATCATGGCCTCTTCCTGGGGGAAGGATGTGAGGGAAAGAATGTCCTCTCTCCTTTGGATTGCTACCAGTGAATGACCAAAGTTGTGTCTCACACAGAAGCCCTCCTAGCATGCAAGAGAGTGCAAGATCTCCCAAGAAAGAGAGATGGAGCATCAATGGCATCTAGAAGCCAGGGGACATTATATGAGTTTTGGCATTTACCCCTGTATGATCCAGTGCTGTGAACTCTTTTCTCTTATTTTATTTTTCTTTTTTAGGGACAGGGTCTTGCTGTATTGCCTAGGCTGAAGTACAGTGCCTAGCCATAGGTGAGATCATAGCACAATACAGTCTTGAACTCTTGTGCTCAGGTGATCCTCCCAGCTCAGCCTCCTGAGAAGCTGGGACTATAGATGTGCATCATTGCACCCAGCTTCTCTCTCTTTCTCTTTCCTTCTTTCTTTTCTTTCTTTCTTTCTTTCTTTCTTTCTTTCTTTCTTTTCTTTCTTTCTTTCTTTCTTTCTTTCTTTCTTTCTTTCTTTCTTTCTTTCTTCTTTCTTTCTCTCTCTCTTTCTCTTTCTTTCTTTCTCTCTCTTTCTTTTCTTCCTTTCTTTCTTTTTCTTTCTTCCTTTCTTTCCTTTTTTCTCCTTCCTTCCTTCCCTCTCTCTCTCCCTCTCTGTCTCTTCCCTCTCTCTCTCTCTCTTTCTTTTTTTTTTTTGGATGGAGTCTCACTCTGTCGTCCAGGCTGGAGTGTAGTGGTGTAATCTTGGCTCACTGCAACCTCTGCCTCCCGGGTTCAAATGATTCTCCTGTCTCAGCCTCCTGAATAGCTGGGATTACAGGCTCACACCACCATGCCTGGCTAATTTTTGTATTTTTAGTAGAGATGGGGTTTCACCATATTGGCCAGGCTGGTCTTGAAGTCCTGACCTCAGGTGATGTCCACAAACCTCGGCCTCCCAAAGTGCTGGGATTACAGGTGTGAGCCACCACACCTGGTCAGCTTCTCTTTTTCTCTGAAGTGAGTCTTAGTAGAGGAGTTTTTCCCCTCAAAATATCTAAAACACTAAGACATCCCTTCAGAAGCCCCCACGTTGACACTATGTCATAGCAACATGTACCCTTGGTGACTCTCCTCTGCCTCACTATTCGAGTCACTGTCCTCTGCCCACACTTGTACCACTGCTTTCCACCAACACACACACACCTGGGGAAATGGAAAGATTAATACTGTATTAAGATCATTTTTCCCACTTGGCCCTGCAAATGACTCTGGGAGGTAGGTGGGTTGGGCAGGTTGGGTTTACCCCTATTTTGCAGGTAAGGAAACAGAGGCTCAGGGAAGTGAAAAGCTGTGGCCATGCCTCAGGGCTGGTGCCAGGGCTGAGTTGCAAACCCAGGTGATCTGGTGCCAGGCTGAGATGGCAGTGCCACTGTGAGGCAGTATGGCATTGCAGAAGGCAGCAGGGAGTTAGACTTTGACTTAGAAAGAGCAGCTAACTTCTGTGAGACTTAGTTTCATCAGCTGAAAAACTAGTGTTTTAGTCTGTTTTTTGGTGCTTCAGAATACCTGAAACTGGGTAATTTATAAAGAAAAGGAATTTATTTCTTACAGTTTTGGAGACTGAGAAGTCCAGGGTCAAGGGGCTGCATCTGGTGAGGGTCTTCTTGCTGGTGGGGACTCCCTGCAGAGTTCTGAGGCAGCACAGAGCATCAAGTGGTGCTGGGGCTGAGTGCGCTGGCTCAGGTCTCTCTTCCTCCTCTTATAAAGCCACCAATCCCACTCCCATGATCACCCATTAATCCGTTAATCCATTTATCCATGAATGAATGGATTAGTGGATTCGTGGGGCTAGGGACCTCATGACCCAATCACCTTTTGCAGGCCTCATCTCCCAGTACTGCCACACTGAAGATTAAATTTCAACATGAGTTTTAGGGAGGCCAAATATTCAAGCCATAGCAATGGGATACAATTATCTATCCTATAAAGCTGCCTTGAGTCTTAAAAGAGAGCTTCCAATTTAAAAGGCACCTGGCCCACAGACCGTGACACCATCATATTCTTGTGAAATGGCTCCTGAAGGTAGGGAGTAAGGCAAAATGTCTACACTACCCAGCCCAACAAACAGCAAGCACAAGGAAATATGAAGACCCTGGGTCAGTGCTCTGCGCTCCGTTCTCTCTTAGACTAGTTTCTACAGCCCGTGAAAGTGTGGGAGGACACCTGGTAACTGCGCAGTAATTTGCACACTTGAGTGGGCACTGGGATCACCGGAGGGCTTGTTAGAACACAGATCTCTGGGCCCCTATCCCAGAGGTCCTAACACAAGCAGGTCTGTGGTGGCCTGAGACTCTGTATTTCTAGTAAGATCCCAGGTGCCGTTGTTGCTGCCGTTCTGGGGACCACATTTTGAGAACTGCTGTCCTACAGGGTCTGCTCCTGGGAGGGCCCAGAGACAGGGTGTGGGGATCCCTTTGTGTTTTCTCTCCCAACCAGGCTTCACTGAATGGTTTCTGGAGCCCGTCCTGCATCCAGGCAGCTGGACCAGCGTCACTGGCAGCTTTAGTGAATGCGGTTAGTGAAGAACCAGAAAAAACAGGTGTCACACTTTTGGTGCTTGAATTTTTTTTTTTTTTAAATTTTTGAGACGGAGCTGACTCACTCTGTCATCCAGGCTGGTGTTCAGTGGCATGATCTCGGCTCACTGCAACCTCTGCCTCCCAGGTTCAAGCGATTCTTCTGCCTCAACCTCCCGAGTAGCTGGGATTGCAGGTGCGCACCACCACACCCAGCTAATTTTTGTATTTTTAGTAGAGACGGGGTTTCACCATGTTGGCCAGGCTGGTCTCGAACTCCTGACCTCATGATCCACCTGCCTCGGCCTCCCAAAGTGCTGAGATTACAGATGTGAGCCACTGTGCCCGTCCTGGTGCTTGCATTTTAAAAAGCCAGGGTAGAGGTGCAAGATAATAAAGATTTGGAAGCATATGTAAGCGTTCCCTAAGCTTCCTACCATGACCCCAGCCAATCCATATGGGACGACTGGTGGGGGCAGGAGCTGAGAGCACTGAGCTCACAGAACAGTTCTAGCCCTGAGATGGCCCTCCCAGCACTGATCAGTGCCAGCAGGAGGAACATAGGGCCTGGACACTTCACTGAGCCTCCCATCCCACCCACCAAAGGCCCACATGGGTGGTGGGGCCTGGAAACCGAGGGAGGTGGTGGTGCATGGAAGGGGTAGTCTTCCATCCCCTGCCCCAACTTGGGCAAGATGGAGCTTCCTGGCTACATAGGGTTACTACCAAACAGACAACTCCTTGTAGGGCTTATTTTATTTTATATTTTAATTTAATTTAATTTAATTTAATTTAATTTAATTTAATTTAATTTAATTTAATGTTAGTGTTTGCCTTCCTATCTGCCTATCACTATAAGGCAGCCAGAGCCCTGAGCTCTTCCTTGGTCTTCCCAATATTTCTGTATCTAACAAGAGAATAAAGGATCATTGGGCAGAAAGTAGACGTAAGAGAGAAGAAAGAGAATACTGGGAGTGGTGCATGGCACCCTCATTGTTACAATAAGAGTAGCTCCTAACAGTGTCCATCAACATTGCTGGATGTCAGTCACAACAGGCATGGACAGCAGGTAAATAGCCACAACAAATGCCAACTTTCTCTAGAGCTGTAGCATCTACCACATAGATTTTGTGTAGACCAAAAGGGCTCTCTGCAACCCAGGCAAAATGTATAAAAACACAGATATGCCTAGACACTCTCAGGCAAAAGTATTGCTCAAAGGAAAATAAAAAGATTGCCTATAAAAGAGCAATTCAAGTGAATCTCATATTTCTTAGAAGTTACAAATAAGCAAAATCTTCAGTTTTTGAGGAAAGAAAAGGTTGTGCCTCAGAATTGCATAAACATAATTAAGCAGCTAGCCATCTGTGAGGACACCAGAAAAATATCCCTAGATATACAAAGGTCCCTAATATTCTCTTCTTGAAGTAAAGAATCATGTTCTCTTCTTGAAGTAAATTACTTCAAGACTGGCTAAAAGATGAATAAAAATTTTAAGAATTCTGGAATGGTGACTTAGAATTCTTGATGGTAAACCAATAAAACTGGTTAAACATACTGTTAGATCTAAATAATTGAAATATAATAATAAAATTTACTGTAAGCTTAAAAAATAATTATTTCAAGAAAAAATAAAATGAAAATACAATTAATTAGCAATAATCAGGCTGGGCCCTGTGGCTCACACCTGTAATCCCAGAACTTTGGGAGGCCGAGGTGGTAGGATCACCTGAGGTCAGGAGTTCGAGACCAGTCTGGCCAACATGGTGAAACCGCGTCTCTACTAAAATACAAAAATCAGCTGGGTGTGGTGGTGGGCACCTGTAATTCCAGCTACTCGGGAGGCGGAGGCAGGAGAATCGCTTGAACCTGGGAGGTGGAGGTTGCAGTGAGCCGATATTGTGCCACTGCATTTCAGCCTGGGCGACAGAGCGAGACTCCCTCTCAAAAAAGAAAAAAGAATTAGCAAGAATCAGAGTTTAAGTCACAAGCCATATTGCTGGACACCAGTAAGTAGCAAGCAGATTGAGAAAGAGTAAAAGTGTATTAATTTCCTCATTTTACATGAGGAGAATAAAAGGATATACATTTATTCTTAATTTTCAAGATTAGAATAATATTTGTAAAAATGTTTTTGAAAATCTTTAAAGTACATGCAGGGAAAATGGAGAGAAAAATATGTTTTCCAAATAACCAGAGCATCTGATAAAACAAAACAGGACACATAAAATGAAAGCAGAAAGCAAAGGAAAGGGTGAGGAAGTATTAAAAAGAAAAACAGGCTGGGTGTAGTGGCTCACACCTGTAATCCCAGCACTTTGGGAGGCCAAGGCGGGAGGGTCGCTTGAGGCCAGGAGTTCAAGACCAGCCTGGCCAACCAGACGGGAGACCCCGTCTGTACAAAAAATAAAAAATTAGCTGGGTGTGCTGGTGCGTGCCTATAGTTCCAGCTACTCAGGAGGCTGAAGCGGGAGGATCTCTTGGGCCTATGAGTCCTGGGCTGCAGTGCACTATGCCAATTAATTGGGTGTCCACGCTAAGTTTGACATCAATATGGTGACCTCCTGGGAGCAGGGGACAACCAGGTTGCCTAAGGAGGGTGAACTGGCCCAGGTCAGAAATGCAGCAGGTCAAAACTCCTGTGCTGATCAGTATTGGGATCACTCCTGTGAATAGCTACTGCACTCTAGCCTGGGCAATAGAGCAAGACCTGGTCTCTTAAAAAAAAGGAAAAAAAGAGAAAAGAAAATTAACTATGCTCTGTTAACTGATATACAGGTAAGTTATATGCTGTTACACATTAAATGATGCAAAATTGTATGTACAGTGTAATTCCAATTTTGTGTAAAAATGGTAACAATTTCTCTAAACTTATATGACAGCATTTCTCATATTGCTTTCTGTAGAACACTACTTTCTATGAGATGTTTGTGAATAATTGTTCCAGAAAAAGGGATCTGGTAAAACAAGGCTAGGAAAATCTAAGCAAAACCATGTAAAACCATTTCATTTTGGCAAGTCTTCTCAGTGCCTTATTGGATATTTTTTCTTTTTGGCCACCCAGCTCCTGGACCCTCATCTTCCATGTGTGGACTTTCTCGTCTCATCAGGCAGTGTCCATCTCCTACAGCAGAAGCGGATGATCCCAGTTCCTTACCTTTTCTCTTCCCTGGTGGCTTCACCAGTCGGATAGATACACCTGTCTGGGAGTTGGAGCTGGGCTGGTTACCCCCGGAAGCAGAGGTGCTGGGGAACCCTTCCTGGCAGGGGCCAGCCACATTCCTCAGTGCCCATGCCATTCAGTGTTCAGAGTGACTATGCCAAGGTCCTCACCAGGCTGTTTTGGCGGTGTGATTTTGGCATTTCTCTTTGTGTAACTTTCCTTTGTTCTTGCCCACCTTCTAAACCCTAGTTCTCTAGTCTTCTTGAATCTAGAATTATTTCAGTTTTTTGAGAATACTAGAATTTAGTGTTATTTAAGTAAAATTTTGTTCTCCTCAAATCAGTTTGAGGCAGTTTCTGCTGCTCGCATTTCTGAATATTGACTGACGCATTATTATACTAATGTGTACTGTGAATTTCTAAAAGGGAGAAATTTTCCAAAGTTATTTGTCTGTACTTTTTCCCTTTTCTTTTCTGAAAACTTATGAATCTCCTGTGAAATTAGTATGGTGCGAAACGTAAACTTATGGCTATAAAAAAGTCTGGGAGGAAATACAACAAATGAAGCATAAAGGATATTTTATTCCAAATAATGGGTTGAGGACTTGTGTTTGTGTCTCCCTTCAGAGATCCCATTAAAGGGCGACTATAAACCCATCACAGCAGAGATGATATAAGGTGGATCAGACAGTGGGTAGGAGATTTAAACATTTCCCCAAGCTGGAAAGGCAAAGGAGGTGTGCTGATGGATAAAACAGAGTGGAGGAAGCCTCAGAACAGAATATGATGCCTGCAAAGGACTGGGGAGGAGGTGGAGCTGACCTACACTTTGGAGCCCCAGAGAGACTTAGGGATGAGTTGACCATGTAGGGTGGAAATGAGAAGGGACAGGCAATGCTAGGGTTAACTGAAAGTCTGTCCAGGCACCAGCTAGGGCAGTCAAACCCTTTTCCTCTCTTTCTCATCTGCTTGCAGAGCAATAGCTGTCTAGGTCCTGCTCTTCTTTAAAAAAATTAACACATACTCTGGCTCGTTTACCTTGGCCCCCTAGAATAAAGCCTTTTCAGTTCCAGCATAAACAGCTGGTTCCTGTCAATTCACCCTCAAGTGAAGCTTGCCAGGCCATAAATGGTGTCTTTTTTTTTTTTTTTAAGACGGAATCTCACTGTCACCCAGGCTAGAGTGCAGTGGTGTGATCCTAGCCCACTGTAGCCTCAAGCTCCTGGGTTCAAACAATCCTCCTGTCTTAGCTTCCCAAGTAGTTGGGACTACAGACATGTGCTAGCACACCTGGCCAATTAAAAAAAATATTTTGTAGAGATGGGGTCTTGCTATGTTGCCCAGGCTGGTCTTGAACTCCCAGCCTCAAGCAATCCTGCTGCCTTGGCCTCCCAAAATGCTGGAATTACAGATTTGAGCCACTGTGACTGTCCCATAAGTGGTACTTCTAAGCAACCTTCTTATGCAGAGGAGAAACCAGTTGGGAAAATCGATATACATTCACAATAGCACAGTAAACCCTGCATCAATGTAAGAGCTATTTAGAAAAACTAACTTAACCTTTTATTCTTAAGGATGTAGAATCACCAAAATATGAAGAATACTCCCAGCACAAAAGAGAAAAGACAAAATAACATTCAGAATAAGCAATAGCCCTGGAAGAAAAGGAGAAACGCAGGACTAGAAAACTGCATCTTCAAAGACATTCAATAAGGGGGTTTCCAGAAAAATGACTTTGTAATAGAATTCATGTAATAGAATAAGAAACTAGAAGACATTAGTAATATAAGGCAAAAGTATAGATTTCTTTTTTAACAAAAGAAAAAAAAAACCCAAAGCAATTAGAGACCTCAGATAAAAGAAAAAATGGTCCAGGAAGAAAGCGCTCTAAAATATGGCATGCAGCCTGGGCAATGTAGCAAGACCTCATCTCTGCAGATAAAAAATATTAGCCCGGTGTGGTGGCATGTGCCTGTAGTCCCAGCTACTTGGGAGGCTGAGGTGGGAGAATCACTTGAGTCTGGGAGGTCGAGGCTGCAGTGAGCTGTGATTGCACCACTGCACTCCAGCCTGGGCAACAGAGCAAGACCTCATCTCAAAAAAAAAAAAAAAAAAAGTGTGGCATGATACTGAGCAATTGACAGTTAAAGTGTCTTAGCACTTTTAGTCCATTCGGGCTGCTATAAAAAAATACCATAAGCTAGGTAGCTTAACAACAGAAATGTACTTCTCACAGCTCCTGATGCTCCAAGTCCAAGATCAAGGTGCCAGCAGATTCAGTGTCTGGTGAGAGTCGGCTTCCTGGTTCATAGATGGCAGTCTTTTCACTGTGTCCTCAAAGTGGAAGGAGTAAAGGGGCTCTCTGCAATGTCTTTTTATGGACACCAATCCCATTCATGAGGGCTTCACCTTCATGACCTAATCACCTCCCAGAGACCGCACCTACAAATACTATCATATTGGGGATTAGGTTTCCATATATGAATACTGGGGGCACAAACATTCAGTCTATAGCAAAAAGAAAAAAAGAATTTTATTGACATGCTAGGAATATTATTCTGTAAGAGACAAGAGGTTGTAACTCTGGATCATTACAGAAAGAAGTGTCATCTTAGCTTTGTAATAAACAATAATAATGTTGCCATAATAATGTAAACACTATTTTCTGGTTTTTGATTATTTTTAACAGATCTATAAACAAAGCCCAAAGACTTAATTATGATTCCAGAACAGAATGTCAGTGTTTTACATGACAGTGTTTACATGACAAGTAAAGTTGTAACTGACAGAAGGTGGGAGGAGGAAGGTGAGGAGGGAGGTTGGAGGGAAGCGGGGAGACACACATATCCTCTTCTAGTGTGGGGAGTTCAGAGGCACTGTCTGAAAACAAAGGGAGGCTTAGGCTTATTATTAAAAGTTACAAAGGTAGTCAAGAGAAGAACTAAAATTATAATATAACTATCAAAACTGGGGAGGAGAATAGAGAAGAGTTGGGAAGTAGAACAAAAGAGAGTTATATCCCTATCTTTCATTGTAGGCATTCCGCAGATAATGTTTAAAGGCAATGCATTAAGTAATAGAAACGTAAGCCACGTTATTAGAATGATGGGAGTACACTCAATAAGTGATGAGAAATTGTTAAAACGATTGATTCCTTTTGAGGAGAGGGACTGCAGGTAAGGCAGGGAATACTAATTTTATTATTTTTATTTTTTAATTGTTATTATTATTATTTATTATTTTTATTTTTTATTTTACTTTAAGTTCTGGGATACCTGTGCAGAGTGTGCAGGTTTGTTACATAGGTGTACATGTGCCATGGTGGTTTGCTGCACCTATCAACCTGTCATCTAGGTTTTAAGCCCCACATGCTATTAGGTATTTGTCCTAATGCTCTCCCTGCCCTTGTCCCCTACCCTCTGACTGGCCCGGGTTTGTGATGTTCCCCTCCCTGTGTCCATGTGTTCTCATTGTTCGACTCCCATTTATGAGTGAAAACATGCAGTGTTTGGTTTTCCATTCCTGTGTTAGCTTGCTGAGATTGATGGCTTCCAGCTTCATCCATGTCCCTGCAGAGACATGAACTCATTCCTTTTTATGGCTGCATAGTGGGAATACCAATTTTTTATTATAAATTTTTTTGAACTATTTGACTTTAAAAAAGCTATGTACATGCGTTAATTAGATAAAAATATAAAAATAATGGAAGATGCATTATAACATAAAAAACAAAATAATTTGGAACATAATGGATAGTTCTTATTTTCTAATTTACATGCTTTCGTATAGTCTGCGTTTTCTGTAATGAGGATGGGTTACTTTTTATCATTAATAAATGAAAATAAGATAAGAAAAAGAAAAATTAACAACGACTTCTTAATTCTCAGACCATCAGCTCTAACAGGGCAAGAATCCTGTCTGTCTTATCTTTGTTTTTCCAGTGCCCAGGGCAGCCTGGCCCCAGCAGGTGCTGAATGGATTGAATGCAGGAAGATAGACCCTGGGAGAGAAGCATTTGGGGGCAAGGGAGGCAGAGGTGGGCTTCACCTCATCTGAGTTGGCTGGAGTGTTGCCCCTTCCCTGGTGGCCTCTCAGAGCTTCCCCGCTCCAGAGTGCTCCGAGGCTTGGATCGTCTGAGCTGGGTTTGGGGCCTTAGTTCTTGCTAAAGATTCCTAGTGTTCACATCTGCCTTGGCCTGTGCTGTCACCCCTGCTGTTGTCTGGGGAGCCCAGAGGTTGTAGGATGAGGTGATGGGGTGGGCGTGGGGTGAGGCACGGGCCACTGGGGTAATACCTGCCATGGGTCCTGGGGAGGGATGAGGTCACAGCCTGCTGTTCTGAGAGGCGGGTGGGGAAGCCAGGCCAGCAGGCAAAGAGAATCTTATGTGTTCTGCATTTTAAGGATAGGATAATCTCTGGGAAAAATCCAACATACTTTGGGAGTGGATCCTCTTTGTCTCAGGGCAGTTCAGAGCAGGTGTGACCCCAAGCAAATGTCCCCTGGGGCCAGCCTGTCCTCCCCAGCTGGGTGTTCACCTACCATGCTCGCCCTTGCTTGTTGTTGCTTTGCTCCAGTAGCTTTCCCTCAGCTGGCCCGAGGGACTCAGAATGAGAGCCTGTGGCCCTAACCAAAGAGTGACCTCTAGGGAGCTCTTATTTCAGGGGAAGACCACTCATGACCACAGGAGCTCCTAGTCTCACGGTAAGGATAGGGCATCACCATAGCTTCTCCCTGCGTGGGTCAGAGTGACCCCAAAACTGATCCCCCCTCTTTCACCTCCAGTCTGATGGCAAGAAGTCAATGATGTGTCCCCTGGCCTCCTGGGAGCAGTGGTTGGGTGAGGGGTGACATCAGTACTCTTAATTTAGAAAGTGGGTGGGACCAGGGGAAGGGTCTCGTAATAGACCTAGGCCATTGCCAAGATTGGCCAGCAGGGGGCGGAGTAGACCTTAGCAGGAGAGGGCAGGCAGAGGAAGGAGGGAAAAGGGAGGAGATGGTTTGATGGAAAGGGCTCTCAGAAGGAAGGTGGGGAGGGGCTTGGTGGGAGCTGGGAAGGTGCCATCCTGCTTCATACCTTGGCTTTGGCAGGGGAGGTCTGCATGGTCTTCTTGAGGAGAGAGAAAATAATTACAGAGACACTGGAATGGTTGAGCTGCAGAATTTACCAAACCAGGGACCTCTTATGTCTAGGTTCTCATTATATGAAATAATAATCCTCTATTTATAATCCACTTTAAATCAATTAATGTATTTTTTTTGCAATCAAAAGGCTCCCAACTGTTGCAAATTTCCTTTTCCAAGACTAATTAGGGAGGGACACTCAATCTCCAGCTCCCCTCTTTGTTGCTGAAATCAGACATCATCCATGCCAAGGTTCTGCTCACCAGAAGCTCAGCCCCTAGCAAGCAGGACCTGCCTAGGGGTGGGGGGGTTGACTTTTCCTTTGCCTCCATGCCCCTTAGTGGCACTTGGTTTTGAGGAAGACTCTCCTCCTCTGCTGCACTCTGAATTTTCTCTAACCTCAGGAAAATCTAGTGGCTTTCCTTTTTAGATGGAAATGATGCTTCACTGAGAATCTCCCATCCTGATATTTAACAACATCATCTACATTCATGAATGTGTTGATGTTTTCCATCTGTGTTGTTTTGTGTTGGGTGGAAATTGAGATAAGGGTTGAATTTTGCATGTGGCTCAAGGTATAGGCCAGATATTTCATGCATGAATACAGGTTCCATAGGCAGAAATGAGCACCAGAATATACAGACTCCTGTAATTTGTGGGAATCTTGGCGAGGGCTTTGGACATATTCGGGGGGTGCAGGGTGGAATCAGGGCAGGGTGGTGGTAGTTACGAACAGAGAGGCCCCTGCTGACATGTAGGCATCAAATGCAGTTCAGAATTTTTAATTTATAGATTCTAGTAGAGAAGACTATATAAAGATTTCTATTTTGGAGGTAGATGTAGAAAAGCTTGAAGTGGCCAGAGATAGTGTTTGTGGTGCAGATAGCAGAGATGATACCCTAAGACCTGTGAAAGCAGTCACAAAAAGCTGCGCTTTGTTTGTTAAAGATGTTAGCTGTGGTTTATGAGATGTGCTGCTTTGGATGATGGAAGATTAAGCCTGTGTTGGCATGGTGATGGAAAACATGTTGTTCACAAATAAAGTCTTTGTGAACATGTCCTTCTTTGATTCAGAATTGAGGCAGGCAGAGCCTGCTCCCATGGGCTGAGAATTTGCAAGCCAGGGTGGCCTCACCAGCTATTTGCTCTGGGGCCATGACCTCAAGAGTAGGGTCCTGGTTTTCGTTACACGAAACAAACATTTATGGTAGCCAAATGATGATGATTGTGTAATTACAAGACTGGATAAAGTGATGGAGGAAATACAATCTCAAGCATTTGTGGAAGGTAGAGGGCAGAAGGGTTGTTGTGGTTAGGGAGGCTTCACAGAGCAAGCAGGACTTGACAGGACTTGATCTGGGCTCGGAAGGTGGCCACCGTGAGACCTGTCAGACTGGAGCAGACTGTGCTACAGCTCCTGGGGAGGAACATGCCTGGGGTGGGCCGTGGAGGGCCTCACACGCAAGGGCTGGAGGGGTTAGAATTGGTATGCTGATTTAATAAAGAGGAGGAAGTCACAGAAGGAAGAAGTCACATACCTGGATATTTAGAAAATAGTAGAGGGGGCTGGGCGTGGTGGCTCCCGCCTGTAATCCCGGCACTTTAGGCCAAGATGGGCAGATCACCTGAGGTCAGGAGTTCCAGAGAAGCCTGAACAACGTGATGAAACCCTGTCTCTACTAAAAATACAAAAATTAGCTGGGTGTGGTGGCCTGTGCCTGTAGTCCCAGCTGCTGGGGAGGCTGAGGCAGGAGAATTGCTTGAACCTGGGGAGCAGAAGTTGCAGCGAGCCGAGATTGCACCACTGCACTTCAGCCTGGGCGACAGAGCAAAACTCCATTTCAAAAGAAAAAAAAAAAAAGAGAGAAAATAGTAGAGGTGTCACGCCAAGCTGCATCAGTGGAAAAAGCCAAGTGGAATAACTCAAGCATCATTTTTCTCACCCCCAAACTTCTCATGGGGGTTTCATTATCTGATTCCATCTTCCGTTTTCCATATATTTGCTCAATCCCTTCTTTTCCTAGTGATACAGGCAGGAGGCAGGAGTTCAGCCCAAGTGGACCCCTTGGCCAGAGAGTGTCTGGTTGGGACTTATGGATTATGTCCAATTTCTGGGTGGCAACAGAGAGGGTGGCTGGAGATTGAGTGTCCCTTCATTATTCTTGGAATAGGAAATTCTGAGAATATTGGAATAGGAATTCCAAGAATATTATTCTTGGAATAGGAATAGTCTTGGAAAAGGAAATTTGTACCATTTGAGATCCTTCCAGTTGTAAACAAATAAAATAACTGGTTTAAAGTGGATTATAAATATAAGTTTATTATCTCATATAATAAGAAATCTAGAGATAAGAGATCCCTGCAGCTCAACCATTCCAGTTTCACGGTAATTCTTTTCTCTCTTCTTGAGAAGCAATAAGCACAGCTCCTTCCATGACAATGTCCAAAGTAAATAGGGGTGGGCGCAGTGGTTCATGCCTGTAATCCCAGTACTTTGGGAGGCCAAGGCAGGTGGATTGCTTGAGATCAGGAGTTCGAGACCAGCCTGACTAACATGGTGAGACCCTGTCTCTACTAAAAATACAAAAAATTAGCTGGGCATGGTGGTGCATGCCTGTAGTCCTAGCTACTCAGGGGGCTGAGGCAGGAGAATTGCTTGAACTCGGGGGGAGGAGGTTGCAGTGAGCCAAGATGGCGCCACTGCACTCCAGCCTGGGCAACAGAGCAGGACTCTGTCTCAAAAAAAACCAACCAAACCAAAACAAACCAAAACAAAACAAAAACCAAAACAAAGTAAATAGGGAGTGCAGGGAACTTTTTTTTTTCTCCCAAAACTTTTTTTTTTTGTTTTTTTGGAGAAAGGCAGAAAATCTTTCTCATAAACTCTCCAGAAGACATCTCCTTCATATCACCAGCCAGAACTAGGTCCCATCTAGGCCACTTCTAGAGGCACAGGAGGCTTGGAGACCAAGTCTTTGGCATTGTTGGCCTTTGTTGTGGAAGGTGTGGTCTGCCAGCAAGAAGGAAGGAGAGGGGACTGGTGGATGGTTGGTGACCAGCAGTGACTACTGCAAACCCAAGGAACAGAGGAGTGGCAGAATTACTGCAGAGGGGAGGCAAGAAGACCAAGTCCTTGGGGTTTGCAGGGAAAGAGGAGGCAAGCTCTTGTGTTTAAGAATACCTGTGTGGTGGGTTCAAGGTGCACTGTAGATTGAGTGCTTTGGCTTTGTGTGAGGGACACCCCACGGCACCTGTGCTAGAGTTTACTTAGACGGCGAGACCAAAGCCACCTCAGTCTCTGTTTTTCCTCCTGTAGTTTCAACCACGAGGATTCACCTTGAATTCACAGAGTGGAGGCTGGCATTGTCTCCTGGGCAACATATTCCTCCTTCCTCTATGAGGAAAAACTCCCCAGAGGCCGGACACTCCTGGGAGTGGGTAGAAATGAAGACCTGGGGAGGGGTAGAGACAAGAACTCATCTCTTTCTCTTGAACTTCCAGGTCTGAACTCCCTGCCCTTAGCAGTGGGAGGAGAGGGGTGCAGAAGGGCAACGGCAGATGTCTGCCTGATGGGGAAGAAGCAGCCCCAGCTGGGGAGTTCCTAGCTTTGTGAGGGGCAGTGCTCTGACCAGGCTAGGCTGGAAGTCAGGGGCTGACTGTGAGGGGCTTTGTGGGTGGGGATGCTTGGCAGAGGGGAGGGATCATGAGTGCTGAGTGGGGGGCGGGGAGGGGCTGGGAAGGGATTTGGTGAAAGGCTTATGGGGTCCTGGGCTGGAGATGGGGTTCTTCAAACATGCTGAGGGGTGATGGTGGGGTTTCCTGGACCTCCCACCCCAAGACAACTGAGGAGGCTTCAGTGCCTCCCTCTTCTATCTTGTGTGTCACACTCTGTGGCTTGCCAACCAAGACTGTCAGCGGATTGCGTAGGTGTTTCCTCTCTCAGAAGTCAGTGGAGTCCCCCATTTCTTCAAAGAAAGCATGAGTGCCTGCCTTAGGGATCTGGAGCTCTGAGTTAAGTCTCCTTCAGTTCTTCACCAGCCCTGCGGCTTGGGCAAGCCACTTCACCTCTCCCAGTCTTGTTTTCGTCATCTATGAAACAGCAGCACTGTGGGGTCAGATTGACTGCTGTGTGAATCACAGCTCAGCCTCTGTTAGCCTCTGTTAGCTCTGTGTCTTCAGACAAATTAACCTCTTTGGTTTGCTTGCAGAGTTTTTGTCTAGAGTTTTCAATCACTCACTTCCAGATGAGTATTGCACTTACTTTTGCCAGGTGCAGGGCCTAACAGCAGCAGCAGCAACAGTGAAAAATCAAAGCAAAAGGGATAATGTCTCGTTTCGTCATTAGGAGGGATTCATATTACACCGTGAGGTTGGCTGGGGCTCAGATGAAGTCACCATTCTGACTGCTGTCATAAAAACTAAATGGGATAAAGAGGGTTTTGTAATCTGCGAAGGCTGCCAGGACAGACGTAAGGATGAATCAATCCCTGGGAAGGAAGCCCAGATGGTGGCTTTTCAGACTTGACAACAGGTGGCGGCTCCCGCCCTCAGGGTGGGACTCTTGGATGGGCCCTGTCCAGCTCCAGGACCAGGTAGGCCTGGAGGGGCCTTTCCTCCCGGGGAAAGGAAGTGGCATGCATCCAGAGTTCCCAAAGTGGCGATTCCATTTACCTTGCTCAGTATTTGACTCTCTCGTCCTCCTGTTTGAGACGGGAGGAATGATGGTGGGTGAGGAATTCGGGAAAGCCGCTTTCATCCCTCCTTTTGCAGTGAACTCGGCCCAATCCCACTTGTCCAGGAGTGTTCTGCACCACCCCACCTCGGGGTTCAGGAGGAAAAGGCCACTATATGGCTTTAATTTTAGGATTGAGATAGAACTTTAATAAATTTGAAGGTTCAGTGTTAGAGCCTTCAAGTTTTGCAGTTTCATGGCAGTGGTTGAATGTTCCCATTTGTGCCCTTGAATTCCCTGATTGTGATTCGCACTGTTGTCCCCACCACTCCACTGCCACTACCACCGCCACTCCACTGCCACTACCACCGCCACTCCACTGCCACTACCACCGCCACTCCGCTGCCACTACCACAGCCACTCCACTGCCTTTACCACCGTCACTTCTGCTATTGTAGAGTCACAGCTCACAAGGTGGGTAGCACGAGAGCTAAAAATAAACAGGTTTAAACTAGGTGTCAGAGTCCAGCAATTAAGGGCAAGGATTCTAGAGCCAGACTGCCTGAGTTCAAATCCAGGTGTGACCATTTACTGCCTGTGTGATCTTGGGCAAATTACATAATCCTATAGTGCCTCAGCTTTCACATCTGTAAAGTGGGGGTGATAATAATAGCTCCTACCTTTTAAATGTGTTGTAATGATTAAATACATTCATAGATGTAAAGCCTTTTTTTTGAGATGGAGTCTCACTCTATTGCCCAGGCTGGAGTGCAGTGGTGCGATCTTGGCTCACTGCAACCTCCGCCTCCCGGGTTCAAGCGATTCTCCTGCCTCAGGCTTCCGAGTAGCTGGAATTACAGGCGCCCGCCACTGTGCCTGGCTAATTTTTGTATTTTTAGTAGAGATGGGGTTTCACCATGTTGGCCAGGCTGGTCTCGAACTCCTGACCTCAGGTGATCCGCCCACCTCAGCCTCCCAAAGTGCTGGGATTACAGGCATGAGCCATCGCGCCTGACCTGAATATTTTTTATTCCATTTTACAGGCAGAGAAACTGAGGCTCAGAGATGTAACTTGTCACATCCACATAGCTAGGAAGTAGAGGAACCAGGTTCAAACCTGTGATTTTTGGCCCCCAAGGCTAGTGCTCTTCACTACGGGTTTATACACTGCAGCCTCCACAACTGCGTTGCTTTTTTTAGCACAAGGGCAGTGTCTCACACATCTTTCCAGCACACACAGGCCTTGCCTCGTGAGCCTGGCACTTGGCACGTGTGATTTTAGTGTGATAAAGACTCTGGTATGTCTGGGCTTCCTTCCAGGGTGTACTCACTTTCCAGAGCTTTCTAATTTGTGTTTTTCATACTGTGTTCAAGCCCTTGTATGAGGAAGCCAGCCCTATCTGGATTTCCTTCCTAGTGACTCCAGGGCAAGCAGTAGTGCAGGAGACTCAGGGAGGAGGGTGCTGGAGGGCAGTGCCATCTACCCAGACAGATGTCGGCTTGGTCTCTCATTCCCAGTCATTAGCTCAGAGCTTTTGGTGTCCTGGGTGGTTAGCAGTTGGATAAGGGCAAAGACCCTTTTTTTTTTTTGTATTAAAAAAATGGATATATCATGGCTGACTCTGGGCATGCTGCCTATGAGTTAGTCCTGCTCCGCAAGGAGCAGTACTGGTCATTAAAGATTGCTGTCTAACACTACCAGCTCACCAAAGAATTAAAAAAGATTGATATATCCTAGTTGTACATATTTTTGGGGTACATGTAATGTTTTGATACAGGTATATAGTGTGTAATGATCCAATCAGGGTAATTGGAATATTCATAACCTCAAATACTTATCTTTTGTGTTAGAAACAGTACAATTCTTCTTTTCTAGCTATTTTCACATTTACAATAAATTATTGTTAATGTAATTTCCCTATTGTATTATCTAGTACTATCAAATACTAGAACTTAGTATCTAGAACTTATCAAATACTAGAACTTATTCCTTCTATATAACTGTATTCTGTATTCCTTCTATATAACCCTTTATATATTTCTTTTCATTCCCCTCTCCTTCTCCCCTTCCCAGCAATTGAATTCCCATTCAATTTCTTTTTATTCCCCTCTCCCTCTTCCCTTCCCAGCCTCTGGTAAGACTCCCATTCTCTAGATGAGATTTACTTGCTTCTTGCTCCATTTCAGAGACAGAGAAGAAGACAATGGCCTCAGTAAGATATACATAAGATGATCTTCTAGGCAGTAATACTAGTGACCATGGCAGAGAGAACTTGACTGGACTTGTGTTTCATGCAATGTAAGAAAAGCAGGCACAGCAAAAGAGAACCCACACTCCCCCACATCCCCTGCAATGTAACAAATAACATAAGGAATGCTTGATTACCCACCAGCTTAAGATAGAAACCATCACCAAAGACCTAAATGTAAGAGCGAAAACTATAAAACTCTTTAAAAACAGGGGAAAAGCTTAACAATGTTAGATTTGGCGATGAGTTCTTGGATAATGGTGGGAGGATTGCTTGAGCCTGGTAGGCAGAGGTTGCAGTGAGCTGAGATCCCACCACTGCAAAAAAAAAAAAAAGAGAAAAAGAAACAGAAACAGGGTCCCACTCTGCTGCCCAGGCTGGAGTGCAGTGGCAGGATCATGGCTCACCATAGCTTCAAACTCCTGGGCTCAGGTGATCCTCCCACCTCAGCTTCCCAAGTAACTGGGACCACAGGTGCACACCACCACACCTGGCTAAATATATTTATTTTTTTTTGTAGAGATGGAGTCTCACTATGTTGCCCAGGCTGGTTTCAAACTCCTGGGCTTAAGCGATCCTCCTGGCTCAGCTTCTCAAAATGCTAGGATGCCTGGCCCATTTTTAAGTTTTTTTTTTCTTTTTTTTTGAGATGGAGTTTCGCTCTTGTCACCCAGGCTGGTGTGCAATGGTGTGCTCTCGGTTCACTGCAACATCCGCCTGCCGGGTTTCAAGCTATTCTCCCATCTCAGCCTCCTGAGTAGCTGGGATTAAAGGCATGCGCCACTACACCAGGCTAATTTTTGTATTTTTAGTAGAGAGGGGGTTTCATCATGTTGGCCAGTCTGCTCTTGAACTCCTGACCTCATGTGATCTGCCTGCCTTGGCCTCCCAAAGTGCTGGGATTACAGGCATGAGCCACCATGCCCGGCCTAAATTTTTTTTTTTAATTAAGTTTTTAACTCTTTTTTTTTTTTGCATATTATGTGATGCAGAATGAAATCTAAATCTGTTTTTTATGTATATGGATACTTAATTATCCCAGTGTCACTTACTGACTCGGCTGTCATTTCCCACTGATTTGCAATCTCCCCACCCCGTGCCTCAGTGTCTCATGCAATGCCCACCTGTCTCACAGATCACGTTTCCATTTATGTACGGGCCTAATTCTAGGATGTCTGCTTTGTTCTGCTTTTCTATCTCTATGCCTTCACTTTCATGTCTTGGCGATCACTGCTTTACATAAGTCTTCTCTCTGGTAGGCCACATCCACCATCTCGTTCAACTTCAAAATTATCTAGGCTCTTCCAGATACATTTCAAAACTGGTGTATCTTGCTGGGTTGATTTCTAGATATTTCAATGGTTTGTTCTATAACAAATGGCATTGTTAACTTTTTTTACTAACTGTTGCTAGTATACAGGACTACAACTGACTTGTGTAGACCTAAACATTGCAGGTGCCGCGCTTGCGTCTGCTGAGTTTGAAGGAGGCAGATCATGGAGCTGCTAAGTGCCTCTGCTCTCTGAGGTGGCAAGGCAATGGCTGGAGGAACGGATGTCTGAGTGGCTACTTTTGGCTAGGAATGGCAATGCGAGGAAAGACAAAGAGGACAGGGAGAATGATGTAGCAGTGAGAGAACTGGAAAGGGAACTGGATGAGAGAGCTGGAGAGATTTTTGCGTTGAGGCAGGGGGTTTAGGGAGAGGAAATGTCTCTGGTGAAAATTTCTGGGAAGATTTCTGTACAGTGCTTTGGTTAAATCCTGTGGTTGAGTCCTTTAAAAAAACCTATAGCTACCTCTGTAGTCAGATTTGTGAATCCTTTGACTGTGACTACACACAAATCTAAGCCAAGTTGATGAGGTGAGGTGGCAGGGTGGTGGAGGGGAGAGTCCCAGTATGTTAATTGGATTAGACGTGGCACTGAGTAGCTCACCAGTAATTGTTGATTGGATGATCACATCCACATTAGGTCTTGGGCGGTTGCCAGAGACAGTCCTGGAGGGAGCTGCACTTAGTGGACAGGGTTTGTTAGACCTTGGCTTGGAAAATGGGGAGCTGGCTTACCTCTTCCTTTCCAGACCATTTCAGAATATCCAGAAGTAGCCTGTAAATATTTGGGTAATGTGAGGCAGTGATGCAAGGCCAGCAAGCAGGAAGCCCTAAACATATAATAATTCCTATTTTCTCCCTTGTGCTTCCTTGAGAGCCACTGCAGAGGAAACCAGAAGGATGGCCTTGGAGGAGGCTTGCTGTGGCAGGCATGATAGCTCTGGACCCACAGCAGATCTCACTGAGGCCACGGCTGCTGTTGGTTCCACCAGAGCCTTGGGAGTTGGAACTCAGGTCCAACCCCACATCAGAAGCCAAGTGGAACCCCTTTTAATTTCCAGCTTGGCAGCATTTTAAAGCTGTGCCCTGCTTTCCAACCTTCAATCCCTGAGGGGCTAGGATGGAGGTACACCATGGTCTCCTTCCCTCTGCACGCTCAAGACCCCCTGGGCTGGAAAGAGGTGGGGAGGCCCTCATGGGGCCCCCAGCCTTCACAGGGAGACTGAGGCTCGGCCTTGAATAAGCTGCCAGCTGAGCAGGGACACAGTTCTTCTTCTAAGGACCACCCAGGTGAGGGGAGAAAGCTCTGGCCCTCAGAGGGCATCTAGTCTCAGTTAGGAAAACACAGTCTCTGCTGAAAAGGAAGTTAAGGATTTTGAGATGGAAAGATCACCCTGGATTTTTGGGATGGACCTAAGATAGCTACAGAGGTCCCCGACAGGGAAAGAGGGAGCAGGGAGAGTCAGATATGGGAGTGTGATGGCAGAAGTAAAGGTCAGAGTGATGTCGTTGCCGGCTGGGGAGTCACAAGTTAAGAGATTGTCACCGAGTACCCCCATTTTCTAAGAGATGGTTTAATTCTTTTTAAAATTTATTTTCTCTTTTCCTTACCTCCTGCTCCCCACTTCTGATTTAACCCTTTAGAAATTCAGATATAGCTGTTGAAATCTCTTTCACCAGACACTCCATGCAGGGCAAGATGCAACCCCTTTGAATAGAATCTCTTTGAATGGAACCCCATGGAAACAACCTGGCCAGCAGATCTAGGGTGTTGCTCGAGGCAGCAGCTCTCTGAGATGGGAGTGGTGTGGGAGTTGAGTCAGGGGAAGAGCTCCCCAAGGGGGCAGAGTTTGGGATGGGGAGAGGGGGGATCAACAAGATGGAGATGGCTTGAGCAAGGCCTGAGTGGGAGAAGGAATGCAGAGGGGAGAGAGGCTGAGACGGAGCTGCACAGTGGCAGATTGCTCCAAGGTGAATTTAAGCAGTAAGATCACAAAATTTGCTTTGTGTTGGTGCCAGCGTCCATGTGCTAACCCTTCACTGGAACCCATCCCAATTAGGGCTGTGGCTATGGCAAGGCAGGTGTAGCTAAGTCCCTGGGCTGACAGCGGGGGCGTGGAGGGCAAGGTTCCTAATTCCCAGAGTGAGGAGGGTTTTAAGAAATGCCTAGGTCTGGTGGTGGTTCCCCTGGAGTCTTCCTTCCGTATAGGTATAGCAGAGCTGAGGAAGAGGCAAGGCAGCCCCCTTCGAAAATTATTTCTAAATCTGGTGTATCTTTTCTAGCGCCTTGCTCCCAGCAGGGTGCCAACTGATCACCACCAAGTGCCACCAGATAATAAAGGGCTGTTCACATTTTAATGACTTAATTCATTCAGCAGAAAGCCACTTGGATCTTCCTGTGGGGCAGGCCTTGTGCTGGCTGCCAGGTATGCAGCTGTGAAGAAGCAGGAGAGACTCTTTTACAGACACCCCTTCCATTTGGTTCTCCTGAGGAGTCCTTATTGCAGGGCCCATGGCCGTATCTGGGGGTTCAGAAAAGGTCTTCCTGCCAGATACCTAAAGCACAAGTTAGCTGGGGAGAAGGGAAGGCAAACGGGTGTGTGGAACAGCATGGGGCTGTGAGGGCGGAGCCAGAACCAGCCAGAGCAGGTGCAGCAGTGGGCAGGGAGGAGAGGCTGGAGCCCGGCAGGCAGGGGCCAGATGCCCCGGGCTTTGAGTGGCAGGGGATTTGTACTTTACTCAGACAGAAAGGGGAAGCCTCACCTGCTTTTTTACGTAGGGGAGTGGCAGGATGACCAGCTAGTCCTGGTTTGCTTGGAATGTTTGACCTGAAGGTTTTAGCACTGAAAGTCCTGTGTCTGGGAAACCCCTTAGTCCCAAGCAAAAAGATGGACTTGATTGATTAGATTAATGTTTTAAAAAGGTCATTCTGAGGGAAGAATGTATACTGGGATTGGAAAGGGGAAGAGAGGATAAGGGAGTACATTTAGGAGGCTGGGAAAGAGGAGTAGTACAAATAATAATATGATCTAATATTTATTGAAAGTTTACTATGTACCAGCCACTATTCTAGACACTTCACATTCATTATGCTATTTAATCTCCAAAACAATGCCACATTAGATACTATTTTTTTTTTTTTGAGATGGAGTCTTGCTCTGTCACCCAGGCTGGAGTGCAGTGGCACGAGCTTGGCTCACTGCAGCCTCTGCCTCCCAGGTTCAAGTGATCCTCCCACCTCAGCCTCCCGAGTAGCTGGGATTACAGGCACCTGCCACCACACCCAGCTAATTTTTGTATTTTTTTTTTTGTAGAGATGGGGTTTCACCATGTTGGCCAGGCTGGTCTTGAACTCCTGGCTTCAAGTGATTCGCATGCCTTGGCCTCCCAGAGTGCTGGGATTACATGCATAAGCCACCACGCCTGGCCTACATACTATTTTAATTTTAATTTTTTTCAAATGGGGAAAGGCTTAGAGAGGTGACATAATTTGTTTAAGGGTCAAACATCTCATGAATGGTAAAGCAGGATTTGAACCTGGAAATCTGACTTTGGTGCTGGACCCCACACTGAACTGCCATGGGAGTTTGTTGTGTCTGTGTGGATGAAGAGAAGACTGTTGGAAAGTCTGTATAAAAAGCAGGTGGACTCCATGTCTCCTTTCCCACCCTGCAGACAGGTGACTCTTATTTTGTGACCCGAGCTGACTGTAAATGAGGTCCCCAAAAGGAGCCAGGAGCAGAGATGCTACACTTAAACAAGGGAATTAGGTAAAAGTCTACATACTGAATTGTGAAAGGATCTTAGCCCTTCTTCCACTCACCTTCAAGAACATTACCAGCCAGGTTTATTACATCTCCAATAGGAGATTGGAAGATTCCTTTCTGGGAAAATTGACCATCTCAGTAAGGCCTCCATGAAACAACTCAGCCAGATTACACTGGAATGAAGATCACGGGTAGACAAATCTTGTCCTTTTAGACAGAGCTTCTTGATAATTTTTAATGCCTCATTCTTAAAAGGAACAGATAGGCTGTGTGCAGTGGCATGTGCCACTCAGCTACTCAGGAGTCTGAGGTGGGAGGAATAGCCATTGCATTCCAGCCTGGGCAACATAGTGAGACCCCATCTCTATAATTAAAAAAAGAAACATTTAAAAATGGAGCAGATAAGCCAAGAATCACCAGATATTTAAGGAAGACCTTATATAGGAGAGACAAAGAACTCCCCCGACCATAAATAGATAAAAGGAACTTGGAAAAAATTGAGTCAATGAAGGTAATAGAAAAAAATGTAAAAGATCAATATCTTCAGAGAACTAAGAGAATATATTGAATCTATGAAACAGGAAGACTTTTTTTTTTTTGAGACGGAGTTTCACTCTTGTTGCCCAGCTGGAGTGCAATGGTGCGATCTCGGTTCACTGCAACCTCCGCCTCCTGGGTTTAAGCGATTCTCCTGCCTTAGCCTCCTGAGTAGCTGGGATTACAGACACCCACCACCACGTCCAGCTAATTTTTGTGTTTTTAGTAGAAACGGGGTTTCACCATGTTGGCCAGGCTGGTCTCGAACTCCTGACCTCAGGTGATCTGCCCACCTTGGCCTCCCAAAGTGCTGGGATTACAGGTGTGAGCCACTGTGCCTGGCCAGGAAGAAATTTTAAAAGGAATTTTTAGAAAAGAAAAAGATCTTTGAAATTATAAAATAGATTTGCTTCTGTGTTTCCCCCCGTTGTTGGCAGAAATAAACATTCAATGTAAGTGTTAAAAGATAAAGTTGAACAGAAAGAATTAAAAAAATATGGAGGCTGGGCATAGTGGCTCAAGCCTGTAATCCCAGCACTTTGGGAGGCTGAGGAGGTCGAATCACTTGAAATCAGAAGTTTGAGACCAGCCTGACCAGCATGGTGAAACCCCATCTCTACTAAAAATATAAAAATTAGCTGGGTGTGGTGGCACATACCTGTAATCCCAGCTACTTGGGAGGCTGAGGCAGGAGAATCATTTAAACCTGGAGGC
The DNA here is from genome assembly GCF_000001405.40 of Homo sapiens. NCBI lineage: Eukaryota > Metazoa > Chordata > Mammalia > Primates > Hominidae > Homo > Homo sapiens. The sequence continues at coordinate 153,481,629 of NC_000001.11, read as the reverse complement.
AGAGTTTGCAGTGAGCCGAGATTGTGTCACTGCTCTCCAGCCTCAGTGACAGAGGGAGACTCCGCCTAAAAAAAAAATATGGAAAATAGGACAGAAAAGAAATGAATGTTAGAGAATCAAGTCCAGGAGTGAAGAGTGAACCAAGACAATGGAGACAAAGAAATTATCAAAGGCATGGTAAAAGAAAACTACGTTTTCATGTAAAAGAATCCCTTATTGCCTAGCACAATGGATAAAAAAAAAAGATTCTTAGCAAGGCATGTAATTATGAAATTTTAGAACACCCTGACAAAAAACAGATTCTTTCCAGCTGGATGAAACAGAATACAGTTCCAGAAACTAGAAGAAAATCATGTGATGTCTCTAAACTTCTGAAGGAAGGTAATTTGTAATCTAGATTTCTATGTCCATTTACAGTCTAGGTTTCTATACCCAGACAAATTGTCAATTATAAGAGCAGCAAAAATATTTCCAGACATGCAAGGTCTTAACGTTACTTCCTAAGAATGCTTTCTCAGGAAGTTATTGGAGAATGTGCTCTTCCAAAACAGGGGATTAAGCCAAGAAAGAGGAAGGCATAAGGTCCAGGCAGTAGGTGATGCCACATGGGAGAAAGGCAAAAGGAAATCCTAGGATGAGGGAGCAGTTTAGAGCCAAGAAGATGGTCCTGGGGCCGATCTAGAGATAAATCAGTCCAAATTGGAGTAGAATTGTGGGGAACTCCAGGAGAGACATCTCCAAGTAACAAAAAGGTTATAGATCATCTAACGTGTTTAACTGAATTGAAAGGAAATTTACTATGTAGTGGGGAGTTTGGGGAGGGTTAATGACAGGAAAAGAGAAAACTAAACAAATGAAAAAAAGATCAATTATTAACTTCTTAGAAAATTTAAAAGTTGCACAAGAAAGAAAATACACTCAAAGCAGACTGCATTGTTAATCTGTGAATAGTACTTACATGATCATAATACTCTGTACCCTAATTCTGTTCTAACCAAAAACAATCATGTAACTATACTGGAGGAATTTTGCAGGGAGGGGAAGTATGTGCATATTTGTGTGTATATGTATTGCCAAAGAACCAAATTTTTGTTTTCCATTGTAGGATGTCATTGTAGGATGTCATTAACAACTAGTATAAAAAACAGAAAAAAAATCAAATAGCAATACAAATCGATTATTTAGAAATACAGAGGTAAATACAGGAAGAAATGCATAAAGGGGAGGAAAGTGGTTGCCTCAGGGGTGGGGACTTGAGGGTGGGGAGGACTCAATTGGGGAGCACTGATTAACCTTGGAGAACTGTTTGACTTTAAAATTATGTACATATATGACTTGATTAAAATCAATTCTGGAGGGACCCATGGGTCTGGGAAAAACTTAGGAGACAGGAGAGGAGTGGGGTGGGACTAGGTTTGGAGTGGCAGGGCTGGGGCTGGGAACTGGGCTGGAGCTAGAGGATATACAAGAAGTGCAGGAGGAGGGAGTGGGGAGTGGGGAGCTTCAGATCACACTAGCCAACCTAAAAATCACTCACATAAATGTATCAGGAGGGGTCTAGAACTGTGCTTGCCACATAATAGGTGCTTAGTAAATATTTGTTGGGTAAATGAACAAATGATTGCATCCTTACAGATGCTGCAGAAGTCCTCTCCAGTTAGACTGGGATACCCTTGTCTTCTCTGTCTGAATAAAGATTTGCTTAGAGAGGAGATCTATTCATTAAGTAGTATTTTATTTAAAACTTACTATGTTCCAGGAACCATTCCAGAGATTGAGGATAGAGCAATGACAAAACAGGTAGAAATTCCTGCCCATGTGGTGTTATGTTTTCAGGGAAGAAGCTGACAATTAACTAGGCACATACACACATTTGACATTGTTCCAAAACACATTATGATATTAACTCGCTTAATCTGCACAACATGATGGGAAGATACTATTACTTTTCCTGATTTACAGATGATGAAACAGAGTCACAGAGAGGGTAAGTAACTTTCTCAAGATCACACAGCTAATAAACACGTGGCTGGAGCTGAACTGGGACACCTGGGCTCCAGGGCGAAGGCTCTCTTGACCACCATGCTATGCTGCTTTTGCAAGCTCACTCTCCTTCCCAAAAAGGAGAATGGGGGGGAGTTTCTAAAGACAAATCAGGCACAGACTCTGCCCTGCCATGGCTTGCATCAGGGAGAGGGCCTGTCCACCAACTGGTGGAAGCAAAGTGAGAATGGCTGGGCAGGGAGGGGGAATTGCTGGGCCAGTCAGCTGGTCACTCTAGAGTCTCTGGGGGCCTGGATCCATAGCAGGGAGACACAGATGTGCACACACCTCTTGCTACAAATCAAACACTGACCTTTGGTCCTGCTTCTCCACAGCGCTGGGGGAAATGAGCATATGCATTTAAAACAAAAAAAAGCCAATCTTAGGCAAGATTTGTATTGATAAAAGTTTGTCTTTTTGGATGAGGGCAAGAAGTCAATGGCAGATGTTGATGTCAGCAGTATTTCCAGGGTGGAGTTTGGTGTGGAGACAAGCATAACTTATTATTTTTATTGTTTTTGCCCCCAGCTGCTTTAAGGTTTGAGCTGAATGCCTGGAGTTCATGCTGATGAGTGGGCTGGAGACTAGGGAGGAGGAAGGGGCTCAGACTTGAGCCAGGGACTCCATGTCCCCTCTGCTGAGAACCATCTGGGAAGTCGAGTTCACCTGAAGGCTGAGCTCTAGCCTCAGGGACATTTGGGAGTCAGGGTGCCTCCTTCCCACTGTGCAGTTGACATTCATCTTTTAATCTGGTGGCTGTCACACCCTGTGAAGCTGAAACTGCAGTGCCACCACCCACTTCTATAAACTGAGGTGTGCCTGGTGAGAGATTTGGGCTTCTAAGTCACAGGATTTAACTCAGTGTCTCCTGCCAGCAAACCTGAATCTGCCAACAATCATAATACAAATCCCCCTACATTGATATAGCACTTTCTACCTCTCCCCGGGCTTTCACATCTGTTATCTCTGTGAAATAGTAATTCCTTTCTCCTCTGACAGATGAGAAGACACAGACTTCTCAGACAAAGGAAATACAGGTTTTGCCCAGGGTCACAAAGGGAGTTAGAACCTTGCACTCTTGGCTCGGGGGCCTTGTGTTAGCCCCAGTCCCACCCCTCCATGCCCGGGGCCTTTACTGCACCTCGCAAACATGTTCTCCGTGAGCTCCTGCTGTGGCTGCCCTGGGAGCCTGCTGCCTAGCTGGTGGGGGAGGCTTCTGCAGAGCATGATTCCAGGGCCATGAGATGCCAAGGAGAGAGAGCTAACAAAGTGCTGTGGTGTTCCGGAGTGGAGGGAGATTCTACTTTCTTGAGCTAGTCAAGGAAGGCTTCACAGAGGAGGTGACTTTTGAGTAGGGCCTTGAAGAAGGGTTAGGAATTTTCTAGGCAGAGAAGATATGAAAGGGGATGCCAGACCGAGGGTGTGGTGTAGTCAAAACCTTGGACAAAATCAGCAAGAGTTTGAGGACTGGAAAAAGGGGTTGTGGGCCCTGCCACTTTTTGGGGGGACTTCCTTTCAGAAAAATAATTAAAAATCAGCGGTGCAAAACTAAACATGGAAGTGAATATTCATTTAGAATGAGAAAAGAGTTATAGCAAATTATGAATTTCAGAAAGTTGAGAAATACCACAAACATTGCCAAAGCTAAGAAAATGACAATATTTTTATTAATTGGGTGATACAGCTATAGTTTTTATTTTTCTATGTTTTCCTGGCTCTGTGATTTTGCTTCACGTGATGACCATTTTGTAAAATCATTTTCTACATGAGACTAGAAAGACAATTCAGTCTTTCATATTATTGATTGAATTCCTACTGATAATTTAGAAAGGTTTTTGTTTTTAGCTTCACATCTTTATACATAATGCTATGTAAATTTTTAGGATTATTGGCCAACTTGGGAAAACCTCTATCAAGTTTTTTTTTTTTCCACATATGAGCCATAAGATTTCAGGGCATCTCAAGTTTTTATAAAACTTAATCTTCTTTGCTTTTTTGAGATAGGGTCTCACTCTGTTGCCCAGGTGGGGGTGTGATCATCATGGCTCACTGCAGCCTTGACTCACTGGGCTCCAGGGATCCTCCCACCTCAGCCTCCTGAGTAGCTGGGACCTCAGGTGTGTGCCACCACACTTGGCTATTTTTTTTGTATTTTTAGTAGACATGGGGTTTCACCGTGTTGCCCAGGCTGGTCTTAAACTCCTGGTCTCAAGTGATCTGTCCACCTTGGCCTCCCACAGTGCTGGGATTACAGGCTTGTGCCACTGCACCTGGCCAAAACTTAATCTTAAATAGTTTAAAATTGAAGATGTTCTATATTGGTTTACTGTGAATGGGCCTCTGGCAGTGACTTCCTCCATAATCCAAGAGAATCATTATTATTTCTGTTTGAAATTTACCTCTTTTTATTTTTAAAATTTTATTTGGAGACATGGTATCACTCTGTCATCCAGGCTGGAGTGCAGTGGTGAGATCACAGCTCACTGCAACTTAAAACGCCTGGGCTCAACTGATCCTCCTGTCTCTGCTTCCCAAGTAGCTGGGACTACAGGTGTGTGCCACCATGCTCAGCTAATTTTAAAATACTTTGTAGAGATGGGGTCTTGCTATGTTACCCAGGCTGGTCTCAAACTTGAGGCCTCAAGTGATTCTTTCACCTTGGCCTCCCAAAGCCCTGGGATTCCACGTGTGAGCCACCATACCTGGCCAAGATGCTATATCTTGATGTTAAACTCTAGGAGAGCAAATTCTTTCCAGAGTGGCCTGTGGACTGAAAGAATATGAGGTCCAGGGCTCTGCAGCCTGCCGAGGTTCCACTCACTGCTGCCCTGGGCCCTGAAGTCCACACAACTGCCTGGGTTGAGGTCTCTGGGCTTGTGCCTGTCAGACCCCAGCAGACTCTGCTCTGAAAGTACATGCCTGTCTGCTCTCTGGACAGTGGGATCCTCCGTAGCAGGCCCTGGTGTGACAAAGCAGGGACTCCTTAGGATAGCAGAGGGTTAAGAGCCAGGTTTAGTAGTCATGCTGGCCTGGGTTTGAATTTTGGTTATGCATCTACCCACTGGGTGACCTGTCCATGTTATGTAAACATTATTTTTTTTCTTTTGAGACGGAGTCTTGCTCTGTCGCCCAGGCTGGAGTGCAGTGGCATGATCTCGGCTCACTGCAACCTCTTCCTCCCAGGTGCCTGCCACCACGCCCGGCTAATTTTTTGTAGAGACTGTGTCTCACTGTGTTAGCCAGGATGGTCTCGATCTCCTGACCTCGTGATCCGCCCGCCTTGGCCTCCCAAAGTGCTGGGATTACAGGTGTGAGCCACCGCGCCCGGCAATGTAAACATTCTAAGTCTCAGTTTCTTTACCTGTATGATGGAACGATGTATTTACCTAACATGATTTTCCTGCAGATTAAATAAAGGGATATGTGTAAATCACACATTGTATTTGCCTGGCACAGAGTGTTGAACGATTGGTAGTTGTTAATAGCTATTATTTTTGAATTACCGGAAAGGGAACCAGTGGAGACCATATTTCCATCCCCGGATGCACAGTGGAGTTTTTGTGGGGCTCAGCAAACTTCTCTTCATTGTTCCAACCCAATATATCCTGTTACGCTGCCTCAGCCTTGGGGATTGGGGCGGATCAGAAGGCTCAGAAGGCACAGGGTTCTGGTGCATTAATGAGCTCTGGGGCCATGCTGGAAGTAGCTGAGCGTGGGCACCGGGCCTGGAGGTTGGTGGAACACTGGTGCTGGGCCAGTTCTTGGTCCCAGAGAAGCACCTCTTCCTTACCAACATGTCCTTCTCTTCAATGAATCATTACAGGGTTCAGGTCAGCCTCTGTGATTCCAGGTGTGGTGGCTCACACCTGTAATCCCAGGGCTTGGGAGGCCAATGCGAAAGGATCACTTGAGGGCAGGAGTTTGAGGCCAGCCTGAGTAACATAGCAAGACCCCATCTCTACAAAGTATTTTAAAAATAGCTGAGCGTGGTGGTGCACACAAGTATACAGCCCATGTGCTATTCCTGAAGAGCAGGAGAAACTGCCTTTAACAGTTATCAGCCTGATCCAGTTCACCAGCTCGGCCACCAACTAGACTATGTGACCTTGGGATGAGTCATTCTCTGTGCCCCAGTGTCCTTCCTTCTCTGGTCAGTTGCATATCCTAGACCCAATCTTTTTTTTTTTTTTTTAAAGTTAAGGTCTTTGATTTGGTTGATTGAGAGGGAGCAGGAGTAGACAACTCACAACAGTGGCTAATCTGAGGACCTTCTGACCCCTCCATCAGATCAAGTTTGGCATGCATTTCTTCTGATTTATAGCCTGGAAGTAACTGGGGGCTACAACCTCTGCTTACTTGCTTACTGCTTACAATATATATATATTTTTTATGTTCCTGGGATATTTATTCCTGTTTACACTTACACTCATCAGCAAGAGGTGGTCAGTAAGTGCTGGTTTTGTTAAAGTGGAGGCCGCACCAGAGTGTGATCTATGGACAGCATGAGCCATCATGCTGTTTTGTGTGCACGTGTGTGTGTGTCTGTGTATGTGTGCATATGCATATGTGTGTAGGAGAGAAGGTCCAGTACTCTGAGGGGGCCTGTCCAGAGTGAATCAGTTATATTCTTTAGGATGGTTGTCCTGCCAAAGACATCAGACTCCAGCCCTGACCCTCCAGGCTGTTGGGAAGAGTTTGCTGCTAAGTCTTGGAGTTGAGGCAGAGAAGACATGCAGTGTTTGGCTGGGGAGTCTTGCAACAAATGTGGTGCTCCTTTGTTGTTCATCACAGGATCTTCCGATAACCAGCAGACCCCCAGGGCCAGGCAGGCTCCTGTACCACACATGGAAGCTCAGTTCTCTCCCGTCTCTGTGCATCACAATCTAGTTCTATTTTAGCACAGCCCTCACACGTATTACACCCTCCTTCCCTTAGAGCCTTTCCAACACATCTTATCATCCATCAGCTTCCTTCTTCCCTGACAGACCCATACACAAGGTCTGTTTTGTCACAGACCTTCTGACAAAACACACCACTTATTATTTTTTTCCAGCAGCCCTTTGAAAACAAAGATGAGTAATACCCATGCCGAGAAGTCTGTGATGCCATGATTGATCTATTTCACAATAACATCCAAGAAGATGATACACTAGATAAGTCAGGTCTGTCAAAGGTGAGGAAGGAGAATTCCCTACAGTCTGTGTGGGTTTTGTGAGTGGAGGTCTTGTTGGGTCTGAGGCTGGGAGAGGTGTCAGGAGAGGAAGAATCCTTGGGCCTTGGTGTGGCTGAAAATGCAGGTAAGATGAGAGGCTCTGCCAGAAGGGCTCTGGTGGGCTGATCCTGGACTTGGTCCTCCCTCTATCATTAACCTCCCTCAGAGTGGTATCATGTTGATCAGATAGGATGAGCAAGGGGTGATTGCTACTCTAGAGATCTTGGTAAGGCATGTACACTTTGAAAATTCAGGGACTCTACTACATCAGTGAGGTTTCTGGTCAGAGGTGGCCTGGAATAGCCCACCCAGAATAAAAGACAAATTGCTGCATCTTGCATGCCCTATCACGAAGAAGGAAGCACATGGATCTCACAGCATTCTGGAGGCAACATGTTCCACACCTAGGAATACTGCTCGGTGCATGAACTGGGTAGCATAGAAGGATGCCAGGTCTGGTGGGGCCAGGAGTGGGAAAGGGCTCTGCAGCAGGTCCAGATCATAGCGCACAGAGCCATCCAGTTGGGTCATATGATTTGGTATACCCTATGATGTTGGAGGGGTCGATGGTGGTAAAAATATACTAAGGAGTTTATGGAAAGCCCCATTGGGAGAATTACAATGCAGGTCCCTGGGATTCTGGAGCAAGGCCATGCCATCCACAGCAGGGAAGTATCTGATTTTTTAGGAAACAGGCCCTGGCATATTATTGGACCCTGCTTTGATCCTGGGGCATCAAGTGATCATGCGTCTGAAACTGTCCACTGTGAGCTGGCCTCTGTTGGACCTACTGAGTTATAAAATGGGCCCAACAGCAGGCCATCATAAAACAGAAATGGCATCTTTGGAGTTGAGCCTGAGCACAGCTGGAGGGCATGAGTAAGCTGCATGGGGATGCAGCCTAGAACACCATGTCATCTGCCAGGGTTCCATCATGTCTCTTCCCCAACCCAAGCCTATAGCTATGTGTGATTTCTCATATGATAGGCTGAAGGAACAGAAGAAGGCCTGAGCTTGGTCTGTGAATGGTCAACTTGGTACATGAGTGAAAGCCAGAAGTGGACAGCAGCTGGATTATAGCCACGTTTAAATGTGACTTTGAAGACAGTCAGAGGTACCTTGCTCACATGTAGGTACATGGGAATGGGAACACATGTGAGCAAGGGACCTTGTCATCCACTTTGGAAGGAGAACTGGCCTGAGGTGAGAATATATACAGATTCTTTGCAGCAGCCAATGACCTGGCCATGTAGTCAGAGGGCTGAGTGGAAAAGGATCAGAAGATAAGAGACAGGGAGGTTGGGGTAGAGGCATGTAGTTGAACATATGGGGGTGGGGACAGAGCATGAAGATCTTTTTTATTACAGTTTATCACCCACCGTAAAGCATAAGGGAGAGGCACTGAACAGTCAAGTAGACAATTTGGCCAGTTGACATTAGATATTTTTGTCATTGGCCACCCCAGAACTGGCTCAATGGGCGCATGACTGGAGTGCTCTAATGGAGTGCCATAATGGCAGACATGGAAGTTACAAGTGAATCCAAGAACATGGACTTCCCTTTACCAAGGCTGACCTAGCTGCTGTCTATCAGGGGAACCCCCCCAATATTTCAACATAGGTTCTTTCAATTTTCCATAAGTGTCAGCCAGCTAAGAAATAAAGAGAAAGAGTACCAAGAGAGGAATTTTACAGCTGGGCCTCCGGGGGTGACATCACATATCGGTAGGACTGTGATGCCCACCTGAGCCGCAAAACCAGCGAGTTTTATTAAGGATTTCAAAAGAGGAGGGGGTGCAAGAACAGGGAGTAAGTCACAAGATCACATACTTCAAAGGGCAAAAAGGAGAACAAAGATCACAGGCTTCTGAGGAAACAGGACAAAAGGCAAAAGAGAACTACTGATAAGCGTCCAACAAAGATCACAATGCAAAGGGCAAAAGCAAAGATCACAAGGCAAAGGGCAAAAGCAAAATTACTGATAAGGTTCTATGTTCAGTGGTGCACGTATCGTCTTGATAGACATCTCAAACAATAGAAAACAGGGTTCGAGAGCAGAGGACCAGTCTGACCTCAAATTTACCAGGGAGCAGTTTTTTCCCCATCCTAATAAGCCTGAGGGTACTGCAGGAGACCAGGGCTTATTTCAGTCCTTATCTCAACTGCATAAGACAGACACTCCCAGAGTGGCCGTTTATAGACCTCCCCCCAGGAATGCATTCCTTCCCCAGGGTATTAATTATTAATATTCCTTGCTGGGAATAGAATTTAGTGATATCTTCCCTACTTGCAGGTCCGTTTATAGGCTCTCTGCAAGAAGAAAAATATGGCTCTTTTTGTCCAATCCCACAGGCAGTCAGACCTTACGGTTATCTTCCCTTGTTCCCTAAAATCGCTGTTATTCTGTTCTTTTCAAGGTGCACTGATTTCATATTGTTCAATCAATATTTACATGTTTTATGATTAATTTGTACAGTTAACACAATTATCATAGTGGCCCTGAGGTGACATACATCCTCAGCTTACGAAGCTAACAGGATTAAGAGATTAAAGTAAGACAGATGTAAGAAATTATGACAGTATTATTTGGGAACTGGTAAGTGTCCACGAAATCTTCACAATTTATGTTCCTCTGCCGTGGCTCCAGCTGGTCCCTCCATTCGGGGTCCCTGACTTCCTGCAACAGCTGTCGCCTCTGAATATCCAACCTGTCAGCAGCAGAGACCAATGCTGAGCTCCAGCTATGGAACTATTTCTCACTGAGATCAACCAGCCACTTGGAGCCAAATGTGCTACACTGGGCACCTTTTATACAGAAACGGCCAATGGTTTGTTCTCACAGGTGTGGATTTTCCCTTCCTGTCGGCATAGCCTTGGCCAGCACCACTATCTAGGGGCTTACAGAATGCCTATCCACAGGCATGGAATGCACCCAGGGGACTCAGTTTTATAGGGAAGTGGGTGTGGGATGGATCCAGATCATGGTGGTATCACACACCACATCCCCCAGAAGCAGCTGGCCTCACAGAGCCCTGGAACCACCTCAAAAGGCACAGCTGAAGCACCTGCTCAGAGGCAACACTTTGCAAGGCTGAGGTTCTATCCTTCAGGAAGCAGTAGATACATTAACTATTTCCTTTCCTTCCTGAAGACTCATGGTTGGCCCCACTTACAATCACTTCAGGGACCCACCTGGGGAGTTTGTAGTTTTTATCCCCACAACTCTTGGTTCTGAAAGGTTGAAGATCTTTGTCCCCAGAGGAGGCACATTCTTGCCAGGGGACACAACAAGGCTGCATTGAACTACAAGCTACAGCTGCTACCAGGGCACCAACAGGGTAGAGGAGGTCAACAGGGGACCAACTGGGGAAAGGGGACCAACAGGGCAGAAGATGAGTCAATCTTGGGGCAGGAATAATTGATGTTGATCCACAGGAGATAGGGCTGCTGTTACACAATGGAGGCAGGGAGGAATATGTGTAGAACCCAAGTGATTCACTTGGCCACTTCCTGTTACTCCCTTGCCCCATTGTAACTGTGAATAGATAAGTGCAGAAACTCTGGTCTGAGAATGAGATGATGGTCAAGGACTCAGCATCTTCAGAAATAAAGGTTTGGGTTATACCATTAGGAACATCATTAAGATCTGCCAAGGTGATAGTGAAGGGTGAGGGGAATTTAGAGTGCATAGAAGAGGAAGGAGAGGAGTACCAGCTGTATCCCAGAGACCAGCTACAATGATGGGCGGTAATTCACTCCCTAGTCTCTGTCTTCTGAGTTATGCTTTGGGGAAAGAGGCCCATGGTAACCATGGAGGAGCTCTTCTCTAGCCAATGTGGAAAAGCAGATCTGTGATGGACAAGAAGTGGACTACAGAGGTTATAAAAATATGCCTGTTACAGGGCTCTCCTGCTAGAGGTGGCATAGTGGATTGACAATCCCAGCGGCTGCCCCTGCTGCTGGGATCCACCAAAACTTTTGTACTTGGGCCACACTTCCTGTGGGGCTTCTCTCAGGCAATGACTGAGCATGGCAGGAATACCAAGTGGGCCTGTTACTGAAAGACGTGGGGGTCCTCCATGGATGACTGGCTTGGGGACTCCCAACACGCATGGCTAACCCTTTCTTGGAACTATGCTGTAGTCTGAGACTCTTCTTACCCAATTCTCCTTCCTCCCGGGTCCCTTCTCAGGTTTCAGGCTTGCATTGAAGTCTGAAGGCTTTCCCTTCCTTCTCTTGCTATCTTCTTCCTCCCCAGTCATCCTTCACAGGTGTTTCCTCTAATAACATTTTTGCATGCCTAATCTTGTCTTGGCCTCTTCTTGGAGGATCCAAACTAACCCAAAGTGGCATATATATGCATTATTTGGTCAAAAACGGGGATTTGAGGGACAAGAAAAAGTCCTATACCTCGAAGTATCTCACCTCCAGCTTGTTACTGAAATTCCCCTATTAAACTATTTCTTTTGGATTGGGGCCACAGTGAACCACTCACCCTCATTTTCCAGTGTTATTCTATTCAGCATTGGCTTTTCCATGCCTGGTGTCATTGGAGTCAAGTGATTGCTAAGATAAATTGCCCAAAGTCCTGGCCCACCACTTCCAACTCCCACCTGCTTTGCCTCTCATGAGTGGCCTCTCACAGCCATTCCAGTTGTATCCTTTGTGCTGTTCAAGACACTTCAATCTTCATTCAAAGACAAGACTTCTCATTCCCTTCCCTCAGGTAAGACCTGTGATTAGCAAGTGCTTGCCTTTAGGGAAGAGGATGTGCTTTCTAGCTTTTACATCCCATAGCTTGCCATCTGCAGGGGCTCCAGGTATGCTGGGCAGGCTAATGGAGAGGAAGGACCTGGGATAAATCGAAAGAAAATGTTCAGGTTAAGATAAAAGATTGTGGAGACCAATGTTCTTTTGAAGTCTCATAGCGGTTGCCCTTAGAAAGAAGAGTTGGCAAAATGTTTGGTATTCAGACCCTTCAAAAGGTGCTAGACTCTTAGCTAATCTATTCAGAATTGGAGGGGCCTGGAAGAAAAAGGTCTAGCTATGTTAATAGAGATTTTTCACAGATGTGAATTTTCCCCTAAAAGGACAAAGCTTGCAGGGCCATTTCAACTTGTGACAAAGAAACATGTTTTTGGGGTAAAATATTTTGATTTTCCTCCTTGCCTTGTAATGTTATACCAGAGTCAGCATGGAAAGTAAGTCATGATATATAGGGTTAAATCAAACCCATCTGATGAGAATTTATGGTTTGTAGGGGTTGACTCCTCAGATTCTTTAGATAGGAATTTGGGCAAGATAAAAAAAATCATAATTTAGTCTTCAGAAGTTTACCCACAATTGACCCTTAAGCACCCCTGACCCCAAGCCCGCTCCCACCCAGGGTTTTAGAAAACTCAAGGATTGGAAAGACCTCAAGAAGGATAATATTCAATTGCTAGCTAAGAGGGCAGTGGAGTTGGGGTGGAGAGGATAAAGCAATTATCTTAAAAATTAAAGAAATGTAGTATAGTACTCAATACAATGAATCAGGTTATACTGATTAAATATTGAGGCTCCTTTTGGGATTTTTGCCAGTTCTCACTAGCTTATTCATACTTTCTTCTTTACAGACCTTTTAAATCTTTCTTTCTTTCTTTTTTTTTTTTGAGACCGAGTCTCGCTCTATCTCCCTGGCTGGAGTGCAGTGGTGCGATCTCAGCTCACTGTAACCTCTGCCTCCTGGGTTCAAGTGATTCTCCTGCTTCAGCCTCCCGAGTAGCTGGGAATACAGGCACCCACCACCACACCTGGCTAATTTTTGTATTTTTAGAAGAGATGGGGTTTTGCCATGTTGGCCAGGCTGGTCTCCAACTCCTGACCTCAGGTGATCCACCCTCCTCGGCCTGTGTCATGGGCCACGGTCACTTATATTTGGCTCAGAATAAATAACAGGGGATCCAACCTTGGGGAGAGCAGGAGAAGGGCTCGATGGTTAGAGGAAAGAGCTGGAACAGAAGTGCTCAGGTAGGAGCCAGCCTGGGCTGACGGAGGGGCAGAAAGAAGGGCTGGAGTGGTGTAAATGGAGTTCAGAGAGACAGGAAATGAGGTCTGAGCGGCAGGCAGAGGACAAGCCAATGAGGACTTCGCAAAATTTGAACTTTAAGCAGGATGGGAAACGACTGAAAGGTTTTTAGTAAGGGATATACCACGTTCATGGACTGGAACACTCTGCTATTGTAAAGCTGTCAGTTCTCCCAAACACAACCTGTAGATTCAGTGCAATCCCAATCCCAAAGTCCTTGCTGGAATTTTTGTAGAAATTGACAAGTTAACTCTAAAAAACATATGGAAAGGCCAATAATACCCAAGACAATTATGAAAAAGATGGGAGGATCTACAGTACTAGATGTTAAGATTTATCACAATAGCCCTGGTAACAGATACTGCTGGGCTGGTTCAATGACAGTCACATAGATCAACAGAACTAAATAGAGGCCTGAGAAAAAGACACACACGTATGGTATATTTATTCTGTGACAAAAGTGGCACTGCTGAGCACAAGCTTCTCAATACATTTTACTGGATCAACTGGATGCTCATGCTCATGAAACTAGACCACACAAGCAGACAAAATGACAATTCCAAGTGGATTGTAGGTCTAACTGTGGAAAGTAAAGTCATAAAGCCTCAGTAGCATATGCAAAGATATTCAAGACCTCAGTCTTGAAGATTTACTTCTATATTTTCTTCTAAGAGTTTGTTTTAGCTCTTATGTGTAGGGCTGTGACCTATTCTGAGTTAATTTGTGCGTATGAAGGAAGGAAGGGGTCCAGCTTCATTATTTTGCATGTGGCTGTCCACTTGTCCCAGCATCATTTGTTGGAAAGACTATTCTTTCTCCATTGAATTGGCTTGGCGGGCTTGTTGAAAATCTGTTGACTGTGAATGTGAAGGCTGAGAACACTTTATCATGAACTGTTAGCTTCACCTATGTAAAGATATCTTCTCTCTGCTCTGCCTCCTGTCAAAATCTGACAGGACTCTTGCTCAAAACAAGCTTTGTTTCCTGAGTTCTGTGGCCTTGTCTCATGTGGAGCAATCATGTCACATTAACCCCCTCCCCACCCCCACTCCACGTCCACCCTGTGGCACGGCTTTGCCTTTTCCCGGCTGCTTTATCATCTGCTTTTTCAATTAGGACTATTTTTAAAACATTTCCCCAGTTCTTAAATATTTTCTGAGTGCTTGATTCTAGATAGCTACATTGTATGGAATTCCTGAACCATTCTGACTCACAACACTTCTGATGCCAAATGTGTGGGGGTTATATTTCCTTTTTTAAAAATCCCCACACCAACCAATTCTCCAACTGTCTGAACACTGTCGGGGTATCATGCAATTCCGTTCTGATCCTAACTACCCAGAGTTAGCACAGACCCCACAAGGTGAAGGCTCAGCCCCACAACACTGCCCCCACTTCAGATGCCAGTCGCAGCACCTGACCGCCCATACTTCTGACTAACTGGCTAAAATTGGAGGTTCCTACAAATCCCCTCCTCAGGTTAGATAATCTGCTACAAGAGTTCACGGGACTCAGGGAGGCACTTTACTCATGATTACTGGTTTACTACAAAGAATGCAACTCAGGAAAAGCCACGTGGAAGAGACACGCAGGGCCATGTATGAGGGGCAGCACGGAGCTTCAAGGCCCACCCCAGGCGCCCACCCTTCTGGCACCCCACCCACTCAGCAGCCCGACAGCTCTCTGAGCCCCATCGTTTGGGGTTTCTATGGCAGTCACTTCATTTAGGCATGGTTGATTAAATAATTGGCCACTGGTGATTGAAGTCCTTCCCCAGCCGCTCCCTGGAGGCCCAGCCTGGGGCTGAAAGCTCCAGCCCTGTAATCACATGGTTGCTTCCTCTGGCAACCAGCCCCATCCTGAAGCTATTTAGGGGTCCACCAAGAGTCACCTCATTAGCACACACTCAGTATGGCAGGAAGGGGGTTGTTATGAATAACAAAAGATGCTCCCTCTCCCCTGTCATTCGGGAGATTCCAAGGATTTCAGACGCTTGGTGTCAGGAACAGGGACAAAGACCAAATGTCCATTTCGTATCATCACAGGGATTCCATGTGTATAGGCATCAAGATTTACGTAACCCACCATTACTAAAAATTTAATTATTTTAATTTATTCCTGTTTCTACCAACTCGATTAACAATTGCATCCCCAATACATGATTTTGTGCAGCGCCCTCTGGTAGGCATTGCAGAGAGAAGAATGCAAATTAAATAAGAAAAGCCCTCTGCCCTTCAGGAGCTTTTGGTGAAGATCTCTTTTTTAAAAAGCTGCAAGACTGCTGCCCGAAGTGGGACACACAACCTAAATAAGGGCGAGAACCGGCAAGGACGGCCCAGCCACGTGGAACCGCCTCGCAACTCTGGCGAGGTGGGTGCTCGGTGGCGCCACCGTGTGGAAGCTTGGGAAACAGAAAACCTATTCTCCGCGCTCAGGGCCAGAGTTTCATCCTGGGTCTCTGACTGGGGCCAACTGTAACGGAAACAGCCCTGACTGTAAGTCAGAATCCTACAGTCCTCTTTGGCCAGGGAGTCTTCCTGGAGTGACCTCCACTGCTTTCTCCAGCTTTCCAGTTTTAACCTACAGGGCCCAGCCTCCTCTTGAAATTGGGCGAGACGAAGAATGATCATTGCCAACTTGAAATTTGGTTGAACAGATACATTTCTCAGGGTACGCATGGGTCACTTCCCAGCACTGTCTGTGTATGCGGCCTCCGAGAAAGCAACCTCCCTTATCAGGCTAACAGAATTGACAGTAAATCCTCCCAGCAAACCCATTCGACAGGATGGTGGGTGTTAGTCCAAACTGCACCATTTTGTAAGCCCCCTGCCATTTTGCGGACCCTGGTCAGAGTGAAACATTCCATGTGGATTCAGGCCGTGAGAAACATCCTGCCTAACCACCTGACCGCAAGGCACAAGAGCATCCTTATCATACCCTGCTGGGCAAAGGCGCAACTGAAGGAACATCCCCATCATATCCTGCGGGGCAAAGGTCCAAGAAACAGCCTATCACATCCCGCTGGAAAAAGGTCCAAACCGCCTGATCACAGGAACATCTTATCAATATCCTCCCGGCGAGCTAGCCATACTGCCCAGACCCCCACCTAGACCTATAAATTACGCCAGCCTGTAAGCGGCAGGGGGCTCTGGCATTAAGCTTGTCCCCCACCTCCTCAGGTCTTGTGCTGGATGTAAAACCTGTGTTGCCATAGAGCCACCGACTCTCTCTGTGTCTTTCTTTAACCCTTGCCTTCCCTTCAAAACCTAACAGTGGGACCACAGGCTCTGGGCTGCAGCTGGGTGTTCTCATCCTCCAGTGTGGATGGCTCACAGCAGAACTGAGTCCTAATAACCTCTTGTGAATGCTGCAGAACTCTCTCTCTGTCTCTCTGTCCCGCTCCCCCAACTGCTGCACGAGTCCAGAGATGCAGCTGGCCAACACCACCCAGAAGGACCCCAAACAGAACAGCTGGCTGTCTCGGAACATTCCCGTGGCTCCCTCTGCCCTGTCCCTCTCACCGTGGCTCCTGGAAGTGCTCTATGGCCTATTGAAAGGACGCCCCTACAAAGCTTCCCCTGGTTCCCCCACCTGAAAAGTGATTTCTCCTCTTCCAAATTCTCACACACTTTATCTGAACCTTTCTGAAGACACCTGCCTCACTTGCTAGTTTGGCCAATGTTTATGGAGTTCTCTGCACTGGAGGCTGGGGGCACAATATAAGACATGGCTGGGTGGCAGCAAACATAGCATATGTGTGGCCAGGGCTGTCACTGAGACACGCAGGGACATGGGGATGATGTCTCTGCCTGGAGAAGGCTTCACAGAGAAAGTGCCACTGAACTGCCTGGGGACCTGGGGGCTTCCGGGCGCTGTCCGACTCCACTCTCTCACCACCCAGTGGCTCATTGGAGTTCTCTCCTGGGGCCGGAGCATTGCTCAAAGCACGGTCCACTTTCAATCCATCTCCCTGCCACCCTGACACCTGCACACTCAGAACAGAGTCAGCACTCACAGCATAAATGAATGGATAAAATACAGCAAAAAGAACAAATTGCTTTCTGTTCTCTTCCCCCAGCAACTTGAGATCTTCTAGAGACCCAGGAGTATGTTGCTTCTACCTCAGACTGGGGAGAGGGGAGCTCCCCAAAACGATGGAGGAGATGAAGATATCAACCAGCCAAATTCCTGTTCACGACCAGCCTGTTGTGAGCTCTCCTGGGGGATCAGCAGTGGCTGAGAGGTTGGATGTGTGATGGAGTAGGGTGGGTTTATGGAGAGTGTTTGTTCCAGACATGACACAGGGGAAGGGCTCACAGGGTTCAACCTGATGAGCAGGTGCAAAAGATAAGGCCCCTATTAAGGCTAATTTGCTGAGATTTTCATTTTAGCAAAAACAAATGATCAGTTTTTTGGATGTCTCAAATATGTTTGAAATTTATGTGTATTCTCTATGGTTGGGCATGAATTTATGAATGTATGTGTGTATAAATAAATTTAAGTGTGTCCTTCAAATAGTTTATATCAGGAATCAGCAAATTATGGTCTTTAAGCCAAATCCAGCTGGCCACCTGTTTCTGGAGGTTAGTGTTTATTGGACACAGCCATCATCATTCACGGGGACTTGTGTCTGGGGCTGCTTCTGGGCTGTGGCAGCATCTGCCCGCCCTGCTCTGTGCCATTACTGGTGTTTTGTTATCTGATGGCTTTGTGAAGTTCCTGGGCAGACTCTGCCAAAACCTGCCAAGTGATATAAGTTTGTCAGTTTCCATTAATTTCTTTCAGTGTTTGCTTTATATAATTCAAAATTGTGTTCTTATGTGTATAAGGATAGGACTATTATTGCTGGGCCTGGTGGCTCACACCTGTAATCCCAGCACTTTGGGAGGCCAAGGAGGGTGGATTACCTGAGGTCAGGACTTCGAGACCATCCTGGCCAACATGATGAAACCCCATCTTTACTAAAAATACAAAAATTAGCTGGATGTGGTGGCGTGCACCTGTAATCCCAGCTACTCTGGAGGCTGAGGCAGGACAATCGTTTGAACCCAAGAGGAGGAGGTTGCAGTGAGCCAAGATGACACCACTACACTCTAACCTGGGTAACAAGAGCGAAATTCTGTCTCAAAAAAAAGAAAAAGAAAAAAAAAGAATAAGACTACCGCATCTTGGTGACTTGCACACTAATCAATAAGAAATATTCTTCTTTTTCATTTAATCCCTTTTCTTAGAATTCTTTGTTGTCTTGTATTAATATTGTTGTCCCTGATTCCTTTTGTATTACTTTTCCTCTGTTCCTTTTTTCTAAACAGTGATGATACATAACTCAAAATGAATCATAGACCTACATGCAAACACAATGTTACAAAACTCCTAGATGGTAGCATAAGAGGAAATTTGATCATCTTGGTTTTGGTGATGACTTTTAGATGGCAACACCAAGGCACAATCCATGAAAGAAAGAATTCATAAGCTGGACTTCTTTAAAATTTAACATTTCTCTTTGTGAAAGATATTGTCAAGAGAATGAAAAGATAAGCCACAGACTGGGAGAAAATGTTTACAAAAGACATATCAGACTTTGTATGTTATCCAAAACATACAAAGAACTCTTAAAACTCAACGATAAGAACACAAACCAAACAATTAGAAAATGGGCCAAAGACCTTAACAGATATCTCATCAAAGAAGATACAGAAGGTGACAAATAAGCATATCAGAAGATGCTCCACATCATATGTCCTCAAGGAAATGCAAATTAAAACAACAATGAGATACCAGTACACACTTATGAGAATGCCCAAAATCTGGAACACTGGACAACAGCAAATGCTGAAGAAGGATGTGGAGCAACAGGAACTCTCATTCATTGATGGCAGGAACACAAAATAGTACAGCCACTTTGGAAGACAGTTTAGTGCTTTCTTAAAAAACTAAACATACTCTTACCATAGGATCCAGAAATCACACTCCTTGGGATTTACCCAAAAGAAGTGAAAACTTATGTCCACACAAAAACCTGCATACACATATATATGAATATATGGCACAATGGTGAAGTCTGGGCTTTTAATGAAGCCATCCTAAATAGCATGCATTGTACCCACTAAGAAATGTCTCATCCTTCACCCACCGCCTCACCTGCTGCCCTTCACAGTCTCCAGTGTCTATGATTCTACTCTCTACCTCCATCTGTATGCATGATGTAGCTCCCACTTACACATGAGGTTGCACAGTATTTGACTTTCTGAGTAATTTCACTTAAGATAATAGCCTCCAGTTCCATCCATGTTGCCGCAAAAAGCGTGATTTCATTCTTTTTTTATAGCTGAGTAGCATTCCACTGTGTGTGTGTGTATGTATCTTTTGCTGTTAAAAGTAATATTGCCATCACATGGGGAACTGGGAGAGGGAGAAACAGGTCCCCCTGGTTACATAGGTACTGACGAGAAGGAAGTTGAAGAAAGATGATGGGTGGAGAAAATAGGTCCCACCTAGGGAGACATCACATCAGCTCTGTGGAGCCCCAGAGTGCTTAAAGGGCTGGCACTAAATGAACCTGGAACTCTCTTGCACCCTAAAAGGAACATTGCAAGGGGGTAGCAGAAAAAGTCCATTTCAGTGATTCATCATCTCCCTTTCCTCACCATGCCCCAGGGATTCCCATGCCTTCCCAACCCTCTTGCCCCTACCTGGGTCAGCCTTTCCACAGCAGGTTAGGGCACATTATAGCCAAGGGCACAACTCCCAACTCCTACACAGGCTGTTTTGCATAGGAGGAGGAAAAACACTGAAGACTTTCTGGGAAGTTAGTGCCATGGGGCAGGAAAGAACTTTTCCCACTCCCTGCCTCCAGGCTCATTCCATGGGGGGGTCACTCCACCACTCAACCTAGATAGTGAGGCCCCTGACCCCAGTCCCCCCACCTAATTCCAGGGCTTCTGTGAGGGGCTGACCAATGGTTAGCAATGAAGTAACCCTGCTTCCCTCCCTGGACTTTGAGTTCCCATAGGGCAGACCCTGATGTGACCCAAGACCTATAGCACAGGGGATAAGAGTAAGGATTTGATTCAGGCTTTTCTGAGTCCATATAATGATTTGTTGTGTTTACTAGCTGAGTAAACTTGGGAACATCTCAACTTCTCCTTTCCTAAAATAGAGATTGAAGCACCTCTTAGGACTATGAGGGTTGAGGAGGATGCAGGAGCAGCAGGTATCTTGATATCTAGACATTAAAATGCTCAGTCAGCGGTGGGGGTCATAGAACAGGCTGTCATAACAAATGTGTGGAAGGATAAGGGGAGGGAACAAACAAGACCATGCTGCCTTCAGGAGTCTGAAACTCCATCCTCTTTGGGTCCAGAGGCCCAGTGCTCTTTTCTCCCATTTTCTGACCTGCTACTACACATGTACCGCTGCCTTACCCTCAAATCAAGGTTGAGCCAGAGAAGACTCCAGGTGAGGTCTCTGGGGTGGGGTGGGACCTGGTGACCTGGGACACTGGCCAGAAATCCTGAGCACAGCCTCCTGGGTGTGTCCCACCCACCTGATGTGGGGCAAGCCTCCAAGAAACAGATGACAGAGGTGGCCCCAGGCCTCCCAGCCCCTGGGAAGAGCCAGGCTGAGCCTTATAAAGGACTGCTCTTTGTCCAAACACACACATCTCACTCATCCTTCTACTCGTGACGCTTCCCAGCTCTGGTAAGTCTCACCTGCCTCTTTGCGTTTTCTAGAAGTGCCCAGTGCCTGGCCTGCCATGCTGCCTGTAGGAAGGGAAAGGGCTGTGGACAAAGACTCAGAAGCCTGGGTCTAGGCCAGCTCTGCCATTAGCTGGGCTGTGTGACCTTCACTTGACCCCAAAAGCCCACGTCTGTATAACCAGGTGGCTGAACCAGACCTGTCCATTGCTCCTTTGGGATCTCCTGAGGCAACTCCTGTGGAAATGTCCCCAGTGGGACCTGAGCACAGGACCCTCCCTGTCCTCTTCCTCCCTGGATTCATCCTCCTGTTGGGGTCCCGGTTGCTAAATCCCCTCCCCAGCTCCAGCTCCACAGAGGGTGGAGGGCTAGGGGTCCCCTGTGAATGCTTTGGAGGCTCTCCAAACCCCCAGGCCTGGGACCCCGACACAGCATAGCCCTGGCCAGATGGCTTGCCCCTACCTGGGTAAGGTATTGAGAAACCAACGCTCCGTCACTCCCTACCACAACCTGCAAATTGTCAGTCACCCTCTGGGCACAGGGCTTGCCCTCTGGCCTTGGCCTCAGATTCAAAAAAGCTCTGGGTGGCTCCTCTTAGTCAGTTGCCGGCATGGAGCTTTCTCCTGCATTGAGAGGTGTTGGGGGTTTATTGTCAGACACCCATATGCATTAGCCAAGGTCCTTTCCTGGTTCTTTGGAAAGTGTGGGAAGTGAGAACTGCACTGTCCTATTTTTCAGGCTTGGGGTGCAGGCCAGCCCAGACTGACTACTGGCTGAAAGATCTGCTTTGGGAAGTCAGACATTTTTATTTAAACAGTCAAGGCTTGGTGATTCAGAGGGTGCAGATAATTCCCAAGAGCAGACATGAAGTGACTCCCACCTCACTCCCACCCCGTCCAGCAGCTTAAGAACCAGAGAGTTATTTCTGTTCCTTGTAACAGAGGCCATTCCTGTTTCTCGTTCCCAAGGGAATACAAGAAGGGCCCCCTGTGCTCGGGACAGGACTGTGTTTCCTGCTAACACTCACGTCCACGCTCACATGTGCACCTGGAGCCTGCACACACCGTGTCATGCAGGGCTTGCACTTGAGTCAAGGTGGGGCCCACGGTGTCTGGTTCCTGAAGCAGCCGAGGAGGGTCAGACACCAGATCACCAAGGCCATTGTCCTGCCCCCATGACTGTCACCCCGACTGTGAAGCTGGAGGAGATGGATTTGGTGCTCTTTTAAGAGTGGGGTCTGCCATGTGCTGGCTGAGGCTGGGGTGTCCCAGCTTAGTTCTTCCATGTGTTGCTGGCGCCCGACTCTCCCTGCTTCTCCCTCTCTGAAGCACTGTCCACAGCTGGACTTCCGCCATCCACCTGCATCTCCTCTTGGCCCTGGCCAGGATGGGCCAGGTCTCAGACTTGGTCCTACCCTCTCATTTTTGAGCAACTTATCCCATCACATTAAAAAAAAATTGAGTTCGTTCTGCTACACCTTATCCGTGTTTTTACTCTGTCCTCAGCCCTCCTTCCAGCACTCCCAAATAGAGACCCTAACTTAAATGAAGGGAAAAAAATGATTGTCTTTATTTCCTGAAGGCTTTTTGAAAGCAAAGATGAGCAACACTCAAGCTGAGAGGTCCATAATAGGCATGATCGACATGTTTCACAAATACACCAGACGTGATGACAAGATTGAGAAGCCAAGCCTGCTGACGATGATGAAGGAGAACTTCCCCAACTTCCTTAGTGCCTGTGTGAGTCGGTGTCTAGCTTCTCAATGTTGGAGGATACATTTTGCTATGTGGCCTTGGACAGATCACCCTCACCCTCTGATTAAAAAATTTCCCATTTGCAAATAGGGCTTTATTACTTGGATCATATGTGAATCTAAGGATGGTAGGCAAAAAAGTATGAAAATGGGAAAGAGTTATACAGATATAAAGGAGGTTATTAGATGGTCAGCAAAGTGTGCAGCTTGAGGGCAGTGCACAGTCCCCTCCCAGCACTCACTGACCCTCTCTCTGTGAGACTGAAACTCACATGCTCAGGTCCTGTTTCCCAAAGGCCCCACATCAACATCCCTGAGATTACTGGGAAAGCACTAGAAGTTCCATTGTTAGTAGAAATCAATAGCCCTCTTTGCAATAAACAAGACTCATTAGCAAATCTGAAAAAAAACTGTGGGCTACTAGGTACCAAAGGGTCTAGATGACCAAGAGTAGGATACCCAGAAGATGAGTTTGGTGGAAAAGGAGAAGAAAGGAGAGGAGGCCAGAGAAAGAAGAGAACAAAAGCATGAGGGCCAATTTTGAGGCCCTGGGGTAGAACTAAGGTAGGCAGTGCCCTTAGAGGCTGGGACGGGAAAGAGTGAGGCTGGGGCAGGGGACTGCTCTCCCCAAGGTCACTTAACAGAGCACCTTGGGACAGGACCTGCCTCCCATCCTGAGGTGTGAGACAAAAAGACTCCCTAGAGAACTCCAGGGATAACACTCACGTCCTCACCCCAACTTCACCCACTCACCCTGTGCTCTCAGCCCCGCCACCATGCCTGTGCAGATCTAGGTACTTGTCTGTATCTCTGCCTCCTCCTCTCCCTCCCAGCCCAAAACTTGTTTGTGATTGAATTTTTCTATTTTGTATGTTTTTCTCTTCACAGGACAAAAAGGGCACAAATTACCTCGCCGATGTCTTTGAGAAAAAGGACAAGAATGAGGATAAGAAGATTGATTTTTCTGAGTTTCTGTCCTTGCTGGGAGACATAGCCACAGACTACCACAAGCAGAGCCATGGAGCAGCGCCCTGTTCCGGGGGCAGCCAGTGACCCAGCCCCACCAATGGGCCTCCAGAGACCCCAGGAACAATAAAATGTCTTCTCCCACCAGACACTTGCCTTATTTTCTTCTTCTCTTTGGTGACCTACGTTGTCAAAACTACCAATTCCAGGTTAACTTTGTTGGAGAATTTCCCCCACCCCCATCCAGTGGGTCACCCAGGAGTAATGTCCCTCCAGCAACGTTCCCCCTATGGCCTCCAGCAGAGCTGAGCTGCCTCTCACACAGGTCCTGGTGTCTGCTTCTGCCCCGCTCCCTAAATGCAGCCACCATGGCAGGTTCCAGGTGGAAGTCAGTGGAAAGCTCCTGCCAGATCACAGCAATGTTCCTCCTTGTCAAGGCATGGACCAGGGTCATTCAGACACATTCAGATACCGCACTGAGAAGGGGCTGGCATCTCTCAGTGTGCTCCTGCCCTCCCGCTCCTGCCCCAGCTGTTCTCCAGGGCTTGGGGAAACAGAAACCACTCACATAGGGATTCCTGGATGGCATCAGGCTCAGGGCCCTTGTGGCTATGAATGGGATGCTCAGTAGTTCCCTGAGGATGAGCTCCCTTGTCCTGTGGCCTGGGCTCCAGGGGCTGTGTCCTCTCTCTGTGCTGTGCACTTGTGTGCATGTGCCTAAGTGGGTGACCCTGTGGAAGTGAGAGGGAGTCATCTTGAAGCTGAGCTGTCCTCGATGGTTTGCTAAATGCCAGGACTGGGTTTCTGGTGATAAATGAATATTCCAGATTTTGAGGAGCTCAAAGTAGTCCAGGAGTCCAAATAAGGAGTCTAGCCGGAATAAGGCAGCACCACGGAAATGTCCTAAGGACTGACACAGAGAGCTCATGCTGACTGTGATGAGAAATTGCAGCACCTCTATCTCGCAGGTAATGGAGTAGTTTGTTATTGGTAGTCTACTCCAGGCCAGGCAGTGTGCTATGGGCTGAGGATGCAGAAACAAGCAGGGCACAGTGCTGTCCTAGCAGAGCACTGGTGGGTCTCTCCATGCAGGCCACAACACAGGGTCAGTGTTCACCTGGTGTCACTTCCAGGCCATGTTCTGTGCAACTGCTCTTAGTATTCTCCCTAGAGGCTCACATCATCTGTCCCTATCATTCTTACCACCCTGGTCAATCTCCAGCTAACGTCTCAATCAGGCAAACATTCTTCTTAGAGGAATCAGGCAACCATCTCAAAAATTCTCATTCCATTCCCCCAGCAGAAGTGTGTAGGATGAGTTATTTGTTCTTGTGAATGACTGTTCCACTCCACACTCACACCTCTATTCACAGACCAGCATCTCCTCTCCTCATCAGGAATCTTCCTTCCTGAACATATTCTGCACCTTGTCAGCCTTCAGGACTGATCTGCAGTTTTCACCTCCAAATCCCAATGTCTGACCATTAGTTTTCTTCTCTCCCTTTCTCATTCTCATTCCACCTGTTCTTGGAACTCACAGAGGACTGCAGTCCCTGGGCTTTCATTTTTTCTTACCAGACCCCTGCTGCCTTCTCTATGTAGCCTGTCCCCATCATCCACCCCAGAATTGCTCTCTTTCCTCTCTTAGCTCTGTTGCCCACTTTCCTTGGGCCACACCTTCCCTGAAGATCTCCAAACCAGGACCATCTTCCCCCGTTGTCCTCCTCTCTCCTTCACCAGGACTGCAGGTCACTGCTCAGAACCATCATGCCAGGGTCCCAAGGGTGGGTACCTGACTTCCTCTCTCCCCAGCACTCTCTGAATCCCTCCTGTTCACCCAGCTGCTGTTATTCCAAGAATGCGCAACACCTCCCCCCATCAATATATCTCAGTATTTCGTGCCTCAATACCAGTCTTTCAAATGCTGCCTCTGCTGGATGTCATTTAATAAGTCATCTGTCTCATTAACTTACATTTCAAGACAGAGCTTTAATGTCAACTTCTCTTAGACATTTAGATGGTGAACCACTATCCCTTCACCCCAAAGAAATGATCTCTGCCTCATTTGCACTTCCCTCACCCTGAGCCCACTCCTACTGTAGTGGCTACATTACCTCAAATTTCTTTGATGTCTTTCCATGCAGACTTGGAATCATGGAAGGAAAACACTGTTAACTCAGATCTCCTGGTTACCCAGCATATAGCAGTACTGGATCCCAGCTTATAATAAGTACTCTATATAATTTTTTATTATAAAATGCACTTGTGCAAATTCTGGTCAATACCACCTCATGTAAACAGCAGTGGAAAATCTAAAAACTTCAGTTTGGGAGGCAGGTTGTGAAGCTTAGGAGAGATTCTGGAAACCAGAATCTGGAACTAGGCCAAAAAGAATAATGCAAATGACTGAAGAGCTTGACTCAAGTCCTGATCTCCCAAAAGAAGAGAGGGTCTCCCTGGGGTGGGGTTGCTGGACCTTCAATCCATCGCTACAGTCCAGAAGGCAACTGGCCACTCCTAATGTGGGCCTGCCCTCCCTTTATTTTTCCAGTTCTTATTTCACCTGATAATATTCCATCCAATGGCAATGGCACATAAAAATTAGGATGGAGTGTGTGGACAAATACTTCTTCATCTTCTTGTCTAGGATTAGAAATCACCTTCTTTCTCAAGGGAGCCTTGTCTAATGTTCCTGAGACTATTTCACACTCTCCATGCTTATGTCAATGCAGGACTCATCACATCTATTTGGATATTCTGTTTACACACCCATGTCATCCCAGAGAGGTGATCACAGGGTAGGGACACATGTGTGGCATGCAGTTCCTAGTTAAGATCCCAAATCCTGAGATATTGCTGATTTGCTATGGCAGGTTGTCAAGAGAACTGTGTTATTCCAAACTCACCAAGGTGGCTTATAGAACAGAAGCAGATGGATATAAAGAGGAGAGGGGGCCAGACCATCTCCGCAACCACAGCCCAGAGCTCCAAACAGGCACCAGATAGAAAATTGGTTTGATTTCATCCAATATTTTTTCAAAAGAATGTCAAGGAATAGGGTGGGGGCAATGTGTCATTCTGCATTGGAAGGAGGACATTTTAGAGCAAGGCCTAAGGGCACAGGTATTAGTGTCATATTGATCAGAATTCAACCTTTGTTCCTAAGCCAAAAGAACAAAGTTGGAGGCATCACGCTACCTGACTTAAAACTATACTACAAGGCTGCAGTGACCAAAACAGCATGGTACTGGTACCAAAACACAGATATAGACCAATGGAACAGAACAGAGCCCTCAGAAATAATGCCGCATATCTACAACTATCTGATCTTTGACAAACCTGACAAAAACAAGAAATGGGGAAAGGATTCACTATTTAATAAGTGGTGCTGGGAAAACTGGCTAGCCATATGTAGAAAGCTGAAGCTGGATCCCTTCCTTACACCTTATACAAAAATTAATTCAAGATGGATTAAAGACTTAAATGTTAGACCTAAAACCATAAAAACCCTAGAAGAAAACCTAGGCAATACCATTCAGGACATAGGCATGGGCAAGGACTTCATGTCTAAAACAGCAAAAGCAAAGGCAACAAAAGCCAAAATTGACAAATGGGATCTAATTAAACTAAAGAGCTTCTGCACAACAAAAGAAACTACCATCAGACTGAACAGGCAGCCTACAGAATGGGAGAAAATTTTTGCAATCTACTCATCTGACAAAGGGCTAATATCAAGAATCTACAATGAACTCAAACAAATTTACAAGAAAAAAACAAACAACCCCATCAAAAAGTGGGCAAAGGATATGAACAGACACTTCTCAAAAGACGACATTTATGCAGCCAACAGACACATGAAAAAATGCTCATCATCACTGGCCATCAGAGAAATGCAAATCAAAACTACAATGAGATACCATCTCACACCAGTTAGAATGGTGATCATTAAAAAGTCAGGAAACAACAGATGCTGGAGAGGATGTGGAGAAATAGGAACACTTTTACACTGTTGGTGGGACTGTAAACTAGTTCAACCATTGTGGAAGTCAGTGTGGCGATTCCTCAGGGATCTAGAACTAGAAATACCATTTGTCCCAGCCATCGCATTACTGGGTATATACCCAAAGGATTATAAAACATGCTGCTATAAAGACACATGCACACGTACGTTTATTGCAGCACTATTCACAATAGCAAAGACTTGGAACCAATCCAAATGTCCAACAATGATAGACTGGATTGAGAAAATGTGGCACATATACACCATGTAATACTATGCAGACATAAAAAAGGATGAGTTCATGTCCTTTGTAGGGACATGGATGAAGCTGGAAACCATCATTTTCAGCAAACTATCGCAAGGACAAAAAACCAAACACCGCGTGTTCTCACTCATAGGAGGGAATTGAACAATGAGAACACATGGACACAGGAAGGGGAACATCACACACTGGGGCCTGTTGTGGGGTGGGGGGAGGGGGGAGGGATAGTATTAGGTGATATACCTAATGTTAAATGACGAGTTAATGGGTGCAGCACACCAACATGGGACATGTATAGATATGTAACAAACCTGCACGTTGTGAACATGTACCCTAAAACTTAAAGCATAAAAAAAAGAAAAATTCAACCTTTGTTCTAACACATACCAGAGCAAGAATTTACTTGATTTAGGGTGATTAGTAGCTACTGTACGTTATATTGGTACTAAAGAGAAAGAATAATTGACAGCTGTATGCCCACACTCACATGACAGCTGATGTGAAAGAGATTCTGGAATTCCAAATGGTCCCAAGAAATTCTGATATTAAAACATTCCAATAATTTTTTTTTTTTTTTCAGACGAAGTCTGACTCTGTCGCCCAGGTTGTAGTGCAGTGGAGCAATTTTGGCTCACAGCAACTTCTGCCTCCCGGGTTCAAGCAATTCTCTTGCCTCAGCCTCCCGAGTAGTTGGGATTACAGATGTGCGCCACCACATCCGACTACTTTTTGAATTTTTTTGTTATTTATTTATTTATTTATTTTTGGAGACGGACTCTTGCTCTGTCGCCCAGGCTGGAGTGCAGTGGCGCGATCTTGGCTCACTGCAACCTCCGCCTCCCAGGTTCACGCCATTCTCCTGCCTCAGCCTCCCGAGTAGCTGGGACTACAGGCGTCTGCCACCACGCCCGGCTAATTTTTTTGTATTTTTAGTAGAGACAGAGTTTCACCATGTTGGGCAGGCTGGTCCAGTAACTTGTGTATATCGCATAAATATACCCAGAGTGTTGTGAGCTGTCCGTGGTGCTGAGTTCACTGTGCCGTCACTCCTGCCTCTCGTTGCTTTCTTCTGACTGACATTTATTCAACCTTCTCTACAGGAATCTCTTATATTCCCCCGCACGCAGGTGGTTTTTCAGTAGGCTCCTGAAGAGTGATCTTAACTTTCCAGGAAGAAAAGAGGGCAAAGGGAACAATGTGAAAAGGAGCAGAAAATCATAGAAGACCATGTGTTTGATAAACAACCAGATTGTTTCCACATTGTCACTATAACCACACCATGACAGCAGACTCGTATATGTCCCCTTATGGATCTGTGAGGTAGTTTCTTTGGTATTCATGCCCAGAAAAGGGGTTGATGCATCATAGAGAATACATATGTCTATATATTTAACTAAGTGTGAGGTAATATTTTATTGTTTTTGTAACTTGTATTTTACAAGAGTTCTGACCAGCACCAGATAAGCTTCAGTGCTCTCTTTTCTTTGGCCTCAATATTACTGGATTAAATAATTACTGCTTTTCACTAGGAGCATCATTTATTTACCATTATTTTCAATTTTATATTAAAACTCAATTTCTAGTAGAGTGGTTTCTTAGGTTCATTTTTCTATTTAAGTATTTTTTAAATCTTTTATTATTCTTTACCCTGTTTCAAACTAAATTAAAGCAGTTTATGTGAACCAACCGGCTTCTTTGGGAATTACATAGAAGAGCATGAGAGCCTTTATTTCATGCAATCCAACAATGTAACTTTAAAGAAATTTACAGTGGAACTCCAACTCATATCCACATTGCTCTATGCACAGTTAGAATTATAACATCTGAGCTGCATTTACTCTATAATGTGCAGCCACGGTATTTTGCCTATCCACTCCACCACGGACACCTTCCCGACCCTCATATTGCCTCCCACTCCTTACCATCACAAACAATACTATAAGGAACATCATTATATATATTTCCTTATGTATCTGTGCGAATATTTTTTGGAGTATATATATATTCCAAAAAATAGGCTACCTGGGACACAGATTCTATGTGTTCTTGGCTTGACTATTGTTTTCTTACCAACAGTAACAAGAGGTCCTATAGCTCAACATTACTGCCAATATGTCTGTTTCTGGCTTTGGAATATTTTTGTTGCAGACTAATTATCCCAATAAAACATATAAAAATATGAATAAAAATCAGAAAATTATCTGCTTCGAAGCAACAGAAAGCTACCAAAGTGACCAGGACTTGAAGGCTCTGGTTATCCAAGAGAAAGAAGACTCGATCAATGCACTGAACATTAAAGCTGCTTCTCTTCCTGAGAAATTTATCAGTTGTCAAGTAGTTTGAACAAAGAAGTTAAAAACCAAACAGAAAGTAACTTCTAAGAGACAAAGAAGATTGTTTGTGACTTTAATAGTCATTCAGGGCTGGTGAGATTAAAATTAGTGTTGAGGACTTCCAACACAGCCAGAACTTGAAAAGCCAAGAATTTAGATAAAAGAGAAGCAACAAATGGTGAGTCGATCACTCCAATTTTCTCCTCTTGCGGCATGCGTCTTTTCACAAGTTGTACAGGATAAGAGGTACAGCCCATCAGAATATTTTTGTTCAAAACCTAAATAGCTAATCAGAGCCTTTAGGAGATAAAAATCAGAGCTCAGAGTATTTCCAAGGTAGAGGTACCTTCTAAACATTTCAGGATTTCAGTTAGAACCCCTAAAGCGCTACTCCTAGGAATAAGTATATGGGTCAGAAATATAAATCCTAAAATTCAGTTTTGAATTAACTCTATCCCAGATTGGATTTAAATAATCTGCTACTCTAATTGCTTTCCAGAAGCTAAAGAAAATTCTCTGGAGGGAGAGAAAATCATCCATATCCTGAAATGAAAAATTTTCATTTTCAATGTTTAACATTCAAAATATTCAAGTACACCATGAGAGAAGATAAAAATAGAAAATCAGCTGGGTGCAGTGGCTCCCTCCTGTAATCCCAGCAATTTGGGAGGCCCAGGCAGGTGGATCACTTGAGGCTAGGAGTTCAAGACCAGCCTGGCCAACATGGTGAAACCCTGTCTCTACCAAAAAAAAAAAAAAAAAAAAAAAAAAAAAATACAAATATTAGCCGGGCGTGGTGGCATGTGCCTGTAATCCCAGCTACTTGGGAGGTTGAGGTGGGAGAATCGCTTGAACCTGGGAGGCAGAAGTTGCAGTGAGCCAAGATCTCACCACTGCACCAAAAAAAAAAAAAAAAAAAAGAAAGAAACTGGTAAAAAGAGAAAAATAGAAGATATAACAAACCCAGAGATGATAAGCCAGGCACAGAAAGATAAATATCACATGTTCTCTCTCATCTGTGGGAGCTAAGAAATTTGATCTCATGGAGGTAGAGAGTATAATGACGGTTACTAGAGGCTGGGAAAGTGGGTGGGTGGGGTGAAGGGACCCATATACTTATTCCTAGGAGTAGCACTTTAGGGGTTCTAACTGAAATCCTGGAATGTTTAGATAGTACCTCTACCTTGGAAATACTCTGAGCTCTGATTTTTATCTCCTAAAGGCTCTGATTAGCTATTTAGGTTTTGAACGAAAATATTCTGATGGGCTGTACCTCTTGTCCTGTACAACTTGTGAAAACACGCATGCCTCAAAAGGAGAAAATTAGAGTGATCGACTCACCATTTGTTGCTTCTCTTTTATCTAAGTGGGTAGAAACATACAGCTGTATAGAAGAAATAAGATCTAATGTTTGATAGCAGAGTAGGGCAACTATAGTTAACAACAGTGTATTGTATATTTCAAAATAGCTAGAAGAGAGGACTTCAAATATTCCCACCACATAAAAATGATAAATACTTGAGGTGATAGAAATGTCACACATGTACCCCATAAGTACGTACAAATATTTTATATCCATAAAAATTCTTTTCTTAAAAAAATTTGCTGTAAATGGAAGCAGAGAATTGAGAAGATCGCAGAGGAGAATGAAGTCAAAATAATTCTTTAAGGTCAGACAAATAACAGTATACTTGTACAGAATGAAAAGACCAGAAAACAGAAAAAATGATGGTGCATAAGAAAAAGAGGAGAATTTCTGTAGTGAGTGAAAAAAGCAAGGGGAATGGGATGTAGTGTAAGAGGACGGATGGACCTCTGCTGGGAACATAAAAAATTCATGGTAGTTGGGGGAAGGCAGAGTGTATGGCCACTGATTCTGATAAGAAGGTAGATGGGGTCATTGAAATATGCAAATACTCTCTTATTTGTATTGAAAGTGCAGTTGGATTAGTGGTCATGAATTTGAAGTGTGACCAGTCAACAAGGTAAGCACATTTTTTATCCAGACTGGTTTATCTGCAGAAGTGTAGGCAGAGTTGGATTTACCCAGTGTTGGCAATGATCATTCATAGCTGATACATAAGAAAAAGACACCCAGACATGTACTCTTGATAGTAGACAACCCCACATTTGAAGCAATCTGCTTTAAAAAACCTGAACCCTGAATATACTTAAGGCTCTAGATCTACCGAGTTACAAAGGGAAGAGAGAGGCTGAGTAATCTGTTAATTGACACCACATGGATGCAATCAGGAACTCCAGTCTGTAGGAAATTCTGCAGGAAAAATAACCCACTTTCTACAACAACAACAACAAAATGAAAGGAGAAAAAGAAGAAATTGAGAGTGAAGCTGCACATTTAAAAAGCCTTGGCCGGGTGCTGTGGCTCATGCCTGTAATCCCAACACTTTTGGAGACCGGGGCGGGCAGATCACTTGAGGCCAGGAGTTTGAGACCAGCCTGGGCAATATGATGAAAAACCATTTCTACTAAAGATACAAAAATTAGCCGGGTGTGGTGGTACATGCCTGTAATCTCAGCTACTCAAGAAGCTGAGGCAAGAGAATCACTTGAACCTGGGAGGTGGAGGTTGCAGTGAACGAAGATTGCACCACTGCATTCCAGCCTGGGCAACAAAGCAAAACTCTGTCTTGCAACGACAACAACGACAAAAACAAGAAAAACAACAAAAACAAACAAACAAAAAACCCCAGAAAAAACAAAAAACAAAAAGCCAAAAAAAAAAAAAAAAAAAAGAAAAAAGAAAGAAAACAACAACGAAAAGGTTTTAGAGCCGTATCAATCAGATATACTGTATGTAACTTATTTAATCTCTGGTTAAGTAAACTTAAAAAAAATCCATCACAACTGGAAAAATGTGAATATTGACAGGATATTTGATTATATTAAAGAAATATTATTAATTATTTTTAGATATGATAGTAACATTGTGATTATGGGCTTCTTAGGTTGTCCTTATCTTTTAGAAATACAAATTGAAATGGTTAGAGATGAAATTATATGAAGTTTGGAATTTGCCCAACAAAAACGAAGGATAGGAGTGGATGGTACTATAAGTGGAACAAGATGGTCATGTATTGACCATCATCAAAGTGGGCAATGAATACATATGGAGTTATCACACTATTTTCTCTATTCTTAATGTGTCTGAAAAATTACTTCATAATTTAAAAAAATTTAAAAGGATGAAATAAAGACATTTTCAGATATACAAAACTAAGACGACTTAACCCCCACCACACTCTTACTAAAGAAACCTCAAAAGCAAGTACAGTACTGCAAGTAAAGGGAAAACTACCCTAATGCACAAAGAATGATAAATAATGGAAATAGCAAACAAGTGAGTAATCATAGTTAAATATTTGTGTAAATCAAAAATAATAATTCCTGGCCCTGAACAGTGGCTCACATGTCTAATCCCAGCACTTTGGGATGCCAAGGTGGAAGGATCCCTTGAACCCAGGACTTCCAGACTAACCAGGGCAACATAGTGAGATGCCCATCTCTACAAAAAATAAAAAATTAGCAAGGCATGCTAACACACACCAGCAATCCCAGCTACTTAAGAGGGTGAGTCAGAAGGATTACTTGAGCTAGGAAGGTCAAGGCTGCAGTGAGCCATGATCCTGCCACATCACTCCAGCCTGAGGAACAGAGCAAGACACTGTCTCAAATAATAATCATTCCTAAAGGAGGGACAATGATCATTCATAGCTGATACATAAGAAAAAGACATTCAGACATGTACTCTTGATAGTAGACAACCCCACATTTGAAGTAATCTGCTTTAAAAAACCTGAACCCTGAATATGCTTAAGGCTCTAGATCTACTGAGTTACAAAGGGAAGAGAGAGGCTGAGGAATCTGTTAATTGACACCACATGGATGTAATTTTTAAGGAGAGTTAAAACTGAAAAAAAAAATAGCATATAAGCCAGAAGGGAAGTCTCTAAATTTAAAGTGAATTATTTAGATTGTTCAGGTGGAGAGAAGAGATATTGATTAACTCTAGTCTAGTTTATGTTGCAAGCAAGTTAAAATTTCAAAGGTAACCACAAAAATTGAGTGCTTATGTGTGTGCGTTTGTGCGTGTGTGTCCAAACCTATAAAAGAAGGGAAAACCCACATAAAAAAATACGTATGGTTCACCCCTGTAATCCCAGCACTTTGGGAGGCTGAGGTGGGTGGATCACTTGAGGTCAGAAGTTCGAGACCAGCCTGGCCAACATAGTGAAATCTTGCCTCTACTAAAAATACAAAAATTAGCCGGGTATGGTGGCGGGCACTATACCTTACAAGTAATTTCAGCTACTCAGGAGGCTGAGGCGGGAGAATTGCTTGAACCCGGGAAGGAGAGGTTACAGTGAGCTGAGATCCCGCCACTGCACTCCAGCCTGGGTGACATAGTAAGACTGTCTAAAAAAAAAAAAAGAAAAAAAAAGATAAAGTAGCTAATCAAGAATCTACTGTAGTGCCAATATGCATGACCAAAGAGAAAGAGGAAAATAACACAGCAACCAGAGAAAGGGACCAGTTTACTGGCTCTTGGTGTCTGCTATGTTGGGGTCTGGGTGGAGAGCCCATGGGCTGGGCTGGGCTGGGCTTGAGCTTGGTCATCTGTAACCCTCAGAACAAGGCTTCTGGCCATGGAACTAATAGAGTAACTCCTTAGCAACTGCAGCAACACTGGAGAGAAACTCAAAAAAACTGATCTCCTCATCATGATTCCTGTCCTTCTTAAACAACTTTTCTAAGAAATCGGGCTCTTTTTTTTTTTTCCTCTGAGTAGAAGATATCAAACAAAAGGAAGGTTACAACCTGGGGCTGGACTAGGAAGATGAGAAGGGGATGGCAGAGGCTAAGGGGAAATATGTAGGGGGTAAGGTGGGGGTTGCAGGAGGGTGGGGTTGGGACAGCCGTAATGGATGGGATGGGGAGCCCTGACCCTGGCATTTTAACTGGTGACTCTTGGCTCAAATGAGAGCATGCATAGGAGATCTAAAAATTCTGAGGCTGGGTCTGCCTGTGCCCCTTGAAATGCCCAATATTCATTCTACATGGGCCAGTACCCTTTGAACCCCAGTCTCAAAACTACCTCCACTTGGCTGGGTGTGGTGGCTCACACCTATAATCCCAGCACTTTGGGAAGCCGAGGCGGGTGGATCACCTGAGATCAGGAGTTCAAGACCAGCCTGGCCAACATGGTGAAACCCCATCACTACTAAAAATACAAAAATTAGCCAGGTGTGGTGGCACGTGCCTCTAATTCCAGCTACTTGGGAGGCTGAGGCAGGAGAATTGCTTGAGCCTGGGAGGCAGAGGTTGCAGTGAGCTGAGATTGCACCCTTGCACTCCAGCCTGGGAGACAGAGCGAGACTCCATCTAAAAAAAGCAAGCAAGCAAGCAAGCAAGCAAAAAAACAAACAAACAAACAAACAAAAAAACTACCTCCACTCCTCTCCTCATCATTCCATCAAAATACACCAATTCTGAATCCCCTCCTTGTCAGAGCTCACTCTCTGTGATTCAATCTGTTGCATTACTTGTGCCAGTGAGGTCAGTGGGTGCTAATGGTTTAATGGTGAAGTTAGATGTTATAGTGAGTGGGAATCAAAAACTCTCCAGGGTTTTAGGGCTGCCTCATTTCACTTGGCATTATGATTCTGTGGTGTCACTACTGCTCCCAGGGGTACATGAAAAGAAGCTTCCAGAAGGAGGAGATGAACCCAAAGAGTTGAATCTAAAGGGGGAAATTTTTTTACAGACAGAAGAGAGATACTTTAAGCCAGGAGACCTTCTCCCGACCCACAAGTCACCTAGCCTGCTGACTGTCTAATAACAATCGTTAACACCACTATCCCTCTTCCCATCTTACAAAGCATCGCATGTGTTTTACCTCATTTAAATGTTCATAACAATCCCAGGAAATAAGTGACATTGTCCTCATTTTTACATCTAAGGTAACTAAGGCTCCTTGAGTTGGTGTTTACATATTTGTAACAGAGAAATAAGTAAACAGCAGGGGCTGTGCAGGAAATTGGGTCTTCTCACCCCATCCTGGACTCTGTCTACTACACACCTTCCATTCAGGAGTAGAGGTGCAGGTGGCTGGGGGGAGGTGTGAGATGCTCGCCAGCCTGCCACATCGGTGCCTCTCCATGAGCTGGTTCTCAGGCCAGTCAGGGCCATGGGTGCCGTGCACTCCTGCCCCACTCCCACCCAGCCGCTGGGTCCCTGCTCACACAGGCCGATAGGAAGGTGGGGGAAATGCATGATGTTGGACAGCCAGATCTGCCCATGGCATCTTAATCTCGGGTGTATTTGTGACATAGGTTGAGCAAGCCCTTCAGCAGCTCCTCAGCTCCCGTGTCCAGTAAGCTGCAGGAAAGGATGCTGGTCACCTGGCTTGCTTTCTAACGTCTGAGACTATGGGGAACAGGGATGAGAGGAGACAGGATAGGAAGGGAATGGAGTGAGGGCCGGGGCTTCAGGGAAGGTGAGAGGCAGCCCTGAGATGGAGCAGAAGGAATCTGATAATCCTTCAGTCCAGATGAAATCCAGAGGAGGGAATAAATGTTTGAGGAGAGGGAGGGGAAGTCGTGGAAATTGTAAGGGAAATTTTAACCCCTGGTCCTATCACTTTTACTGCACAGCCTCATGTGGCTGGCGATGGGACAGAAGGTTCAGATGAGTTGTCTGGGTGGGGCAGATCCTTCAGGACCTGGGCATCTGGTGGGAATTGCTGGGCAGGGCCACCATGCTCTGGGAGGGTGGTGGACCACGGCCAGGCTTCACAGCCTGAGGCTCCTAGCCAGGTCTGAGACTCACTGGAGGTCCTGTTCCTTTGCCCAGATCTACTCTTTACACAGGTCTTCCTCTGCCTCCTCCACGGCTCTGAGTCAGGCTAGCGATTTGGGGTCCATGCCTTCACTTCCTCCTGGGTAGTGCTCACTCTCCAGCCTGCTGTGCTGCCCACTCATGCAGGAGGAACAGTCACGGGCTGGGAATCAGGTCTAGACCAAGCTGTGCCACCCTAAGCTGTGTCACCTTGGACGAGACACACCCCTCTCTGGGCCTCAGCATCTCCACGTGTACAATGAGGGTCAGGATTGGATGATCTCCCATCACATTTAGCTCTGAATTTTGAAGACTCTCTGAGTCTGTAGACTGGGGACATATGGGTGGCAATGTCTCTGGGGGGAACCATAGACAGAGCCACAGGGCTCTGGGACGTCAGAGCACTGCTCACTGCAGGAATCTCTCTCCTTTTAGGTGTTAGGTGAGCTTTAAGAGAAGAGCCAGTTCTTGGTTTGTTCCTTGCCAATTCGCTCTGCGTGGAGTTAGCCCATCTGTGTTCCCTCCTATCGAGGCTTCCTTGAGGTCCTGAGCTTCTATGACCCAGGCACCCTGTTGACACTTGGGATCCACCACTACTCTCCAGCCCACATGCAGCCAACCTGGGCTTGAATAGAGGATGAGCCGCTGCACCATCCTCCTTCCCCTGGAGAGGGAGGGTAACCTGCAGGTGCTTTCTTCTCCCATCTCCAGGAAAGTGCTTATTACTGAAGAGAAGTGAGGACCAGAGACCCAGCAGCTTCCTGCTGTACTTGACCCACTCAAGTGTCTCCACAGGCCATGGGAGAAGTGATCTAGGACTCTTCTACCATAGGATGGTTCTTTATACCGAGGTGGGGCCACCCAGAGGGTGTCAGACACGTGCCCCGGATTTGAGGGTCACCTGTGCTGTTTGTCCTCCTAGAAAGTGAGAGGTTAAGAGAGAACCACCCCTCCATACTATGGGGCAGTCCCCCTGGAGCTGTGTCCTGATGGGGTGGAGGGCAGGTCAGGCCCTCCCTCACGATTGGGTTCCTCTCCCTTGGCTTCGTTCTCTTCTCTCATGGCCTGAGCACCTCTTAGTGCCTGGCCTCCTGCTCAGTTCTGGGACAGGAGAATGATGCTCCACACCAAAGCTGAGGTAGGAGCCATCAGGCTGGGGGACCATAAGAATCCTTGCATGGACTAGTTTACAGTCCCACCAACAGTGTAAAAGTGTTCCTATTTCTCCACATCCTCTCCAGCACCTGTTGTTTCCTGACTTTTTAATGATTGCCATTCTAACTGGTGTGAGATGGTATCTCATAGTGGTTTTGATTTGCATTTCTCTGATGGCCAGTGATGATGAGCATTTTTTCATGTGTTTTTTGGCTGCATAAATGTCTTCTTTTGAGAAGTGTCTGTTCATGTCCTTCGCCCACTTTTTGATGGGGTTGTTTGTTTTTTTCTTGTAAATTTGTTTGAGTTCATTGTAGATTCTGGATATTAGCCCTTTGTCAGATGAGTAGGTTGCGAAAATTTTCTCCCATTTTGTAGGTTGCCTGTTCAGTCTGATGGTAGTTTCTTTTGCTGTGCAGAAGCTCTTTAGTTTAATTAGATCCCATTTGTCAATTTTGTCTTTTGTTGCCATTGCTTTTGGTGTTTTGGACATGAAGTCCTTGCCCATGCCTATGTC
Organism: Homo sapiens; assembly: GCF_000001405.40. Classification (NCBI taxonomy): domain Eukaryota; kingdom Metazoa; phylum Chordata; class Mammalia; order Primates; family Hominidae; genus Homo; species Homo sapiens. Next base: position 153,442,767 of record NC_000001.11, on the reverse strand, counting down.
CTGAATGGTAATGCCTAGGTTTTCTTCTAGGGTTTTTATGGTTTTAGGTCTAACTTTTAAATCTTTAATCCATCTTGAATTGATTTTTGTATAAGGTGTAAGGAAGGGATCCAGTTTCAGCTTTCTACATATGGCTAGCCAGTTTTCCCAGCACCATTTATTAAATAGGGAATCCTTTCCCCATTTCTTGTTTTTCTCAGGTTTGTCAAAGATCAGATAGTTGTAGGTATGCGGCGTTATTTCTGAGGGCTCTGTTCTGTTCCATTGATCTATATCTCTGTTTTGGTACCAGTACCATGCTGTTTTGGTTACTGTAGCCTTGTAGTATAGTTTGAAGTCAGGTAGTGTGATGGGACTGTAAACTAGTTCAACCATTGTGGAAGTCAGTGTGGCGATTCCTCAGGGATCTAGAACTAGAAATACCATTTGACCCAGCCATCCCATTACTGGGTATATACCCAAATGACTATAAATCATGCTGCTATAAAGACACATGCACACGTATGTTTATTGCGGCATTATTCACAATAGCAAAGACTTGGAACCAACCCAAATGTCCAACAATGATAGACTGGATTAAGAAAATGTGGCACATATACAACATGGAATACTATGCAGCCATAAAAAATGATGAGTTCATGTCCTTTGTAGGGACATGGATGAAATTGGAAATCATCATTCTCAGTAAACTATCGCAAGAACAAAAAACCAAACACCGCATATTCTCACTTATAGGTGGGAATTGAAGATTGAGATCACATGGACACAGGAAAGGGAATATCGCACTCTGGGGACTGTGGTGGGGTGGGGGGCGGGGAGGGATAGCATTGGGAGATATACCTAATGCTAGATGACGAGTTAGTGCGTGCAGCGCACCAGCATGGCACATGTATACATATGTAACTAACCTGCACAATGTGCACATGTACCCTAAAACTTAAAGTATAAAAAAAAAAAAAAGAATCCTTGCATGGAGCAGGTGACAGAGCAGAGGACAGGGTGAAGGCCAGATGAATGCTATTGTTCTTGGCTAGGAGCCAGAGGAGGGCTCGTGTGACATGCAGGGCATGCACGTGTGACATGCAGGGCTTGCACAGGGACTTGATCAGAGCTAATAATATCTGATAGACTGCTCTATGCCCAGCACCGGGGTCCCTGCCATGGGGGCAGGGGAGGAGCACAGGGCTAGGCCAGCTGTTCCTGTCCCCAACTGCCCCAGTCCCCTTCAGCCAGGAAAACAGAGTTCCCAGGTGCCCTACCCAGCAGAACTTAGTTTCCTTGGCTGGAACTGAGTGGGACACACGATCAGTCGTAGTTGCCAGGGAGGCAGGCAGAGCAGGAACAGGACTGTCAGGAGTGGCTCCGACCATGCGGGACTCACCTCCTGGCCCTGGGCAGTATAAACACTGAAGCAAAACTGGGGAGCATTGAGCTCTGAAAACGGTCTGGGTACTGAGTTGGCCACATTATTAGTGCCAGCCCCATGCATCCTTCTCCTCATACCCAGGCACGAAATATGGGTTTTAAATTTTTATGATTTTCTTTTCTTTTTTAGTTACAGTTGTCTCAGTCCTGACATTATGTGTTTTTCTGCCCTTGAGCGTTTGTTCATGGCTGGGATCTGGGTTGGTTTTCACTTCCTTTGGCTGATGATCAGGAGGTGTCAGCCTACACTCAGGCACCACCTCCAGCTGGATTTTCCTCTGTCCACCTCTCCTCCCCAGAGTTGCTGCTCTCTTCTTGGGGTCGACACAGCCTCACTGTACATCTTTTAGCAGCTACAGATTCTATTTTATTCTTTTTCTATGTTTTCTTTCTTTCTTTCTTTCTTTCTTTCTTTCTTTCTTTCTTTCTTTCTTTCTTTCTTTCTTTCTTTTCTTTCTTTCTTTTTTCTTTTCTTTCTTTCTTTTTTTTTTTTTTTGAGACAGGTTGTCATTCTTTCCTTGAGGCTGGAGTGCAGTGGCATGATTATAGCTCACAGTAGCCTTAAACTTCTGGCTCAAGTGATCCTCCTGCCTCAGCCTCACAAGTAGCTGGGACCACAGTCATGAGTCACCCTGCTCAGCCTCTGTTTCTTCTTTTCTTCTAAAGTGTGAGCATCCTGAGGTGAGCTGAGTCCCCCACCCCTTTTTAAAAAAATGTACTGTTATATCTTCAACATAAAGCAAAGTGAGTGCTTTACTCTTCATTGTGAATGGGTCCATGTCTCAGCTCAGGATGGCTGAGGGAACCTAGCTGAGTAAACTTGGGTTGTTTCTTTAATCTTAACATCTCAATTCCCTCTTTCCTTAATTGGGGATAGCAGCACCTACCTCAGAGGGTTGTGAGGACTAAAGAGAAACTCATGTACAGCAGGGATCTCGAGGCTGGGAAGATCAAAATGCTGGGTAAGTGGTGGTGAGAGTTCTAGGTATCTCAAAGGTAAAAGAACTGAATGTATGAACAGAGACCATGCTTCCTTCTAGAGTCTGAAATTCCATCCTCTTTTGATCCAGAGTCCCAGTGTTCTCTCCCCCATTCCTTGTCCTAATCTGACACATCCACTGGCTGCCCCAGACCTGGATTAGGTTGGAACAGAGAAGGCTCCAGGTGAGATCTCTGGGGGTGGTGTAGGACCAGGTGACCTGGGATTCTGGCCAGAAATCCTGAGCACAGCCTCCTGGGTGTGTCCCACCCATCTGATGTGGGACAAAGCTCCAAAAAACAGATGGGAGAGGTGGCTCTAGGCCTTCCAGCCCCTGGGAAGAGCCAGGCCGAGCCTTATAAAGGGACTGCTCTTTGTCCAAACACACACATCTCACTCATCCTTCTTCTCGTGATGCTTCCCAGCTCTGGTAAGTCTCACCTGCCTATTTGCCTTTTCTAGCAGTGCCCAGTGTCTGGCCTACCATTCACTTTCTCCTATAGGAGGAAAGAGGGCTGTGGATGATGACTCAGGAGCCTGGGTCTAGGCCCGGCTCTGCCACCAGCCGGGCTGAGTGACCTTCACTCGAGCCCGAGAGCCCACATCTGTACAACCAGGTGGCTGAACCAGACCTGTCCATTGCTCCTTTGGGATCTCCTGAGACAACTCCTGTGGAAATGTCCCCAGTGGGACCTGAGCACAGGACCCTCCCTGTCTTCTTCCTGGATTCATCCTCCTGTTGGGGTCTGGGGTACTGAATCCCTTCCCCAAGTCTGCCCCCACAGAGGGCTAAGAGTCCCCTAAGAATACTTTGGAGGCTTGCTGAACCCCCAGGCCTGGGACCTCCACACAGCATAGCCCTGGTGAGATGATCTGCCCCTACCTGGGTAAGGTATTGAGCAACCAAAGCTCCCTCACTCCCTACTACAACCTGCAAACTCTCAGTCACCCTCTGGGCACAGGGCTCAGCCCCTGGCCTTGGCCTCAGACTCAAAAAGGCTTTAGATGGCTCCTTTTAGTGAGTTGCCAGCACAGAGCTTTCTCCTGCTTTGGGAGGTGATAGGGGTTTATTGTCAGATGCCCACAGGCATGAGCAAATGTCATTTTCTGGTTCTTTGGAAAGTGTGGGAAGTGGGAACTGCACTGTCCTATTTTTCAGGCTTGGGGTGCAGGCCAGCCCAGACTGAGTATTGGCTGGAGGATCTGCTTTGGGAAATCAGAACTTTTTATTTAAATAACATCCAGCCTTGGTGATTTAAAGGGTGCAGATAATTCCCAAGAGCAGACATGAAGGGACCCCCACCTCATTCCCACCCCATCCAGCAGCTTAAGAACCAGAGAGTTATTTCTGTTCTTTTTAACAGAGGCTAGCTATGGTCACCCGTGCCTCTTTCACATTCCTGTGAGGGTCTAGGAAGGGCCCCCTGTGTTCGGGACAGGGCTGTGTTTCCTGCTAACACTCATGTCCACGCTCATATGTGCACCTGGAGCCTGCATGCACCGTGTCATGCAGGGCTTGCACTTGAGTCAAGGTGGGGCCCACGGTGTCTGGTTCTTGAAGCAGCCCAGGAGGGTCAGACACCAGATCACCAAGGCCGTTGTCCTGCCCCTGTGACTCTCACCCTGGCTGTGAAGCTGGAGGAGATGGATTTGGTGCTGTTTGAGGAGTGGAGTCTGCCATGTGCTGACTGTGGCTGGGGGTCCCTGCTCAGGGTTTAGTTCTTCCACGTGTTGTTGGCCTCTATCTCTCCCTACTTCTCCCTCTCACAAGCACGGCCCATAGCTGGGCTTCTGCTTGTCTCCTCTTCTCCTGTTGCTCCCCGGCCTGTGTGAGCCCAGATCCCAGGTATGGCTCTACCCTCCTCTTTGGAAGCAATTTATCCCACCACACAGAGAAACACAGGTTTCTCTGGTCCACCTTAGCCTCGTCCTCATTTGCTCCTCAATCCCTTCTCATCTTCTTAATATCAGTCATTCACTAGAGAAGGAAAACAATCATTGTTTTTATTTCCTGAAGGCTTTTTGAAAGCAAAGATGAATATCCCTCTAGGTGAGAAAGTCATGTTGGACATAGTCGCGATGTTTCGCCAATACAGTGGAGATGATGGTAGGATGGACATGCCAGGTCTGGTGAACTTGATGAAGGAGAACTTCCCCAACTTCCTCAGTGGCTGTGTGAGTGGGGACTCTGCCCGCCCTTGGCTGGGAGAGCTTTTATATTTGTGCGGGGCAATGGAGTAGTGATTCTTGGACAGGTCCTGTGCATTGTGACATGTCTGAGGACTCATCTCTGGGAGCTGAATTCACTATTTTTATTGGGTAATTCTGAGCCTGGTATGCCTCACTGATCCATCTGTCCCAGCCTTAGGCAGGACCAGCCCCGTGGAGAGACTAACCATTCAAGAGATGGAGACTGGAACTGAGAATCAGACATGCTGGGCTCCTGTCCTGCCACTGGGCCCCCTGCCACGTTACCTGGAGAGGTTACACACACGCTCTGGCCATTTGTTTCTTCTGCCCAACGTAACCTTGTCCCTCTGTGAGAGTCACTCCTCTAGGTTCAAGTGGAGGCTTGTCAAGATGGAACTCAATGGAAATCAGAATATTGATAACATGAGCACCACCCTTTATATTTGGCAGAGCTTATTCATATACTGGGTTTTATTTCACTGTTAGAATGCATCACTCTTATTAGTAAAATATAACAAGAGAGAATAGAGCACTGGGTCCTAAAGAAAGGGAACCTGGCACTTAACAGTTTGAATGGGAAAGAAATGGAATGGGAGAAGAGTCAACATGTAAGAGAAGGAAGGCGGTCAGCCTGTGCTGGGCCCCTGGGGAGAAAGGAGACAGCGCCTGTACAGGTGGGTAGGTGGGTGGGTCTGTGGGTCTGTGGCCAATGAAGGCCCCTCACTCCTTACCAGTGTGGTTCCTGGCGGAGCCTGACACCAATCTCTGTGTTTTCCTCATGGAGTCACTCAATGGAGAACTCCTCAGGAACAACCCAGCAATGCTGCTCTCTCTCTTCCACCCACTCCTGTCCCACTTACCCACTTGTCATGTTCACACCACAGGATACCTCTTTCCTCTTTTTCCAATTCAAATATCATTTTTCTTTCTTGCGTGTTTCTCTCCATGCAGGAAAAAAGCGACATGGATTACTTGTCCAATGCCCTTGAGAAAAAAGATGATAATAAGGATAAGAAGGTTAATTATTCTGAGTTTCTTTCCTTGCTGGGGGATATAACCATAGACCACCACAAGATAATGCATGGAGTGGCACCCTGTTCCGGGGGAAGCCAGTGATCCCACCCTACCCAGGGGCCTCTGGAGACCCCCATGGACAATAAAGCATCTACTCCCACAAGATACTTCCTCCTTTTCCTTGGCCGTGTGTATCTTAGACAGAACAGGAAGTTGTTGGTTAACTGCTTTGTAGATGCTCCACTAGGTACAGAAATGCTCCCCAGCAAATGTCTGCTTCCAGAGTGCTCCCCACAGTGTCCTGAATCCTGATTTGGTCACTCTTCTTTTTTGGTTGTTGGGCTTTGAGATTCACCTGTGCTCACACACCTGGGAGGACGCATCCTACCTACCTAGCTTGGTGAGCCTAGATCAGGGTGTAAACTGGAACCCTTGCCTGGGGCCTTGCCAGAGGCCAGATAGGCACTTGCTCTCTGCACCACTCTCATGAGTAGAAAGGAGCAGCAGTGAGCACTAGACCCCTGTCCTCTGGCCTGACCCCTGCAGCTCTGGCCTTGCTCCTGTGTCTGCTTGTTGGGATCAGTGTGAGTGGATATTGTTGTCTTTCTAAGAAATGTGGTTTGCTGAATGCCAGCATCCAGCTGGGCACTGGGGATGCAAAGGCAAGACAGTCAGTTTTGGGCCAGTGGGGGAATCCTTCCAAAACACATGAAACTGGCTACAAGTCCAGCTGATTCAGGTCCATGCTTTTGGGGTGGTCGTTGTTGGATAAGGAGCATCAGATGAAGGGCAGGGAGGAGACAGTGATGCTTATCTCTGAGCCTTGTACTCTGCCAGACAATGAAGATGCAGAAATAAAAATGATGCAATGGCTGTTCCTCCCCACAAGATGCCCATCTTCTTGTGGCCTCTCCACTGGGTGTTGCTAATTCTTCCCAGTTTTAAGCCCTTCAAACCCTTTGGGCCAGGCAGTAGGATCAGCATTCATTTTAATCACCAGGGCCATGTTCAGACCATTTCCCCAATTTCCCTATTATTCCTTACACCTCTGTAAATTCCTCCATCTTTGAGCCTCATGTCATAGGATTATCCTCCTTCTTTTTTTTTTTTTTGGAGTCTCCCTCTGTCACCCAGGCTGGAGTGCAGTGGCTCAACCTTAGCTCGCTGCAACCTCCATCTCCCTGGTTCAAGCGATTCTCATGCTTCAGCCTCCCAAGTAGTTGGGATTACAGGTGTGAGCCACCACGTCCAGCTAAGTTTTGTATTTTGAGTAGAGGCGGGGTTTCATCATGTTGGCCAGGCTGGTCTTGAACTCCTGGCCTCAAGTGATCTGCCACCTTGACCTCCCAAAGTGCTGGGATTACAGGCATGAGCCACTGCGCCCAGCCTATCCTCCTTTTTTTTTTTTTTTTTTTGAGACAGTGTCTTGCTCTGTGTCCCAGGATAGAATGCAGTGGTGCCATCATAGATCATTGCAGCCTCAACTTCCTGAGCTCAAGAGATCCTCTTGGCTCAGCCTTCCTAATAGCTAGGACTAGAGGTGCAGGACACTACATCTGGCTATTTTTAAAATTTTTCATTTTTATAGAGATGGGTCTTGCTAGATTGCCCAGGCTGGTCTCAAACTCCTGGCTTTAAGCAATCCTGCCTCAGCCTCCCAAAGTGCTGGGATTACAGACGAGAACCACCATGCCTGGCCCCCTCCATTAAAAAATTTTTTTAAGTAGATGAGGTCTTTCTCTGTCACCCAGACTGGAATGCAGTGGTGTGATCACAGCTCACTGTGGACTCGATCCTCTGGCCTCATCCTTCCAAGTAACTGGGACCACAGGGCGCGCGACCTTGCCTGGCTTATCCTCCTTTCTTATCGGATTCTTGCATTCTCCTCACTCGTGATATTGCCCCACCACCAGATAATACTTGGCTGACATCACCCTTTCTATTTTACCAGGAGAACTTATTTGGGGTAAGTTCACAGTAAGATTTCCTAGAAGTAGAGACTAAGATGGGGATTCCCCTGCAAGTGATATGGTTTATCAGGGAGTGCTGTCAGGGGAAACCTGGGAGGACATGGGGGTGACAGCATGGACGGGGAAAAAGCTCATTGGAGACAGGAGCTCAGCTTCAGTCTAGCTTTGTTCTCATCCCACAGGGAGCTCTGCAGCCTGAATGGAGTTACCCCACCTGGAGGCAAAGAGGCCCACCTTGTGTATTCCTGCACCATTTGTCACTGGCTATAGGCCACCCCCAGGGAGAGGCAGAGCCTTTTAGGCATTTCCGGGCTGGGAGCTCCATTGGATCAGGGGCTGCTCTTAGGAGAAGGGTGCAGTCGTGCCCTATTAGTGGCCAACATTAACAGAAGCTGGAGACGGGCACACGGATCAGGTAACAGGGATGAGGGTGGGCATCACAGTATCTACTGCAGTCCACACCTTATGCCCACTCAGATCTATTTGCTTCTCACATCAGGTTCATTCCATCCAGCGATTGCTTCTCCAGTTCTAGCTGGTTTTGATTTCTGGGTAATTTTACAAAAGAAGGGTTGGGGGCTACTACAGGCTGTCCTGCTGCGGTTGTTTTAGAGGTCACAACTGATGCACATCCTCTCCCCCCTCTATGATTTATTATAGATTTCCCTCCTGGTGGCTGGCACCTCTGCTGGTCTAGGTGGCTTACCTGGTGGGGCGGCGCAGACTCTCATCACTGAGGGCTGCATGCTGCTGGTTCCTATGCCCTTATCAGACCTCGGTTGCTGTACTTACCCATTTACTGTTAAAACTATATGTAGGGATAATAATTGATACCCCAGGGGATCACCCGAGTCCCAGAAGTATGCTCCCTACCCCATTATGTAGGAGCAGTCCCACATGGTGATCAGAATCAATTACCCTTCCTGTGAAGTTACACCTTTTTGGGGGCAACTGGGGTCCTGGCACGAGGAGCCTAACTGATCAAGCAGAGGAATTGGCCATAGGCACCTTAGATGAAGGTGAAGAAATCGCTGTTATATGCATTTGCTGTGATATTACAAGGTCTCTCTGTGGGGACCAGGCTTCTCTTTCTAATGATGGGTTCGGGGTCTGAGAACTGGCTCAGGTGTGGAGACCTGACAAAGGATAATACTTTTCTATCTGGTGACTGATCTAAGCCTTCTGCTTTCATTCTTGGTTTCTTTTTATTGATCATATTAAGCTGTACCCTGTTGGCTGTTTTAGAGTTGGAGGGAGCACAGTCCACAAGACAGCCCTCACTGCTGACACCAATTACAAGCTCAGGGGTCTCTAGCAGTACCCTGTGTTTTGATAATTTTCCAGAAGAACTTGCAGCACTCACTGAAAGTGGTTATACTCATAGTTGTGGTTGATTATAGGGAGAAGATACAGACTATAATATGTAAGAAAGAGACACATGGGGCAGAGTCCAGGAAAGCTCCAAGCAGGAGCATCCGGTCATCCTCTCCCTGTGCAGTCATGGGCAGTGCTGCTCCTGGCAACAGCTTGTGGCTTTGCCAACCAGGGAACCTTATCTGAGCTTTGGTGACCAGAGTTTTTATGAGGACCGTTTGGTGCACTGCCTGTGTGACTGACCTCAGTCTCCAGCCCTCCAGAAGTTGAGCTGATAAGACATGACTCAAAGCCTCCACCATCAATCACATTGTTAGGCTTTCTGGAGTGGTTCTAATTTCCAGGAAAACAAGGACACGCTTCTTGGGGATGATATTTCCAGGGCTTAGACATGACCTCCAGAATCCCAGGGCAGAGGCCAGGCCTCTGTGTGGGCAAGGCTGAATTCCTTCTGACACAGATGCCTGTATATCTTGTTCCTATCAGCACCATGCTCTTTAGCCAACTCCGTAGATCCCTGCGGGACACACTCCCCTGCGGCCAGCCTAATCTTGCTGCCTGGTATGTTGTGAGGCCACCTTGCTTCTAATGGTTAAGTTCTGTCACCTGCCTCTACTGCTGTAGGATCCAGTCACTCTCATTTAAGCCAGGGTACTTAGTTCAGTATCAGCATCTCCAATGGCCAACCCCTGCCTTCAAAGGACGCAGGAGGAACCAGGAGAGTATGTCTCAGAAGGGATCCTGGAGGGTGCTGAATCAAGGAGAGTGCATTATAATGGTGGTGGGGGAGTGTGTTGCTGATATGGGAGCACTCCTTCATGACACAGGATTTCATACGATTTTATGGATGAAGAAAGAGAGGCCTGAGGTGTGCCCGCTGCTGGCCACATGGTTTGTTAGGAGCAAGTTGCCTGATTCTCATTTCGATGCACCTGTCACCCCCTTGTTGGACTTTCTCTTGCTAGTTTTAATTTGCTGCCCCACCTGACCTGGCTCCAATTAACCCCATCGGCCCTAAGTCTCTCAAAACTGCCATCTCCGGAAGCCATTATCATCAGCAAACTAACACAGGAACAGAAACCCAAGCACTGCACGTTCTCACTTATAAGTGGAAGCTGAACAATGAGAACACATGGACACAGGGAGGGGAACAACACACACTGGGACCTGTCACTTTGGCGGGGGGAGGAAGAGCATCAGGATACATAGTTAATGCAAGTGGGGCTTAATACCTAGGTGATGGGTTGATAGGTGCAGCAAACCACCATGGTACATGTTTACCTATGTAACTAACAAACCTGCACATCCTATGCAAGTATCCCGGAACTTAAAAAAAACCATAAAATTAAATTAAAAAAGAAAAGAAAATCACTATTGTTTACAAAAAAAAACCCAACAAAAACAAAACTGCCATCTCCTTATATTTATATATTACCATTGTCCCCATTATCTCTTGTGAACCTCAGGAGAATTCTGTGCAATGAGTTCTTTTCATCCTTCAGTAGATGAGACAACTCTACAGAAGGAGGTAAGGGCCTCACCCGCAGCCACCCAGACAAGAATTCAGTGCTCCTAACTCCTGGGCTGTTGCCTGAGCCCCAGTTGCTTCATTTCATCACGTGTTCTTCCAAGGGGGCCCCTATGGCACACTGTGCAAACCACCGTCTTAGACAGACTGCCTGCAGGGATCAGGCTGGAACCAACCCCACTAGTTGGGCAAGCATTTGTACTTATGCCTCAGGTAAGGTCTCAGCTCTCCATACTAACTGAAGGGAGCCACACCTGGATAGGTAGCACTAGAGAGGCTGGCTAATCCTCAGATCTGTCTTCTGCACACACAGTTTCATTCTGGGACCCTCAGGTGATGGTAGAAAACTCGGCATTTCTGAGACAAGCAACGAGGTTCTGCCCTTTCTGCTCAAGATGAAACCATCTTCCAAGTACCCCCTCCTGCACCTGCCCTGGGGAAAGGTAGTGCAAATAATACCTCATTATGCTGCTTTCTTGAATATAGACAGAATAATAATAATAGTAAGTATATTTAGCAAATACCACTTGTTGATTACCCTCTCAAGTCCTTCACATATATTAACTCGTTTAATTTTCACAACAACCTAGGAGGAATCTACTATCTTTGTCACCACTTTTACTGATGAGGACACTGACACACAGAGATAATAAGTTGTATGGCAGCCTGTGTCTGGAACCCGTGCTTTTAACCGGAAGGCTTTGGAGGTGATTTGGGACTACAGCCTCACCTCCATCCCTTCCCTAAGCTCCTGTGCTTTTTTACAGTTTGACATCTCTGACTCCTGAAAATATCTTGGAATAAACACATTTGAAAACTCTGCAGAAAGAGGGCCTGGCTGGAGGAGGGTGGATGGGAAGCTGTGCAGAGGATACAGTTCCAAGGCACCAGTGCAGATGTATTCAGTGCCAACGTGTGTGTGTGTGTGTGCACAGATGCACGTGTTTGTGTGTGTGCATGTGTGCACAGATGCACGTGTTCATGTGTGTGTGCGCGCAGATGCACGTGTTTGTGTGTGTGCATGTGTGCACAGATGCACGTGTTCGTGTGTGTGTGTGCGCAGATGCACGTGTTTGTGTGTGTGTGCACAGATGCAGGTGTTCATGTGTGTGTGCGCAGATGCACGTGTTCTTGTGTGTGCATGTGTGCAGGTGCACGTGTGTGTGTTTGTGTGTGCAGATGCACGTGTGTGTGTGCGTGTGCACAGATGCATGTGTGTGTGCGTGTGCACACACATGTGATGAGGGACAATCGAGAGAATAGCAGAGCCAGGGAGTCCTGATGTCAGGAAGGCCACTGGTGCTCCTGACAGACCCTGGGAGCATGAGGAGCACTGTAGGGGGAATATGAAGGGCTCCATGAACAGGCCCTATTCAAAGGAGACATGAGAAGCAGCCTTGAGGAGCACCAGCGTACCTGAGTGGATGTCCACTGACTAATCCGGGCTCCCCTCTCCCAGTGGGGAATAATTTGCATTACATACTAGGCCAATGGTAAGCCCAGTGAGTTGGCAGGACTTGTCCCTGCCCCTGAGGTTTCTGTGGCGGATGGACCATGGCTGTCTTGGTGTGTCCAGGAACCTGGTGGGGCTCTGAGATCATGCAGCAAGAGTGCTCATTGGAGACAGAGTTCTGTGACATGGTCCCATGTTTGCCCCTCCCCAGCTCTGTGACTTTGTGCAAGCCACCTGCCAGTGACCCTTTTTCCTTCAGCTGTAAGATGAGATAAAAATCTCAGTTGTCTTCCTGGGTGCCCTGGGAGGATCAGCAAGACATCTCAAATAAAAGTGGCTTTCCTTAGAAAGCACAGGGTCTTAGTCAGCAGCTTTCCCTTCTGGAGTGACCTGGAGGCCACTGTGGCCAGCAGGAGTGTGCTCTGGGGAACACAGAGGCTTCCTGCCTGCCATCTGGGGCCTAGAGCTCACAGAACAGCCTGGACAAAGGTCCCTGGGCCATGTCCAGGTCAGAGCCCTGGTTCCTCTACTGTGCACTGCACTGGACAGTGGCTCCTGCGGGGCAGGGTAACTCCATGCTCAGCCAAGACTGACAGCACAGACCCTGGATTTCCACAGATGGCTAGAAGCTGGGCTTCGGAGTCAGTAGGACTTGGGTTCAAATCCTGGCTTTGCCACTTTCTAAGGGTGTACTCTTGGCAAATCTAGCTAAACTCTCTGTTCACGTCTGTAAACTGAGATAATAATACCCATCACACAGGATTCTCCTGATAATTAAATGAGACCATGCATGCAAAGCTCTTAGCAGACTGCCTGGCATGTGGTAACCTGTCACAAATGACAGCTGCGTTTACATTACTGACAGGTAATGAAAGCTCCTCAAATGATTCATTGGATACATAATCAGGGACTCTGATTCCACCTGCAAATCCCCAAATGCCCTATGTCCTGGGGGCACAGCAGCACTCTCACATTCCCTCTGTCATCACCCACCGTTCCAGCCCCATAGGACTTAGAAAGGCAAGAGGACTCTGCTGGGGCCTCGCTGGGCAGGCACAACTGAGTCCCAGGGCAGTGTCGGCTGAGTTCCCACCCGGACCAGCATCCTGTTGAGGCAGCTGATGGAATAAGCCCCAGGCACCCAGTCCTGGTCCCAGCCTAAATCTGAGCACCATCAAAGGCACTGCTCTCCATCTGACACCCTTCTCCCATTTACCCTCCTCTAGGCCTTCTCTGCAGGGTCTGGTGAGTCCCCGTGTGCCCTTGTGCTTCTATGTTTAAGGCACAATGCTCCATCCTGCTTGCTGCCTATTTATGTCAGGAGGAAGGCCCTGGGCTGGGAGTCAGGATGCCTGGGTTCAAGTTACAGCTTGTCCCTGACTGGCCTGTGCAACCTGCAGGGAAGTCATTCATCCTCTCCCTCCAGGCCTCAGCATCTTCTTTTGGGCAGTGAGGGGCTGGACTAGATAATCTATATCCTTTCTGTTCTGACTTTTGGTGGTCTTGTGACACCAAGGAGCTTCACAGAAGAGCTACTGCAGAGAATGTCTCTGTAGACCCATGAGGCCAGAGCCAAGTCCAGGATTCCCAGCACCGCCTCTACCTGCTGCAGTCCTTCTTTCTACTGAGTGGTTTGTTCATTTCGCAGCTTCCTGGGCTCAGGTCTCTTCAAGATGCTCTGAGGCACTGGAGAGGTCCAGAGTGAATCCTTCATGTTTGTACTGTTCCCTTAATTCCCCCTTGCTCCCAGCCCTGGGCCCAGGGTTGGGAGCACAGGGACGGTACAAATGTGCAGGGATTGGCAGAGCCCTCCAGTGCCCCCTGGAGCATCGTAAGAGGACTTGAGCCCAGAGGTCCAGGAGACACATGGAGTGGGGTCGCTCAGGCCTCCCCTGGGCTGTTGATTGCTGACCTGTCAGTAGCTCCACACAGACGGGGCACCACCTGGGTTCTTTATATTTTATCTGAGATCCCAGAGCTCTGGGAAAGCGAGGGGGTGATCGTGCCTTTCTTCATGTCAGTGTTTTGCTGGAAGGTCTCACTGCTGATTTCAGCAGTAATAGATCCCTAGGCGGACTCCTACTTTCCCCAGCACCTTAAATTCAGGATCCCTCAGACGCTACCACCTCATTCTTCCACTCCTGCAGCCGACCCCCTCCTCCCTCTGCCCACACATCCCACCCTGGGTCTTACAATTTCCATGACTTCCCCTCCCTCTCCTCAAACATTTATTCCCTCCTCTGGATTTCACCTGGACTGAAGGATTATCAGATTCCTTTTGCTCCTTCTCAGGGCTGCCTCTCACCTTCCCTGCAGCACCGGCCCTCACTCCATTCCCTGCCTATCCTGTCTCCTCTCATCCCTGTTCCCCACAGTCTTAGACGTTGGAAAGCAAGCCAGGCGACCGGCGCCCTTTCCTGCAGCTTACTGGACATGGGAGCTGAGGAGCAGCTGAAGGGCTTGCTCAACCTATGTCACAAATACACCCGAGATTCAGATGCCATGGGCAGATCTGGATGTCCAACGTCATGCATTTCCCCCACCTTCCTATCAGCCTTGTGAGCAGGGACCCAGCGGCTGGGTGGGAGTGGGGCAGGAGTGCACGGCACCCATGGCCCTGACTGGCCTGAGAACCAGCACATGGAGAGGCACCGATGTGGCAGGCTGGCGAGCATCTCACACCTCCCCCCAGCCACCTGCACCTCTACTCCTGAATGGAAGGTGGGCAGTAGACAGAGTCCAGGATGGGGTGAGAAGAACCGATTTCCTGCACAGCCCCTGCTGTTTACTTATTTCATTGTTACAAATACGTAAACACCAACTCAGGGAGTGTTAGTTACCTTAGATGTAAAAATGGGGACAATGTCACTTATTTCCTGGGATTGTTATGAACATTTAAATGAGGTAAAACATGTGCGATGTTTTGTAAGATGGGAAGAGGGATAGTGGTGTTAACGATTGTTATTAGACAGTCAGCAGGCTATGTGACTTGTGGGTCGAGAGAAGGTCTCCTGGCTTAAAGTATCTCTCTTCTGTCTGTAAAAAAATTTCCCCCTTTAGATTCAACTCTGGGTTCGTCTGCTCCTTCTGGAAGCTTCTTTTCATGTACCCCTGGGAGCAGTAGTGACACCACAGAATCATAATGCCAAGTGAAATGAGGCAGCCCTAAAACCCTGGAGAGTTTTTGATTTCCACTCACTATAACATCTAACTTCACCATTAAACCATTAGCACCCACTGACCTCACTGGCACAAATAATGCAACAGATTGAATCACAGAGAGTGAGCTCCGACAAGGAGGGGATTCAGAATTGGTGTATTTTGATGGGATGATGAGGAGTGGAGGGAATTTTGAGACTGGAGTCCAAAGGGTGTTTGCCCATGTAGAATGAATATCAGGCATTCCAAGGGGCACAGACAGACCTGGCCTCAGAATTTTTGGATCTGCTATGCATGCTCTCATTTGAACCAAGAGTCACCAATTAAAACGCCAGGGTTAGGGCTCCCCATCCCATCCATTACGGCTGTCCCAACCCCACCCTCCTAAAACCCCCACCTCACCCGCTACATATTTCCCCTTAGCTTCTGCCATCTCCTTCTCACAATCCCAGTCCAGCCCCAGGTTATAACCTTCCTTTTGTTTGATATCTTCTCCCCACAGGAAAAAAAAAAAGAGCCCAGATTTCTTGGAAAAGTTGTTTAAGAAGGACAAGAATCATGAGGAGAAGATCAATTTTTCTGAGTTTGTCTCCAGTGTTGCTGCAGTTGCTAAGGAATTACACCATCAGTCCCATGGCCAGAAGCCCTGTTCTAAAGGTTATGGATGACCCAGCCCCATCTCAGCCCAGCCCAGCCCATGGGCTGTCCACCCAGGCCCTGGCTCAGCAGACACCAAGAGCCAGTAAACTGGTCCCCTGCTCTGGTTGCTGGGTTCTTTTCCTTTTTCTCTTTAAATATGCATGTTGGCAACACAGTTGATTCTTGATTAGCTACTTCGTTCTTTCTTTCTTTTTTTTTCTTTTTTTTTCTTTTTTTGAGACAGAGTCTTGTTCTGTTGCCCAGGCTGGAATGCAGTGGTGTGATCTTGGCTCATTGTAACCCCTGCCTCTTGGGTTCAGGTGATTCTCCTACCTCAGCCTCTCAAGTAGCTGGGATTACAGGTGGCTGCGACCATGCCTGGCTAATTTTTGCATTTTTAGGAGAGACAATGTTTTGCCATGTTGTCCAGGCTGGTCTCCAGCTGATCTGCCTGGATCCTGACTTCAAGGAATGTGCCCACCTCGGTCCCCCAAAGAGCTGGGATTACAGACGTGAGCCACATTTTGTTCTTTTTTATGTGGTTATCCCCATCTTTTATAGGTTTGGACATACACACACAAACACACACAGGCACACAATTTTTGTGGTTACCTTTGAAATTTTAACTTGCAATATATACTAGACTAGAGTTAATCAATATCTCTATTCTCCTCCTAAACAATGTAAATAATTCACTTTAAATTCAGAGACTCCCATTCTGGCTTGTATGCTATTATTTTTTCAGCCTTTTAACTCTCCTTAAAAATTATGTCCCTTATTTCGGAATGATTATTATTATTTGAGACAGGGTCATGCTCTGTTGCTGAGGCTGGAGTGCAGCAGGCTGAGGGTCATGGCTCACTGCAGCCTCGACCTTCTTAGCTCAAGTAATCCTTCTGATTCAGCCTCTTATGTAACTGGGATTCCAGGCACATGCCACCATGCCTGGCTAATTTTTTATTTTTTGTAGAGATGGAGGTCTCACTATGTTGCCCTGGTTAGTCTCAAGCTGCTGGGCTGAAGGGATCCTCTACCTTGGCCTCCCAAAGTGCTAGGATTAGAGGTGTGAACCACTGTGCAGGGCCAGGAATTATTATTTTTGATTTAACAAATATTTAATTAGGATTACCCACTTGATCCACCCGCCTCAGTCTCCCAAAGTGCTGGGATTACAGGCGTGAGACACTGCACTCAGCCAAGATTTTTAAATGTGCAGCTTCACTCTCAATTTCTTCTTTTTCTCCTTTCATTTTGATGTTGTTGTTGTAGAAACTGGGTCATTTGTCCTGTAGAATTTCCTACAGTGTGGAGTTCCTGATTGCATCCATGTGGTGTCAATGAACAGATTACTCAGCCTCTCTCTTCCCTTTGTAACTCGGTAGATCTAGAGCCTTAAGCATCTTCAGGGTTCAGGTTTTTTAAAGCAGATTGCTTCAAATGTGGGGTTGTCTACTATCAAGAGTACATGTCTGGGTGTCTTTTTCTTCTGTATCAGCTATGAATGATCATTGCCAACACTGGGTAAATCCAACTCTGTCTACACTTCTGCAGATAAACAAGTCTGGAGAAAAATGTGCTTACCTTGTTGACTGGTCACACTTCAAATTCATGACCACTAATCCAACTGCACATTCAATACAAATAAGAGAGTATTTGCATACTTCAATTACCCCATCTACCCTCTTATCAGAATCAGTGGCCATACACTCTGCCTTCCCCCCACTACTATGAACTTTTTATGTTCCCAGCAGATGTCTATCCATCCTCTTTCACTACATCCCATCCTCCTTGCTTTTTTCAAACACCCTCTACAGAAATTCTCCTCTTTTTCTTATGCACCATCATTTTTTTTCTGTTTTCTGGTCTTTTCATTCTATACAAATACACTGTTATTTGTCTGACCTTAAATAATTATTTTGACTTCACTCTCCTCTGCAATCTTCTCAATTCTCTGCTTCCATTTACAGTATTTAAAAAATTTTTATGGATGTCTAATATTGTTACATACTTATGGGGTACATGGGTGACATTTTGTTACATGCACAGAATGTATAATGATCAAGTCATGGTATTTAGGGCATCAATCACCTCAAGTATTTATCATTTCTATGTGGTGAGAACATATGAAATCTTCTCTTCTAGCTATTTTGAAATATACAATACACTCTTGTTAACTATAGTTGCCCTATTCTGCCATAAAACATTAGATCTTATTCCTTCTATATAGCTAGATGTTTCTATTTGTTTAGCCAATCTCCCTTCACCCCACCCACTCACCTTTCCCAGCCTCTAGTAACCATCATTCTCCCTACCTCCATGAGACCAACTTTTTTTTTTTTTAGCTCCCACAGATGAGTGAAAACATGTGATATTTATCTTTCTGTGCCTGGCTTATCATCTCTCGGTTTGTTTACATCTTCTATTGTCTTCTCTTATTTCCATTTCCTATTTTTATCTTCTCTGTTGGTGTACTTGGCTTTTTTGAATGCTGAACATTAAAAATGAATTTTTTTTATTTCAGGATATGGATGATTTTCTCTCCCTCTAGAGAATTTTCTTTAGCTTCTGGAAAGGAATTCAAGTAGCAGATCATTTAAATCCAATCTAGGATAAAGTTGATTCAAAACTAAATTTTAGGATTTATATTTCTGATCCATATACTTATTCCTAGGAGTAGCACTTTAGGTGTTCTAACTGAAATCCTGGAATGTTTAGAAGGGTACCTCTACCTTGGAAATCCTCTGAGCTTTGATGTTTATCTCCTAAAGGCTCTTACTAGCTATTTAGGTTTTTAACAAAGATTTTCTGATGGTCTGTACCTCTTGTCCTGTGCAACTTGTGAAAAGACGCATGCCTCAAAGGGAGAAAATTAGAGTAATCAACTCACCATTTGTTGCTTCTCTTTTATCTAAATTCTTGGCTTTTCAAGTTCTGGCTGTGTTGGAAGTCCTCAACACTGATTTTAATCTCACCAGCCCTGAATGACTATTAAAGTCGCAAATAATCTTCTTTGTCTCTTAGAAGTTACTTTCTGTTTGGTTTTTAACTTCTTTGTACAAACTACTTGAGAAATGATAAATTCCTCAGGAAGAGAAGCAGCTTTAATTTTGAGTGCATTGATCGAGTCTTCTTTCTCTTGGATAACCAGAGCCTTCAAGTCCTGGTTACTTGGTAGCTTTTTGATGCTTTGAAGCAGAAAATTTTCTGATTTTCATCCACGTTTTCTATGTTTTGTTAGGATAATTAGTCTGCTATGAAAGTATTCCATAACCAGAAGCAGACATATTGGCAGTAATGCTGAGCTATAGGAACTCTTGGTACTGTTGGTAAGAAAACAATAGTCAAGCCAAGAGCACATAGAGTCTGTGTCCCAGGTAGTCTACTTTTTGGAATATATATATATATATTCCAAAAAATATTCACACAGATACATAAGGAAATATATATAATGATGTTCCCCATAGTATTGTTTGTGGTGTTAAGGAGTGGGAGGCAATATGAGGTTAGGGAAGGTATTCGTGGAGAAGTGGGTAGACAAATACTGTGGCAGCAGATTATGAAGTAAATGTAGCTCGGATGTAATAATGCTAACTGTGCATAGAGCAATGTGGATATGAGTTGGAGTTCCACTTTAAATTTCTTTAAAGTTACGTTGTTGCATTGCCTGAAATAAAGGCTCTCATGCTCTTCTATGTAATTCCCAAAGAAGTTGATTGGCTCATATTAACTGCTTTAATTTACTTCAAAACATGGTAAAGAATAATAAAAGATAAAAAATATTTAAATAGAAAAATAAACCAAGGAAACCAAAGACTCTACTAGAAATTGAGTTTTAATATGAAATTGAAAATAATGGTAAATAAATGATGCTCCTAGTGAGAGGCAGTAATTCTTTAATCCAATAATATTAAGGCCAAAGAAAGGAGAGCACTGAAGCTTATCTGGTGCTGGTCAGAACTCTTGTAAAATGCAAGTTACAAAAACAATAAGATATTATCTCACACTTAGTTAAAAAAAAGTATATATATAAAATCTGTGATGAATCAACCCATTTCCTGGGCAAGAATACCAAAGAAACTACCTCGCAGATTTATAAGGGAACATGTATGAGTATGCTCTCATGGTGTTTTTATAGTGGCAGGGAACCAGAAACAATCTGGTTGTTTATCAAACACATGGTCTTTTATGATTTTCTGCTTCTTTTCACATTGTTCCCTTTGCCCTCTTTTCTTCCTGGAAAGTTGAGATCACTCTTCAGGAGCCTACTGAAAAACCACCTGCATGTGGGGGAACATAAGAGATTCCTGTAGAGAAGGCTGAATAAATGTCAGTCAGAAGAAAGCAAAGAGAGACAGGAGTGACGTCACAGTGAATTCAGCACCACGGACAGCTCACAGCACTCCAGCCCGGGCGACAGAGTGAGACTGCGCCTGAAAAAAAAAAGTTATTGGAATGTTTTGATATCAGAATTTCTGGGGAACATTTGGATTTCCAGAATCTCTTTCACATCAGCTGTAATGTGAGTGTGGGCATAGAGCTGTCAAGTATTCTTTCTCTTTAGTACCAATATAATGTCCAGTAGCTATTAATTATTCCAAATCAAGTAAATTCTTGCTCTAGTATGTGTTAGAACAAAGGTTGAATTCTGATCAATATGACACTAATACCTGTGCCCTTAGGCCTTGCTCTAAAATGTCCTCCTTCCAATGCAGAATGACACATTGCCCCACCCTATTCCTTGACACTCTTTCGAAGGAATATTGGATGAAATCAAATCAATTTTCTATCTGGTGACTGGAGCTCTGGGCTGTGGTTGCGGAGATGGTCTGGTCCCCTCTCCTCTTCATATCCATCTGCTTCTGTTCTATAAGCCACCTTGGTGAGTTTGGAATGACACAGTTCTCTTGACGACCTGCCATAGCAAATCAGCAATATCTCAGGATTTGGGATCTTAACTAGGAACTGTATGCCACACATGTGTCCCTGCCCTGTGATCACCTCTCTGGGATGACATGGGTGTGTAAACAGAATATCCGAATAGATGTGATGAGTCCTGCATTGACATAAGCATGGAGAGTGTGAAATAGTCTCAGGAACATTAGACAAGGCTCCCTTGAGAAGGTGATTTCTAAAACCTAGACAAGAAGATGAAGAAGTATTTGTCCACACACTCCATCCTAATTTTTATGTGCCATTGCCAATTGGACGGAATATTATCAGGTGAAATAAGAACTGGAAAAATAAAGGGAGGGCAGGCCCACATTAGGAGTGGCCAATTGCCTTCTGGACTGTAGCGATGGATTGAAGGTCCAGCAACCCCACCCCAGGGAGACCCTCTCTTCTTTTGGGAGATCAGTACGTGAGTCCTGAGGGAACTGTTCAGTCATTTGCCTTATCCTTTCTGGCCTGCTTCCAGACTCTGGGGTCCAGATTCTGGGGTCCTCCCCTAAGCTGCACAACCTGCCTCCAGGACTGGAAGTTTTTGGATTTTACACTGCTGTTTACATAAAGTAGTATTGACTAGAATTTGCACAAATACATTTTATATTGAAAAATGATATAGAGTACTTATTATGAGCTGGAATCCAGTACTACTATGTGCTGGGTAACCAGGAGATCCGAGGTAACAATGTTTTCCCTCCATGATTCCAAGTCTGGCTGGAAAGACATTAGGGGAATCTGAAGTAATGTAGCCACTATGGTAAGAGTGGGGTCATGGTGAGGGAGGCACAAATGAAGCAGAGATCATTTCTTTGGGGTGAAGGGATGGTGGTTCACCCTCTGAATGTCTAAGAGACACTGACATTAAAGCTCAGCCTTGAAATGTAATGTTAATGAGACAGAAGAAGTATTAAAAGACATTTCTGGTAGAGGCAGTAGTTTAAAAGATTGGTATTGAGACATGAAATACTGAGATATATTGATGGGGGGTATGTTGCGCATTCGGGGAATAACAGCAGCAAGGTGAATAGGAGGGATTCAGAGAGTGCTGCACAGAGAGGAAGTCAGGCACCCACACTTTTGGGACCCTGGCATGACGGTTCTAAGCAGTGACCAGCAGTCCCGGTGGAGGAGAGAGGAGGACAACAGGGGAAGATGGTTCTGGGCTGGAGATCTGCAGGGAAGGTATGGCCCAAGGAAAGTGGGCAACAGAGCTAAGAGAGGAAAGAGAGCAATTCTGGGGTGGATGATGGAGGGCAGGCTGCATAGAGAAGGCAGCAGGGGGCTGGGAGGAGAAAATGAAAGCCCAGGGACTGTAGGTCTCCGTGAGTTCCAAGAACAGGTGGAATGAGAATGAGAAAGGGAGAGAAGGAAAGAGAAGAAAACTAATGGTCAGACATGGGGATTTAGAGGTGAAAATGGCAGATCAGTCCTGAAGGCTGACGAGGTGCAGAATATGTTCAGGAAGGAATGTTCCTGATAAGGAGAGGAGATGCTGGTCTGTGAATAGAGGTGTGAGTGTGGAGTGGAGCAGTCATTCCAAAGAACAAATAGCCCATCTTACACACTGCTGCTGGTAGGATGGAAAGAGAATTTTTGAGATGTTTGCCTGATTCCTCCAAGAAGAATGTTTGCCTGATTGAGAGGTTAGCTGGAGACTGACCAGAGTAGTAAGAGTGATAGGGACACATGATGTGAGCCTCAAGGAAGAATACTAAGAGCGGCTGCACAGAACATTGCCTGGAAGTGACACCAGGTGAACACTGACCCTGTGTTGTGGCCTGCATGGAGAGACCCGCCAGTGCACTGCTAGGACAGCACTGTGTCCTGCCTGTTTCTGCATCCTCAGCCCATAACACACTGCCTGGCCTGGAGTAGACTACCAATAACAAACTACTCCATTACCTGCGAGATAGAGGTGCTGCAATTTCTCATCACAGTCAGCATGAGCTCTCTGTGTCAGTCCTTACAGAATTTCCGTGATGCTGCCTTATTCCAGCCAGACTGCTTACTTGGACTCCTGGACCACTTAGAGCTCCTCAAAATCTGGAATATTCATTCATCACCAGAAACCCAGTCCTGGCATTGAGCAAACCATCATTTAGGACAGCTAAGCATCACAGTGACTCCTTCTCACTTCCACAGGGTCACCCACATAGGCACATGCACACAAGCACACAGCACAGGGAAAGGACACTGCCCCTGGAGCAGAGGCCACAGGACAAGGAAGCCCATCCTCAGGGCACTGCTGAGCCTCCCATTCATAGCCCCAAGGGCGCTGAACCTGAAGCCATCCAGGAATCCCTATGTGAGTGGTTTCTGTTTCCCCAAGCCCTGGAGAACAGCTGGGGCAGGAGTGGGAGGGCAGGAGCACACTGAGAGATGCCAGCTCCTTCTCAGTGCAGTATCTGAATGTGTCTGAATGACCCTGGTCCATGCCTTGACAAGGAGAGCATTGCTGTGACCTGGCAGGGGCCTTCTACCAACTTCCACCTGGAACCTGCCAAGGTGGCTGCATTTAGGGAACGGTGCAGAGGCAGACACCAGGACCTGTGTGAGAGGCAGATCAGCTCTGCTGGAGGCCATAGGGGGAACGTTGCTGGAGGGACATTACTCCTGGGTGACCCACTGGATGGGGGTGGGGGAAATTCTCCAACAAAGTTAACCTGGAATTGGTAGTTTTGACAATGTAGGTCACCAAAGAGAAGAAGAAATAAGGCAAGTGTCTGGTGGGAGGAGACACTTATTGTTCCTGGGGTCTCTGGAGGCCCCTTGGTGGGGCTGGATCACTGGCTTCCCCCAGAACAGGGCGCCGCTCCATGGCTCTGCTTGTGGTAGTCTGCGGCTATGTCTCCCAGCAAGGACAGAAACTCAGAAAAATCAATCTTCTTATCCTCATTCTTGTCCTTTTTCTCAAAGACAGTGGCGAGGTAATGTATGCCCTTTTTGTCCTGTGAAGAGAAAAACATACAAAATAGAAAAATTCAATCACAAACAAGTTTTGGGCTGGGAGGGGAGAGGAGGAGGCAGAGATACAGACAAGTACCTAGATCTGCACAGGCATGGTCGTGGGGCTGAGAGCACAGGGTGAGTGGGTGAAGTTGGGGTGAGGACGTGAGTGTTATCCCTGGAGTTCTCTAAGGAGACTTTTTGTCTCACACCTCAGGATGGGAGGCAGGTCCTGTCCCGAGGCACTCTGTTAAGTGACCTTGGGGAGAGCAGTCCCCTGCCCCAGCCTCAATCTTGCCTGTTCCCAGCATTTAAGGGCACTGCCTACCTTAGTTCTACCCCAGGGCCTCAAAATTGGCCCTCATGCTTTGTTCTCTTCTTTCTCTGACCTCCTCTCCTTTCTTCTCCTTTTCCACCAAACTCATCTTCTGGGTTCCCTACTCTTGGTCATCTAGACCCTTTGGTACCTAGTAGCCCACAGGTTTTTTCAGATTTGCCAATGAGTTTTCTTTATTGCAAAGAGGGCTATTGATTTCTACTAGCAATGGAACTTCTAGTGCTTTCCCAGTAATCTCAGGGATGTTGATGTGGGGCCTTTGGGAAGCAGGACCTGAGCATGTGAGTTTCAGTCTCACAGAGAGAGGGTCAGTGAGCGCTGGGAGGGGACTGTGCACTGTCCTCAAGCTGCACACTTTGCTGACCATCTAATAACCTCCTTTATATCTGTATAACTCTTTCCCATTTTCATACTTTTTCGCCTACCATCCTTAGATTCACATATGATCCAAGCAATAAAGCCCTATTTGCAAATGGGAAACTTTTTAATCAGAGGATGAGGGTGACCTGTCCAAGGCCACATAGCAAAATGTATCCTCAGCCATGCCAGGGTCCAACCAACATTGAGAAGCTAGACCCCAACTCACACAGGCACTGAGGAAATTGGGGAAGTTCTCCTTCATCATCGTCAGCAGGCTTGGCTTCTCAATCTTGCCATCACGTCCGGTGTATTTGTGAAACATGTCGATCATGCCTATTATGGACCTCTCAGCTTGAGTGTTGCTCATCTTTGCTTTCAAAAAGCCTTCAGGAAATAAAGACAATCATTTCTTACCTTAGTTTGAATTAAGGTCTCTATGTGGGGGTGTTAGAAGGAGGGCTGAGGACAGAGTAAAAACAGCCCTAAGATGGAGCAGAAGGAACTTGATTTTTTTAAATGTGATGGGATAAGTTGTTCAAAAATGAGAGGGTAGGACCAAGTCTGAGACCCGGCCCATCCTGGCCAGGGCCAAGAAGAGATGCAGGTGGATGGCAGAAGTCCAGCTGTGGACAGTGCTTCAGAGAAGGAGAAGCAGGGAGAGTCGGAGGCCAGCAACACATAGAAGAACTAAGCTGGGACCCCCCAGCCTCAACCAGCACATGGCGGACCCCACTCTTGAAACAGCACCAAATCCATCTCCTCCAGCTTCACAGTCGGGGTGAGAGTCACGGGGGCAGGACAATGGCCTTGGTGATCTGGTGTCTGACCCTCCTCGGCTGCTTCAGGAACCAGACACCGTGGGCCCCACCTTGACTCAAGTGCAAGCCCTGCATGACACAGTGCGTGCAGGCTCCAGGTGCACATGTGAGCGTGGACATGAGTGTGAGCAGGAAACACAGCCCTCTCCCGAGGACAGGGGGCCCTTCCTACATTCCCTTGGGAATGAGAAACAAGAATTGCCTCTGTTACAAGGAACAGAAATAACTCCCTGGTTCTTAAGCTGCTGGATGGGGTGGGAGTGAGGTGGGAGTCGCTTCATGTCTGCTCTTGGGAAATATCTGCACCCTCTGAATCACCAAGGGTTGACCCTGTTTAAATAAAAATGTCTGACTTTCCAAAGCAGATCTTCCAGCCAGTAGCCAGCCTGGGCTGCCCTGCACCCCAAGCCTGAAAAATAAGACAGTGCAGCTCTCATTTCTACACTTTCCAAAGAACCAGAAAAGGACCTTGGCTAACGCATGTGGGCATCTGACAATAAACCCCCAACACCTCTCAACGCAGGAGAAAGCTCCGTGCCAGCAACTGACTAAGAGAAGCCACTCAAAGCTTTCTGAATCTGAGGCCAAGGCCAAGGCCAGAGGCCAAGCCCTGTGCCCAGAGATTGACTGAGAATTTACAGGTCCAAGGCCTGGGGGTTTGGAGAGCCTCCAAAGCATTCACAGGGGATCCTTATCCCTCCTCCCTCTGTGGGGGCAGAGCTGGGGAGGGGATTCAGCAACTGGGATCCCAAAAGGAGAATGAATCCAGGGAGGAAGAAGACAGGAAGGAAAGGGAGGGTCCTGTGCTCAGGTCCCACTGGGGACATTTCCACAGGAGTTGTCTCAGGAGATCCCAAAGGAGCAATGGACAGGTCTGGTTCAGCCACCTGGTTGTACAGACGTGGGCTTTTGGGGTCAAGTGAAGGTCACACAGCCCAGCTAATGGCAGAGCTGGCCTAGACCCAGGCTTCTGAGACTTTGTCCACAGCCCTTTCCCTTCCTACAGGCAGCATGGCAGGCTGGGCACTGGGCACTTCTAGAAAATGCAAAGAGGCAGGTGAGACTTACCAGAACTGGGAAGTGTCACGAGTAGAAGGATGAGTGAGATGTGTGTGTTTGGACAAAGAGCAGTCCTTTATAAGGCTCAGCCTGGCTCTTCCCACGGGTTGGGAGGCCTGGGGCCACCTCTGTCATCTGTTTCTTGGAGGCTTGTCCCATATCAGGTGTGTGGGACACACCCAGGAGGCTGTGCTCAGGATTTCTGGCCAGGGTCCCAGGTCACCAGGTCCCACCCCACCCCAGAGACCTCACCTGGGGCCTTCTCTGGCTCAATCTTGATTTGAGGGTAAGGCAGCGGTACATGTGTAGTAACAGGTCAGGAAATGGGAGAAAAGAGCACTGGGCCTCTGGACCCAAAGAGAATGGAGTTTCAGACTCCCAAAGGCAGCATGGTCTTGTTTATTCCCTCCCCCAGTACTTCCACACATTTGTTGTGACAGCCTGTTCTATGACCCCCACCGCTTACTGAGCGTTTTAATGTCTAGACATCAAGACACCTGCTGCTCTTGCATCCTCCTCAACCCTCCCCTCATAGTCTTAAGAAGCAGGTGCTGCAATCTCTATTTTAGGAAAGGAGAAGTTGAGATGTTCCCAAGTTTACTCAGCTAGTAAACACAACAAATCATCACACGAACAAAGAAAAGCCTGAATCAAATCCTTACTCTTATCCCCTGTGCTATAGGTCTTGGGTTGCATCAGGGTCTGCCCTATGGGAACTCAAAGTCCAGGGAGGGAAGCAGGATTACTTCATTGCTAACCATTGGTCAGCCCCTCACAGAAGCCCTGGATTTAGGTGGGGGGACTGGGGTCAGGGGCCTCACTATCTAGGTTGAGTGGTGGAGTGACCCCCGCCCCCCCCGCCCCATGGAATGAGCCTGGAGGTAGGGAGTGGGAAAAGTTCTTTCCTGCCCCATGGCACTAACTTCCCAGAAAGTCTTCAGTGTTTTTCCTCCTCCTATGCAAAACAGCCTGTGTAGGAGTTGGGAGTTGTGCCCTTGGCTATAATGTGCCCTAACCTGCTGTGGAAAGCCTGAACCAGGTAGGGGCAAGAGGGTTGGGAAGGCACAGGAGTCCCTGGGGCATGGTGAGGAAAAGGAGATGATGAATCACTGAAATGGACTTTTTCTGCTACCCCCTTACAATGTTCCTTGTAGGCCGCAAGAGGTCCTGGTTCATTTAGTGCCAGCCCTTTAAGCACTCTGGGGCTCCATAGAGCTGATGTGATGTCTCCCTAGGTGGGACCTATTTTCTCCACCCATCATCTTTCTTCAACTTCCTTCTCTGTCAGTTCTTATGTAACCAGGGGGACCTGTTTCTCCCTCTCCCAGTTTCCCATATGACGGCAATATTACTTTTAGCGGCAAAAGATACACACACACACACACACGCACACACACACAAACACACACACAAACGCACACATACACACACACACAGACGAATACTACTCAACCATAAAAAGAATGAAATGATGACTTTTGCAGCAACATGGATGGAACTGGAGGCTATTATCTTAAGTGAAATTACTCAGAAAAAGAAAGTCAAACACTGTGCACCCTCATGTGTAAGTGGGAGGTACATCATGCATACAGATGGAGGTAGAGAGAGAGTAGAATCATAGACACTGGAGACAGTGAAGAGCAGGAGGTCAGGTGGTGGGTGAAGGAGGAGACATTTCTTAGTGGGTACAATGCGTGTTATTTAGGATGGCTGCATTAAAAGCCCGGACTTCACCACTGTGCAATGTGTTCATATACATGTGTATGCAGGTTTTTGTGTGGACATAAGCTTTCAGTTCTTTTGGGTAAATCCCGAAGAGTGTGATTTCTGGATCCTATGGTAAGAGTATGTTTAGTTTTTTAAGAAAGCACCAAACTGTCTTCCCAAGTGGCTGTACTATTTTGTGTTCCTGCCATCAATGAATGAGAGTTCCTGTTGCTCCACATCCTTCTTTAGCATTTGGTGCTGTCAGTGTTCCAGATTTTGGGCATTCTCATAAGTGTGTACTGGTATCTCATTGTTGTTTTAATTTGCATTTCCTTGAGGACATATGATGTGGAGCATCAGCTGATATGCTTATTTGTCACCTTCTGTATCTTCTTTGATGAGATGTCTGTTAAGGTCTTTGGCCCATTTTCTAATTGTTTGGTTTGTGTTCTTATCTCTGAGTTTTAAGAGTTCTTTGTACGTTTTGGATAACATACAAAGTCTGATATGTCTTTTGTAAATATTTTCTCCCAGTCTGTGGCTTATCTTTTCATTCTCTTGACAATATCTTTCACAAAGCAGAAATGTTAAATTTTAAAGAAGTCCAGCTTATGAATTATTTCTTTCATGGATTGTGCCTTGGTGTTGCATCTAAAAAGTCATCACCAAAACCAAGATGATCAAATTTCCTCTTATGCTACCATCTAGGAGTTTTGTAATATTATGTTTTGCATGTAGGTCTATGATTCATTTTGAGTTACATATCATCACTGTTTATAAAAAAAAGGAACAGAAGAAATGCAATACAAAAGGAATCAGGGACAACAATATTAATACAAGACAACAAAGAATTCTAAGAAAAGGGATTAAATGAAAAAGAAGAATATTTCCTATTGATTAGTGTGCAAGTCACCAAGATGCAATAGTCTTATCTTTTTTTTCTTTCTTGTTTTTTCTTTTTTATGAGACACACTTTTGCTCTTGCAGCCCAGGTTAGAGTGCAGTGGTGTCATCTTGGCTCGCTGCAATCTCCTCCTCCTAGGTTCAAGCGATTCTCCTGCCTCGGCCTTCTGAGTAGCTGGGATTATAGGCGCCTGCCACTATATCCAGCTAATTTTTGTATTTTTAATAGAAATGGGGTTTCATCATGTTGGCCGGGCTGGTCTCGAACTCCTGACCTCAAGCGATCCACTCATCTCGGCCTCCCAAAGTGCTGGGATTACAGTTGTGAGCCACTGCACCTGGCAATAGTCTTATCCTTATATACACAAGAACATAATATTGAATTATACAAAGCAAACATTGAAATAAATTAATGAAAACTGACAAATTTATATCACTTGGCAGTTTCTGGCAGAGTCTGCCCAGGAACTCAACAGAGTCGTCAGATAACAAAACACCAGTAATGGTGCAGAGCAGGGCGGGCAGATGCTGCCACAGCCCAGAAGCAGCCCTGGACATAAGGGCCCCGTGGATGAAGACAGCTGTTTCTAGTAAACACTAATCTCCAGAATTGGTTGGCCAGCTGGATTTGGCTTTAAGACCATAATTTGCTGATTCCTGATACAAAATATTTGAAGGACACACTTAAATTTATTTATATACACGTGCATTCATAAATTTGTGCCTGACCATAGAGAATACATATAAATTTCTTTTTTTGTATTGAGGTTCTTTATTAAATTAATTATATAATCTGTATTAGATAATTAACGTTTTTACAAAAATTATTATTATACTTTCAGTTCTAGGGTACATGTGCACAGCGTGCAGTCTTGTTACATATGTATACATGTGCCATGTTGGTGTGCTGCACCCATTAACTCGTCATTTACATTAGGTATATCTCCTAATGCTATCTCTCCCCGCTGCCCCAACCTCACGACAGGCCCTGATGTGTGATGTTCCCCTTCTTGTGTCCAGGTGTTCTCATTGTTCAATTCCCACCTATGAGTGAGAACATGTGATGTTTGGTTTTCTATCCTTGCGATAGTCTGCTGAGAATGATGGTTTCCAGCTTCATCCGTGTCCCTACAAAGGACATGAACTCATCCTTTTTTATGGCTGCATAGTATTCCATGGTGTATATGTGCCACATTTTCTTAATCCAGTCTATCATTGATGGACATTTGGGTTGGTTCCAAGTCTTTGCTATTGTGAATAGTGCTGCAATAAACATACGTGTGCATGTGTCTTTATAGCAGCATGATTTATAATCCCTTGGGTATATACCCAGTAATATGATGGCTGGGTCATATAATGGTATTTCTAGTTCTAGATCCTTGAGGAATCGCCACACTGTCTTCCACAATGGTTGAACTAGTTTACAGTCCCACCAACAGTGTAAAACTGTTCCTATTTCTCCACATCCTCCCCAGCATCTGTTGTTTCCTGACTTTTTAATGATCGCCATTCTAACTGGTGTGAGATGGTATCTCATTGTAGTTTTGATTTGCATTTCTCTGATGGCCAGTGATGAGCATTTTTTCATGTGTCTTTTGGCTGCATAAATGTCATCTTTTGAGAAGTGTCTGTTCATATCCTTTGCCCACTTTTTGATGGGGTTGTTTGTTTTTTTCTTGTAAATTTGTTTGAGTTCATTGTAGATTCTGGATATTAGCCCTTCGTCAGATGAGTAGGTTGCAAAAATTTTCTCCCATTCTGTAGGTTGCCTGTTCACTCTGATGGTAGTTTCTTTTGCTATGCAGAAGCTCTTTAGTTTAATTAGATCCCATTTGTCAATTTTGGCTTTTGTTGCCATTGCTTTTGGTGTTTTAGACATGAAGTCTTTGCCCATGCCTATGTCCTGAATGGTATTGCCTAGGTTTCCTTCTAGGGTTTCTATGGTTTTAGGTCTAACATTTAAGTCTTTAATCCATCTTGATTTAATTTTTGTGTAAGGTGTAAGGAAGGGATCCAGTTTCAGCTTTCTACATATGGGTTAGCCAGTTTTCCCAGCACCATTTATTAAATAGGGAATCCTTTCCCCATTTCTTGTTTTTGTCAGGTTTGTCAAAGATCAGATGGTTGTAGTTGTGTGGTATTATTTCTGAGGGCTCTGTTCTGTTACATTGCTCTATACCTCTGTTTTGGTACCAGTACCATGCTGTTTTGATTACTGTAGCCTTGTAGTATAGTTTGAAGTCAGGTAGTGTGATGCCTCCCACTTTGTTCTTTTGGCTTAGGATTGTCTTGGCAATGAGGGCTCTTTTTTGGTTCCATATGAATTTTAAAGTAGTTTTTTCCCAATTCTGTGAAGAAAGTCATTGGTAGCTTGATGGGGATGGCATTGAATCTACAAATTACCTTGGGCAGTATGGCCATTTTCACAATATTGATTCTTCCTATCCATGAGCATGGAATGTTCTTCCATTTGTTTGTGTCCTCTCTTATTTCGTTGAGCAGTGGTTTGTAGTTCTCCTTGAAGAGGTTGTTCGCATCCCTTGTAAGTTGGATTCCTAGGTATTTTATTCTCTTTGAAGCAATTGTGAATGGGAGTTCACTCATGATTTGGCTCTGTGTTTGTCTGTTATTGTTGTATAAGAATGCTTGTGATTTTTGTACATTGATTTTGTATCCTGAGACTTTGCTGAAGTTGCTTATCAGCTTAAGGAGATTTTGGGCTGAGGCGATGGGATTTTCTAGATATACAATCATGTCATCTGCAAACAGGGACAATTTGACTTCCTCTTTTCCTAATTGAATACCCTTTATTTCTTTCTCCTGCCTGATTGCCCTGGCCAGAACTTCCAACACTATGTTGAATAGGAGTAGTGAGAGAGGGCATCCCTGTCTTGCACCAGTTTTCAAAGGGAATGCTTCCAGTTTTTGCCCATTTAGTATGATACTGGCTGTGGGTTTGTCATAAATAGCTCTTATTATTTTGAGATGTGTCCCATCAATACCGAATTTATTGAGAGTTTTTAGCATGAAGGGCTGTTGAATTTTGTCAAAGGCCTTTTCTGCATCTATTGAGATAATCATGTGGATTTTATCTTTGGTTCTGTTTATATGACGGATTACATTTAATGATTTGCGTATGTTGAATCCTTGCATCCCAGGGATTAAGCCCACTTGATCACGGTGGATAAGCTTTTTGATGTGCTGCTGGATTTGGTTTGCCAGTATTTTATTGAGGATTTTCCCACTGATATTCATCAGGGATATTGGTCTAATATTCTCTTTTTTTTTGTTGTGTCTCTGCCAGGCTTTGGTATCAGGATGATGCTGGCCTCATAAAATGAGTTAGGGAGGATTCCCTCTTTTTCTATTGATTGGAATAGTTTCAGAAGGAATGGTACCATTTCCTCTTTGTAGCTCTGGTAGAATTCGGTTGTGAATTCATCTGGTCTTGGACTTTTTTTGGTTGGTAGGCTATTAATTATTGCCTCAATTTCAGAACCTGTTATTGGTCTATTCAGGAATTCAACTTTTTCTGGGTTTAGTCTTGGGAGGGTGTATGTGTCCAGGAATTTATGCATTTCTTCTAGATTTTCTAGCTTATTTGCATAGAAGTGTTTACAGTATTCTCTAATGGTAGTTTGTCTTTCTGTGGGATCGGTGGTGATATCCCCTTTGTCATTTTTTATTGCGTCTATTTGATTCTTCTCTCTTTTCTTCTTTATTAGTCTTGCTAGTGGTCTATCAATTTTGTTAATCTTTTCAAAAAACCAGCTCCTGGATTCATTGATTTTTTGAAGGGTTTTTTGTGTCTCTATCTCCTTCAGTTCTGCTCTGATCTTAGTTATTTCTTGCCTTCTGCTAGCTTTTGAATGTGTTTGCTCTTGCTTCTCTAGTTCTTTTAATTGTGATGTTAGGGTGTCAATTTTAGATCTTTCCTGCTTTCACCTGTGGGCATTTAGTGCTATAAATTTCCCTCTACAGACTGCTTTGAATGTGTCCCAGAGATTCTGGTATGTTGTGTCTTTGTTCATATTGGTTTCAAAGAGCATCTTTATTTCTGCCTTCATTTCATTATGTACCCAGTAGTCATTCAGGAGGAGGTTGTTCAGTTTCCATGTAGTTGAGTGGTTTTGAGTGAGATTCTTAATCCTGAGTTCTAGTTTGATTGCACTGTGGTCTGAGAGACAGTTTGTTATAACTTCTGTTCTTTTACATTTGCTGAGGAGTGCTTTACTTGCAACTATGTGGTAATTTTTGGAATAAATGTGATGGAATAAATGTGACGTGGTGCTGAGAAGAATGCATATTCTGTTGATGTGGGGTGGAGAGTTCTGTAGATGTCTATTAGGTCTGCTTGGTGCAGAGCTGGATATCCTTGTTAACTTTCTGTCTTATTGATCTGTCTAATGTTGACAGTGGGGTATTAAAGTCTCCCATTATTATTGTGTGGGAGTCTAAGTCTCTTTGTAGGTCTCTATGGACTTGCTTTATGAATCTGGGTGTTCCTGTATTGGGTGCATATATATTTAGGATAGTTAGCTCTTCTTGTTGAATTGACCCCTTTACCACTATGTAATGGCCTTCTTTGTCGCGTCTGTTCTTTGTTGGTTTAAAGTCTGTTTTATCAGAGACTAGGATTGCAAGCACTGCTTTTTTTTGCTTTCCTTTTGCTTGGTAGGTCTTCCTTCATCCCTTTATTTTGAGCCTATGTGTATCTCTCCACCTGAGATAGGTCTCCTGAATACAGCACACTGATGGGTCTTGACTCTTTATCCAATTTGCCAGTCTGTGTCTTTTAATTGGAGCATTTAGCCCATTTACATTTAAGGTTAATATTGTTATGTGTGAATTTGATCCTGTCATTATGATGTTAGCTGGTTATTTTGCTCGTTAGTTGATGCAGTTTCTTCCTAGCATCAATGGTCTTTACAGTTTGGCATGTTTTTGTAGTGGCTGGTAACGGTTGTTCCTTTCCATGTTTAGTGCTTCCTTCAGGAGCTCTTGTAAGGCAGGCCTGGTGGTGACAAAATCTCTCAGCATTTGCTTGTCTGTAAAGGATTTTATTTCTCCTCCACTTATGAAGCTTAATTTGGCTGGATATGAAATTCTGGGTTGAAAATTCTTTTCTTTAAGAATGTTGAATATTGGCCCCGACTCTCTTCTGGCTTGTAGAGTTTCTGCCAAGAGATCCTCTGTTAGTGTGATGGGCTTCCCTTTGTGGGTACCCTGAGCTTTCTCTCTGGCTGCCCTTAAGATTTTTTCCTTCATTTCAACTTTGGTGAATCTGACAATTATGTGTCTTGTAGTTGCTCTTTTCGAGGAGTATCTTTGTGGCCCTCTCTGTATTTCCTGAATTTGAATGTTAGCCTGCCTTGCTAGATTGGGGAAGTTCTCCTGGATAATATCCTGCAGACTGTTTTCCAGCTTGGTTCCATTCTCCTCCTCACTTTCATGTACACCAAGCAGACTTAGATTTGGTCTTTTCACATAGTCCCATATTTCTTGGAGGCTTTGTCCATTTCTTTTTACTCTTTTTTCTCTAAACTTCTCTTCTCACTTCATTTCATTCATTTGATCTGCAATCACTGCTACCCTTTCTTCCTGTTGATCAAATTGGCTACTGAAGCTTGTGCATGAGTCATGTAGTTCTCGTGCCATGGTTTTCAGCTCCATCAGGTCATTTAAGGTCTTCTCTATGCTGTCTATTCTAGTTAGCCATTCATTTAATCTTTTTTTCAAAGTTTTTAGCTTCTTTGCGATGGGTTTGAACAAACTCCTTTAGCTCGGAGAAGTTTGTTATTACTGATCATCTGAAGCCTTCTTCTCTCAACTCGTCAAAGTCATTCTCCATCCAACTTTGTTCCGTTGCTGGTGAGGAGCTGCGTTCCTTTGGAGGAGAAGAGGTGCTCTGATTTTTAGAGTTTTCAGCTTTTCTGCTCTGGCTTCTCCCCATCTTTGTGGTTTTATCTACCTTTGGTCTTTTATGATGGTGACGTACAGATGGAGTTTTGGCGTGGATGTCCTTTCTGTTTGTTAGTTTTCCTTCTAACAGTCAGGACCCTCAGCTGCAGGTCTGTTGGAATTTGCTGGAGGTCCACTCCAGACCCTGTTTGCCTGGGTGTCACCAGCGGAGGCTGCAGAACAGCAAATATTGCAGAATGGCAAATGTTGGTTCCTGATTGTTCCTCTGGAAGCTTTGTCTCAGAGGGGCACCTGGCTGTATGAGGTGTCAGTTGGCCCCTGCTGGGAGGTACCTCCCAGTTAGGCTGCTTGGGGGTCAAGGACCCACTTGAGGAGGCAGTCTGTCAGTTCTCAGATCTCAAACTCCGTGCTTGGAGAACCACTACTCTCTTCAAAGCTGTCAAACAGGGACGCTTAAGCCTGCAGAAGTTTCTGCTGCCTTTTGTTCAGCTATGCCCTGCCCACAGAGGTGGAGTCTACCGAGGCAGGCAGACCTCCTTTAGCTGTGGTGGGCTCCACCCAGTTCGCGCTTCCTGGCTGCTTTGTTTACCTACTCAAGCCTCAGAAATGGCGGGCACCCTGCCCCCAGCCTCACTGCCGCCGTGCAGTTTGATATCACACTGCTGTGCTAGCAGTGAGCGAGGCTCTGTGAGTGTGGGACTGTCCGAGCCAGGCACGGGATATGATCTCCTGGTGTGCTGTTTGCTAAGACCACTGAAAAAGCACAGTATTAGGGTGGGAGTGACCTGATTTTCCAGGTGCCGTCTGTCACGGCTTCCCTTGGCTATGAAAAGTATTCCCTGGCCCCTTGTGCTTCCTGGGTGAGGTGATGCTCACCCTGCTTCAGCTCATGCTCTGTGGGCTGCATCCACTGTATTGCTCCCACTGTCTGACAAGCCCCAGTGAGATGAACCCGGTACCTCAGTTGGAAATGCAGAAATCACCTGTCTTCTGCTTCGCTGGGAGCTGTAGACTGGAGCTGTTCCTATTCGGCCATCTTGGAACCTCTCCAAAAATATCAAACATATTTGAGACATCCAAAAAACTGATCATTTGTTTTTGCTAAAATCAAAATCTTAGCAAATTAGCTTTAATAGGGGCCTTATCTTTTGCACCTGCTCATCAGGTTGAACCCTGTGAGCCTTTCCCCTGTGTCATGTCTGGAACAAACACTCTCCATAAACCCACCCCATCCTATCACACATCCAACCTCCCAGCCACTGCTGATCCCCCAGGAGAGCTCACAACAGGCTGATTGTGAACAGGAATTTGGCTGGTTGATATCTTCATCTCCTCTATCGTTTTGGGGAGCTCGCCTCTCCCCAGCCTGAAGTAGAAGCAACATACTCCTGGGTCTCTAGAAGATCTCAAGTTGCTGGGGGAAGAGGACAGAAAGCAATTTGTTCTTTTTGCTGTATTTTATCCATTCATTTATGCTGTGAGTGCTGACTCTGTTCTGGGTGTGCAGGTGTCAGGGTGGCAGGGAGATGGAGTGGATGTGGACCATGCTTTGAGCAATGCTCTGGCCCCAGGAGAGAACTCCAATATAAGGCACTGGGTGGTGAGAGAGTAGAGTGGGACAGAGCCCGGAAGCCCCCAGGTCCCCAGGCAGTTCAGTGGTCACTTTCTCTGTGAAGCCTTCTCCAGGCAGAGCCATCATCCCCATGTCCCTGCATGTCTCAGTGACAGCCCTGGCCACACATATGCTATGTTTGCTGCCGCCCAGCCATGTCTTATATTGTGCCCCCAGCCTCCAGTGCAGAGAACTCCATAAACATTGGCCAAACTAGCAAGTGAGGCAGGTGTCTTCAAAAAGGTTCAGATAAAGTGTGTGGGAATTTGGAAGAGGAGAAATCACTTTTCAGGTGGGGGAACCAGGGGAAGCTTTGTAGGGGCATCCTTTCAATAGGCCATAGAGCACTTCCAGGAGCCACGGTGAGAGGGACAGGGCAGAGGGAGCCACGGGAATGTTCCAAGACAGCCAGCTGTTCTGTTTGGGGTCCTTCTGGGTGGTGCTGGCCAGCTGCATCTCTGGACTCGTGCAGCAGTTGGGGGAGCGGGACAGAGAGACAGAGAGAGAGTTCTGCAGCATTCACAAGAGGTTATTAGGACTCAGTTCTGCTGTGAGCCATCCACACTGGAGGATGAGAACACCCAGCTGCAGCCCAGAGCCTGTGGTCCCACTGTTAGGTTTTGAAGGGAAGGCAAGGGTTAAAAAAAGACACAGAGAGAGTTGGTGGCTCTATGGAAATGCAGGTTTTATGTCCAGCACAAGACCTGAGGAGGTGGGGGACAAGCTTAATGCCAGAGCCCCCTGCCGCTTACAGGCTGGGGTAATTTATAGGTCTAGGTGGGGGTCTGGGCAGTATGGCTAGCTCGCCGGGAGGATATTGATAAGATGTTCCTGTGATCAGGCGGTTTGGACCTTTTTCCAGCGGGATGTGATAGGCTGTTTCTTGGACCTTTGCCCCGCAGGATATGATGGGGATGTTCCTTCAGTTGCGCCTTTGCCCAGCAGGGTATGATAAGGATGCTCTTGTGCCTTGCGGTCAGGTGGTTAGGCAGGATGTTTCTCACGGCCTGAATCCACATGGAATGTTTCACTCTGACCAGGGTCCGCAAAATGGCAGGGGGCTTACAAAAT
The DNA here is from genome assembly GCF_000001405.40 of Homo sapiens. Lineage (NCBI taxonomy): Eukaryota > Metazoa > Chordata > Mammalia > Primates > Hominidae > Homo > Homo sapiens. The sequence goes on along the minus strand of NC_000001.11, from coordinate 153,405,357 downwards.
GGTGCAGTTTGGACTAACACCCACCATCCTGTCGAATGGGTTTGCTGGGAGGATTTACTGTCAATTCTGTTAGCCTGATAAGGGAGGTTGCTTTCTCGGAGGCCGCATACACAGACAGTGCTAGGAAGTGACCCAAGCGTACCCTGAGAAATGTATCTGTTCAACCAAATTTCAAGTTGGCAATGATCATTCCTCATCTCGCCCAATTTTAAGACGAGGCTGGGCCGTGTAGGTAAAACTGGCAAGCTGGAGAAAGCAGTGCGGGGTGGGGGGGACTCCAGGAAGGCTCCTTGGCCAAGGAGGACTGTAGGATTCTGACTTACACTGTAAGGGCTGTTCCTGTTACAGTTGGCCCCAGTCAGAGGCCCAGGACAAAACTCTGGCCCTGAGTGCAGAGAATTGGTTTTCTGTTTCCCAAGCTTCCACACGGTGGCGCCACCGAGCACCCACCTCGCCCTGGTTGTCGCCGGAGGCAGTACCACGTGGCTGGGTCCTTCGTGGTTCCCGCCCTTCTGTAGGTTGTGAGTCCCACGTCGGGCACCAATCTTGCACCTGTTAAAAAAAGAGATCTTCACCAAAAGCTTCTGAAAGGCAGAGGGCTTTTCTTACTTAATTTGTATTCTTTTCTCTCTCCAATGCTTACCAGAGGACACTGCATAAAATAGTATATTGGGGACACAATTGTTAATCAAGTGGTAGAAACAGGAAGAGATAAAAATAATTAAATTTTTAGTAATGGTGGGTTAAGTAAATCTTGATGCCTATACACATGGAATCCCTGTGATGATACGAAATGGACATTTGGTCTTTGTCCCTGTTCCTGACACCGAGCGTCTGAAATCCTTGGAATCTCCTGAATGACAGGGGAGAGGGAGCATCTTTTGTTATTCATAACAATCCCCTTCCAGTCATGCTGAGTGTGTGCTAATGAGGTGACTCTTGGTGGACCCCTAGATAGCTTCAGGATGGGGCTGGTTGCCAGAGGAAGCAACCATGTGATTAGAGGGCTGGAGCTTTCAGCCCCACACTGGGCCTCCACAGAGCGGCTGGGGAAGGACTTCAATCACCAGTGGCCAATTATTTAATCAACTATGCCTAAATGAAGTGACTGCCATAGAAACCCCAAACGATGGGGTTCAGAGAACTGTAGGGCTGCTGAGCAGGTGGGGTGCCGGAAGGGTGGGCTCCTGGAGTGGGCCTGGGAGCTCCATGCTGCCCCTCATACATGGCCCTGTGTGTCTCTTCCACGTGGCTTTTCCTGAGTTGTACTCTTTGTAATAAACCAGTAATCATGAGTAAAGTGCCTCCCTGAGTCCTGTGAACTCTTGTAGCAGATTATCTAACCTGAGGAGGGGGTTTGTAGGAACCTCCAATTTTAGCCAGTCAGTCAGAAGTATGGGCGGTCAGGTGCTGCGATTGGCATCTGCAGTGGGGGCAGTGTTGTGGGGCTGAGCCTTCACCTTGTGGGGTCTGTGCTAACTCTTGGTAGTTAGGATCAGAACGGAATTGCACGATACCCCGATGGTGTTCAGAGTGTTGGAGAATTGGTTGGTGTGGGGATTTTAAAAAAAGGAAATATAACCCCCACACATTTGGCGTCAAAAGTGTTGTTAGTCAGAATGGTTCTGGAATTCCATATAATGTAGCTATTTGGAATCAATCACTCAAAAATATTTAAGAACTGGGGAGATGTTTTAAACATAGTCCTAATTGAAAAAGCAGATCATAAAACAGCTGGGAAAGGGCAGGGCCGTGGCCCACAGGGTGGACGTGGAGTGGGGGTGGGGAGGGGGTTAATGTGACATGATTGCTCCACATGAGACAAGGCCACGGAACTCAGGAAACAAAGCTTGTTTTGAGCAAGAGTCGTGTCAGATTTCGACAGGAGGTAGAGCAGAGAGAAGATATCTTTACATAGGTGAAGCTAACAGTTCATGATAAAGTGTTCTCAGCCTTCACATTCACAGTCAATTGATTTTCAACAAGCCCGCCAAGCCAATTCAATGGAGAAAGAATAGTCTTTCCAACACATGATGCTGGGACAAGTGGACAGCCACATGCAAAATAATGAAGCTGGACCCCTTCCTTCCTTCATACACACAAATTAACTCAGAATAGGTCACAGCCCTACACATAAGAGCTAAAACTAAAACTCTTAGAAGAAAATATAGAAGTAAATCTTCAAGACTGAGGTCTTGAATATCTTTGCATATGCTACTGAGGCTTTATGACTTTACTTTCCACAGTTAGACCTACAATCCACTTGGAATTGTCATTTTGTCTGCTTGTGTGGTCTAGTTTCATGAGCATGAGCATCCAGTTGATCCAGTAAAATGTATTGAAAAGCTTGTGCTCAGCAGTGCCACTTTTGTCACAGAATAAATATACCATACGTGTGTGTCTTTTTCTCAGACCTCTATTTAGTTCTGTTGATCTATGTGACTGTCCTTGAACCAGCCAGGCAGTATCTTAGTTACCGGAGCTGTTATGATAAATCTTAACATCTAGTACTGTAGATCCTCCCATGTCTTTTCTTTTTCATGATTCCCTTGGCTATTCTTGGCCTGTCTATATACTTTTTACAGTTAACTTGTCAATTTCTACAAAAATTCCAGCAAGGACTTTGGGACTGGGATTGCACTGAATCTATAGGTTACGTTTGGGAGAACTATCAGCTTTACAATAGCATGTAAAGCTGCTATGAACATGGCATATCCCTTACTAAAAACTTTTAGTGGCTTCCCATCCTGCTTAAAGTCCAAATTTTGCAAAGTCCTCGTTGGCTTGTCCTCTGCCTGCCCCTCAGACCTCATCTCCTGTCTTTCTGGGCTCCATTTACACCACTCCAGCCCTTCTTTCTGCCCCTCTGTCAGCCCAGGCTGGCTCCTACCTGAGCACCTCTGTTCCAGCTCTTTCCTCTAACCATGGGGCCCTTCTCCTGCTCTCCCTAAGGTTGGATTTCCTGTTATTCGGGGACAAGGTAATGTAGTGGTTGAGAACAGGTATGTGGGGCCCATGGGCCTGGGTTAGAAATGTGCCTCTGCATTACTAGCTGTGTCCCCAGCATGCTCCTGTAATTGTCATTCCTTGGGCTTTTTCAGCAATTGTTAAGAAGATGAGATGAATGGGTGGATGTAAAGCCCATGGAGCAGTGCTCAGCAAAGAGGAAGAACTTAATACTGTTAATCATCTTCTCACTCTCCAGCAGCCTCCTGGTCCTACAGAAGCAGCCTAGGGACTCCCTATGCTCAAATCCTATTCTTTTTCTCTACACGGCAATAATGTACCCTTTCTTTCTCTTTATCACATTTTCTGTGAGGATTCTAATGCATCTAGCAGCTCCCCCTTCAAGCACAGCCCATCTAACACACATTTCAGATACTCTTGAGGCTGTTGACTGGGATATCAGGTTGCTCTAATCCTAAAGATAAAAAAGGTCTGGAAAAAAGAAAATAGATATACACTGGTAAGAACTGGCAAAAATCCCTAAATATTCCATCAGTATAACCCGATTCATCGTCTCAAGTACCATATGAGATTTCTTTAATTTTTAAGGTAATTACTTGATCCTCTTCACCACCACCTCACCGCCCTCTTAGTCAGAAATTGAATATTATCCTGCTTGAAGTATTTCCAATTCTTGAGGTGTCTAAAACCCTGGGTGCGGCCGAAGCGGGGATGGGGGTGCTTCAGGGCCAGTTTCGGGTAACCTCCTTTCTCAATTTCACCAGAAAGCGCTACTCCTTTGCTGTACTGGCTTCTGGATGTCACGGGACATTGTTTTCAGTGTCTGGTCTGCACACTGGAAAGACATGAAGACTGTGTTTGTCAAGATCACAATCTTAGTCCTGGCCATGGGTGGTTGGGTTGTGACATGGGAGATGCATGCTTGGCACCATGTTTATGGTTCTTTTCTAAGTACAGTAACCTGAAGTTTTGGCCAAATGTCTGTCTCCACCTACAGACTATGAGTTTCTGGAAGGCAGAATGTTATTCAATTCATTTCCGCCCCCTTTCTCCACAGCACCTAGCACAGGTGCACCTAGCACCTAACACGTGGCAAAATTCTGATAAACATTAAGGAAGAGTTGACATTAAAATGTATAAATAAAAGTAATTTAATGTCTAACAATAATGGATTCATAAGACAAATTTTGATAAATGCAAACAGATGATCGCTATGTACTCGCCAAAAATCAGGCTAGCATTGATTAAGCATGTGAGATGTCCACAGCATAACATTAAGCAAAAAGTGCAGTTACAGCGCAGCTGTGCAAGGGATCATCACTGGGTATTGGCATGGCGTAGGGGGCTGTTTTGTCCCAGAGTGAACAAAAGGTAGGGTGAAAAGGAGTGCAGTCTGCCCCCCATCCCCAGCCATAGGTCAGAAATGAAGTTTCTTCTAAACAACAAGCTGTTATCCAGCAATTGTCCAACAGTAAGCCATATGGGTATACCAAATTTGTTAATTAGATAGTTTTAAGGTTTTGCTTTTATTTTTGTTTCTTGGTTATGGATATTGCAATGGTGGACATTTTCCTGATGATTTTTAAAATATCTGTTTAATTAATTGTTTTGGGAGAAATTGCCAGGGTAATGATGGCTGAACCAAAGAATTCGATACAATTTTTTGTAGCTCTAGCTTGGCAATGCTGAGAAATTCAAGCCATGTTTTTAGTTTAGAAACAGGAAAGTGTATTGATGAACCACTTGTTTGCTGGGGAAATCTTTATGTTGAGTAGATGAAGGCTCACCCAGCAAACTGGAAAAGCTGTTGGCTTCGGTATCTACCTATGATTTTCTCTCCAGCCTTCAGAGATGCATAGATGGAGTCTCTGGTTTGATGACCTGCCCTTTGGCGCCCCATTCTGGAAGATTCAGTCATCAGCCTGTGCAGGCCCTCCCAAGGGAGCTGTGTGGGGTGAAATGGGGCCAAGTAGAAGGGGCCGGCTGGGAGAAGTCTTGTGTTGGGGTGAGTTGGCAGAGGGGACCCCACCTGTCACTCACTCAGGGGCCCAGGTAGCATCTGTAGGGATGTCGAGCCTGAAGGTCTGGCCCCTCTCAGAGTAGGGTGACTTCCACATTGCAGTCGGTGATTTACTAGTAAACAAATCTGGTTCTACCACTTCTCTTTCACCTCCCGTCCATCACCCAACTGATTTAAAAAATCCTCTATTAGCTTCCTCTCTTGTTTGTGTATCACAGTCTTGCCCTGGCCATGGGTAGTGGGGGTTGTGAGGTGGGAGATGCGTGTTTGGCACCAAGTCTGTGGTGCTTTTCTAAGTACAGTACCTTGGAGTTTTGGCTAGATGTCTGCCTCCACTGACAGACTATGAGCTGGATAGGATAAAGTCACAGTTGTAGCTTGGCACAGGGTCTTCCGGTCTTGTCTCCCTCCTGCCTCTCCAGCCTTGTTTCTTCTAACTTCTCATTGTGCACCCTGTGGACTCCATCCCCTGAGGGGGCCGCGCTCTTTTACAGCCCCGGGCCTTTGCCTGTGCCATATCCTCTGTCTAGAGTGCCTGGTTCTCCTTTCCTCCTTGCAACTCAAAATGTCTCTTCAAGTCGCAGCTGAAATATCGCCTCCCTAAGGAAGTCCCCCCCAACTCCCCAGGTGGAAGGTGTCCCTTTCTGGGTGCCTGGAGCACCTGTCTGTGTCACTCAGTTGGCTTCCATGTGCCTAGTGACAGTGTGTGACTGTCCCCTCACATGTCCCCACCCTGTGAGCTGGCCCTGTATCTGATGCATATTGCCTAGCAGAAGGCCTGGCACACTGTAGGTACTCAAGAATATTCGTTGAATGAATGAAGGAATGAATGTGCTTCATGACAGTGGAGTTTGGGGGTTCACTAATGGAGGGAGGACACCCCAGGGAGATGTAGTTAAGTGTGTGTCTGACCCCACCCAAGCCCTGGAGCTGAGAGGACAAGCTCTGAGGCAGGGAGACAGATAATGGGACCTTTTGTGATTCTTAGATGCTTCAGATCCTGCTCCAAGGGATGTGGGCCCCTGAAACTGGTTGAGTTAATCTTAGCAAGTTAAGTGTTGTGATGTCACCTCAGGAATGCAATTAAGGCTCAGTCCTGCTCCTGAAGGACCTGTGAAGCATCACAACACTGGCTGCCATAATTGGAGGCATTGAGGATGGGTGGGATGTGGGGCTTGGTGGTGGGTTCGCGGCTCACACAGGTGCCTCCTGCCTGAGCGTTGGGGAATCTCTGGGATCAACTACAGGCTGGATCTGTGGATTTGGATACTCACCCCAACAGTGACAGGTCAGTGCCTCTTCCAAGAGAATTGTGGGGGTGAGGGTTTGTGTTGGATCTGTGCAGGTTCTAAAAAGCAGAGGTGGGGACAGTTTACCTGTTTGGAGAACACGTACAGTGTGGATGGGCATCCCAACAGCACAATCGTGGCCCAAGGCGGGTGTAGGACTGGAACTGAAAGCATGCCTTTGGGCTTGTTCCCAAAGACATGGGTTTGAACGAAGCTCCAAGTGGATCATTGTGTGATCTTGGGGAAATTACTTATCCTCTCTGGGTTTCATTTCCCCCTTAGGAAACTGGGGGTAAATATGCTTGCTTTCTATGGCCCACGTGAGGGTTACGTGGGATACGGGATAATTTGTATAAAGTGCTTACCTGGTGCCTGGCTGGCTCCATGAGCGGTGGAAGCAGCAGTTGTCCTGATTCCTATCTGTAGAGTCCAGGGAGCACTGCTGATCTGACAGGGTGATCTTGTCTCATCTCCAGAGGAAGTGGGGAGTGGGAGGTCACAGGCATCAGAGCACCAGAGAGGAGCTGCACAGAGGCTCTGGGAGGGCCATGGGAATGTGAGGGCTGAAGGGATGGTGCTGATGGCATGGGGACTCCCTCTGGAGAGGGTGGCACAGTGTGGTGGCAGCAGGAAGAGAGGTGGGATCCATGCCCGGGGGAAGGATAGCAGGGACTGCGGTGGCCCCCCTAACCAGGGTGGGAGTAGGGTGGGGTGGGGTTAGGAAACATTACTTCCCCTTCCACCTCTTATCCCCAGAGTCTCTCAGACCTGGACAGGCCCAGCACCCAAATCCGGGCTTAGACAGCCCTCAGGCCCTGCCCATCTTCTTTGTCATCAAACGTAGACCCATGATTACTGGGCTCCTTGGGGCCTGCAAGGGTGTCTGTGGGGTGCTGCTGTCTATCCATGCCCTGGGGTGTCTGGACTGTCATCTCCAGAGGACTTCTGGTCCATCCTGACTCAAGGCCACTCCATCCAGGAAAAGGCTCTTCTTCAGTCACTTCCCATCTCCCCAGCCTTGCCTCTGCTTACTGGAGTGTTACTCTGAGGGTTGTAGAGAGGGACGGAGTGAGGGGGAAGTGATTGTTGGTGGTCCTGTTTCCAGGAAACCTTGTCCTTTCCAGGGCAAACTGTACCAGGATGGCCCGGACCCTGCACTCATGGGGGTCACAGCCCCGCCTGGGTACGGGGCCCTTGCGGGGATAGAACCTGGACACAGAAGGCGGCCCTGGGGAAGGTGGGCCGAGGTGAGGGAAGCTGGGAGAGCCTGTCCCGGGCAGGAAGCCTCCAGCTCCTCTCTGGGTAACCAGCTTTGTGGAACAGTTAAGATCACAGGAACAGGTGGTGGGGGTGGGCCCTGAGGGGAGAGAGAGGCTGCAAACCTGTCCACAGCTGCTTCCCCCAGATGGTTTCTAGGGCTTCACACTGGTCCTCATGCCCACCAGCCAAATCTTGCTGAAAGCTGCCTCACCCGCCCTGCCCAGTGCTCCCGATGCCCACCTTGTCTCTTCCCACTCTGTCCCCGTGCTGTGCTCTGGCCCCTGACTTTCTTCATGCTGTTCCTTCCACCTCAAATGCCTCTTTCCTCTCCCCTACCATCCCCATTTCTCAGCCCTCAGGGTCACATCTGGGCCGCCTGCCTCGGAACAACCTGGACAGCTCCAGGGCTCCTGGCTTTGTCCTTTCCCTTGTTCTGCGCTCTATGTGGGCCCAGCACCCAGGGGTTCAGAGGTTCGCATGCTGACCATCTGCCTGGGAATTGCTCCTGATGCAGGCAAATGCACAGGCATGCAAACCTCTGACCCCCTGGGCACCAGCCTTGCAGCAGCGCTGGGGATGCAGACTCGAGGGCCAGGTCGACTCTGCTCTTGGGGAGCTCCCAGTGTGGAGGAGGAAGGCACTGCCCTGCCTTGAGGAAGCCCTGGCTGGGGTGTTTCTCCAGAGGAGCCTCCAGTTCAGCTGTGAAGAGAAGTATAAACAGCTACTGCCAGTGGATGCGAAGTCGTCTGGGATGCTAGTGCTTCTCGGGCACTGCAGACAGTAAACCATCAATGGTGCCCAGTTTACCTCCTTTGTCTGCACACATGCAGCTAGCTCCAGGCTCGGTTATGGGGGCACCAACTAGGGGCACCAACTATGCCCCTGTCTCTTTGCAGCATTCAGAGTCCTAGTCACTGACGATTGGAGTGAGGAGTCATTTCCTTGCAGGCAAGGCCAGGCCACAGTTACCCCATCCCCTCCCAGTGGGCAGTGGGGAGCCTGGCAGGTGGGCTGTATGCCTGGGTGGGTTGTTGATGCTCTGCCCACTTCTCAGGGCCGGAAGGAGCCATACTATATCACAGAGTTGTTCCAGGCCGCAGACAAGAACAAGGACAACCAGATCTGCTTCGATGAGTTCCTCTACATCTTGGGCAAGCTGGTGAAGGACTACCACCTGCACTACCACCAGCAGCTGTGTGCCCGCTACTGTGCCCAACACAGCCTCTACTAGAGGGAGCTCAGGCAGCCTCCTGCCCACCGGTGCCGGACCCAGGAGGAGGTGTGACCTTGATATCAGGAGCTGAATGGAGAACACAGCTGTGTGTGTCTGTGTGTGTCCCTGTGTGTGTGTGCACATGTGTGTACATGTCTGTGGAAAGGACATCAATGTGAGAGAGAATAAAGCAATTTCATACATATTTCCAAGGATTTGTCAGTATATGGTTCTGGGCTTCACCTACAATCCAGAAAAAGAAGTTTCGGTCCCAAGCTGGGAAAGATCCATTTTAGATCAACGAAATAGCCCTTGCCTCCAGGGAGCCCCTGTCTGAGGGGAAGAAACAGCTTCTATCTCCAGGGAGCCCCTTTTTGAGGGGGAGACACAGCTCCTATCTCCAGGGAGTCCCTGTCTGAGGAGGAGACACAGCTTATTCCTCTAGGGAGTTTATATTGGATGGGAGAGACACCACCTCTGATTCCAGGGGGCCCTATCTGATAGGGAGACAGTCCCCACCCGCAGTGTTCAGCCTGAGAAGGAAGAGTCTCCTCTCTTGGGGAGATAGCGAGGCCTCGCTTGTGGTCACTCACTCACCCACCACACAGGTGGTAGCACAGGGGTGAGGGTAGGGGTGAACTAACATGCCGCTCCGACAGCATCCCTGCTCTGAAAGAGAGCCCCAAGAATCAGTGAACAAGGGTGGGGCTGAGCCTGGGAAGAGACCAGGATCGGGAGGCAGGTGCATTTCTAGCAGAGGGAACAACAGTAGAAAATCATAAAGTATGTCTAGGAGCAACAGAAATTTTGCTTGGAAATTAGTGTTCATGGAGAAAACAGTAGGAAGTCAGCTTGAATGGGTGGGTTAGGACCAGAGTCTGGAAGTCCCTGAAAACTGAGCATTGGAATTTGGACTTTATCCTTTTGGTAAGGGATCCTTAGTTGTTAAGTGTGGGGAAGGGGCGAGGGCCCTGGGACCAGCTCTGTGCTTTAGGAAACTAGTGGTAGGGGTTTGGGGTGGAGGAAGACAGATCAGACCTGCACAGCCTGGCTAGAGGCTGTGACGAGGAGGTAAACAGCTTCATGGGGACGGAAGGGAGGGAGGCGGCATCAGAAAAGGCAGAACATCAAGGTCCAGACCTGGGCGCAGACTGAGGGAGAGGAGGATCCAGAATGAGGTGGAGGTTTCAGGTGCTGGCGATTGGCATGGGACCTCGGTGCCTGGGTGGGAGCCAGTCTGCAGGGAATATTGTGTGCTGGGTTTGCACATGCTGAGTCAGACACTGACAGGAGCTGAGCCAACAATCCAGCCTGGCAGAACCACAGACACATGTTAAGGGAAGAGCAATGAGTAGAACCTGGGTGACAGTCAACCCAGGAAGGCTTCCTGAGGGAGAGAAGGGTTGGGTCTGTTTTTTTCTACAACATGATGATGGATGTGAGGGTTACTCCTGACCCAGGGCTATTCATGAACCACTGATCTGAGTCCTCCGGTATCCCTGACCCCACCCACCTGAGACCTGTCCCTGCCCTTGCTCTGTTTCTTTTTCCTTTTCCTCTCCCCTGGGACTCTAGGGATCTAATGCAGAATCCCTTAGGGAGGGTCTCCTCTGCCTTCAGGAAATGCCAGAGCCCACTTTAGAGGGTTGTCTTTTCTGAGGGTTGGTCTGGGAACCGGTGTCCTGAGCTTACTGAGATAGAAATCATGGATTTTGAAAGAGTGTTGGGGGGTGATATACCACCTGCGCACAGGACTGCAGGGTCACTTAAGAAACTTGGTCTGGTTCCCTCCCCACCTGGTCCTTTGCGCCAAACATGGTGGATTGTCCCTGGAGCTGAGCTGGAGACCTTGTTTCTCATCAGTCAGGCTCTGGGGCAGAATTTGCCCCTGCTGCTCCGGGCCTGGCCTGCTGTCCCTCCCACACTTGCCATCAGCTTAGTTTGCCTTTCAGGACCTAGCTGGGCCCTCCATTCCTTGGGAGATGTCTGCACCCCATTCCCCTTTGCATTCTTTCCTGTGGAAGGGCATCTTCTGCCACACTGTGCTTGTTTTGTACTCTCCGCCGAGACAGGACCTCAGTGTCCCCATAAACGCTCAGCAGGTGTTTGGGGAAGGAATGCAGAATTGGGGCCTGTGGGGCTGGAATTGATGACCTAGATCTGTGCTCCTTCCTGCAGGCCCCTGGCTGTGTCTAGAGGCATGAAGACCATCGCCTGAGTTACTTTGGCCACTCTTCTTGCAGGCCCAGGGGAGAAATACCTGTCTCACCTGAGAAGTGCTGGGCTCCACAGGCATTGAGTACGAAGCAGGGGCACCCAGCCTGAGCCCTCCCTGCCCTCTCCTGCCCCCTTCTGGGGGTTTCTTCACCAGCTCTGCCTGCTCTGTCCTCATTTCCTTGGCCTCAGGGATGGACCTGTCAGGTCTGTTGGGACACACCCAGGGACTGAGCCCTTTCCTGTAAACATGACCAGGTTCCGCTCCCTCTAGGTTGCCCCATGTCCGCTAGGCTGCTTACAGCCTCTGCCTTTCCCCAGATGTGCTTACCCAAGTCCTGATACCTTTTGCTGCAAGGTCAGTTCAGCCTGGCTCCTGCTGTCCCCAAAGCACCCAAGGCTGTCCAGGGGCGCAGTTTCTGGGGAGGGGGCGACATTTCACGATCTTGCTGGTCAGCCTGTACATGATGTGGGAAGGAGGTCACCACTCAGGACTCCCTCACTGGACCAGGGGAAGGACCTGAAGTAATGCCCTGTGCCTCAGTTTCCCCATCTGTCAAATAGGGATAATTATACTTGTAATGTCCACATCACTAGGTTGCTGGGAATATCAAATGAGTCAGTGGATGCAAAATACTTTGAAAATATGATATGGTGCTTTGAGGCAGGTGCTGTTATGCTGGTCACATAGGATAGTACGTGGTGAATAATAGGTATTAACCAAGGGTGGATCCTTGGTTGAAAACTTGTCATGTCAGAAATGGCGTTGTTTTCCTAGATGGAGCTTGATTCATCTTTTGTCAAGGAAGTCAGACTGCATTTGTTTGATGAATTTATACCCTGCCTTCTTCCAGAAATGATTTAAGATGGCTGATTGTGATAAAGAGAATTTCTGCCTTGGATAAGGGAAGGGTCAAACTTAATTTTGTATTCATTTATCCCTCAATAAGTATTAATTGAACATGTAGTAGCTGCCAGGCCCTAGGGTTGTGAAAAGAAATGTGATTTCTTTTCTAAATGGTCTCCTGGTCCCAAAGAAAAGACAGACAATAAACAAGTGAATCATAACATAGCAGGGCAAATGCTGTGATGGGTAAGGATTTGGGTAGCATGGAGGAGAGAAGAACTAATTCTGCCTTGATGGGGTGAGGGCAGGTGGATCAGGGATGGACTTGGAGCAGATGATGCCTGAGCTGGATCAGGAATGGTGAGGAGGACATTACAGGGACAAAAGGCATTACAGGCAGGAATAGGAAGTGGATGCTGTCACATCACATCATGAGTCACTCAATCATTTGATACGCTGAATTACTATGTCTCTCTGTGGGGCTTAGTTTCCTCATCTGTACAATGGGCATTATAATAGTACATACGTCATTGGATTAGTGTGAGAATTAAATGATCAATGCAAATAAAGCAGCACTTAGAATAGTTCCCGGACATGGGAAAAGCTCAGTGAGTGTGAACTAGTATTTTGTCATGATTTGCTCTGATCAGTGATTGTGGCTGCTGTTATTGTGTGTGCTGGGCACTGTGCTGGGTCCCCAATGGCTCACATCCAGAGAGAGCTGGATTTATTTTGGAGGGTGAAAGACTCCCTGCTATGTTTATGCAATGGCTCATGCCCTTGTGCAATGCAGAGGGACCCCAAGCAGCCTCCATCTCCCAGGGCACGGTGGATCCCCAGCTTCACAGAACAGGAGAGCTGTGGAGGAGTGTGGGCAGCAGGGTAGGAATGGATTTAGCCCTCGGCAACAACACATGTCCCCACAAAACATTTTCTTCATCCATTCATGTGTTGAGGGACACTTGGGTTGCTTCCACCTTTTGGCTCTTGTAAATAATGCTGCTATGAACATGAATGTACAAACATCTGTTTGAATCCCTGCATTCAATTCTTTTGCATATATACCCAGGAGCAGAATGATGGATCATATGGTAATTCTGTGTTTATTTATTTGAGGAACAAACTTGCCGTTTTCCATAACAGCTGCACTATTTTACATTCCCACTAACAGTGCATTAGGCTTCCAATTCTCTATGCCCTCACCAACACTTGTTTTCTGGGTTTTAAAAGAAGTAGTAGTCATCCTTGTAGGTGTCAGGTGGTATCTCATTGTCGTTTTGCTTCATGTTTTCCTAAAGATTAGTAATTTTCATATGCTTATTGACCATTTGTATATCTTCTTCGGAGAAGTGTCTATTTGAGTCTTTTCCCCAATTTTTGATTGGTTTGTTTGTTTTTTGTTGTTGAGTTGTAGGGATTCTTTTATATTCTGGATATTAATCCCTTATCAGATATTTGTTTTACAAATATTTTCTTTGTAACAACAGAAACACACCACAGTCTTCAAGGTTGGAAGCCAGTTAATCTGAGTAGCATTTTGTTAGTGGTGGGGAGAGGATTTGTTCCTCCTGAAATCCTGGGGAATTGGCCACCTCCTCTTCTCCTCTTAGGCATGAAGCGCGTCTGGCTTCTCCAAAGAACTCTTCCCCTCCACTACCTCAGAGTTAGCTTCCTCTCTTCAGCCAGTGATCCTGGGGTCCCAGACACAATAATTAACCAAGAGAGGGTGAAAGGCTCCCTGCTGTGTTTATGCAATGGCTCAGGCCCTTGTGAAGTGCCGAGGGACCCCAAGCAGCCTCCATCTCCCAGGGCATGGTCCATCCCCAGCTTCACAGAACAGGAAAGCTGTGGAGGAGTGTGGGCAGCAGGGTAGGAATGGATATAGCCCTTGGCAACAACACATTTCCCCACAAAGCACCCACCCAAAAGAACAACAACGATAGTTTTAGTTTTTAGTAATGAGAACAATAGTTCTCATGACTAAAAGCCATCAGCCAGGACACGTGTTCTCAACCCTTTTGCGGTCTTTGGACCCTTTGAAACTCTGACAGAAGCCATGGAGGAATGTTCTCACTGAGTGCATGCACTCAAAATGATGCATTCAACTTCAATTCAGTTTCAGGGATGTATGGCCTGACCACCAATGCAGGGGATTAGCAATCGCAATAGTGGAGAGGGCATGGGAGTGGGAATCTGGCTGGATCAAGCAAGTGGATGCCAGCAGCCCAGAAAAAGAGCCCCCCTACCTGCTTTTTCCTTCTGGGCACTATTGCCCAGCAAATGCCTTCCTCTTTCCGCTTCTCCTACCTCCCCACCCAAAATTTTCATTCTGCACAGTGATTGCCACATTCACCTGGTTGAGAAACCAGAGACTGTAGCAACTCTGGCAGGGAGAAGCTGTCTCTGATGGCCTGAAGCTGTGGGCAGCTGGCCAAGCCTAACCGCTATAAAAAGGAGCTGCCTCTCAGCCCTGCATGTCTCTTGTCAGCTGTCTTTCAGAAGACCTGGTAAGTGGGACTGTCTGGGTTGGCCCCGCACTTTGGGCTTCTCTTGGGGAGGGTCAGGGAAGTGGAGCAGCCTTCCTGAGAGAGGAGAGAGAAAGCTCAGGGAGGTCTGGAGCAAAGATACTCCTGGAGGTGGGGAGTGAGGCAGGGATAAGGAAGGAGAGTATCCTCCAGCACCTTCCAGTGGGTAAGGGCACATTGTCTCCTAGGCTGGACTTTTCTTGAGCAGAGGGTGGGGTGGTAAGGAAAGTCTACGGGCCCCGTGTGTGTGCACATGTCTCTGTGTGAATGGACCCTTCCCCTTCCCACACGTGTATCCCTATCATCCCACCCTTCCCACCAGAGCCATAGCCATCTGCTGGTTTGGTTATTTGGAGAGTGCAGGCCAGGACAAGGCCATCGCTTGGGGCATGAATCCTCTGCGTACTGCCCTGGCCAGATGCAAATTCCCTGCCATGGGATTCCCCAGAAGGTTCTGTTTTTCAGGTGGGGCAAGTCCGTGGGCATCATGTTGACCGAGCTGGAGAAAGCCTTGAACTCTATCATCGACGTCTACCACAAGTACTCCCTGATAAAGGGGAATTTCCATGCCGTCTACAGGGATGACCTGAAGAAATTGCTAGAGACCGAGTGTCCTCAGTATATCAGGGTGAGGAGGGGCTGGGTGTGGCGGGGGCTCTCTGCCTGGTCCTGGGGCTGCCCTGGGCCAGCGGTCCTCCCTGCCACCCTTCATAGATGGCTATGCCTCGGCTCTCTCTGAGATCTTTAAACTCTGGCTTCTTCCTCCTCAATCTTGACAGAAAAAGGGTGCAGACGTCTGGTTCAAAGAGTTGGATATCAACACTGATGGTGCAGTTAACTTCCAGGAGTTCCTCATTCTGGTGATAAAGATGGGCGTGGCAGCCCACAAAAAAAGCCATGAAGAAAGCCACAAAGAGTAGCTGAGTTACTGGGCCCAGAGGCTGGGCCCCTGGACATGTACCTGCAGAATAATAAAGTCATCAATACCTCATGCCTCTCTCTTATGCTTTTGTGGAATGAGGTTCCTCGGTGTGGAGGGAGGGTTGGAAAACCCAAAGGAAGAAAAAGAAATCTATGTTATCCCACCCTACCTCTCACAAGCCTTTCCTGCTTTACCCCTCACCTGGCCTCTGCCCCACATTCCCTTCCAGCCCCTCCATCTTGAGCCATTGGATTTGAGGCTTAAGGATTCCAAAAAGTCCATGACACTATAGCTGATGATTTTACTAGTGGTTCTGAAATGGGTCGGGGATTTGGGAACAGGGTGGTAGTATAAGAACAACTGATACTGTTCTCTAAGCTAAATTTTAGCTTCCAGCTAAATGTCTTAGATGTGGCTCTTGGGAAATTAGAGTGATAGCTACATAGAAGTGTGTGGGTGTGTGTGTGTGTGTCTGTGTGTGTGTGTGTGAGAGAGAGACAGACAGAAAGAGAGCAAGAGAGGGAAGGGGGGAGAGGCTGATTGTGTGTGTGGTGTGATGTAGGTGGACAATGTTCAGAGTCCTCCATTAACAGGATAATCCTCACACCTGTCCACATACCTGTAGTTTGTCCTTGGGGATTTTGAAAATTTTTCCTCCCTCTCCACTCCCAAACTCCCAACTCAATTAAATGATAAAGGAATAGGCAAATAGGAAAATAAATTAGTAAAACTTAAGTCAAAGAATAGGTTATTCATACGCTGCCCTATGGGATTCTATGCTTTGGTGATCAGAAAATTATCTAAAAAATACTTCCCAAGGGCTGGTACAAGGGGAAGGCCAGAAGACGAGTGGTTCTTCTCTGAGGTGGACATTAAAAAAAGAAGAAAATGAAGGGGAACCTTTTGACAAGAATGTCACCCCAAACTGGATTTTCATGCTGTGGTGTGGGGAATTTTCTGTTGTCCTCACTTAGGTGCTGGGGCAGTGGTGTTAGTGATGGGTAAAAAGGTAGGAAGCTGTCACCAGAATCACTAAACCAGGGTTCTTAACTTGTCTGTCTATACATCTCTGAAATTGGGTTGAAGTTGTGTGCATCATTTTGAGTGACGCACTGAGAACATTCCTCCACGGCTTCCATCAGAGTCTCGAAAAGGCCCAACACCTCAAAAAGGTTAAGAACACTTGTCCTGCTTACTGGTTTTTAGTAACAAATGGCAGAGTATTTCTCTCTGTCTCTCTCTCTTTTTTTTTTTTTTTTTTTGAGACACAGGGTCTTGCTCTGTCACGTGGACTAGAGTACAATGGCATGATCATGGCTCACTGTAGCCTCGAACACCTGGGCTCAAGTAATCCTCCCACCTCAGCCTCTTTAGTAGCTGGGACTACAGGCATGAGCCACTGCCCTTGGCTAATTTTTAAATTATTTTTTTGTAGAGATGGAAACTTGCTATGTTGCCCAGGCTAGTCTCAAACTCCTGGACTCAAGCGATCCTCCTACCTTGGCCTCCCAAAGTGCTGAGATTACAGGTGTGATCCACACCACACCTGGCCAAAGATTGGAGTATTTTTATTGCTATTGTTGTGCTGGGTGGGTGGGTGGGTGTATGCTTTGTGGGGACGTGTGTTGTTGCCAAGGGCTAAATCAGTTCCTACCCTGCTGCCCACAGTCCTCCACAGCTTTCCTGCTCTGTGAAGCTAAGGATACACCCCGGCCTGGAAGATGGAAGCTGCTTGGTGTCCCTCTGCACCGCACAAGGGCCCCAGCCATTGCCTAAGTACAGTATACAGTGGCTGAACAAAAGACCTTATTTCAATGGAAAATATTTTCCTGTTTATTCCTCCACTAGGGAACCAGAACAATTTTGATTGGGTCCAGAACCCAGCCCATTTTCTGCCCTCCTGCCTAGGGGAATTCAGTCTAAATTCAAATGGGCTGAAGAGGGGAGAAAAAGCTACCAGTACTTATGGTGGGGTATGGTGGGGTCTGTGCACGTGTGTGTGTATGTCAGGGCGGGAGTGCAACCTATCCCAGTGCTTTTGATTCCCCTTGGAAGTGCACTGTTGGACTTGCTGTCAATTGATTCTTTGCGGGGCGAGTTACTAAATACAGCAGGGAGCCTTCCACCCTCTCTGGGATAATTACTGTGCTTGGAACCCCAGGATCATGGGCTGAAGAGAGGAAGCTAACTCTGGGATAGTGGAGGGGAGGGGTTCTTTGGAGAAGCTAGACATGCTTCATGCTCAAGAGGAGAAGAGGAGGTAACCAATTCCCTAGGATTTCAGGAGGAGCAAACCCTTTTCCTACCATTAGCAAAATGCCACTCAGATTAACTGGTTTCCAGTGCTGAAGATTACTCAGTTCAGGTCACTGGGCTTTTTCTTGTAGTAGGCCTTAATCATATAAAATATAAATGAGCAGGGAAAGGTAATAGTTTAAGCCCTTATTCACCAATATTTTTAATTACCAGTCAATTTTATGTGTTATCAGCTAACATATTAGTGAAAATGGTTGGCAGCCAGCTGAAAGTTAAGATTGGCATCTAAGATGGGATGGGAAAATTTAGTCATCAGAATGTGGAGATGGGCTTCTGCTGGGGCAAGGAGGAAGGCCTAGGCATTAAATTACTTTCTTCTCAGTTTTGCTGAAGGATATCTATCCATCCTCCCAAGCCAGTGCTTCTGCTTAAGTCAGGAGTGTGGAATACACTCCGCATTGCAGAAACGGAGATTATGGAGCTCTGAGAGACACCACAGTGATCTTGCTATAGTTTTCTCCAATATATAGTGCAAAGGTGAGCAGCTGACCTGAATGTGGCCCAGGCTAAAAAAGGTGGGAAAGGTTCCAGGGTTCACCAAGCCACATCTCAGGTCAACTCAACATTTAGGGGAACTCACAAGAGAAAAGATAGTAACAGGAGTACAAAAAAGGAGCGAGTACCCTGATTCTGCCTTTCAGCTATCCACATTGGTGGTGGCAGTGGTGGTGGTGGGGTGTGTGTGTGTGTCAGGGTGGTGAGGGGCAACCTATCCCAGCGCCTTTGATTCCCCTTGAAAGTGCACTATTGGACTTGCTGTCAATGGATTCTTTTGGGGAGAGTTACTATTCTCAGTTGTCTGCCATTACTTGGAAGTCCAATAAGTCTTCTTTTTCTGAGCCTACCAGAAGAGGAAGGTGGCCCACGGTGCCCTTTGGAGTTTCACCATAAGTGATGGGTACTGGTTGTGAAGAATTGGGTCGACAGTTGATTCTTGAGTGCACAGTTGGGCAGGGGAGGTGGCCCAGCTGTCACTGGCCATCTGGAGAAGAGAAGTGAGAGAGGCAGGCCTTGGAAGCTTCCCAGAGGACGCAGGCTTGGAGATGATGATTTACAAACAAGACCGTGCCCATTACCGAAACCACACTGACTGGGCAGAATCAGACAGGACTTGTGGCCCAGAGCAAGATGACTTTGTTTCCTGTTTCCCCAGCTGCAAAAGAAGAACAAGGGAGTGGGAAGTTTAGAAATAAGTAGTTTAGCAGGAAATCGCATGCAACATTTGAGCCCACAAAGGAGTGCTTGGCTCACCAATTGAAGCAGATCTGGCAACTATGATTTCTGGGTCCTATAAGGATGACCTGTTTGAAGTCTTGCTTTTCCTTCCAAGTTCTTCGCCCAAGTGTCCTGACTTCAGGTGTGTTCCTGGTGGTTGTGACAAAAGTCTTAAAGGGCATGGAGAGAATCTGGACTTGGGCAGTCGGTCTACAGTGGCTGAGCAAAAGGCCTTATTCCAATGGAAAAGATTTTCCTGTTTATCCCTCCACTTGGGAACCAGAACAATTTTGATTGGGTCCAGAACCCAGCCCATTTTCTGCCCTCCTGCCTGGGGGAATTCAGTCTAAATTGAAATGGGCTGAAGAGGGGAGGGAAAGCTACCAACACTTACTGGGCTCCAGCTATGTGTCAGTGTGAAAGAAAAAAAATCATCTCAAACCTGGAAAAAGGCAAACTGATGATTGCTTATATTTTTGATCTCATGCTAGAGTCTGTCTGAAAAAAAGAAGGTCCTTGCTACTAGACCTCATCTGACACTTTTGAGAAAAGTGATCGGCAAAGCATGTTTGATAGCAATTCATAACAGATGATGTAGACAGTTTACCTCTGATGGATAGGGCAATATGGCTTTATAGGCTGGTCAAGACATTAAACCCAAAACTGTTATGGTTTGTTTTTGTCACCCTATGAAAAGTCAAAAGACTTGTATCTAGTCTTGTGTCTAAATTAAGAATCTTAGACATTACTTTCTAACTGTCTTTCATATTCTTAATATCTTTCAAACCAGTTCAAAAAAGTCTTCCTCACTGGTTCTCTCATTAATGAATTGAAACAAAAATTTTGACACAGGCCAATTATTTTGTTAATGATTTCGCTTTTTAGCTCAAGACATTGTGGTAACTTATCTCATTTCTCATAACAACCCTATGAGAGAGGTAACTACTATTTCCATTTTGTACATGAGTAGACTCAGAAACTTGACAAAGCTTATGAATCTGGCAAGTGGCAGAGGTAGAATCAGATCTCTACTGTCTCCAAGAAAGAGACCCTAATTAAAACATGAAGGTGCTCTCTTGTAGCCGTTTTCCACCCTGGGTGTGGATGGGACAGCCATTCCTCGCCTGCCTGCCTGGCCTCTTTCTCCTCATCCCCTATAGGGTCTCTGCTGTCCAGAGTGAGGAGTAGGGAGAGGAGGTACCAGATGAGCTTCTTTCTTGGGCCACTTTTCCTTGCCCAGGACTTTACCTGGCACACCTCAGGGCCTGAAGGACTGGTAGTTTTTTCCTGGTGTGAGCAATCCTCTAGGCAAAGATAATCTCCCTATGTATAGAGCAAGAGGATTGGGCATTTTGATTGCCCTAAACTCTTAGGGGTTGCCCCAGTAACAATTCTGTCTTCTTCCCTGGGCGGAGGAGCTTTCCTTCCAGTCTTAGATTTGGAAATTCCCCTGTGATCTAAAACACTGCTGAATCAGCCACCCATGTACTCAGGGCATCTCCATGCTGGAATAGTCAATCTGTGGCCTGTTGCCAATTTGAATGGGGCCCCAACAGCCATCGGTGGTTCTGATTGGAGAGTGATGGCCTCAATGCAGGTTACCTAGAACATAGACATAAAATCAGACAGATTTTAAACATGGTCAATGGTATGGGAAAGCAGGCTCATCATGCAGTTTACCTTGCCATGTAACTCATGGCTAAATCTGACACAGGCTTTGTACACTTCAACTAGAGACTTTTATAGTGACAGTTCCCTGACCGGAGTTACACGTGCTCCCCTGGCTAGTATATTCCTTTGTGGGATATACTGCAGAATACCTGTCACCCTTAGATAGAGCATGCTGTTTTGGAATTTGGGGTCCTCAAGTGTTTGTGCAAAATGACACCGTAAGCTGGAAGGGCTTCTGACATTGCAAGGTTGCCTGACATACTCTGCCAGGAAGGCATTCTGATAGCTGATTCCATTTTGCTGTCTGTGTCCTCCTACTTGGCATAGGTGTACATGCCCTGGGAAAAATGGTACCCAACTTGTCATTGACTACGTCAGTGACAACTAATGCTACCACCTGGACTATTTAGGACCAGTGAGACTCACTGAATGCATTAACTAAGCTGGTGATGAACACCTGAACAGCCTCTGATCATCTGCTGGCAGAGCAGAGTGGCCTTTGGTTGTTGCCAACACCTCCTGCTGTACCTGAGTAAACACCTCAGGGATTGTACAGACACAGGGGAAGGGATCCACAGGCAGACCCAGCCCGTTGGTTTCAAACAGTGAGGCCATCTGAAGGATCCTTCTTTGGCCTTTTTGTAAAAAAAAAAAATTATTTTAGATTCAGGATATACATGTGCAGGTTTGTTACATGGGTATATTGCATGATGCTGAGGCTTGGGCTGCGAATGATCTCATTGCCCAAATAGTGAACATAGTACCTGTTAGGTAACTTTTCAACCCTGGTGCCCCTCCTGCCCTCCCTCCTTTTGGAATCCCCAGTGTCTACCACTCCCATCTTTTTGTCTGTGTGTACTCAGTGTTTAGCTCTCACATATAAGTGAGAAATTCTGGTATTTGGTTTTCTGTTTCTACATTAATTCACTTAGCGTAATGGCCTCCAGGTGCATCCATGTTGCTGCAAAGGACATGATAGTGTTCTTTTTTATGCTTCATAGTATTGACATATATGACATATATGTACTACATTTTCTTTATCCAACCCACCATTGATAGGTACCTGGGTAGATTCCATGTCTTTGCTAATGTGAATAGTGCTTTGATAAACATACTAGTGCAGGTGTCTTTTCCTTTGGGTATATACTCAGTAACGGGATTGATGGGTTGAATGGCAATTCTATTTTTAGTTCTTTGAGAAATCTCCAAAATGCTGAACTAATTTGCATTCTACCAACAGTATATAATCATTCCTTTTTCTCTCCAACCTTGCCAACAACTGTTATTTTTTTGACTTTTAAATAATAGTCATCCTGACTGATGTGAGATGATATTTCTTGTGGTTTTGATTCACATCTCTCTGATGATTAGTTTTTGCATGTTTGTTGGCTACTTGTGTTTCTTTTTGAGAAATGTCTGTTCATGTTCTATGCCCACTTTTTAATGGGGTTATTTGTTTTCTTCTTGTTAAGTTGTTTGAGTTCCTTATAGATTCTGGGTATTAGCCCTTTGTCAGATGCATAGTTTGTGAATATTGCCTCCCATTCTGTAGATTGTCTGTTTACTCTGTTATTAGTTTCTTTCACTGCGTGGAAGCTTTTTAGTTTAATTAGGTCCCATATCAGTTTTCGTTTTTGTTGCATTGCGTTTGAGGACTTAACCATAAATTCTTTGCCTAGAACATGTCTAGAAGAGTATTTCCTAGGTTTTCTTCCAGGATTTTAATAGTTTAAGGTCTTAACATTTAAGTCTTTAATCCATCTTGAGTTAATTTTTGTATGTGGTGAGAGGTAAGGGTCCAGTTTCATTCTTCTGCATATGGTTAGCCAGTTTCCCCAGCACCATTTATTGAATAAGATTTCCTTTCCCCATTGTTTATTTTTGCCAGCCTTGTTCAAGGTCAGTTGGTTGTAGGTATGTGGTTTTATTTCAGTGGTCTCCATGCTGTTCCATTGGTCTATGTGTCTATTTTTGTACCAATACCATGCTGTTTTGGTTACTGTAGACTTGTAGTGTAGTTTGAAATTGGGTAATGTGGTACCTCTGGTTATATTCTTTTTTGCTTAAGATTGCTTTGGCTATTTGTGCTCTTTTTGCTTCTATATGAATTTTAGACGAGTTTTGTAAAGTTGTGTGAAAAATGACCTTGGTAATTTGATAGGAATAGCATTGAATCTATAGATTGCTTTGGGCAATGTGGACTTATTAACTATATCAATTCTTCCAATCCATGAGCATGGCATGCTTTTTCATTTGTTTGTGTCATCTATGATTTCTTGTAGCAGTGTTTTGTAGTTCTTTTTGTAGAGGTCTTTCACTTTGCTGGTTAGATATTTTCTTAGGTATTTTATTTTTTGTGTGTGGCTGTTGTAAATGGAATTGCATCTTTGATTTGGTTCTCAGCTTGAATATTATTGGTGTATAGAAATGCTACTGATTTTTCTATGTTGATTTTGTTTTCTGAGATTTGCTGAAGTTGTTTATCAGGTCTAGGAGTCTTTTGGAAGAATCTTTAGAGTTTTCTGGACATAGAATCATATTGTCAGTGAAAAGAAGTAATTCGCTCTTTTTCAATTTGGGTTCCTTTTATCTCTTTCTCATGTCTAATTGCTCTGGCTAGGACTTTCAGTACTATGTTGAATAGGAATAGTGAGAGTAGACATCCTTGTCTTGTTCCAGTTCTTAGGCAGAATGCACCTAACTTATGCTTATTCAGTATGATGTCAACTGTGGGTTTGTCATAGATGGCTCTTATTATTTTGAGGTATGTTTCTTTGATGTCTATTTTATTGAGAGCTTTCATCATGAAGAAATGTTGAATTTTTATTGAATGCTTTTCTGCATTGATTGAGATGATCATATAGTTTTTGTTTTTAATTCTGTTTATGTGGTGAATCACATGTATTTATTTGCATATGTTGAACCATCCCTGCATTCCAGGAATAAAGCCCACTTATTTGGGAAATCAACTTTTTGATATGCTGCTGTATTTGGTTTTCTAGTATTTTGTTGAAGAGTTTTATGTCTATGCTCATCAGGGATATTGGTCTGTAGTTTTCTTTTTTTGTTGTGCCTTTGCCAAATTTTGGTGTCATGAGGATATTGGTTTCATAGAATGAGTTAGGGAGGAGTCCCTCCTTGATTTTTTGTAATAGTTTCTTTAGGATTGATACCAGGTCTTCTTTGTAGATCTAGTAGAATTTGACTATGAATCCGTCTGATACAGGGTTTTTTGTTGTTGCTATTGTTGGTAGGTGTTTTATTACTGATTTATTTTCATTACTTGTTATTGGTCTGTTCAGAAATTCTATTTCTTCTTGACTCAGTCTTGGGAGGTTGTGTTTCCAGGAATGTATTGATTTCCTCTAGATTTTCTAGTTTGTACTCATAGAGAGGTTCATATCTCTGAGGATCTCTTGTATTTCTGTGGAATCGGTTGTAATGTCACCTTTGTCATTTCTGATTGTGTTTATTTCGATCTTCTCTCGTTTTCTTTGTTAATCTAGCTAATGGTCTATCAATCTTGTTTATCCTTTCAAAAAAGCAAGTTTTCCTTTCACTGATCCTTTGTATGGCTTTTTGGGTCTCAATTCACTTAGTTCTGCTCTTATTTTAGTTACTTCTTTTCTTCTGCTAGCTTTGAGCTTAGTTGTTCTTGTTTTTCTAATTACTTTAGGTGGAGGTTGGGTTGTTAATTTGAGATCTTTCTATTAATATCTTCTTTATATATATATATTTTTTATTATACTTTAAGTTCTAGGGTACATGTGCACAATGTGCAGGTTTGTTACATATGTATACATGTGCCATGTTGGTGTGCTGCACCCATTAACTCGTCATTTACATTAGGTATATCTCCTAATGCTATCTCTCCCCCCTCCTCCCACCCCGCTTGATATAGGCATTTAGCGCTATAAAATTCCCTCTTGGGAGGATAGAGGAGCGAGGCTGGCGGGCACACCGGTGAGCGGGCCGGAAGCCGGAGCAGCCGAGGAGTCTGCAGCAGCCGCGTGGCGGAGTCTGGGCGAGGAGGTCAACGCTCCTGGAAACTTGGGCTCGTCCTCGCGCCTCTGCTCCAGGAGCAATGACGATGGTCACGCCCTGGTCGCACCCTGGATGCGGTTCTACTCCAACAGCTGCTGCCTGTGCCTCCATGTCCGCACCAGCACCATCCTGTTAGGTGTCTGGTACCTGATCATCAACGCCGTGGTACTCCTGATTTTGTTGAGTGCCCTGGCTGATCCGGATCAGTATCACTTTTCAAGTTCTGAACTGGGAGGTGATTTTGAGTTCATGGATGACGCCAATACGTGCATTGCCATTGCGATTTCTCTTCTCATGATACTGATATCATGAGAATTAAGGCTAATTACGTAATTAAGGCTAATTACGAAGCATACAGGCAACACGCATTCTGGATCATCCCATTCTTCTGTTACCAGATTTTTTTTTTTTTCCGAGACGGAGTCTCGCTCTGTCGCCCGGGCTGGAGTGCAGTGGTGCGATCTCAGTTCATTGCAAGCTCCACCTCCCGGGTTCACGCCATTCTCCTGCCTCAGCCTCTCCGAGTAACTGGGACTACAGGCGCCAGCCACCACGCCCGGCTAATTTTTTGTATTTTTAGTAGAGACGGGGTTTCACCGTGGTCTCCATCTCCTGACCTCCTGATCCACCCCCTTCGGCCTCCCAAAGTGCTGGGATTACAAGCGTGAGCCACCGCACCTGGCCCTGTTACCAGATCTTTGATTTTGCTCTGAACACCTTGGTTGCAATCACTGTGCTTGTTTATCCAAACTCCATTCAGGAATACATACGACAACTGCCTCCTAATTTTCCCTACAGAGATGATGTCATGTCAGTGAATCCACCTGTTTGGTCCTTATTATTCTTCTGTTTATTAGCATTATCTTAACTTTTAAGGGTTACTTGATTAGCTGTGTTTGGAACTGCTGCAGATAGATGAACGGCAGGAACTCCTCCGATGTCCTGGTTTATGTTACCAGCAATGACACTAAGGTGCTCCTACCCCGGTATGATGATACCACTGTGAATGGTGCTGCCAAGGAGCCGCCGCCACCCTAGGTGCTGCCAAGGAGCCGCCGCCACCCTAGGTGTCTGCCTAAGCCTTTGAGTGGGCGGAGCTGGGGGCAGCAGCTTGACTTTTCAGATATCTGAGCAATAGTCATGTTATTTCACTTTTCAGGTGAGCTCTCTGCGCTTGTTTGTTGCCGAAGTGCTACTTTTTAAGATTTAGATGTTAGGTTGAAACCTGTAGTTTTCCTCAACATATGCTTTGTTAGAACACTGTGATAGATTGGCTGTAGAATACTTTCTGTAGGATTGGGGGTGTAACAGGCTTCACTAACCCTCCCTAGGAATGTAAACTTCCCCCAAATCTAGATGGACCTAGAGTCAGAGAAGTCTGCTTTCATACCTGTGGGACCCCAAAGTTGGGCAGTTAGTCATACGTTTCTCTCTGTTCCCTCTCTTTTGAAAGTGTAAAATAAAACCAAAAATAGACAACTTTTCTTAAACCTTTCCAATGTAGAGAACAAAATCTTACGAAAACAGGAATGCCAATTCTGTAATCATTTTTCTAATTAGGTAAATAGAAGTCCTTATGTATGTGTTTCAAGAATTTCCCCCATAACATCCTTTATGACAAGTTCAATGGCAGTTTGTGTTTGGTGGTAAAGGATTTTCTCCATGGCCTGACTTAAAACCATTGGAAAGCACCAGGCAGTGGGAGCAGTAACCACCTGATGTCTGTTCTCCTGCATCCCCTGTCCAGGGTCATGGGGCGGCGTGCCTCATCTATGTTAGAGGGTAAAACTGATGTGTTTAGTGCTGCGTGGGATCTGGTGCTCCTCTTCAGGATTCACATCCCCACCCAGGGCCTGCTTTTACTGAGTGTTCTGCCCTAGCCTGGTTCAAGGAAGTCATGCAACTGACTTTATCAAGTGGAATTGGGATATATTTGTTATATATTTACCTAAAAACATGGAAAGGATTTTCCTCCTTCTTCCCCTGCAAGGTACATTCTACAGCTTTGAACTTCCAAGTATGCCTAGTCACCTTTTAAAATGTAAAAGTTTTCAGAAAAATGAGGATTGCTTTCCTTTTATGCACTTATTATCTTGACTACCTAAGTTGCAAGGTATTTTTATATATTCATATGTTCAAAAGCCAGCAACTCTCCTGTTGGTCCATTATTGAATGTGCTGTGAATGAAGTCTTTTGCAATTAAAATGAGATTCGCCCACATCCAAGATGAAAAAAAAAATTCCCTCTTAACACTACTTTTGCTACATTCCAGATGTTTTGATATGTTGTGTTGTGTCTCTATTTTTGTATGTTTCAAAGAATTTTTTGATTTCTGCCTTAATTTTGTTGTTTAACCAAAAGTCAGGAACAAGTTGTTTAGTTTCCATTTATTTGTGTGGTTTTGAGAGTTCCTCTTGGTATTGATTTCTATTTTTATTCCACTGCGGTCCAAGATTCTTGGTATGATTTTGATTTTTTTGAATTTATTGAGATTTGCCTTATGACTGAGCATGTGGTTGATCTTAGAGTATGTTCCATGTGCAGATGAAAATAATATATATTCTGTGGTTGTTGGGTGCATTGTTCTATAGATGTCTATTAAGTCTAATTGGTCAAGTGTCAAATTTAAGTCCATAATTTCTTTGTTAGTTTTCTGCCTTGATGATTTGTCTACTGATGTCAGTGGGGTGTTGTCCCCTGCTATTATTGTGTGGCTGCCAAAATCTTTTCTTAGATGCAGAAGTACTTATTTTATAAATCTGGGTGCTCCAGTGTTGGGTGTGTATTTATTTAGGATGGTTAAATTTTCTTGTTAAATCGAACCCTTTATCACTATGTAATGCCCTTCTTTATCCTTTTTTACTGTTGTTGGCTTACAGTCTATCGGATCTGATTCAAGAATAGCAACCTCTGCTCTTTTTTGTTTTCTGTTTGCATGATAGATCTTTCTCCATCCCTTTACTTTGAATCTACAGGTGTCATTACACATGAGACAGGTGCTTGAAGACAGCAGAAGGATGGGTCTTGTTTTTAAATCGAATTTGCCAAGGTATGTGTTTTAAGTGCAGTGTTTAGGCCATTCACATTGGAGGTTAATATTTGTATGTGAGGCTGTGTTCCTGCTTTTTTGATTTCTATTTTTTTTTTTTGAGAGGGAGTCTCACTCTGTTGCCCAGGCTGGAGTGCAGTGGCGCGATCTCGGTTCACTGCAAGCTCCGCCTTGTGGGTTCACGCCATTCTCCTGCCTCAGCCTCCTGAGTATCTGGGACTACAGGTGCCTGCCACCATGCCTGGCTAATTTTTTGTATTTTTAGTAGAGATGGGGTTTCACCATCTTAGCCAGGATGGTCTCGATCTCCTGACCTCGTGATCCGCATTTAGCAACCTCTTGCCTGGATGGCTGGGATCCTGGGCTAGTCCCTTCTCCAGGCAGATGTGAAAAAAAAAAAACATCTCAGGATCCCAAACTTACTAAGCCAGAGGGAAAAGTCAAGCTGGGAAATGGGTCATGCAAGCCTGCCCCCACCCAGGTTGGTTTCTAAATAAGATAGCTACAAAGATAAAAAGCCATACACCAATCTCACAACTTGCCCACAAGGAAATTCCTTGTGAGCCTCAAGATCTTTACCCTAAAACAGTTCTATTGAATTTCACCCTGGCAGTGTAATTGACAGCTTATCTTCACAGGTGTGGGACAAAGGGCAGAACATAAAGTCATCCCTCTGCTCACCCAAGACAAATCCATATCTGATTGCTTCCTCTCCCCTATTTTTGTTATCTTATGTAAAAATGCAGATTCACTGAGCCAGATGAAGGCATAAGTGACTATTTCCTCTACTCCGCTCCCACATGAAAATTGTGTATTCAGTGAAAGATTGATCAAAGACTCAAAAGGATGCAATCACTTGTCTCTTATCTACTGACACATTTAAAAAATATTTCTTCCTCTTCCCCCAATATCCACTGTTTCTCCTTCAAATATTGAAGCCCTCAAAATCATCTTTGGAGAAAGACGTAGACCTACCTCTGGGCACGCATCCTTAACTTTGGCCAAATAAACCTCCTAAAATGATTGAGATTCACCTTGGTCATTGTCATTGATTTACACAAGCCTGATCATCCTGCTCTGGTGGTGTCCTCCTGGGCCTAGTGAAACAAATACTGTCAATGGCTTAACAATGTTGCACTGAGATTGTGTCAGTCAAGGTGACACATGGATCGGAGAGACAGACTTTTGCCTCCAGATCCAGAGAGGTCGGTGGGCACATGAAATGAACTAGCTTTGCTAAGGGGGATATCTGTGTTGTGGGGTAGATGGCAGCACAGGTTCTGGCATGGCCTTGATTGCTCAGCAATCTTATTGACCTCTAGGCATAAACCAAGGGCAGAGTGCTTTTGGATGTCCCTTAGCTTTGGTGCGACATGGGGAATGTACAGATGAGACTTAATCCATTTTGGGCAGGTTTCTGAATCTTGAAGGACCACCTCTCCATGAATCCTGGGCATCTGTTGTCCCTTGCTGCCTCTCTGTGAGTAATAAAGTTGCTTTACTAAAACTCGTGTGAATGTTCTGTCTTACTGAACTCATGAACATGGTAAAGTAACCTAGGCATGGTGAACTTTCTTCACACACAATGATTACCCTACTCCAGCTTTCTAGGTCTTTGTAACAGCCAAGTTAGAAAGTTGGGAAAGCAAAGGGGAGGCATAGTAGCATTGCTCTCTCCTTTTTTGAAAACCTTGGAATCTATTTTGAAAACTGATCCTCTGCTCCAGTGATGAACTTTGCATCCCAGAACGACTTAGGAGGAGGTCTCCCTACCTATCTCCTTAGCTGCATAAAGATCTTTAAGTTGATATTCCATTTGCCAAAACTGAAGAGCTGGTAACCTCATCTGTTAAAACAAGACACTCAGGCTGTAAAGTTTGTTCTCCTAGTCTTTTATTAGGGAGCAGTGGAGTAGAGCTAAACCTGAAACCTGGGCCCTGGCTCAGGGCTAAAAAAGGTTCAGGGCACCCCTGTGCGGGTGGGTGGAGTGGGGGTGATTTTGTTTCAGGCTGAGCAGGAGGGCAAAATTCAGTCTGGGTACAATCTGGGCTGCTCCTGTGGCAGCCTAAGCCACAGGTTTGAAGCTTCTATTGAGCAACAGAGTACTTTACATAAATTGCCTCAAGATGAATCAGAGATTTCTTCACCCAAGGGCTAAGATGAAGCCTGAACTGATTATAAAACCTTCCTTGGCTCAGTGCCCTTCACCACTGCTGGCTTTTTGCTGTAGCTCCACATTCCTGTGCATTGAGGGGTAAGTGCATTTTCCTTGGATGGGTTCTTAGGTGGTCCACAGGGTAGTGACTGCAGGTGACCACTTTGAAATCACAAGGTGTTGGAAACCACAACCCTCCACTTGCCTGAGCACCTCTGGGGTGATATTGCATTTTGGACCCAAGTAGATCAGCTCTTGTTGTGCTATGTAGACTCAGTCCCATGATTTAAGAATGGCTAAGCAGGCCGGGTACGGTGGCTCACGCCTGTAATCCCAGCACTTTGGGAGGCCGAGGCGGGCGGATCATGAGGTGAGGAGATCGAGACCATCCTGGCTAACATGGTGAAACCCCGTCTCTACTAAAAAAATACAAAAAATTAGCCGGGCGTGGTGGCGGGTGCCTGTAGTCCCAGCTACTCGGGAGGCTGGGGCAGGAGAATGGCGTGAACCCGGGAGGCAGAACTTGCAGTGAGCCGAGATCGCCCTACTGCACTCCAGCCTGGGCGGCAGAGTGAGACTCCGTCTCAAAAACAAACAAACAAACAAACAAAAAACCCAAAACAACAACAACAAAAAAAGAATGGCTAAGCAGGGGTGGGTTATGGACCATTTGTGGGGGATATGTGGCCATAGTGCCATCACCTGAGGAAAGCAAACAGCCTGGCCAATCACAGAACCCTTCCCAAGGGACCTTGAGTAAGCAATACCCTCCAAGTTATGCACCCCGGTGGATGAGGTGGTATGGAACATGGGCAACTGAGGCTGATTTTTTTAGACGTTAGACAGTATTATATGTTTTCTCCTCCCCATCCTATCCACACATGAGAAGTTCACCATGGATCAAAC
Organism: Homo sapiens; assembly: GCF_000001405.40. Taxonomy (NCBI): domain Eukaryota; kingdom Metazoa; phylum Chordata; class Mammalia; order Primates; family Hominidae; genus Homo; species Homo sapiens. Next base: position 153,374,744 of record NC_000001.11, on the reverse strand, counting down.
AGAGCAGAGACCACAAAATAGATATGGAGGATGTTATGTTTTCTTTAGGCCCTTGATTCAGAAAGAGAGGGGAGAGTGGAGGTTGAGGGGTGGGGGAGAAACTGCCTCTAGACTTCCCTTGTTTCCTTGAAGGTTAACATTAGGCTGGGAAGATGACAAAACTTGAAGAGCATCTGGAGGGAATTGTCAATATCTTCCACCAATACTCAGTTCGGAAGGGGCATTTTGACACCCTCTCTAAGGGTGAGCTGAAGCAGCTGCTTACAAAGGAGCTTGCAAACACCATCAAGGTAGGTGATGCCCCTCTCACTGCAAACTTGCCCATGACCCTGCACTGAGGGGAGTGGCAAGGCCTGGCAGAGGATGGTGGGACAAGGACTGGGGTGGGGTTGGCCCCAGTTTGAGCTCCCAAAGGATGCTCTCCCCGCTGCTGTGGGAGAGGTCCTTTGCTTCCCTCTCTCAATAACTCACTTAAGGCTCTACTCAGTTCCTCTCTCTGAGTCTGTTTCCTCATATGTAAAATGGAGAGAGGCAGGGCACGGGAGGGGTTGAATGAGTGAGCAGAAGAGTACCTTCCAGGTCAAGCCTTGTTAATTCCAGGGTGGTTCATGACCATTGTGTTCTCTGTTTTGTTACACTGGATTCTCCAACACAGTGTTGGCTAATGAGTTAATGTGCCTGGGCCTTCACAACCCGAGCTCTGAGGGATAAGAGGCCTAAGAAAGGGTCTTGTGTGGAGGTTCTGAACTCAAGGTCTCTGTTGTCCTTTTTTCCTAGAATATCAAAGATAAAGCTGTCATTGATGAAATATTCCAAGGCCTGGATGCTAATCAAGATGAACAGGTCGACTTTCAAGAATTCATATCCCTGGTAGCCATTGCGCTGAAGGCTGCCCATTACCACACCCACAAAGAGTAGGTAGCTCTCTGAAGGCTTTTTACCCAGCAATGTCCTCAATGAGGGTCTTTTCTTTCCCTCACCAAAACCCAGCCTTGCCCGTGGGGAGTAAGAGTTAATAAACACACTCACGAAAAGTTCTGAATAGTGTCTGTGAACTTTTTTCTTTCCATGCCTGCGGTTCCCAAACTTGATCACACCTTACCCCTGCTCTTCTGGCAGTCTGATTTAGATCCCTTAGAACTCCTGCCCCATTTGTTCATTTGATCACCAATTATTTATTTATCGAATTATTTATTGAATGTCCACCATTCATTCATTCATTCACTCACTCAACAAATATTCTCTGAGCATCAGAGACCAAAGACACAAAGTCCTTGTCCTCTTAGAGCTTGCATATTATTTGGGAGAGAATAGAAAATAAATAAATAGACAAGCAAATAAAAATATATTGTATGGCTGGCCATCATGGCATGTGCCTGTAGTTCCAGTACTCAGGAGGCTGGGGCGAGAGGATTGCTTGAGTCCAAGAGTTTGAGGCCGTAGTGTGCTATGATTACACTTGTGAATAGCTATTGCATTCCAGCCTGGGCAACATAGAAAGATCCTGTCTTTAAACACATATATATATACACACACATATATATATGTCTTTAAACATATATATATGTATATATATGATATATACATATATATGTGTATATATGATATAATATAATATGATATGACATGGTGTGATCATATTGATACAATAGTAGTTAATGATAAGTTATATGAAGAAAACTAAAGTAGAGAAGTAGAGTTGGGGTGGAAAGGGAAGGAAGGTGATGTTGGTTTCGATGGGGTGGTCAGGGTATACATTTGAGCAGAAATCTGAAAGAAATGAAGAAGAGTGACTTGCAGCTATCTAGAGGCCAAGAGTTCCTGGCAGTGAGTAGCCAAGGCTCTTGGTGGGCACATACCTGACCTGCTCAAAGAGTAGCACAGAAGCCAGTATACCTGGAGTACAGTGACTGAAATGGGGAGTGGTGGGGAATATGAGCCTGTAGGTATCAGGAAGCAGATAACAGCAGCTTATAGACCATGGGGAGGACTTTAGACTTTATTCTAAATGTGCTAAGGAGACACTGGGGGGTTTTGACCAGGGGAGCGAAATGATTCTATTTATGCTTTGAAGGATTACTTTGGCTGCTTTCGTGGAGAACAGATTATAGAGCACAGGCAAGCATGGAAGCTAAGAGATCAGCTAAGAAGAGATTCCCCAGGGCAATCCTGTCTAAGAGAAATATAATATGTATAACTTAAACTTTACTAGAAACCATATTTAAAAAAGTAAAAATAAAGGGGAATTAATTTTAATAACATTTGGTTAACCTAATAGATCTAAAATATTATTACTTCAGCTATATAAAATTATTGTTGAGATAGTTTACATTCTTTTCTTTCATTTTAAGACTTTGAAATCCAAAGATTCACATATGACCATGTTTCAAGTGCTCAGTAGTCATGTATAGATCATGGCAACCATACTGGACCCCGAAGCCCTAGATCGTTTCAGAGATGGAATGAGGCTGGACTAGGGTGGTGGTAATGGTGGTGACAAGGGGTGGTCAGATTATCAATACATTTTGAAGGTGGAAATTGAAAAATCAAGGATTACTCCAAAAGTTTTCCCCTAAGACACTGGTCTGGATGCTAGGGATACAGAGATGAAAGAAGAAGTCCTTGGCTTAAATGTTCATCTCTGATTGCGGAAGGCCTGAATCGGGAGGAATCCCTATGCCATGTCATATATGTTTTGGCAGAAGTAAGTATACGATGTTGTGGGAGAATAGAGAGTGACCCAGCTTTGGGGGTGCACTGGGGCCAGTTAGGCTACCTGAAAGAGTGGACACATGGTCATAAAATTTGGGGCAGAACTTTGAAAGGGGGGAAATGATATAGAATTTGCATGTCTGTGGGCATGGGATAGTGAGAAACACTCTCTTTAGTTTTCTTAAAGAAGGAAAGGGATGGAAAGGAGTTGGGAAGAACAAGGAGCAAGTGACCAGGGAGAAGAGTATTATGCCCTGTCCAACATAGGGTCAGGGGAGACTTCCCTGACTAGACTCTCCACACTAGTCCAGGCCAGGTTCTTTGTTTAACAGTACCGTAGGACCATGCTGCTCTCCTTTGGTGCTCTTGTCTTCTTTTGTGATTCTGGATCCATGGCCATGATTATTTGTTTAATATTCATCTTCTCTGATGGACTAGGTTGTTAAAGAGCAGGTGCTGAATCACTGTGAATCACTAGCACAAGCACAGTGCCTGGAAAGAGGTGGTTGTTTGCTATGAGTTGAATATTTGTGTTCCTGTTGAGATTCATGTTGAAACTTAATCCCCAATGTGAGTATTAAGAGGTTGGGGTTTAGGAGGTGATTAGGCCATGATGCCTCCACCCTTTTGAATGGGTTGATGCATTATGAAAGGGCTTGAGGAGGCAAGTTTTCCCCTTTTAAACCTTCCACCATGTGAGGACACAGTGCTCCTCCTCTCTGGAGGAAGCAGCAACAAGGCGCCATTTTGGAAGCAGAGAGCAGCCCTCACCAGGCACCTGAACCTGCCAGCACCTTGATCTTGGACTTCTCAGCCTCCAGAACTGTGGGAAATAAATTTGTGTTGTTTATAAATTATCCATTCTATATTTTGTTATAGTAGCATGAGGACACTAGGACAATGTTTGATAAACATTTCTTAAATGAATAAATGTGTGGAAATTGATAAGTCTGTTGGCTTGACTCTCTATAACTGGCCCCAGGGAAAATATGAAGAAGCATGGCCTCAGGGACAGCTGTTGGGCCCTGGTGAAAAGTGCAATTCAATCTGATCAGCGGAAGTCACTGGAAACCTCCCTGTCCTCCAACCCCTGACTCCTCCAACCAACCACTAAAGTTAGGTCTGGCACTGATGGGGAGCATGAAATCAGAAGTCAGCCCCAGTCCCTGTTTAGTGGGAACATCAAGATACACACAGAAGAGGCAGCAGGGGCAGAGCCTTGGGCTCTGGTAGACCCTCCCGTGGCTGCTCCCTCTGTAGCGGGATATTTTAAAAAATAAGAGAGACCAATGGGGTTGAGGAGGATATTTATTAATTATTTAGGTGAACCGGTCCAGTTGGATTAACATTCAAAGGACTGAGCCCTGAACTATGAAATCAGCAGAAGTCACTGGAAAGTCATTTCCACCTTCAAAATGTATTGATAATCTGACCACCCCTTGTCACCACCATTATCACCACCCTAGTCCAGCCCCATTCCATTTCTGAAATGATCTAGGGCTTCAGGGTCCAATATGGTTGCCACGATCTATACATGACTACTGAGGACTTGAAACATGGTCATATGTGTGAGATGTACTAGAACTGTAATACACTGGATTTCAATTAATTGAGACATGCGTTACATCATTTCTTACTTTTCAAGGAAAAACACGTTTTATGACTTGAGTTTATTTGTCTAGTGACCTTGCAGCTGCATAGCTAGAGAAACAGGTCTTCATAATGCCTGGGAAAGGAGGAAAGATAAGGCTCACTAGCTACAGAAAAACAGGCAGTTAATTTTTAAAGGACTCCAGCTCTTTCTCCTTCTCAGGGGGAATTGGGTTTTCTTACATACAACTGAGTTTCTGCTTACACATTCTTTAATTTCTTTTAATTCCTGTTCCACCTCTGGATCTTCTTCAGCAGCAGGGGCAGGCCAGGTGGCAAAATTGAAGAATTTTAGAAAGGTTAGATACCCTGCTGGAGGTCAGGCAAGACAGATGTGAGGAAAAGTGGGAAAGGGGGCTTTTTACTGCAGGAGAGTGGGTTTGACTTTCGGCTTATTTACTGTGAAGCCATGTGGAGACAGTGTATGGGAAGCTGGGATTCAGGACAAGTGACAAATGATGAGTCCTGGGCACATGGTCTTGGGGTGAAGCTTTGCTGACCACCCCCATCAAAGGAAACAATTGCAGTTGTGTGGAAAGTGTGCGAGAAAGTAGAAGCCTGTAGATGGGGTTGAGGGGAGAGCCTGAAGATGGGGGTGAAGTGGGATTGGCAGAAAAGGAAGGAATGTGTGACCCAGGGAAGGGAGTCCTGGAATGGCCCAAGCCTGGAAGGCTTCTATCACCAAATGTGAATGAGAATGTGAGAGCATTTGGGGAAAGCCTTCCCTCACTGCATGACCTTGGCCAAATCACTTTGCCTCTCTGGGTCTGTGTTTTCTTTATTTTTGAAGAATTCAAAGGAATTTTAAACATCTATTTTGGAAAGTTTTAGACTAGGTGAATACTCAGGTGTCACCCAGTGTTAGTGCTCTGAGAGACCTCAGTTGGATAGAGGGGAACTTGGTGCAGGGTCTAGAAGGAGAACATCACTTAGTGAGAGGGTAGGAAGGAGGATGTCCCTTGGTGCTAAAGAGTAGCAGTCGAGAGTGTGAGGCTAGAAGTTATGCTTCTGTATTCAAATCCTAGCATTGCCACTTACTAACTGTGAGACCTTGAACAAGTTACTTAGAATCTTTAAACCTCAATTTCCCCATCAGTAGCATGGGGATAACCACAGCACCCCTCTCCCAGAGTTGGTGAGAGGATTAGGTCATCTCCTTTTTTTCCTTTTTTTATTTTTTTATTTTTTGAGATGGAGTCTTGCTCTGTCTCCCAGGCTGGAGTGCAGTGGCGCGATCTTGGCTCACTGCAAGCTCCGCCTCCCGGATTCACGCCATTCTCCTGTCTCAGCCTCCCGAGTAGATGGGTTTACAGGTGCCCGCCACCACACCAGGCTAATTTTTTTGTATTTTTAGTAGAGACGGGGTTTCACCGCGTTAGCCAGGATGGTCTCGATCTCCTGACCTCGTGATCTGCCTGCCTCGGCCTCCCAAAGTGCTGGGATTACAAGCGTAAGCCATGCGACTGGCCAAGATTAGGTCATCTCATAGCACATGGAAAGCACTTGGCACAGTATCTGATGCAGAGTAAGCACTCAACAAACATTAGCAATAACAGTAAGATAATAATTTAGACAGGAGGTAACGATTGTAGCTGACCCACCCTCTGCCACAGCACAATAGGTATAGATTATTTTAAACCAAAGCAGACTGAGGTTATATTTAGGGGTGGCTTGGATAGTTAAAGTTGACCAGTGTAAGATAAGGAACCAAGGGAAGTTATGCAATATCTTCCTCTAAAGGCCTTTGAACTAGACCAAGCTGTTCTGCAAACTAGGCCACTCCCTTGATGCACTTACCTTGATTTGGGACCACTTCTGATATATATAGTAGTATTAGAATCTGTTAAAAAAAAAAACAACAAAAAAACCAACAACTAACCGATGAGAGCAAAAGTCCAGCACATTTGCTATTGTGAAAACATTCACCAGCTGTAATTTTGTTTCCAAATAGCCCACTGAACCACAAATTGAACTTAAATCATGGCTAGAAAAATTTTAAGGGCTGCTAACCTTGGTCAAAATCCATCAGTCAGCGGCACCTAAGGACAATGACAAGGGCCCTTGACTTGGAATCAAATGAGCTTGGTTAGACTCCCAGCTCAACTGCTTGGCTCTGTGAGTTTGGGCGAATGGCTTCCCTTCTCTGAGCCTCAGTTTTTTCATGTATATAGTGTGCTGTTTGCACAAGTGATCTCCAGTCCCTTCATGAATACACAGAGACTAGACCCTGTGACTGTGGCTGGTGTCGTGGAACAAGCAAATGAACACAAGCACTGTTAGATCCACAGAGCCCAGGGATTGGCCCTGTTGCTTCTGGAGGCCCTGTCTCACTGTCACCATCTGTCCACCCCCAGAGGCCCTATTCTCCAGCCACTCTAGAACAGTCTCTAGTTTCTCCACGGCTTTGAAACTTCTTGGGTTTTGCTCCTGCTGTCCTCTTGTTCTCTTTGTCTGAAGTGCCTTTTCATCCCTTCATTCACAAACATTTTTTTGTGTCTGCTCTGTTGCAGACACTAGGCTACCTGGGCCCTTCTCTGGCTCTAGAACACCTGCTTATACACCATGGCCTGACTCAACCGTCACATCCTCCAGGGAGCTCACCTGTTCATATCTTCCTCATGTATTTCCATCAAGAGTAGACTTTAGGCCCCTTCCAATTTGGGGCTGACCTCCCTCTTCTGCTCACTGGCTGCTGCTGGAATGATGAGCCTGACAAAGCTGTCTGGGCAAAGGCATTACTGAGTGATAAAGGACACCAATAACACTCTTTTGGGTGCTATATGTGCAATACTTTGCCCTCAGGAGGATATTTCAGGCAGGCTTCCAGTACACCACAAGCCAAGCCATGCCAGCCTGTGCATCAGGCTCTTGGAGCTCAGGAGAAGGATCTGGGCTCAACAAAATGACTATCAGAAGCCCCTGATGTGAGAATGGCTAGGTCTCATCATTTTGACTTGGCCAACACAAGAAGCCTTTCAAGTTTTAAGATAAAGCAAACTAAAAATCTGGAGGGCAAGAGCCCTTACTTCCTATGTTTCTCTGATTTCTTTTATTGCCTAACACAGCACTGGGCACATGGAAGTGCAATTCTTGCCCTCTGAAAACTCAGCTTGGGCATTAGTCCAAGCAAGCTTTCCTTCTCTCTCCTTCCCTCTACCCCTGCCCCCCGGCTCCCCTCTACCCCCTCCCCCACACCACAGCCAATAAGACGGCAAAAAGTGCCTTCTGTACTCTCTGGGCATCTTGTGCTTATCATCTGCCTTTGCTTGTCTTTTGCCCACAACATTGTATTATAGAGAAAATATCTGGTAATTGTGCCCCCACTGGACTGAGGGCTCTGTGAAGGCAGGGAATCTAGCACACTATTTGACATAAGACCAGGCTCATCAGCCTCCTAACTGGTCCTCATGCTTCTACTCTGGGGTTCTCCAGGCTACCCTCCACACAGCTGCCGAATATTCTCCTCCAGATACATCATATCACATCACCTGCCTGATTAAAACCCTCCAAAGGCTCTCCAATGTGTTTGGGGTGAAATCTTCGTTGAGATGGCTTCTTGTCATCCAGGCCTCATTTCCAGTGTTGCTTCCTTGCCTGGCTGCCGGCCCACAAAGCAGTCCTGTTAGCATGTCCCCTTTATTTTCTTTGTGCAACTCATCACCATCTAAAATGATCTGGGCTATCTATTTCTTGACTTGCCTCTTGTCTGACTCTCCCCTAGACGCAGTTTTGTTGACCCAGCACCTATAACAGTGCTCTGCATTTAGTTCTCACTCAATGAGTATTTGCAGACTGAATAGCTGATGAATGTTGGCTTCTTTGCATGGAGCTGTTTCCTACCAGAGGGAATGAACACCTGGAGTAGAATGCGAGGGCGATGCTTGAGGCAGTGCTGGGAGAGTGGGAGGGCCTGGCAGCAAATGAGCCACACCACAGCGGGTTTGGAGGCCTTGCCCCCGGGGGTGGGCTCCTCTCCCTGGACCCTGGTGATATTTGAAGGCAGCTGTCATGGCTCCCTTGCTTACCTTTTCCAGACTTGATTCCCCAAGACCTTCAACAATTTTCCCTTGTGATTGTCTCCTTTCATTATGAGGAGTAGACTCGAAACTGGGACATCTTGTGTTTTGAGGGAGCCATTTCTGGTTAGATATGACCCGTAGTTACTTCACAAAGGTTAGATATGACCCCTAGTTGCTTCCCTGAAAGCACTCAGCCACATAGAACTGCATTTTACCACAGAGGACAGGAGGGCAGAAGGCAGTAAGTGAGAAAAAGCTCAGGGAGAGGATGTAGAAAAGGTAAAGAGAGAAAGAGAGGGGGCAAATCAAGAGGGAAAAGGTTGGGGGAGAGGCAGGGGAGAGGAGGGAGGATCAGACTCCAAGTCAAGGCGGGGGATGCTGAAGGTGCGGGCTGCATGCTGGAATCCTGCTGCCCCTGCCGCCCCTGCTGGTGGCCACCCTCCTCTTCCTCTTCACCTCGGGTCTTGGCAACAAACCCCTTCCTCACTGTACAGTCTGCATGCAGCAATTTTGGGTACGTGGGCAAGAGTGGGAGAACTCATGCAGAAAAGGAAAGCCTAGATGTAGTTGTTTTGAGCCAGCACCAATAGCGGTGCTCTGTGTTTAGTTGGGACTCTGCATTCCGTGGGACACTCAGGATGGAGGCCAGCTGGCTGTCGCTCAGGGGCTCCCTTTCCCTGTCTCCTGTGTCTGGGAGTGGATCTCTGAAGACAGGGGTGATCTAATCATCCAGGGACTGATTGTCGTCTTAGGATAGAGAAACTGTTTCAGGTCAGAGCCCCAAGGGGCAATAGGACTTGAGAAACCAGTTGTTTCAGTCCTGCTGTCACTTTGGTAATTGGAGTGTCAAAATCCATGACACGGGGCTTTCTAAAATATATGTTTTAAGCAACTGCCGGAAGAGGGGGCAGTGCATTGGGGTTGGATTATGGAGCTTACTTCAGGGCAGGGCTGCATCAGGGTTGTGTAAGGTTGGCTCACCGGGCTGGTGAAAGCTGAGATCTTCCTTCCTGGAAAGGTCTTGGCAAACAGCATGAAATGATCTTATTTATCATGTTGCAGTCACACCTCTCCTAATTGAGGTGAAGCTTGGGGTAGTTTGAGGCTCTAGCTTTACTTTTTCTGAGAAGCACCGCTTGGACTCTTAAGTGCTCACCTGGGCTCTTGCAACAGACTCCCCACAGGCCATGTGCCTGGGGTCTCATTCCCACCCCAAACCCATCCCATAAAACACAGATAGAGAAACTTCTATGAAATGCAAATGTGATTATATCATTGCCCTCCCTGAAGCCTTCGGGGCTCTGCCCCTGTTCTGCTGAATGGAGTGTGAGTTCCTTGGCCTGGTACCTATCCTGTTCTCATCTGTCTCTCTTACCTCTCCCTGCCACGCCCCCAGTGCTCCTCATTCGCCCTCAAACCCCACGCCTGCCCATTTCCAGGCCTTTGCATACATGGTCTCCTGAAGCACCTTCATGTTTATCCCGGGATGTCTCCAGGTACCAGCCTTGATGTCACACTGATACTTACCCCTCCATGGAGATGGCCCCAGTGAAGGGCATCATTCCCACCTCAAAGTCCCACCGAGCTACATCCCACCGAAATCTTTTAGCTGGACCTCCCTGGCCTCTCATTTTCCACATCAGATTAATTTGAGGAGCTGTCTTGTCTCCCTGCAGGCCCGAGAACTCTTTGACAACATGGACAAGCTTTATTTATCATGAAGGCCCCTCAGCATTATACTGTGCCTGACACATAGTAAGTCTGCAGTTAATGTCTGTTGAGTGAATGAAGGGACATACAAGTGAGTGGACAAGTGAATTCATTTCTCCCCCAAGTTCTGGAGCCATCCCACCACCACCCAGGCCCCAGACCACATTCAGAGCACTGTGAAGTGTCTGGGAAGAGTTTAGCAGCTTAGACTACTTCTGATCCTTCCTCATTCCTCCCAGGAAGGCATCTAGCAGTTCAGGTTCCACTGCTAACACCAGCCTGGAGGGCAACTCATTGTTGCAGGAATTGTTGGATAGTCATCTGAAGACAGGTTGTCTCTGATTCTTTAGTCACCATGGTGCTGGGAAAGTCCCCAAAGGTCATGTTTCCCCAAAGGACTCATTAATCACAGAGATAGCTACTGATTTCCACTTGGAGTGGGAATCTTAACCTTGACATGGACATGGACATGCTTGCTCTCTCTATCTGAGAAAAGAAGCCCACTCTGCTCTACTCAGCAGAATGAGGTTTTTTTTTTTTTTTTTTTTTTTGAAATGAAAGAGGCTAATGGGAATGAAGAGGTTAAGTCACCTTGATGAGTTCTGTTCAACTACGTTTAAAGAAAATTCCGCAGGGTGCAAGTGGCTTGTTGTCAGACCTTCCCCCAGGGTCTGAAACAATTGCCTACATGCAGACTGAGTTACTAGAGACAAGGTAAATGGAAGAATCCTTGTTACCTGAGGAGGTCTCTGGGTCATCCTGCCACTCAGCTGCTCTGCTCTCTGCCAGCCCCAGGTCTCCAGACAGCTGGCACCCCCAACCCCAGTTCCTGAGAGCCACTCCTACCTCACACCCACATTCGAGCAAAGCACCCATTTCTGCTCTAGAACCATCCTATCTTCACTTTGTGGATGAACAAGTGGATGGTCCATGCTGGGATCTTGAATGTGGGGGAAAATCAGCTATAGTCCCTGCTTTCAGGGGTTCATAGTCTTGGCAAATGAGTATTTGCCATTCAGTATTTGAAGTGCAATGGTGGAATTGTCAGAGTTCTGTGGGCCTGGAGGAGGAAGTCCCTATCTTCTTGAGAAGGGTGGATGGTGAGGAAGCAGTAACACTTGTTCCAAGGCTTGATGGATCCTAAGGGACTTACAAGAGACACCAGGATGGAGCACAGCATTTTTGGTGCAAAGGTGAAGAGGCTGGAGAAAGCCTGGATGTAATTTAGGGAAGGCGTTTTGAAGAAGTGGAGGAATAAACATGTGGATGGGAGGATGGATGATAAGGGGTTAGATTTGTTCTGTGTCCTCAAAGGGGAGGAAAAGTAGGACTAATGCTGGGTGGGCATGAGGAGATGGATTTCAGCTCAGTATAATGAGGGACATTCCAAGTGTCACTCCCAAAGGGGGAAACTCTCCTTTCCTGGAGGAATTCAGGCAGGGTTGGTTCAGTCACTTGGCAGGGATGTTGGCAAGAATCACTCTAGAGTGTGGGTGGGGCAGATTGGATTAAGTCCATAGTTTTCACACTTTTTTCAAGACAAATCTCTTCCTTCAAATCAAATTGGTCTGATTGAACAGGGGGTGGAGGGGCCCTCCGATTCCATCAACTTGCTGCTCCTTACCTTCAGGTTTGAGATTCTGTAATGCTAATGCAGAAGCCTTCCATTTGCAGGTTTTGATCTCCTCTTGCTTTTTTTTCTCCACATCATCCCTTGAGAAGAGAGCATAGAACACGTGAGAAACCTAGGCCATTATACAGGCAATATTTGCTGAGAACCTTCTATGTAGCAGCCACTACTCTAGGTGCTGAGAATAAATCAGAAAAAAAAAACAGATGGACTTTGCTCTCTTGGAGTTATCAGTCTGGAGGGGTAGGCAGAGTCATAAACATATTTAGGCACATTGTGATAAGTAGTGGTGGGCAGAGGGCCTAGGGGGAGCACTTACCACCCTACTGGAAGCATCTGGTCTAAGGCCCTCCAATCCCCAGGATGCTTCTCTCTCCTCATTACCAAGCTGTGTTCAGAAGGGAGTGAAGACAGTGACTCCTCCCTGGATGTGAGCATGGGAGCAGAAGGGCTGTCAGAAAATGAGTGTCCCCAGCTGTCAGGTCTCCAAGTCAGGCACAGAAGGGACTGAGGAGGGCTTCTAGACTCTGCTGCCTAAGCTCTCAGCCTGAGACAGTTCCTGGAAACATCCTCATACCCTCGAGTGGGAGCCCTTAAAACCCTGCACCCAGAGCGGAGCCCCCAGGCCCTTAAAGCAGGAGTCTGCAACAGGCAGGTTGGGGGCACAACCATAGCCAGGCTGTGAGGGGAGGGCTGAAATCCAACACTGGCAGCTCTATATCTTCCTGCTCTGCACTGGGGAAGGGGCTGGGGAGGTGCAGCCAGTGGGGCAGATATGATTCAAGCTACTTTTCGTACTGCATTATTTTGAGCAACTCTGTCATTTGTGTGACTTTGGACTAGTCTCTTCTCCATATTACACCTCGGTTTCTTCACTTATGAAAAGGGAGAGTAGGTGACTGCTAGTCTTCCCAGCTTCCCCAGATCCTAATTCTGTGAGTCTTCTTTCTGCTGAAAGGACAGGGGTCAGAGGACCTTGATCTGGACTCTGGTTTTTGGAAGGCCAAACCCCACTGGTTATAACCTAGGAAAGGGACTTTATAGCCAAAGGGCAGGAAGATGGCAGAGGAGTCCCTGAACTGAGCACTTGGATCTGGGGCAGCTTGAAGGGGGAGCTGCAGCAGTAGCCCTGAGGCAGCTAGGGCCAGGCCTGGTAGTAGGCTTTGCAGAGAGAAGCAGATACTTGTGCTGGGCCCAGCTCTCAGCTACCCACCAGAAAGGACAGCTGGCCCTCAAAGCTTAAAATCAGAATCTTCAGACCCCCAGGCTCTCTGGACCCAGAGCACAGACTCCTCCTGGTAGTCACGGAGTCTTTTAGCTGCAGAGCCCGGACTGGAGCTCATTTCTTCACTCTGCCATTCTGTTGAGACCAGGGTGGGCATAGGGCTAAGCTCTCAGACTCCCACTTGTGTGAGCACTCCCGTTGATTAGGGTGGCAGGTCTGTTAAGAGAGATCCAATTGCTCTCTTGGATCCAGAAAAAGTGTGAGAGTAAACACACCGGATCTGTCCTTGTTTCCACTGCCTGGGTGCCAGTATTCCTCCCCAGACATGGCACTATCTAGGTCCATTTCTGGAAGACTTTCAGAGGAATAGAATTCTGTTAGGAGAGAGAGAGGGCTGTGTAGACAGTGATGGGTGAAGACAGGCTTGGGGCTGGTTGGTGAGGTAGCAGGCATATCAAGGGGTAGAGATATGCCTTTTTGCTTTCTACAGTGTACAGTGACAAGGGCCATTTGTCAGGCTGGACAGGCTGGACAGGGTGTCTGAGATGGGGCAGGGAGCCTGGGATCTGAACAGTGGGGCCTGAAGTCAGAGGTGAGGACATGGTCAGGGAGGTGAGCCCAAGGGGCCCAGCACAGACCCATGTTTTGCTGCTTCTCATTTTGTTAATACTGAATGAGGGGGCTGAGTCACAGATAAGGACAGGGCTGTCTAATGCCCAGAGCCCTGGGAAGGCAGGGTTGGAGAAGAGGTGGAAGAAGCACACAGAGCACTGACTTGGAGGAAGAGACTTTATTTGGCCCCAGCCCCTAGCCCCACAGCCAAGACAGTTTGACATAACAGGCCCCGGGGCCCTGGTTGGGTAGAGGCAGGGTGGCCTGGCCTCCTGATTAGTGGCTGTGGCCGTGGCCACCATGACTGTGGCCGTGGCCGTGGCCACTGTGATCTTGGCCACTGTGGTCTTAGGGGGTGCCCTCCCCGAGGCCTGGCTTATGGTGGTGGCCAGGGCCCTCGTCACCCTCGTGCATCTTCTCGTGGGAGGCCCAGGTTAGCCTCGCCATCAGCATGATGAACTCCTCGAAGCTCAGCTGCTTGTCTGCATTTGTGTCCAGGTCCTCCATGATGTGTTCTATGACCTTTTCATTCTTATTCTCCTTCTGCGGGTGGGGAGAGAAGGCTGTGAGAGCTGGGTGTGGCCAGAGGTGGGGACTGGGAGCACAGTAAATGACCAGCTGGCAAATGTACAAGGGAAGCCTCACCCTGGGGCTGGATTTAAAAATTAAAAATGACCATAGGCTGAGTGCGCACAATGGAGCAGACACTGAGCACATACCAAACGCTCTCCAGTTTATTCCCTCCATGACCCTGTGACTTGGGTGCTGATTCTCTATTTATAGAAGAGGAAGCTGAGTTCCAGGGTCTTGCCCTGGTCATGGCATGAGTAAGCCTGGAAATGTCACCTCATTTGGTCCTTATAACAACTTTAACAGCTAGGAATGGTATCTTCCTGGAGGAAGACTTGAAACCAGTCCTAGAGAGGGTCATTAGTTTTCACAGCTTGACTATTGAGGGCATGCAAATTCAGATCTGACTTAGAGGCCAGTTCCACTCTGCTACCCCTCTGCACTTCACTCCTTCCCCTGCCCTCCCTTCCCTTCCCTCTGGAGGTTACCAATTAGTGAAACTTATTTCAACCAATACAACGGGGAAACACCTAGAAAAACTAGGTGTGGGCAGGGGAGATGGAGGGTCAGAGAGCAGAGTATGTGCTCCGCTGACCTCAAGGGTGTGATAAAGTATAAAAGGGGAGATGGTCGGACAGGGTGGCTCATGCTTGTAATCCCAGCACTTTGGGAGGCCGAGGCAGGCAGATCACCTAAGGTCAAGAGTTCGAGACCAGCCTGACCAACATGGAGAAACCTTGTCTCTACAAAAAATAACAAAATTAGCCAGGCATGGTGGTGCATGCCTGTAATCCCAGCTATTCTGGAGGCTGAAGCAGGAGAATCGCTTGAACCCAGGAGGTGGAGGTTGTGGTGAGCCGAGATTGTGCCGTTGCACTCCAGCCTGGGCAATAAGAGCGAAACTCTGTCTCAAAAAAAAAAAAAAAAAAAAAAAAAGGAGAGACATCAGGGGAGGTGGAAGACCCAGACCCAGGCGGGGTCCAAGAGAGCACTGGTTGGTTCCAGCTCTGCCACCCTCTGGCTGAGTCACCTCGCTAAGTCCCCTCCCAGAACCTGTGGGGTACCCAGCCAATGCGAGCACTCTCCTGTGCAGCCCATCCATGAGGCTCTGCTTCCTTTCCCACAGCATCGCTTTGCTTCTGGTGGGGGATGTCAGGTGGGGGGTGAAGCGGGCATAGGGGGTCACATGGAGGATAGTTTTGCCATGCGGCCTCTCTGCTGGGCCCTTTCTTGCCTACCCCACCCAGCATCCTGCCTGCCTGAGGCCTCCACCTATGGAGAGCTGTCAGGGCCCCTAACTCTGAAGGCTGCAATTCTCCACCTTACCAAGGCGGAGGGAGGGGCACTGGGAGGGCTGGGGACCTACCCCAGGATGTCTGGCTCCGGGACTGGAACTGAGACTGAGACCCATGTGTTCCACCCTTCTTAATGCAGGCCTCTGTTTCCCGACTTTCCCCAAATTTGAAAAGAAAACAAAAAGGCTGTTGGAAGTGCTCAGCCTTTTTCTTAGAACTGCCTAATCATTTTTGGAGCGGGGGAAAAACCTCCCAGTTCCCTGAGTGCTGTGCAGGTGCTCTCCATGTGCTCTTTATGCATTCATTTTCCACCGCAGACCCTTAGGATTAGAAAAGCCCCCAAGTCTTCCACCCCAAGTTCCCGCCTGAGGCTTAGGGTCTCCTCAGCTTTGTGCCAAGTGTCATCCTCAGGGGCTTCCCTCCCCAACATTCGGGGCTCAGCTCAAATGTTACCTCCTCAAAGAGGCCCTTCTCATGTACCCTAACTGGTCACCTCCACCCCACCCAGCCCCATTGCCCACAGCGCACTCTATCTCATTTTCTTCCAGGCACTTATTGGCATTTGGCTTTATCTGTGCTCTTTATTGGCCAACAACTTTACTGTGTGTCTCCCTCCACTGGAATAGTGGGCTCCCCATTTACCACTACATCCCTCTGCCCAGAACAGGGCCCGACAAATAGCAGGTGTTCAATTGAGCAATTTCTTGACCCTGTCGTCCTGTGTAACTGTGAGCACCTGCCCTGTATAACAGGACACTCGCTGCGTCTTGGGGCTGGGCTCCAGGAGCTCAAATCTTCCCCTTGATTGCTGTAGCCCATACTCCCATCCTCCCTTGTCAACCCAAACTGCGGTGAGGCTGGGTCAGACCTGCCAGAGTCCAGCCCTACCTTGAGAAAATTTTGCAGATCTTTTCGCACCAGCTCTTTGAATTCCCCCTGGTTCAGGGTGTCTGGGTGCCCCAGCTTCACAGAGTATTGGTGGAAGGTGTTGATGATGGTCTCTATGTTGCGTTCCAGCTGCGACATTTTGCAAGTCATCGTCTTGCACTCTGTCTGTGTAATGGAAAACCAAGAGTTGGGACACTTAGAAGAAAATGCTGTCAAGCTTCTTTGACACTTCCTACTAAGCACTCACAGAAATAGTGGGGGAAGTGCAAAATAAAAAGAAAGCACAGGCTGCAACTTAACTGGGAGATGGCCTGTCACACACATGTACAAAATGATTTTTTAGAATATCTACAGAGTGCCAAAAAGCAAAGCATTTGAGGGCAGGAGGCCCCAGGGGAACATGACCTAAGAAAATGTGAAAGAAGCTTTAAAGTAGGCAGGGCCAACCAAGGAGGGCTTCTAGGAGGAGGATTTGGAAGGAAGTTGGGTCAGGGAAGGAAAGAAGGAATCGGCAGGCAGGCTTCTGCCTGGGGAAGCTGGCAGCTCACTTACCAAAGCCGAGGAGCCACACAGAGTGTTTGCCAGAGCTGTGCAGGCTCGGCATTTATAGGCAGCTCCTGACTGGGGCACTTGGCCCTTTGGCCCTGTCTCCGGAAGATTGCTTCACAGGTGAGCAGTGTGGTAATGCTGCCAGGAAGGGGGCTGGGGCGGGGCAGGAAATGTTCACAGAGCGCCTTCTGCTTTTTTGTGAAATTCCCAGCCCTGGCCTGAAACTGGTTTGGGAGGAAGCTGGTTGTTTAGTTCATTTCCCTTCTATCCTAAGGCCCTACTCTCCCCGAGCGAGCCTGCTGCTCCTCTGGCACCACTCAGCCCCCCATCCCCTTTGAGGTTGAAGCAGGCTGAGGACCTATGGGGGCCTGACCCTCTCGGCTGCCCCCCATGGGCAGTCTGCCCCTTCCTTTTAGTCCAACAAGGATGGTCTGAGCTCTCACCCATGCTTGCCTGGCTCTGTGATACTTAGGATGGCGAGGGGTTGGTGTTCTTAGATTCATAGGGTGAGATTTGGGGTTAGAAGGGTTCTCAGAGGTGGGCAACCCTCTTGCATTGTAGATGAAGAAACTGACACCCGGAGATGGACCTGAGCAAGGTCACATAGCTGGTTGCTGACTTGGCAGGAAGGGGACCCAGCTATTCTGGTTCCTGGTTAAGGGCAATTCTGATGATACCTTCCTCTTGCAGTCTGAGTGAGAGAGCCTCAGGGCGAATATGTTTCTAGCATCTCTCAGCATCATTTTTCTAAATCCTGCTCCCAGCAAGGGTTCCAGGAACTTATAACTTGGGAGACAACTGTTTTTACTTAGCCTCCTGGTGGGCAAGATGTGTCCTTCTCCTGCTACGAACCTCCAGTTGCTCCCCATTGCCTATGGAGAAAGCTTGGCTTAGCCCTGCGCACAAAGCCCTCTTGGAATGGCCCTGCCTGTCCGGCCAGCTTCCCTTTCACTACCTCCCTGCCCACTGTGGGAACACAGGGCCCACCTCCCACCTTGCCACCCCAGGAGTGCCCTTCCCCTACTCCACAGTGATATCCTGCCCGCCCCCACGGCTCAGTTCTAATGCACTCTCTTCCAAGGAGACTGCTCTGTGCTTCCCATTTGGAAACAGTTTCTGTCTTCCTGACTATGATTCTCATACCACTTCTGGCTCTCAACACTTGCTTTCCTGGAGTAAAATTATATACATATTTTGCCTCTGTCCAACAATTGGCTGTAGATCCTCAAAGGTAGGTTCTCATTCATGTTCTCCTTCTCCTATGCACACAGCCCGGGGCTTGGCAAGAGAGACACCCTCGGATTTGCTGATTGATCCTTGCTGAAGTCCTTGCTGGCATCCTTTCCCGTCACCCCTGGAAGCCAGTATGGATGATCCACCCTGGGACTCCCTCTTGCTTGCTGCCCCCTCTCTCTATCAGGAAAGATGGTTCTCTTCTTCTACCTGCACTGGTTATTTTGTTCTGTCTCCATGAAGCCTTCCTTTATTGCCCCAGCCCCTCCTGACTGCTTTGTCCTCTGAAAGCCTGAGGCAATCTCTGTGTGTGCTAAGCATTGGCCCTAAGCATGGCCTGCCTCACACTGCTGAGATGCACCTGGAGTAGTGGTTAAGACTTCAGACTGTCTGTGTGACCTTAGGCAGTTTACTTAACTTCTCTGTGCCTTACTTTTCTTATCAATAAAATAGGATAATATCAGGACTTACCTTGAGGATTGCGACAATACATGGAAAGTTGGGAAGAGCTCAGTAAATAAAAGGTATTATTACTAATAATCTTTTCATTCATTTATGCAACAAATATTTGTTGAGCACCTACTGAGTGCCAGATATGAATGCTAGATGCTGGGAGAACTTGATGAGTGAGTCGCAATACAAAGGGGAGACATAATCTTATATCCTGTCTTCCAAATTACGTTTTAAACTCTTGGTAGCTAAGGACAGGGCTTGGCACAGTGCTAAGCACACAGCAAGCATCTAATAAATAAATGAGTGCTTGAATACATGAGTCGCCTACGAATGAATGAACGGTGCAGACACAGCTCAGGAATACATGAGGTAGATTTCCTATCCAAGTCCACCTTCCATTGTTTAAGCTAATAGAGGAAACCCAGCCAGCAGCCAGCAGCCAGCAGCCAGCAGCCAACCCTGTGTGCCAGTGCAGCCTGTTCTGCAGTCCCTGCACAGCCCCAGGCGCCCTTCCTGTGTGCTCCCATGGCGCCCTCTGCTGCCTCTGACAAAGCACTTCTCACTCAGGACCAAGGATCTCCAACTCACCCTTGCGGGAACCAGACCCAAGGTGAAGCTGGTGGGGCATGAGAACATCAACGGCAGCAGTAGGGCAACTTGTGGCCACTGATATGGGGCCTCAGGGTTGGGGACACTGGACAGTGGTGGCAACTGTGGGGAATGAGAACGTTCCTACCTTGAAGGGACAGCCAGTGTCAGGCCAGGGCTGCCACGTGGGAAAGTAGACCAGATGTTCTTGGACCTCCTGAGGGCCCAGGACATCTGAAGCTTTATATGAAAATTCCTGTTTAATACAATTTGTCCATTAATTTAAAATAAAAACAAAAAAAGCATGACAATGAAGCAGGGTGTGTGTGACTCAAACCCTGAGTGATGGTGTGCGGCAGGCATCTCTGCTTTGTCATGGAGCTCTCAACTTTCAGGTGGACTTTCTGATTCCTCCACACCACTGTGGCTCCTCTAGGCAGGGATGCTGCCTGCTACCCTCCAAAGTCTTAGCACCAGGCAAGGGCTGGCTCAGAGGCACTGGATGAACGCTTGTTGATTGAATAAATTCAGGAGTGCATGAATCAATGATGAAATGAGTGAATGTGACATAAACACTGGCCTGTCACCCTCTGTTCTGTGACTTTCTGCAGAGCCACTGACTGTGGTCATTTAGTGCTGATTCAGAATGAAAGTAAAATAGGGAGTTGGGGGAGAGAAGGCTCAGCAGTGGGTGGGAATGAGCAGCTGGTCAGGGTTTCAAAACAGACGGGAATCTGCACTTGGGGGATCTGATGCTGACAGTGGGCCCCCATCTTAGAAGGCCACTGCAGGCCCCCAGGTTCCAGGCTAGCCCAGGCGCAGGTGAGGCCAGGGCTGAGCCATTCTGGTTCTGACCGGAGCAGACAATTCCTGGCATGATCAGTAGGTGGCCGACACCCACCTGCCTCCTCACTGCCAGCCGAGGCCAGAGGTTGGACTGAGGGATGGTGGGATGGGGGTCTTCCCCTCTGGGTACTGATTTTCCAGGGAAAGTCGGAGCCTTCTGCTAGGGCATGAAGTGGGTGGGCCAATTTTCCTGGCTCTGTACAATGACTCGAGGTTTTCACTGGGAGAAAAGGGTGTGGCTTTTTGGGTTAAAAAACAAATAAGTGGCCGGGCACGGTGGCTCACGCCTGTAATCCCAGCACTTTGGGAGCACGAGGCGGGTGGATCACAAGGTCAGGAGTTCGAGACTAGCATGGCCAACATGGTGAAACCTCCATCTTTACTAAAGATACAAAAAATTAGCCGGGTGTGGTGGTGCGCACCTGTAATCCCAGCTACTCAGGAGGCTGAGGTAGGAGAACCGCTTGAACCTGGGAGGCAGAGGTTGCAGTGAGCCAAGATCGCGCCATTGCACTCTGGCCTGGGTGGCAGGGTGAGACTCCATTTCAAACAAACAAACAACCAAGCAAGTAAACAAACAAGCAGGCAGAGGTTCCTGCAGCTACCATCAAATCACTGTGCTCTTTCCCAGATGCCTGGGACCCACTGCGGGTCTGTCTTTCCCTTCTCTGCAGCTCCCACTGTGGTCTTTCAGGGAGCTTTACCCCTCCTGTGTTGTAATGGGGGTGTTACAGCAGGCACACAGTGGGACCCGGACTGAGGGACTGAGCTGGTTTTAGTCCTTAGCTTTCTCAGACTTGCTGGTGGTCTTTAGAAGTGATTTCCATGTTCGGGCCTCCATTTTCTTATCCATTACATGAGGAGATTGGGACAGCTGACCCTTAGGTCATTTCTAGCACAGATTCCAAGTTTTGATGGACTCTTGGTGGGCTTCATGACTACTACTAGCCTCATGGCCCCTGGACACTGTCTCCTGGCTTACTTGCTCCACCTGCAGGTGAAGTCAGGTCCCTCTCCTCACAGGGACTCTGATGCCTGAGGCCCAGCCCCACTCAGGCTGCGCACAGCCTGCTGCCTATTCCTCCACTCCCTGTCTTCCTCCTTGCTGGGAGTCCCAAGTGCTCTTCCTTGGAGATCTCTGGGTACGGGTCTCCTAACCACAAGCGCCCTAACATCCCCCATTTCCCCAGTGCTCATTCTAGACTCTAGTGCATTAGGATGACTTACAGAAGCTATCCACGGGTAGCTTCAGACCATTGTTCTACCACGTTTGGGCTCAGTCCACATCAAGCTTTGACCACCCCTGGCATCCTTGTGGCCTCCCTTGACTGGCCATCCTGAGGTCTCTGAGGCCCTCTGCTGAGAGCAGCCGCACTCCCTGCCCCCATGCTGGGCTGCTCCAGCATCCACAGTGAGGACCCTCCAATGATCTGGCTTCTTAGACATTCAACCTAAGCTTCCCCAAGTCTGGACCTCTCCCCCTGTCTCCACCTTGGCTGCCTCTGCTCATCATCCTCCTAATTTCTCAGACATGCCACCTTCAAAATTGAGAAAGCTGGCATTCCCTTTTGTTGCCTGGCTTCTGTTGCTCCAACCCTTTCTCCTCCCCGATCTCTTGGGAACCTGGCTTTTGCGCTCACTATGTCCCTAGGTTCCAGATCTCTGCAGAAATTTTTGGCGAGTATCTCAGCATCTGGCTTTTGGCATCCTCTGCTCTCAGGACTCCCTTTGAAGTCCACAGCCCTTTGTAAAGAATAAAGGGTTTTCACACTCAGCAGGCATTATAATCACTGGCGTTTGGATCTGTCTCCCTCATTATATTATTAACTACTTGAGAGCAGTGTTCTCAATGTACTCATCCCTGGATGATAAGCTTTGCATATGAGTGACACCTGACAAATGTTTGCAGAATAAAATGAATGACTGGCTTGGTTTGGCCAGAACTTATGCTTAGGAGATGGCTATGCCCTGTAATTATGAAGGCGTTGGTGGATAAAGCTAGTTAGAAAAAAAAAAGACGTGCCACACAGAAGCATGAAGGTAAGGAAGGAAGTGGAAGGGAGTGATGGATAAAAGAGGTTGCTCAGAGACTCCTAGTGAGTGAAAGGTGACTCCGGAGTTATCAGAGGGCGCATGCTGCCACCTTGTGGCCTATCTGCATCAGGACAGCCTGTGGGATTCCTTTGGCCCCAGGTTTTTAATCTTTTTGCTCTCTGGACCCTTTTATATGTATTCATAGAAGTTATTGAGTATCCCAAAGAGCTTTTGTGGATTAGATGTATCAGTATTTACTACATTAAAAGTTTAAAAAATTTAAAATGATTTATTAACTCACTTAAAGTACCATTAATAAACACATTACGTATTACCACGTTTTTAAACAATTAAAAATAATTATATATATATGTCAAAAGCTAGTGAGAAGAGTGTTTTTTTTTCACATTTTTGCAGACCTTTTTACTGTATGGCTTCAAAGAAGACAGCTGGTTTATCACATCTACTTCTGCATACAAGGTATTGCTGTATGTTGCTTTGGTTGAAGATTTGAAGAAAATCCAATCTCCCACAGATAAGTAGTTGCAAAGGGGATGAATACATTAATAGCCTTTAAATATATAATTGTGGATATTCTTCTCTCATATTACATCAAAACCCAACAAGTGATGGTTTCTCAAAGGTTAGTTGCAACGTAAAGTCTGAAACCATATCAATGAATTATTTGTTCTCTGTTACATTAGAATCAATTGGTCCCTCTTAAAATTTAATGGATCTTTTATCCAAACTTTGTGACTTCATATATTGATCATTTGGAAAATATTGGTTGACTGAGTTATGTACGTCTTCTAAATGCTGACATCATTTATTACTCTCTATATATACATATTTATATATATCACACACACATATAAATAAACCACATTTGGCCGGGCGTGGTGGCTCACGCCTGTAATCCCAGCACTTTGGGAGGCTGAGGCGGGCAGATCATGAGGTCAGGAGATCGAGACCATCCTGGCTAACACTATGAAACACCATCTCTACTAAAAATACAAAAAATTAGCCATGTGTGGTAGCACATGCCTGTAGTCTCAGCTACTTGGGACACTGAGGCAGGAGAATCACTTGAACCCGGGAGGCAGAGGTTGCAGCGAGCAGAGATCATGCCACTGAATTCCAGCCTGGGCGACAGAGATAGATTCCGTCTCAAAAACAAACAAAACAAAACAAAACAAAAAAAGCAAAAAAGCCCCACCACATTTGTTAATATCACCACTGATCCTGTCAGTAGTCTTCAAATATTGGGAAGCTGTCAAACTCATGGTGGCAGACACAAATTTTCCAAAATTCAAATTTTTGACTGAAAGCTCCAATTTTATTATGCTAACAAATTGTAGTTGTTTTCCCGGAAGTGAAAGGCTCACTTTGTTAATTTTCAAGAAAATGTATGCCGCATACCCAAATATGAGTATCCATAGTTTGGCTATCATTTGTTCTATGTTATTTGTTCACGGCGTCCATGAAAAGTGGCTGGTTCAGCTCACAACTGTAGCACACAAATGCTTTTCCTTGAGAGAATCAGGGTTGAGATTTAATAAAATGAGTAATTTTCACTGCTTCATCAAAAACATTCCTAAGTGAGCCTCCTTTTCTTGAAAGAATACATTGTGAAGAATACAATGACTGCTAGTGCAGTCTGACGCCACACATAGGTTCATGTCTCTAACGGTTTTTTCTACCATTGTTTTTGTGTCATCAGTGCAAATATCAGCACAGTGAGGAAAGTGAGGAGCCGGGAGTCTTGGTTTGTGGGCAGTTTCCTGTGGTGGGAAGTTCAGAGAATATTGTTCTGGAATTAGTTTTGATCTCATGGACCCCCCCAAGGGGTCTTGGGGTCCCCCAGTTTCCCCTGGGCCACTTTTTGAGAACCACTGCCTTAGGTACTTGAAGGTATGCATTATTTGAGGCAGGTCGGTGTGCTGGCTTGCTTTTCCTTTCCATTTCTTCTTTTGACACCTTTTAAAAGAGTGTCCTGTTTAAGTCTTTCTTTCTTTCTCTCTTTCTTTCTTTCTTTTTTCTTTCTTTCTTTCTTTCTTTCTTTCTCTCTTTCTTTCTTTCTTTTTTCTTTCTTTCTTTCCTTTCTTTCTTTCTTTCTCTCTCTCTCCCTCTCTCTCTCTCCCTCCCTCCCTCCCTCCCTTCCTTCCTTCTTTATCTGACAAATGCTTATTGAGTTTCTAACATGTGTCAGCATTATGCCAGACACTAAGCTAAACCCTGAGACTACAGAATAAAGTAAATTCCCACTTCTGTGAAATTCACAGCTGGAGGGAGGCTTAAGACAGAGGACAAAAAAATGTAAATATAAATAATGATAGTATTAAAGGCAGGTAAAGAGATAGACTTGGGAACTGCTCTTGAGGAGATTATAATTACAATTCATTCAGGTGCTAGAATGGAGAAGAGAGACTCTGAGCCTCTACCAGTCCCAACTAGTCACGGAGCCCTTTCCAAAGATGCCAGGCTGAAGTGGAGCCTCTGGGCGCAGGTGGGGAGCGAGGCTGGGCACTTGGGAAGGGTCTTGAGATGGTGGGAGGTGGGGCAGAGAGCACTGGGAGCCTGCTCTGGCAGCGTGGAGTGAGATGGGGCTGGGGGCCAGATAATTTAGGACTTAGGAGGTCCTCTCGGGATTCTGAGTTCACAGAATCAGAGAGGGACAACCCACACTGCTCTCTTCCTCCCTCCCGATGCCCTCGTCCCGGACAGCCCTCAGTCTGTTAGTCCTCAAGAATCTGTTGGTCTCTGGATGGGGCAGAGAATCTGTTGGTCCCCTTTGGCAGCCACCACCCAATCTCTTCTTGGGCTTCCCCTCCCCAAGCCGCTCCAAAAAGGGGAACCGAGTCTCCTCAAGTCCTTGGTGCCCCGGATGCAAGCCCAGAAACCTTCTCATTTTGAGAACTGTTCTACTTATTTAGGATGGGCGGCCAGCAAAAGGCATGGAGAAACAGCATGTTGCCAGGCTGGGGAAACTACCAGGGTCCCTACAGTGCTGGTCCCAGGCTGCAGTTCTTGGTCTCCTTCATCTCTGTCTCTGGCTCTGCCCCACATTCACCCTCACCCCAGGACAGAGCTCAGCAGCCCCTGCTCATCACACAGCTCCAGCCTGGGTCTGGGTGCATGACTGGGATGAATGCCAGGTAGACCTGGCGCATGCTCAATGGGCCCCATCCAGAGAGCGCTCCTGGGGAGCCCAGTCTGAGAGTGGGACTGCAGCTCACTGAGAGCAACTGTTCTGGATTCAGGGCACTTCCTAAGTGTCTAGGGAGGCTGCCCCACCCTCCGGGACATGAGAGGCTCTGCAGGTCCCCGTGGAGACTGCATCCTACTGCGTTCTTGGAAAGTGTCATGCAGAGTTTCCTCTGTGAAGACTCAAGGGCTGTAAGTCCAGGTTGCAGAATGTGGAATGAGATTAGGTGACAACTGGAACATGGCGAGGAGCTGGAGATTCTTGGTTTGTGGGAGGCTTTCTGTGGTAGGTGGCAGCTTGATGCCGACGGTGGGGAGTGGCAGGCGGGAGGATGATGGGCAGACATGTAAGCTATTGGGGCAGAATTAGGCATCGTGAGCTGTTTCCTGAGATTGTACCTCCCAGTTTCTCTCTGTCCATCCTGACCCTGCTCATGACCCTGGTAAAAGGTGGTGTTGGTGAGTGACTTCAATCCACAGTCTTCAGGCTCCTGGAGCAGAACTTCACAGGCAGGAAGTTTCTAGATGTTGCAGACACAACCCTCAGGCCCTGCAGGCTTTCCCAGGTTGGGGCTGAGGACGAGCTCTCGGGAGTGTTGGGCAATCTTGCCCTTTCCCAGGGAGGAGCTACCTGGGCTTATTCACAGGGCGGGTCCCCAGGTGCTCTCAGCCTGAGTCTGGTCCCACTTGCATTTCTCCAGGTGCTGTGAAAGGAGCTGGCTCAGAGCCTTGCCCTCTGTCTTCCCTTCTCCCCATCTTTTGTTAGGGATCCTGGGCTCTCTTCTCTCTGGGAAGCTAGAGCCCGAGTGCTCCATTCCCAGGGAGGGAGTGCCCTCTAGGGCTAGGGAGAGTGAAGGCTGGAGGAGAAGGCGCCAGTTGGTGAAGAAGGGCAGGGCCTGGAGGCCAAGTCTGGAAGGGAAGGAGCTGCTGGCCAATCAGGGGCAAGCTGACTGCACCCTGACCTGCTGGGCTGGGACAGCACAGGACCCACAGATATCTGTGAGTTGAGTATGTGTTTCTTCTTCAGAAGCCCTCTTCCAGCAAAGGGACTGGAATCCACCAGAAAGAGTGTTAAGGATTGGATTTCCTCTGCCCTAGAACTAGGAACCCCTCCTACTCCTATATCTCCCTCATCTGGCATATTCCCAGCTGGGAAGGGATTCTCTGCATAAGACCCATCCATATGAGTCTGGATTTCTCGGTTGTACCATTCTTGGATCTTACTTCCTTTGTCTGTAAAAATGGGGGTTAACAGTCTTACATGACAGGATTAGTGTGAGGACTAATTAAATAAGACTGCATGTGCAAGTGTGTACACAGCCTTGCACGCCGTGGGCACGTGATGAAATTGAGTTCCTCGGGTAATAATAGGACAGGGATGCTGAGCACCTGCTGTATGCTGGGGGCCCTGAGAAGACTGAAGCAGGTGCTGGCCCTCAGGAGGCCACAGGATGGTAGAGGAGGCAGATGGCACCCACTGCAGTCAGGGTTTGGGATGCTCTGCAGATTGAGAATGGTCATGTTAACAACTGTCAGCGTCTCTCTCAGGCTGCCATCCACACTCTCCAGATTGGTGTCCTGGGACCACGTGGGGATGCTGCCGTGGCTTCTTGTCTTCTCTGCTCTGGGTATCCAGGCCTGGGGTAAGTTTTCTTTCCCTGGGCCAAAAAGCAACCGAGAAGGGTGATCCTAAAGTCTCATAATAGGAATTAAAAAATACCTACTGTCCATCTGAGCCTGAGGAGTTCAAGGCTGCAGTGAGCCGAGATCCCACCACTGCACTCCAGCCTGAGTGACAGAGGAAGAACTTGTCTCAAAAACAAACAAACAACAACAAAAAAAACTACTCTCTCTTGGCCAGGGGTGGTGGCTTATGCTTGTAATCCCAGCACTTTGGGAGGCCTAGGTGGGCAGATCACGAGGTTAAGAGATCGAGACCATCCTGGCCAACATGGTGAAACCACGTCTCTACTAAAAATACAAAAATTAGCTGGGTGTGGTGGCACATGCCTCTAGTTCCAGCTACTCAGGAGGGAGGCTGAGGTAGGAGAATTGCTTGAAGCCAGGAGATGGAGGTTGTAGTGAGATGAGATCGTGCCACTGCACTCCAACCTGGGTGACAGAGCGAGAACTTGTCTCAAAAAACAAACAAACCAACAAACAAACAAAAACAAACCCATTCTCTCTTGGCCGGGCGCAGTTGCTCACGCCTCTAATCCCAGCACTTTGGGAAGCCGAGGCATGCAGATAAGGAGGTCAAGAGATCGAGACCATCCTGGCCAACATGGTGAAACTCCATCTGGCGCGCTCCTGTAGTCCCAACTACTCGGGAGGGAGGCATGAGAGAACTGCTTGAACCCGGGAGGCAGAGGTTGTAGTGAGCCGAGATTGAGCCACTGCACTCCAGCCTGGTGACAGAGTGAGAGTCCGTCTCAAACAAACAAACAAACAAAAAACAAAACAAAACGAAAAAATCCCCCAAAACCTACTCTCTCTTAAGGAGAAAGAATAGATTGTACATAGAGCACAGAACTTGGAGCCTATAGACCTGGATTCAAGTCCTCGCTCTGCCTCTAGGAATGATTTTAAACAAGCAATTAAGCTCTATAAACCCTTATTTTCCCATCTGAAAATTGAGATAGTTATGACTTCCTAAACTCACTGTGAGGATTAAATGAGATAATGCACCTGAAGATATAGCAATACGTGGGCAGTAAAAGCAAATAAACAGGAGCAAGGATTACATTTGTGTTATTATGATGTCAATCAGAGTCCAGCCTATGGCTTGGGTTTGTGCTTGTCAATAAGAGAAAGCTCCTTGTGGGTAAGGGTCTCAATCAACACCCTGCCCATCCCCCATGGGCCTTCAGACAGGAGAATGGGCATAGCACACGTCCCTAAAATCAATCCCGGGGGAACTGGTCTGAGCCGTGCAGGTAATTCTAACCCCTTCTTCACACACGCTTCCCCATTGCTTCGGTAAAATGCACACAAGAGAGGACTTTGTGGTTTTGAAGTGTCTGAATACATTTCTAGTTTTTTTTTTTTCCCCGCCAATTGTGTGTGTAGATACAGCTCATGAGAAAAGGATAACATTTCCAACTCCTTGCCTATCCCAGGGGATTTCCCAGAGTTGGCATGGAAGGAAGTTATGCCACCTGCTGCTATTAGAGGTGGCCCTCTGGTCAGCCCAGAGAGATTTCTTAGAGGAGGCTCTGGGATTTGAGGAGGCAGAGGGGCAGTGGAGAGGGGATGGCTGTTTCTGTTCAGAGCTGGTGCCACCATGATGGCTGGTATTGGTGCTCTCTGATGCAAAATGGGATATTCCTTTGCAGGTGATTCCTCCTGGAACAAAACACAAGCTAAACAGGTATCAGAGGGGCTCCAGTACCTATTTGAGAACATCTCCCAGCTCACTGAAAAAGGTAAACTGGATCTGGATAGTAAGGGGGTTTTGGGACGAGCTGGGGTTTTTCATGTGATCGGAAATGTTTCTGAGGTCTGCAAAGCCACATGTGACTGGGAGGGGGAAAATGGGGTTGAAGTGCAGAGAGCAGTACCAGTAAACCACCTGCATTAATTACCCAGGTCCTTGGGATGGAAGGCTGGTGCTGGAGGGCTAGAAACCCAGGAAGAGGGGAAACAGCCTCTGCAGACAGGGACTCCCTGTGGAGGGAGACCCAAACCTTGCCCTCAGGAAGTCCTCAGACTGAGGGGGAGACATAGCCCCTGCTGGGGGGAGAAGATGCAGTCCCCTCAGGGAACACTCAGAACCGCAGAGGAAATGATCAGAGAGCACACATTGAATGCTGAGGTGACACCAAGCCAGGCTGCTCAGGGCTTTCCCCAGGGATAAGCAGGTGATGCTTCCTGAAGTGCAGAGCCTGGACCACAGCAGGGGAGGAGATGAGTAGGGGACATTATGGGATGGGGGAGCAAAGCATTAGGCTCCCTGGCCAGGTGCAGAGTCTGTGTTCGGGGTGAGTGTTGGAGAGATGGGTATGTAGAGGTGGGCAGGGCAGGTGCACCTGCCTGCTGAAGGCTCTTCCACTACCAAGGGGCCGACACAGCCCATGCCTGCATGTTCAGCTTGGCGGGCTAATGCGGTAGTGATGGGGCAGGTGCGCTGAGTGACGTCCCCAAGGCCTTCCCACAGATGTCTCCACCACGGTCTCTCGCAAGGCATGGGGGGCAGAAGCTGTTGGCTGCAGTATTCAGCTGACCACGCCAGTGAATGTCCTTGTTATACACCATGTCCCTGGACTGGAGTGTCACGACCAGACAGTCTGCAGCCAGAGACTGCGGGAACTGCAGGCCCATCATGTCCACAACAACAGTGGGTGTGATGTGGCCTACAAGTAAGAGCTGGGTCTGGGTCCCACGGCACATGGTCAGTGTTGCTTCCCTGGGATGCTTCTCCTGTCCCTTCTCATCCCTTTTCCTCATTTTCTGGGTTGTGGTCCTATATGTTTTATAATGAATAAAATATTTAAAACCCCCATGAAACTCCCAATCCTTTGGATTTTTCTGTGAGGTGCCTGTCTCTGAGAGCTCCCAGGAGGAAGCAAGGAAGGTTAAGTAATAACTGTATTCTCTACCCTCCCCCAACCCTGGCTTGCACAGCACACTACAGATTGCAAACGACTTCCTCATACATGAGGGCTTTAGCTCTCCCGACTGGTAGGCAGGTGTCACCATCTCTTTGCCCTGGGAAGAGGGGCCCAAGGGAGGGAGGCTGATTAATTTGAGGTCACATATCTATGGACCCATGGAGCCTAAACTGGCTCTCTTCATCCCTGGCGTGCTCCTCCACACCACACACATGGGCTCCAGCCTCAGTGAGGCAAATGTCCATCTGTTCCTGTAATGATCGCTCTAGTAGGTCGTACTGGTGCCCATACCACATGCCCTTGGCTCACCTCTGACTTTGGCTAGCTGTGGACAGTTCCTGAGTGCAGTGATGGCTTCCTGCCTCAAGTGCCCAACACATCTCTCTGCTTTCCTGCTTCAGACCTTCCCCCAGCCCCTGACGACAAAAGGGAGTGAATGCCTTCCTGGGGGACAGGGCTTGGTGTGTAGCCTCCTCAACCCCAGCCCTTATGAGAGGCAGTTCTAAAGCGCATGTACACAGCTCCTGGGAAGGCCACAGGGTGGGGTGGAGTCACAGGTAGCCACTGTGAGCCAGCCCAATTTCACATACTTTGCTGGCTTTCTTCCTTCTGTCTCACTCTCCTCACCCTGGCTTCTGGGATCCTGTAAGAATTAAAGAGGAAAGAACCATGAAAGGTGGCTCGACAGTCGAGGACTGGTTTATTTTAGAAAAAACAAAACTGAGAGAGGCTTTTGGCCAAGTTAGGTCAGAGCCTACTCTCTTACAGACTAAGAGTTTTTAAGGTTTCAGGGTGGGAGAGTTTATCAGAGGCTTGGACTGCTTCTGTGTCTTTGTCGTGCTTATCTGGGAGGGACAGTTGTGTGTCTGTTCCCATACATCTTTCTGCAGCTGCAGGCATATCCCCACCGCCCCCCAGTCTGCTTTTAGCTTCCTTATCTTAGTGCACCTGAAGGGAAAGGAATGTGCTTATTAAGGCCCACTGTTTTACTGGGGCCAATTGTATGAGGGTGAAGTTTGGCAGTTACTCAAGGGACTTTCCTCCCACCCCTCTCTGCGCCTGAGCTGTCTTATCTGTGTTTTACTGTCTGCTCTTTCTGGCTGCTTGTTTTTTAGAAGAGAAGTGATTTCCTTGAAATACATGAGGCTAGAAAGGGAGCTGGAATTTAAAGTGGTGGTGTTTGTCTGAGATGATGGTGCTCCTGCTCTGTTAGATCTCTTTGCAGATGAAGTGCCTGCATCCTCGTCCCTGTCTCAGGAGCTATTTCTTGGGAAGTCTATGTAGGACAGTTACGTGACAGGGAGAAATCAAATGAACAGCTCTGCGTGGATCACACAGGCAGCACACACTTTGGAGGAGGTAGGAGAGCCCGGTTTAAGGAAGCGTGGAAGACAGAAGAGCCTTCCATTGTGTGGTCAGTTACCATGGAACCTCTAGGACCTCTTCTCCTGAGCATGTAGAATGATTTATGGTAAAACTGCAGCCTCTGAAAAGGGAAGGGGGTAGGGAGTGTGAGAGTGGGTCCTTCTGAATTCTAAGGACTAGTATAAATGACTTGCTCTTTTCAATGTCTGGGAAGAGTTCATGCAAATTCCTTTTAGTGAACATAGCTTCAGTCCTTCTCCATTTTGAGGCTGGGTAAGTGGTTTCACCTCTCAGGAATGTCCTACAGTGCCAGCCATGAAACCTGTATTATCTTGCTCCATAGCTTCCTGGTTGGGGATGATGGCAGGGTGTATGAAGGTGTTGGCTGGAATATCCAAGGAGTGCACACCCAAGGCTACAACAACATCTCCCTGGGCTTTGCCTTCTTTGGCACTAAGAAAGGTAACAGTTATCACAGCTGACCTTCTCCAAAGAGTTCTCTAATCCTTTGTCTCAGGGGCCACTTCATGGGAACTAGCTATCTGCTACTCTGCTGTCTTATCCTTCTCATACTTCTCTGAAGACCCACTCTCTCTTGGAATTTTCTTCTTCCTTGATTTCCAGGAAATGACTTTGTGAAGGGTCTCTTCCTACTGCCCTGGCTTCCTTCTCAACCCCTGTAAACAGGCTCCTCTTTCTCTAGCCATCTTTTATGTGGAGATGCTGACCAGTCATCTCTCTGCAAGCTTATCTGGGCTTCAGCTCTCTCCTCTATGTCAATGACTAACACATCTTCCTCTTGAGCTCTGACCATTCTGTGGCTGTGGGCCATGCTTTCCAAGTTCCTGCCAGGCACCTCTTCCTTTCATCTCTTACTCCTAGATTTTCTATATATTTCTAAAAAAAAACCACTCTGGGTCCCCTAATCTCTGACTCTCTTCTACTTCTTTCTGGACTGTTGCTCCAAGGCCCCTTGCCACATGCATCTTAACATATGTACTCCAGGACCATTCCTTTGAATTTGTGTACCCTTTCCCGTTAACAGAGATCTTACATACCTAGTTTCTCATTTTCCCCTTCCAGTACCTTTTGAGAGAGTCCAGGTAGATTTCATGACCCCTGTTGTGCAGAGGTGCAGTCTGGGTTTCAGAGAGGTCGATGACCCCAAGTGACACAGCTAGAAGGAGAGGAATCAGAACATGGTCCATATCTTTTATCTCCAGCTCCTGGGTGGTTTCCCCAGCACTCCAGAGGACTCTGTGTTTATCTTGTTTTTGCTTTTGTTTTCATGACTACTCATTTCCATTTGTCGTTAGCTTGGGATCTTGAGCACATTACTTCTCAGAGCCTCAAGTTCCTCTTCACAAATAATGCAGTTAATAATAGCATCTCTCAGAGGTTTGTGCTGCTGATTAAATGAGTTATTGTAGGCAAAGAGCCTGACACATGCCTGGAGGGGCCCCTTCTGATGGGAAACCCTGGCCTGGCCTGGCGGGTGCTGCTGGGCTTGGTGCTGCTTCTGAGCTCTTTCATGGAGAGAGGAGGTGAAGTTTGGCAGGTATTTGGGATGAGAAAGGACTTCATTTTGAGCCACTGAGAGATCTTTCCAGGAAGATCCTTAATTCTCAGCCTCTCCAACTGGGGGCATAACCTGTTCCCTTTTCTTCCTCTCCATCAGCTGTGCAGGGGCTGGCAGAGCATCTTCTCCTTCCCCAAAAGATCCCCTGAAACTCAGGCTGGGTGGAGGTTTCCCACAGATTTCTCTCTTCTAGGCCACAGTCCCAGCCCTGCTGCCCTGTCGGCCATGGAAAACCTAATCACCTATGCTGTCCAGAAGGGCCACCTGTCATCCAGTTATGTTCAGCCACTTCTTGGGAAAGGCGAGAACTGCCTGGCCCCTCGGCAGAAGACAAGCCTGAAGAAGGGTAAGACCTTTCTTCAGCCCTACTGGGCCTGCCACTGGGCTCACCCCAACTAACTCGCAAATACCATTGGGAGTGACCTTTTCAGTAGGGCCCATTAGATTCCTTCTGGAAGGCAACTGGCCACCCAACTCTCTGAACTCTTGGGGCTGGCAAATCTTGAGAGGAAACCTCCAGGCCACCTCTTTGTCCCTCAGATTCCTCATATGAAAGAGCCATAGCATTATCCCTGGTGTCATATATGCACACTCCTTTCTTCCATCACTCAACAAGCAATTACTGAACACCTTCTAGACCCTGAAAATATACTCAGGAATGAAAAGCAAAAGTCCCTGGCCTCATGAAGTTTCAGTCTAGAGGGCAGAGAAAGACAATAAGCAAATAAATAAGTGACATATTGGGATGTTATATGGAGAAAAGTGCAAGGGAGGAAACAATGGAAAGGGACTGGACACATTTATACACATATTTATACACTCATATGTTTACACATGAACACACACAAACACACATTTCTGAATACAAAAACCAAAACAACACGAATAGACTGAAGTGCTGCAGAAAACTTAGACCACCACTTACACAGACTTTAAAGAAAGAGCTCAACATAATTCAGATAATAAAAGGTGGATACCATTTTGGGTTTAACAAGCAGCAACATCAAAAACAGTAAATTTAATAAGCACTTTCAGCCTTTTCTTGGGCTTAATCAAGATTGAAAGAAGATTCATCTCTATTATATTAAAGCCTTGAGTAAATTTGATCTCTGGTGCCATCTGTTAACATAAATGATCGCTTACATTGACAGAGAGTTTCATGGATTACAAATGACTCAAATACATATTCTTAGAATAAAATGTCCATGTCCCACTGCGGGACACTGTCTGCTCTCAAGTCCCACTGTTGGGGGCAGGGTGGTTGGGGGCAGGGTGGGAGACCCAGAGGGGTTTGGGAAGTTGAGGGTCCTGAGCATTATATCAGCCTACGGTGGAGAAGTGGCTGGCATAGATGGGGAAGATGAACCCTCTGTGGTTTCTCGCCCCACCTCAGCTTGCCCCGGCGTTGTCCCACGGTCTGTGTGGGGAGCCAGGGAGACCCACTGTCCCAGGATGACTCTCCCAGCGAAGTATGGCATCATTATCCACACTGCCGGGAGGACCTGCAACATTTCTGATGAGTGCCGCCTGCTGGTCCGGGACATCCAGTCTTTCTACATAGACAGGCTCAAGTCATGCGACATTGGTTATAAGTGAGTGGGTCTGGGTACACTGGGCTTCTTTTCCCTTGGGGGCAGAAACTGAGCCTTTGAAAGGAAGGGGAAAGGGAACTAATATTTACTGGGTAGTCACCATAGGAGAGGCACTGTATGGATAACCAAATGAATTCATCACACGACCCTGCCTGGGTCTTTCTTAGGAGATAGCCAAGGGGGTAGTCATTTGCCCAAACATGTTCTCAAGATGTGTACCTACTAAAGGTAGTACACTGGCATGACGGATGCTACAACTCTGCCAAAAAGTCACTGGAGGAAGCAGTACGCATGCAAGATTGTGACACCTGTAGAAAAGATAATCGAAAGATTGTGCTTTGTTTGTGTAACCACCGCCTCCTACTCAGAGGCTGGGGCTCTGCTGCTCACTTTGGCCACAACCTGAAGTGGTTCCCCCTCATGGTAGACCCGTGCTGCTTCTCTGCTTCTAGAAACCACCAACTTCCTTGGGAAGGATATCCTTCCTGTCTGAAGGCGGGGGAGAGACCAAATACTATCTTTTGATTTCTCTAATGCTAAGGTCTGTGATTCTTTAATAAGGAAGACACAGACCTAAGTGGAAGAGTAAACATTTCTTTTTTTTTTCCCCATTAAGCATTATCTTAAAGGGTCTCAAAATTCTGTGACACATTTTTGATCAAGATGTTTCCATTAAAAAGTATTGATTTTAAAAACTGCTACACAAACACACAAAATGAATAGTCCACAAAACAAGTAGAAATTTCTTGAAGGATGCTTTCAGAGTTTGCAGATAAGACATCCGGCGTTAGACCCCATGTAACATCCCATCAGGAAAATTCACACTAAATTTTAAATCTCAGAAAAAGCTACTGGTAGACCATTTGGCATATTCATGCACATTCATAGAAGGAACCTTTAACTCTAGGGCCATTTATGGCTTAGCGATGAATTTACCATTGCTTGGTACACGATTCTGGGCTGACTGTCTCTCCCCTCTCTGGCCCCTTGCTCTCTGTCCCCATTTTAGTAGCACCCTTTTCAAGATAGGAGAAAACCTTCCCTCCAACACCTATGACGTATCAGAACCTACCAAGTGCTTTGCTAGGTCCTGCCATACAGGATTACTTGCAGCGTTGCTGTCTTTAATAAGAGTGGATACCTGAAAATGGACTGTAAATTTGGAAAGCCTAAACTGGAAAGTGGTGGAGGCTGAGGGGAGGCCCTTTCCCTTTTTCCATTCAGGTCTCAGAGGGTAGTTGCCTGTCCCTTGACTTGGACCTTGTACTGTATCCTCTTCTATTATAGCATTATGACTGTGTCATTTTCTTTCATTGAGGTGGTCTGTAGTCAGGATGACACACTCCCTCCTTCATAGATTACAATTCACTGAACATGTAATTGAATGTGTACTCTGCGTGGCACAAGGCTACTCTGGGGATGCCATCGGATGTGCCTCACAGATATGGTTCTTGCCTGCATGGAGCCAATGCTTTAGTGAGGAAGAAAAGTAATTCAAACAAATAAGTTCTAGTAGGGTAGGTTAAACATTATTATAGGGGACACATGGAGGGTAGACGGGAGGTTTAGGATGCCAGGAAAATAGGCGTGAAGGAAGCAATCCCTGTGGGAACATCAGATTAGCTGAGGCCTTACAGTTGAGTGGGAGGAGGAAGCAGGAAGAGTGATTCAGGAAGAGGGAAATGGCCTCTGTGGAAAGGACTGAATTCCAGCCTGAGAGAGGCGCCTGTGGGGAGCTGAGAGAAGTTCATTGGGATAAATATAGATGTCAAAGAGGAGTGTGGTAGAGCTGATGCTGGGGAGGCAGACACAGTCCATGTCAGAAGGATTTTGTAACTTAAGCTGGGGTGTGTGCACTCAGTGCTGAGGGACTGAAAACAGGGTTTTGACATAGTAAGATTTGTATTTTAGAAAGACCAGTCTGGCTACCCTTTAGGAATGGACTGGATGGGAAAGGGTGGAACTGGAGGCCGTGAGATCTGAGGACTGTGCAGCAATCCAGGCAGGACTGAGTGGTGACATCCCTGTGATGGTAGCAGAGGTTACAGAGATAAGTGGAAGAATTTCAGAGGTCAGTGGAGGTTAATGGTTAATGACCAGGGTGCAGGGCAGATCAGGGAGTGTAGTTGGGAGACATCATTGACAAGCCTGGGTTAACGAGTGGATGAAGTGGGTGGGCTGATGCCTGTATTCCTGGCTGGGGCCAATGGGTGGGTGGGTGACCATGCCTTTCACCAAGATGGGGATCCCAGAAAGGGGAACAGGTGACGAAGAAGATGGGTCCAGTTGTGAACGTGCGGACTTTCATGGATAGCAACTGAAGCCAAGGAAGTGGATGGGTTAGTCCTGTGTGGAGTATGGGGAGAAGAGAGCTGAGGATAGCATCCTGAGGAACCTCACATTTAAGGAAAGGGTGCAGGAAGATGAGGTGTGGAGGGAGAGCAGCTGGAGAAGAAAGCCAAGAGAGTGTGGTGTGATGGAAGCTAAGGGAAGAGAGTGTTTGGAGAAGTCAAGAGGTGTGGCAGAGTCAAATGTACAGAGAGATCAAGTCAGGAAAGACTGGGGAAGTTTACTTTGTATTTAATGGTAAGGAGATCCTGGGTCACCTTGGGGGAAACCGTTTTCTTGGTGAGAAGGAGAAAAGGCCTAGGGATTGAAAGCTGTCATTCTCTTTTATCTTCATTGACTGTGAGCTACCTGGGGGCCGCAGTGGTGTGCTGGAGCCGAATGGGCTTGTGCCAGCTCATGAGAGCTGATTGTTAGAGATTCTGGAATTTTGAGAGCTGGTTGTTAAATTGTTGGTCACCTGAAATCTGCTATAGTGAGAGGTTTACACCACAGAAATCAGCATATGCTGTAAATTGGGATTCCCTCTCCCTACCCTGCCTCCCTCATTCCCCCTGAGCTAGTTTACCAGCACTCCATTGGCAAGGACTCTGTCTTGTTTCTGTAACCCAGTGCTTAGAATCCAATAGATAATCAAAGTCTGAAGTAGTAAAGACATGAATAAATTAATACATGAAAGAGAGAAACAATTCCAGAATTTCATGCTGGTCTCCATCTCCCCTTGTGGTCCTCTAGCTTCCTGGTGGGCCAGGATGGCGCCATTTATGAAGGGGTGGGCTGGAATGTCCAAGGCTCCTCCACCCCTGGCTACGATGACATTGCCCTGGGCATTACCTTCATGGGCACCTTCACAGGTAAGTGGATGCTTTGGTCAGTAGGGTCATTGCATGGTATTTGAAAGAGAGCATCTGACATGGAAGACAAAGTCTCAGTCTCAAGCGTCATTTTAGTGCCTGCATATGCTTGATTGACCCAGCTTCCAATCCAACATTTGACTCAGCTGAGTGTGACCAGAGGTGACCCCCAGACATAATGCTCACCCTATATCTACCCTCCTTTACACCCAGCCAAATGTCTCTTTCTTCCAATATGTAAGGAACATGCAAAGTAAGGGGAAAAGATCTTTGTGCTTATTTTTAGCTCATCTTGGTCAGCAGATGCATCTTCTCTTGGTTACCATGACAACAATGTAGAGACACTTTTCCTTATATGCCAAAGCCACAGTGAGCCCCAGTCTTTGCACTGAGAGTGCACACTGAGAATTGTCATGGCTCAGAGCTCTATTTTACTTTTTTTTTCATTTTTATAGATTTAGGGGCTACAAATCTATTGTGTTACATGGATATACTACACAGTGGTGAAGTCTGGGCTTTCAGTGTACCCATCACCTGAGTAGTGTACATGGTACCCATTAAATAACGTCTTATCCCTAATCCTGCTCTCACCTTCCCACCTTTTGAAGTCTCTGATGTCTATTATTGTACTCTGTGTGCCAATATGTACCCATTGTTTAGCTTTCACTTATAAGTGAGAACATGTAGTTTTTCATTTTCTGTTTTTGAGTCATTTCACTTAGGAATATGGCCTCCATTTCCACTTATGTTGCTGTAAAAGACATGATTTCTTTTCTTTTCTTTCTTTGTTTTTTTTTTTTTTTTTTTTTTTGAGATGGAGTCTCGCTCTGTCACCCAGGCTGGAACACAATGTGCAGTTTTGGCTTACTGAAACCTCCGCCTCCTGGGTTCAAGCGATTCTCTGGCCTCAACCTCCCGAGTAGCTAGGACTACAGGCATATGCCACCACACCTGGCTAATTTTTGCATTTTTAGTAGAGACAGGCTTTCATCATGTTGGCCAGACTTGTCTCGAACTCCTGACCTCATGATCCTCCCGTCTCGGCCTCCCAAAGTGAGCCACCATGCCACGATTTCATTTTTTGATGGCTGAATAGTATTCTATGGTGTACACACACACACACACACACACACACGCACGCACCCTACCTTTTCTTTATTCAGTCATCCATTGATGGACATTGAAGTGATTCAACGCCTTTGCTATTATGAATAGTGTTGAGATAAACATATGAGTGCAAATGTCTTTTTGATATAATGATTTCTTTTTCTTTGGGTTGATACTATTTGGATTGCTGAATCAAATGGCTATTTTATTTTTAGCTCTTTGATAAATCTCCATAGAGGTTGTACTAATTTACATTCTCATCAATAGTGTGTAAGCATTCCCTTTTCTCTGCATCCTCAGCAACATCTGTTATTTTTTGACTTATTTATTTATTTATTTATTTATTTATTTAGACAGAGTCTTGCTCTGTCGCCAGGCTGGAGTGCAGTGGTGTGACCTCGGCTCACTGCAACCTCCGCCACCCGGGTTCAAGCAATTCTCCTGCCTCAGCCTCCCGAGTAGCTAGGACTACAGGTGCATGCCACCACACCCAGCTAATTTTTTAATTTTTAGTAGAGACAGGGTTTCACCATGTTGGCTAGGATGGTCTCAGTCTCTGTCAATCTGACTGGTGTAAGATGCTATCTCATTGTGATTTTAATTTGCATTTCTCTGATGATTAGTAATGTTGAGCATTTTTTCATGGTTTTTGGCTGCTAGCATGTCTTCTTTTGAAAAATGTCTGTCTACATCCTTTGCTCACTTTTTAATGAGCTGACTTTTTTCCTTAAAAGTTGTTTGAGTTCCTTGTAGATTCCGGGTATTAGCTCTTTGTCAGATGCATAGTTTGCAAACATTTTCTCCATTCTGTAGGTTGTCTGTTTACTCTGTTGATTATTTCTTTTGCTGTGAAGAAATATTTTAGTTTAATTAAGTCCCATTTGTCTTTTTTGTTTTTGTTGCATTTGCTTTTGAGGACTTAGTCATAAATGCTTTGCCTAGGCCCATGTCCAGAAGAGTTTTTCCCTGGGTTTTCTTCTAAGATTTTTATAGTTTGAGATCTTAAATTTAAGTCTTTAATCCATCTTGAGTTAATGTTTATATGCAGTGGGTCTAGTTTCATTCTTCTGCATGTGACTATCCAACTTTCTCAGCACCATTTATTCAATAGGGTGTCCTTTCCCTGGTGTATGTTTTCGTCAACTTTGTCAAAGATCAGTTGTGTGTAGCTATGTGGCTTTACTTCTGGGTTCTCTATTGTGTTCCATTGATCTATGTATCTGTTTTTATACCAGTACGATGCTAATTTGGTTACTATAGTCTTGTAGTATAATTTGAAGTCAGGTAATATGATACCTCCAGCTTTATTCTTTTTACTTAGAATTGCTTTGGCTATTTGGGTTCTTTCTTAGTTCCATATGAATTATAGAATAGTTTTTTCAAATTCTGTGAAAAATGATGTTTGTAATTTGATAGGAACTGCGTTGAATCTGTAGATTGCTTTAGGCAGTATGGTCACTTTAATGACACTGATCCTTCAAATCCATGAGCATGGGATGTCTTCTCATTTGTTTGTGTCATCTACAATTTTTTTCATCAGTGTTTTGTAGTTCTTCTTGTAGAGATCTTTCACCTCCTTGGTGTATATATATATAAA
Source organism: Homo sapiens (assembly GCF_000001405.40). NCBI lineage: Eukaryota > Metazoa > Chordata > Mammalia > Primates > Hominidae > Homo > Homo sapiens. The sequence continues at coordinate 153,334,476 of NC_000001.11, read as the reverse complement.
TATATATAAATAAATATATATATATTTATACACACACATACACATACTAGGAATACATATATATATATCAGGAATACATATATATACACACTAGGAATACATATATATACATACAAACATATACACACCTATATATAACAGGTGTATTTATCTATCTATATCTATCTATATGTAGCTATTGTATATGGAATTGAGTTCTTGATTTGGTTCTTAGCTGATTGTTATTGGTGTATAGAAATGCTACTGATTTTTGTACATTGATTTTGTATCTTGAAACTACTGAAATTATTTATTAAATATAGGAGTCTTTTGAAGGAGTCTTGAGGGTTTTGTAGGTATAAGATTATATCATCAGTGAACAGAGATGATTTGACTTCCTCTTTTCCAATTTGGGTGCCTTTTATTTCTCTCTCTTGCATGATTGTTTTCTTCAATACTGTGTTGAATAGGAGTGGTGAAAGTGGGCATCTTTGTCTTTTTCTAGTTCTTAGGGGGAATGTTTTCAACTTCTTACCATTCAGTATGATGTTGATTGTGATTTTGTCATATACGGATTTTTTATTCTGAGGTATGTTCTTTTGATGCCTAGTTTGTTGAGAGTTTTTATCATGAAGTAATGTTGGATTTAATTGAATGCTTTTTCTGCATCAAAACTATTATATAGTTTTTGTTTTAATTCTGCTTATGTGGTGAATCACATTTATTTATTTGCATATGTTGAACCATCTCTGCTTCCCAGGAATAAAGCCCACTTGATTGTGGGAATTAACTTTTTGATATGTTGTTGGATTTAGTTCGCTAGATTTTTGTTGTGAACTTTTGCATCGATATTAATCAGGGCTATTGGCCTGTAGTTTTGGTTGTTGTTGTTGTGTCCTTACCTGGCGTTGGTATAAGAGTGGCTTTGTAGATGAGTTGGGGAGGATTCCCTCCTCCTCAGTTTTTGGGAACAATTTTAGTAGGGTTGGTATTCTTCCTTTTACATCTGGTAGAATTCGGCTGTGAATCCATCTGGTCCTGGGCTTTTTGTTGTTGGGAGAATCTTTTTTTAATTACTGATTCAATTTAATTATTTGTTATTGGTCTATTAATGATTTCTATTTCTTCCTGGTTCAGTCTTGGGATGTTGTATGTTTCCAGGAATTTATCCATTTCCTCTAGGTTTTTTAGTTTATATGCATAGAGATGCTCATAGTAATCTCTGACAATCTTTTGTTATTTCTGTGGTATCAACTGTAATGCAACCTTTATTATTTCTGATTGTGGGTGTTCTAATATTATCTCTTTTTTTCTTGGTTAATCTAGCTAGTGGTCTGTGAGTTCTGTTCTGTTTATCTTTTCAAATAACCAACTTTTTGTTTCATTGATCCTTTCTATTTCTTTTTTTTTGGTCTCATATAGAGACCAAATGCTCAAAGAAGTTCTACACAATACCATTTAGTTCTGCTGTGATCTTTATTATTTCTTCTGCTAGTTTTGGGTTTTTTTTGTTCTAGATTTTCTATTTTCTTGAGTTGTGACATAGGTTGTTAATTTGAGACCTTTCTATCTTTCTGATAGAGGCATTTGATGCTGTAACATTCCATCTTATCACTGTTTTTTGTTGTATCCCAGAGGCTTTGGTATGTTGTGTCTCTATTTTCATTTATTTCAAAAAATCTTTAATTTTGGCCTTAATTTTATCATCGACCCAATGACCATTCAGGAGCAGGTTGTTTAATTTCCATGTATTTGTATAGTTTTGAGAGTTACTCTTGGTATTGATTTCTAGTTTTCTTCCACTGTGGTCCAACAAGATACTTGATATGATTTTAATTTTTAAAAAATTTATTGAGGCTTGCTTTGTGGCCTAGCATATGGTCTATTTTTGAGACTGTTCTGTGTGCAGAAGAGATGAATATATATTCTAACATTGTTGACTAGAAAGTTCTGTAAATGTCTGCTAGGTCTATTTGATCTAGAGTCCAATTTAAGTCTAGAGTTTCTTTGTTGATTTTCTGCCTTGATGATCTGTCCAGTGCTGTCAGTGGGGTGTTGAAGCTCTCCACTATTATTATATTGCCATTCATCTCTTTTCTTAGGTCTAGCAGTATTTGTTTTATGAATGTGGGTGCTCTGGTAATGAGATCTTAAATTTCAGTTTTTAATCCATCTTGAATTAATGTTGCATTATATATATATGAGTTGGGTGCATATATATTTAGGATTGTTATAGCTTCTTATTGAATTGATCCTTTTATCATTACATAATGAACTTCCTTATCTTTTTTTTTAACTGTTTTGACTTAAAGTCTGTTTTACTTGATATAGTGTAGCAACTCCTCCTCCTTTTTGGTTTCCATTTACATGAAATATCTTTCTCTACCCTTGATTTTGAGTCTGTAAATTTATTTACCAGTTAGGGGGTTTCTTGTAAGCAGCATACAGTTGGATTTTGTGTTTTTATTCATTAGTCAGCCTATATTTTTTAAGTGAAGCCTTTAGTTCATTTTCGTTTAAGGTGAATATTGATATGTGAGGATTTATTCCTGTCATAATGTTAATGGTTACCCAGTTGCTTTGCAGTCTCGATTGAGTAATTGCTTTATAAGTCCTGTGAGTTTTGTACTTTCATATGTTTTTATGATAGTGTGTATTGCCCTTTAGTTTCCATCTGTAGAACTTCTTTGAGCATTTCTTATAGGACCAGCCTAGTGGTGACAAATTCCCTTAGCATTTGCTCCTTTAGGAAACACTTTATTTCTCCATACAAATATGGAATGCTTCACGAATTTGCATGTCATCCTACTTCAGGGGCCACACTAATCTTCTCTGTATCATTCCAATTTTAATGTATGTCCTACCAAAGTGAGAACAACTCAAAGTTCTTAATCAGTTTGTTTAGACTCAAGGGCCTTTCACCAAACCTCTGAAAAGATGAGGTCATGTCACTGGGGCTGATTCAGTGACATGGCCCATACTAAAATGGGCATTGGGTCGGGGGATGGGGTGAACCAGGACTGTGACTTGATACTGGGCTGAGCATTGAGCTAGACATGAAAGGGTACAGGCAGTACATTGTGATTAAATCAAGTTTCTCAACCTCAGTACAATTGATATTTTGGCTCAGATAATTCATTGTTGTCAGAGGCTGTCCCGTCCTAGGATGTTTAGCAGTATCCTTGGCTTCTACCGACTAGTATTCCCCTGCATCCCAGTTTTCACAACCAAAAATATCTCATGACACTGCCAAATGTCCTTTGGGGGGCTAAATTGCACCCTTATAAAGAACTACCAGGCTAAACTTTTGCAGTGGATAAAAGCTTTGTATATCCTCAGAAGAATTTATTATCCCAGGCTTGGCTCTTTTGATTCAGGAAAACTTTGGCACTAAGAAATCTGAAGTCTTGACCTTGTTTTTTTTGCCTGTCTCTAGGGAGGCTGCCAACAGTGGAATCTATTAGCTTGGTGATGAGGGTGGGTTCTGGGGATATGTTCTATTTTGCAGGGTGCCCTGTAATCCTGTAGACAATGGGCTGCTGTGTTTTGCAGGTATACCACCCAATGCTGCAGCACTAGAGGCAGCCCAAGACCTGATCCAGTGTGCCATGGTCAAAGGGTACCTGACTCCCAACTACCTGCTGGTGGGCCACAGTGATGTGGCCCGAACCTTGTCTCCTGGGCAGGCTTTGTACAACATCATCAGCACCTGGCCTCATTTCAAACACTGAGAGAAGCCCCAGGTCCTTCTGAGACTGCTTTCCCTCCCCTGTCAGGTCTCTCCTGTCCTAACCATCCAGCTTGGCTCAACACCTTTTGCCCTCCTCCCCTGCCACACAGTCCTGTGCCTCCTTTTTCAGGTTGGGATGATCATGCCCTCTCCTGCCAACATCCTCCAAGGGCCTCCAAACCTCATAGCTGGACATTCACAGCCCTCTGAGTCTGAGTCCAGATTTCTTCTCTCCTTACCTTCCTCTCCCTTGGAAACCCAACTCCTCAGCCAGGTGAGACAATGGGCTGGTTCTTGTTTCATTTCTCTCTCTCTCTCCATTCCCCTCTGCCTGGTGAGCCTTCCCCTGGTGTCTGCCTGGCAGCCCCCACCTCCCACCTATCACCCCTCACCCATAACTCAGGTCAACGTGACCAACCTTCCTTGCTTACACATAAACTTGTATATATTTGGATGTAGCCCTTATTTAATGGCTGTCATTATTTATAGATATGTCTATCCTTGCTACTTGGTTGTGAGTTTCTCCAGGGGAGGAACTGTGTTTTATTCATCTCTATGTCCTCTGTTTCTCAGCAGTGTCTGAAATTTAATGGGTTCTACTGATGTTTATTAGAGAAATGGATGAATAAATGAATGAAGAGATCCAAATTCATGTTCACCTTGCCAATTCACTACATCATCCCCTATTTGGAGAAGAACTTTCTGGACAGTGCCCGCATACCACCAGCATTTTCTGTGTTTCTGTTCCCTCTCAGTCCAAGAGCCATAAGATCTCTATGGTACCAGCATCTGTGTAAGAGGAAGCAAAGAGAAGCAACAGGGTGTCTGGTGGACATGAGAACCTAAAATAACCAAGATATTTTTACCCCAAATTTTTGACAGCTTAGCATCTAAAATCAAGAGGCCTTTTTGCACACTCCAATGGTGTGTAAACACAAAGGATTCTGTAGTAAGATCTGCAGGAACTGGAACGGTTTGGGTCCTATGCCTCTCAAAACTAGCCAGCTAAAATTCCCTTCTAGAACAAAGCCCCACAGGTGAGAACTGCTGGAAACAGAATCTAATTCAGTCCAGGCCTAAGAGATTAAAAAAAGAAAAAACAAAAAAGAAGCTCACATGAAAGTGTGGAAAGGCAGTGGAGCAAGAAGCTCTCTGAATATAAGCCATCATAATGTTGAACATTTACTTGAAAAAAATAATAGAAGGTGTCCCAGAGTGATTGAATTAAAAAAGCTTCTCAAAACCATACATCTTTAAAGTTGAGGAAAGCTAATATATAAAATAAACAACAGAAAATAATTGAGGTTCAAACCCACATAAAGTCATTTTAAGATAAAAATAGAATCAGGAGCAGAATAAAGAAAATAAAAGCATTACATAAAGACATGCTTATGGGTGAAAACTATAAACTACAATTTCAAACTGAGCTAAAATAATTAGGAAAATAATACAAGATATGAAAGAACAATTAATGGAAAGTACAAAAACTCAGAAATAAGGTAATGGGGCTCAGAAGAGAATAAGAAATAAAGGAAATATCAATTTCAGAAATAATCAGTAAAAAAAAAATGTTAAAAGTGGATATACATAATGGATAATGCCTTTAAAGAAAAATAAGATAAAACGAAGGAAAATTCTAAAATAAAAAATAAACTAAAAAGTAACATTAAAATAATTAGAGAGAAAGTGATAAATATAAAAGATAGGCAAAGAAGATACAAGATACAAGTATACATGTAACTGGAGTCCCTAAAGAAGAAAACTGAAGTAAAGGAACAGAACAAATATTCAAAACTACTATGCTAGAAACACCTCCTGAAATAAAAAAAATTCGAAATTTTGTTTTTAAAGGGCACATTTCCTACCAGAAAAGATGCACTCAAAATGATGAATGCAAACATACGGTCTATTTGAACTAATGGATTTTTAAGAACTCATTCTCTTTAGTGGAAAATATCCTTTGGGCATTCAGGAAAAAACAAAAAAACAAATCACTAATAAGAGAGAAAAATATCATCAGACTTATTGACAACAACATTTTGGGCTAGGAGAAAATATAATAACACATTTTAAAAATAAGAAAAAATGTGATCCAAGGATTATGTTCAATCAAATTGACTTTTATATACAAAGGTCACAGATAAACTCTCATGAACATGGAAGAACTCTGTGAATACTATTCCCATAAGACTCTTTGTAAGAATCTACAGGAGAATGTCTTTAAAAATGACCAAAATAACTTTAGAGACACTGGCATTATGACTGGTGGTAAGCATTTGATATATATTTACTTGTAGAATTAAGACCAAATGAAAGTTATTAGAAAAATAGTATTGTATGTAATGGTTATGAACTCTGACAATGTAGTATAAGGTAGAACTGTAAAAAAGTGGGGAGAGAATAAGGAGAGCATCTGCAAGTTAGTTTTTAAAATCATTTTAGTCATCATATTATAGTTCTAATATTAATATTGTTATTAGAAGAAAGTTTAGTATGAGATGTTGAATCAAACAAATGAGTAATTATGTGATATTCTAGTTCCATCATCCCCAGTGTTTTTGAAAGTAGGATTCTCAGTGTGGGAAAAGGAGATACAGATTAACACAGCAGAGGTTAAGTGATACACTGTGTCCCTGGATGTGAATTAAAAAAACAATAGGGTGAACTCATTTATGAACATATGAGGTGTTTCACCTTAAATAATTTTACCTTTGCTCACTGAAAGGGCCCAGAAACCCGATCAATATGGTAGCAATAAGTATCTGTAGTACCCAAGTTGTGATCTTAAAATACCATTTCCCAGTAAAAGAAATCAACAGTTCTTAGAGAAATGGCTGATTTCAGGTCTGGGATGGGAAACATATAAGTTAAAACATTTTATCATATAAGGTAGCAATGAAGCTATTAAATATTTCTCATATTGGGTCAAAAGGACTTGGGAAATTTCTACTGTCTAATGGGAAAATTCCAATGTCTAATGGCTAATGACAATATGAGCATAAATAGCAACAACAACTGCAATGGGTCTGAGCTTGTTAAGTTTAAATCAACACATTCATAATAACACTAAAAAAACCCCCGAATTGTCACTGCTAGGACATCCACTGAATCTACTTTTTTACTTTAAAACTTGTAAAAAAAGGGAAAGAGAAATGTACCTATTCTTCCTTTCCTATACACAGAATACAATTGAATAACCAAATAGTAGAGAACTTCTCCTAATAGATGTACTCTAATAAATACATGAAAAAGTAATGGTAGAAATGGAATATCATCACCTTGCAAGCCCTAATAAAAAATCTAGGCATTAATGACTGTTAACGTCACACACACAGCTCCCAACTGATGAAAGGTCTGTGGACTGTTTACCTACTCAAGCTTCCGCAATGGTGGACACCCCTCCCCCAGCCTCGCTGCTGCCTTGCAGTTCAATCTCAGACTGTGCTAGCAGTGAGCGAGGCTCTGTGGGAGTGGGACCCTCTGAACCAGGTGCGGGATATAATCTCCTGGTGTGCCATTTGCTAAGACCGTTGGAAAAGCACAGTATTAGGGTGGGAGTGTCCCGATTTTCCAGGTATCCTCTGTCATGGCTTCCCTTGGCTACAAAAGAGAATTCCGTGACCCCTTGTGCTTCCCAGGTGAGGCGATGCCCCGCCCTGCTTTGGCTCACACTCCATGGGCTGCACCCACTGTCTGACAAGCCCCAGTGAGATGAACCCAGTACCTCAGTTGGAAATGCAGAAATCGCCTGTCTTCTGCATCACTCACGCCAGGAGCTGTAAACTGGAGCTGTTCCTATTCGGCCATCTTGGAACCCGTCCTGATGTCTAAAATTAATCTTAAAAAAGATTAATTGGTAAAATTCTAATAAGTCTAACTGAGAAAGAGGGGGTGGAGGAGAAACATATATAACTAATGTCAGAAATTAAGCAAGGAACGTTACTGAAGATCATTGAAGACATAGTAAGAAGATAGTATGAAAAGCAGTATTCAATACATTTGCAAACTGACATTAAATAGAAAAATTCCTAAAAAGGTGCACATCACCAAATTTGACACAAGAAGAAACAGAAAACCTAACTTGTCCTAAACGTTAAAGAAATGGCATCTGTAATTAATACCTTCTTATAATAACAAAACAACACAAAACAACAATTAAAAAAGTTAGTCTGAGGTATCTTCACTAATGAATTCTACAAGAGAAGAAGTTAGAAATAACATCCATTTTAAACAACCTTTTTATAGTAGGAAAAGAGGAACACTCTCCAACTTGTTGTATGAGGCAGCATAATAAAAATACCCCCTTATGGAATATTTTAGATTTATACAAACCTATAGAGACTAATATATTTAACTCATACGTACCCAAAATCTAGCTTAAATGATTAATTCATGGCTAATTACATTTAAACCATACTCCCCACACATTTCCGCAAAAGAAATTCATATGTATCATACAATGTCACCTATAAACATTTCATTATATGTTGCTGAAATAAAATGACAGTAAGAAATAGTCAATATCATTATCATGCCTAAAAGAATCAACAATCAATAATAATTTCTCAATATCATAAAATGCTGAGTTTGTGCATGAATTTGTCTCGCTTTTTTCCTGTTTGTTAGAATTGGCATCCAAATAAGGTCCATACATTGTGGTTTTTTAAATTTATTTTTTATTTTTTATTTTTTTTTTGAGACAGAATCTCACTCTGTCACCCAGGCTGGAGTGCAGTGGTGTGGTCTTGGCTCACTGCAACCTCTGCCTCCAGGGCTCAAGCGATTCTAAGGCCTCAGCCTCCTGAATGGCTGGGATTACAGGTGCCTGCCACCACTCCTGGCTAATTTTTGTGTTTTCAGTAGAGACAGGGTTTCACCATTTTTGTCAGGCTGGTCTTGAACTCCTGGCCTCAAGTGATCCACCCACTCCGGACTCCCAAAGTGCTGGGATTACAGATGTGAGCCAGTGCACCCAGCCCATACATTGTGTTTGATATGTCTTTTATAATTCCTCTAACCTGTAGGCTCCTAGCATCTCTTTTTTTCCTTGCTATTTATTTGTTGAAGAAACTAGTTTGGTTTGCTACAGTTTTCCACAGCATAGATTTTGCAATTTTGTATCCATGGTACATTTTAACACATCTCTCTGCTCTGAAATTTCCTGTAAGTTGGTAGATCTAGAGGTTTTTGGTTCAATTTTTTTGAGGGCAAGAATACTTAATGATGGGGTTAGATTCTTCCATCAGAAGTCACATAATGCCTGATGGCCTATTTAGCTCTTCTTTTTGATGTTAGCAGCCACTGATAATTATGTTCAGAAATTTATTAGGGATGATAAAATGCTGATATTATAATTCAATAGTTCCAGCTTCATTTATTAGCTGGAATACTTTTATAAAGGGAAACTTCCATTTACCAACCATTTGAATACCATGAGATAGAGTTTATACAGAAAAAATAAAAAACAATATGTACACACACACACACACACACACACACACTCACACCTCAAACAAAAGCTTGATTCTTTAAAATAATATATTGGTTCCCCAGTGTAGCACTGGCCACAATAATGTTGCCTCACAAATCACCTCAAAACTTAGCAGAATACAACAATAAGCATTTATTCTCACACTGAGAAACAAGTGTGAATGAGCTGATTTAGAGTTGACTGACAGGCTTTGCTTCAAGCTGTGGCTCTGTCTGGGTTTGGCTTCTTGCTCCAGACTAGACACAGAACAACCCCATGCATATTTATTCTGGGGTCCAAATGCATATGTAAATTTCAAGCTTTTGCACCTCACTTCCATGATCTACTTATTGGCCAAAGCAAATCACATGGCCAGATCAATACTACTAAGACAGAAAAGTACACTTTTCTTCTTCTTTTTTTTTTTTTTTGAAGACAAAGTCTCACTCTGTTGCCCAGGGTGGAGTGCAGTGGTGCGATCTCGGCTCACTGCAACCTCCTCCTCCCAGGTTCAAGCGATTCTCCTGCCTCAGCTTCCTGAGTAGCTGGGCCTACTGGTGTGTGCCACCACGTCCAGCTAATTTTTGTATTTTTAGTAGAGACAGGGTTTCACCACGTTGGCTGGGCTGACACTTTGTTACTAGTAGGAGGAGAGGGGAGAGAATATTTGTGGAATTGCCTATACAACAAATGCTGCTAGAATAATTGGATTTTCCTATAGAAAAAATAAAACCTATCCTTCACACGATGCACAAATATCAATTCCAGGTGAATTGTAGATTTGCATACAATGGGCTAAACATAAGCGATGTAGAAGATAATATATCCATCTTCATTTTTTATGGTGTAGGAAAAGACTTCTTAAAAATGACGGAAAAAACATTAACCCTAAAAGAAAAGATTATAAGTTGGATTATGTTAAAATTAATAACTACTGTTCATCAAATGACACTATTAAGAAAGTGCACAGGTAAACCGCCAAGTTAGAGAAAGCATCCGCAAAGCACAGATGACAAAAAGATCATATACAGAATATTTTAAAGATCTGGAATTTATAAAGAGGTGAGATTCATAGAAGTAAGTCTAACAAATTTGATTGGTTAAAAATGGCATTTATGTGAAATTTTAATATATATTTCTCTTATAAGTGACCTTGAGTATCTTTTCATGTGTGTAAGGGAGATTTGTATCTCTCTTTCCATCCATTCTTCTTGTCCTTTGCCCATTTTTCTATTTGATTGTTGGTCTTCTGCTTCTAAGTGCTTTCATGCAAAAATATATACATTAGAGAAATTAGCTTTTTTTGTGAAACTAATTGCAAATATTTTTCCCAGGCTTGTTATCTGCTTTTTGCTTTTGCTTATGATACATTTTTAGTTTTTGGAGTATGCAAGAGTTTTTTACTTTAAGTAGCCAATTTATCATATTTTATGACTTCTGAGTCATATTTAGAAAGGCCTACCACTCCCATGTTATAATAAAATTAATTCATGTTTTCTCAAGTAATTCAATGTTTTAATTTTTGTATGTATTTTTTGATTCATTTAGAGTTTATTTTTGTGTTGTGTATGGTATGGATAAAAAATTTATTTCTTTCCATATGACTATCTACTTGTTTCAATAATATTTATTAAAAATGCCCATTCACTTGTTGGATCTACTTTTGTGTCCTTCAGACTTGTTTTAGCCCTAGTTCTACAGTTAAACATATTTGATGCTCACCACAAGTTTTTAGTTTTTTTGGCCGAAATTTCTCCAATAACTTGTTGACTGGATAAAGATTATTCTCTAGTAAAGTACTTAATAAAGAGCTTGCCTTAGTCCATTTTGTGCTGCTATAACAGTATACCTGACACTGGGTAATTTATAATAAACAGGAATTTATTGGCTTACCGTTCTGGAGGCTGGCAAGTCTGAGACTATGGCACAAGCACCTGGTGAAGGCCTTTCTGTTACATCCTCACATAGTGGAAGGCAGATAGGCATGAGCTCTCATGACTTAAACACCCCCCATTAGGCCCTACCTTTCAGAATTATCACATTGGGAATTACATTTCCAACACATAGATTCTGGGGAACACATTCAAACCATAGCAGGGCTCATGGAGCAAAAAGATTTACCTAGTTACTACATATTCAAAACAGTTTTTATCTGTAGCCTTTATACTTTGAAGGACAGATTGGCTGGACATAAAATCCTTGGCTCATGCTATCTTTTCTTTGATGAGTCTCTTGTAGGTTCTTCTTCACAATCTGTGTGTGAATGTTGTTGTTGAGAAGCCTGATGGCAATCTAATTTTTTCTCTTATAAATGGCTTGGTCTCTTCACATGACTGACTAAAAAGTTTATTTCTTCATATTTTAAGTACCATAACATGGTTTAGCAATTACTATTGCAAGTTAATTCTCACAGGTAAAAGTGTGGCCTTTCAATATGTAGAGTTGTATCTTTGATTTCAAAACATTTTTTCTTGAATTATTGTTTAAGGTATTTACTCTTTTACATTGGTTTTCTTCTTTTGGTACGTGAATTATATGTATGTTGGATCTCCTTTGCCTGTCTTCTACATTGATCACTTTTGCTTTAATTCTTTTTTCCTCCAATTTTTTATTGTGGTGAAATACACATACAGTTTAACATCATAAGTATTAAGTGTACAGTTCTGAGATAATAAGTGCATCATATTGTGTACAAACTCTCTCTAATTCTTTTTTTTCTCTGTCTTTTTAAAAAATTTTAGTTTCTTTGGACTTTTAAATTTCTTTTCTCTAGACACCTGACATGTGTTTTCTGGGGCACATGCTCCCCTTTGTACTCCTTGTATTTTAGTCTTAATTCCTGAGATGATTATGTCACTTCTCTTTCACATCCTCCTATTGCCGAGTTAAATTCTTCTTTGAGGCCTTTTACTTCTGTTTTGTGAATTTTTTTATAGGTAGACAATTAGGAAAATTATGTTGAAATATGTTTTCCCTCTGCCTATTGGAACCTTTTTTAATGATGAGTTTTTTGTTAATAAAATATGATCTTATGCCATATGTTTAAATGGAGGCTTTGTTTGGATGTGACAGTTTGCCTTTTTATTATTCGTATTTGAATGAGTTGGTTTTTTCTGGTCCAGTTGCTACAGGAGTATCCTGTGACAGTTGTGTTTGGAGGTGGGAGAAAATTAATATAGCTTCTCCTGTTTCTCAGCTCATTGGCTCCTCCATCTGTTGCACTCAATTGGTAGTTTATTGGATATATTGTGATACTACATTTGTTCTCCTTGCACTCCCAGTCATTTCTGTTGATCTCCACCAGTTCTCATGCAATACCCTTTTCATTCTTAGAACTGTCCAGAGCAGTGCCCCTCTAGGTGGTCCCTCACATTCTGGTGATGAATATCTGCTGTGGATTCCAGATTATAATGGTCTCTTTTTCCATCTCCACGTTTCCTCATAGCACTCACCATTCCACTACCTCACCATTCATTGTTATGGCTTCTAGTATTAGTTTCCTGACTTGCTCTCTCCCCTCTCCACACTTACTTTCATATACCAAAAAGTTTGTGGCCATTTTTGTCTTCTTAAATTATATATATTTACAGCACACTACATGATGTTTTGGTACATGTATACATTGTGAAATGGTTAAATCAAGCTAATTAACATATCTATCACCATGCATACTTGTTTTTTTTTGTGGTGAGAAGATTTAAGATCTACTCTTAGCAATTTTCAAGTATACAATATATTAGTATTAACTATGATCACCTTGCGGTACTACGGATCTCCCAAACATATTCATCCTTTGTAACTAAAATTGGATTTTTTTAATCTGCTAATTTTGCTAAAGGTGTAGGATTTTAACATATTAATTCTTCTTGTGTCTTTGTATGGTTATGAGAAAGATACATCAAAGATTCCATTCTAAGCTGTTGACATGCTCTTATATGGCCAGGAGGCTACCTGATTATCTTAGATACTGTATTTGTTTTCTATTGCTGCATAACAAATGGCCACAAACTTAGCAGCTTAAAACAACAACATTTATTATTTCATAGTTTCCATGGGTCAGAAATCTGGGCACGACTTATGTAGGTCCTCTGCTAAAGTCCTTACAGGGCTAAGTTAAGGTCTGAAGGGCTGCATTCTCATCTGGAGGCTTGACTGAGGAAAAATCTGCTCCCAAGCTCATTCAGTTTGTTGGCATCATTCATTTCCTTATGGCTGTGTGACTGAGGCCCCTGTTTTCTTGTTAGATGCTGGCCTGGAATCATTCTTAGCTCCCAGAGGCATCTCTCAGATCCACTCTGGGGCCCCCTTCATAGGCCTTCTCACAACATGACAGGTTACTCTTTCAAGCAGGATCATTTCTCTTCAGGAAGTAAGACAACTAGGTTGGGCACAGTGGCTCACACCTATAATCCCAGCACTCTGGGAGGCCAAGGCAGGTGGATCTTTTGAGCTCAGGAGTTCAAGACCAGCCTGGGCAATATGGTGAAACTCCATCTCTACACAAATTCAAAAATCAGCCAGGTGTAGTGGTGCACCTGGAATCTCAGCTATTTGGGAAGCTGAGGTGGGTGCACAGAAGGCTGGGAGGTCGAGGGTGCAGTGAGCCAAGATTGCACCACTTCATCACAGCCTGGGTGACAAAGCAAGACCCTATCTCAACAAAAAAAGAAAAAAGAAAGAAAAGAAAGTAAGGCAACTAAACATATTGAGTATGCCAAGAGAGTGCTCTTTCAAGATGGCCGAATAGGAACAGCTTCGGTCTGTAGCTCCCAGTGAGATTGACGCAGAAGATGGGTGATTTCTGCATTTCCAACTGAGGTACCTGGTTTATTGGTTCATCTCATCAAGACTGGTTGGACCGTGGGTGCAGTCCATGGAGGGTGAGCTGAAGCAGGGTGGGGCATCACCTCACCTGGGAAGTGCAAGGAGTCAGGGAATTTCCCTTTTCCAGCCAAGGGAAGCTGTGAGAGACTGTACCAGGAAGAACGGTACACTCCTGCCCAAATACTGCACTTTTGCCATGGTCTTTGCAACTGGCAGACCAGGAGATTTCCTCTGGTGCCTGGCTCGGTGGGTCCCACGCCCATGGAGCCCAGCAAGCTAATATCCATTGGCTTGAAATTCTCACTGCTAGAGCAGCAGACTGAAATTGACCTGGAATGCTGGAGCTTGCTGGGGGGAGGGGCATCCACCATTGCTGAGGCTTGAGTAGGCGATTTTATGCTCATAGTGTAAATAAAGCTGCCGGGAAGCTTGAACTGGTCAGAGCCCACTGCAGCTCAGCAAGGCTGACTGCCTCTCTAGATTCCACCTCTGTGGGCAGTGCATATCTGAACAAAAGGCAGCAGCCCCAGCCAGGGACTTATAGATAAAACCCTCATCTCCCTGGGACAGAGCACCTGGGGAAAGGGGCAGCTGTGGGCAAAGCTTCTCCAGACTTAAACGTCCCTGCCTGACAGCTCTGAAGAGAACAGTGGTTCTCCCAGTATGGCATTTGTGCTCTGATAATGGACAGACTGCCTCCTTAAGTGGGTCCCTGACCCCTGTGTAGCCTGACTGGGAGACACCTCCCAGTAGGGACAGAGAGACACCTCATACAGGAGAGCTCTGGCTGGCATCTTGTTGGTGCCCCTCTGGGATGAAACTTCCAGAGGAAGGATCAGGAAGCAATATTTGCTGTTCTGCAGCCTCTGCTGGTGATGCCTAGGCAATCAGCGTCTGGACCTCCAGCAAACTCCAACAGACCTGCAGCTGAGGGGCCTGACTGTTAGAAGGAAGACTAACAAACAGAAAGGAATAGCATCAACATCAACAAAAAGGACATCCACACCAAAACCCCATCTGTAGGTCACCAACATCAAAGACCAAAGGTAGATAAAACCACAAAGATGGGGAGAAACCAGAGCAGAAAGGCTGAAAATTCCAAAAATCAGAAGATTTCTTCTCCAAAGGACCACAACTCCTCACCAGCAAGGGAACAAAACTGGATGGAGAATGAGTTTGATGAGTTGACAGAAGTAGGCTTCAGAAGGTGGGTAATAACAAACTTCTCCGAGCTAAAGAAGCATGTTCTAACCCATCGCAAGCAAGTTGAAAACCTTGAAAAAAGGTTAGGGGAATGGCTAACTAGAATAACCAGTGTAGAGAAGAACATAAATGACCTGATGGAGCTGAAAAACACAGCATGAGAACTTCATGAAGCATACAAAAGCTTCAATAGCCGATTTGATCAAGGGAAGAAAGGATATCAGTGATTGAAGATCAAATTAATGAAATAAAGTAAGAAGACAAGATTAGAGAAAAAAGAGTGAAAAGAAATGAACAAAGCCTCCAAGGAATATGGGACTATGTGAAAAGACCAAATCTACGTTTGATTGGTGTACCTGAAAGTGACAGGGAGAATGGAACCAAGTTAGAAAACACTCTTCAGGATATTATCCAAGAGAACTTCCCCAACCTAACAAGGCAGGCCAACATTCAAATTCAGGAAATACAGAGAATGCCACAAAGATATTCCTCTAGAAGAGCCACCCTAAGACACATAATCATCAGATTCACCAAGGCTGAAATGAAGAAAAAAATGTTAAGGGCAGCCAGAGAGAAAGGTCCCACAAAGGGAAGCCCATCAGACTAACAGCAGATCTCTCGGCAGAAACTCTACAAGTCAGAAGAGAGTGGGGGCCAATATTCAACATTCTTAAAGAATTTTCAACCCAGAATTTCATATCCAACCAAACTAAGCTTCATAAATGAAGGAGAAATAAAATCCTTTACAGACAAGCAAATACTGAGTGATTTTGTCACCACCAGGCCTGCCTTACAAGAGCTCCTGAAGGAAGCACTAAACGTGGAAAGGAACAACTGGTACCAGCCACGGCAAAAGCATGCCAAATTGTAAAGACCATTGACGTTATGAAGAAACGTCATCATAATGTCATCATGCATAAACGTTAGTTGTTTGCATCAACTAACGTGCAAAACAACAAGCTAGCATCATAATGACAGGATCAAATTCACACATAACAATATTAACCTTAAATGTAAATGGGCTAAATGCCCCAATTAAAAGACACAGACTAGGAAATTGGATAAAGAGTCAAGACCCATCAATGTGCTATATTCAGGAGAACGATCTCACATGCAAAGACACACATAGGCTCAAAATAAAGGGACGGAGGAAGATCTACTAAGCAAATGGAAAGCAAAAAAGAAGCAGGAGTTGCAATCCTCATCTCTGATAAAACAGACTTTAAATGAACAAAGATCAAAAGAGACAAAGAAGGCCATTACATAATGGTAAAGGGATCAATTCAACAAGAAGAGCTAACTATACTAAATATCTGTGCACCCAATACAGGAGCACCCAGATTCATAAAGCAAGTCCTTAGAGACCTACAAAGAGACTTAGACTCCCACACAATAATAATGGGAGACTTTAACACCCCACTGTCAATATTAGACAGATCATTGAGACAGAAAATTAACAAGGATATCCAGGAATTGAACTCAGCTCTGCACCAAGTGGACCTAATAGGCATCTACAGAGCTCTCCACCCCAAATGTTGCAACAGAATATACATTCTTCTCAGCATCACAATGCACTTATTCTAAAATTGACCACATAATTGGAAGGAAAACACTCTTCAGCAAATGCAAAAGAACAGAAATCACAACAAACTGTCTCTCAGACCACAGTGCAATCAAACTAGAACTCAGGATTAAAAAACTCACTCAAAACCACACAACTACATGCAAACCGAACAACCTGCTCCTGAATGACTACTGGGTCAACAACGAAATGAAGGCAGAAATAAAGATGTTCTTTGAAACCAATGAGAACAAAGACACAATGTACCAGAATGTCTGGGACACATTTAAAGCAGTGTGCAGAGGGAAATTTATAGCACTAAATGACCACAAGAGAAAGCAGGAAAGATCTAAAATCGACACCCTAACATCATAATTAAAAGAACTAGAGAAGCAAGAGCAAACACATTTAAAAGCTAGCAGAAGACAAGAATAACTAAGATCAGAGCAGAACTGAAGGAGATAGGGACACAAAAAACCCTTCAAAAAATCAATGAATCCAGGAACTGGTTTTTTGAAAAGATCAACAAAATTGATAGACTGCTAGCAAGACAAAGAAGAAAAGAGAGAAGAATCAAATAGGTGCACTAAAAAATAATAAAGGGGATATCCCCACCGATCCCACAGAAATACAAACTACCATCAGAGAATACTACAAACACCTCTACGCAAATAAATTAGAAAATCTAGAAGAAATGGATAAATTCCTGGACACATACACCCTCCCAAGACTAAACCAGGAAAAAATTGAATCTCTGAATAGACCAATAACAGGTTCTGAAATTGAGGCAATAATTAATAGCCTACCAACCAAAAAAAGTCCAGAACCAGACAGATTCACAGCCAAATTCTACCAGAGGTACAAAGAGGAGCTGGTACCATTCCTTCTGAAACTATTCCAATCAATAGAAAAAGAGGGAATCCTCCATAACTCATTCTATGAGGCCAGCACCATCCTGACATCAATGTCTGGCAGAGACACAACAAAAAAGAGAATTTTAGGCCAATGTCTTTGATGAACATCAATGCGAAAATCCTCAATGAAATACTGGCAAGCCGAATCCAGCAGCACATCAAAAAGCTTATCCACCACAACGAAGTCGGCTTCATCCCTGGGATGCCAGGCTGGTTCAACATATGCAAATCAATAAATGTAATCCATCACGTAAACAGAACCAATGACAAAAACCACATGATTATCTCAATAGACGCAGAAAAGGCCTTCGACAAAATTCAACAGCCCTTCATGCTAAAAACTCTCAATAAACTAGGTATTGATGGAACGTATCTCAAAATAATAAGAGCTGCTTATGACAAGCCCACAGCCAATATCATACTGAATGGGCAAAAGCTGGAAGCATTCCCCTTGAAAACCAGCACAAGACAAGGATGCCCTCTCTCACCACTCCTATTCTACATAGTACTGGAAGTTCTGGCCAGGGCAATCATGCAAGAGAAAGAAATAAAGTGTACTCAATTAGGAAAAGAGGAAGTCAAATTGTCCCTGTTTGCAGATGACATGATTGTACATTTAGAAAACCCCTTGTCTCAGCCCAAAATCTCCTTAAGCTGATAAGCAACTTCAGCAAAGTCTCAGGATACAAAATCAATGTGAAAAAATCACAAGCATTCCTATACACCAATAAAAGACAGAGAGCCAAATCATGAGTGAACTCCCATTCACTATTGCTACAAAGGGAATAAAATACCTAGGAATCCAACTTATAAGGGATGTGAAGGACCTCTTCAAGGAGAACTACAAACCACTGCTCAATGAAATAAAAGAGGACACAAACAAATGGAAGAACATTCCATGCTCATGGATAGAAGGAATCAATATCATGAAAATGGCCATACTGCCCAAAGTAATTTATAGATTCAATGCTATCAAGCTACCACTGACTTTCTTCACAGAATTGGAGAAAACTACTTTAAAGTTCATGTGGAACCAAAAAAGAGCCCTCATAGCCAAGACAATCCTAAGCAAAATGAACAAAGCCGGAGGCATCATGCTACCTGACTTCAAACTATACTACAAGGCTACAGTAACCAAAACAGCATGGTACTTGTACCAAAACAGAGATATAGACCAATGGAACAGAACAGAGCCTTCAGAAATAACACCACACATCTACAACCATCTGATTTTTGACAAACCTGACAAAAACAAGAAATGGGGAAAGGATTCCCTATTTAATAAGTGGTGCTGGGAAAACTGGCTAGCCATATAGAAAGCTGAAACTGGATCCCTTCCTTACACCTTATACAAAAATTAAATCAGATGGATTAAAGACTTAAATGTAAGACCTAAAACCATAAAAACTCCAGAGGAAAACCTAGGCAATACCATTCAGGACATAGGCATGGGCAAATACTTTATGACTAAAATACCAAAAGCAATGGCAACAAAAGCCAAAATCGACAAATGGGATCTAATTAAACTAAAGAGCTTCTGCACAGCAAAATAAACTATCAGCAGAGTGAACAGGCAACCTACAGAATGGGAGAAAATTTTTACAATCTATCCATCTGACAAAGGGCTAATATCCAGAATCTACAAAGAACTTAAACAAATTTACAAGAAAAAACAAACAACCCCATCATAAAGTGGGCAAAGGATATGAACAGACACTTCTCAAAAGAAGACATTTATGCAGCCAAAAGACACATGAAAAAATCTTCATCATCACTGGTCATTAGAGAAATGCAAATCAAAACTACAATTAGATACCATCTCACGCCAATTAGAATAGTGATCATTAAAAAGTCAGGAAACAACAGATGCTGGAGAGGATGTGGAGAAATAGGAACACTTTTACACTGTTGGTGGGAGTGTAAATTAGTTCAACCATTGTGGAAGACAGTGTGGCAATTCCTCAAGGATCTAGAACTAGAAATACCATTTGACTGAGCCATCACATTACTGGGTATATACCCAAAGGATTATAAATCATGCTGCTATAAAGACACATGCACACATATGTTTATTGCAGCACTATTCACAATAGCAAAGACTTGGAACCAACCCAAATGTCCATCAATAATAGACTGGATAAAGAAAATGTGGCACATATACACCAAGGAATACTATGCAGCCATAAAAAAGGAAGAGTTCATGTCCTTTGTGGGGACATGGATGAAGGTCCATCCATCATTCATCCAATGATGGATGAAGGAAGCCATCATTCTCAGCAAACTATCACAAGGACAGAAAACCAAACACTGCATGTTCTCACTCATAAGTGGGAGTTGAACAATGAGAACACATGGACACAGGGAGGAGAACATCACATATTGGGGCCTGTCAGGGGGTTGGGGGCTGGGGGAGGGATAGCATTAGGAGAAATACCTAATATAATGACGAGTTGATGGGTGCAGCAAACCAACATGGCACATGTATACCTATGTAACAAACCCGCATGTTGTGCACATGTAACCCAGAACTTAAAATATAACTAAAAAAAATTATATGTGAGTGACTTCGAGTTCCTAATTATTGTGATTAAAAATTCAAAGTGCTATTTTGTTTAATAATTCAATTTACATAATTTATACAAAGTAGCTGTTTATCCTAATTGCTTTCATTAGCATTAACATATTAGCTATAACTTTTACCTGTGGAAGGAACACTTTCTCTAATTTTAATGAAAATACCATTTGGGTAACAGTGGTCTTGCTTCAGACTTTCTGACAGCTAATCCCTTGGTGTCCTTCGATCTCCAGTTGGGGACTGCAGGATCCTACCCATTTTCCTTTCCTTTTGTGGGCTGTCACTGCCCCCTTTATCACTTGGGTTTCTTCTCTTCCATGTCTGGTCTTAGAGTGAGACAGTCTCTCAGTTCTCCCTAACTTGCTGTTCTAAAGATGAGCTTATAAACCATTTTCATTTTAAGGACTTAATCATGATTGCAAAAGATCCAAAATCATAAATAAAAATTTCAGACTCATAGTGTCTGTCATTGTCACCAACTATAATTCCCGGTCCCCTTCCTAGATGTCTGTCTCTGAGGTCCTCACCCAAGATTCCCCACCCTATGGAAAATGGAGGTCACTCAGCATGTCTCCCTCAGATGCTGGCAGCCATGTGAGGCTGTGGGGTCTAGGAGAGGTCTCCTCAGCTTTTGTCCCTGAAGTGTGGTTTGGGCTGATCAGAGTATAGAACAGAGTGGGTATCCAAGTATCTTCTAAAGGGTGCATGGTACTTTCCAAGACCTCTCGCCTGAGCATTCCCCATCCAGGGGGCTGCAGCTCAGGTACCCTTGGCTGAGCCTGACTGTAAAGTCTTATGCATCAACCTCTTCAGAGAAGAGACAGGGATTCTTGGAGACCAGAGTTGAGGATTGAGGGCCACTGTCAGGAATGCGTGAGGAGGGGAGAGCCTTGGTTTGTTTCAAGGGAAGAGTTTGAAGTTGAGATGAAGTGGTGGATGAATGGGCATGATAGCTACAGGGTCAGAATAAGTTCTAGTGATGACACATTGCTAGCTGCCTCCTGGGAATGTGCTTTTCAATTTCTGTCCCTTCCTCCTGCCCCTGCTGGTGACTCCAGTGGAACCTGGAACAGATAGATCTTCATTGGTAGGAAGTTCCCAGATGTCAGGGACAGGACCCCCGGGACCCCAGTCTACAAGACATAAGGGCTGGGGATGAGGAAGGAACTCAGGGAGTGTTGGGCAATCACACCCTTTCCCAGGGAGGAGCTACCTGGGCTTATTCACAGGGCGGGTCCCCAGGTGCTCTCAGCCTGGGTCTGTTCCCACTTAAGTTTCTCTGGGTGCTGTAAACAGAGCTGGCTTGGAGCCTCAGCCCTCTGCCTTTCTCTTCTCTTCCATCTTTTGTTAGGGATCCTGGGCTCTCCTCTTCTCTCTGGGAAGCCAGAGCCCAAGTGCTCCATTCCCAGGGAGGGAGTGCCCTCTAGGGCCAGGGGGAGTGAAGGCCTGAGGAGGCACCAGCTGGAGAAGAAGGGCAGGTCCTGGAGGCCAAGTCTGGAAGGGAAGGAGCTGCTGGCCAATCAGGGGCGAGCCGACTGCACCCTGACCTGCTGGGCTGGAACAGCACAGAACCCACAGGTATCTGTGAGTTTGAGTGTGTGTGTGTGTGTGTGTGTGTATTTCTTTAGAAGTCTTCATTCAGCAATGGGACGGAAGTCTATAGGGTTAAAATGTGTACATGGTAGGGAAAGCTCCCCTGATCTCGTTTTTTGGAACTCTTTCTCCAAATAAGAAAATTTTCTTCATTCTAAATTCTTCTAAATGAGTTTGGTTTCACCACTGCTGGATCTTTCTTGGCAAGGCTGTGGGTTCTGAGGTTACCTCTACCCAATTTCTTCCTTTTCTGTAGAGCCCTAAATTCTTATCTATTATGTCTCACTTGTCTCCTGGTCTAATGTTTCTTTCAGTATACAGGATGCACAGCAATGTGAGCCAAGGTGGTAAATCCTTGGCTCTAGCTTATCCTACCAGCTTAGTGTTTGCAGTTCATGGTGTGGATTGGAGACATTATCAGTTCTGTCTCTGGCAAGGTCAGGGACTGGGCTGAAGCCTTGATATTTTGGATGTATGATATGACCAGCTTGGGGCAGGATTTGCCATACTGACGTTTCATGGTTGTGGAAG
The DNA here is from genome assembly GCF_000001405.40 of Homo sapiens. Lineage (NCBI taxonomy): Eukaryota > Metazoa > Chordata > Mammalia > Primates > Hominidae > Homo > Homo sapiens. Next base: position 153,312,096 of record NC_000001.11, on the reverse strand, counting down.
CACAGTGATTAAGTGACCAGGGTGCAAACCAGAATTGATAGTGGCTTCCAGTAGCTTTGCAGGAGGCCAGCTCCTAACAGGCCTTCAATCTTGGGAAAGTGAATCCTTACCTCTCATTTAACTAACGAGGGAGGCTGAACATTTTTCCTTATATTTATTAGGTGCCTGCCTCATTTGTAATTAGCTCATTTTGTCTTCACTGCAGTTTTCCTGAATGAATGGAATCCTGGGTGTTATCTGCTAAGTGGTTGCTTGTCCTGACCCAGGAGGCTTCCACATGTTCTACTCTTAAGACATGGTTTTAAAAATTTTCCATTTGGGGACTGCTGATTGCAGTTTAAAAACCCTGGAGGGCAATGATCTATCCCATTTGGTTTCAAACTCCACTTTATATTTTCTCAGTAGGAAAATTGGGGGGAAAGTTGATGTTTTGGGTGGTAGCTCATACAGCTAAAGTTTCAGTCTGACTGAGTATGAGTAAGCAATTCACTTCTACCTGAAAGAGCAGGAAAGATTCCTGGAGCTGGAAAAGACTATAGTGATCCTATAGTTCAACCTCTTGGGCCCACATTGAGAACGTCCATCAGAAACTCAAACAGGTTGTGAAGTTTCAGGCAGAGGCTCTGGAGTCAGACAGACCTGGGTATGAATCTGGCTCTGACCCTATTATCTGGGAAACTTAGGACAAGTGACTCAAACTCTCTGAGGCCCAGTGTTCTGATGATAAGTGCGGGTCTCATAGGTCATTGTGAGACTACTTAGTGAATATCCATGGAGTCCTCAGCAAAAACCTTGGAACACAGAATGCAGTCAGTAAGTGGTAGCTGTTATTATGATTCTCACTAAAGAAGAGGTTAGTCGAACAACTGTCAGGGATCTTTGCAGAGTAGATGACTGAATTGAATGACTTTACATACCTGGGACTCTCAAATGGTGCAGGGGGCGAAGCCAAGCCTGCTTCTGCTTGTAGTTCACTCCATCTGAGCCTCAATGTTCTTACCTATAAAAATTGAATCAAATATGAAATTGCACCACTAGATATGAAAATAAATACACAGTGTTTTTTCATAACAGCTACCTTGAGGATTTTAGAAATTGTTATTTTCTACCCTGAAAGGCCTAAGATCAGGCACTGCGCTTCTATGAGGAACCAGGAGTTGCCCAGGGCAACAGGAGGTGGGTGGGGAGTCGGTGGCTAGACATAGCCATTAGTGCCCTCACATTTATTGGGAACCTGATGTGTTTAAGGGGCCCCGAGAAGCCTGAGCCAGGTGCTGGCCCTCAGGAAGCCACAGGATGGTAGGGGAGGCAGACAGTGGTGCCACATAGTAGGTGGGTGCTCCACTTGCAGAGTTAGCATGGTTGTGTTAACTGTTAGCCTCTCTTCCAGGGCTGCCGTCCACACTCTCCCGGTCAGAGTCCTGGGACCACATGGGGACGCTGCCATGGCTTCTTGCCTTCTTCATTCTGGGTCTCCAGGCTTGGGGTAAGTTTTATTTACTTGCATCAGAAGTGCTTTTGATGAGCAAGAGAAGACCGTTCTCAAGTTTAATAATAGAAACCCATCCGAGTGCTTTCACTTTGTTAGTGGATAGTGTAGCTTTGCAATTTGGAGCCCTGTTCTAGAGTTTACAGATTTTTTTCAAATCCTTGCCTGTCCTTTGTTATGGTCTTCAACAAGTTATTCAATTTCTTGGAATCTTATTTGCTCCCATGATGAAAGGATAATATTGCTCATTTCTTAGAGTTGTTTTTGAGGATTAAATTAGATCACAAGTGTGCGCCATTTAGCACAATGCCCAAGTAGTTAGTGCTGGGTAATTTGTAGCTATGATTTAATTATTGTCACCATCGTTATTATACCAGTCATAGTTAAACCCAGCACTTGGGTCTACATTTGTAAATAAAAGCAAATTCCCCAAGAGTAGCAATGCCGTTTCTCTAGATTAAGAAGATTTCTTATCGTTATATACATAAGAGTAGACACATAGCAATGTTCATTAAATAAATGCTGTTGAATTAAAATGAAAGTGAGCTTGGTGATTCTTAAATATGACATGTTTTTCAGTTTGTTTTACATACACAGACCCCCTTCGGAAGGAAAAATGTAATATAGCTTTCTCTCTGTCCTCTGCTACTCAGACAGCAAATTTAATGGGATTACCTGGAGTTAGTGTTAGAGAAACTCACAGGCCTTTCATTGTATGAATGGAGAAGCTGAGGCCCTGATGGGGAAATTAACTTGCCCAAGCAAAGCAGGGAGTTTTGTGTGGTCCTCATCCCTGCCTCCTGGTTCCTGCCCTGCCAGGTGTCAGTGTTGGCCTGCGGGCTGCTCTTCCACTCTGAGAGTCCTGTGGGTTTCATTTGTAAAGTGTCCTCTCCGGGCTCCTCCCTCCCCCTCCCCAGTCCTCTGTGTCCCCTTCACAGCCCAGCTTAGGCCCTCTGCCTGCTGAGGTGGGCTCCTGTCCTCAGCAGTCTCTCCAGCACACCTTGGACTTGGGGTCCTGGTCATGTATTTGCTCTTGATTTCACAGAAGGACAGAACCTCAGAATCATGGTGGAGACCCTCAGTGACTTTGTCTTGTAGGAAGAGAAACAGGTCACATTGTGGCAGTGACTAACCCAAGTTCATCTGACAACTTTGGGGAGGCTGCAGAGTACAGTTGTTATGAACAGGGGCTTCGGGGCCAGAGATTCTGATTGGAATCTAAATCTACGCTTAAAACCTCTGTTATGTTAGACAAGTAACCTAACTTCCCTAAGACTTGGTTTCCCTTCTCTATAGACAGCATAGTTGCTTTGCTTAACTCATGAAGTTGTTTTAAGCCACAATTCTGATAGCATCCTTGGATGTGCTTTGTAACCACAGGGCTGGTCTGTGGGAGATGGGGTTGCTAACAATGTCACTGCTGCCATTGGCTACTGCTCCCAGGACCCCTGGTACTGAATGGGAGCAATGGGGGATAAGGACAGGCTGGCAGTGGCTAATCCACAGTAAAACATCTCTAAAACGTCTAGTTTTTGAAGGCGGTCACAATAATCTGTATATTTCTGTTTCAAGAACCTTGTCTGGCACCAATAGGTGATTAAGACATGTGTGTTAGCTCAACATGTCACAACTGTCTTGGTATGGGACACTCTGCTGGGTACCGACGGTTTGATTAGTAGGTCTGCCGGTGAACCAGGAAAGGTGGCACTGCCCAGATAAGGCAGCAGGTGAGACTGCAGTGCTCCTGGAATGGAGGGAGGCTGGGGGAGGTGGGAGGACAAAGGCCTCTCTGGGCAGATGTGGAAGGCAGAGGCAGGCCAAGGCCAGAGACTTCTGTGGTTCTCCTCTGTGTGCTTGCTAGAAGACGTTAGGTGACCTGGGGAGGAGGAGAGGCTGTGCACTGCAGAGTGGGATGTCTGGCCCAGCCTCTGAGCTTGCTGGCCATGTGCACTCCAAGGAGTGCACCAATGCACCAGTGCTCTCTTGCAGGGGATTTTCCACAGTTCTCCTGGAGTGAGACCCAAGCCAGAGGCTTGTCCCAGAGGCTTATGGACCTGTTTGTCAGCATCTCACAGTTCATTCACAAGGGTCGCAATGGTGAGGCGGTTTGGAGATTGGCTGGGGCTTCTTAAGTGGTCAGAAATGTTTCTCAGGACTTGATAATGTCTGGGCTGAAAGTCAAAGGGGTGGGGAGGAATCCCAGGAGGTTTGTCTCCAACCACTCCCATGGATCATCCTGAGTCCTTAGGCAAAGGGGAGTTCCTCAGCCTAAGGAGAGAAAAAGAAGAGAAACTCAAATGAAGAAAGAGAAGGAGGCTGGGCGCGGTGGCTCACGCCTATAATCCCAGCACTTTGGGAGGCCGAGGAGGGTGGATCACGAGGTCACGAGATCGAGACCATTCTGGCTAACACGGTGAAACCCTGTCTCTACTAAAAATACAAAAAATTAGTTTGGCATAGTGGCATGCACCTGTAATTCCAGTTACTCGGGAGGCTGAAGCAAGAGAATTGCTTGAATCCGGGAGGTGGAGGCTGCAGTGAGCCGAGATCGCGCCACTGCACTGCAGCCTGGGTGACAGCGCGAGACTCCATTTCAAAAAAAAAAAAGAGAGAGAGAAGGAGAAAAAACCCAGAGAGAAAAGACATGTCCTCCACTCCCAGCTCCAGCATGACAGTGTCTCCATTGTCCCTCAGAGCGCTCCTGGGGCTCCCATGATGAGAATGGAGAAAGGGAGCCCTCAGGTAGCCTGACGCGGCAGGTGGGATCTCACAGCCCTGCCGCTAGGGAGTGTTCGCCCGGAAGAAAGAGGTGCAGACCCCGTGTTTATGGAGCCTCCTGTGGGCTCTGGAGTCCCTAGTTGAGGAGACTGATAGAGCTTCCTTCAGAGAGTCATGGTTCTTAGGGGAGGGGAAGACAAGAGACACAGTTGAGACCAGGGCAAATGGCAGTGAGGAAAATGCATCCTCAGGCTTCTGGGCTAAGGAGGCAGCTCAGAGCCCCAGGGTGGGCGGCGGGGTTGGCTGGGGTGCTTTCTGAAGGAGGGGAGCATGTAGGCCAGGGGGCAGTAGGGGATGGGATTTGCCCTTCAGGGAAAGACAAGGAGAGATTGTCTGGGAACAAGGCGGCACGACTTCCCAGGCTGAGTGCAGCGTGTGTCTGGGCAGTGGTTCAGCCACAGTGGAGAGAAGGAGGGGGCTTTGGTGGTGAAGGGCTCCCCCAGGGTGTCTCCCATGCATGGGGCAGGTCGGGCCTGAGCATGAGAGGTCAGGGCACATGGTCGACCTGTTGGGGGAAGATGGGCAGGGCCTGCTATGTGCCATTCTGTGGTCTTCCCTACAGATACTCCCACCATCGTCTCCCGCAAGGAGTGGGGGGCAAGACCGCTCGCCTGCAGGGCCCTGCTGACCCTGCCTGTGGCCTACATCATCACAGACCAGCTCCCAGGGATGCAGTGCCAGCAGCAGAGCGTTTGCAGCCAGATGCTGCGGGGGTTGCAGTCCCATTCCGTCTACACCATAGGCTGGTGCGACGTGGCGTACAAGTAAGAGGCTAGCCAAGTCCCTGAGGCCCACATCCAAAGTCACGGGGGTGCTTCCCACTTCCCCTTCTCTGTGGCTCTTATTTTCTGCGCTTCATTTACATTGCTTTTGTAATGAATAGAAATGGTAAAAGGGGAATCAAACAAAATCCGAATCCTTCGGGGATTGTAAGAGGGATGACTCTAAGCCACTTATTTAAGTGGCTTTCGATTCTGGTGCTCCTGTGAAAAAGCAAGGAAGGTTACGTAACAACTGCAGTTTTAACTGAGTCCTTGGAACTCACGAAACGTTACAGTTTACAGAGGTCTTCACAAATATCACCCGATTTGGCCCTCCCAGCTACTCTGAGAAATGGGTTCCTACCCATATTCCTACCCTTATTTCACAGGCGGGAAAGCCATGGTTTGGGGGAATTAAAAGCTCTGCTCAGAGAGAGGAAGCACGTACCCAGAGCTGTGTGAGAGCACCTGCCAGTGTAGCCCTTGCTCCTCCCCACCTCACAGGGACTCGCACCTGGGAAGCAGTGTCCCACTTGTTACCCTGAAAGACCACTCTGACAGCAAGTCCGGGGACCCCACCGGGGAGAGTGGGCTTTGGGAATGGCGGGGAGGAGAGACCCGCAAGAAACAAGGGAGGGCATGAAGGAGCTGTGCACTGTGCATTGAGTTTCTGCTCTGGGGATCATCAGTGGAAGCCCAGAACCTTTTCTCCCTTAGCCTCAAGAATGAGGAGACACATGTAGAAGGAGAGGGAAAGAGAGAGTGGGAATGGGGCTGTCCCGCATGGAACTCTAAAGACAAACATAAATAATTTCTGAATTATCCATTTTGGAAAGGAAAATCTAAGTCTTATTTATTTATTTATTTATTTTTAAACACAAATAAATAAGAGCAGCTGCAGGCCCTGGTTTTGGCCCCCAGCACCCCTGGGATGGCTGGGTCTTCCCTGTCTGCCCATGGGGCATGTCATGTCAACCACGACTCACCTGCTGCCCCTGCCACCAGCACCTCCACCATCCTGCTGTTGTCGCTGCTGTGTTTTCTGGTTTGGTCACTGTATTCCTAAGTTATTTCAGCCTCTGCATCTCTAAGTCAGGTTTCTACAGTGACAACTTGACAATCTCCAGTTTTTGCAATGCAGCTGACAGTAGCTGTAAGGGACTGTTCACACCGTACTAACCACAGGCTGCTGCAGGAGTGACCAAGGAACCTGTGAAAGTACTGGCAGCAAAGCCAGGGAAGGGGTGGACACACCAGGCTCCACACCCATTCCTCATGTCGACATCGGTGTAGGGTGGAAAGTCGGCCTGACTCAGTTCAGTGTCTTTCCTTGACCTAAGGGAGGTGTTCTTTCTGTGTTCAGTTTGCTGCGGAAACTCATGTTCTATTAAAAGATGAATACGGCAAAGTTGTGAAAACATCAATTCTGAAGACTGATTGGAAAGTGGAGGAGAGAAATTATAAAGAGGCAGGAATAAAAGAAGTAGAATAAAAAATTGATTTAAAAAGTAAATGTGAAAAAGGAACATTCTAAACAAATTTCTATGATAAAGAAGAGCTTAAGGAAATTCCTAAAGAGAATCTGAAGAAAAACATCAATACAAAAGGAACTATTGAATCTGGCATAATTATTTTAGAGAATGTTCAAGTGTTTGGTCCTATAATTTAAAAACATGATGTAGTAATTTTTAAGCTCTTGAAAAGCATTGAACTAATGTCCTCAGGTCCTTGAGTGTCATGCAGTCAAATTCCACTTTGAACCAAATGAGTATTTTTGAAGTGAGGTTCTGGAAAACACATGCAAGCTAAATCCCAACAAAAATTAAAATATATTCCCATGTCTCTTGGAGGTCTAAAACTGGTTATTCTGCACCTCCTATTGTTTTGTTATTGGAACATAGTACTTACTTATGAGCCTCCAGAACCCCTTTTCCTTTTGAGGATCAGTGAGAGGTTTTCATTTATGGAGATTTGCAGTAAAATCATTATTTCCTTCTTGTCAGCTTCCTGGTTGGGGATGATGGCAGGGTGTATGAAGGTGTTGGCTGGAACATCCAAGGCTTGCACACCCAGGGCTACAACAACATTTCCCTGGGCATCGCCTTCTTTGGCAATAAGATAGGTAAGGGTCACTCCCTGCGGACCCTGTGCTGGAGAGTTGTGTACACTCTCTTCCTCCACTCCCAAGGGTCAACACTCATCTTTTTACCCTACATCATACTTACCTTCTCTGATGATCACCCTTCTCTTGAAATTCTTTTCTCCTTTGGATCCTGTGACATGCATACTTTTTGTCCTCTGCCTCTCTTTACTGGTCTGTACTCCTGTGATATTGCTGAAGCTTGCATGGGCGTTGCTTGAGCTCACGGTTATTGCTGTCACTTCTAAAGTCTGAGGTTGTCTGACATAGATGCTGTGACTGCCAGAGGCAGAGAAGCATGGCTCATCTCTTATTCCAGTTCCACTGGTAGAAAGTGACCAGAAGGCAGCAGGCAAGGAAATCTGGAGGTATAATTTGCAGGCTTCTAGCCCCTAGAAAAATAGAGAAAAGCACAGAACAGGGATGGAGCTGAGAAATAATACATATGGAACCAGCACCTGCCAGCATCCTCATTTGACAGCTGGGGCTAGGTAACAGCATTTCTCTCAGAGGTTTTCTGTGAGAGTTATGAGTTAACAGATATAAAAAGCCTACTGCACACCTGATCAGGGGAGCTATGAGTAAATTCTGGTTGCCTTTTCTCCTGTGCTAGTGCACACCTGACTTGGTCAGGTGGGCCTCCCTTTGCATGTATCCTTCACTGCCTTCCAGCTCTTCTGCCTAGAGATGGAGTGGATAAAGTCTTAGCTTGGCTCTTGGAAGAAGTTTTCAACCTTGGCTGCTAAGAGATCTAGGTAGCTTCTCGCCTCTTAGGCACTCTGTTCTGGCAACTGGACCAGTTTCCTCTCTTCCAATCCAGTTATTCAGGCTCAAGTGGTCATATCATCCTTTCTGCAGGTGTCTGGTCTAGGTGGAGTTTCTTACTGACATTTTTGTGCTCCCTGTCCTCCTCTTTAAGGCAGCAGTCCCAGCCCTGCTGCCTTATCAGCTGCAGAGGGTCTGATCTCCTATGCCATCCAGAAGGGTCACCTGTCGCCCAGGTATATTCAGCCACTTCTTCTGAAAGAAGAGACCTGCCTGGACCCTCAACATCCAGTGATGCCCAGGAAGGGTAAGACCCTCCATGTCACCTCACCCTCCTCCTCGTCACCACCTAGCCATGTTTGGAGTCATGTTTGGGAGTGCTTTTTCCTGTTAGACCCCATGGGATTCTGGGACTAAGAACATCTCATGCCTACTTTGAGATCTGGAAAATTCTGAGAGGGCATCTTCCTGGCCTCCTCTCCATCCCATCAGAATGAGATAGCCATAGACTTCTTCTTAAAACAAATACATATGTACACAGATTTTCAGTCAGTCAACAAATATTTACTGCATAGCAGGCACTGTTCTAAGTACTGAGCATACAGCTGTGAACAAAACAGATGAAACTCTTCACCTTCAGGAAGCTTGCACTTCAGTGAGAAGAGACAGAAAATGAACAAAATAACAAAGAAATGTATATGATGTTAGACGGCATAAAAGCTATGGAGAAAAATAGAGTGGGAATGGAGTGGGATTAACATGTATACATAGTTGTGTCTATTATGTGGGGACACGAAGGACATACATAAGCTTACATACCTTTCTAAATGCAAAAACCAGCCATGGCCACAGCACAGCCACAGCTCGGAGAAAAGCTTGTGCTCACAGATGATGCTGACATCAGAGTGCATATAACAAAAAGCTGAGTAATAAAAATAATGCACTATTTTGAAGTGAATAAGCAGCAACCTAAAACCAGTCAAATTAATAAGCACTCCTGCTAGTGGACCTTTTCTTGGGATCAATGATATTTTTAGAATTAGCTTTTTAAAACTGTAAATCTCAAATAAAATGTTTCTTGCTTTTGGACAGGCACTATCTTCAATAATGATAATTTCTTAATATTTGTACAGTTCTCTCTAGATTTCAAGTTGTTTCCAAATATGTGTGATCAGTTCGGAGAGTCCACTGACTTCCGCGTAGTAGCCCTGTTACATAAGCGCACATACCTGCATATATATTTGCAATGCATGGTCTTTTGAAGACAATGACCATGCCTCTGTATAACCCACAGCCCTTTCCCTTCTGCTTATACGCTGATTTCTATTGGTATCAGGCCTGTAGATTTTTGCCTCAGCCCCTTGGCTCCAGCCATCTGAATCAGAAACCTCCCAACTGGACTTCCCCAGAATCCCAAAGCTGATATTACATTAGGATGTGCCCGTGGGTGCTGGAGGCCTGGGAGAGGCTGAGGAATAATCCAGCCTGGAGTTGAGTGATTGCTCACAGAGAGGCAAAAAAAATTCCTACTTCCTTGGCTTTTCATTTTACCACAGTTTGCCCCAACATCATCAAACGATCTGCTTGGGAAGCCAGAGAGACACACTGCCCTAAAATGAACCTCCCAGCCAAATATGTCATCATCATCCACACCGCTGGCACAAGCTGCACTGTATCCACAGACTGCCAGACTGTCGTCCGAAACATACAGTCCTTTCACATGGACACACGGAACTTTTGTGACATTGGATATCAGTAAGTGGGATCAATGCCAAAAGAACCCTCTTTTTCTTCAGGATTGTAGGAAGGAAGGCTGTGGGAGGGAACTGATGTTTCCTGAGCCTCTCCTTTGGGCTGGGTGGTTTCCATAAGGCATCATATTTTATTTTTGCAAGATTGGGCTGAGGATCATTCAGAGCATAGCTAATGGTCAGTTACCTCGCTTGGACGTATCTCCACAAGTGGTTGGGAAGATTCTGAAAAGAAGGCATTAGAAGCCTAGTGATAAAGCAAGACTGTGATACCCTCAGGGAAGGCCATGAAGGGTTGTACCTTTTTAATGCAATCCCTTCTAACCTGTCAGAGACAAAGGCCTTGCTCACTCCTATCTCAGTCTGCCCAGCTCCAAACTTGCTCTCTCCGATGTTAGAATCCTGCTATTCCTCTGGTGTTACTTACCTCATTTTATAGATGTAGGAACTTTTAACCTCTCTGGGCCTCTTTTGTCTCATCTCTACAATAGGGACAATGCTTTATCTGTTTGAAGACAGGGAGCAAGATCAAAACATTTTCTTTTGGTACCTTTAATGCCAGGTCTGTAATAAAGAAACACATTAAACTAATGGAGTAGAAGAAGCTGCTTGGAAGATGTCTTGGAATTTTCAAAGGAAGGATTTAGGGCTAGAGTATAATGTATTTCAATTATTCATCTGTGACTTAATCACAACAAATCTTACAAAGTCTCAGGTAGATGTGCTTTTGCACATGTGTTGTTCTGGGCCTACTATCTCTCCTTTTAACTCCTGTTTTAAAAGCAGCCTTTGCAAACAGGAGGGAACTCTTGCTTCACTTTGCAGGATTTTCCATAGGCTTTCTATGGTTATTTAGCACAGGTAACAAGAAATTGACTAAAAATCTGGAAATTCCACATGGAAAATGCCAGAAGGTGAGGGAATGTTTGTTTTCCTCTTTCACTCAGTCTTTAGAGACTCCATCCCCGTTCCTTGACTTTTCAAAACCTGTTGCAATATCCTTCTGCTCCAGCCTCATGATATGTCACCTGTAACCCTGATATGGACTGTAATCAGGACAAAGCACCCACTCACACATTATTTTCTAGTTTTTTAATCAATAGTTATTGGATAGCTACTATATGCCTGGTGCTAGACGAGATATATCAATCTAACAACAAACAGAGAGAGATTCTCCAAAGATGATTAATTTGGCCAGGCACGGTGGCTCATGCCTATAATCTCAGCATTTTAGGAGGCCGAGGCGGAAGGATTGCTTGAGGTCAGGAGTTTGAGATCAGCCTGGGCAACATAGGGAGACCCCATCTCTTCAAAAAAATAAAATAATTAGCTGGGTGTGGTGACATGTATACCTGTAGTCAGTCCCAACTACTTGGAAGGCTGAAACGGAGGATCGCTTGAGCCTAGTAGTTTGAGGCTGCAGTGAGTCATGGTTGTGCCACTGCCCTTCAGCCTGAGCAACAGAGTGAGACCCTGTCTGAAAAAGACAAAAACAAAAGCAAGAGAATAAAGATAAGTATTTTATTTGAGAGTGTAAAGGGAATTTGCAAATCTGGGATATGCATGCTACAGGAACCACAGGCATATCCAAAGAGGTTCAGGCTAGGGGAAGCTTTTAAAGGCAAAAGGCAAAAGTTTGTTTTGAAATAAAGGGAACACTGGAGAACATTGGAACTTATCGCGGGAGGTGACACCAGTTCATTAGTGGAGACAGTGTGCTGGGCAAGTGTTCTTCATCAGCCAGATGTCCTTGTGACTAGTAACAAGCTGCAGTTTTGAAAGTTTTTGGCAAAAGTTCTTGTTACAGGCTTGTGTGCGTAAGAGTCCTTCAGAGAGTCTTTGTGCTAGTTCTTATTGTAGGCTTGTGTGCATGAGGGTCCACCCTTTTCAACCTCCTGGCTTTATTTATTTTTGTTAGAGTTTGACACAAGTGACTCCATTTTGATTCTGACAACTTTCACTGATAGATATGAGAGAAGGAGGGCTAACAAGTAACTACAAGTCAAAGTGTTTGAGCACTGTGATGGATGCAGAACAGGATAATGTATATGATGAGTCTCTAATCAAGGCTTTGTGGGGGGTGATTGGGGTCTGAGAATGGCTTCTAGAGGGAGGAGTATCCTCATTGGGACATGGATAAGCAGTGGGGTTTATTCAGGCAAAGAAGGAGGAAGAGTGTCTGGGTGAGGAGGAACAGTATTTGCCAGGGCCCGGGGTTCAGACAGAGCATTACAAATAGATTTGAAAGAGAGGAGTGGTGAGTAGTAAGGGTGGGAAAGCCTGGGAGGGGCCACATCACGGAGGGCCTCATAGCAGACTCAGAGAGACTGACTCAATTTGAAAGGCAGCTGCAGACTATTTGGGAGGTCATGCTCTATGATAGGATTTGTATTTTAGAAAAATCACTCTGGGTGCTACTTTAAGAATGGGTTGGAAGGAGGCAAAACTCTGGGCAGGAAGCTATTGCAGTGATCCAGTGACTTGCAGTGGGATCGTGGCAGTTGGTCTAGAAAGAAGTGGAGGAATTTAGAAGCTGTGTAGGAGATACAATTGACAAGCCATGATTGGTGACCAGGTGGGCTGAGTGAGGGGGTAGAAGGCATTCAGGGTGTTGTCCAATTTTCTAGCTGGATAAATTTTAGAAGAAGGTGGGTTTGCTTGGACTGTTTTTACAGGTAGTACTTGAAGCTGTGGCAATGATTGTCCAGGGTGAATACGTTGAGTGAGAGAATGGCCTAGACTAGAGTGCGGAGGAGCACCATGTTTGAGGAAGGTAAGGTGGGGTGGGAGAGGGGCCTGAGGGAGCAGCAGGAGGAGGAGAACAAGGAGGGTTGTGGTTGTGGAAGCCCGGGGAAGGGAACATTTTAAGAGAGTGGTCAACAGGGTCAGTGTAGTCTAGAAGTAAAGTAAGTGTCCATTGTACTTAGTGCCAGGAAGCCACTGCTCACCTTGGAGGGGTCAGATTTAGTGGTGTGATGGGAACAAAGGCCAGGTTGAAGTGGACTGTGGTATTTTTTTGTTTTGTTTTGTTTTCTGTCCTTGTCCACATTGGCACATAAGAGATCTCCAGTCAATATTGGATGAATGGATGAAAGAATGAATGAGTGGTTGAAGGAGTGAATGAAGTATTTAAATTCTGTTTCCCAGAGTGACTGTCTTCATTTTCTTTTCCTGACCTAAGCTTCCTGGTGGGCCAGGATGGTGGCGTGTATGAAGGGGTTGGATGGCACATCCAAGGCTCTCACACTTATGGATTCAACGATATTGCCCTAGGAATTGCCTTCATCGGCTACTTTGTAGGTAAGGGGTGAGCATGGGGTAGAGGGGTGCTGGGGGTTGAAGGACCATGCAGCATGTCTGGGAAGCATGGCGGGAAAGGCAGCCCTGTAGTGCCTGGCAGTGTGAATGGAACATTTTAGCTTTAAAGTGGACTCTTAATACAGGATGTCACCAGGATCCCCTTTCAGACAGAGCATTTACCCCCAAATCCACCCATCCCCATGCCCAGCTCCACCTTGCTTTATATCCAAGGCAAACATGGAGCAAGGGGGGAAACGTCTTTTGCAAACTTCAGTGCTTTTATCGCTCAGTTGGCAAATGTGTCCCCTTTCTTGTTAGCCATGGCAACAATTTGGGGAGCACCACTGCCTGTTATGGAAAACCAGTGGGCGGCCCAGTGGTGCTGTATCTGCTTTATACCTGCTCAGAAGTGGTGTGTTGTGCTGCAGTTCTCCTCCAGAACAGTTTTTTATATTTATTTATTTATTTTTGAGATGGAGTCTCGCTCTGTCTCCCAGTCTGGAGTGCAGCGGCGTGATGTCGGCTCACTGCAAGCTCCACTTCCCGGGTTCACGCCATTCTCCTGCCTCAGCCTCTCGAGTAGCTGGGACTACAGGCGCCCGGCTAATTTTTTTGTATTTTTAGTAGAGATGGGGTTTCACCATGTTAGCCAGGGTGATCTCGATCTCTTAATCTCGTGATCCGCCTGCTTGGCCTCCCAAAGTGCTGGGATTACAGGCGTGAGCTACTGCACCTGGCCCCCTCCACAGCAGTTTTTAACCTTCTGGAAGAAACTTTGGCACGGAGGAATCAGAGAAAGCAATGACCTTGTTTTCTTTTTGTGCCTGATTGCCACAATTTACGTAAATGTGTTGGCTATGGTGATGGCGGAATGGGGCGTGGTGGAGGAAGAAAGAAACTGGAATCTAGGTGCTTGTCCCTTCCCTAATCAAGAAACTTTGAGCCCCTAATGACTGATGGGGAAAATGTGTTTTGCAGAAAAGCCTCCAAATGCTGCAGCGCTGGAGGCGGCCCAGGACCTGATCCAGTGTGCCGTGGTTGAGGGGTACCTGACTCCAAACTACCTGCTGATGGGCCACAGTGACGTGGTCAACATCCTGTCCCCTGGGCAGGCTTTGTATAACATCATCAGCACCTGGCCTCATTTCAAGCACTGAAGGAGGCCCCACTCCCTTTGAGACTGCCCTCCCTCCCCTGCTGGGTCTCTCCAACCCTCACCAGCCAAGGTGGCTCAGCACCTTGTGTCCCCCTCCCCTGCCAGCCCATCCTTTCTCAGGTTTGAATGGTCATGTCCTTTCCTGCCAACATCCTCCAGGAGCCCCCAAACCTCACAGCTGGGCATTCACAGCCCTCTTGGTCTGAGTTTAGACTTCCCCTCTCTTTTACCTACCTCTCCCCTGGGCACTTACCTCCTCAGTCAGGCGAGACAATGGGCTGGTCCTTGTGGCATTTCTCTCTCTCTCCCCCCAACCCCTGTCTCCTCTTCTTTCTTTCTTTGCTTCCTTTCTCTTTCTTTCTTTCTTTCTTTCTTCTTTCTTTCTTTCTTTCTTTTTCTTTCTTTCCTTCCTTCCTTCCTTCCTTCCTTCCTTCCTTCCTTCCTTCCTTCCTTCCTTTCACCTTCTTTCTTGCTTTCTCACTCTCTCTCTCTCTCTCTCTCTCTCCCCCTCTCCCCGCCTCTGCCTGGTGAGCCTTCCCTGTTTTCTGCCTGGAAGCCCCCACCCTTCATCCCTCACCCATGACCTAGGTCAGTGTGCCCACCCCCCCTCTCTGCTCACACATGGACTGGTACATATTTGGATGCAGCCCTTACTTAAGGGCTGTAATTATTTATAGATATGATTTATAGATATGTCTGTCCTCTCCTCTGGGTTGTAAGTTTCTCCAAGGGAGGAATTCTATTTTATTCATCTCTATCCTCAGTTCCTCAGCAGTGTTTGGAGTTTAATAGGTTCTACAGATGTTTGTTAAAGAAATGGATGAATAAATGAATGAGTGGACCCAGGTCCCTGTTCACCTTGCCAGTTTGCTTCGGAACTTCCCCTCTGAGGCAGCCTTCCTGGATAGTGTCCCCATCCCACCAGCAGCATTCTCTCTGTTCCTGTTCCCTCCCAGTCCAAGGCTCAGAGCTGGCTCTGGTCGTCTGTCTGTAATGGTGGCTGTATTGTTAGGGTCTCGCGTCCATGTCCCCCAAGAGCACCCTGAAGGCAGGGAGCATGTGCTTCTCTGGGTCAGGCCAGGGCTGTGTCCACACAAGCTGCCCAGTGCCTGCCACTTGCCCTTGCCTGGCTGGGTCCCACTGGGTGTTGGGCTGAGAGAGAGCCCAGAGCCCTGGTGCTCTGTAGCCCTCCCTACCTGGGCTCCTCTTGCCCAGAGGGAAGCTCCTTTTCTTCAGATGGGGGCATGATGACGTACTGCTGTTTACCGGAAGCACGTGAGCTGGCTCTTGTTTTCACGGGTTTTGATCTGGAAACAAGGGAAGGTGTTGACAAAGAGTCAAACTGTGTAAAATATTTGAAGAGATTTATTCTAAGCCAAATATTAGTGACCACGGCCTGTGGCACAGCCCCAGCAGATCCTGAGAACATGTACCCAACGTGGTCAGGCTACAGTTTGGTTTTATATATTTTAGGGAGACATGAGACATCAATCGATACATGTAAGATGTATATTGGTTTCGCTGGAAAGGTGGGACAACTCCAAGCAGGAGGTGGGTGGGTGGCGGGGGGGGCGTCCAAGTCATAAGTGAATTCAAAGATTTTCTGATTGGCAATTGGTTGAAAGAGTTATTATCTAAAGACCTCCAACCAATAGAAAGGAATGTCTGGGTTAAGATGGGGATTGTGGAGACCACGGTTTATCATGCACATGAAACCTCCAGGTAGCAGGCTGCGGAGCTCTTATCAGACCTAAAAGGAGCCAGACTCTTAGTCAATTCTCTCCTGGATCAGGGAAAAGACCTGGAGAGGGAAGGGAATTCTCTACAGAATGGGAATTTTCCCCACAAGAGACAGCTTTACAGGGCCATTTCAAAATATGTCAAATAAATATAGTTTGGGGTAAAATACTTCAATTTCTTTCAGGATCTGCTAACTGTCATGTTGATATCTTATAGCAACAGTCTGTTTGGTCAGTCTTAAGATCTCTGTTTTAAGGTTAATGCTGGTCAGTTGTGCCTGAATCCCTAAGGGAGAAGGGTATAATGAGCCATGTCTGACCCCACTTCCCAACATGGCCTGAACTAGATTTTCAGGTTTCCTTTGGAATACCCTTGGCCAAGATGGAGGTTCGTCAGTCAGTTGTGGGGATTAGAGCTTTATTTTTGGTTTAAAGAGGGAAGGAGGAAGAAGGGGTGCCAGAAACATGGGCTTTCTTCCCCCTGTACATGTTTTGAGTACTGATGCTGTGTCTTTGCTTCCAGTGTTTCACGTCTCTTACAAAGCAGGCTTTAACGGCCTAATCTGTATACAGCTCTGTGCTTTCAAAACGGTCCCTCCGATCTCATTAGATTGATTCTGTCCATTTGTCATTTGCCCTATGGCATCCTGGTTATGTAAGCAGGGGAAGAGTGGTTTGTCTAGAGGGTCACATAAGCCCAGGGAGACTCAGAACTCTTGCTCCATTTATACAATCAGAGGAAGGTGGCTCCAGTAGAACTCCTGTAGTGAAAGGTCTTCCTCCTGCAGTAAGAAGTGACACTCCTGCTAGCCCCCTTCTGGTGGAGGGGTGGGGTGTGGGCACAGGCTTCCCAGAGGAACCTTCCCCAGCAGGGGTGAGTTTAACATCCCCTCATGCAGGAAGTAGCCAGAGGGGTAGACTGAGATGCTGAGAAATGGTTTCATGAAAAAGGTATCCTTATAATTCTTGGCCTTCCTTATAATCCTCCAAAATAGAGGGTCTCCTCTTTTTGATTTAAACACCATTCCCAGGCCTTAGGGACTCATTGACCTCCCTCCCCAACCTCCATCCCTTATGAACTTTAGAAGAGACTGTAGACTCCCCAACTCCATCAGCACTCATGAAGGCCTCAAAACAACAATATTGGCTGGGCGCGGTGGCTCATGCCTGCAATGCCAGCACTGTGGGAAGCCAAGGCGGGTGGATCACCTGAAGTTAGGAATTCAAGACCAGCCTGACCAACAAGGTGAAACTCCGTCTCTACTAAAAAAACAAAAATTAGCCAGGTGTGGTGGCAGGTGCTTGTAGTCCCAGCTACTCGTGGGGCTGAGACAGGAGAATTGCTTGAACCCGGGAGGTGGAGGTTGCAGTGAACCGAGATAGCGCCACTGCACTCCAGCCTGGGCGGCAGAGCAAGACTCTGTCTCAAGAAAAAATACTGCATGGTCTGGATTATTGTTTTTCCCAAATTATCTACTTTTATTGATCTTAAACATACTAAGTAAAATCAGAGCACTCAACCGGCAAATGCCCCTTCCTTCCTTCCTTCCTTCCTGTTTTCTTGAGACACAGTCTTGCTCTGTTGCCCAGGCTGTAGTGCAGTGGCACTATCTCGGCTCACTGCAACCTCCACCTCCTGGGTTCAAGCAATTCTCCTGTCTCAGCCTCCTGAGTAGCTGGGACTATAGGCGCCTGCCACCACGCCTGGCTAATTTTTGTATTTCTAGTAGAGACGAGGTTTCACTATGTTGGCCAGGATGGTCTTGATCTCTTGACCTTGTGATCCACCTGCCTCGGCCTCCCAAAGTGCTGGGGTTACAGCGTGAGCCACTGTGCCCAGCCAGCAAACGCTCTTCCAAGGCAAATTCAAGGCAGCTTATTCCAGGCAGTTTGCTTCTCCTGTGTTCTTTTATAGAGAAATTCTTCCCAGCTTCCCCTTAATCATTTAGAGTGAGGGGCAATACTAACACCCCCCTCAGAGGATTATCGCCAGGGTTAAATGAATGATCAGGTGTAAGGGTCTGAGAACTCGTGCTCAGCATTGAAGAACCATTCCACTGGCATCGGGTGAGGCGTGTGATTGTTGCTGTCTGTTACTCCTGTTTGACTGTGGCAGGAAGGATGTGCCTTCGTGGGCATCAACCGCAGCTGCCTGGGGAAAATTGGTGCAGATTGTGCCCAGACCTGGTGATGAGCAGGGAGGAGCCAGGCAGGCCTGCAAGTGGGTGGGGCAGGTTTGAAGCAGCCCACGGTGAAGGAGGGGGCACAGCCCCTTCATGGCCCCCGGCATTGTCAGGGTGGGAAGGGCCCAGAGCTCATCGACTCAGTGGTTGTCCATGATTATAAGCTGGGAAAAAAAGACTCCAAAGTTTTCTTTGGTTCCAGCATAGTGAATATCAATCTGGTTAAAGCCTCCTGTTTCACGGAACACTGAACCGGAAGGAGGTAGATGACCTGTTCAAGTCGCCCCATGAGTTAAGTAGAGGAAGGAGCACCCAGGTTCTGAGGTTGAGGCACGGCATGATTCCTATCACCCCTCTGCTAAAATCATGGTATGGCCTCTCCTTCCCCACTGAGTCAACTAACAACACACGAGTATGTCGGTTAGGGCCTCCATAATCTCTTTCCCACAGAACAAGCCCGTGCGGGTCACTTGCAGTCTCACACGCTGGGCTTTCACATGTTCCTGCCTTTGCCTGCACAACTTCCCCTCTCTTGACCTCTCCAATCCCACTTTTTTTTTTTTAGCTGCTTTTCAAAGGCTTGCTCTTCCAGAACCTGCTTCTCCAAACTAGAAATGGCGTCTCCCACCGCAAGCGCCCATGGACTCGGCCCCGGCCTCGTAGTGCCTCTTTGCTGCCCGCGTGCCTTCTCCCTGCCGGCTTGGACTCCCCGAGGGCTGCACCTGCTCCCCTCGCTCCGTCTCCTGGGCCAGTACAGGGCCTGGCACACTGCTGGGGCCACCTAAGCGTCTGTAGGAGGAAAGCCAGGATGGGTTGGGCAGAGGCAGTGTCTCCCTCAGCTGGTCTCAGACGCTTACCGCAGAGCGGAAAATCCCAGTGTCTCCACTGTTGAGCCTCCGCAGATTTCTCACAGGGAACTCCCTCTTAATGCCAGGCCATCCTTCCCCCTTACCCTCTGGCGGCTTCCCCTCTGCTGGTGAGATCTGGGGGAGACATCCTATCTTCTCCAGCACCAATGCCCTCCAACCCCGCCCCTGTGGAGGCTCCTGTGACCCCTCACTGTGGTGGATGCAGCCTCTGGGGCTGTGGGTGGTGGGTGTGGTGGGGTGTGGTGCGCGGGAAACGCAACTGCAGCTGCTCCCCTGGCGGTGGCTTTCTTCCGACTGGCTGACTTAGGAAAACCTTTCTTCCTGAGCTTCCTGCCACCCTTCCCCATGCTTCCTGGGCTCTTCCTCTTCACGTTGTGGGCTTTTTTCTTTCCAACATTGTGTCTTGTGTGTGTCTGTGCCTCCCTCCCCTCCCTCTCGGCCTCTTCTTTTCTCTCACGCTGCCTCCCTGCCTGTTTCTTCATGCTCCTCATTTTCTGTCTGTCTGCCCTTCTGCTCCTGTTCGTGCCTGTCTTTATTCTTTCTCTTCTCTTTCACCAACATCTAGAATATGGCAGTGTGAAAGGATTAGTGGGGGAAGTGGGTCTGAGTCTCAGTACAGTAGACACCCACAAATTATCTCCTCGCTGCGCCCTGAAAATCATCTCCACACCCTGCCCCAGGGCTGCGGGGGTGCTGGGAGTGGGAGGAGAGGGTCAGAAGGCCAGGGGCAGGGTGGCTCTGGGGAAGGTATGCATTTGGGAGCCAGACTGAGCACACCCAGTGTGTTTCTGGCCCAGCAGGTTCCGTCAGGCGGGGCGTTAATTAGAGCCTGGCCCTGCAAGAGGGGAAGGTGTTATTAGGTCGAAGGACTGGTGGGCAGGGGTGGAGCTCCCAGGACGTGTGACAGGGACCTCTTGGGAACTTTCCATGGTAGGCTGGAGTAAGAAGTGTCACCCCATGGGTGGGGAGCTGGGGCTCCCTCTCAGAGTGGCTGAGAGCCCTCTGGTACCCAAAAGTTAAGCAGCTGCCTGCCTGGGAGGGGAGCTGGGGAGTTTCCTCCTCTCTCTCCAGTGCTCAGCTCATGTGCCACTTCATCTAAGAGCCTAGCTCTTGAGGTCCCCAAATTAGGATTTCCCTCTACTATGTTCACTTATAATTACTTATTTATGTGTTTTTCTCTCTCTGTCTGTATACATGTTTTAATCATCTGAATTTCCCACTAGATTATAAGCTCTGTGAAAGCAGGAACCCAGTTAGTACACTCATACTACGTACCTAGTCCTGGTGTGTAGCAGGTGCTCCGTCAGCATTTTGGACATGCTGAGCCTCAGATCTGGGGAACATGTGCTGTGATGGTCCAGTGGCATGTCTCGGGGAAGGGGGCAAGTACAGTGGCTTTGTCTGGGTCTGTCCCCACTCAGCTCCGACTGGGGTGAGGATGGGGGAAGGACCCAGTGTGTAATGACTAAGGGGTGAGAAGGAAACTGACTTGAAATGAAACCAGGTTCCAGCAGAACTACAGAGCAGATACCCATAAGTGGATAACTGAGGGGGCTGCGGGCCTAATGGCAATTGATTGTCTTTTCTGCTTGCAGACTCTGTGGTAGGCACATGGTATATGGGATTTCATCTAATCCTCAAGACAGTTCTACAGGGCAGGAACTGCTGTTCTATTGAGAAAACTGAGGCTCAGCTTGGAGAGATTAAGTCATTTCCTTAAGGTCACATAGCTAGTGCGTGTCAATGCTGAGCTGAGTTTTTGTTCCTTTGCCCATATCACACTGGCTGTTTGGTTACTTATATTCCTTTTACATTTGGTGACTGGCAGAAGACAAAATTCCAGGGATCCTCTGACTCAGGGTTCATTGGAGTAATCACTTCCCTTGATCTAACAACATTCTTCAATTAATAGGTGGTACATGTGAAACCCTCTGTAAATGCTGTAGCTCTGAATTCATGTGGTAATAACAACCCTGGCCATAGCAATGCAGCCCAAGATTGCTTTACCTCTCTGGCCACCGCATCATGCCATCAGCTTCCACTTCATCATGATTGCTATTAACCCACCTCTCATCCCTTCCTGCCTTCACCAGGCCTGTTTTTCAACCTAACTGCAAGACTCTGGTTTGTCTTGATTTAGTGTCGTATTAGTGGTGTTCCCTTTTGTTCAAATCTGTTGAAATCTTTTTGAATTTTGATGTTGTCATCCTCTATGTGTCATTGCTCACGTCTTTATCTTCAGGTTTTTTTTTTTTTTTTTTTTTTTTGAGACAGGGTCTCACTCTGTCACCCAGGCTGGAGTGCAGTGGCATGGTCTCAGCTCACTGCAGCCTTGACCTCCAGGGCTTGAGCCATTCTCCCACCTCAGCCTCCTGATTAGCTGGGACTATAGGTGTGCACCACCATGCTTGGCTAATTTTTGTATTTTTCGTAAAGACAAGGTTTCACCATGTTGCCCAGGCAGGTCTTGAAGTGCTCCTTGGTCTCCTGGGCTCAAGGGCTCCACCCACCTTGGCCTCCCAAAGTGTTGGGATTACCCCGGCCCAGCATTTTTATTCAAATCCTTCGTTATCACCCATGCCCCAAGTATCCACATGTATTGGGCAATGAGTATTAGGAACTTTTGCATAGATCACCCCATTTGACCTTCACGAGAACCTTGTGAGGAGGGCACTATTATCCCCCCCACTTTATACATGAATAACAGACTCAACTTAGGTAGTGTCTGTTTCTCCGCACCACCATAGCCTCGTGTAGGTTTTGCAGAGATCTACCTCCAGGCCGATGGTAATCCATTAGCCACAAGTCTCTGCTTCTGTTCATTGTCACCCACAAGAGCACTGACAGGTACTATCTATCATCCAATCGTGGTAATTCTGTGACTGCTGAGGGAAAGAGGAATTCTGTGACTGCTGAAGTATGTGTTTGTGTGTGTGTGGGGTACCAACACCAGTGCTCATTATTATTCATTAGTCCATTTTCCTTATTGAATGCCCACAATCATTTCATTTATCACCAATATTCTTATGGATCCCAAATCTGGAATTTTCATTATTGACTTTCCCTGAAAGGCAAGAATATCCCTTAACTTCATTCCTACTTGCCTTTCTTCTCTTAGTCTTTTTACACACATGTGATGAGGTTCATATTTCAGGGGTGCATTTTATGGTATTGTGGCCAAGTGACCATGAGCTGGCCCTTAGCCCTCCAAGTGAACTTTGGGCACACCACCCTAATACTGAACCAGGCATGTTGGTAACAGTGTGGTGTTCATATAGTAAGCCAAGGGTGACACGTGGAAGGACTCTTATGCTTGATTAGTGCTGTGGAGTCTGCATGGAGCTTCATGATGCATAGCCTTCTGGTGTTTAAGGAAGTTAAAGGTGTGTTGCTGTTTAAAAGCACAGGGAGTCTTGGTTTAGATGCTAGTTTCAATGAAGCCAAGGATACTTGATCAACCTTCTTGGTTTGCTATTCTGTCAAATTTGGGCAACAGTGAAATTCTCTGGGTTGCTATCTAAAGGAAAGAGAGGAAGAACTCACAATATTATGAAGTTGAAGGATAAAATACATATGTTCAAACCGACTAAAGTAAGAGCAAGCAATATTGCCTTCCCTTAGGAGGGCTTTCATTTAGAGATGAGGGGGATGAGGGAGGGATGGACCCACCAGACAACAGATATGTGCCTCACGGGCTCTTCTCCTCATGAGGTGAGTCGGAGCCCCAGAGCTCCGGAGCCCCATTGTTGACAGGGCCTTCTGTTCATAGGCTGTGGACATCAGGGCCTTCTCACATACTGTTTCCTCTGTCTAGAATGTTTCTCCCACCTTCATTTCTTTTTCTGGCCAATTTATATTCAACCTTCAGTTTCCAGTCTTAAGGTCATGTCTTCAGAGAGGAGCCCTCCTTCTGCCAGCCATAAATTCATTCATAAACTTTTCCCTTTCCAACGTTGCGCCATTTAAAGCTTATCTTTAATTCTGTGGCTATTTATTTTATATCTGTCTTCCTCACTGGCCTGTTCCATTTATGAGGGCAGGACCTCCCCAGTGCGTCCCTAGCTCCTGAGTGATGCCAGATACACCAGCACGTAATGGTAGCCCCATAAATATTTGTGGAATGAACGAATAGCTTCAGTATCTTCTTTTGTAAAACTGGGGTTGCAACTGGTGACCTGGGCCTTTTCCAGGTCTGAAATGCTTTGGAGTCTAAGAGTCCTAGTGTGGGCCCTAAGTCCCAGCGGCTGTTGGTGTGGAAGCGGGGTTTAGGGAATAGCAGCAGAAGGGCGCTGGAGTCCTGCCCTGCCTCGCCAGTAGGTGGTGCAGGTGAGCTGGCTCCATGGTCAGGGCTGGGGCTGGGCCAGCCCTGGTGGGTGTGGAGTGGGAGCGCCCTTAGCTGAGCCATTGCCCAGACCTGCCTAATGAGGAGGCAGGGCACCCAGCAGGTACAGGCACAGAAAGGGAGGGAGAATGGCTGGAGATACAAACCTGCTGGGACAGTTGCTTGCTACACGGGTGGGGGGTGGGGGTGGTTGGCATCCTGGTACGTCTGGCCACAAAACTGCTCTTGGCACATCAGGGGCCAGAGTGGTGAGGCTGTCTGTCCCAAGAGTTGGAGGTCAGAGGAACTAAGCCTCCCCTGCCTCCAGGCTGGGGCCCCAGCACTGCCTTGGGACTAGTCTCCTACCTGTCTAGTCTCCTGCTAGCACTGTCCTCATGTATATTCATGCCCACGTTTTACCTCTTTCCCCAAGCTTCCTTCCCAACCCCCTACCACTCAGCAGAGAAAATTGAGGCCATCTGGCAGGATCTCTGTCCACTTCTTGCAACCTTGCAAATGTTCTTGCAACCACATTCCCAAAGCTTCCTTGACATCAGCTTCAGAGGGTCAACTTTTCACTCCTTCCTTCCATCCCATCCTGTTCACATTCCTTGAGCTCTCTTTTTAAACTCATCACTTTTACCTCCTAAATTTATATTTACAGTGGAAACTTTTTTTTTTTTTTTGAGACAGAGTCTCTCTCTGTCTCCCAGGCTGGAGTGCAGTGGTGCGATCTTAGCTCACTGCAACCTCCGTCTCCCGGGTTCAAGCGATTCTCCTGCCTCAGCCTCCTGAATAGCTGGGATTACAGGTGCCCACCACCACGCCTGGCTAATTTTTGTATTTTTAGTACAGATGGGGTTTCACATTGTTGATCAGGCTGGTCTCTTATCTCCTGACCTCAGGTGATCTGCCCACCTCGGCCTCCCAAAGTGCTGCAATTATAGGCGTGAGCCACTGCACCCGACCACATTTTTCTTTAATACAGGTTCAAATTCTGCCATGTATTTATCTCTCAATGTGTGTGTGTCATAGAACATCTAATTCATGCCCAAAGCCAAACTCTTGATCTTGCCTCAAAAGCTCTCCTACCACAGTCTTCCTCACCTCAGTAAATGGCACTTCCACTCTCAGGCCTGGTATTGTGGCCAACTGACCCTGAGCCTGCCCTTAGCTCTCCAAGTGAACTTTGGGCACACCACCCTAATACTGAACCAGGCATGTTGGTAACAGTGTGGTGTTCATATAGTAAGCCAAGGGTGAGATGTGGAAGGACTCTTATGCTTGATTCATGCTATGGAGCCTGCATGGAGCTTCATGATCTGTAGCCAAATGACAAAAACCTTGGGTCACCACTGACTTCTTCTTTCCTCCCATTCTCCTCATCTGGCTGGCTCTGCCTTAAAAATATATTATTTCAGCCACTTCTCAGCCCCTCTCTTGCTACCACTCTGGTTCAAGTCACCTTTACCTGAAGTGCTGCAATAGCCTCTTAATCGGTCCCTCTGATTCTGACGTCCTTCAGCCCTTAAGTCTATTCTCAACACAGAAGACAGAGAGATCTGGTTAAAATCCATGTCAGATCCTGTCTTTCCTCAGCTCAAGACCCTCTGATGGCTCCCCATGTCACTCGCAGTAAGAGCCAAGGTTGTTACCAAGACCTAAAAGGTCCTACATGATCCAGCTTCTCATTTTGTCTCTGACCACACATTCTACTCTTCTTTCTCTCACTGCTCTAGCCTCACTGGCCTCTTTGGTGTTCCTTGACCATCCCAGGCAGGCTTCTGCCTCAGGGTCTTAGCTTTGCTGTTCCCTCTGCCTGCAGTGCTTTTCCCTCAGATACTCACATAGCCCTCTCTCTCATATCCTTCAGGCTTTTACTCAAGTGCCACTTTCTCAATGAGGCTTTTCCTGGTCACCCCACCCACAACTGCAACACCCCTTCCTGCCAGCACTGTCTCCTTTCTTTGCTTTATTGCACCCTCTTTCATACAATGTATTTACCCATTTATCTTGTTTATCTCCCCCAACTAGAATGTCAGCTCTGTGGAGGGTAGGGATTTTCAGCTGTTTTGTTTTCTAGTTCTTGTACATAGTAAGAATCAAAAAAATATTTGTAGAATGAATATATTGAATGCATCTTCACATACTCTCTCTCTTCATGCTCACAGTTTATAAAGATACTCAAGATTCTTTCATCCTGAAACAATTTGGACAAAACAACAACAAAAATAAATCTGTTTTAACTCCACTGCTCTCTCTAGTTACTTTCTAATCTCTTCTTTATTCTTCTCACTCACATCTCTAGAAAGATTATTCTCTTTCTCACGTCTCATTTACTCTGCACTACACTTATGCCCTTACCCCCACTTGGCGCTGCTCCACTGAAATTGCTCTTACTTGGTTTCCTAAGGACGTCGTAAAGCCAAGTCCAAGGGGGCAGTTGTCACTCACTCCTCTTCTTACAGTCTTAACTGTATCTGACACACCTGATTATTTTCTTACATATTTTTGAAACCTTTCATTTCCTGTGGCTCTGGTGGCAATACACCCTCCAGATTTCTTTCTTCTTGTCTTTTCATTGTTTTCCTTAAGGGCTCCTTTCCCTCCCCCATCATGAGGATCCTCTCCATTTGCTTTCCCTGAGTGATGTCACCAGGTATTTTGTCATCATGTCTTCTTAGGCTCCTCCTGGCTGTGACAGCTTCTGGGACATCCTTTGTTTTTGATGACTTTGACAATGTTGAGGATTACTGGTCAGGCATTTTGTAAAATGTCCCTCAATTGGGATTTGTCTAATTTTTCTCATGATGAGAATGGGGTTATGGGATTTTGGGAGAAAGAGTGCAGAGATAGCAATGAGCACACCTAGTAGCCAGATCTTGGTTTCTAGTACCATTCTCTAAGAAATAAACCAAAGCTTCTTGGAGAAATGGCTGACTCTAGGATTGGGAAGAAATATACAATATAAGCTTGGAACCTCTTATAGTACCAGTAAGTAAGGCACTACTCAAAAATAGTAATAGTAAAATGGTGGGGTAAATAAAAAAATATGAGAGCCAACTGAAAGAGTTCTTAACAGCTAAAATCAAACAATTTGAACAAGAACATAAATGAATTAGTATTGGATTATAACCTAGAGCATAAAATAAACATCCATGACTCCATACCAACATAAACAAATAATTGAATAAATAAATAAATGGAAGAGAAGAGAAAAAAGTATTGCAAATAATTTATGTAGATCCTCTGTCCTGAAGAAAGTAGAACGTAACTCCCCACTCCTTAAGTATGGATTGCACATGTGACTTCCGTCCAAAGAGTGCCATGTGCAAAGGGGGAATAAAAGTAACTTTACAGTGGAGAAACCTGACTAATGCTACATTGCCAGATGATCAAGGTCAACCCAATAGTGATGTCATGGTGATAGTGTGTACCCTTTGATATGATGTGATGAAAATGGCACCACCTTTAGTCAATGGCACAAATGTTATAAATATTTGCTTGCACATTTTTGTGGACCTAAGTTCTCAAATCAGTTGGGTAGATTCTTAGAAGTATGATTACTGGATCATGTGCTAAGACTAGGTTTAACTTTGTAAAAAACTTCCAAACTATCTCCCCAAAGAGCTATACCATTTTGTATTCACTAGTAACAAATGATAGTTCCTGTTGCTCCGCATCCTTAGCAGCATTTGGTATTATCAGCTTTCTGGATCCTGACCATTCTCATAGATGTATAATAATATCTCATTGTTATTTTAATTTGCAATTCCCTAATGACAAATTATATTTAGCATCTTTTCATATGTTTATTTGCCATCTGCATTTCTTATTTGGTGAGATGTCTGCTTAAATGTTTTGTCTGTTTCGTAATTAAGTTGTTTGTTTTTTTATTGTTGAGTGTTAAAAGATCTTTGCATATTTTGGATATAAGTGCTTTATTAGATTGTGTTTTACAAATATTTTTCCCAGTCTATGGCTTGTCTCTTCATTCTCTTAACGTTACCACGTACAGAGCAGAAGTTATTAATTTTAATGAAGTCCAATTTATTAACTTTTCTTTCATGAATTGTGCTTTTGGTGTTGTATTTCAGAACTCATTATCATACCCAAGGTTACCTAGATTTCCTCCTATGTTTTCTTCTAGACGCTGTATAGTTTTACATTTTACATTTACGTCTATGATCATTTGTGTTCATTTTTGTGAAAGGCGTAAAGTCTATGTCTAGGTTCAGTTTTTTCAAATAGGTCACCCAATGATTTTAGCACAATTTCTTAAAATGACTCCTTTTCCTTGTTCCTTTGTTAAAGGTAAGTTCACTAAGGCCCAGTGGGCTCTCCATTGATATATATGTCTATTCTTTCACCAATACCACACAGTATTTATTATTATAGCTTTATAGTAAGTCTTGAAATCAGGTGATGTGAGTCTTCGAACTTTGTTTGTCTCCTGCAGTACTGTGTTATTCTAGGTCTTTTGCCTTTCCATATAAATTTTAGTATCATTCTGTCAAGATCTGTAAAATACCTTGCTAGGATTTTGATTGGGATTGCGTTAAATCTATAGGTTAATTTGGGTGAGTTGACATCTTAACAGTACTGTGTCTTCTAATCTCTGAACACAGAATATATCTCTCCATTTATTTAGATTTTCTTTATTTCATCAGACTTTTGTAGTTTTCTGCATATAAATCCTGTACCTCTTTAGTTCAATTTTTATTTATTTATTTACTTTTTTTTTGTAGAGGTGGGGTCTCACTATGTTGCCCAGGCTGATCTGAAACTCCTGGGCTCAAGCGATCCTCCAGCCTTGACATCCCAAAGTGCTGGGATTATAGGTGTGAGCCACCACACCCAGCCTTTAGTTAGATTTGTACCTAAGTATTTTATTGTTTTTGGTACTATTGTAAATTGTATTATTCGAATTTTCACATTTCAACTGTTCATTACTGGTATATAGGAGAGCAATTGACTTTTGTTTGTTGTACTTATTAGTTCCAGGTATTGTTTTGATCAGTTCTTTGGGATTTTCTTCATAGACAATCCTATAATTTGTGAACAGAGGCAGTTCTATTTCTTCCTTTCCAATCTGTACCTCTGTGTTTCTGAGGCTGTCATTGGTGGCTCACATTATACTCTTATTGGGCATGGCTGATCTAGACAGTCCCATAGCTGAGACGTGTGATTGGTGATTGGCATGGCTGTGGAGAGCAAAAGGGTTTCTGTGAAAAAAAGCCAGCCTGCTTCATTTATCTGAGCATTCTGAAGGAGTAAATATGCAAATGTGACTTGTTGGGACTTTGAAACACATTTTGACAGCATTCTGTATCGCACTGGGGAAAACTGTTTTCTTATTTGCAGGGGTTTGTTCTAAGTACAGAAATAAAAGCTCTTCTGCAAAGAGAAGTGTAAAAAGGGACATTTCTGAGAGGTCAGCCCTAGACTGGCAGAATTTCAATGTTTTCATTAAAATTTTTTCCTGGGGCCAGGCATGGTGGCTTCCGCCTGTAATCCCAGCACTTTTGGAGGCCGAGGTGGGTGGATCACCTGAGGTCAGGAGTTTGAGATCAGCCTGACCAATATGGTGAAACCCTGTCTCTACCAAAAATATAAAAAAATTAGCTGGGCCTGGTGGCATGCGCCTGTAGTCCCAGCTACTTGGGAGGCTGAGACAGGAGAATCACTTGAATCCGGGAGGCAGAGGTTGCTGTGAGCTGAGTTTGCCCCACTGCACTCCAGCCTGGGCGACAGAGCGAGACAATGTCTCAAAAAAAAAAAAAAAAATGTTGTCTTGGGGGTAGTTGAGTCCCATCAAGGGGGTGACAAGTCAGATAAGTTTTTTCTTAATTTGATTGATCATTGCAGTTGTGTTACAAAATCTAAGCTTGCAGATTATACTAAGCTTTCCTTGACAGAGAAAATCCAAGCCAACAGGAAGCGCTGCGGGGAGAGCATGCTGCTTCTGGTTTGAATCTTGTCTCTGCACAGATAGGCTCAAAATAAAGGGACAGAGGAAGCTCTACCAAGCAAATGGAAAACAAAAAAAGGCAGGGGTTGCAATCCTAGTCTCTGATAGAACAGACTTTAAACCAACAAAGATCAAAAGAGACAAAGAAGGCCATTACATAATGATAAAGGGATCAATTCAACAAGAAGAGCTAACTATCCTAAATATACATGCACCCAATACAGGAGCACCCAGATTCATAAAGCAAGTCCTTAGAGACCTACAAAGAGACTTAGACTCCCACACAACAATAATGGGAGACTTAAACACCCCACTGTCAACATTAGACAAACCAACGGGACAGAAAGTTAACAAGGATATCCAGGAACTGAACTCAGCTCTGCACCAAGTGGACCTAATAGACATCTACAGAACTCTCCACCCCAAATCAACAGAATATACATTCTTTTCAGCACCACACCACACCTATTCCAAATTGACCACATAGTTGGAAGTAAAGCACTCCTCAGCAAATGTAAAAGAACAGAAATTATAACAAACTGTCTCTCAGACCACAGTGCAATCAAACTAGAACTCAGGATTCAGAAACTCACTCAAAACCGCTCAACTACATGGAAACTGAACAACCCGCTCCTGAATGACTACTGGGTACATAACGAAATGAAGGCAGAAATGAAGATGTTCTTTGAAACCAACGAGAACAAAGACACAACATACCAGAATCTCTGGAACATATTCAAAGCAGTGTGTAGAGGGAAATTTATAGCACCAAATGCCCACAAGAAAAAGCAGGAAAGATCTAAAATTGACACCCTAATATCACAATTAAAAGAACTAGAGAAGCAAGAGCAGACACATTCAAAAGCTAGCAGAAGGCAAGAAATGACTAGTATCAGAGCAGAACTGAATCTTATCTCTGACTGCCCCTTATTACTCCCCTCTTTAGGTTTTTTCCTCCTCCTGCTTGGCATGTCAAAATTTTCTGGAACTCTGTCTTTTTCTTTTTTTTCCTCTACCTTTCCACAGATCATCTCATCATCATCATAGTTTTAATTTCCAATATATTGATGATGCTTAATTCTATGAGTCCAGCCAAGATCCTTCTCTGAGCTTCAGGCCCATATGTGCAATGGGATCTGCAGTGGACATCTCATCTCTCACAAGTCCAGCAGTGAATGTGTCTCCTTTCTCCAACAGCCTTTTCCAAGCTGGAAAACTCCATGTCACCTTTCCCCCTTCCTCTTCATCCACATCCAATGTGGGAGGCAGTTACCAGCTCAGCACTTATACTTTGGATGTGGATGGAATTGGGGCCAAATCAAAGCCTCTGTTTCCAGATCTGCAAAATGGGATGTATAAGTTCATAACCTATAAGGCCATCGTGAAGACAATGCAGATTATTATGAGATAATATAGATGAAATGCTTAACATCAACCAAGAGCATAATAGTCCTTAATATATATATTATCAATTATTTACAACCAATTAGTTGCCAGCCTTATGATTTTGAGCTCAGAAATGTTTCCTGACTTTAGTCCCTCCCTTTCTTTCCATGCCATGGCCTGAGTTAATGTTCTTATTGTTCTCACCCAGCTGCTTCATTAGTCATACTATTGGCTTTTCATTTTTCATACCACTTACGTTGTGATATTTCTGTAACAAAACAATCAATCAAACACAAAACACATTGGACTTGTCAGGCCCTTGTGTTCCTATTAACCGTGGGTTAAAATAGAAACTTTTTGTTTTGACGCTCCAGGCCCTTCACCAGCATCACTGATGCATCCACTCCTTTCCCTGTCCTCGTTGTTCTCTCGGACTCAACCAGAACACCTGTTTCTTGAATACACCAGAAGCTTTTCTTAGATCAGTGCCTCTGAATGTGCTTCTCTGCCTGATAACCTAATGGTTCCCAAAACCCCAGCATAAACATCATGTCTTCTGTTTATTCGTTCTCAGTCCTCCAAGGCAGAGGTCCCTAATGAGAGGCCCTGATAACTCTTGCTTTTCATGCTGTGCTAAAATTTTGTCTTACTTCTCTTCATCACTCAAGAGGTTGTAAGCTTTGTGGAAGCTGAGATTCTGTCTTATTCTGAGATGCTCTCCCAGCCCCTACGTGATCAATAAGCACTTTGGGAGATGGTTAATGAGCTAATGGTATTATTGGTTTATTTGTTTGTTTCTCCACTGGAGCTTAGGCTCTGGAAGGGCCAGGGCCTTTCAGCTATATTAAGGATTATCAATATACTGGAAATTAAAACTAAGATGATGATGAGATAATCTGTGGAAAGGTAGAGGAAAAAGAGAAAAGGACAGAGTTCTGGAAAATTTTGACATGCCAAGCAGGTGGAGGAAAAAACCCAAAGAGGAGAGTAATGAGGGGCAGTCAGAGACAAGATTCAAACCAGAAGCAGCATGCTCTCCCCACAACGCTTCCTGTCGGCTTGGATTTTCTCTGCCAAGGAAAGCTTAGTATAATCTGCAAGCCTAGATTTTGTAACACATCTCCAATGATCAATCAAATTAACATGCCATTCATCTGTGTCTTCAGGGTCTCGCCCATCTCTTGAATGTGGTAGTTGCTTAATAGTTTGTGTCAGTAGCTTAACAGCTTGAGAAAATGAGAGATGAATTTCATCATGAATAAGGGAAAGAGGATACCCTCAGATGGAAACTGCTTGGATGATCATTCTGGGGGCTGGTGGGGTGGACGAGGGGCAGTTCAGGCCGAATTAGACCCCAGAAGGAAACTGGGAATCTCTGCTGGGGGCTCCTTGAAGCAGAATTGCCTTTTTCTGTGGAAAATGACTTCCTAGTTTTGTCCTCCACCCCTTCTCTCTGCATCTCCCCATTCTTCCTCTACCATAATGGGCTTTTCGTCAAGTTTAAGGTGATGACCTCAGTTAAAATAAGCAATAATAAAGATAGAAACAAACATAAACTTAGTGTCCTTGGATAGATTGGCTGATCTCTCTGAACCTGAGTTTCTTAATCTGTATCTATAAGATGGTTGCTGTAGGAAACTCTGTTTCCACAGTGATGGAGTTACAATCTTTGAAGTCATATGAATTGTTTGTTTTGCTTCTCTTAATATTTTGGTATTTTCTTAGAAGACTAAGTAACTTAAGAAAGGTGACAACTCTCGCCCACTTTTTGATGGGGTTGTTTGTTTTTTTCTTGTAAATTTGTTTGAGTTCATTGTAGATTCTGGATATTAGCCCTTTGTCAGATGAGTAGGTTGCGAAAATTTTCTCCCATGTTGTAGGTTGCCTGTTCACTCTGATGGTAGTTTCTTTTGCTGTGCAGAAGCTCTTTAGTTTAATTAGATCCCATTTGTCAATTTTGGCTTTTGTTGCCATTGTTTTTGGTGTTTTGGACATGAAGTCCTTGCCCACGCCTATGTCCTGAATGGTAATGCCTAGGTTTTCTTCTAGGGTTTTTATGGTTTTAGGTCTAACGTTTAAATCTTTAATCCATCTTGAATTGATTTTTGTATAAGGTGTAAGGAAGGGATCCAGTTTCAGCTTTCTACATATGGCTAGCCAGTTTTCCCAGCACCATTTATTAAATAGGGAATCCTTCTCAAAAGAAGACATTTATGCAGCCAAAAAACACATGAAGAAATGCTCATCATCACTGGCCATCAGAGAAATGCAAATCAAAACCACTATGAGATATCATCTCACACCAGTTAGAATGGCAATCATTAAAAAGTCAGGAAACAACAGGTGCTGGAGAGGATGTGGAGAAATAGGAACACTTTTACACTGTTGGTGGGACTGTAAACTAGTTCAACCATTGTGGAAGTCAGTGTGGTGATTCCTCAGGGATCTAGAACTAGAAATACCATTTGACCCAGCTATCCCATTACTGGGTATATACCCAAAGGACTATAAATCATGCTGCTATAAAGACACATGCACACGTATGTTTATTGCGGCACTATTCACAATAGCAAAGACTTGGAACCAACCCAAATGTCCAACAATGATAGACTGGATTAAGAAAATGTGGCACATATACACCATGGAATACTATGCAGCCATAAAAAATGATGAGTTCATGTCCTTTGTAGGGACATGGATGAAATTGGAAACCATCATTCTCAGTAAACTATCGCAAGAACAAAAAACCAAACACCGCATATTCTCACTCATAGGTGGGAATTGAACAATGAGATCACTTGGACACAGGAAGGGGAATATCACACTCTGGGGACTGTGGTGGGGTCGGGGGAGGGGGGAGGGATAGCATTGGGAGATATACCTAATGCTAGATGACACATTAGTGGGTGCAGCGCACCAGCATGGCACATGTATACATATGTAACTAACCTGCACAATGTGCACATGTACACTAAAACTTAGAGTATAATAAAAAAAAAAATTAAAAAAACAAAACAAAACAAAAAACCAAAAAAAAAAAAAAAAAAAAAAGAAAGGTGACAACTCTCAATGAATGCCAGCGGGGAGCCCAAGGTGGCCTAATTGCTAAGGGCATGGGACAGGGTCTGCAAACTCAAGCCTGTCTGACTTTAAAGCCAGGGCACTTTCCTCTAGCCCAGGCTATTTATTTGCTGCTAATGTCCATGAGGGATACAGGGACACTCTATCCCTTTTTTGTGTGTGGAAATTATGACTAAACCCAGGGAGCCCCTGTCAGAAAATAATGAATACCCACAAGGCTACCAGTTCAACACTGCAACTGAGTAAGACAAATACCAGCTAGAGTGGAAGGGAACAGCAAACTTTCAGGTCGCAGAGGCTCCAGTGTCAGACAGGAGGTGCAGTGCTGCTCTTCACCAGCAGGGAGCAGGTGAAGTCTGCCTTTGGCCACGTGTGGTATGCAGGTGGCACCTGAACACTGCATCAGAGACTTTCAGATAGGTTGAGACTATGAAGCAACAACAATGACTTCCATTCATCTAGACAGGGATTTGTAGCTGTGAGCTCCACAGTGGCTGTGTGATGTGGGCTTTACAACTTTCATTTCATGGAGGCTCAGATAGGTTGGATGATCTGTTCAAGGTTAAACCTTGGAGACCCTGGGTCCCC
The DNA here is from genome assembly GCF_000001405.40 of Homo sapiens. Classification (NCBI taxonomy): domain Eukaryota; kingdom Metazoa; phylum Chordata; class Mammalia; order Primates; family Hominidae; genus Homo; species Homo sapiens. The sequence goes on along the minus strand of NC_000001.11, from coordinate 153,277,818 downwards.
AACCCAGTTCTTTTACTCCACGTCTTGGGCTGTTTCTGGCATATCACACTGGCTCTTTGGTAGATCTGACAATTAAAAAAAATTTTTAATAAAGACATTGCCACATACTTACTTCTACCTCCTATTTAACTGCCATCCACCAAAGGATTTTCCATGTTATTTAACAAGGAACTCACCACCTCCAAATGCTTTCTTTAGTAACAGAGGGAACAGCTTTGAAGGGAACTGTTGAGTGCTGCTTTTCATAGGTCTGGCCACATAATTCAGGGAAGTCTTTCATTTGTTCATTTATCAAATTTATGCTAGTTATTTGCTAAGTAGTCACAAAGTCCATGTATTAGTCTGCTCATTTGCCATAACAAAATACCATAGACAGGTTGCTCTAACAGCAGATATCTGTTTTCTTACAGTTCTGGAGGATAGACAGTCCGAGATCAGGGAGCCAGCATGATTGGGTTCTGGTGAGGGGCTCTCTTTCTGGTTTGCAGATGGCTGCCTTCTCACTGTATTGAGAGAGAGAGAGAGAGAGAGAGAGAGAGAGCAGGCAAGATCAAGTTCTGGTGTTTCTTCTTATCAGAGCAGTAATCCCATCAGATCAGGGTACCATCCTCATGACCTCATCTAACCCTAATTACCTCCCAAAGCCTTCATCTCCAAATACAATCAAAGTGGTGGTTAGGGTGTCAACATATGAATCTTGAGGGGGACATAATTCAGTCCACTGCAGTGTATATGCCAATTAGTATAGGGTTATTAATATATCCGTACTTCCCTCTATTGTAGAAATTTTAACTTTTTCCCCATATTAGTTTGGACATCTTCCTCTATGCTGTTGGTTGGAAGTTGAATTAGTCAAGATAGGCCTTGCTAGCTGCCATTGTCCTCTGTCAACCTAAATAACAGCTGCAGAGAGGCTTTCTAAAAGAAAATAATATTTATTTGGGAATAGGGCATTGCAATGAAAATATGTGTGCGTATTCAGGGAAGTAAAGGAAGACAAAGGTTTTCAAAGAAAAAATGAGGATGATTACATAATTGTTTTCAGATCATTATCCTTGGCTTCAAGGATTAATAATAAGGGTGATGCCAGTCCAAGGCTGGGCAGATGTCCTCAGCAGAAGTATTTTTTGTATAAGGTTGCAATGGCCTTTGTACAAGTCCTGGTTTTTGCAGTCTTTCATGATTGTTTTTGTTATCAGGCATTTATGCATGAGAACCTTCTTTTTAGGGGCTTCCCTGACTCTGTTAGGGATTTTTAATTTTTATTTTTATCAAGATCTTTCTCCAAAAGCGCCACTAATTAGTCATCCTGTAGTTAGCTTTTGATGTCCATTGGTGCCAAAAAAGGCCTGTCCTGGATTACTGATATCATCCCATATTGGAAGGAGTGAATGGTGGCTAGAAGTCAGTATCAAAACTTTTTAAGCCACATTTGAGCAACAAGGGAGTTCTGAAGGGAGTGGCCCTCAGGCTAAGTCTACCTGGAATCCATTATTAAGTTCAATTTCATCTGTTTTGTAGTCTTTTGCTATCATCTCAAAGTGCTGGAGCAGCATTATTCTGTTAAGAGTTGTACTTCTGCAAAAATTTAACACGTAGCAGACACAAAGTTTAAAAAGGGAAAATACCCAAATAAAATCAACGTTAATATGACAATCTCAGTTTGCATAATGGTTTTGAGCCATGATTCTAGGCTTAAATATAATCAACTGAAAGAATAAATCAAATGATAATTATCTTGCCAAGTGAAAAAGGTAGCATTAAGAGGGGTTAGAGTCTCATTAAGATACAGAGTCTTGTTCAGATGTCCTCGGAAAAGCTATCTACAGAGTGAAAACATCAACTTCGTACTGGCTTGCAGTTTGAATGTCTCTAGTTATGACATCGGGTGGTTTTGTGAACTTTTTGGGTGGCCTATACGTCAGGCATAAGACTTGTTTCTTAAAATTCGTCTAGTTTCCGCTGATAGGGCTTTAGAAACAGAAAAGTTATCATTTTTAGTAATTCGGTGGAGGAAAGTTGGATTGGAGAAATCTAGAAGAATTGAGGATCTAGTCTAGTCTGTAGATGGATAATAAGAACACAAAAAGAATGTACAAAACTACAGTGTAATAACAGGTATATTATAGCTTTTCTTTAGAAATATAAATTTTTCTCTATACACTAATCACATAGGAAATCCCATATTAAAAAAAATCTTTTGAGGGTAGGAAGTCAAATCAAGGCAGACTTTAGATATTATCTACAGTCTTGGCCAGGTGCAATGGCTCACGCCTGTAATCCGAGTACTTTGGGAGGCTGAGGCAGGCGGATCACTTGAGGTCAGCCTGGCCAATATAGTGAAATCCCGTCTCTACTAAAAACACAAAAATTAGCCGGGGATGGTGGTGCGAGTGTGGTGGCATGCACATCTGTAGTCCCAGCTACTTGGGAGGCTGAGGTAGGAGAATTGTTTGAGCCTGGGAGGTGGAAGTTGCAGTGAGCTGAGATCATGCCACTGCACTCCAGCCTGGGCAACAGAGCTGGACTTAAGTTTCTCGGGCCTGCTAGGAAGTGACAATTTTTACTCATTCACTGTAAGGCTATAAACCTTTGAAGCCAGGCATTTCATGCACATTCCCAAAGATGATATTTTAGTCAAAGCCTTGGTAATATAATCAATGTTTCCAATTGTATCCTGTTATAAATACAGAACAGATTCTTATTGAACTTATGTAAATAACCGTATTGCTAAAAACATAGTAAGAATAGTTTCTAAATTTTGGAGGAATTAAGTAGGGAGAAAAAGCGAATATGTTCACCTTTGTTCACAAAATATACTTTACCAAATTTTTATAACATGTGAATAGCTTAAAAGGAAAATTTTCTGAAATCTGTAAAACAAAACATGTAAGTAAGGAATCAGTAACATTTCAAGTAAAAGTTATAAAAACATTATCTTCATCAGTTATTCAATCGTATGCAATTAATTTTGTTCTGCTTTATCTTATTTAGCAGTTTCATAAACCCATCAGTTTCTTCATTTGAGTTTTGAAAACATTTTATTTAGTTCATTGATCTTAAAGTTATCAGAAATCCGTGTTCAAGACTACCTGTTAGAGTCTTTTCCATGAAAAGCAATTTTAAAATGTAGTCAATTGAAAATGCTTTTAGAGAAAAATCAAAGCAATAAATGTGGATAACAAAAACTTGAACTAGCCATGGTTAAAAATCTGACGGAAGTTCAAAATTAAAAAAGAAATTTAGTTATTTCTATCCCATACAGCATTTTAAGAGAACAACCAGAATTACGGCTGACAATGTCAGTCACATTGGGACCATCACCCTGTTATAAATTTACATTTCAAAACAGATCTAGATTGTTAGTTACCATGAAGCTGTTATAATTTGTAAAGCTATTCATCTGAAAGCTTCTAAAGAGCACTTTAAAAATCTTGTCTGGAATGTCATAAGCAGAAAGTTTTCTCTCAACTCCAGCAGAAAAGTCAGCAGATTCCAAGTAGGCAGAAAACAAAACAAAACAAAACAAAACAAAAAACCTAGAGACATAGAGAATTTAAAAGTCTCTACATGTTAACTCTATAGCTGCAGGGTTTAATTTTTTTTTTAAAGAAATTTTGAATAATGGCCATTTTACTCTGAGCCAGTAATATGTAGCCAGCTGGAGTCCCAGAAAACCTGGCATGTCTTAATATTTGAAAATCCCATTCCATTTCTCATGAATTTCTAGAGAGCAAAGAAAATCCCACAAGTACCATCAAAGAACACCAGGAGTTTAGATCAGTGTTTTAGTGGTGGTGACGGCTCTAGTGGCGTTTAGTTAATAATTCTGTATCCAACATTTAGAATGTTTATTTTTGCTCTTAGAAAATTTTTAGAAACAAGCAAGGGAAAAAAAGCCAAATCATTTACAGATGCACATAACCAAATTAAGATAAGAGTGTTCACAAAAATTTTAAACCAGACATGCAGATCAAACAAAATATTAAATTAGGTGTGCAGAAAAAACAAAAGTAAATTCACCAGCAAAGACATGCCTCAGAGACAGAAGGTAAATTCTGTAGAAACCACAGTACTCAAACCAAAAGGACAGTGGTCTTTATACCAGAAAGGACTTGCTAGAAAAGACAAAAGGTCTATTATCATCCCAGGAGGGACGTGAGGTTCCTGATGAAAGGTGGCCTTATATCCAAAACAAGTCTTGAATTAAAAAAAAAAGCCTCTACCAAAAAGAGGGAGGATTGGCCTGAACTCAAACACAATAGAAAACTGAAGTAGTGTCTTAGCTTTTGTTCCCATAGAGAAGTAGACTTGAGCCACAGGTTTGTGTGTAAATGATTTTATTAAGAAAATGTTGGCTGGGTGCAGTGGCTCACACCTGTAATCCTAGTACTTTGAGAGGACAAGGAGGGCGGATAACCTGAGGTCAGGAGTTCGAGACTGGCCTGGCCAACATGGTGAAACCCCATCTGTACTAAAAACACAAAAATTAGCTGGGCATGGTGGCAGGCGCCTGTAATCCCAGATACTCAGGAGGCTGAGGCAGAAGAATCGCTTGAATCTGGGAGGCAAAAGTTGCAGTGAGCCGAGATCGCGCCACTGCACTCCAGGAAAGTGAGTGCCAGACGTTTCCTTGGACCCGTAAACCAGGCCCACCCCAGTAAAACCCAGTACCAAACAAGCCCCAGACTATAGGATGGTAATTGTGGACTGAATCTCGAAGCCTGCCCCAGTGCTAGACAAGACACTGCACATTCAGGCTCCAGGCCTGCCAAGCAAACACAGTCTTTGGGCTTGCCCCAGTGCCAGGCTGAGCCCAGTAGCCCTAGGCTCCATATCACCCCAGGGCAAGGTAGGCCTCAGCATCCCTGGGCTTTGATCCCCACCCCAGCACCAAGTCAGCCCTCCCAGAATCAAGCTCCAGGCCTGCCCTTAGGTAAGGCCAGCCCTGCAGCCCTAGTCATTAGACTGGCGTATGCAGACCTAGCCTCCAGACTGGCCATAACAGACAGGATCGAGGCTCACCTGGCACTCAGCCAGTACCTGTGACCCCAGGCTTTAGGCCCACCCCAGCACCAGGTTGGCATTCCTTGCCTCAAACACCAGGAGGCCATCCATGGACACAGGCTCCAGATATGCCCAATGATAGGCCAGTCCTCATGGCCTCACCCTCCAGGCCAGCTCCTATGGCCCTATGCTCCAGTAGAACCAATGACCAGGCTTGTTCCAGAAGGACCATGGTACAGGCATGTCCCACTAGACCACAGTGGTGGACTGACCCCAACACACCCAAGCTTCAGGACTTCCCCTGTGTACCTAGGTCCCAGGTTGACCCCTAAGTCCCCAGGCTCCAGGCCAGTTCCTGTGGCTCTAAGCACCAGGGCATTACCCACAATCCTAGGCTCCAGATCTGCCTCCACAGACCCAGGCTCTATGCTGGCCCTAGTACCAGGCTGGCCCCAGGCTCGAGGCTGGTCCTTGTGGTTCCAGGCTCCAGAGGACTCAAAGTCCAGGCCTGCTCTAGCAGACCCATGGTCCAGGCCCACTTAGTAGATCCTGGTGTCAGGCTGGATCCCATGAACTGAGGCTCCAAGACCACCTCTGCAGACCCACACTCCAGGCCAGCCCCTGTGGACCCAGACCAAGACTTGCCCCTAGGGACTCAGGCTACAGCCCTATCCCAGTGGACCCATGCACCAGGCCCATCTCAGATTTGGCCAGCCCTTGGAGATTCAGATTCAAGGCCCATTCCAGTGCCAGGTCAGCCCCTGTGGACTCAGGTCTCAGGCTGGCCCCCACAGATTCAGGCTCCAGGCCCATCACCACAGACCCAATCAACAAATCCACTCCAGAGGATCCAAGTTACAGACCCAACCCCATGAACCCAGACACCAGGCCACCTGTTCAAGGATTCCAGCAGCAAGCCGGCCTTTAGACTATAACAGATGGCCTGCCCAGAATCTGTGGATAGACTGACTGTTGAAGGGATTTCCCAGGTAAAACCAGTCTTCAAAGATTTGAACAAGTCTCTGCTTTTTCAAATGCACAGACATCAACATAAGACAAGATATGTGAAAAACCAAGGAGACATAACACCACCAAAAAAACATAGTTATTACCCACCAGCTGACCTCAAAGAAATGGAGATATACAAACTGTCTGAGAAATAAATCAAAATAATTGTTTTAAGGACGCTCAGGAAACTTCAAGAAAATAGAAATAATTTGATGAAACAAGGAAGATTATACATTATCAAAAAATGAATAATTTAAAAGAGATATTAAAATTAAGTAAAAAGAAAAACAAACAGAAATTCTGGAGCTGAAGAAAGATGATGAATTAAATGAAAAATGAAATAGCATCAGCAGCATAGTCAATCAAGCAGAAGAAAGAATCTGTGAACTCAAAGACAGGTTATTTGAAAATATTTACTCAGAGGTGAAAAGAGAAAAAGGATTGAAAAGGAATGAAGAAAGCGTATGGAATTTATGAGGCAGTATCTAAAGAAAAAATATTCAAGTTGTAAGAGTTTGTGAAGGAGAGAGAAAGACAAAGTGCATAGAAAGCTTATTTAAACAAATAGCAAAAAAACTTTACAAATTTGGATGGAGATATAAATATCCAAGTACAGGAAAGTCAGATGTCTCCAGTCAGATTCAATCCAAACAAGACTAACTAAGGCATATTGTAATCAAACTGTCAACAGTCAAGGACAAAGAGAGAATCCTGAAAGTAGCAAAAGAATAGAAGAAAATAACATAAAAGGAGCTCCAGTAAGGATAACAGTGGATTTCTCTGCAGAGGCCTTACAGGCCTGGAGAGAGTGATAATATATTCTCTGGATATATATATTCTCTGGATATATATATTCTCTGGATATATATATTCTCTGGATAATATATTCTCTCCCTGGAGAGAGGGATAATATATTCACAGTGCTGAAGGAAAAACAAAACAAAACAAAACAAAACAAAACAAAACAAAACGATCAATGTAGAATACTGTACCCAGCAAATCTGCCCTTCAGAAATGAAGGATAGATAAAGACTTTCTCAGACAAACAAAAGCCAGGAGAGTTCATCACCACCAGACCTATATTACAAGAAATGCTAAAGGGAATTCTTTAAGATGAAAGAAAAGGGCACTGGTTAGCAACACAAAAACATAGAAAATATAAAACTCACAGGGTAAAAGTATTATATAGTCAAATTTAAAATGCTTTAATGCTGTAATGGTGATGTGTAAATTCCTTATATCTTTAGTATGAAAGTTAAAAGACTAAGCTATTAAAAATAATAATAGCTACAATAATTTGTTAAGGGATATACAGTACAAAAAGATGTAAATCGTGACATCAAAAATTTAAAATGAAAAATATTAAATTTATGGGGGAGGGGTGAAGTAAAAGCATAAAGTTATTTTTATGTGAACATAGTTGTTATCTGTTTAAAATAACCAGTTATAACTATAAGATGTTTTTGTAACCTCAAGGTAACCCACAAAACAAAAACCTATAGTAGATAAACAAAAGATAAAAGTAATAAATCAATGCAAACCTCTAGAGAAAATCACTTAATTACAAAGGAAGACAGTAAGAGAGGAAGAAAAGAACAAAGGATCTACAATAAAACCAGAAAACAATTAAAAAAATGACAGTCGTCTTTACCTATCAATACTTCCTTGAATGTAAATGGATTAAATTCTCAATCAAAAAACATGTAGTGACCGAATGGATTAAAAAATCAAGATCCATCTATTGCTGCCTATAAGAGACTCATTTCACCTGTAAGAACACACATAGACTGAAAGTGAAGGGATAACAAAAAATATTCTATGCAAATGAAACACAAAAGATGGCAGGAGTAGTTATATTTACATCAGATAAAATAGGCTCTAAGTAAAAAACTGTAAAGCAAGGCAAAGGAGGTCATTGTAGAATGACAAAGGAGTCAATGAATCAAGAGAATATAACAATTGTAAATGTTTATGCAACCAACATTGGAGCACCTAAATATATAAGGCAAATATTAATACACCTGAAAGGAAAGATAGATTATAATACAATAACAGCAGGTGACTTCAATATCCCACTTCTAGTAATGGACAGATAATCTACACAGACAATCAATAAGAAAACATTGTACTTAAACTACATTCTAGACTGAACGAACCTAACAGACATATACAGAACATTCCACCAAATGGTAAAGAATGCACATTCTTCTTAAGCACACACAGAACATTCTACAGGATAGATCATATGTTAGACAACAAGACAAGTCTTAACAAATAAGAAGATTAAAATCATATCAAGCATCTTTTCTGACCTTAATGGTATGAAACAAGGAATCAATAACAAGAAGAATTTTGGAAAATTTACAAATACGTGGAAATTATACAATACCCTGCTGAACAATCAATGCGTCAATGAAAAACTTAAAAGGGAAATTACAAAATATCTTGAGACAAGCAAAAATAGACACACAACATACCCAGACATAAAGGGAACAGCACAAGTATCTCTGAGTGAAGTTTACAGCAATAAATGCCTACATCAAAAAGGAATAAAGGTCCTGAATAAACAACTTAAAATAACATCTCAGGGAACTAGGAAAACAAGAATAAAATAAGTCCAAAGTTAGCAGAAGAATGGAAATAATAAAGATAATAGCAGAAATAAATGCAGTAGAGGAAAAAGAAACAGTGGAAAAGATCAACAAACCTTGAGTTGGTTTTTTGAAAAGATAAAATCAACAAACCTTTAGCTGGACTACTTAGGAAAAAAAGAGAATACTCAAATAAATAGAATCAGAAATGAAAGAGGAGACATTACAACTGATACAAGAGAAATACAAAGGATCGTAAGAGACTACTATGAATAATTATTACATACCAATAAATTGGATAGCCTGGAAGAAATGAACAAATTCCTAGAAATATTCAAGCTATCGAACTGAATCCCAAAGAAATATAAAATCTGAACAGATCAATAACTAGTAGGGAGATTAAATTAGTTATAAAAAGTCTTCCATCAAAGAAAATCCCAGGATCCAATGGCTTCACTGCTCAATTCTACCAAACATTTAAAGAACTAATATCAATCCTTTCCAAGCTCTTCCAAAAATGAAAGACAAGGGAATACTTTCAAACTCATTTTATGAGGCTAGAATTACCCTGAAATCAAAGTCAGATAGAACACTACAAGAAAAGAAAATTAGAACCCAATGTCCCTGATGAACACAGATGTAAAAATCTTCAACAAAGTTATTAGTACACTGAGTTAAAAAGGGCCGAGTGTGGTGGCTCACGCCTGTAATCCCAGCACTTTGGGAGGCCGAGGCGGGTGGATTGCCTGAGGTCAGGAATTCATGACCAGTCTGGCCAACATGGTGAAACCCTGTCTCTATTAAAAATACAAAAAAAAAAAAAAAAAAAAAAAAAAAAAAAAAAAAATTGCAGGGTGTGGTGGCGTGCACCTGTAATCCCAGCTACTAGGGAGGCTGAGGCAGGGGAATTGCTTGAACCAGGGAGGTGGAGGTTGCAGTGAGTCAAGATCACACCACTGCACTCCAGCCTGGGCAACGGAGTGAGATTCCATCTCAAAAAAAAAAAAAAAAAAAAAAAGCACATTGAAAGGATCATTCACTATGATGAAGTGGGACTTGTTTTGTGAATGAAAGGGTGGTTTAAAAATGCAAATCTATAAATGTGATGCACCACATGAACAGAATGAAGGACAAAAACCATATGAATCACTCCCAATAGATGTAGAAAAAACATTTGATGAAATTCAACATATTTTCTGATAAAAACTCTCAGAAGATCAGATATAGAAGGAATGTACCTCAGCACAATAAAGGTTATTGATGACAAACCCACAGCTAACATTACACTCAATGGCGAAAAGTTACCAGCTTTGCCTCTGACAAGGATGCTCACTTTTGCCACTTCTATTCAACATAGTACTAGATGTCTTGGCCAGTGCAATTATACAAGAGAAAGAAATAAAAGGCATCAAAATTGAAAAAACACATAGATTAAGGAAAGAGAATAAATCCACACATTTACAGTCAATCAGTTTTTGACAAATATGCTGAGAACGTGCAATGGGGAAAGGACAGTCTCTTCTATAATTGTTGGCACAGCTGGATATCCACATGTGGAAGAAGGAAATTAGACCCCTATCTTACATCATATGCAAAAATCAACTCAAAATTGATGAAAGACTTAAATGTAAGGCATGAAACTGTAAAACTACTGGAAGAAAACAGAAGAAAAGCTTCATGACACTGGTCTAGGCAATGATTTTTTGGATGTTGAACCCCAAAGCACAGACAACAAAAGCAAAATAGACAAATGGGCTTATATCAAACAAAAAAGCTTCTGTAGAGCCAAGGCAACAATCAACAGAGTGAAGAGACAACCTAAAGAATGGAGAAAATATTTTCAAACCATACATCTGGTAAGTGGTTAATATCCAAAATGTATAAGGAATTCAAACAACCCAATAGTAATTAAAAAAACCCAATTAAAAAATGGGCAAAGGATTTGAATATAAATTTCTCAAAAGAAGACATACAAATGATCAACGGGTATACAAAAATGTTCAAAATCATTAATCATCAGAGAAATGCAAATTTAAGTAACAATGACACATCAGCTCTGTCTTAGTTCATTTGTGCTGTTATAACAAAATACCTGAAACTGACTAATTTATCAAGAACACAAATTTATTTCTCATAGTTTTTGAGGCTGGGAATTTATTTATCGTAGTTTTGAGGCCAAGATCAAAGCACCAACAGGTTTGATTATTTGGTGAGGGCTGCTCCCTGCTTCTAAGATAGTTTCTGTTGCTGTATTCTCTGGAGAGGTAAAATGGTGGAAGGTGGAAGGGTAAGTGTGGAGAATGCTGTGGAAAGCCTTTTTATAAGTGCCTTAATCCCATTCCAGGGAGGAGCCCTCATGGCCTAATCACTTCTTAGAGTCCCTACCACTTAGTACTATCACATTTGCCATTAAGTTTCAACACCAGAATTTTGGAGGGGACATATTCAAACCATAGCAACCTCACACCTATTAGAACAGTTATCAAAAAATGATGAGACACAACAAGTGTTGGAGAGGATGTGGAAAAAAGGGAATCCCTGCACATTGTTGATGAGAGTATACATTAACACAGCATAGCATATGGAAAACACTATAGACATTCCTCAAAAAGTTAGAAATACAAGTACCATATGGTCCAGGTATCCTATTACTGGGTATATATCCAAAGAAAATAAATCAGTATGTTGAGGAGGTATCTGCACTCTTAATGTTCACTGAAGCACTATTCAGAATAGCCAATATATGTGAGCAACCTAGTGTATATGAAGAGATGAATGAGTAAAGAAAATACCTTAAAAAGAAGAAAATCCTGTTATTTGGGACAACACAAATGCAGCTGGAGGATATTATGTTAAGGGAAATAAGCCAGGTATGGAAAGACAAATACCACATGATCTCACTTGGATATGGAATCTAAAAAAGTTGAACTCATAGGAAAAGAGAGTAGAATGGTGGTTACCAGGAGCTGGAGGTGGGGAAGGGAAGCACTGGGGAGATGCTGGTCAAAGGACACAAAATTTCAGTTAGATAGGCAGAATAAGTTCAAGAAACCTATTTTACAATGTAGTGATTATGGTTAAAGACAATGAATTGTATTCTTGAAAATTGCTGAGAGAGTAGATTTTAGGTGTTCTCACCATAAAAAATTATAAGTGCGTGAGGTAATTCATATGTTAATTAGTTCCATTTAGCCATTCCACAATGTATACATTTTAAAACACGTTTTACACAAAAATATATATAATTTTTATCTTTTAATTAAAAATAAATTCTAAAAATGACACATGTAAGGTTATATTTATATAACCTTCAAAACCTAGCATAATTAATCTAATGGTATCTTCAAGGGAGCTAATGACTGGGAAGGGAATAAAGAAAGCTTCTGAGGTTCAGTTATTGGGATGAGTTCACTTGGTAAAAGTTAACTGAGCTGTCACTTATAATTTGTGCCCTTGTATATATGTATGCTATACTATAATAAAAATGTACACTCATTAGAAAAATTTTATTCTGATTTATCTATAGTGTTTTTGAGTGGATCTGTTTGTATGTATACAGATTTTTTAGTGGCTGCTGTGGGTATTGCATTGTATATGCATAATTTATCATCATCTATTGGTACGGACATTTTATTAAGTGAATTTGCAGACCTTACTTCCATTTAAGTCCCTTTACTTCTTGATTTCTGATATAACTGTCTTAAACATTTTCTATACATATGTTAATAGCCATATCAATGTTATGGTTATTGCTTCAACTATCAAACATAATTTTAAAAAACTCAGGAGGAAAAAGATACTGTCCTATAGTTTTAGACTTCACACTGTTCTTCCTTTATTCCTGATGTTCCACGTTGGTTTCTATCATTTCTTTTTTGTTTGAAAAACTTCCATTAGCCACATTTTTAGGATGGGTATGCTGGCATCACGTTTTCGTATTTTTCTTTCATATGAAACTATCTTTGTTTTACCTTCATCTCTGAAGGACATTTTCACTGGATACGGAATTCTAGGTTGACAGAATTCTTCTTCTTTAGCACTTGAAAGATGTGGTGACACTTTTTCCTGGCCTTCTTGGTTTCTGACAAGAAATCTGCTGTCATTCAAATAATAGTTCCCCTATAGATGATATGTCAGTTTTCTCTACTTTCAAGATTTGCTTTCAAAATTTTCTTCTTCAAGATTTTTTCTTTGTCTTTAGCTTTCAGATGTTTGATTATGGTATTTCTTATTGTGGATTTCTTTGGGATTATCCTGTTTGAGTTTCACTCATCTTCTTGAATTTGTAGGTTAATTACTTTCACCAAATTTGGGTAATTCTGAGCCATTATTTCTACAATTTTTCAGGATCACACCCTTTCTCCTCTCCTTCTGGGACTCTGATGACACGAATGCTAACACTTTTGTTGTCCCACAGTTTATTGAGGCTCTGTTTTTTTTTTTTCCTCAGTCTATTTTCTCTGTTGTTGAGATGGAATAATTTCTATTGATCTATTTTTGAGAAGGAACTTGTTTCTCATAGTTTTTGAGGCTGGGAATTTATTTCTCATAGTTTTGAGGCCAAGATCAAGGCACCAAGTTTAATTATTTGTGGAGGGCTGCTCTCTGCTTCTAAGACAGTGCCTGTTGCTGTATTCTCTGGAGGGGTAAAATAGTGGAAGGTGGAAGGATATTGATTCTTTACTCTGTCATCTCCATTCTGCTATTGTGCCTATCTAGTGAGTTTTTTATTTTCCAGTTCTAAAATTTAACTATATAATGGGTTATTATATTTTTAGTTCTAAAATTTCCACTTGGCTCTTTTTATATCTTCTGTTTATTTGCCAAGGTTTTCTATTTTCTCATTGTTTCAAGTGTGTTTGTAATTTCTTATTGAAGCATTTTTATAATGTCGTCTTTAAAATCCCTAACAGATAAGGCCAGGCGTGGCGGCGATTACGTCTGTAATCCCAGCACTTTGGGAGGCCAAGGCGGGCAGATCACTTCAGGCCAGGAATTCAAGAGAAGCCTGGCCAATATGGCGAAACTCTGTCTCTACTGAAAACAAACAAACAAACAAACAAACAAACAAACAAAGAAACAACAAAAATTAGCCGGGTGTGGTGGCACACGCCTGTAGTCCCAGCTACTCAGGAGGCTGAGGCATAAGAATTGCTTGAACCCTGGAGGCGGAGGTTGCAGTGAGCTGAGATTGGGCCACTGCACTCCAGTCTGGGAGACAGAGTGAGACTGTCTCAAAACAACAACAAAAAAATCCCTAACATAATCTCAAAATCTGTGTCATTTCATTGTTGGGTTATCTGTTGAATGGTTCTTTTATCATTCAAGTTGAGATTTTTTTCTGGTTCTTGGTATGATGAGTGATTTTTATTGTGTGCTGGACACGTTGGGCATTATGTTAAGAGACTTCAGATCTTGTTTAAATTTTCTATTATAGCAGACTTCTGCTAAAACCACACTAGTGGGGTTATGGAGAGTGTAGCACCTTCTGAGTAAGCCCATGTGGTCTCCTTACTATGGTGGAAGTCCAGGATTCTTGTTCATTTTTTTCCCCATGGTGTTTGGTTGAAGTAGGGCAAATATTGTCAGAAAGGTTTCCGTTTTACTAGACTACCCCCTTCCTGGTCTTTTATTTAAAGCAAGAGAACTTTCTTGGTGCAATTTTTTTGTCTGCACCTGCCAGAATCTTGGTTGCAGATTTTCTAGTGCCCAATGTGGGAAACACAGGAGGCAAAAAGAAAACCCAGGAAACTTACCACTGTCAGTCCTTTAGTTCTGAGGACTCTAGCTACTCTGCCTTGTCCTCTCCAGACTCACCGGAGAAATAATAAGCATATCAGATGTTTACGGCATAAGCTGGTGCTGTTAACGTGCAGCCACCCAGCTTACAAAGTCTTCTTATGTTTGTTTTATATATTATGCCCAGAGATTTTAGTTCTACTTCATAAGAGCGATAGTAAGAAATACATCTACTTCATTTTGTCCAGAACTGAAAGTCTGACTTTCATTTGTTAAAAAACATGAAAGTAATGCAGTGGTTGGGCTCCTGGATCTTTAAGACTGCTATTTATTCTGATCTCCATGAATTACCGATGTAAAATGATGCATGGTAGTGATCCTAAATGGAAGAGTTGAGGAGGAAGACTTTTTTTCCCCCCAGCAGTGATTGAGTAGGAAGGGTACTTTGGCTTTTTGACGTAGCAGGAGTTTTTCTTGAGTAAATCAGTAAATTGGCATTTAACTAGAGCTGGTAAAATCAGGATATGAAACAGAACCTGGAAAGTCCCTGGCCAGGCTGATGTTCTACATCTCTTTTGAGGGCTCTGCAATTAATACATCCCTTGGAGCAACTGTCGCTTCTTCCTTGTTAATTGGAAGCTCTTGTGTTTTCCATGACCTCTTTCTGGTGCCAAGCTTTTACATCTCGTATATGTATGCTGCATCTTCCTAAGTTAGGTAAAGTTCCTTCAAGAGAGCAGGAAACATTCAACCCGAGAAAGCTGATTGAAATTAAAAAAAAAAAAACGAGAGAGAGAGTGAGAGAGCAGGAAACAGCTCCCCTACTACCTCCTCTCCCTACGGGTACCTACTAAAGTGGTCTTGCTCACCCTAGGGGCCCGTAAACATCTGATATGCTTTTTATTTCTCCGTGAGTCTGAGTAGCATGAGCTGGTGCTCCTAATGTGCAGCCACCCAGCTTTCAGACCTTGCAGAATTGGCTTTGGACTGTGAGAGACAGCGTCTTTCCAGGGCAGCCTGTCTTTAAAAAACAGAGTTCAGTAAGGAGACCCACAGTAGCTACTCAATCCACAGGGAGGTGTTTACTGAAGTCTCTCCTCAGGATCTTTGTGTTTTGGGATCACGTCATGATTTTAAGCCGTACACTAGAATGTTCATATGTTTGACCTTCGTTTGCCAGCCATTCCTCCCTCTCCTGGTGACTCCCATCTATCCACTCACCTTTCCGCCAATAGAGTCCGTGCATTTGTAAAATGAATGTAAGTGTGAATGAGCGAATGCAGGAAAGGAGAAGAATGGAATGGAATGGATGAACTTGAACACTACAAATACTCTTGGAGACCTAAAAATTCTCATGAATTTGCAAATTTATTGACTGAGGCACTGGGGTTGGGAGGTAGTTGTACAGAAACCAAAGAGGCTAAACAGCAGAACTAGATGCAGCCGGAGAGCTCAATGGCTTCTTCCAGGTAGGTTAAGACATGAAGGATTTGCAAACCTCGGGTAGCATCATGAGAGCTCTAAGCCCATCGGTGCCCCTGGAAAACACCTCCAACTCCTTCGCCTCCGTGGTACCCTGGGGGATCTATTTGGACGGCCAGGTAGGCGCCTGCTTCTGCTGGGTCTGGTGGCAGATCGGGACGCCCTTGCCACTCCCGGAGCCACCCACGGAGGAGCCGCCGCCGCCGCCTCCAGAGGAACCACCTCCGCAGACGGAGCCCCCGCCACTGATGATGCAGCCGCTGCCAATCCCGGAGGAGCCGCCGCCGCAGCCGGAGCTCCCGCCGCCCCCGCCGCTGGAGAAGCAGCCGCTTCCGCCGCTGCCGCCGCCGCCGGACGACCCCCCTCCGTAACTCGGCTGGGGCGCGCACGAGGTCTGAGTGACCTGCTGCGAGGAGACGTAGCCGGAGCCGCTGCCGCCAGAGGAGCCTCCGCCGCAGCCAGAGCCGCCGCCAGAGTAGCCGCAGACAGAGCCGCCGCCCCCGCCGCTGGAGAAGCAGCCGGAGCCGCCCCCGGAGGAGCCGCCGCTAGAGACGCCTCCGTAGCTCTGGCACTGGACCGCCTGGCCCGAGAAGCCGCCGCCGCCGGAGGAGAAGCAGCCGGAGCCGCCCCCGGAGGAGCCGCCCCCACCGCTGGAGAAGCAGCCGGAGCCGCCCCCGGAGGAGCCGCCGCCACCGGAGGAGAAGCAGCCGGAGCCGCCCCCACCGCTGGAGAAACAGCCAGAGCCCCCGCCGGAGGAGCCGCCGCCTCCGGAGTACTTGACGCTCCCACCGGAGCCCCCTCCGCAGCCTCCAATGCCGCCCCCGCCCCCGCCGCCGGAGGAGCCCCCGCCGCAGCCGCCGCCAGAGTAGCCACCGCCGCCGGAGTAGCCGCAGCCAGAACCGCTGCTACCGCCCCCTGAGCCGCCGCCGCCGAAGAAGCCGCAGCCACCACCGCCGCTGCCGCCGCCACCGCCACCGCCGCCAGAGGTCTTCACGCAGTCCACTGGGGGCTGAGGGGTGGGCTGCTTTTTCTGATAAGACATCTTGTCTGAGAAGGAAGGAGAGCCTGGAAGGGGAGAAGAGAGCATCGCTGGACCAGCTGCAAGAGGATACTTACGGAGGCAGCTGCATCCATAGGCAACATCGCCATCCTCCCAGGGCTCCTTCAGGTGCCCGGAGAGCCCTCAGCGGGGTTTCTTATGATTGCTGCTTTTGGAAAAGTTGAGTTCCTCATTCCCCTGCAGAAAGCCTTCATTATGCTTTAAACAGCCCAGTTAGCAGTGCCCATTCTTTCTCCCAGCTCTGCCTCTGACCACTGTTGTGTGATTTGAGGGCAGATCACCCACACGCCCGCCTCTTTCTCATTTCCTGTTAAATGAAAGGGTTTGAACACTTCATCTTTCAGGCCTCTTCCAATCTCAACACTGATTCTCTGAGTGCAAATAGAAAACTACCACAAACCTCTACCTAGGATAGGAGATTTTACCCATTCCCAGCACAACAGAGAGAGGTTTGTCGGACTTCATTCTATTGAGGGCTGTTGCACTCCATCCTCTGCAGAAGCTCTTAGTTCAAACTCTTGGTCTGTCCCACTGAGCTAGGCCATGAACCAAGGGCTAGTCACTAGAAAAGACAGGCTCTGCTGTGGCCCTGCCTGGAAACAGGGGAAGGACCCTGGTGGTCCTTTGGACCAACATCCCCGACCAGAAGCTATTAGCCATCTCTTCCATGATTTTCTCAAGTCCAAGTTTGGTAGAAGGGACTTTGACTAGTAGGAAGTTGTATTTCCCTCTCAGAACTTCTAACTCTGTAAAACAGCAATTGGATTTCTGTGGCACCTGAAATCCCTCCCATCTGCAACTTTTTTGGATCATTCTCCCTACTCTCTTGAGAGTGGCTCAGCCTCTCCTCCTGACAGGTTCACAAGGTCTGCTCAGCCTGTGCACAGGCTGCCTTGGACAGCCTCTGCAGAGTCCTTCTGTGCCCGGCACCATGCCTGCCCCTATGCGGGTGCCAGAGAGGCAGGAGATAGTCTTGTCTTTGTGGAGTTTACATTCTGGCCAGAAGACCAGAAACACCATCTGCATGGCAGCAGCTCATCCCCTGCTCCTTTCCTGACCGCCCTCTAAATGTGAGTGCTTTTGGGAAGGCAGAGGTCCTATAGCTCCCAAAGGGGAAAGAGGCCCTGGTCCATCTAATCTAGTCAGGCCTGGGCAAGACCAGCTGGGAAAATGAGAGAGTCAGTAGAACCACACTTACCCAAAGCACCAGGAAGGGTGAGTGAGGAGAGAAGATGCTGGCAATGTGAGGAGCACTGATCTCCTGAGGTTATATATAGAGCTCTCCCTGACTCATTGATCCAGGCCAGCTTCTTGTGTTTGGCCTCAGTTACGTGACCCGTGGCTGTCGGCCCCACCTCCCTGTGATTGCAGGCACAGGATGGCCCATTCATGAAGGTTTTGGCATTCTTGAGATGGGCAGCCTGGTGTGTGACTGGCCCCTTCTCTGATGCAACAGTGTGGCAGGCTCATCAGTGGGGTCACCCAGTCAGAGTGGATGGCAGACATTGTTTCCAAAACCTCTGGCACAGGATGCATACCAGGTGACCACAGGGCTGTGCTTGAGGAATAGGTCCCAGAGTCTTGAGGTGCCCTAAGAGAGTCAAACTGAAGATCTCAGTGCTTTATCCAAGGAGTAGGACCTTCTAAATCCTACTGTTTGACTTCTGGTCCTGCTACTCTAAAAATCCTCAAAACTTTAGAACCCGTTACTCCTTTGCAAAAGTTTATCTCCCAGGATTTCATGTGTGTTTTGCTGGGGTGTTTCTGTCCTGCCCACTGGAGGCATGAGTCCCCAGCACCCAGCTCTGGACTGCACACCATAGACAGTGCTGTAACTAATGTGACGTGGGAAGCTACTTTGATTCATCCCCAGAGACAGCAGGCATTTGAGACAGTCTGAGAAGGGTAATCAATACTGACTTTCCTTGCAGCAGAGCAAACTAAAGAGATGGACCATGTGATCCCACAAAGGCTCTTTGGCTCTGTTGTCCTGTGGTGTTGTGTGGCAAAACACTGACCTTAGCCTGAGGGGCAGTCATTGAATGGGATAGACTTGAGATTAGGTGACAGATTGGGTGCTCCCTTTGCTACTTGCCAGCTGTGTCACCTTGGGCAGAGTCATAGCTCTTAGTGCAGTACCTGCACATGGGAGGCACTCAGTAAGTACTTATTGACTGTGGAATGATCAAGCTTTTTGACCCTCAGTTACCTTGTCTATCAAATAAAAATAGTAGTACCTATTTCACAGGCATGTGAAGGGAGAATAGTTATGTTAAGTGTAGAAGGTGATGCTGTCTTTTTTGTTGTTTTCTCATATAACAGCACATCCTTACTTCCAACCTGGCCTTCCCTTGGATACCAAGGCCAGAAAGGAGTCCATGGAGGGATTGGGCAAGTCCAATTCTTCTCCTAGGAGAATAACTCAAAACTTTCTTGTTGACTCTGGACCAGTAGCATCACCTCTGCGCATGCAGAACAGGATGCTGCTTCTTTCATAACCGGAAGTCAATTGGTATTGTTTAAGATACCACAGTCAAACTTTGTTCTGCCCAGTTATGTTTTGAAATGACAGCTCCAATAATAAATTCTTAATTATAGTGCACTTTTAATGATCCAGATGATCCTGATTAGACTGTGGCCATCAGAAACTTGTGGCACTAGTTTCAGTTTGGACAGCATAAACCCAGGTGAACCCAAGAGGAACTCAGGTGCTCTCCTCCTTAGAGGAGACCCAGTAGGGAGAAGACAGGATCTGTTGGAGAAGGCAAGTTTCTCTGCTTGAAGTTGAGGCAGTGTGGAGAATTTGGAGGGAAACAGGCCGCGATTAGTGATTGCTGTGGGTATAAGAAAGAACAGTTTTATTTAGCTGGGCCACATTGGAAAGAGGAGCACGTGTGGACGACGGTTCCCAGTACTGATATGTGTGGTCCCTTGTTGGCCCATTGCTATGTGTTCACCAGTCCTTAGCAAAAGTGTAAGTAAAAGGACGTCAGCAGGGTATTCTTGGGAAAGAAAGTCTTCAATTCTGAAATCATGGCCTTCCTACCTCTTCCTTTAAAAGATGTGGTGACATGAGGCTGTAGTTGTTTCTTTTATGTCCTGCCATGTCAAAATGAAAATTTGGCTATGGTGTAATGATTACCACTTTTTTCTGAGGGAGATATTACTTCTCCATGGAATTCTAAAATTTGGGAACTAGGCCGGGCACAGTGGCTCATGCCTGTAATTCTAGCACTTTGGGAGGCCAAGGTGAGAGGATTGCTTGAGCCCAGGAGTTTGAGACCAGCCTGCACAACATGGCAAGACCCTGTCTCTACAAAAAATACAAAAATTAACGAGGTGTGGTGCCATGCGCCTGTAGTGCCATCTACTCTGGAGGCTGAGGTGGGAGAATCGCTTGGGCCCAAGAGTTTGAGACCAGCCTGGGTAACATAGTGAGACCTCATCTCTACAAAAAAATAAACAAAATTAATTGGGCATGGTGGCATGTGCCCGTAGTCCCAGCTACTCAGGAGGCTGTGATGGGAGGATCGCTTCTGCCTGGGAGGTCAAGGCTGCAGTGCGCCAAGATTGCACCATTGCCCTCCAGCCTGGGTGACAGAGTGAGACCCTGTCTCAAAAAATAAACAAAACGGGAACCTAAAGTACAGTTGACCCAAAATGACTAATCTTCAAATTGTCCATGTTGGCTTTGGGGGGTTCATTTTCTTCTAAGAAATATAGGGTTTTTTTTTCTATTAATTTTAAGATGCTAATTCTTTATTTGTTAATCCAGCCAAAACAAATGTACTGGGCACCATGTTAAGCATCAAAGAGCCAGAAGGCTTTCCAAAGCTATGCATGGGTCTTTTTGGTAGAGTCGCGGGTGGGGATGGTGCCCCATGCCTGCCTCTGCCACCCTATATAGCATTTAATAAGAAAGGATATACATATTTAACTATATATAGTTTTACATACATACATAACTGTATATAGTTTTACATACATACATAACTGTATATAGTTTTACATACATACATAACTGTATATAGTTTTACATACATACATAACTGTATATAGTTTTACATACATACATAACTGTATATAGTTTTACATACATACATAACTGTATATAGTTTTACATACATACATAACTGTATATAGTTTTACATACATACATAACTGTATATAGTTTTATATACATATGTGACTATAGTTTTATATACATATATGACTATATATAGTTTTATATACATATATGACTATATATAGTTTTATATACATATATGACTATATATAGTCATATATGTATATATAACTATGTCACATCAGCCTCTTCTGCATGTTAACTAAATATGTGTACTAGTTACAAGTTATATATATATAGAGTTACATATATATAGAGATATATCTGTAGAGATATATATATATATATATAACTTGTAACTAGTATAAATATTTCGTTAACATGCAGAAGAGGTTGATGTGACATGATACTGAGTACCAGATCTTGTGGCTTTCAGCCCTGAGTTAACCTTGCCTGATATACGAATATATGAACCTGGTTTCTCATTTCATCTTTCTGGAGCAGAAGCAGTAGTCCTAATGGGATATCTGTGTGGGCAGCAACTGATTATCACCTTTTATCATATCAGTGAGGAAATAATGGGACTTTGTAGAATTGTAGAATGACACATAGGTATTTGGGGTTTTGTAAGACTTGGCAGTTCAGATTTTTAAGGTTTATAGCCTTTAGACACCTAACCCTGCAAGGTGTGCTTGATAGCACATTTGACTTCTGCAGTTTGACAGATTAGGACATGGTTCTTGCCTATACTTGTATCCTTAGAGGGGATGGTCCTTAAAGCAGATGCTACACAGTGCCTGGCATGGTGCTGGGCATTAATAGGTGCTCAGTAAATCCCAGTGGAATTGAAGGAACTCTTGAGACCTATTGACTGACTGCGGTTGAGAGATGATCTTGTCAGATGATGAGGAGTGGAGGGTTTCAGCATGGAACTACAGATTAAACCTAGCCACTGTGCAGAATGAACAAGCCTTGTGCAGGGGATCCAAGGCCAGCTATAGAAGTGACACTGGGCTAACACTGGGCTAGTGGAATTTTAGCCTGCTTCCCTGACCACCCTCACAATATCTATCTGATGGGAAGGCCCCGTATAGGAAGTGTGTGTGTGTGTGTGTGTGTGTGTGTGTGTGTGTGTGTGAAGGGTGGTGATTCTTCAGAAAGATGTGGCAGTCTAGGGTGTTAAGGACACATTGGGGCTTATCCACAATCACAGATGCATCCTTTGGAGACAACCCAGCTTCTGATTCATAAATCACAAAAAAGTTGGAGATTTGTTCTTTCTGCATCTCAGCTTAGCTTATCTTTGTGGGAAGCTCACATCTTCCTGCTACAGGCATCTTCAGAGCAAGAGAGAAGCAGGTAGAGGAGACAGTGTGAGGGCCTCCCGCATTGTGATGCACAGCTTGGCCATCTTAACAAGCTATGTTGGGGGGATTTAGGAAAGAGCAGCTGCAAACTACTCTGAGAAGGCTGCTTCTCTGAGTAGAGGCACCTGGCTCCTGGGCCCCAGTCTGAGATTTCATTTCTTGAGCTTGGTGAGCCCCAGTTGGATGGAAGCATGCTCATCACAACCTTGAAGTATCCAGAGCTACACACATGGGTTCTCATGACTGAGTGCTGACTACTTATCTAACAGGTTAAAGGGGCAGCAGGTGGCTGTAAAGAATAAAATGAACACAGGACAGGGGCTTGGGAGCTTTGGCAGGACAGGAGTAGTGCTTGGAAGCCCTTTGTACTGTTGACTTGGAATGGGAACAGTTTTCTCTCACAGTCCTGGCCCAGGAAGTGTCACAGAACTCCAGGTACCTCCTGGGCTGCCATTTTCCTCCTTTCTACTGCCCTTCTGGGCCAACAGTTTGAAGGGGTGGCTGATCCTCGGTGTTACATGGGGAGAACTGCTTAGAGGTGGGTAGGAGAAGGAGAGCTCTGCAGTGGTTCGTGGCTACTGGTGTTCCCTCTCCAGGAAGCTTCCCTGGATTCATCACACCCACTGGTTCCATCTCCCTCACCACTTTCCCTTTCCAAGGCCTTAAGGAACAATTGTACTAGTTACGGTCTGCTAATGACACATCGCTTTGACTTGTTTCTTTTTTCAAGTTATAATTGTCCTTGAAGGAAGGCTCCCTATTAGTTCTTAACTCTGCATCTTAGGATTTAAAGAGCACTTATAGCCCCCTGGGGTGTTATCAGGCAGTGTTGACTCTTACTTGGTCCTCTTTTGGGTGCTCCTGGAGCCCATCATTTTGCTGAGGGTGGGGACCACAGATGAGTTGTTCAGACCTTTTCAAACAGCTTATAGATGCACACAGGGTTAGCAGTGCATCCAGGGATCATGCTTGCCTGGGCTTGGACACTTCCTCTGTGGACAGACTCTTCAGTTTATGGACCACTGTCACATAGGTTCAATCCTCCTAACAGTTTTGTGTGCCCAGTAATGTTATCTTCAGTTCAGGATGAGGAAGCAGCTTAGAGTGGTTAATGGATTTGCCCAAATTCTCACAGCCTTTAAGTAGAAAAGCCAGGATTCTCAGTTCGTTTGATTCTAAACTGTGTGTTCTTTTCAAGCACCGCGTACCTCTCCTCTTTGGATCAATAGGAACCAAATGAAGGAATGACTCCCCAGCCAGGCTGGTTTGTGTCCTCTGGGAGGCAGGGAGCAGAGGATGCTTTCATGAATGCTCCCAGCTACTCAGGGACAAATTTATGCATTGACAGAGTATGACAGCTGGAAGGACACACAGAGATCTTCCAAACATCTCTCTCCTTTGTAGAGATAGGTAAAGAACCCAAGGCCCTGAGAGGCTAAACCATGTTCCAAGGCTACACAGCAGGGCCAAGACTAGAAGCTGGGTTTCTGGATGCCCAGCTCAGTACCCCTGCCACAGTAGATTCGAGTTGTGGTTTTTTGCTTTCTTTTAACAAGAATACCTCTAGGTGCTGGCAGTGAGAGGAGGGAGTAGTTAAAATGAAAGTAAAAATGTTTTGTAGCTGTGCCTGCTAAGCTCCAGTAGGCTGTTGGGCCAGGGCACACTAGCCTCTGGGCCTGAAAGTAAATTGCTGATATCAGGAGGCAGAGTTTTCACTGGTGGGCAGCTGCTAGGTAGCCTGAAGGCTTAGGGCCTGCATCCTAGCTCATATGTAAACTTTATGAGCAGGGAGGAGCAGTGAGTGCTCCAGTCTTGCTCTGAGAAAGGGAATGTCACCTGAGGCCCCTCAGGACTGTGGTGCGTAATGGTAGTTGGTGGTCTAAGAATGCTGGATCCACTGATATCTGTTGGTTGAATTATCCATGTTGTTTTAACTGATTCCAAGTCAGACAACCTGGAAATCAATATGGCAGAAAGAAAAAAGCATAAGCATTTCAAACCTGTAGCCTTTTAGGTTGCTTGGCCTAAAAGCTTTCACTCATGCTTTTCAGCCGTGTGCTATCTCAGATAACCTGCACCAATGCACTTCTTCGCTGGGCACCATTGAGAAGCAAAGCAAGGCAAATGCTCCTTCCCTTTTGGTTTTAAATCCAATTTTGATTCTTAAGCACTACTTTCAGGAATTCCCTGCAGCTGCAGTGGGCTTTGAGTGTGACCTCTGTCTTACCCAGACTGTTAATAGGATTTACAACTGAAGACCACAATCTGGATTCAATCTCTGTCTTGGCCAGTAATCCTGTTCCTCAGACTTGCTGGTTATCCTTAATTTTTGCTCATTCTTCAAATTATACTCCTTATTTCAATAGCTGAACCTGTTGAAATCAGGTGGATGACTTGGGGCAAACTTTCCTAATGCTTAAAAAAGTGACATCATGGCTTGGTGGGTGGGTCTCCAGTGACCTCTTTGTCTGGTTCCATCCATGTGCTCAGAGAATCCCAAGAGGTGGGACTGTGGAACCATGATTTACATCTGGCACAGATTCCTTGGGCCTTCTCTTCTGGGCTAAGAGTATCCCTGGCAATATGGATCTCCCTAACTCTCCATATCCCCATGTAACTCAGGGCTGGACCTCAGAGTAAATATTTGTAAATATGTTGATCAGTCAAAGAGATGATGAGAATTTAATCTCATAGAGGAGGGAAAATATAATCTGATTTTGTTTTCTATGAAAGTATCTTAAATAAATTTGCTATGGCAAACTGCTGGGAGCTAGGAAGTTTGTTAGCTTCTGGTCTGTTCTGAAGGGTAGGGATCAAGGTCTTTCCTCTGCTGAGGTCTTGGGGTCTTGTCAGCGGGGCAATGCTCTAAACCTGCCTGGCCACCAACACCTTGTGAGCTTGGGCAAGGTCTTGTCCCTCAGATCTCAGTTTCTCCATCTATGAAGTTAATGTAATCCACTCCCATCTTAGTAGATATTTTTTATGCCTCCTTCCCATGGCTCTTCTCTGGATAGAGAGGAAGGAGAGATGAGGATGGTCAGAGGCAGTGACAGGGAAGAAGCTAGGTGGGTTGACAAGGATCACAGGCCAATGGGAAAAGAGCATAAAAATGTCATACCTCCCTGTATGCCAGCCTTAGGCTCAAATCAATGGAATTTTGGGAATTTTTCTCCCAGAGAGCATTTCCCACCTGAGCTGAGTATGCAGGAAAAGGGAGGGTGCAGCAGGAGGGCAGGGTGAGGAAAGTAATCTTGCCTTAAGAATAACCTCTGCGAGTGTCATCACCCAGGGTGCGTATAATTGCACAGGATTAAGAAAGGCATGTGGGCAGGCTGCGTTGCTTTAGATCCTCCTGCAATTAGTGTATGCCACTTCAGATCCCAGAGGAAGGATTAATTTGTGTGACGTGTGTTCATATGTCTACAGGTGTGCATGTGTGCCTGCAGCAGGGAATCCCCTGGTGGTGGAGCTGGCCCCTTATCCTTAGTAAATCATTCTGCTACAAAAATTAAAACCAAAAAAAGAAAAAAAAATTTGCTACAAATTTGAAAAGCAAAGCCAAAAAAAAAAAAGTCACCTATAATTCCATCATCCAAATACAGCTGGTAAGTTGTAGTATTTCAAATGTTGTTGAGTATTTTAATCTTGTTCTTGTGTTTTTTCTCTTAATTTATACTTCCTCTTTCTACAAACTCTCAATTTTGGCTGCTGACTCTCCATATGGCAGTGTCATCATGCACAGACCTGGACCCCCATGTCACGCCATGGACTCCATGACTACTAGCTTTAATGGCTGGTCTCCGTGGCCCACTCCCATTCTTACCATGTACACCTTCCAGCTGTCCTGTGTCCACTGTACCCTTGAGAACGCTCTCTTGAATTTCTCCAGATCTTGGTTGTCTCCCTGGTAGGCTGCTGGAAGGGACCTTATCTTTCTTTGTATACACAGTGTTGGCTGCATAGTAGGTGAGGAGAAAGGTTTGTGTGGTGAAATACCCTCTTTTATCTCAAACCTTTACTTCTTGGCCCCCCAACTTCCTTGTGTATAAGCCTTGGTTCCCCCAGACTCTGTCTAGATCCACAGAATCATTGATTTTCCCCAAAATGCGGTTTCCATCTTGTCTTTTTAAAGCTCTCTTCTCTTCACAGGCTTCTGAACCAGGATTCCCCTGGGCATGTGTGGTCTGAAGTGGCCCCTTTTGGTATGTGTGTGAGAGGGCATGAGGAAGGGGAAGAGGGAAGCAGACAGCTTAGTGGTGGCATGTGGAAAATAAGTCATTCTGTAATAGAATGCTTGAGAGAAGTGCTAGCCCATTGCCGGGGGGATGAGGGGATGCAGAGAAGAGAAGCAACTGGAAAAGTCTTCTGGAAAGAGTGAGTTTTGAGATAGGATTGGAAAACAGTAAAAATTGTTGACAGAGGTTTTTCCAGATTCGGACTTTGACTTTCATGTTGCTTTCATGTGTATGAGTGTAAATGTGTGCATATGGTGCAGTGTGTGCACATCTCTGTGCATATATGTGTACATATATCTATGGGTATGGGTGTAGACGTTTCTGTGTGTGGTGTGCGTACATGTCTGTCATATGTATGATCTCTGTACATGTCAATATGTGTATATGTGATGTACATGTACATGCCTGTGTGATGAGCATACACGTCTGTCTGCATGTGTTATGTGTGTACACATGCCTTTGTATGTGGTATGTACATATATCTGTTATGTGTGCACATATGTCTGTCATATGTGTGATCTGTGTACATGTCAATCTGTGTATATGTGATGCACATACATGTGCCTGTGTGTGATGAGTGTACACATCTGTGTGTGCATGTGTTGTGCGTACACATGTCTCTTGGTATGGCATGCACATATAGCTGTATGTTATGTGTGTACATATGTGTGATATGTGTACAAATGTCTACATACACATGTGTAATATGTGTGCACTGTATGTGTGTGATGTGTGTACATATTCCTATGTGTGTCTGTGTGTCTCAGACCTCCACTGTCTTTAATCTCTGTCCTCACACCCTACTCTTCCTCAAGAACCAGTTTCCTTTCTCCTGGAAATGTGAACAGGATTGCTGGCCCTCTTTCCTGGCCTGAGGATTGCTCTCGGATTCTCACTTGTCAGCCAGCCTTGGTGTCTATGGTAACTGCATTGTTACTGTGTATTTGCAGCAACTGTTACTGGATTTGTCCCAGTTACTTCATTTTTCTACTAAAAATCCTCAGTGTCTACATATCAGGAGCAAGTCCAGATTTCTTAGCCCAAAGGGCCTTTTGTGGTTCAGTTCCTGTTCATCTCTGACTGCTCCCTGATAGGAGCATTGTCCTCCAAACTCAACAAAACCCTCTCCCCCATTGAGTCAGGTTGTTTCCCATGCCTTCATATTTTTCCTGTGCTTTTCCCTCCATCTGTGAATGCCCCCTTCCTTAATTTGTCTAATTTCTCTTTCAATACTCTATCAGACATCACCCTTCCAGGAAAGCTTCCTCAGCATCCCAGTTCGATTGAGAGCACTTCACCTTGCAGAAAGCACACTTGGCTTTATGCAGCTCAGTAACCCCATTTCTCCCTAGACTGAGGTCTCCTTGGAGGGGGAGTTACTAGGTTTTGTTCATTGTCTTGCATTTCAAGCAGCTAGTGCAATGCCTAGCCCAGCCCACAATGAATGCTGGTAGAATGAATGGATGAATGAATGCACTCTTTCACATCTTCCCACATCTAGAATTGTTACTGACCTGGGTATTAGATGTTTTGGCCTGGGTGGGGACAATATTAAGTCTTTGCCCTATTTTCACCTCCCCAACAAGATTGTTTGCTCCTGGAAGGCAGGGATGGCATTGCAGCTCTTAGTAAACCTGGAGTCCGTGGATACACCAGGCAGTGAGTCAGTGTTTGTTTAAAGAAAAAGAAGGAAAGAAAGAATGATGCAGAGAATAGAAAGAGGGAGACAGAAAAGGGAGGTAGGGAGGACAGAGGAGTTGTTTCAAGATTTGTAACAGTGCTGGTTTGAGTCTAGTCAGAATAATATCTCTCCCTACCCCACTCTGGGCTCTGTGATCAAATTCTGGCAACTCCAAGAAATTATAAGGCCTGTTTGGCTCCAAAAGGGAGAGATAATAGAGATTATAGCATACTAGAAGTTTTAAAGTGGATGTCAGCACAGGTTTTTGGATTATTGGTATTATTGCATTATCAACATGACTGTGATGTTGATGCATGATTAAATTATTCATGGTGTATAATTGCTCTCAGTGATTAATTAGGACATTTTACTCCACATAATCCCTGCTGGATCCTATATGGATTGCAGAAGAGTTACGTAAAGCGAAGTGTGCTTTCTGCTAGTGAGTTAAAAAGCCTCCTTATTCTGATAGCTATACATTAAAATAGAAAATATATTTCTTTTAATGTGTACACAGTAAGCACTTCAGATTTATTTTATGGGTATCATTGCTTAGGATGAGGTAAAAGAAGGTAACACCGTGGTAGTATATCTTCAAAAATAAATCTGGTTAAGTAAAAATTGTGAGTTCATCCAGAGAAAAGTGTTGAATAAATAATCATACAAGTGGTTCATGAATATGGGAAAAACTACCAAGGAGGTATGTGAATTACTGAGGTTTAGGAAACACTAGGTTAAAAGCACGGGTCCTGCTTCTTCCCTTTGGAGAGTTCCACATGTCCTCCTGGAAAATGAACACTTGTGGTGCAGGAGTTCTGCCCCCACATTCACCTAAGGGTAGGGGGAGGGTTCGCAAGTGTGAGAGTGGGTCTGTCTCCCTGCTGAAACACAGCGTTGGAACTGTGGGCCACTCTAGACTCAGGAGCTGGCCCAGAGCATTGTCTTTGGACGCAGCCAGAGGCACCCTGTGAAGCAGGCAGTGTGTCCTTGGAGCCCCTCATCCTAGGGGTTAATATCCTCCCCACCCAGGCCAAAGCGTCTAATATCTAGGTCAGTAACAATTCCAGAAGTAGGCAGATGTGGAAGAGTTTATTTGTTCATCCATTCATTCTACCAGCATTTGCTGTGGGCTGGGCTAGGCATTGCACTGGCTGCTTGAGATGCAAGCAGCTGAGACATCTCAGCTCTCCCAGGCTGAGATCTCAGAGGAACCCAGAAAATTAAAGACCCTGAGAAACTGAAATTCAAGCTGATTTATTTAGCTTTCATGATAGAAGGGGGAGGCTGTTG
Organism: Homo sapiens; assembly: GCF_000001405.40. Classification (NCBI taxonomy): domain Eukaryota; kingdom Metazoa; phylum Chordata; class Mammalia; order Primates; family Hominidae; genus Homo; species Homo sapiens. The sequence continues at coordinate 153,248,292 of NC_000001.11, read as the reverse complement.
TGACTTCCTTCAGCAGGGGATGCCTGAGCCTCTGTCATTCTGCTACTAGCTCATTATTGAAATTGTTCCTGGGTCTTGGTGAGACTTTGGTGACTGAATTGATGTCAGAGGATCTGAGGCGGAATCTTGGTTATATCATTTGCCAGCTGTGACACTGCAAGTGTGCCGCTTAGCCTTTCTGATCCTATATCTTCATGTGTAAAATATCTTTGATTTGCCTATGTTTTGAGGATGCTGTGCAGATTAAACAAGATCTATTATATGGGAAAGCCATTGGAAAACAGTCAGTATTTGATTAAACACTGCTAGTTGAACTCAAGGAAAGATTGTACAATTCATTTAAATTAGAGTGTGGGCATCTGATTTAAAGTGGGTCTTCTCTATTCAGGGAGTGATAGGTTAAAAGAGTCAGAATTATAATGGAAAGGATGAAGCTCAGTGATAAAGTGTCAGGTGTCAATGAGGGAGAAGGGGTGGGGAGTGCATAGAGGAACTATTTCAGGGGCAGATTTTCTCTCGTGGGTTTGCCTTCATGGTTGATATTGGATTGGGGGGTCTGGCTAGCTTTGCCCCTTTTGTTCAGTTCTCTCCCAAGTTCTTCTCTGAGTCAGTCACTCGGTACTTAATACTATTACTAGCAGTGATAACTACCATTTATTGAGCACATCCTATGTTCCAGGTGCTATGTTGGGTGTTTCTCCATGTTGGAACCTCACCACATTCTGTAGCACTGTTATCCACATATCATAGATAACAAAAGTGAGGTGTGAGGAGCACAAATAACCTGCCAAGGTCACACGGTCAAAAGCAACTGAGCCAGGACTACAGTTGGATTTGTCTGACTCCAAAGCCCATGTTTTCCACAATCCTGCTGTCCGGTGTGATACAATTCTGTGTCAACATCAGCATCAGCAAATATTTTCTGAGAGCTGTCTAGTTGTCACACATTGCTCTAGACAGAGACAAAACAGACAAAAAATTCCCTGCCTTTGTGGAACACACATTCTAGCTCAATGGGACAAGGACTAGGTTTCGTGCAATGTTGGGCAGCTCAGTTTCCTCAGCTATACAGTGAGTGGACTGGGCTAGCTGATCTCCATGTTTCTTCTAGCTTTGATAGGACTGTAACCTTCATGAGGAAAGGACTGGATGTTTCTAATTGCTCACAGTTCCTTGCACAAAAATACTGGCAGCCTGATTTGCTCCTTGTCTGGTGATGTTCTCCCTTTTATGCCGCTGGCAGTGGGTTGAGGGGACATGTGGAGAGTTCAGCCCCAGAAGATTTTGGGTCAGAAGGTTGTTGGGTTTGGTCCCTTAGTCCTGGACCCCTTCCAGGAAGAGATTGCTGAGGAATCCAGAACCTTAAAGACCCTAAGAAACTGGGATTCAAGCTGATTTATTAAGCTTCCATGAGAGAATGGGGGGGGGGGGGCTATCGTGGCTCCCTTCAGCAGGGGACACTCAGGTTTTGTCTTCCACTCAACCTTAATTTGGGCTGGATGGAAAGGAGGGTCTCGGCCAAGTGAGCCAAGAGCTTTCAAGAAGCCTTGTCCAACACTAGGTTATGTGCCCTCTTATTGTGCTCCTGTAATATTCTGAGCTTACCTTAAAAGAAACCGAATAAAACCACTTTCCATATTGTGTTTACATTATATATTACATGTCCATCTCCCTTGCTGGACTAAGAACTCCTTGAGTTCTGTAAATTAAAGTTGTTGATCATTGAAGGTTGTTCATCACTGAAACTCCAGTACTTTGCCAAGTGTCTGCTACACAGTGGTGCCCTGTAAGTGTGAGTTAAACAAAACTAAAGGGGAACATCCTAACCAAGGCAATTGTGCCCAGTAGGGAGCAGGTAATGAGGCTTTTGAGAGAAGAAGATAGAACAGGAAAGAGTGTGATTTGAGGGGATGCTTGGCATTTGTGGCCTTAGGAGGATGTTATTTCATTGGAGGATGAGCTTGCTCTGGTAAGTAGATAATGTAGCCCAATTTGGGAGTCCCTGATGGCGCCACCACCATCACCATCATTATCATCATCACTTAAGAGCTGGCTATACATAGGACATATGGACAGGACATATGGATGCCACACTTAACTGCCAGCCTTGCTCAGCATAGTGTCATATCTGGGAAACCCAATACAATCTAGGGGAAGGTGCCAGGAAGGGGCAAAAGTGTGACATTAATTGCTGCTCTCATTGTGCCTAATCCCTCAGAGAATCAAATATGAGACAGTGGAGGTGCTTTAGCCAAACCCTTGGCAGACAGAGATGGAATTAGCCTGGTTCAACTCCAAATTGTTTATTGTGTTTGCTGGAATGAGTTTCAGAAATGCCACTGGCTTTCAGGGATGCCATGGTTATTGTGATTACTGTGTTTGGACAGGCTGCTGTAGGCACAGTGATTTGTTTTTCTTTAAAATAGATTGTTTTCTGATTCCTGGGCCTAATTGCTCACCTTGCTGTCCATGGTAGAACAGGCCAAGTGTACTTCAGCAGGCTCAGTGTCTGTGGGAGTGTTGGGCAGGTGTGGCTGGTGGGGCCTTCTACCACCACTGGAATGCAGCCTCACACTCCCACTTGGTGACCTCCCGACATGGAAGTAGCAATTAGTAGGGCCAGCTCTGACAGGTCTGGCCACGGCTTATCCAGGGTGGGCGAAGAGAGACTCCAGGATACTGCCTTGGTGCACTTGTCTTACTCTCTTTCCACTTTTCTTGCTTTCCGATGCACACAGGAAATTGTCATCATGGCAAACCCCAAATGGAGTAGACATGGAGGGCTGAGATCTAGAAAAAGCTGCTGTGGCTGGGAAGGAGCACATGAGGTCCTATAGGCCCCATAGCTTGGGTAGTGACATTCTATTTACTGTCCTCATCTTAGTCTACTTTCCATGTAACTTTTCTCCACTTTTTCTGACAAATGGCGGCAGCAAAAATGGGGAAGAAGCTTTGGTCTCAGTATCCAGGTATCAGACCTAGATCTAGAGCTGCTTTTGTCTTTTCACCTGCTTGAACTAAACACCTCTGTTTTCATCATCACCAACCTGTTTTCATCATCACCATGGTCACCATGTCTATCTTGCCATTACTTTCAGTTCTGTGCCAAATGCCTAACACTTTATTGTTATCATCTGCCCCGTAATCGTCACCACCATCCCCACCACTAACACTGTTGCCTCTGCTCACTCTTACCACCATCACCACCACCACCTCCACCAGCTGCACCAACTTCATCACCTTCACCAGTATCGCCATCGCCATCACAATCACAAGGACTGCCACTTTGATCTTCACTTATTCCCACCGTCGCTGCCACTTTCACCACCTCCCCCATCTCCATTGCTACCACCACTATCACATCCACTACCTTTTGCACCATCACTACCATTGTCATCACTGCCATGTCAACGTGCTGCGCTGTGTTGTAGGCACAGTGGTTTGTTTTTCTTTAAAATAGATTGTTTTCTTATTCCTTTGTGACCTCCACCACCATCACCACTACCAGTGTCATCATCACCATCACCACGACTACTGTCATGGCACTGGCACTCATTCTGATTGTCATTAATACTACCACCTTTACCACCGTCACCCACCACCACCTTCACCAACACCACTATCACCCACCATCACCACCACCTCCACCACCTGCACCACCATCACCTTCACTACCACCACCATCGCCCACCTCCACCACCACTAGCCTCACCTCTACCACCACCACCATCAGGTACCACCAACACCACCACTGCCACCATCTCTACCACTACCACCATCACCCATCACCATGATCATAACTTCCACTATCACCCACAGCTACCCCACCACCTCCACCACCACCACTACCACCACCTCTACCTTCATAACCTCCACCACCACGACCCCCACCTCCACCACCATCACCTCCACTACCACCACCATCACCCACCTCCACCACCATCACCCACCACCACCCACCACCACCACTATCCTCACCTTTCACCACCTTCACCAACATGTACTACCAGCACTACCACTGCCATCACCTCCACTGCCTCCATCATCACCACTACCACCTCTATTACCTGCATCACCACTACCTCCACCACCTCCATTTCTACCACCATCACCACCACCACCAACACCTCTACCACCTCCACCACCATTATCACCACCACCACCATCATCTACCACCTTCACCACCACCACTTCTACCACCATCACCACCACCACCAACACCTCTACCACCTCCACCACCATTATCACCACCACCACCATCATCCACCACCTTCACCACCACCACTTCTACCACCATCACCACCACCACCAACACCTCTACCACCTCCACTACAATTATCACCACCACCACCATCATCCACCACCTTCACCACCACCACTTCTACCACCATCACCACCACCACCAACACCTCTACCACCTCCACTACAATTATCACCACCACCACCATCATCCACCACCTTCACCACCACCACTTCTACCACCATCACCACCACCACCAACACCTCTACCACCTCCACTACAATTATCACCACCACCACCATCATCCACCACCTTCACCACCACCACTTCTACTACCATCACCACCACCACCAACACCTCTACCACCTCCACCACCATTATCACCACCACCACCATCATCCACCACCTTCACCACCACCACTTCTACTACCATCACCACCACCACCAACACCTCTACCACCTCCACCACCATTATCACCACCACCACCATCATCCACCACCTTCACCACCACCACTTCTACTACCATCACCACCACCACCAACACCTCTACCACCTCCACCACCATTATCACCACCACCACCATCATCCACCACCTTCACCACCACCACTTCTACTACCATCACCACCACCACCAACACCTGTACCACCTCCACTACAATTATCACCACCACCAACATCCACCACCTTCACCACCACCACTTCTACCACCATCACCACCACCACCACCACCACCTCCACCACCTACACCACCATTACCACCACCATTACCACCACCACCACCATCACCACCACCATCACCAGCACCAATCTATCACATTGCTACCTTGATTCATTCTCATCATCACCACCACTGCTACAGCCACTATCATCACCATTACCACTAGTTCTTATCAGCACCACCACAACTAGGATGATGGTGGTGGTGGTGGTGATGGTGGTGGTGGAAATGATGGTAGTGGAGGTGGCAGAGGCGGTGGTGGTGGCGGTGATGGTGGTAGAAGTGGAAGTAGGAGGAGAGAAGACAGGGATAAATAGCCATCTTCACATTATTAAAGGCTTTCAGAAGAATAGTGAAAGTTATTTTATGTGAATAAAGAAGTTAGAGTTAGAAAAACAGAACTTATACAGAATTATAATTACACTGGGTAAATGTAAGCAATGTCTTATGGAACTAGGAGAGACCAGAGGATTAAGAAGTTTGAGGGTAAAAGATACTGAGTTTAATTGGGAGCATGTTGAGTTTCTCTGGTAACCAACCAGCTGGGGTGGTTTTCCTGTCCAATCCCTCACTGATGCTTGAATCCCTCCCTGAAGAGTTCCTCAAGAGTAGAAATCTAAGCTAATGCTTTTTATGTTAGGGAACTCATTTAATCCTGAAGTAGGTGATTCCTTCTGACTATTTTTATTTTATAAATTTTAAGTCATTCTATAATACTGGAACACATTTTGTTTTAAAATTTAAGACGTTATATGTCAAGATGAAATTATTCCTGGTCATCACTGCCAATCCTTGTTCCTTTAGCACCTTCACATGGGCAACCAATGTTGTAAATTGGTTTGATTGTTAAAATAGATCATTTTCTCACCTTTATGTACATATTTAGAAACAACATGGTACTGTGTTGTGTGTATATTTTACCTGAATAGTATTATATATTTTGTGTGTCTTTCTGCTGCTTGCTTTTTTCCCCACTCAGCAATAAATTAGCATGAAGGGTAAGAGGATGGAGCCTGGGGCCACACTGCCTGGACTCAGATCATAGCTTTGTCACTTGCTAGTTGCATGATACAAATTATTTAAACCCTCCAGCCGCAGTTTCTCTGCTTTATAAATTGGGATTGTGGTATACCTATAGCCACAGGGTCTTGTGAGGATTAGATGAGTAAATTTAGGTAAGAACTTAGAACCCTGCCTTGCTCACGCTGTTGACAGGCATAAAGCAACATTATTCCTTATCACAATTCTTTAGTAATTTATAGGTTGGATCTGCCACAGTTTATTTGGCCACTCCTAAATCGATGGGCATGTAGGTTGTTCTGATTTTCATTATTACAAACAAAGCTTCAAGCATTTTTTTTTATATATGCTTCCTTGTACACATGAATGATAGTTTCTTAAGATAGGCCAGGCGAGGTGGCCCACGCCTGTAATCCCAGTACTTTGGGAGGCCGAGGTGGGCAGATCACGAGGTCAGGAGATCGAAACTGTCCTGGCTAACATGGTGAAACCCCGTCTCTACTAAAAATAATACAAAAAATTAGCCGGGTGTGGTGGCAGGTGCCTGTAGTCCCAGCTACTTGGGAGGCTGAGGCAGGAGAATGGCGTGAACCTGGGGGGCGGAGCTTGCAGTGAGCCGAGATCTCGCCACTGCACTCCAGCCTGGGTGACAGAGCGAGACTCTGTCTCAAGAAAAAAAAAAAAAAAAAGATAAGGAGTAAAATTGCTGAATTCTATCACATTAAAGGCTTTAATGGAAAGATACAATTATAATGAGTAGATAGCTGCCTTCTGTTTCTTCCACCTGTTGGTTTTAGTTCTACTCCCTTGGCAGCCTGAGCCACACAGCAAACTCTGAGGTAGAAGATCCCAGGACCAATTAATTCAGATTCAGATTAACTTTGGGGGTGAGGAGGGATCACATTTTTGGGAGGCTTGCTATGTGCTAGGCCCTCCTCTAAACGTTTATATATAATAACTCATTTAATCATTATGAGGCTTAGGTACGATAACTATACTTATTTTACTCATGAGGAAATGGAGGCAAAAAAAGCAAAGTAATTACTCAAGGTCACACAGCCATAAGCGTTAGATCCTTTAGACAGTTGTGAGTGTTGTCAGTAAAGCTCTTAGTATTCTGTTCACCACACAGGAAACAATCAGTGAATGTTAATATCAGTATTATTGTAGGGCTGATTGACAATTATTACAGCTATAGAATTATTATCACTTTACCCTTTTTACTGTCAGACTGTGATAGAGCTCATCTCTGGGACATCCATTTAGTTTGTTTTAACACAGCAACAACAAAACTGGTTTCAAGCCCCAATTGACCAATCTGCTTTATTTACACTACAGGCACAGAATACATTCTTAAACTTTGCGGGATCTGCCGATAAAGTTGCCATAAGTAGCACCCCTGGTGTTTGCAACACACATGAGATAAATGCAAATATAGTTAAATGCAAAATGTAGATACATATAATTACTTATTTGTGATGGAGCAGAAACTGGTGGATGGGGGGTTGAATCATGCCGGATACTCGGGAAAGAGACTGGGAGGGGGCTGAAGATGGGGGAGACTTTGGACCTGAGACTTGAGAAGGAGAGATTAGCTGGCATGAGATGGTGAAGTGGAGAAGCAGACTGGAAAGCAATTTCCTTCTTATCCAGAAAACTGTGCTGGAGCAAGAAAGAAACGACATTCATTCGTTCACTGAGTATTTACTTTGCGATAGAACTGGAGATACAAAGACAAACAAGACACAGTCCCTACCCCCAAGAAGTTCATACTGTAGTATGGAGGACAGAATGTGAATGAATGATTGCAAGACAGGGGATACATGTGGACACACTCTAGGGGTGCACACAGACTGTGGTGGCGGCGCCAATAGGGTCTTCCTAGAGAAGAATATGCTTGAGCTAGAATCCTTCAGGATATGTAGGGGACAAAAATGGGTGGGGAAGGAATGGAGCCAGATGGAAGAGCATGTCCAGTGGTGTGGAGTGGCCCAGTGGGCATGTGCAGGCCATTGCAAGGGTTAGGAAGGACAGAGGGGAGTCGGGAGACAGGCCGCATCACTCAGGAGCCTGAAAGCCACGTCAAGGAGTTTTGACTTTTAGCTTAAAAGATATGGGCAGCTACCAAAGGTTATTTAGATTGGAAAGAAGCATGATTATGACTTAATTTTCCCAAGATAAGTTATTTCTTCAAACACTGGCATCCTGAGGAAAAGCTGGGCTGCCTGGGGTTTTTGCAAGCATGTTGGAGTAAGAGCATGGCAGGGATCAATCAATTGGAACTGGGCAGGTGTTGGCATTAGTTTTGGAAAATATTAGAAGGTGGATCTTAAGTCACAGTGATTGAGCTTGATTGGCTACATTGGTCTGTGTGACAATGTCATGTGCAACAAACAAATAAATCATTGCAAACAAATAAATACCATTGCTCTGGCCAGGAGTCACAGAGTTGTTTCATTTAATTCCTAAAATAATTTGTGGATTTGGCATTGTTGTCACTCCCATCTTGCAGTTGAGTAAATGAAGGCTCAGAGGAGCTGAGGAAGTTGCCGCACACCACACAGCGTGTAAGTGCTCAAGTGTCCATGTGGGCTCCTGCACAGTCCAGGACTCCTGCTGCATGAAGCTGTCTTCAGAAGGCAGGGAGAAGTGAGGTGCAGAGTGGGTTATGCTGTGATGGAGCCTCACTCTGTGAAGCTACGGAAAGTAAGGACTCCTTTTGTGGCCCTATGGGGTCCCAATGGGTGCCTGAGGTGATGATCGGATGTTCTTCTGAGCTCCTTCCCCCAGGGTGAGACTGCAGGGTTTGCAGAGGCATGAGGGCCCTTTGGCTTTCATCACAAGGGAAAGGCCAGATCAGCACAAATCCATCACTCCTTCTGGAAAAACTATTCCTAGGCCATGCCTGACTCAGCCTGCAGAGCTCAGCAGGGCAGTTTGGCAACCTGGCCCCTGAAGTGCTGCCTTTCTTCTGCACAGTTTCGGCGATAAGAAAAAAGGGATTTCTTCACTGCTCCTTGTAAGAATAAATGGGTGGAGGGCGCTATGGTGAAATGGGGTACAACCCCACCCCACCCTGCAAGGCTTCCCGCCACATCAAGACCTTGAGTTTCAAGAACTCTTCAGCAGCCACAGCCTGCAAGTTCAGGAAGGTGGGATGCTCCCTAGGTTCCTGAGCGCCACACTTCAGTTCTTTGGTTCTTCAGATACTTTTGTTTACCCCTTACAATGAATCAGCGGCTTTCCAAGAGTTTTACAACTAGGACTTGATTTTATCTCCACAATATCCCTCAGAAGTAGGTACTAATATCTCCATTTTACAGATAAAAATCTGTGATGTCCACTACCATTGGTGCCCATTTGATGCCATGGCCATTGCCACTCATTGCACACAGGCACTGTCCTGCATGCTGGGGAGACAGCAGGGAGTACGGCCACAAGCCCGTTACAGCAGCAGTGAATCTTTCAAATGAGATAATGAGCATGAATGTGTTTGATAGACCATAAAGTGCCAAGTGCCTCTAGGAACAGACATTCCAGCAGGAATAAAGTCTCAGCACACTGCAAAAGTTGGGTAACACTGCCCCATGTGGACCAGAAAGCTTTGGACACCTGTCACATGTGACTGCTCTGCCACAACACTTCAACTGGGAGACTGGGTATCTTAGCCTTCAAGGTCCTGGGGATCAGATAGACCACAACACTGATGCCCAATTTTAACCAACCACCACTCACATATTCCAGCTCCCTCCACAGGGCCTGACCTAGGACTGGCAGGGTGCTCAGCAGAGAAAGGCCAGGTCCTTGGTAGCCCCCTCATCCTGGGGTGAGCAGAGGAGCCCCTCTCCAACCCCTGTCCTCTTGATCCTGAATGCTTGTTTGCCTGGACTTGTGCTCAAAAGTCTGAGAAGCACAAGAACATGAAGAAAGTTGGAGGGTCTTCATTAATTAGCTCTTAATTCGTTAATTTTTATTTTCAATGAACTGTCATCTCCTGCTCCTTCAAATGCCTAAGTCAAGAATCTTTCATTGTATTATATTATTTGTTTATTAATATACTGTTTGTTTTATATATATTATTTGTTTATTAATATACCCATAGCAAAGGGTACATATGTTACAAGGCTTATGAGATAGAAAGAAAATCAGAACTAAGGAAAGGAAGACAAGTCAGGTATTAGAATCAAAAGGACGAGGTTTTTGCTTATGTTAATTAGCTTCATTTAGCCATTCCACAATGTATGTATACATATGTCAAAATACCATGTTGTATTCTATAAATGTATAGATTTTTGTTAATTAAAAAATAAGAAATAAATAAATTAATACAGAAAAAGACCCCAAAACCCAAAGGACAATTTTTTTTTGACAATGAACAAAGTATCTAATTTGCTATTATAAAAGCTATACATGCTTACTTAGAATATTGGTAAAATATAGAAAACATAAATTTATTTAATTTCTTCTCTACTGGTGATAATTTAGATTGTTGCCTTTCCCCCTGCTTTTATAAAATCATTGCAATAAGTGTCTTCGTACACCTAAGTTTGTAAACATTGCCAACTGTTTTCTTTTGCTAAATTCCTAGCATGACAGTACACCTATCACGTTTTATGCACATGTAAGACATAGACTCAGACCACTTAGAATTGGATCCCAAGTCTGCCACCTGCTAGCTGAATGGCCTTGAGGGGTTTCTTAGGACAATGGTTTCTTCCAGTGAATGTGGCTAACAGTACCTCCTTTATTGAATTGCTATGAGGTGCGTGTGCCTTAATACATGGTAAGTACTTGGATCATCACCTGGCCCACAGTTAACTCAAAACTCTTAGCTATTATTGTTATTATTATTTCTGTTATTGTTGCCAACTTGTCCTGAAAGAGTGTCCCAATTTAAACTCCCACAAGCATTGTATGTGTTGATTTCCACACACCTTTGTCAACACTGGGTATTATCATTCCTTTTATTATTTCATTATTTGCCAACCTGATAAGCAAAATTGTTGCTTTAATTTTACTTCCTTGATTACTAGTGATGATTTTTTTGATGTCTTTATTGGTATTTATTTACTCATTTGTGAATTTCCTGTTCTTGATTTTTCCATTTCTGGTAGATTGTTCATCTTTTTCTTACGGATTTCTTCGCTAGTATATTAAGAACATAAGTCTTGCTGGTTGTGTATGTTGAAATGTGTTTTTTTTCCCAAGTTTTTCTTGTTCTGTGTAATTCTGTTTGTACTTGTAGACATAGAAATTGTATTAATATTTTTTCTTGTTGTTCTTGCCTGTGTTTGAATACTTAGAAGCCTAAAATGAGATCAAGTTATCTATGTATTTCCAATTTTTAATTTTTACAGGATTTTTTTTACATTTAACTTTTGAATTCAAACGAAATCAGTTTAGAGTGTACATAGTTTATTCCACTTTTTATTTAATTATTTATCAATTAATTGTTATATATGAAATAATATATTCTTGATTTGTTTCTTGGCTGTCTCCTTGTTCCATTAATCTCTCTATTTTTTCCTATGCTCATATTTTTCATTTTTAAAATCTTTATAAAGTAGTTTAATATCTGGTGATACAAGTCCACTTTTGCTATTTTTTTTAGAACTATTGTCTTGGCTTGATACTTTATCATCTGATTATGTCTATAAATAAACAAGAATAATTTTGTCATTTCTAAGAATACTGATTTTGATTAGAATTGCATTCATTTTACAAATTAATTTAGGGCAAGTTGATATTTTTACCACCTTTACACTTTCCTATCTAGAAATGTAGAAACATTAATCCAGACATTTAGAAGAGCTGTAGATTTTTAAAAAGTTGAAAAGATGGTATAGTGCTCCTATGTACCCCATATTTTTCCCTATTGTTAATATCTTACACTATTTTTTCCCTGTTGTTTTCCCTATTGTTAATATCTTAACAGTTTTCCGTATTGTTAATATCTTATACTATTGTAGTACATTTGTCACAACCAATGAATCTATCAATATACAGTTGACCCTTGAACAACATCGGTTTGAACTGCATGGGTCCACTTTTATGTGGATATTTTTCAATAAATATATTGGAAAATTTTTTTGGAGATTTTTGACAATTTGAAAAACTTCTCAGGCATACTGTGTAACGTAGAAATAGCTAAACAATTAAGAAAATGTTAGGTATGACATGAATGCATAAAATATGGGTAGATACTAGTCTATGTATGTGTTAATCACCTATTTATGTTATGTGTAAGGCTTCTGAACAACAGTAGGCTATTAGTGGTTAAGTTTTTGGGCAGTCAAAGTTGTATGTGAATTTTCAACTGTGACAAGGGGTATGGGGCCTGGTGCCCCTACTCCCCTTGATGTTGAAGGGCCAACTGTTATTAACTAATGCCCATAATTTATTAATATTCATTAGTTTTCTCCTGATGTCCTTTATTGATCCCAGCGTTCCATTGAGAATACCATGTTTGTTGTCACGTTTCCTGAGGCTCTTCTAGACTGTGGCAGTTTGTCAGACTTTCCTTGTTTTCAATAACCTTGACTGTTTTGAAGAGTGCTGGTCAAGTATTTTAAATGTCCCTCAATTTGAGTTTGTCTTATTTTTTTCTTATGAGTGGATGAGACATTGATTTTAGGTCATGGTAGTGTGAACCCTGAATATCTGAGATGGTCTCAGTTAATTAAGAAAATTTGTTTGTCGGGGACGTGTGCCCGTGACACAGCCTCAGAAAGTCCCAACAACATGTGTCCAAAGTAGTTGGGGCACAGCTTGGTTTTATACATTTTAGGGAGACATGTGACATCAATCAACATATGTAAGAAGTACATTGGTTCAGAAAGGCAGGGACACCTCAAAGCAGGGAGGGGGCTTCCAGGTCACAGTTAGGTGAGCGACAAATGGCTGCATTCTTTTGAGTTTCTGATAAGCCTTTCAAAGGAGGCAATCAGATATACATCTATCTCAGTGAGCAGAGGGATGATTTTGAATAGAATGGGAGACAGGTTTGCCCTGAGCAGTTCTCAGCTTTACCTCTCCCTTTAGCTTAGTAATTTTGGGGCCCCAGGATTTTCCTTTCACAGTAGCTAGGGAAAATCTTATTTTTTTCTCCCTAAGAAATATCTATCAGTAGGACCTTACAGAGGAGATACTGAGTGCCACGGAATACCAAGTATCCATCAAGAGTGTGGTAACATGTGGAAGTAGTTTTTCATGGCCAATTTTCATTAATACTAGCATAAAATCTCAGGTCAACACATGAAGTTTCAGTCCAAGGAAGACCATTTTCTGAGCAACTAGGTTAATGCAGTTGACTATTTAGTCTTACAGTTGTCTAACTTGTCTCATGGATAGAACTCAGAGGAAAGGATTAGTATCTAGATAGTGACTTCCTTAGACTACCATTCCCAGTGTTTAGGAGTAAAGGCTTAGAGTCAAACTGCTGGGTTCAAATCCTGTCTACACCTCTTCTCTAATTCTCTGACGCTGACATCTCTTCAGGGTGGTGTCCTAATCTCACGATGGAGGAGATGATTGTACCTGCTGAAGAGAGCTGTTGTATGAATTAGATGAGACGGCACATCATAAATAATCAACACTGTTAGTTAAGGTAGTCATTATTCTTTCAGTTGAGCCTTCTGATGAGCTCTGGACCCATGAGGATTAAGAGTTACACTCTCAGATACATGCCTGAAGCTCTTGAAGATGCTGTTGAATGTATTTACATATGCTTTGGAAATCAAATGAATAGGTAGCAGGGTTGATAATCTAGTATGAAAATTGAGAAGTCAAACCAGTGCACTCTTCTAGATGGACAGCTACCTGCCTCTGAATGGGGCCAGGCCTTTGCTCCACCCACAGGTAGGGTTGGGCTTTCTGTAGGAAGCAGCTTAGGGTCAGCTGTGTCCCCTACAGAGGTCCTTGGCTGAATCCCCAATCTCCTGCTTCACAGCACAAACAGATTATTTTGTCCTGAAAGCAAATCATTTGCTTGGTTTCAGAAAATTCTGTACAAGGCTCCCCTGATCATGAGCTGAGGGTTTCTCTCAGGATTCCTTTGTTTTGAATTAGCTGCAAATGGTTTCCCATTACAATCTCTATTGCCACTCTTTCCAGGACAATGTACAGGTTTGCTCCATGGAATTATTGAGTCAATTGAATTTTGGAGGAAATTACCCAAGGTAGCCATTTTCATGAATTATCAATTATTGTTGACCCATACTCTCTGACTAATTAGGTTCTAGGACCTAGTCCCTTGAGACTTTGAATCATGATATAGAGCTACATCATCTGTCTTTCAACTACGCATGGCAGGAAGGCACAAATCCATTTAATCTAACAGTGTTATTATATTATTAGTATAATTATCAAGGAAATTCTAAGACATTTACTAACACTTAAATGCTTAAAATGTTGCAGTTGTACTGAGATTTGAATGTTGCCACTCATTAAGGATTGAGCTTACTTAGTGCTTGAGCCCATGGCTGATTTTGACCTGTAGAGATTGAATTATATTTTGTTTTTGAGTCCATGCTTAAGCTTGGAGCTACTATATTAATTTTTTTAGTATTCAGAACTCTGTGCTTTGTGGGCACATACTTCAGTACTTTCATTTTATAAGTCAGGAAACAGAGAGTACAAAGGTCATATATGTCATGAATTAGAGTCCAAGTTGATGGTGGGGGTTCCAAGTCCAGTTTCTTTTAAGTGTTAACAGCTCAACTATGTCTTCAGTGAATTTGATTCCTCGCTCACCTTGGCAATCCCTCTCCTGGCCCCTTTTAAGCTGGACATTTCTCCAACATTGTATTTCTTTCAGCATGTTGCTTTTTTTTTCTTCCTCTTTCTGCCTCTGCCTCTGCCAGTTGACTTTGAGGCCCTTGAGGGGAGTGGCTTTGTCTATTATTTTCTGCATATCTAGTAGCTGGCTCCATAGCAGGCATAGAAGGCTCCCATTAAATGCTTATCAAATGAATGAATAGATGAATGGACACAGCATGCCAGTTTGATGAACGATCCTCACATTTGTATTTGACTGCCAACATTCTTTGTGCCAGGGATTTGCCACTAGCCTGTAGTATGGAGCTGGAGACTGGGCTTTCCTTTCTTGGGACCTTGAACTTGGGTGCTCTGAGTGGGTTCCCCTCTTGTGTCACATATGTATGACATACTTCAGGGTCCCTGTTGAGACCTGCTTAGAACCACTGGATGTCATAGGTGGAAGAAGCCATAAAGAGCATCTAGTGCAATCCCATTCTTTCACAGATAAGGGGGCTGAAAAGACCTCATATCCCCAGCTCTTGTACCTAGCCAAGAGCTGCGATCCAGAGGGCAGTCAGATGGACTGATGGTTTGATTTCATGTGAGCTGAAACAGAGTGACTCTTTAATGCTCTTTGAGGCCGTGGGTGGAAGTGCTGCTTTGCTTTGCAACATCTAGGGCTATGGGCACTGAGGTAGATTTGTCACCTGGAGATTCTAGTAGAAGTAATGACAATTACCAACTGGTACTTCTTGCTGCCTCACGTCCTGCCCCTCCTCATGGCCTGTCACAAACACCTTGCACAACTGTCCTTGTCCTCCAAATGCACATGGGGCAACTCTTTCCATGAGTCAGCTCCACTAAGCTGTGTCATTACTCAGGCTGTGTGGCCTCAGGAATGTCACCTGGGGTCTGCAGGATTGGAGTGGGGCAGGGAGCTGGAGCATGGTTCCCTGGTGAGGCTTTGCCTGGGCCGTGTGAACAGGGACAGGCCACATTCTGAGGAGCCTGGCTCTACGCCAGTTCTTGACCCCTGCTCTGCCTCTGAATCTAAAATTCTCATATTTGAAACTGGGTCAAGGTAAACGTGGGTGATGTGTTGGTGGTAGATATGATGATATAAAGACTGGAGTGTCAGAGTCGATGTTTTAACTCCAGCCTGGGTTAGACTTCAGGTGAGTACTCAACATATGACTGGAGAAACACACTTGTCATATTTTGATCAGGGCTCTTTAAAGGTGAGTAAGTTGGATGTGATTTTCATTTTGTATTTTGTACTATATCTTTAAAAAATCCAAGTCCGGAGAGGGTGAGGACAGAGATGCGTACGATGGAGACCCTCACACTTTGTGGGGACATTAGCACTGGGGATCTTCTGAGGCCAGGGACCTTTTCTTTCTCCTCAAACTGGGGATAACCTTAAGGCCAGGACTGTGTCTCTCCACTGCATTCCCTCTGCAGGCTCCAGAGGGTGGGGCTGTCTTCTTCCTCATCCCGGGGTCTCCCTGAGGTTTGCTATGTCCTGTCTTCACACTGGGGCTTCCCTGGCAGCAAGGGCTTCCTCCAACACCGGATGAAGTCTAGGAACACTTAGGCCTCAAATTGAGGAACCTGTGATGGACAAAAATAGTAGCATGCATTACAAAAGGGCAGAATTGTCATTTTCCTTCTGCCTCTGTGGCCAGCATGGCAGGCATTTGGCAAAGGGCAAGGGGAGGCATGGTTCCAGCATCTGGAATCATCACACTGACTTTGTGTATGTATGTGTGTGCGTGTGTGTGTGTGGTATATGGTGTGAGAGAGTGCAGTGTGTGAACCTCATGCAGGTGAGTCTCTGGGGGGTGACGGGGAAGAGGTGCTCCCTCTTCTAGGAGGACATGGTAGGGGCAGAGAAGCAGGCATGGGCTGAGTAAACCCATGCAAAGTCTGATTAGGGCTTAAAGTGTGTTTGCCATCTGGGCCTGACTCAGCCTCTGGTGTCAAAGGTTCAGGCGAGGTTGCTTTGTGAACAGGGTGGAGTAGTCCGGGTCCACTTGTGGAAACTCTATAAATGGAAGCCTGGGCTTCGGTGTTGGCTTCCCTCCTGGTTTGGGGAAGTGCTGCTCAGTCCTGCCTCCTCCCACTCACCTTCCCACACCTGGACACCTGCAGCCAGGCATCTTTCATGAAGGCCTCTTCTGTCCTAGAGTAGGTCTGAGCTGGGATTTTCTTTGAGCAGCAAACCAATCCAGCTGCATCCAGGAACCCCACAGACTGCCCTGCTTGGTACCTCCCTTTGCTCCTCAGTCCACTCTGTTCTGTTCTGGCCTCTGTGTCCCCACTCAGGCTGTCCTCATCAAGGTCACCAGCCACTCTGCATTTCTTGACCAGTTAGTATTGGTTGACTCCATTGATTTTCCTTCCTTTCTTGGACACCTGTCTTCTCTTGTCTTTCCAGTCTCCACCCTCCTAGTTTCTCTTCCTTCACTGACCGCTCTTTGTCAGCTGGCTGTACAGGCTCCTTCTGCGCTGTCCAACCTTGAGATCTTGTGGAGTCCTCAGCTCGGTAGGGCCCTCTCTTCTTCTCCTTGGGTGATCTCAGCCACTCACATATCTTTAAATACCTTCTATGTGATGACAGCTCTCAAATATGTACATTTTTGGCCCAGATATCTCTGAGCTTCAGACATGTACCCACATATCTCCTAGTCCTCACCTCTCTGCATCCACCTAGTGGCCTAAGCCATAAACTTGGGAGTATTTCTGCCTTCTTTCTCCTCCTTTACCCCACACATTGAGTCCCCCTGCTACTCCTGTTAGTTATTCCTCCAAAACACTTAGCGTCACCCTCTTGTCTTTGTCTCCACTGCTGCCATCTACCACCTTTAGCCATAACTCTAGTAGCAGGTCCTTCCTCTCCCTATTTCATGCTTCCTCCAACATCCAGCCTTTATACATTTTGCAGATGGAATAATCTTTTGAAGCTTTGAATCAAATAAAAAGCCTCTACTGAGACCCCTTCGGGGTCTTCCCGATGCATTTTGAAAAACATCTGAACAGTATATACATGTTGTCTGAGGTTTGATGGGATACATGCTCAGGCAGGTGTGTGTTTATGCCTGTGAACAAACCTAAACAGATGCAGGTGCATATTCACCCTGGCCACAATGTGCCCACCCCAAGATAGCCCTATTGTTTAGGGTCTGGGACCCATCAGTGTCTGGCATCATGCTTGGCATTAGGTGCTCAGCAGGAGCTCAGTGAATGGATAAATGAGCTTTTGGTGTCCTCTAAGTGTAAACTCCACAAAAACAGCACTTTTGGTCTGTTTACTGCTACATCTCCAGCACCTAAAGGAAAGCTTGGCATACAGTAGCTACTCAACAAAGATTTGTTGAATGAAAAAATAAATGAATGAGAACACAATGAGTAATCTACAGATAGGCTTTGTCATTCTGGCTATTTAGGAATCAAAGGTAATGTGTTCAGTGACACTTTTGTCAGTCAATTCACATTCAAGAAAATGTTCCCTCAGATTTCCTCTCACCTCCAGCACGCTGCCATTGCCACCATCATGTAACCCATCATTTCTGTTGCTCTCACCTCAGATCGGCCTTTCCACATTACCCGAGCTAAAGAGCACCCCTCTTCCCTGGTCATTTTGTTTCATTTTCTTCAATTTCTTATTTATGCATTTGCTGAGTTGCTTTTTGTCTGTCTTCCTCCTCATGTGAGCTCTGGGAGGCAGGGATTCTGTGTATCTGGTTCGCTGCTGTAACTCCAGTGCTTGGCTCATAGGAGATTCTGTGTCACTTACTCTCACATAGGAGAAATTTGTTTTAAGGGAACAATAGAAGTGGTGGAGTCTAGATTTGAATTCCAGAAGTCTGATTCCTGAGCCTATGTCCTGAACCATTATTCGTGTTGCTCCCACCCTATAAGTAATGTAACTCTGTCTTGCACATATAGCCTTCCTCTGACTCTGTTAGATGCTGCATCTCTGTACTCTTGTCTTCTCCACATGGAGCATTGACTGGACCCGAGTGTGTGCGGCCATCTCCAACTCAGGCCAGACTGGGTGTGATTAGTAGAAGGCCAAGTGCCTCTATGGCCAGCAGGTGGTGCTGTTGGGAAGAGAAGAGAAAAGGGGTCCCCAGCGGCTTCTAAAGGAGGGAGGACTGGTTATGAGGCTGGCTTGGGAACCGGGTGATGAGGGAGGTTGAGTTGAGAAGGCCCTGCCAGCTGACCACCTCTTTTCTTTCAACCATGAATGGCGGTGGTGGCCCCCACGATACCACAGTCACCACCATCACCCCTGACCGACAACTCCAGAACACCAAGCTCCCCTCTGAGCTGGCCCTACAGGGCGAGTGGCCAGACTCTCACATGCTCGTCAGTTGAGACAGGGTCTCAAGGATGTAACCCAAACTATACATTCATTTAGTGTAAAGGTTATTCCTTCATGCATTATCCCCTGGATAGGCGACCTTAGGGGATGCCTCTCACTCCCTACCCTAGTTTTTGATGAACTCCTAAGCCATAGATTCAGTTTTAGAGATAAGTATAATAGTCCTTAAAGTATGATATTAAACATGACAGAGAGTGTGTCATCAAAGGTATTTCCCCTGGGTTAAAGCTTGTATTTTTAAACCAAGAATATGGGCATTGGAATCAGATGAGCTGGGTTTCAGCTCTGGCATTGATACTTACTGGCCGGATAATCTTGGTCAAGCTGTTAAACCTTTTGGGTCCTCAGATCATTTATCATTCATTCACTCACTTATTCCCATGTACCAGGATCTAATGGCAAACCACTGTGCCTTAGAAGAAGAGAAGTGAGTGGGAAGAGGTTCCAGTATTTGAGCAATCCCTGGGTGACCAGCCTGGCTGGACCCTCCCACCCCCATGCCTGCTCTCCATGTTGTCACTCAGTGTGGGCACTTCCTGATCCTCAGTGGCATTCAGCATTTTGCACACTCTCTCCTTCCTGACTTTTCTCTTAAATCATTGACTCCTTCTTAATCTTTTGCCAAGGGCTCTCTCTCTTCTCAACCTTTAGCTGTTGAGGTTTCTCAGGGCATGGTCTTAAGTTCCCTTCTTTTCTTAATCTATATTCTGTCACTGGATGATCTATACACCCCAAAGCTAGAATGCTACCCCTACGATGATGGCTCCCAAGTGTAGATCTCCATTCCTGAATTTTTCCCGCGCTCCTGACTCATAGATGTAAGTGCTTACTTTGTATTTCTGCTTGGTTATTCTGTATGCGTCTCAAAATTGACAGGTTCAAAACTGAGCCCCTGGTCTTCTTACCTGGACTGCACCCAAACCTGTTCCTCCTTCAGTCTTTCCCAGCTGCTTCTGGAAATGGTGGCTGCTGCTGCACAGAGACTTGGCTATAGCCATGGTGTCCCCAGTGGCTCCCGCTTCACCTCTTGCTTGCTTCCTCTAATCCATTCTCCACACTTTAACTAGAGCAATATTTACAATCTGCAAATTGAATCTTGTCACTCTCTGCTTAAAAATCTTTAATGCTTCACTCTTAGGGCAAAAGTCAAAACCTGTCACGTGGTCTCAGAGGCTTGTGGGGTCTGCTCCTGCCCACACACCTCCTGTCCCTGTCTGGGGACACAGTCCCTCTCACTCTCTATCTTTGTGTCTGAGACAACAATCAGGCTTTTCCTATATCAGAACCATCTTTTGTTTTCACTATAATTTTTTTCTTTTTGTCACCTGGACAACTCCTCCTACCTCTCCAGTTTCAGATTAAATTTTATTTTCTCATGGAAGATTTTCCTGATCTCTAATCTAAATTAGGTTCTCCAATTCATTATTTTATATAACCTAGAACTTTCTTTTGTTGAATGTAACAAAATTTAGAATTATGTATTTATTTTTGTGTATTTCTTATATTGATTGCCTCTTTTACTAGCTCATATGCTCTGAGTGCAGGGACTGTGTTTGCTTATTTATCATTGCATACCCAATACCCAGTATAGAGCTTGGCATGTAATAGGGGCTCAAAAATACTTGCTGAGTAATAGATTAATGAAAGGAAGTTTGCCTTGATATTAGACTGAACTTTGCTGAATGGGAATAGATTTTGAATGCTCGCATCAGCTTTGGAGGGTAATGTGAAGAGCATCTAAACTAGGCTATCTCAATTGTTATCTCTGAGATCTCGCGTAGGTTAATTTCTTTGAGCCTTAGTTTTTTGTCTATAAAATAGTCATATTAATATGACCTCCTTCTTTTGCTTGTTATAACGGTTATAATAGCAGCTAATATACATAAAGTGCTTAGAAAATATCTGCCACATAATATTCACCATTATTATCACTTTTAATATTATTATTTCCACTCTCTTCCTGGTGCAGGAATCACTCTACAATACCTTTGGCAGATAGTTTTGCCATCCTAGTGATGGGGAACACTCCTCTTGAAATCTCTAGCTACTTTTAATGAAATCCAAACTATTTACTATAGAATTGGCTTCACTATCATGTAAATCTATGTTAATAGTAACTATCTGCTAATAGTAATAATCATATTAACCCTTCACATTTTACAAATTACTAAATACTTCCACAAATACCTCATTCGATCCTGAGGACAGCCATCTAGGATGGGTGGGTGATCATCAGTGCAATTTTACAGATGCAGAAACTGAGGCTGGGAGATTTGCCAAAGATCATGCAGCATTTACGTAATCCAGGACTTCATTATAAAAAATCTCCAGAAGAGCTGATTGTTCACTGAGGGTGCATAAAACTATTCATTGGGAGCAGAAAGAAAAAATTTGAATTTTTTCTTTATGTATTTTTATCTTTTCTTTTAAAATTGTCTGTATTTTGTGTTTGTCTTTTAACTTTCATGATGTTAGAATGACAGTACATATCTATTGCTTCTAAATAATATGTATGTATTATATGATGAACCCCAATAGAACTTTCAACTCTTTATTAAAATATGCATTCAGAAAAGTGCATATATTGTAAATGTCCACCTCAATGAATTTTCACAAACTGAACACAACCAGATAAGCAGCCCCCAGATAAAAAAATAGAATGTTACCAGCAACACAGAAACCTTCCTTCTTCTCCCATCCAATGACCACGCTACTACAACCAACACACACACAACCACGTTCTTACTGTCTACAACAGAGATTTATTTGGCCAGCTTTTGTACTGTACATAAATGATATAAATGGAACTATACAGCGTGTTTTATGTTGAACCCTATGAACAGTTTTTGACCTCCATAAATGGCAATTTCATATGTTTCATCCTAATGCTTTTTTATGTGTCTTTTTTTTGGCCACTTACTTTATGTTTGTGAGATTCATCCTTATTGCTGTGTGTAGCTGTAGATCATTTGTATACATTGCTGTATGGAATTCCATTGTCTGAATATACCACCGTTTATTTATTCATTGATGGGTATTTGTATTCTTTCTGATACTTGGATATTATGAATAACACTAGAATAAACATTTTTTTTTGAAAGAAGTAAGCCTTCATTTCTTTGTTTTGCAAATAAAGCTGGCTGAGTTGGTTGCCTTTTGGTGATTAGTCAAATAGGCCAAATCCCATATTCTCATCCAACTCCTCCAACTCTTCTTGGCTTCAGCCTTGGCTGGAGCTGCAGCAGGAGCAGCAGTGGTGGCAGTGGCCCCAGGGGCAGCAGCCACAAAGGCAGATGGATCGGCCAAGAAGGCCTTGACCTTTTCAGCAAGTGGGAAGGTGCAATCAGTTTCCACAGACAAAGCCAGGACTTGCTTGTACCCATTGATGGTAGAATGAGGTACTGATGCAACAGTTGGGTAACCAATCTGCAGGCAAACACTGGCAACATTGCGGACACCCTCCAGGAGGTGAGAATGCAGTTTCCTATGTGATGTCAAGCACTTCAGGGTTGTAGATACTGCTACTGTCAAACAGCTGCTGGATAATCATCCCAAAGGAGAAGGGAGAGATGTTCATTCAGCATGTTCAGCAGTGTGGCTTCACTGGCTCCCACTTTGTCACCAGTCTTGATCAGCTGCACATCACTCAGGATTTCAGTGGTGATGCTTAAAGCCTGGAAAAAGGAGGTCTTCTTAGGCTCCAGACCGGTGTTCTGGCCTGGGACAGTGACTTCACATGGGGCAATGGCACCAGCATGGGTGGCAGCTGGCACCTTACTATTCAGCAGCATGTCCCTGAACTTAGTGAGGTCTTCCTTGGTGAACGCAAAGCCCACATTTCCCTGGATATGAGGCAACAGTTTTTCCAGAGCTGGGTTGTTTTCCAGGTGCCCTTGGATGGCCTTGCACATCATGGTGTTCTTGCCCATTGGCACCATGGCTTTCCCTCAGAGGGACATGTGGATCTGCTGCATCTACTTGGAGCCCACATTGCTGCTTCTACAATGAAACATTTCAGATAATGATTGAAAAATTGGATGATCTGAAGGAAGTAGTTGGACTTCCAGGTTGCCCTGTATTCCCTGG
This sequence comes from Homo sapiens, assembly GCF_000001405.40. Classification (NCBI taxonomy): domain Eukaryota; kingdom Metazoa; phylum Chordata; class Mammalia; order Primates; family Hominidae; genus Homo; species Homo sapiens. The sequence continues at coordinate 153,225,083 of NC_000001.11, read as the reverse complement.
GCAGCCTGGCAGTGTGTCAGGGGTTGCCATGCAGGGTTTAAAGGTGATGCCACTTTCACAAGGATGCCTGATGAGAGCTAGAATGAACATTCTAATGTTTGAGTTTTGGTGACCGTATGCGGGGCAGATGCCTAGGAGAGGAATTGTTCAGTCATTGGCTGTGTATACATTCTACTTTAGTCATGACCGTCAAAGAGTTTTCCAAAGTGGTTGTACCAATTTGCACTCCCACAACCTCACCCACACTGTGATTCTGTCTTCTTACTTTTATCCCCTCCAGTCGGTGTGTTGTGGTATCTCTTTGAGGTTTTCATTTGCATTTCTCTGATGAATAATGAGAGGTTGAACACCGTTTTTATATGTTTATTGGTGAGGCTGAAATATTTTTATTACCAGGATGTGCAACATAAAAACTTTTAGGACTTGGGAATTGTAGGATATTTTCTCTAATTGCTTAGACTAGTTTTTTCTTAGACCATTGTAAGGAAAAGGAAGTTCCATCTTCTGGTGCTGGGACAGAAAAGGGGAGCATATGAAAGGGAGGTGAGGACCTCCGCTTTTCATCTTTGCCAGAGTCTGCTCCGGGTTTGACAAGAAGCGTGTTCTGTACCCAACAGCCAGTTTTCTCCTGCCTTGCTGTGATGTTCCCCAACCCTGGGGCGGACATCCCTTCAGGGACTGGCTGACAAAGGCTATTTTACTGTATTCAGAGAGAAGCAAAATCTTGTGGTAACCTATAAGCAATTCAAGTGCAAGAGTAGGTGATAATTAAAGATTAAAAGCATTGCATCCACACTTCCTATAATCTCAGCTACTTATTTGGTCTCTGCTTGCATATTTCATGGATGGTGGGATCACTACTTCATGAGCAGCTCATTTCATTTGCTGGGCCATTTTATTCCTGATATGAGCAGAATCTGCTTTTCTGTGCCCAGAACTCACTGATCCATGCTATTCTCCTTGGGATCACAAAGAATATATCCACTGCCTCTCTCTTTGACATTTGACAGGCCTGAAGACAGCCACTGTGTGTCTCTAAGTCTCCTCATCTCTGGATGAAACGCCCCCTTCCTTCAGCCACAGCTCATGTGACAAGGTGCCCAGAGACCTCGCTCTTTTTCTCACATTAATTTGGATGAACTAAAAGTTGGCCAGGGTCTACCTTCAAATGCAGCATCCGAGTTAAGGCTCCAGGGGCAGTCTGACCTGCAGTACTCCCTGTACCTGCTGTTCTCTTTGCGCTGATACTTACCCCGATCCCACATGGATGGCTCCTCCTATTGTTCATGTCGCTACTCCGACATCCCCATCTCAGATCGGCCTTTCCACGCTACCCGAGCTAAAGAGCACCCCTCTTCTCTGGTCTCTCCTCACCACTTTGTTTCATTTTCTTCATTTTCACTTTCTTATTTATGCATTTGCTGAGTTGCTTTTTGTCTGTCTTCCTTCTCATGTGAGCTCTGGGAGGCAGGGATTCTGTGTATCTGGTTCGCTGCTGTAACTCCAGTGCTTGGCTCATAGGAGATTCTGTGTCACTTACTCTCACATAGGAGAAATTTGTTTTAAGGGAACAATAGAAGTGGTGGAGTCTAGATTTGAATTCCAGAAGTCTGATTCCTGAGCCTATGTCCTGAACCATTATTCGTGTTGCTCCCACCCTATAAATAGTGTAACTCTGTCTTGCACATATAGCCTTCCTCTGACTCTGTTAGATGCTGCATCTCTGTACTCTTGTCTTCTCCACATGGAGCACTGACGGCCGGAGTGTGTGCGGCCATCTCCAACTCAGGCCAGACTGGGTGTGATTAGTAGAAGGCCAAGTGCCTCTATGGCCAGCAGGTGGTGCTGTTGGGAAGAGAAGAGAAACGGTCCCCAGCGGCTTCTAAAGGAGGAAAGACAGGTTATGAGGCTGGCTTGGGAACCGGGTGATGAGGGAGGTTGAGTTGAGAAGGCCCTGCCAGCTGGCCACTTATTTTCTTTCAACCATTTTCAGATGTGAGGCAGGTGTCCGTAGGAGAGAAGGAGAGCAGGAGTGGACAAGTCCAGATCTGCTGTCGAATAGGGGTGGTGGCCCCCACGATACCACTTCTCCTGGTCAAGACCTGCCAGTTCATGCTGAAACAGGCCTAGGCTGGGAACCTGCTCATTGATCTAGTATTTGATCACCCCTCACCAGCCCCTGCTGCCCCCACCCCTGCTCATGGAGAATGTGGCTATGGAGGGGGCAGGCAGTGGGAACTAGGCCTCCTGGGTTTACAGTTTTCCAGAAAAATCCCTTGGGCTATAAGTTCCTCCAGCATGGAGGGCCTCATCTGCTTTCCCTCTGTGCTCCCCCACCTGGAACAAAGCATCATGTCTTATACACACAGGTGCTTAGGGCAACCAACCATCCCAGTTTGTCGGGGACTGAGGGAGTTCCCAGGATTCAGAACTTTCAGTGCTAAAATTGGGACAGTTCCAGGCAAATCAAGATGAGCTGGTTACCCTATCAATAAAAGAGATTGTCCAGGTGGTCTAGAAGCCAGCACCCCGCTTTGTCTCTGCTCAGGGGGCATGCTGGTGGCCAGCCGTACAGGTGTCTCAGACCTCACTGTGATGGGCCCTGTGAAGTCAGGCAAGAACACAGCCAGCCCCAGGAGCTGTCATCTGGGCTCTCATGCTGACAGGAGACATGTGTCATTCAAATACAGGCAGCTGGTAGAGGGCTGCAGACCCCTGCGGCCACTGCAGCACAGAGCCCAAGCTGCAGTACTTAGGAGCTAGGCTGAAACCATGGAGGGCTTCCTGGAGGTCAGGTTGAAACCCCTGGTTTGGCTGAGACAAACAGGGGAGAGTCCTGGGTGGGAGAGAGGAAGGTGAAGGCAGAAAGGAATCTGCGATGGGTTGTCAGGTGGAAGAACAGGCGGATCACTTTGGTACAGAAGAGAAAGGGTATCTGGATGGTAAATAAATGAGATGTAAAAGGGAGCGAGCACACTAAACCCAGCTGGGAAGAACGAGATTAGAAAGCAGTGAGGAATTACTGTAGGGTGCTTCTCAGGGCTGAAGCATTTGTGGGTCCAAAAACATTAAGAAAACCCCAAATCTGGGGGAGCCTCTTCCCATGACTTACCTGTCTTCCTCCTTTCTTTTAGTTTCAAGCCATGGTCACACATTCTGCTGGTCCCCAGAAGTTTGGGCCCCCCGAAGAGCCTCCCAGCAGTGTTCTGGAAGCCAGGGAAACTTCCTGTCTCCTGAGCTTGCGGTCAGGTCTTCTGAATCTCCCTTCGTGGGAGGCTCCCTGCCCCTGGGTCCCATTTCCACGTACAAGTTACAGTTAGAGGAGTCACAGTATTTGATGGATTGGGAGGAGCTGGTTGTCATCTACTGGCTTGCAAACCTCCAGTTCATGGGACACAGTGCATCTAAAGGCAGCTCCTGTCGCAGTCCAATAGATCTCATTATAAGAAAGTTCTTAAACTGAGCCCAATTTCATGATTTCTGCCCATGGGTCCTAACTTTGTTCTTTGGCACTTCACAAAAATCTCACTCCTCCCTCATAAAAGCACTTAAAATATTTGAGTTCAGCTGTCCCACTCCCTTGGGTATTTTCTTTTGTAGACTAAATATTTTTCAACTCTTCCTGATGTGAAAGTCTTTCAGGCCACTGCTCTGCTTGCCCACCTCCTGGCACTGTCGCAGGTTTCCAGAGTCTGGCTTGGCATAGTAGTTTCTCCATAAATATTTTGAGTGATTGAGTGAATCCACAGCTCCTCCTGTGAATTCCTGTCTGTTTGTATTTTTTCCTCTTGGCATATGGGGCCCACAGATCCACTATTGTCTCATGTTGAGTTAACTGTTAGCTAGAACCCCTAACATCCAGGGCTTTCCTTGGTAAGGCCCCTCCCTACTTCCTGAAAGGCTCAGCACAGAAGCGGCAGCTGGGGAAGTCTGAATGCTGTGTCCTAGCTGTCCCTGTGGCCTCTGTGGCTGTGGACCTGGTCTGTGTCTTAAGAGACCAGGCTGCAGCAGCAGTGGCCCAGGCAGTGGCTGGGGCAGACCTCTGTGAGGATGAGGAGGTGTGGAGGTTCCTATGACAGAGCTAGATGAAGGCCTGCTGGCTGCTTGGCGTTTGCTCTCCTATCTGCAATCTGCAGACTTGTCCCCTTCCTAACCGTAGAGGCCTCCCCTGTAATCAGCAGATTTCCCCTCTCTCTGATAAGTCTGGACTCTCCCTGTTCATTAGCCTCGTGCTTCCTTTAATGCCTGGGTGTCTGATCTTGGACTCCAATCTGTGCATGCCTTTGATGCTGGAGAACAAAGATGTTTCTTGGACTTGAGCCAAGCTGGAGAAGAGTCTGTGAACAGAAGCTTCACTGATAGGAAGGCCTCTCTGGCACATCTCCGCAGGATGGAGCTCTGGGAGCTGCTGGCCCTGGGGAGCAGCTGGTTTATTCCAAGGTTGGAAAATGGATGAGAAAACCTATTTCGACTAGGCAAGGAGGCAAGAGAACTGTGATTCAGGCATCTGGAGATGTTCAGGGACTTGAGATATCCAGGAGGTTTTCAGAAAGGTATCCTTGGTGCATGTGGCCTGCAGAAGAGACAGCTCGTAACTCTGCACAGGGATACTGACTGCCTGGTTCACCACTGTCTCTCCAGTACCTGGCATGGTGCCTGACACCTGGTAGGTATCAGGGAGCATGTTTTAGGTGGATAAATGAATGAATGAGTTTCTGGAAATCTCTTCTGTATGCCATAGCACTTTCATTACAAAAGTGAGAGCTCCATTCTGGAGTCAGAGGGACTTGGGTTAGCATCCTGACTTCACCACTTACTGGCTTTAGGACAAGTTCCTAAGCAAATGGGCAGCACAGGAACTCCCCAAGGCTGCTGTTAGAATCCCCATAGAGAATGTGCATGGAGTTCAGGGCCTGGTCCATGTCACCCACAGACTCAGTGACCCTCAGTTTAGCCAAATGACTGAGACATAGAGCTCTACACGCCCTACAAGGAGGGGCTGTCCCGGCCCTCCACCTCTTCCTCATGAGGATTGAGAAGGGAGGGGGCACCTGTAGAATGGGTAAGAAGCTACATCCCCCCTAGGAAGCTGGTCCTTGGCATAGCTTCCTTTGGGCTCAGGTCGGAGCTCGGGGCACTGCCGAGGGAGCAGCCTGTGGTTATTTCATGTCAGTACAGTGCCCTCTCCACCCGTTCACAAACCCCAGTGGCCACTGCCTGTGTTTCCTCCATGGGTGGGGGGCAGCAGGCCGGTTACCCAGGCCCCAGGCCTACCTGAAACCTGGCCAGATGGCAGGGCAGACAGTTTTGGTCCTCGAGTCTGCATTAATCTCAGAGGCATGCTTTGCTCTCTCCTTTGACACAGATGCTATGTTTGTAGGTGTTATGAATTGATTTGGGATCCCTCTTCCACACATCTCCCCTCCTTTCCATTTCAGCCTTTCCCTTTGGAAAGCAAGGATCAGAGAGGAAAGATGCTGTAGTAGAAAGAACCTGGACCTGAGGTTTTGAGTGTGGGCAGGTCCTAGCCCCTTGCTGGATTTTCTCATGTGTGAAGTGCACAAGTGGGTGAACCTAGGATATGTTGTGGGTGGGGTGGTCTCAGTGACCTTCAGGAAGCCTCTTTCAGAACTGCTGTTTTATGCACCGGTGAGGTCTGTGTTTTATTCCTGTTTCAGATTACTCCCCTCCCCCACCAAAGGAGAAGACAGTTGTCACAAGGACAATGAGGGGTTTGATGGTGGAGAAAAGAGAGCACACGTCAAGTCAGATATCAGCCTTAGGATCAGCTTTATTATGTATTTTACCTTCACCAGGGAGAAGAAGGCAAGGAAGCTGGAGAACAGACCAGCCTGCATCACACAGACACAAATCACATCTCTAAAGAGTGTACATGGTGAGAACTAAGGGCCCACATTAGACCAGCTATGAAGCACAGAGATTGACAAGGGCACCAAACATCCATCTTATCTTTCCCTTCTGGTTGTTTGGATTCAATCGTTTACATACTTTCGGTTCATTTTAAAAAAGCACAACCAACATTTCAAAGTTCAATAATTTGCTGTTCTTTTTAGTGTACAGAGACAAAATCACCAAATTTTTGATTTTTGAAACACCGCAAGCCGCTTTGTCTCAACACCTGTGGTGGTGGTGGTGGTGGAGGTGGTGGTGGTGGTGATAAGTGGAAAGTCCATCAGAATTCAGTTTGTTTTGAGGCTTATTTGAGAGCCTGAAACTCTGAAAGATGAATGAAGGTATCCTTGGCTGTTACACACCCAGAGCTGGGTGAATTTTTGCACCAAGGAAGCTGTGCTAGGCTTCTGTGGTCTTCCCTGACAACCACACCATTCCTACATTTGAGACCTTCCATCAGACTGCTGAGAACAATGCTTATTCACAGAGGGTGATGAAATACAGAAAGAACTGTCTTCAGAGACACAGACCAAGTCCTGGAATGCTAAGGAAGCCAGGAGGCAAGAAGGTACATTGCACACAGAGGTACCCACAGAAGAAGGTCACCAGAGCGTGGGCTGGGGTCAGGGTTTCATCTGCTGGCCATCTTCTTGAACCCAGATGACATATGAGCAGCTACTTTCCCTTGCCAGGGGATGAGCACTTCTCCTGGACTTTCTGTGGGCAAACCTCCACACATTTTGTCTGGAATAGCTCCTGGCATGGCTCTGCACACTGAGGTGGACACTGGTCTTGGCATGGAGGTAGGTATGGCTCTTGGCCTTGCTGTGGGCATTTTTCTTGACTTGATTCCTGGCACTGAGAAAGACATACCTCCTGGGCCTGCACTAGACACTTATCTTGGCAGGGGTGCTGGCATGTGGGGAGGCACACCTCCTCAGCCTTTGCTTGGCACTGCTCCTGGGTCTTTGGGAGGCATGGAGGGGGCACACATGGCTGCTTGCACTGCTGCTCACTGAAGGACATCCTAGGGTGATTTGCAGAGCCTGAAAAAAACACAAGATTCGAAATTATCTGTATTAAAAATATCAGCATGGGAACTGGGGAATGAAGGGTTGAGAAAGAGGAATGAGGAGTGGATGGAAGAACTAATGGAATGGAATGAGGAGTGGAAGTAAGAACTAATTTCTTGGCTGCTTTTTATCTCTTTCTCTTTTCTATCCTGGCTGCAGCTCCCTGTGGCACCTGTCTCCAAAGTGGGAGTGTTCTCCTGGCCTCTGTCTAGACATCCATAGCTCCAAACCCCAGTCTTACCACAGGTTTTTTTCCCTTCTCTTCTAGTCTACGAATCCTTTTGAAAATCAGGTGCAAGAGACTAGACTAGATAGGCAAATTCTAGTCTGGATAGAATATACAGGATAGTTTGTGAGGCCCAAGAAATGGCAAACCACTTAAAAAATCAGTAGAAAGTACAGTCCATAAGAGGAACAGAACAGCGGCCGCCTAAAGACAGAGTAACAGGGAGAGAGAGGGCACAGATGCCCCACTTACCTGATCTTCAACAAGACTCAACAAAGGCTGTGGACTGTGAAGCCCAGCAAGGTGGGACTTTTATATGTTGCTTAGTCCAGCCTCCCGCGGGACTGACTGGTCACATGGGCTGTGGTATTAATTGTGGAGTCACCATAACAAGCTTCCTCTGAAATTGCCGATGGTTTGAGTCACTGCTTGGGATGCCTGTTAATCAGACTGCATTTTGGCCTGTGGGTCCTCACCAGACCTCAGCAGGGAGGGGCTTCTCTCAGATCTCTCTCATCAGAGGCAGCAGGAAAAGAATGTTCATAAAGTGTTATCTCAGTCTGTTCAACCAGGATTCCTTGTCTGCCCAAACTGGTACAGGATGTGGTGAGAGATAAGATCCACCTTGCTCATCTCATCTTCACCAATGGGAAGATTTTATGCCTAAGGCCTGGGGCCTCTCTGGGTCAAGGGCTTGTATGGCCTGTTGCAGACACTTCTTCATCAAGCCTAGAAAGTCACCCTTCAGATGCAAGGATGAAGGCTCGTCCTGTGGTTCCAAGCGAACAAAGGGCTTTCAGCCTGCTGAAGAGAGTGATTTTCCTGCGTGATGGTCTTGAGGGAAATTGCGGTTCATTTGTTACTCTTGGGTTGTGAAGTGGGGTGAAGGGGAAGAGAGAGGAAGGAGAAGGCAGACAATCTTCATCTTCTCAACCTTGATTTATGACACCCTTATGAAAGTGGAGTTACTCACAGAGTTTTCATAGTGACCAGGAGAACAGGCTGGAACAAAGTTAACTTGTCTCTTTGCCTTCTGGAAAACGTTTTCTTAGAACTCAAGTCAATAAAAGTCAGGGGATGAAAGGAAAAGTTTCAAAGCAAACACACCCAGTTTTCTCTACCTCTACTTTCTAGTTTGGGCTGTTAGTTTTTACCTGGTGTGTTCTCCCTGTGCCTGTGGGAATCCTAAGCATTCTGCAAAGCTTTACTCATGTCTACCACCCTCTGAGAGCCTTTCCTGATTACTCTAAACCAGAAATGAATCCACCTCTTTATGCACTCCCATGGTATCTATTATTTATATTATTCATATGACATTTACTATTGAAATTAGGACTTTCCAGATATTTATATATAGATCTTATTTTTTCCTGGGTTATAAGTTCCTAGAGGATAGGTACTATGCCATAGGTATAGTAAGTGGAAGATGATGGAAGACAAATGATTATTGATGGGGTAAATGTATTAATGAAGGAATACAGAAGGTGGATGTGGGAGAGCTGGGAGTAGAGGAAAATCTCATTTAATTGAAAATGGGAAAAGATTTACTTTGAAAGAAGCCCCCATTTCCTTAAAATGGTGGTTCTGTGTTTGCTGAAGTTGACCAAATTCAAGGGTCTTTAAATATGATGATGTTCCCTTCCTTTCTCCTTAATTTAAAGTTATGTTCTCACACACAGGGGCCTGTTGTGGGGTGGGAGGAGAGGGGAGGGATAGCATTTGGAGATATACCTAATGTTAAATGACGAGTTACTGGGTGCAGCACACCAACATGGCACATGTATACATATGTAACTAACCTGCACGTTGTGCACATGTACCCTAAAACTTAAAGTATAAAAAAAAGTTATGTTCAATCTCTTAACTTGAAGGGGTAGGTTTAAGTCATTTCCTAAGAAGAATATTTGGCTAAAATCAAAAATGTCTCAAATGTTTATATAGGTTTTGGATGCTTGATACCTGAAAAGTTTTTAAAAGGTAAGCTGGGGAGATCAGGAAGCATTTTTGACCTTTGAGACTGGTTCTCAGAGGTTAATGTGACATCACCATGAGCCCCATTGAGGTCCTGGCAGTAGACAGAGGCCTGAGAGTGGAAGGACTTGGAATACCCAGGTGTATATCTGAAGAGAAAAAGTCATTTGGGGCATCTGGGAGAGTAGGTGTAGGGTGGGGAGACTCATCCTTCTTTTTCTCCTCCTTTTTCATCTCCTCCTTTCAATTCTCTTCCTCTTTGTATTTTTCATCTTTTCTTAGAATGCTGTTGAAGAGACAAAGCAACTCTCCTGTGTCCTAGAAAGCAAGGAATTCATCACAGATTTTAATAATATGTTCTTTCAGTCACTCATGGCCCCTATGTGATGTCGATGCATTTCCCTTCCAAAATGACTCACAGTTCCATGGAGAATATGGCCAGAGGTAAGCCCCTGTGCTCCAGAAGAAGGCCTCTTCCTTGGTTTTGGGTGGAAGGTCATGGAAGGCTCCTGGGGGAGGGGATGTCTGTGCTTTGTCTTACCGGACAGTATGAGTTACCCAGGCAAGGACGGTGGACAAGGGCATTTCAGGTGGCCTCTAGGAAAGAATCCTTGTTGGGAGGCTGTTGAAGTACAGAGATACAAGTGAAATGAAAGGATAGATGGAGGCCAGCTTAGGAAAGGAATGAGCAAGAGAATCCGGGAAGAGACCTTCTTAGCTGGGATTTCTGGAAGTTTCCTGTGACAGGATGCATGAGATGACCTTGCTCATGTCATGTATGCCTGTGACTTTGGTTAAGCCCCAGGACAAGGAGACTAAATAGAAATGTGCAGAACAAGAGACTAGATCGTGTTCTCATGGAGGGGAGGTGAGCCCAGTTAGGTAGAGCCCAGAGTTTGACTCCTCTCACTGGATGCCCTGCCTGCCATCAAGTTGATTCATGACAGTGGAACAATCTTGAAATTGACCCCAAAGTCCTTCTGTGGTAGGCAGAATAATGGCCTCCTAGATATGTTCGCCACCTAATCGCTAGAATTTGTAAACACGTTAGGTTACTTGGCAAGAGAGACTGAAAGTAGTGAATAAAATCAAAGTTGCTAATCAGACTACTTTAAAATAGGGAGATTATCCTTGATTATCCAGGTGGGGCCAACATAAGTGTACGGCTCTTAAAAGCAAGAAGAGTCTGTCAGAGTGATGTGATTTGAGAAAGACTTAACTGGCCATTGCTGATTTTGAATATGGAAGGAGTCCACGAGCCGGAAATGAGGGCGGCTTCTACAGTCTGGAAACAGATTCTCCAGTAGGACCTCCGGAAAGACGTGCAGCTTTGCAGGCACTCTATTTCAGTCTGGTGAGACTTCTGTCAGCCTCTGAGCTCCAGAACTGTCATAGGATTCACTTTTGTTGTTTTAAGCCACTAAATTTGTGGTAACTTGTCACAGAAGCAGTAGAAACCTAATAACCTTCCTAGTGCTGGAGGCTCTTGGGAGCTCTTGAGGAAGGGAGCCTCAGATGAAGAATAAAATCTCATTTACCATTCCCTCATTTAAATATATTCCTACTTGTCATGTCAGCATCCTCAATCAAAGGCTAGCTTTTGATAAAGAGGCACTGAGCTGGGCGTGGTGGCTCACGCGTATAATCCCAGCACTTTGGGAGGCTGAGGCAGGTGGATCACTTGAGGTCAGGAGTTTGAGACCAGCCTGGCCAACATGGTGAAACCCCGTCTCTACTAAAAATACAAAATTAGACGGGCGTGGTGGCGGGCTCCTGTAATCCTAGCTAATGGGGAGGCTGAGGCAGGAGAATCGCTTGAACCCAGCAGGTGGAGGTTGCAGGGAGCTGAGGTTGTGCCATTGCACTCCAGCCTGGGCAAAAAGAGTGAGACTCCATCTCAAAAAACAAAGCAAAACAAAACAAACAACAACAAAAAAGAGCGACTGAGATATATGGAGAAAGAACTCAGGATTCCATTCATCTGGGGTTGACTATCACATAGAGTATATGCAATATTGGATAAGTGATTTAACCTCTCATAATCTCAATTTCCTCTTGTTGAGAAAGGAAAATACTATTTCACAGATTTCTTGTGAGGAATAAATTAGACAATGTATGCTCCAAAACTTAGGGCCATCAAGCTACTTATGAATATTAGTGCAATCTGAATCAGTTCAGGACTCACCTCCTCCATGAAGCCTTCCTTGATTTCCCTGGTTCTTCTTGTTCTATGTCCTTTGCTCTGTCCCTCCAATACTTGGTCTTTGACTTGAATTTTTTTTTTTTTTTTTGAGATGGAGTCTTGCTCTGTCGGCCAGGCTGGTGTGCAGTGGCACGTGATCTCGGGGCAGTGCAACCTCTGCCTCCCAGGTTCAAGCGATTCTCCTGCCTTAGCCTCCCAAGTAGCTGAGACTACAGGCACATGCCACCACACCCAGGTAATTTTTGTGTTTTTAGTAGAGACGGTGTTTCACCATGTTGTTCAGGCTGGTCTCGATCTCTTGATCTTGTGATCCACCCCCTTGGCCTCCCAAAGTGCTGGGATTACAGGCGTGAGACACTGCACATTTTTCTTTAAAACAGGTTCAAATTCTGCCATGTATTTATCTCTCCACGTGTGTGTGTCATAGAACATCTAATACATGCCCAAAGCCAAACTCCTGATCTTGCCTCAAAAACTCCTCCTACCACAGTCTTCCTCAGCTCAGTAAGTGGCCTGGCCTCATCATCTTTAAAATAGGAAAGTTAGACTTTCAGTCAGGTCCATCACATCTCTGACATTCTGTGATACTGTAAATGTGATCACGAATGGGTAGCCTGGGTAACTGTGTAACTTTGTAGTGTGTGGACACGTGTGTGGGCACTTTTTCCTTGGTCAGGTTGTAATGTACCCATAGGAAGACCCAGTCTTCTGTCTTCTGCATGCGGCAGTGGCTCACCCAGTGGCTGATTGACCTTAGGTGACCTGTCTTTTCCTAGGTGGGGAGTGGGAGTATTTGGGGCCTGAGTCCTCAAAAATCAATCTTGGTGGCCCAGTATCTGGGGTTGTGGATTAGAAAGCTTTGGAAAAATTGTCTCACCCCAAATCTTAAGATAAGGTGACTAAGTTGTTTCTGTGATCATCCCCAGCCCTCCAGCAAGATTGGAGTTAATCTGATTTAATGACATCTGAGATTTAAGATTTTAGACTTTTGGAGCTGTCATTATTGGGAGCCAGGGCATAATTAGACAGGATCAGCAGAAGAGTCTCAGGTGTGTGCAAGACAGTTTTTTTTTCTCCCATTCCCATCAAATAACTATCTCCTCTGTTCAGATCTTAAAAGTCCTCAGACTCCTCTGACCCATTCATCTGCATATTACAGGGCAATGTCTCTGATAGAGCTGAATGGTGCAGAATTTGGTTTCCTGCAGAGCGGGTGCCCCTGGGCAGCTTGCGAATTCCTGGGAGGAAGTCCACCACTCCTCTCCCTTCCTTTCCTCCTGTGTCACCCACACAGGGGGTCTGAATCAGAGGTGTGAATTCAGGAAAGAGCTGTAAATCACAAGCCCTCAGGGCCAGACGGGACTTGAGAGGCCACCTGATTCTATCTCCTTGTTTTAGCCCCAGCACGTGCTTTAAACAGGAGACACAGAACTATTTATTGACTGCGTTTTTTAGATGAGGAAACTGAGGCACAAAAGTGTCAAAGATCTTGTTCAAGATTACGTGGTCAGCTCATGTCTGGTCTGGGCAATGGTCCACATAAAAAACACTTAGCTATTGTCAATAATGCCGCAATAAACATACGTGTGCATGTGTCTTTATAGCAGCATGATTTATAGTCCTTTGGGTATATACCCAGTAATGGAACCAACCCAAATGTCCAACAATGATAGACTGGATTAAGAAAATGTGGCACATATACACCATGGAATGCTATGCAGCCATAAAAAATGATGAGTTCATGTCCTTTGTAGGGACATGGATGAAATTGGAAATCATCATTCTCAGTAAACTATCGCAAGAACAAAAAACCAAACACCGCATATTCTCACTCATAGGTGGGAATTGAACAATGAGATCACATGGACACAGGAAGGGGAATATCACACTCTGGGGACTGTTGTGGGGTGGGGGGAGGGGGGAGGGATAGCATCGGGAGATATACCTAATGCTAGATGACGAGTTAGTGGGTGCAGCGCACCAGCATGGCACATGTATACATATGTAACTAACCTGCACAATGTGCACATGTACCCTAAAACTTAAAGTATAATAATTAAAAAACAAAAACAAAAACACTTAGCAGACCAGTGTATTGGGGATTCCTTATAAGCTTTGGGAAGACAACAAAGACACAGACCAGCCAGTGGCTGTTCACAGTTTGGGATCACAGGAAATACTCACATGTACATGCCGTCATCTATAGGGTGTTCAGGGACTTCAGGTCAAAGATCACCAACACAGATGGTGGGGAGGAAGGATGTTCCCCAGTTACTTAAATTTGTTGTAGATCTTCAACTTTTTCCCTTTTGAGTTTGATTTCTGGCGAACCTTGGCCTAAATCAGGATTAGAAATCCTGGATGCTTTCTACAACCGACACGCTGTGACTTTGGTTGTTCCCCTCTCTGGACCTTCGCTTCCTCATGTAGACACTGAGGATATTTTAAATGCCACGTTCAGCTCTGATATTCGGCAATATGAGCATCTCCTTCTGGCTCCTACTGTGGGCCCAACCTGGGAATGGGGTGGTGAGGTGGCCCCTAACTCTACTTGCCTTCAGAGATATTTGTCATCCTTTTGTGGAACTCCCTGTTTCTCCCTCAAATGCACTGCTTCTCACAACAGATAGCAGGAAGCTTTTGCTGCAGTAGGTGATGAGTTGTGACTCCGAGTGTGTACATAGATACTAGAGTACTGTTGGCATCTTGGCTTCCTAAGTTCAGTTGCCCACACTAGGGGCTTGATATAAGTTATCTGACTTCATCACCCCACCTTGCCCCTTGGTGAGACTTTTCTTCTCATTCCTCAGGTGAAGAGCTCCCTTCTCCCACTGAGGCGAAGCATTTTGCCCGGCTCCACAGCTGGCTGGTGCAGTGCTTGCTTGGAGCCCATGTCTGTAGGATGCCAAGCCCTTTCCCTTTCCTTGCTGCTGCCCGAGGTGAGGGACCCACATGGAGGTAGACTGCATCTTCCTGGCAAGGCATTAGGAGGGCTGGCAGGATCTGTATCTTGTGGCTGAAGGGGAAAGTGGCCAAGGACAAGACTGCAACAAGGGCCAGGGCTGCCTTTCAGCCCCAGGCCATTCATGCTGAGTCCCCTTCCCCTCTCCCCGCTGTCGCATTCTGGGGATAACTCCATGCCACGAGATTAAGGAGCACAGTGGACAGGGGCTCAGTCCAGAGCAATCCTCTCTTGTTTGGGAAAGTGGCTCTGCAGCCTCTGAGCATCCAATCATTGGTTATTACTGCATGTCAGCGATGCATGCCCGGCTGCCCCTTCTCAAAGGGCAGGCTGGTGGGAGAGTCAGGTTACGAACACGTGGCCAGAATGTGAAGTGATAAGGGGAGGAAGGCATGGAAGCTCTGAGACCACAGAGTGGGGCATCTAACCAGTTTGGGGGTGGGATGTGGGGAAGATTTTTGGAGCAGGTGACCCCTGAGTTGACTTAAAGGATGAGGATTTGCCCAGGAGGATCATTCAGAGGAAGATTCAGTGGAGGCAGAGCAAATGATAGAGAAGGGGGTGTAAAGTCACAAAGGCCAGAGACTCTGTGTTGTGTGCCAGGAAATGCCAGCAGTTACCTGTTACTGGGCTGTAAAGTTCTAGAAGGAGATGGAGAAATGGCCTTATGGCTAGAGAAGGAGTCAGGGGCTTGATTCTGAAGGCTTTTGCATGACAGAATGTTATTTGAGCTGCCCTCTAGGCAAAGGGGAGACTCAAGGATTTTAAGCAAGGACATCATGTATAAATTTGAATTTTAGCAAGACTGCCTTGGCTGGCTTCCACTGGAGTAAGAACTGGAGGAAGGTGAACTTCGAAAGCCAGTTAGGAGGGTTGAATGGTGTAGGTGAGAGATGATGAGCACATTTCTGGGAAAAAGCCATGACTCCTTAGTCTGAGAAGAGTTTCCTTTGAGCCTGGGAGGGAGCATATAGCTCTGGAGATGAGACATATGAGATTTCCTGCACTTGGAAGACAGGTACAGCTGAAAATATCCTGGTATGCATTTTACCATCAGTTTGTATTTTAAAATCTTTATGTGTTTGGCAAACGGCTGAGTGTTTTTACTGATCTCTTTGCTGAGCATCAACCGCTGTGACATGGAAGCAGTTATGACTTATCACTAATAAAGCCTTCTAGAATTTGCCTGTGCTCGTGTGCTGAGCTGCAATCTTGGTCCTGTGGGAACAGGACAGGAAAAATAGGACGTTTGGTAACTGGTTACTTCCTCCCCTCTCCCCAGTTGGCATTCATGCATGGAGTGGAGGATGCAGGAAAAAGATCTCTAAGGTTCCTTTCAGCTTCAAAGCCAGACAACCCCGAGGTTCTGTGCCCAGCCCTCACAGCGCCAGCCCACCTCACAGCCAGTTGCCTGATTTGGGAGGGCTTAGAAGCCCTTTTAGAAGGCTAGCTGTACTCTGCCTGATTCTCAAGAAAGCACAAGGCAAAGGGGTCTGTGGTGGAGGCTCCTTTTGTGACCATCTTAATGGATCCTCAGAACTGCTTTGTCATGAAGGGAGAGGCCTTGGTCCTGCCTGTCTTGTTATCTGGGAGCCATCGAGCCTGGTGCTGCACAGATTCTTGTGATGCCACTCTTCAGGCGTTGCTTATTTATACAGCCCTCTACTGTTTGGGGCAGAACCCTGGTGACTGCCGCTGGGGCTGGGAGTAATTATGGGATTCTGCAGGGAGGTGGCACCCTCATCATGTCCCAACCATTTCCCCAGAATTGCCTTTGATCCAGCTTTTTTTTGGGAAAGTAGCCATTAAGAGATGTCTATCTTGGCCGGGCGCAGTGGCTCTTCTGTCCCTCCTCCTTTTTGACTTCCTGTGAGGTAGAAAGGTTTTCCACCTGTTACCCACAGCTGAAGGGGTTTCCACCTGTTACCACAGTCCCCAGTGCTCTATACGAGACTTTCCCAGCACTTTGGGAGGCCAAGGCGGGCGGATCACGAGGTCAGGAGATCGAGACCATCCTGGCTAACATGGTGAAACCCCGTCTCTACTAAAAATACAAAAAATTAGCCAGGTGTGGTGGTGGGCACCTGTAGTCCCAGCTACTCTGGAGGCTGAGGCAGGAGAATGGCGTGAACCCGGGAGGCGGAGCTTGCAGTGAGCCGAGGTCGCGCCACTGCACTCCAGCCTGGGCGACAGAGCAAGACTCCATCTCAAAAAAAAAAAAAAAAAAAAAAAAAAAAGAAGAGATGTCTATATTTGGTTCCGTTTACATGGGAGAAACAAGACCTAAATTGGAAATGAATGGTTTCATGTTCCCAGAGCTGCCTCCTTTCAGGCTGTGCCCAGAGTTTGCAGAACCACCTGGGAGGGCACAGCCCCCTGACGCGTACTGCCTGGCCTGGGACTGAGATCCTGCCCCTGGAGGGAAGGCATCCACGGCGAGGTGCCTTCGATGTGGTGCATACTTCCTAAGACATTCTTCCTTCCCTGTGTTTGTACATTGAGTAAAATAAAGGACTTTGGGGGTCTCTGAAGTAGTCATGATTATTTCATAAATTGTTGATTATTTCATGATTACTTCTTTTTTAACCCATCATGAAACAAAAACATGTGAAAATCCAGATTAAAATAGAAATAAACTACTAGTTACCTATATCCCCATTGTCTTAAAATAATGAGAATATCTACACATTTCCTTTTGTTATTATTATTACCATTATTATCAAGGAAGGTTTTGGTTAAAGATAATGGCTTTACGTTATATTTTCAATTGAGGCCTTACTTTCTTTAATTCATTTTAATGTATTAAATTAATTTAATACATTGAATAGGTTAATACATTAAAATTAAATAAATTAAAATTTATTTTAATGTTTTAAAATTATTAAATTTAATGTAATGAATTTATTAATGTATTATTAAATTTAATGTCTTAAAACAATGTTTCATCATATAATAGGTTCAAGTTTACTTAATCAAACCTTGTTAGATATTTAAATTGTTTCTAAGTTATGCTGTGATAATCACCTTTATTTATATAGCTCCCCTACCCACCATTTTGCAATTTTTTTTTTGAATAGGTTCTATGAAGTGGACCCATTGGGCCAAAGAGTTGAAGCATCTAATGCTTCTGATGATACATATTCCCACATTCCTTGAATTGTTTTCTAAAAGGATTTTTGTCTATTTATATTCCCACCAACTGTAGTACACTCTTTAGCACTGGGTTCAGGATTTATTATTTAAAAGTGACCATTTAATAGAGGATGGTCTGTTGACCATGGATGAAGACGCCATGTTATTGTTCTATTATCTCTCTCTCTCTCTCCCTTTCTTCTGTCCTTCCTCCTTTTTGACTTCCTGTGAGGTAGAAGGGTTTTCCACCTGTTGCCCACAGCTGAAGGGGTTTCCACCTGTTACCACAGTCCCCAATGCTCTAAACTAGACTTTCAGAGGCTCCTGGCATCCAGTGAGTGCCTCTCTGCAGGGATCTAGAGTATGGGAACCTCAGTGCCTCAGAAGACCCTGAGACCTCAAGGTCTCCTCATGTCACACCTGGAAAACAAGGGGGCGGTGCCTTAAATGTTCCGCCTACTTCACGTATTCTAAAAGCCTGCTCTGTCACCAGCTGACTGTACAGACTCAGGCTGGTGGGGTCCCAGTTATTTTTTCTTTGACACATTTTGGACTCTCTATACTTGCCAAACCCTTCGCTGTCTGAACCATCCTTCAGGCTCAGAAGGATGAGAGCTAGTTTTGTGTAATGGTTCCATAGGGAGCCATCCCAGATTTGGCTCTTCAGTTATCTATTACGATGATAGCAGGGAATCCTTAAATGCTGTTCACTGTATCGCTGCTTATGTGCAGTGCACCGAAACAATTCACAACTGGTTTGTCTGTGCGTCAAAGCTCTGTCATCTGCTTGGCCACGGGGCATGCTCGTGACCTTCTAGGCAATCAGGTTCCTCTCCTGGTGAAAATAGGAATATCCTTGTGCCCAACCTGTCAACAAGCTGGGTATGCAACTGGCCCAGGACCTTACTGAATGGCGGGGTGGGGGGCACTAGGAGAGGATGGGACATATTCTGAGGCATTGTAGAGGCTGGCGAGATGAGAGTGGCTGAGATGGTGAGTGGGTCCCTGATCCCAGGCCTTGAAGTCTTGATTCCTACAGTTCTCCCTTTAATCCTATGCCCTGTTCCCAAACCCTTCTCGGCATGAGCTGATAAATTCTGTTTTGTGAATTAAGCTAGTTTGACACGGACTTTCTCTAACTACTTGTAAATAATCTCCACTAACACATCAGCTATGAAGGCTTTCCCTATTCATTCCTAATTGAGGTCCCAGATATGTACAATATCTAGTTTTTTGTACTTAAGTTTTTATTTTGAAATTTTATAGATTCACAGAGTGTTGCAAAAATAGAGGTTTCATGTACCCTTCACTGGGATTCTTCCACTAGTGACATGTTATGTAACTATAGTTCAGTATTAGAGCCAGGTAACAGATAGTGGTATAATCTGTAACTCCTTTTTGAATATTTTTAAAAGAATGTCTAACTGTATGCTTACAGATGTCAAAGCCTGACTCCTGTGGTCAGGAGATTTACAGGCTAAGAAGAATTACACAAAGCAATGAAGTTCAGGTGTGATGAGTGTTACACTGCGGTGGGTGTGGGGTGCTCCTTCACCAACTCACTATGTCCCTGTAAACCTGGCACTTGGCATTTGTTAACTCTTTTTTTTTTTTTTTTTTTTTTTGAGATGGAGTCTCGCTCCTCTCATGCAGGCTGGAGTGCAGTGGTGCGATCTCGGCTCACTGCAACCTCCATCTCCTGGGTTCAAGTGATTCTCCTTCTTCAGCCTCCCGAGTAGCTGGGATTACAGGCGTGTGCCACGCCCAGCTAATATTTGTATTTTTAGTAGAGACGGGGTTTTGCCATGTTGGCCAGGTTGGTCTCGAACTCCTGACCTCAGGCGATCCACCTGCCTCGGCCTCCCAAAGTGCTAGGATTACAGGCATGAGCCACTGTGCCTGGCCTGGCGTCTGTTAATTCTTTAGCCTCACAACAACTTCATAACAGCAGTACTGTTAGCATCATCATTCCTTTTGCAAAGAGAGGAAAACTGAGACACAAAGAAGTTAAGCAACTTGCCTAAGGTTACAAGGTGTTAGGGAGCAGAGATAGAGTTGCATTAAACCCATGCAGCCTGTACTGAGAGCCCTTCTGCATAAGCATTATGCAACAGGACTAACAGAAAAGTAGTACAATGCCTTTTCCTGAGCCTTCCTGGACCTTTCACCAATATTCTACTCCTCTTTCTCCCTCATACCATCTCTTTCCTGCTTCCTGGCGTTAGACGCTTTCACAGCTGCAACCATATTTATGGATCTCTCAGGCTTTGCTCTAACACAGCCTGGCATTACCTGGGTACACCCTTCAGAAGTGGGCACCTGCCTCTAAGCAGCAGGTGGGGTCAGAGGGAAAGTCAGTTCTCAAAGGTTGTTGAGAGTGCAGGGTTCTAGCCTCACTTCTCAGGGATTGCTTGTTGGTGGTTTAGTGCTGTAAAACAACAAACAAAACAAATCAAAACCCACCAGAAACACCAGGAGAAGTCTTGCACAGCAGAGGAACACGTTTACTTGTCAGTTCATGGTTTCAGTCTCCAGCCCCACAGCGTTGTACATGGTGGAGGTGGCAGTGGTGGTGGGGTTGGGTAGTGCCCACAGTGCCTCACTCTGGGGGAGGGCAGGGAGGTGGGCAAGCATGTGGGCAGGATGAAGGGCATTTAGGAGGACAGGGCT
Source organism: Homo sapiens (assembly GCF_000001405.40). Taxonomy (NCBI): domain Eukaryota; kingdom Metazoa; phylum Chordata; class Mammalia; order Primates; family Hominidae; genus Homo; species Homo sapiens. Next base: position 153,204,933 of record NC_000001.11, on the reverse strand, counting down.
TGGTGCAGGGCTGGGGAGGGCAGGATGAAGGAGACTGCGAGGGGCAGGGCAGGCACTTGGGTGGTGCTGGACACTTTTCCCATGGGCACTTTTCGAAACAGCGTTGCAGCAGCTTCTTTAAACAGCTGGGCTGGCATTTGGACTCACACTTTTGTTCACACTTGGGATCGCAGTTCTTGGGCTCAGTCTTGGGGTCATTTGATTTACTTTTATCATCACTCGACATTGTTTCTTGATTATCTGAGCCCTGCAAAGAAATATGAGATGCATTGTAGGTGGGAGAGGATACCTACAGGCTTCTTACAGCTTATCCTTGTACTTAAGAAAGTCTTCCCTGAGATGCATTCAGGCTCTAGATCATCTTCTCATTTAGGGCCGCCCTCATCCTTGTATGAGTTTGAGATAGCATTTCTTAATCTCTCCACCCTTAACTCTGCTTCCTTTTCACTTATTCTTGCTTCCATGCTATAGACTCTAGTAGGAGTTCTTAACCTATGGTTTTGGACCCCCCACCTCCCCCACCCCACTGAAACTGTATTTCAGTAGAGTTGGTGTCTCTGTAACTCCATATGTTGTATTTAATTCATTTAGAAACATGATTCCAAGGAGTCCCTAAGTTTGACCAGATTGCTCAAGGCATTCATGGCACAATAGAAGTTTCGCTCCTCTAAGGCCACTTCCTGTTCCTCTGAAGATAGATGGGAGGTACACTAGCAGACTTGGGGGCCTAGGACACTGCTTTCAATCCTGTGTCCCACCTAAGTTCCCTGAACCTTGAGAATTGCTTTCTTTACTAGAGGCCATGGGAGGGAAAGTAATTTAATCCCTGCCATGAGTGGGTTCCCATGGGCTACTCTAGAACTGCCCACTCCTTTGTCTCCATCCAGGTTCTGATAAATAATAGGGTAAGGGAAGAAATCAGGAGATGAACCACGAAATTCCAATTTCTCTGAAAATCTGAATGATAGAGCCACAAAATGTGATTTTCAGAAGGGAATTCCTTTTCTCTCCTGTTGAGTTTTGCCCTGAGCTAGGCATTTCTGCACGGACAGTTTAACTCCTAGATATGGACAGGGATTTTCAGTCCCTCACAATACTTCAAGTTGGATCTAATTGGTTATATTTCTTTGATTTCTTTTAACAATATAAAAATAACATTTTAAATTTTGTTTTAAAATCAGTATAGCTCTCTGGGGAGGCATATTATTAAGTTGAACTCTAAAATTGTTGAGACTCTATTCCAAGGTGAAGCACACACCAGTTCTTACCACTGAAAATAACAGGAAACTTTCATTCAAACATGACTTTCCCAACCCTGCTCAGTGCGTGGGGTACTTCAGGTCACTCCCAGGGTAGAAGAGGCCAAAGAGTGGCCACTTCCACCTGTCCAAATGCAACTTACCCCTCTGTGTTGGTGGTGAACTTGACAAGCAGTTGAGTGAGGTGGATGTTATGGCTGTGCCTGGGAAGGTGGCTTTTCCCTTTGGTTCCTCTGCCCAGATCTGAGGAAGCTGGGGGTGGGGGCAGGGGAAATGACCTCCACTTATGAGGTCATTGCAGCATCATCGAGGGGCAATTGTTGTGTGACTCCATAGCTCCCAGCACAACAAGCCCTGAACACCAGAATAGAGCCATGATGAATCACCCCCCTTGGCTGTCCCACCCCTCCCTAGACCCCTCAACATTCAGGCTGGTAAAATGAGGCTGCAGTGAAGAGTCCTGGGCTCTGAGGATGGGAGGCTCATTGTTGCTGGGAGCAGAAAAGCTGGCCCACTGTTGACACATGGTCTCCAGCTCCTCTTCCACCCTCAAAGTTTAATTCCTCTGAACCTGCTCCTTCCCCACCCTTCTAGGAGAGCAACCCTGAATTGATCACTGCCATTTTGACATTCTTCTTTTCTTTATTTTTCTAATGTGAGATTCTGAAACCTCTTCTTACCACCCCACACAATTGGGTTAGCCCCAGATCCTGCCTTAGGGCACAAAGATTTGCCTCTCAGAATTCCTTCCTTGCCTTTTTTAAAGGCCTGACCAGGGTCTTTGTGGTTGGAATGGGGGTGTGTTAGGAGTGGCGATGGGAGGCTGGAGTGCGAAAGGTGGGTAGGCTTAGACACAGGGTGCCTGAACTCAGGTTTAGGAGGTTCATCGTGGCAGTCATCACGAATGAATCTCTAGTGACTTTTGATTAAAATTGTGACATGATTATGCCTAAGGTATTTAAATATTAGGATGGATTGGGAGATGGGGTGGTGAAGTAAAAGTCGAATGAGACTGTTTTAAAGAAATTATGAAAATCTCCACATCTGAAGGAAGGCAGTCATGGGTCTGGGTGCCCATGAGAAAGACCTCATTAGACAGGTAGATTCATGGGACTTATTTACTGACTGTGCAGAAAATTAAGAATTGAAGATGACTCCAGAGCAAAAGGGCTTCTTCCTAGTGTACTAGAAGGCAATACGATGACACCAGGTTTTTGAGAAAAGAAAAGCTTTTTACTGCAACTAGACCATCAAAGAGACAAGAGTTTAGCTTGAATCTGTCTCCCTGTGCTGGCTTTAAGGCAGTCATTTTATTGGGAAAGGTTAGGGATTAGATTCTGGTATTAGTAGGTGACTGGTGGAAGGAAAAGGGAGGGCTGGAAAAAGTCCTCGGGCATGGGAAGTTATCTCTTCATGCTACCTCATGGGTCACATGTGCAGTTTCGGGGAGGGTCAGTATGAAACATGCAGTGGAAATTTGGCTGTGACATCAGCACGCTTTTTCTGTGCAGACTCCAGTCTGCCAGATTGGCTCCAATGACTTCAGCCAATTTTGTTATCTTACAAATGGAGAGAGTTTCAGCATTTCAGCAAGTTGTTCTTTTTTTAAAATCTACTATCATGTAAACTCAAGAATTTGTATTAGTCACTCGTTTGTTTAACTCTTTGGGACAATGTTTCACCAGGTTTTGGGGTGTTAGTATTACTTTTAATGAGAGCTGAGGAAACAGGGGAACAGATTTGTGCTAAAAGAATATGGGTTTAAGTCTGAGAAGAGTTTAGTTAGAGTCAACCCTCTTGGGTGGTTATTGGAAATATGGCTTTGGCCCTTGGGCCACTGGGGAGACCTGAGGCCTTCAGTTCATTTCAGTTTAACAAGTGTTTATTGAATAGAAGATCATGAGTTGAAGATGGAGAAACCTCATATGGGGTTTATTCACAAGGATAAATAATGCCATATTCAATTAAACCTCAAATGAACCTAAATAAAAGAGGAGAATGGGTTGGGATTTAACCCCCTATCACTGGAATAATTGGCGATAGAGTCATAGTCTTTGTGCAGCTCACTCCTTTCATAAGAATTTCCTCTTTCTTCCATAATATTGTTCATCAGCTCTCTCTCCTCAAAGCTGTTGAGAAGCAGCTCTCACCCCCATCTCAGGAGACCCAGCCTCACCTATGTTCAGCTCTGGACCAAAGCTACCAATCTAGATATGGAGATGGCAGTCATTTGTGACAGCAATGTAAAAAATGTAGTGATTTCTACTAGCCATTGTTATCTTTCTCTTTCTCCTTTCTTCCCTCTCCTATTTCTTGCTCAAGAAGTTCTCAGTGAATCAAAGTATATCAGTCACTGGACTTTCAGTAGGACGTTTGCCCATTATCTTTCCAGTCTTTAAAACCTTCCTCTGTAAAGGTCAGCACTCCTGGCAGTGTTACATTTGGTATCCCAGCTACTAGCCTTACCTTTCACTTAGGGTTTGGTGGCTAAGTGACTTCCTTCGCTGGCTGGAAGGAACTACTACTGAGACGAAACACAGAACAGGCTTCTTAGGCTGCTGGGCCTCCACGAGAGGCTGGAAGAAGAGATAAATGTCAAAGCCCGGCTTGCCTAGATTAGGGTTAGAAGAGGACCCTGAAGTCAGATTTCTGGGTTTAAATCCTGCTTTTGCTAGGCGCGGTGGCTCACACCTGTAATCCCAGCACTTTGGGAGGCTGAGGTGGGCGGATCACGAGGTCAGGAGTTTGAGACCAGCCTGGCCAACATGGTGAAACCCCATCTCTACTAAAAATACAAAAATTAGCAAATTAGCTGGGCGTGGTGGCGCATGCCTGAAATCCCAGCTACTCGGGAGGCTGAGGCAGAAGAATCGCTTGAACCTGGGAGGCAAAGGTTGCAGTGAGCAGAGATCACGCCATTGCACTCCAGCCTGGGCAATAGAGTGAGACTCCGTCTCAAAAAAAAAAAAAAAAATCCTGCTTTCATCCTTTACTTGCTGAACAACTCTTAGTAATTTACTTAGCCATCCAGGTCTCGATTCCTTCATCTATAAAATGATATAATGTCACCATCATCTTAAGATAATATATAACTTATGTCGATTGCTCATAACATGCCAGTCATATTTGCAAGTGCAAAACCTACACCCTCATCCATTACAGTGCCTCACTAGACTCATAGAATTGTAAAGACTGGGGATGCCCTGTATGAAGTACCCCCCAAAAATGTTTGTTATTCATATTAGCTATCGTTTTTTGTCAACGCTGGCCAGGTGTCTTCATTGGTTTGCTGAACCTCTCTCTCTGTGTCTTCATTTCTGTCTCATTCTCTCATTTTCTGGTGTTGGCCCTATAATCCCACTTCTCCAACTCAATATTTTCCTCAGACCCCTTCTCCATAGCATTTTTTTCCCCTGCCTTCCAGCCAAAGCTCCTGGTGGCGTTCACAGTAAGATTAGATATTTTAATGTTAACTATTAACGGATGATTTCACTTTTGAGTAGGAAGGGTTGATATCAATGTTATTGATAAAAGATAGTAACTTAATTTAGGCCAAAAAAGTCACTGGGCCATTCAGTGGTTCCTCTCTGTGTGTGTCTGAAGGCCCTGTATGTCTGCATATTGTATCAGCCCAGGGACATGCTATGTATCAGCAATTTTAACTCCATTAGAATCTCCCTCGCTGCTTTTTTGGCAAAGTATTTCTATTTTTTTCCATGCCTTTTTCTATCTCTCTGTGTAATTCTTGTTGAACAAGCAGAACCTGCATGATGGTCAGAAAGCAACTCTATTTCTTCTCTTGATGCCTCTTAAAACCCTCTCTGTGGGGCTGGCTCTTCCCTTTCTCTTGGAATGAAATCTCTAGCAGATGCCCTTGACTTTTAGAATCATGCTAAGAAATCGCATGATTTCTTACTTCTATTTATATAAAAATAACTTCTATTTACATAAAAAAAATCTTATTTCAGTAATCAGAAGGTCTTTCCTTGAATGTTGGATTTCCTTCTCTTTCCTACTTGGTACTACTGCAGGAAGGAAGGCTGCACAGGAAAGAAGAGTATCTTCTCTATTAGCTACTAGAAGTTTTTAATTTTCTTCCCTTGCTCACCCAGCTGCCTCTTGTCCATTTGGGTAGGGGCTGCAAAGGAATGAGAAAGAAAGACCTGAAAACTTTGTGAACTGGCATAGGAGCTTTCTGGGCTTGGCAGGTGCTTATGGCTGACCTTTCTCCCGTGGAGAACTTGAATGTGTCCTTCACAGACTCTCCTCTCCCTGCTGGCTGGGTGTTGGCCACAGTTCTTTAGTATAACAGGCATGTCTGCTTTGTCTAGCTGTGCATGGCTCCTGTAGCGCCTAGGCATTGGCAAGCTCTCCTACAGCTTCTCTTGGCTGGTATTCCTCATCTTCACCTCTTGGACAGGATTTTAGACCACCTGGACAGCCAGTTTTCCCTCCCTTATGGCTCATATCTGGCCCATGGGAACCAGATATACATCCTCCCCTTTCACTGTTTATCAATCACCATTGCGTAAGTTTTTCTTGATATTTGTGTATTTTTGCTCATTCATTATATAAAGGGGGAAGAATGTTCTACGAAATCCTCATGGACATGGTTCAGGGTTTATCCTATTTGACTTTACTGCAGTAATTGTTACAGTTGTGTCCTATATTTTAACCCTCTTCCCTTTTGGTCCTCTGTGACATGGGTAGACTCCCACTTACAGCCTCATCTACTCTCCTTCCCGAGCCCTTTCTCCTCTGTTGAATCCTTTCAACATCACCTGCACCTTCATTTTTCACCCTTGCTGCTGATATTATTATCCACCATTGCTGAAAGTACCAGCTCTGCATAGAGAATCCCAAAGCCCACCCTCTTCCCTGAGCTTTAGGTCCCAATACTAACATCCATTGGATGTACTTTGGTACCTCAAGCTGATTTTACAAAATCAGAGTTCAACACCTTCCACATTTTTCCTAACATGCCCCTCTTGCTCCTCTTATGCGCTCCGACTCTGTGAATAGCATCCTGTCCACCAAGACTTAACAAGAAACCTGGGATCATCCCAGACTCTTGCTTCCTACTCAACCTCACACCAAATGTGCTATCAGGATCTGCAGATTCTACCTCCTGAGCCACAGGCTTCTAAGCCAGGGTGTGTTTGGGAGCTGCAGGCACATTTCTCTCAAGTTGGTCCCCCATTCTCTCACAGCCATGGTTGCTGCCTTTATTGTGGCATCATCATCACAGGTCTCCCTGTCTCCAAAGAGTCTCACCACTAATTCAACCCCCACAGCATTGCCGAAGTGAATTTTATAAAACAAAAGCTTAATTTTACTATTGAATTTAAGATGAGGCCCAAGGCTCTTGGTTGGGTCAACAAAACTCTTACTAATCTGGTGTCTACTTTCAGCTCGGTCTTCTACTTTTACCGTAGATTCTGGGGTAAAGCTACTTGCAGTTTCCAAAATATGCTAGACTTTTTTTATTTTTTTAAACTCCGAGTTTTTGCTCTGCCAGCCGAGTCCTCCCTCTCTCCTCCTCAACCTTGAACTCATAGGAAATTCTCCTTGGGCATGATTTCTCTCACCTTCCCAGGCAGTTAGTTGCCTTAGCCAAGCTCATTCTGAAATTTTTATCCCCATATTTTGTAGTTATTTACTTCCTGATCTACTCTCTCACATGATGTAGTGTAGAGATCAGGAACCAATTACTTTTTAAAATCTCTGTTTCTGCAGTGTCCAGTGTGTGTCTTGGCACATGTTGGCCAGGCAATAGTTAATGCTTCTTGTCAATAAGGAGATGGAATAATATTTCAATGGTTTCGCAATTGCTTTTCTCTCTAACTGGAGTATCCCCCTCCTTTTTGCCTTATTGATATTTATTTTTTATCTTCTATATACAATTTGAAAATTCCACCTTCCATGTGGACTGCTCTGGACCCCCACCCTGCTGCAGTTAAGAGATACCATCTCTGAACATGCCTGATGTGCTCCCCATGGATTGACTCCCCACCTGTTCTGCCGGGGGGCAATGCTGTCTTCTGTCTCATACAGTGCCCTAATCCAGGAAAGGGCTTTCTTATTATTCTTTGCATCTTTAGTGCTGGGCCAGGGCCTGACATATAATAGATGCTCAGTGAATATTTGGGAAATAAATGAATGGATATACAAGACAAAGTTCAGCAGGGGAGATAAGAATCAAATAAACTGTCTGTCAGAGGAGGGAGATCCAACTTTATGGAGATGGAGATCTGTTTCTCAGGGTCAGCTTCCAACATGAATATATCTGTATGAGGCCCAGAGATTCCAGGAGGCAGGTACCGCTGGGCTGTGTAGGCTGAAAATCCCAGATCTTGTTGGATTTGTCCAGGATACAGCCGCCATCTGATCCAGGCTCCCAAGCAGAGATGGACTCAAGCTTCAGCGAGTGTCCATCTCCCCTTCCCTGCAGCTAGGGTTTATCTTGCCCTGCACCTCCTCTTCATCCTCCAACATACACACACACACACACACACACACACACACACACACACACACACACATTCTCTGCCTGGTGAGACCCACTTCAGGAGAACTGGGGAGGACACAGGATGGAGTGGACTTGGCAGGGAGGTAGCTGGGCCAGGCACGGTAGGGAAGGATCCTGTGGGTAAATGGGAGTCATTCTCTTGAGTGAAGCTCTACCGGACTCCTCTGTGGAGTCCACATTTTACCTGAGGGCTCCTCCTAAGGTGCCCACCAGGCTTCTGTTTCCTTTTTCCTCCTGTGACACCATCACCTTCCCAGCTACAAGCAAGGGCAATAAACTGGGGGCCCACTGGGGCAGATGTCTTAATGGAGAGAGCAGAGATGAAGAGAAAATCCCTCAGCAGGTTGAGAGTGACTTCTGCAGGCTCAGGGCACAAAGCGAGATCTCTTTGCACAGGTAAGGAAGGCAGTGAAAAGCAGAGACCCATTTCCTTCACTGAGTGTGGGATCACAAAGTCAGGAAATTTGGGGGACATTTTCAGATGATTTGAAGTAGTTCTTGTCAATTTCTTAACCAGCTTTACAAGGTCTTCATATTTTTTAATAAAGTGGGAGGCAGCACTGTGTTTCCCTAATGATCTTCTTTTGCCACAGGAGGCAGCATGGGCTGGAACAGTAGCAGTTGGAATAAGCAGCTTTATCTAATCAAACTTTAGCTAAGATGTGAAAATAACCTAAATGTCCATCAACAGATGAATGAAGAAAATGTGGTATATACACATGATAGAATACTATCCAGCCTTAAAAAGGAAAGAAATTCTGCCTTATTCAACAACATAAATGGCCCTTGAGGACATTATGCAGTGAAATAAGTCAAATACAGAAAGACAAATACTGCATCATTCCACTTACATCAAGTATCTAAAAATAGTCAAATTCATTAAATCAAAGGCTGTAACAGTGGTTACCAGGGACAGGGGGAGGATGAAATGAGTTATTAATCAACAGGCATAAAATAATTAAGTAAGATGAATAAGCTCTAGAGATCTGCTGAAGAACTTTGTACCCATAGTCAACAATATTGCATTGTATTAATACACTTACAATTTGTTAAGAGGATAGAGCTCATGTTAAATATTCTTACCACAAAAATATAAATAAATTTAAAAAGAGGATAAGGAAGGGGAAGGATGGTACACCTGGCCCCCAGGAAGGTCCTGAGTGTACTTTTGTCTAATTCCTGCTGTTTTCTGGGAAGGACCTGGGAGGAGTCACTCACCACCTATGGAGGCCCAGTGGCCTGGGAAGGTCTTCTCCTTGTTGCTCATGAGAGTTGGGGTCTTGTGGGCTGTGGGGTGCTCAGGGTGGGAGCACGAGGGAAGGAGGTGTGTGTGATGAGTGAGATAGAGTCCCCATGCCTCTAGAGGAAAGGAAGAGTCATCTCAGCATGTTCAAAACAGGCTTAGGAGCAGACTGAGGGGTCAGCTCTCTTAGGAGAGGAGGTGATAAATAAATGTTGTAATTGTCTTGATTGAAGCTGAAGGATTGGAAAGAGAAAATTCTTAAGACTTTACCATTGTCTAAAGCAGTTTTTCTTTCTTAGAATTTCGATCATCCTTGCTACTTAAGACCCCCAAAATGGTGGAACCCAGGGGTACAGAGAGCTAAGGAAGGAAAACTCCATACTTGAGATGCCTTCTTGAGCCAGCAGTGGCAGTAGTGGTGGTGGAGGCAACAGTTAGATGAACTGACTGGTCCTGACCACACAGTGTCAAAATAGAGAATGGAGAGCAGGTCTGCTGTTTACCAAAGAAGACCGAAACATGGCCCACGTGTCCAATCCTTGCTTGGAGGAGGAGCCGGGAGGATACCCTTGATGAACTGCTCTCAGATTGTTGGTCTATGAAGGTATCTTTCTCTTTCAGTAGATGAAAGGTAATTTCTGGGCTTTGTGATTCTGGAAGAAAGAGATTGGAGAGGGTGCAGGGAGCAACGTACTGCCTAGATGCTGCGGGGAAGGGAGGCTTCAGAAGAGCCTCTTTGGCTTTGGTGGTATTCCTGTTAGCATGGAGAGGAAGTCCACTTCTGCCAGCTGTGGGGTACAGAGCAGGGCTTGGGGACCCAGAAGGGGACTGGCAGGGGATCTGGCACTGCTGCAGCTGCTGCTAGGTCATCTTTCCTGTGTTGATGATACACTGCAAAAAACAGGAGATAAACTTTTATGCTTTAGTGACAGCAGTGGAGGAGCTTCCTCCTGAATGTTCACATGTGAGATATTCCCTCTCCTCTCCCTAATTCTCCATCCTTGGGGACTAAGACCTTCACTCCCACTCACTCACTGCCATGATCAAAGCCATGGTTGCCTCCATTGGAGCACAGCACTCAGCCAAGGGGAGTATCTCTGGGGCTGCACCAAGGAGCCGATGCCTGCCCATGTCTACTCCAAACTCAGAGGGCTGAGGCTGGTTACGGATGCTGCTGTCTGAGACAATCATTCTCACATTGCAATGATTCAGAAAAAAAGCAAAAAGTTTGGGAAGCACCAAGATAGAGTGCCTGTTAAAAAATGGAAAGTGGAGTAGGGGAGTTTTAGTCTGAGGAAGGAAAAGTTTGGAGGAGGGAGCACAAGCCTGCACATAATTCAAGGCTGTACCTTATGAAGACATGCTCCCAAAAGTTCCAGAGAGTGGGAGCAGCACGTGTGGGTGGAAGTGGCAGGAGGTAAGGAAGAAGTTGCTAACACCCTCTTCTCAGGCCAGTAGCAGCACTTCCTAAGTTTATCAACTGTCTGGCCCAGCAAGTGTTTAATGAAGTGCCAACTAATCTTTTGAAGGCCTTTTGGTGGAGAATAATTTGATGGGAGGCAGGACTAAATGACTTTTAGAATGTCATGCAAATTTTCCTGTGTTTTGATATATTCTATTAATAGTTATGCAGACATTTTGTCTTTTCTCCTATTATTGACTGTTTCTCTTCTTCATCTATGCTATTCCTAGTTACTTTAAAATCTGATCTCTCTTTTTTTTTCAGGAGGTTAATACATGTCAGTTTGACATTGTATCATTGAATCAGAATTGAACATCAGAAAGAGTAAAATTCCCAGGCCTTTTTTACCCTAGCCTGGGTACAAGCTCAAGATGATGCAGAAGGAGGAGCAAAGCATGGGATCCAAGAAAGTTAAGTTCCAGCTCAGGTCGAAGAGAATCATGTCTGTGATCTGTGTCTTTGGTTTCTTCATCTACAGCTGTCATCTTGTGGGCTGGAGCATGGTGGCCAGGAAGTGTGCAAGGGGCTCTGGTGTCCATGCAGCCCTCATAGACCTGAGGAGGTATGATTGCTCTAAGCCCCCAGTGGGGTTCCAGTTTGATAGCTGCCCTGGATGGAGATGTGGGAGTGAGAGAAAGGGATATGGAGGCAGGTCTAATTTACTCAGCAGCACCTCAGGTCTTTGGGACTTCCTGGTGTCTGAGAGGAGACAAGCAGAATGGACTTGCTGAGCTCCTCATCTCCAGGAAACAGTTCTTCTATAAGGATTCCTGGGCTGGGTGTTTAGCATCTTTCATATGCCCCCACCCCAATCCCACCATCTCTTTCGGAGACTTGAAATGAAATCGCTTAACATTAACTCACACCACCTCTAGCTCTGCTCTTTAGGATTAAATGAAGTTTAAAGTCATTGAGCCTCTCCCAGAGGCTAGACCCTGTGTGTGCATATGCATGCCTGTGTCCTCATGTGTGCATGTGTGTGCGTGTGAGTGTGTGTGCATGCACATGTTTGAGGGCAGCATAGGGAATGAAGATACAGAGCAACCTGGACAAATACTCTGCAGTCTAGGCAAGAGTGAGTGTGGTCACTGATGTTGAGGCACAGAGCTAAGTGTGGGGAAATATGGCTGAAGTTTGTTCAGCGTGCTGTGGAAATCCATTTGGATGATCGGTGGGGGTGAGTGGGTCACAGAAAACCTCCTGGGGAGCTGTCACCTCCAGGAATGATGTAGAGGGGATTCTGTCTCTTTCTAGGTCAATGCATATCGACCATCCTGTGGCAGTTTATCCAGTCTTTTGTCCTCTAGCTGCATTTGTTTATCTTATTGGATGTAAGAAAAGCTACATCCTTTTCTTCTCTTCACCACCAAGACTTCCTGGGCTGGTCAGCGGACAAGGAGAAGGTTTACCTAATCTCTCAAAATAAAGAAATGGAAACCTAGTCCTAGTGTGTGCCTCACAAAGGACGCACCTTGTGCTCCTTGCCAAGGCATAGCCCAGGTAGCTCTGATCTTTTGATACCACCAGTTCCCAGGTGGTGGTGCTAGAAACACATCAGTGGTTTGGGGCCGGACAGTGGATGATGGATGGGGGTTCTTACCTACACAGGCAGTAGTGTCAGCTTAAAGTTTATTTAAGAAATTCTGCCTGCTAAACTTAAACAAAAAGACTTTAAGCTGTGGAAATTGTAGAGAAAAATATATTCTACATACCTACAATGCAAAGAGCTTGAGAAAAATTTAGGCCCAGGAGAAGAGTTTAATAACAAGATTTAGAACAAGAACCAGAAGCTCTACTCTTTGTTTCAGTCTGAAATCAACCAGCAGGTACATTCCTGTGCACAGTGAAGGGACCCAGGAACCTATAATCTTGACTAGGCAAAAGGGAAGTGGGTGCAATTTGGGGGGACCTTCCCAATCCTACTATAAAATTAGTTCTTATCCTTTCTCTTCCATCTCCACTCTTGATTGTTCTTGAAATTTTTTATCCTTCAGGTATATTTTTCAATTGACTATGATGTGGTTTTGCCTCCATGGAAATAAGGGAGAGGCTATTGTGTGGCTGGTGGGAGGAGAACTGGGATATAATATGATTAGATTCAAACTTCCATAATCACTGAATATGATTAGCTCCCAAGGAAACTCCTGCCAGTTGCACTTAGGAACCCAAGGAAGAAACCCAGATAGGAACCCAGGAGACATCCTCTGCTCTGCCTTCTTCCTCAGCTTCCACAAGCCTGCACATAATTCAAGGCTGTCCCTTATGAAGACATACATTCAATACATCATCCCACATGCCCTCTGTGCCTAATAGAAGCCCTCGTCAGATCAGCCTAATGGTTCATGCAGCACATGTGTGTCCCCACTGCTGCAGGAGACAACCGAGGAGGCTTCTCTAGTGAGCCTCAGTGTCTTATTCTCTTTGTCTTCAGGTTTTATAAACTAGATGCTTTCTAGCTGTTGTTGTCAATGGTTGTTGAATAATGGTACAGAACTCAATTTAGCAGTGCTAAATTGGTTCTGATTAATGATTATTGAATTAAAGGTCAGAACTTAATTTAGCTGGATAGTTAAACAACAGGCATAAATAAAACCCACAAGTAAGCTGAGACCAAGGAGAATGTCCTCAACCCTTTGAGACTTGTGCTACTGTGGTGTGTTGTGCTCTGAGACCCTGGAGACCTGGCCTACAATCATGCCCTAGACCAGTGGTTGTCAAAGTGTGGTGTGGGAACCTTGGGGTCCCTGAGATGCATTCAGTAGGGTCAGTGAGATCAAAACAATTTTAATCATAATGCTGACATTATTTGACTTTTTTACTCATATTTTTTCATTAGTCTATGGTAGAATTTTCCGGAGAGTAGATGATATGCAATGACATCATCACTCTGCCAGCTAGTGCAATATCTACTTATGTAAAATGTGTTATTTTCTAGTTTTAATTTTTAATACAAGAAATATCAATAGATGTAAATCACATGAATAAAATCTACTTAGGGTCCTTAATAATCTTAAGTGTGTAAATTATTTTCAAGGCCAAGTAGTGTGAGAACTGCTGCAGTAATAACTGTCTCTGGGGTCCATCCCCAACAGACTGGGCTCTGTGCAGAGCCAGGCTCACAATTCTGGTCCCAGATGCTGAGCACTCACACATCTATGAACCTTGCAGGGCCTGTCACATGCTCATCCCTCCTGCAGCCCTGACACTGATGGCTCCTTTGTGTACTCTCCTCACCTTCCTTGCATGGCGAGTCCCTAATCAGAAATGGATAGGTGCCTCATGTAGAGGTGGGTCTGGAGGCAGCTGAAATCAGAGACTGAGACTGGGCAACCAGAGGGAAAAAGAAGACCTTCTGACTTGAACCAGGTCCCCTTGTCACTCTTGGGTGGCCCCTGATTGCCTCTAGGGTCCTTCCAAGGATTTACCATTCAGTCTCCACTTTCCTCCATTTGTCCTTTGTCTCTCTGTGACTTTGTCTCTCTTGACTTTTTTACATCTCCAGCAAAGAGCAGAGACATGACCAGTCAGGGATACATATGTTTGATTGGGAAGCAGAGAGAGAAAAAAAAAACATCATAGGTCTTGGAATAGGTTCAAAGTCCAGAGGAAGGGGTGAGCTTTGTTAGGATTTATGGAGATTATTAGGGAGAAAATACAAACAGACAATGTGATTGTCTTCATCAAAGAATGTGGAGTTGTGCTGTAAAGAATTCTGGCAAATTTTTCATTGATTTAAGCAGTTTTCATGTGTTAATTTTTTTAAACAATGTTTGCTCCTAGAAACGTTAATGAAGTTTTTGAATTCCATTGAGGCAGAGATGTGAATGTTCTGTGTTCTTGCAGGAATCTCATATAGCCAGCAGAAGGCAGTGTGGTAGAGAAGGTAGCCGGTGGAAATATGGCATATTTGGATCACAGGTGGAAGGTTTGAAAACGTGGCACTCTGTCTAAACCATGTTGTCTCCTGGGTGAAAAGCTGGGAGGGGCTGTAGATTCAGGGAGGAGACCCCAGTAGACTATGACAATATCTTCCATCTTGAATCTGAAGACAGGTAGCATCTTCTAGGTTGTGTGGTGGTCCCTATTATTGCTGGAAGTAAGGGGATGGAAGTGGGCGGGGGATGCAGTATCCTCTTGTCCAGGTCAGAGAAGGTGGCTTCTGAGGGTCATTTCTGCTTTGCTGCGCAGTCTTGCTGGCATAAGTGGTATTAACAGCTGGACTTCTACTGTATGAAGGGTGGGAGACAGGGCTCAGGCACCTGGGGAGGACAGGGCTGTGGGACCTGAGTTGGGAGTGGTGCTGGCAGGGGACTTTGCCTTATTTCTGCTGCTGCTAGGAAATTTTCCCTAGTTGAAAGTAAACTGAGAGAAAGAAGAAAGTACTTTAGTATAAGACAACATCAGTGAAGAAGATTATTCCCCAAAATACCACAAGGGAGAAACACCCTCTCTCATCACCCCTTTCTTTAATGTCAGTGACAAGACATCCCCATTGCACTCGCTCCTGAGACTGCCCACCCTACAGGAGGCTTTTGTGGGGCTGCCCCACAGATGGCTAGGAACTGCAGTGTCTGCCCCTCCCAGGAGTTGGTATCGTCCTTTCTTTGACTCTGTGTCCCCTGTTCCTAAGGCATTTTTTCTCCTTACTCATCCCACCTTGGCAACTTCCCTGGACCTTCTGTACTACCCCTATGACTTACAACTTGATCATTACTTCTTCAGGAACATTAGTATCCCTTGTCATGGCCCATCTTATGTGTTAGAATCTGGGAGCATACTAAATTGTATGTTCTGGCAATCTCCCTCATCTCTGCCAGGAAACCCAACTTGAGTAGCCACATAAACAAGTTTCCTTAGTTACTTACATATAAAAAGATGGAAACTATCAACAGATAATATTTTCTATGGTTCTATGAAGTAATTGAAAACAAAAAAGAGACAGCTCTTATAAGTTCATTAAATGTTTCTAATAAAACTTTAAATATAATTATCTATAAAATATAAGTATATTTTATTTGGTAAAATGAACAATAATTATTATTAATCCTAATAAGTATAATGATGTCTGACTTAGAAGAATTTATAAACACAGAGCCTTATAACCATAGGGAATAATAGACAAATATTTCAATTTCAATGTACTTACACATTCTTTCAAAGAGAGTAGTCAATAAATATATTTAAGCATATGTTACACTAAAAATGTCATAAAGAAGTAAAATGGAAATTCAAGTTGAAGTAGAAGAAAACAATATAAAAATTTCAAATGTAAAAGAAAAACTTTGGTGAACCTCTTTCAAGAACATAGATAAAAAATTTCTTAAAGAGAGCTGGCAAGATGACTGAATAGGAACAGCTCTGGTCTGGAGCTCCCAGCAAGACCAACGCAGAAGGCAGGTGATTTCTGCA
Organism: Homo sapiens; assembly: GCF_000001405.40. Lineage (NCBI taxonomy): Eukaryota > Metazoa > Chordata > Mammalia > Primates > Hominidae > Homo > Homo sapiens. The sequence goes on along the minus strand of NC_000001.11, from coordinate 153,189,031 downwards.
TTTCCAACTGAGGTACCTGGTTCATCTCATTGGGACTGGTTAGACATTGGGTGCAGCCCATGGAGGGTGAGCAGAAGCAGGGTGGGGCGTTGCCTCACCCGGGAAGTGCAAAGGGGTGGGGAACTACCGTCCCTAGCCAAAGGAAGCCGTGAGGGACTGTGCTACCCGGCCCAGATACTACCCATGGTTTTGGCAACCCACAGACCAGGGTATTCCCTCGTGTGCCTACACCATGAGGGTCCTGGGTTTCAAGCACAAAACTAGGTGGCTGTTTGGGCAGACCTTGAGCTAGCTGCAGGAGTTTTTTTTCATACACCAGTGGTGCCTGGTGCCCCAGTGAGACAGAGCTGTTCACTCTCCTGGAAAGGGTGTTGAAGCCAGGGAGCGAAGTGATCTTGATCAGCGGGTCCCATGGAGCCCAGCAAGCTAAGAACCACTGGCTTGAAATTCTTGCTGCCAGCACAGCTGTCTGAAGTTGACCTGGGATTGAGCTTGGTGTGGGGAGGTGTGTCTAGCATTACTGAGGCTTGAGTAGGCCGTTTCCCCTTACAGTGTTAAGGAAGCCAAACTCACCACAGCATGGCAAAGCGGCTGTGGCCAGACTGCCTCTCTAAATTCCTCCTCACTGGGTGGGGCATCTCTGAAAGAAAGGCAGCAGCCCCAGTCAGGAGCTTATAAATAAAACTCCCATCTCCCTGGGACAGAGCACCTGGGGGAAGGGGTGGCTGTGGGTGCAGCTTCAGCAGACTTAAAATTTCCTGCCTGCCAGCCCTGAAGACAGCAGCAGATCTCCCAGCACAGTGCTCAAGCTCTACTAAGGGACAGACTGCCTCCTCAAGTGGGTCCCTGACCCCTGTGCCTCCTGACTGGGAGACACCTCCCAGGAGTGGTCGACAGATACCTCATACAGGAGAGCTCTGGCTGGCATCAGGCAGGTACCCCTGTGGGATGAAACTTCCAGAGGAAGGAGTAGGCAGCAATCTTTGCTGTTCTGCAGCTTCCACTGGTAATACCCAGGCAAACAGGGTCTGGAGTGGACCTCCAGCAAACTCTAGCAGACCTGCAGAAGAGGGGCCTGACTGTTGGAAGGAAAACTAACAAACAGAGAGCAATAACATCAACATCAACAAAAAGGACACCCACTCAAAAACCCCATCCAAAGGGCGTCAGCATTAAAGCTCAAAGGCGGATAAATCCATGAAGATGAGGAAAAACCAGCCCCAAAATGCTGAAAATTCCAAAACCAAGAATGCCTCTTCTCCTCCAAATGATCACAACTCCTCTCCAACAAGGGCATAAAACTGGATGGAGCATGAATTTGATGAATTGACAGAAGTAGGCTTCAGAAGGTTGGTAATAACAAACTCCTCTGAGCTAAAGGAGCATGTTCTAACCCAATGCAAGAAAGCTAAGAACCTTGATAAAAGGCTACAGGAATTGCTAACTAGAATAACCAGTTTGGAGAAGAAGATAAATGACCTGATGGAGCTGAAAAACACAGCACGAGAACTTTGTGAAGCATACACAAGTATCAATAGCTGAATTGATCAAGCAGAAGAAAGGATATCAGAGATTGAAGATCAACTTAATGAAATAAAGCATGAAGACAAGATTAGAGAAAAAAGAATGAAAAGGAACAAACAAAGCCTCCAAGAAATATGGGACTATGTGAAAAGAGCAAACATACGATTGATTGGTGTATGTGAAAGTGACGGGGAGAATGGAACCAAGTTGGAAAACACACTTCAGGATGTTATCGAGGAGAACTTTCCCAACCTAGCAAGGCAGGCCAACATTCAAATTCAGGAAATACAGAGAACACCTCTAAGATTCTCCTTGAGAAGAGCAACCCCAAGACACATAATTGTCAGATTCTCCAAGGTTGAAATGAAATAAAAAATATGTTAAGGGCAGACAGAGAGAAAGGTCAGGTTACCTACAAAGGGAAGCCCATCAGACTAATAGTGTATCTCTGCAGAAACCCTACATGCCAGAAGAGGGTGGGGGCCAATATTCAACATTCCTAAAGAAAAGAATTTTCAACCCAGAATTTCATATCCAGCCAAACTAAGTTTCATAAGTGAAGGAGAAATAAAATCCTTTACAGACAAGCAAATGCTGAGTGATTTTGTCACCCCCAGGCCAACCTTACAAGAGCTCCTGAAGGAAGCACTAAATATGGAAAGGAAAAAATGGTACCAGCCACTGCAAAAAGATACCAAAATATAAAGACCAACGACACTATGAAGAATCTGTATTAACTAATGTGTAAAATAACCAGCTAGCATCATGATGACAGGATCAAATTCACACATAACAATATTAACCTTAAATGTAAATAGGCTAAATGCCCCAATTACAAGACACAGACTGGCAAAGTGGATAAAGAGTCAAGACCCATTGGTGTGTTGTATTCAGGAGACCCATCTCACTTGCAAAGACACACATAGGCTCAAAATAAAGGGATGTAGCAAATAGAAAAAAAAAGAGCAGGGATTGCAATTCTAGTCTCTGATAAAACTGATTTTAAACCAACAAAGGTCAAAAAATACAAAGAAAGACATTACATAATGGTAAAGGGATCAATGCAACAAGAAGAGCTAACTATCCTAAATATATATGCACCCAATACAGGAGCACCCAGATTCATAAAGCAAGTTCTTAGAGACATTCAAGGAGACTTAGACTCTCACACAATAATAGTGGGAGACTTTAACACCCCACTATCAGTATTAGACAGATGAATGAGACAGAAAATTAACAAGGATATTCAGGACTTGAACTCAGGTCTGGACCAAGCAGACCTAATAGACATCTACAGAACTCTTCACCCCAAATCAACAGAACGTACATTCCTCTCAGCACCACAATGCACTTATTCTAAAATTGACCACATAATTGGAAGTAAAACACTCCTCAGCAAATGCAAAAGAATGGAAATTATAACAAACAGTCTCTCAGACCACAGTGCAATCAAATTAAAAGTCAGGATTAAGAAACTCACTCAAAACTGAACAACTACATGGAAACTGAACAACCTGCCCCTGAATGATTACTGGGTAAATAATGAAATTAAGGCAGAAATAAATAAGCTCTCTGAAACCAATGAGGACAAAGGCACAATGTACCAGAATCTCTGGGACACAGCTAAAGCAGCATAAAGAGGGAAATTTATAGCACTAAATGCCTACATCAGAAAGCAGGAAAGATCTAAAATCGACACCCTAACATGATAGCTAAAAGAACTAGAGAAGCAAGAGCAAACAAATTCAAAAGCTAGCAGGAGACAAGAAGTAACTAAGATCTGACCAGAACTGAAGGAGATAGAGACATGAAAAACCCTTCAAAAAAATGAATCCAGGAGCTGGTTTTTTGAAAAGATTAACAAAATAGATAGACTGCTAGCCAGACTAACAAAGAAGAAAAGAGAGAAGAATCAAACAGACACAATAAAAAATGATAAAGGGGATATCACCACTGATCCCTCAGAAATACAAACTACCATCAGAGAACACTATAAACACCTCTACGCAAATAAACTAGAAAATATAGGAGAAATGGATGCATTCCTGGACACATTACACACTCCCAAGTCTAAACCAGGAAGAAGTCGAATCCCTGAGTAGACCAATAACAAGTTCTGAAATTGAGGCAATAATTAATAGCCTACTAACCACAAAAAAAAAAAAAAAGCCCAGGACCAGAAGGATTCACAGCCAAATTCTACCAGAGGTACAAAGAGGAGCTGGTACCATTCCTTCTGACACTATTCCAAACAATAGAAAAAGAGGGAATCCTCCCTAAATCATTTTATGAGGCCAGCATCATCCTGATACCAAAACCTGGCAGAGACACAACAAAAAAAGAAAATTTCAGGCCAATATTCCTGATGAACATCGATGTGAAAATCCTCAATAAAATACTGGCAAACTGAATCCAGCAGCACATCAAAAAGCTTATCCACCACAATCAGGTCAGCTTCATCCCTGGGATGCAAGGGCAGTTCAACATACGCAAATCAATAAATGTAATCCATCACATAAACAGAACCAATGATAAAAACCACATGATTATCTCAATAGATGCAGAAAAGGCCTTCAATAAAATTCAACACCCCTTCACGATAAAAACACTCAATAAACTAGGTATTGATGGAGCATATCTCAAAATAGTAAGAGTTATTTATGACAAACCCATAGCCAGTATCATACTGAATGTGCAAAAACTGGAAGGATTACCTTTGAAAACCTGCACAAGACAAGTATGCCCTCTCTCACCGCTCCTATTTCAACATAGTATTGGAAGTTCTGGCCAGGGCAATCATGCAAGAGAAAGAAATAAAAGGCATTCAGACAGGAAGAGGGGAAGTCAAGTTGTCTCTGTTTGCAGATGACATGATTGTATATTTAGAAAACCCCATTTTCTCAGCCCAAAAACTCCTTAA